>NC_000023.11:119451442-120879381 GCF_000001405.40 Homo sapiens | reverse complement strand
GATCCCCCAAATGATGAAGTGATGCAGGAGCACTTGGTAAAAATGAAGCATTCAGGGGGGTGAGGAACCAATGAGCTTCACCATAGAATTTGTCTTTTGAGGTAAACAAATATTTTCCCAACAAAGTTCTGACCAAAACACCGTAGAATGAGATCGGACCCGATGATTCAGATCTCTTCTTCTCCAAAGAACTAGAAATAATCAGCCGCTTTGGGTGGGAGATTTACTGGAAAAAAGGGAAATACAGTGTCCCTGTGGAAATGATCAAGCAGCAGCAACGTGAGGGCCATGGAACTGTTGTGAAAACCAGTAGGAAGGTGCCCAGCTATTCCTTTCTTACTTAACTCTATCCTGCTTCTCCTGAGGGTGGAGTAGCTGAATGCCGCTGCTAGTTATAAATTGGGCTATATTTTCTGTGAATGTCTGGTCCCCATGTGTGTATTATTCTTCCCTAAAGAAGTCACTAAATCTCAGCCCGAAAAGTGGGATGAAGAGGCCCAAGATGCTGCAGGC
The DNA here is from genome assembly GCF_000001405.40 of Homo sapiens. Lineage (NCBI taxonomy): Eukaryota > Metazoa > Chordata > Mammalia > Primates > Hominidae > Homo > Homo sapiens. The sequence goes on along the minus strand of NC_000023.11, from coordinate 120,878,868 downwards.
GAGGAAGAGAAAGAACAAGAAAAAGAGAAGGATGCAGAAAACAAGGTGAAGAACTCCAAAGGGACCTAGACGCAGCAGAGGTGAAGCCAAGAAAATCCAGGTATCTGTGTATAGCTTTGAGAATCACTCAACTATTCCTGGCATTTACCTGTTGCAGACAGTTTTATTGAACAACAACAAAAATTCTCAGTAAGTTAAGTAAGAAAAAGTTTAAAATTAGTTTAAAAATTCAATTTAACTTACTTAAAATGTTACGAGAATATTCATGTACCTAGTAATATGAACTGCAGTGTGTTCTGAAATATACTTCTTGGCTACTCATTTGTTCATGTTGAGGTCTTTTGTCCTCTAGCTGCAAGACTACTAACAAGTGGCAGATGTATCAGACCTACTACCAGGACCAATATTTGTGTAGAAAACAGTTGCCAGACACAGCCGCTAACTTGGCTGGGCCACGCATTAGTTGGGCCTTCGTTACTTGACCACAGAAATGCAGGCTCCCGTAGTAACTAGGAGACAACTCAATGCCTTTTACAAAGTGACTACTTAAAAATAGCAAAAAGCTAAGAATTTCAAGTAGGACCACAATGAATGATTAATACCTAGATATTTATTTGGCTATATATTTTGGTATTTTATGTCACAGTCAGATGAAAAGAATGTGTGTTTATCACTGAATTGGTAATGAAGTCTTAAGGTATATCCATCTTTGAGTGTATTTAAATGGTTAACATTTTTCTTTCTTTCTTATTTATTTATTTATTTTGCATTTTCACAGCCGTATATTTCGTAACGGCTTCTTTCCCACATGGTAGATACGGAAACCAAGGGTCTGGGAGGGTAAGGGAGTATTATTTGTGGAACCAGCACAGGCTGTTGAAGCTTGAGAGATTTATTTAAATCCCAGAATGGCCCCTCATGTAAAAACAAAAGCAACAAGCTTTTCTAGTGCTAGGCAGACAAGGTTGGTGTGATCATTTGACTGAAACCTTCAGTTCCACAAGCACCCTGATATCCAAGCTCGTGAGTTACAAAAGGAAAAGATGGGCTTCTCTACTTGTTTAAGATATAGCACACAAATGTTGCAGATATACACAGAGCTGGCCATTTTCTTCTATTTAGAAAGTCACTGGTGCTGGTTAATGTTGTACTATTGTTTATCATCTCTCATTTCATCCCACAGTCGGGAGGAAAAGAAAGAAGACTCTGTTGTTCATTGTTTTTATCTTTTTCTCCAGATGCCTGTGGGAATTGTAACACATATCATTCCAAAGTTCGTTACATCAAAAGTGATATCCAGTGACATCTAACTTTCATGGATGTATGTGACAGTGTTCAAGTTAAAAAATAAAAGTTTGTTTTAAATGAATAAACTGAAACGTGGGAAGATTTTTCAATAAGTAATCTTAACTCAAATCTCTCCTTTACGTCTTTGTTTTGGCCCACCATACCTTCATTGAAAGATATTACTTTCCGCCATTTGGTAAGACTCTTTGAAATTCTTTCACTGCAGCCAAAAATCAAGTAAAATGACAAGTTTAAAACAATTTTTGAAAAGAGAGAGATGGGGCTCATCTTTAGAGCTGTGTGTTGTGACTACTGAGCACTTGTAATACGGCTAGTCTGATTTAATATGTGATGCAAGTGTGAAAATAATATTGCATATATTACTAATTTTTTTTTTTTTTTTTGAAACTGAGTCTCGCTCTGTCACCCAGGCTGGAGTGCAGTGGGGCCATCTTGGCTCACTGCAACCTCCACCTCCCAGGCTCCAGCAAATTTCCTGCCTCACCCTTCCGAGTAGCTGGGACTACAGGCGCGCACCACCATGTCCAGCTAATTTTTTGTATTTTTAGTACAGACAGGGTTTTACCATATTGGTCATGCTGGTCTCGAACTACTGACCTCAGGTGATCTGCCTGCCTCGGCCTCCCAAAGTGCGGCCTCCCAAAGTGCTGGATTACAGGCGTGAGCCACCACCCCCAGGCACTTTTGGTGTTTTTGATGCTTAGCTCTTATGAGATGACCTGGTCCTTTTAAAAAAAGTATCTCTTTTTTTCCCCATTATTTGGAGGTTTGAAGTGAATTTGGCAGGATTCATTAAACACCTTCCAGTGTCTGTCATTTACCACCTCAACACTCAGTGATGACTGCATCCATTTCAACTCTGCACATTCTTTTCTAAGTAGCTTTAACTACGTTAACTCAGTGAAATTCTTATGTCTCTTGGGAGGTTTTCACTACTGCTTAGCTATGAACTATATAACATTTTTATGACACTATCTCTACTGGCATGAGCCATTACTAGGTGGAAATAAGTGAACTCTGTGACCGCCTTGCAGTTCCCATGCTCCAGGGTGCCTCCACATGGGACTACTATAGTGTTGCTAATAATCATAAAATTAAAAGGGCAGGACTTGTGTGGACCTAAAGGGTAGCCCTGGACACTAAGGCCTCAAAGAAAAGGTGGAGCTCGGCCGGGCACACTGGCTCACGCCTGTAATCCCAGCACTTTGGGAGGCCGAGGTAGGTGGATCACAAGATCAGGAGATCGAGACCATCCTGGCCAACATGGTGAAACCCTGTCTCTACTAAAAATACAAAAACTAGCCGGGCGTGGTGGCATGCACCTATAGTCCCAGCTACTCAGGAGGCTGAGGCAGGAGAATCACTGGAACCCAGGAGGCGGGGATTGCAGTCAGCTGAGATCATGCCACTGTACTCCAGCCTGGGCAATAGAGCAAGGCTCCGTCTGAAAAAATAAAAATAAAAAAAAGAAAAGGAAAAGCTCTGGATTCTGGATTCTGAGTTGTCCTAGAGCTTAAGGGCCTTGATCATTCATTGGACAAAGAGCATGTCAATCTGAAGTTTTCAGCAAATGAGCTTAGGGCTCACTGAGAGCCCCTCGTTGACCCTTCCGGTCCCGCCCCCTGTCTCCTGCCAACCAGAATCTTTCCCGCCTTATCTAAGTCCTCTCAGGCCAGACTTGGTGGGAGGTTCCTAGGATTCGCTCCCTGCCCTTCCCACCTTAGGGTGTCCTCTGAGACAGACTCTTATTTCCTCAATAAAGAGAAAGACTCTTATTCCCTCAGCGGCCAGCTCCTCGCCTCCCCTCGGCCGTAGCCACCTCAGTGGTCACCGTCTTCACCGTGGTCGCCTCAGCCCGCTCGCCACCCCAGTTGAGGCGCTGCTGGTGTCATGTCTGCCACAGGGGACCGACACCCGACCCAAGGGGACCAGGAGGCCCCGGTAAGCCAGGAGGGAGCACAGGCCGAGGCGGCCGGAGCTGGTAACCAGGAGGGCGGCGACTCCGGCCCCGACAGCAGCGACATGGTGCCTGCGGCCGAGGTGGTCGGAGTCGCAGGGCCCGTGGAAGGCCTCGGGGAGGAGGAGGGTGAGCAGGCGGCAGGCCTGGCCGCAGTCCCCCAGGGCGGGAGCGCCGAGGAGGACTCAGATATCGGGCCCGCGACGGAGGAAGAGGAGGAGGAGGAAGAGGGGAACGAGGCGGCCAACTTCGACTTGGCGGTGGCCACCCGTCGGTACCCGGCGGCGGGCATTGGCTTCGTGTTCCTGTACCTGGTCCACTCCCTTCTCCGCCGCCTCTATCACAACGACCACATCCAGATAGCGAACCGTCACCTCAGCCGCCTGATGGTGGGGCCCCACGCTGCTGTGCCCAACCTCTGGGACAACCCTCCCCTGCTGCTGCTGTCCCAGAGGCTGGGTGCAGGGGCTGCAGCCCCAGAAGGCGAGGGCCTCGGCCTGATCCAGGAGGCTGCGTCGGTCCAGGAGGCCGCGTCGGTCCCAGAGCCTGCAGTGCCAGCTGACCTGGCCGAGATGGCCAGGGAGCCCGCGGAGGAGGCCGCAGATGAGAAACCCCCAGAGGAGGCCGCAGAGGAGAAGCTCACAGAGGAGGCCACAGAGGAACCGGCCGCAGAGGAACCGACCTCAGAGGAGGCCGTGGCCCCCGAGGGTAAGGGGGCTAGCGGCAGCAGCGGGGAAGCGGGGATCCATGTGTCCAAGGGCTCTGGGCAGGGCTGCGGTGCGGGCACAGCTGGTGAAGCGGGTGGTGAAGGGGGGTCGGGGCCTCGGGTGGTGAAGCAGGTGTTGGGGCCCTCCTGAAACTTAAGGCTGAATGTGTCCCAGTGAGTCGAAGCCCAATTCTCTAATGACATCTATGGTTTTGAGAAAACTTGCCGCCCTCTACCAACCTATATTTGATAGGAGATCTGAGATCATCGATGCCATTTGCGAGCCTGCAGATGAATGGCCAGGTAGATAGGGGTTCAGGAGGGAGCTCCGCAGGAAACAGAAGGAAAAGAACAGGCAAATGGGAGGCAGGCGTGCTTTTTGGTTCATGGCTTTTCAAAGTGTAAAGATTCGTAGAAAGTTGATCCCCCAAATGATGAAGTGATACAGGAGCACTTGGTAAAAATGAAACATTCAGGGGGTGAGGAACCAATGAGCTTCACCATAGAATTTGTCTTTTGAGGTAAACAAATATTTTCCCAACAAAGTTCTGACCAAAACACCATAGAATGAGATCAGACCCGATGATTCAGATCTCTTCTTCTCCAAAGAACTAGAAATAATCAGCCGCTTTGGGTGGGAGATTTACTGGAAAAAAGGGAAATACAGTGTCCCTGTGGAAATGATCAAGCAGCAGCAACGTGAGGGCCATGGAACTGTTGTGAAAACCAGTAGGAAGGTGCCCAGCTATTCCTTTCTTACTTAACTCTATCCTGCTTCTCCTGAGGGTGGAGTAACTGAATGCCGCTGCTAGTTATAAATTGGGCTATATTTTCTGTGAATGTCTGGTCCCCATGTGTGTATTATTCTTCCCTAAAGAAGTCACTAAATCTCAGCCCGAAAAGTGGGATGAAGAGGCCCAAGATGCTGCAGGCGAGGAAGAGAAAGAACAAGAAAAAGAGAAGGATGTGGAAAACAAGGTGAAGAACTCCAAAGGGACCTAGACGCAGCAGAGGTGAAGCCAAGAAAATCCAGGTATCTGTGTATAGCTTTGAGAATCAGTCAACTATTCCTGGCATTTACCTGTTGCAGACAGTTTTATTGAACAACAACAAAAATTCTCAGTAAGTTAAGTAAGAAAAAGTTTAAAATTAGTTTAAAAATTCAATTTAACTTACTTAAAATGTTACGAGAATATTCATGTACCTAGTAATATGAACTGCAGTGTGTTCTGAAATATACTTCTTGGCTACTCATTTGTTCATGTTGAGGTCTTTTGTCCTCTAGCTGCAAGACTACTAACAAGTGGCAGATGTATCAGACCTACTACCAGGACCAATATTTGTGTAGAAAACAGTTGCCAGACACAGCCGCTAACTTGGCTGGGCCACGCATTAGTTGGGCCTTCATTACTTGACCACAGAAATGCAGGCTCCCGTAGTAACTAGGAGACAACTCAATGCCTTTTACAAAGTGACTACTTAAAAATAGCAAAAAGCTAAGAATTTCAAGTAGGACCACAATTAATGACTAATACCTATATATTTATTTAGCTATATATTTTGGTATTTTATGTCACAGTCAGATGAAAAGAATGTGTGTTTATCACTGAATTGGTAATGAAGTCTTAAGGTATATCTGTCTTTGAGTATATTTAAATGGTTAACATTTTTCTTTCTTTCTTATTTATTTTGCATTTTCACAGCCGTATATTTCGTAACGGCTTCTTTCCCACATGGTAGATACGGAAACCAAGGGTCTGGGAGGGTAAGGGAGTATCATTTGTGGAACCAGCACAGGCTGTTGAAGCTTGAGAGATTTATTTAAATCCCAGAATGGCCCCTCATGTAAAAACAAAAGCAACAAGCTTTTCTAGTGCTAGGCAGACAAGGTTGGTGTGATCATTTGACTGAAACCTTCAGTTCCACAAGCACCCTGATATCCAAGCTCGTGAGTTACAAAAGGAAAAGATGGGCTTCTCTACCTGTTTAAGATATAGCACACAAATGTTGCAGATATACACAGAGCTGGCCATTTTCTTCTATTTAGAAAGTCACTGGTGCTGGTTAATGTTGTACTATTGTTTATTTTCTCTCATTTCATCCCACAGTTGGGAGGAAAAGAAGACTCTGTTGTTCATTGTTTTATTTTTTTTTCAGATGCCTGTGGGAATTGTAACACATATCATTCCAAAGTTCGTTACATCAAAAGTGATATCCAGTGACATCTAACTTTCATGGATGTATGTGACAGTGTTTGTTCAAGTTAAAAATAAAAGTTTGTTTTCAATGAATAAACTGAAACGTGGGAAGATTTTTCAATAAATAATCCTAACTCAAATCTCTCTTTTAAGTCTTTGTTTTGGCCCACCATACCTTCATTGAAAGGTGTTACTTTCCACCACTTGGTAAGACTGTTTGAAATTCTTTTACTGCTGCCAAAAATCAAGTAAAATGACAAGTTTAAAACAATTTTTGGAAAGAGAGAGATGGGGCTCATCTTTAGAGCTGTGTGTTGTGGCTACTGAGCACTTGTCATATGGCTAGTCTGATTTAATATGTGCTGTAAGTGTGAAAATAATATTGCATATCTTACTAATTTTTTTTTTGAGACTGAGTCTCACTCTGTCACCCAGGCTGGAGTGCAGTGGCGTGGTCTCAACTCACTGCAACCTCCGCCTCCCAGCTTCTAGCAATTCTCCTGCCTCAGCCTCCCGAGTATCTGTGACTATAAGCGCCTGCCACCATGCCCAGCTAATTTTTTGTATCTTCAGTAGAGACGGGGTTTCACCGTGTTAGCCAGGATGGGCTCGATCTCCTGACCTCGTGATCCACCCACCTCGGTCTCTCAAAGTGCTGGGATTACAGGTTGAGCCACCACGCCCAGCCTTACTCATGTTTTTTATACTGATTACACATTGAAATAATACTTGAATTAAAATATTAAAGTTTTTGTTGGTTTCTTTGTATTTTTTTAATGAGGCTACTAGAACATTTAAAATTACCCAATGTAGATCACATTATATGTCTATTGGACAATACTGCTCTAGAGCATGGTTTTGAAGAAAACTTCATGGATGGCCCAGGTTGCCTGGAGGCCACATGGTATTGCTGAGCTTGGGCCCAGCCTTTGATCTAAAGCAGTGGTTCTCAAAGTTTTGTTCCCAAACAGCATCATCAGCATTACCTGGGAATTCTCAGACTCCACCCAAGAACTACAGAATCGGAACTCTGGGGGTGGGGGCAGCAATCTGTGTTTTAACACGCCCTCTAAGAGCTTTTGATGAACACTAAAGTTTGAGAACCACTGGTTTCAAGCAACAGAGAAAGAAGTTGAGCTTCACCTCCTGTCAGACCAGCCTTAATTCACTAGCTTGGGTTTGTTTCAGGTAAACTGAAAGGGACAGCAAGGGCTGGGCTGGGGAGGAAAGTAGAACTCACAGGGGCTGAGGCCTAGAGGGGAAAAATGCATAAAGGAAAAAGTCAGGTCCAAAAGGATACAAACATAGTACCATGTATATGACTTCTAGGAAAACATAAAAATGACCACCATAAATTGATTGTGGGTAAGTAGAGAGAGACTAAAAGGTGTGCATGTAAGAGATGCATACAAATGTAGCATACAGAAAAGTGTGCATTCGAAAGACAAGCATATTTGCGGCTGGGCGCAGTGGGTCACCCCTGTAATCCCACCCTCAGGCGGGTGGATCATCTGAGGTCAGGAGTTCGAGATAGGCCTGGCCAACATGGTGAAACCCCATCTCTAATAAAAATACAAAAAATAGCCAGGTGTGGTGGTGCACACCTACAATCCCAGCTGCTCAGGAGGCTGAGGCAGGAGAATCGCTTGAACCTGGGAGGCAGAGGCGGCAGTGAGCCAAGATCGCGCCACTGCACTCCAGCCTGGGTGACAGAGTGAGGCTCCGTCTCAAAAAAAAAAAAAAAAGACAAGAACATTTGAGATGGTGGTTACCTCTCAGAAAGAAAGGGAGGGGCATTCTAGTAGAGAAGGCACCACAGCAGACATCAACTGTATTTGTAATGTTATATTTCTTAAGCTGAATAGTGGATACATGGATGTTTATAGTAATGTTTTCTACAATTTTGTGTAGGTCTGAAATATTTCTAAAGCGGGAGGGGGAAGGGTAGCAGTTCTTCCCACACCATTGGACAGGACTTAGAGGAGTCTGAGAATTCTAGAACCCAACCTGGACTTTGAGGTCATTATGAAGTTACATTTGTCATGGAAGGAGATAAACCATTAAATAAAACATGCTGTATTTGTTGATTTAAACATTTCAAATATTTAGGCATATGGTATGTGGATCCCAAGTTGAACTCTTGTTCTAAACCCCGAAAATGTTACAGGTGAGCCAGGCTCAATATCTGACCTATAACCTCTTTCCCTTCCTCCCTCCGTGCCACTTTGTTACCTGAGCATAGTGGCGCCCCTTGCTTCTGAAAAGCACTTGTTCCAGTAGCCCATCTTGCTATGGGACTTGGACTTCATCCCTGACCCAGGCTAGAGTGCAACCACCAATCACCTTGTCTCTTCTGCTTGCCCCCCCAACCACACCCCTCTCTTTGCTCTCCAGGTGTTCAAACGCAAAACCTCTTCAATGGCCCTTCTCCCTCATACCAAATATCAATGCGCACCTGAAAGCCATCAGCTTGGTCAGGCACACCTGCGTGGACGCCCTTTATTCGCAGCACCACCTCTTAAGAACATTTAATTTCTCTGACAACCTTCAGCTCTGAGTTGTCTCTCCTATTTGATTTCCTTCCCCCTGTTACAGACAGGGAAGGACTACAGAACAGGTTCCATTGTATTTGTCATGTTGCGAAGATCAAGGAAGCTACAAAGAAGCTGAAAACTTGTCAGAATGAGCCTCTGGGTATTTAAAAATGAAATAAGAAAACTTCTTCATTTAAAAACAGAGCTTTGCTCTCGCCTGCCTGCCCGCTCCCTTTCTTGCTCGCGATTTTGCTCGCCCTCTCCTCGAGGATCGAGGGGGTTCTGACCACAGCCTGCGGCTGGGAAGGGAGACAGGCGGCAGCTCAGAGAAAACGAGGCTGCAGTGATGGTGGTAGGAAGATGTCGGACAAGGACAAGCAGCAGGAGCAAACTATCGCCAAGGACCTGGTCGTGACCAAGTATAAGATGGGGGGGGGGCGACATCGCTAACCAGGTACTACGGTCCTTGGTAGAAGCATCTAGCTCAGGTGTGTTGGTACTGAGCCTGTGTGAGAAAGATGATGCCATGATTATGGAAGAAATAGGGAAAATCTTCAAGAAAAAAATAGAAATGAGAAAAGGTATTGCTTTTCCCACCAGCATTTCAGTAAATAACTGTATATGTCACTTCTCCCCTTTGAAGAGCAACCAGGATTATATTCTCAAGGAAGGTGACTTGGTAAAAATTGACCTTGGGGTCCATGTGGATGGCTTCATCGCTAATGTAGCTCATACTTTTGTGGTTGATGTAGCTCAGGGGACCCAAGTAACAGGGAGGAAAGCAGATGTCATTAAGGCAATTCACCTTTGTGATGAAGCTGTCCTACGCCTGGTCAAACCTGGAAACCAGAACACACAAGTGACAGAAGCCCTGAACAAAGCTGCCCACTCACTTAACTGCACGCCAATAGAAGGTATGCTGTCACATCAGTTGAAGCAGCATGTCATCGATGGAGAAAAAACCATTATCCAGAATCTCACAGACCAGAAGAAGAAGGACCATGAAAAAGCGGAATTGGCGGTACATGAAGTATATGCTGTGGATGTTCTCGTCAGCTCAGGAGAGGGCAAGAGCAAGGATGCAGGACAGAGAACCACTATTTACAAATGAGACCCCTCTAAACAGCACGGACTGAAGATGAAAACTTCACATGCCTTCTTCAGTGAGGTGGAAAAGTGTTTTGATGCCATGCCGTTTACTTTAAGAGCATTTGAAGATGAGAAGAAGGCTCAGATTGGTGTGGTGAAGTGCACCAAACATGAACTGGTGCAAACTATTTAATGTTCTCTATGAGAAGGAAGGTGAATTTGTTGCCCAGTTTAAATGTATAGTTCTGCTGATGCTCGATGGCCTTATGCAGATAACCAGTGGTCCCTTCGAGCCTGACCTCTACAAGTCTGAGATGGAAGTCCAGGATGCAGAGCTAAAGGCTCTCCTCTAGAGTTCTGCAAGTCAAAAAACCCAGAAAAAGAAAAAAAAAAAAAAAAGAAGAAGGCCTACAAGACTGCAGAGAAAGCCACCAGTGGGGAAACATTAGAAGAAAATGAAGCTGGGGACTGAGGTGGGTCCCATCTCCCCAGCTTGCTGCTCCTGCCTCATCCCCTTCCCACCACACCGCAGGCTCTGTGAAGTATAATTCTTCTTCTCCACCTAGGACCACCAGCAGAGCGGGGTCTCCCTGCCCCCATCCCAGTTCCCCAACCCACTCCCTTCCAACAACCAGCTCCAACTGACTCTGGTCTTGGGAGGCAAGGCTTCCCAATCACAGGAGACTAAATGAAAAAAAAGAAATTGAATAATAAAATCAGGAGTCAAAAACTAAAATAAAATAAAAACAGAGCTTTGTTGTTAACTGTGGAAAAGAAATTCTTAATGGAGATTTCTAAAACTGATAATTACCTAATGAGATCCACTGTGAGAAAAGGGAGGAAGGAGTGAAATAGCCACGAGGATTACCTGGATAAAGGGCATCTACCTACATGAACTGTTTGCTATGGGAATGCAAAGCAAATCAAATCCAGTCAATTGAAAACCTAGCATTATCAAAAAGGCAGATATCATATCAGAAAAAAATAGATGTTTTAGGGCTGGGTGCAGTGGCTCACACCTGTAATCTCAGCACTTTGGGAGGCCAATAAGGGAAGATCCCTTGAGTCCAGGAGTTCAAGTCCAGCCTGGGGATTATAGTGAGACCCCTGTCTCTACAAAAAAAAAAAAAATTTAATTAGCTGGGCACGGTGGGGCACAACTGTAATCTCAGCTACTCAGAAGGCTGAGGCAGGAGAATCGCTTGAATCTGGGAGGCGAAGGTTACAGTGAGCCGAGATCACCCCACTGCACTCCAGCCTGGGTGACAGAGTGAGACTCCATCTCAAAAAAAAAAAAAAAAAAGCACATTGTCCAAACATAAAGATTTTTTTTTATGTCTACAGCAGTGTATCCAGCATCGTGGATGGCCCTTACATGAGAGCAGAAACCTGATAGACCATGATGAGGATTCAAGGAAAAAAGGGATGTGAAGGCCCTATGTAGACAGTCAAGACCTAGGCACGTAGAAAAAAAAAATAACATTAATGGTAACAGTTATTCCAAAACCCATGGGATTTATTTAACAAACATTTACCAAATACCTGCCTTGTGACAGACACCATGGGTGTTAGAAACTTGAGGAAGGCCTAGACATTCCCCTTAAGGGGCCTATGCTTTTGGTGGAGCTAAACAATGTCTACACATATCCCTGTAAATTCAAGATAGCCTCTAGTGAGGGTAGTGATGGGGGGAGATATAGAAAAGAAGGCTTCTTGGAGGTGATGAGTTTTGAGCCAGACTGTAAAGGAGAATTTTAGACATTTTTTTCAGGGGTGTTCTCTGCTACTCCCAAAATTAAATGGTAATCTCTTCAGGTTGTATAGCCTTGGGTCCCTCCCCTATCCCACCCTGTCCCTTGTGATGAGTTTGCACTTTTCTTGACTGACAGAGGAAGTCTGGTGGAGAAAGAAAACACATTTCCCTAAGCAAATCTGAAATTCTGGATTGTGCCAACTTCCTGGTTTGGAGAAGATCAGGTATCATGGGTGGGATATCTAGGGATAAAGATAGGCACCAACTATACACCAGAGATAGGGAATGTGACATCCTGGTTGGGTTTGCATCTACAGGCAGCAGGCTCAGGCAGATAACCAAGGATATGGAGACTGTTCCATGGAATTCTGAATCATATACTTCCCATGAAGAGAGCCCTAATGTGGGAACTAGGAAGAGACTCTTTCTCAGTTTCGCTTCAGGTATTTCTTGAAAGTGAACCTGCTCAGTTTTTTTCCTCCTTTGTTTGCTGGTGCCAACCAGTTCCCCTCCCAGAGACTTGGAGCCAGTTCTAAGCACCTGGTGAGATAGTGTGCTGCCACTGCAACAGAACCATCTCCAGGATCCACTTCACTTCTTTACAACAGCTTGCTCTATGACAAGCCCAGTGCCCAATCCTACCTCCCTGCACAAAGAAGAAGATTCAGGTGCACACTTCTTTGCCAAAAACTTTAATATTGGCAGTAGTCTTTATATTGTGTTTCAGTCCCACTGATAAGTCCAGGAGGCAACTGGAGAAGAAATGATTGCATATAAACTAGAGTCTTGGCAAATATATCAGAATATCAACACTGTATATAGCTGGAAGGCATTGGCTTCCAGAAGTCTTGGCCAAATCCCCTAGAGGGGCACAGGAATGATTGGGGGGAGGCACTAGGATGGGGACCATGGAGAGTTCTGCTCTCTTTGGGTTCTGCATGTCAATCACCAGCTACAAATGACAGTTCCAAAAGACTCAGCATTGGTACATTAGAAAATACCCAATAAATGTGGTAAACATAAATCCATGATTTAATAAATGAAGTTAACCAGTTTACATAAAAAGTAAAGACAAAGGAGGGCACTGATTAGGAAAGAGGAAGAGAATGGTGGCAGAAAGTAGTATCTGTTTGTCCTGGGAGTCAGATCTACTTTTCAGGGTAAAGAACAAACTCCCTAGCATTGTATTCATGACCCCAATGTGATTTTCAGGCCCATTTGCTACTCTGCCCAATGATCTAGCCCTTTCCTTAAACACACACACACACATACACACACACACACACACACACACACACAGACACACACACACACCTCTACCACTGTTCATACTGTTTCCTTTACTTGCAGTGATCTCTCTGCTTTCCCCACCCCTTTACTCCTCGTGATCTTTCAGGAAGTGAAATTCTTCCTCTTGAGCACCTTCCCAAGCACCAACACACCTTCCTCCTCTCTTCCTCCTAACTAATCATTCTTTCTCCTGAAATCCATAGCACTTTATGCTTATCCCTGTTTTGGAACTTGACATCTTATGTCATCCTTGTACAAACATCTATCTTCCCCTCTAGACCATGAACTAGATAGATCAAGGCATGTTCCTTAGGCACCATGAGTATTCACCTTCTAACATGACGTCAAACATATAGTAGGTGCTCAATACATGCTGAGTAAATGACTGAATGGCCAGGGTCTGAAGTGTCTCTCCTGCAGCTTCAAGTGGACAGCTCAGCTCTTCACAACTTGAGAAGATACTTGTGTGGTGTGGTGTGGGGTGGAGTGTGTGTGTGTGTGTGTGTGTGTGTGTGTGTGTGTTTTGTAATATCTTAGGTCATCTAAAATGAATAGCAATGGAGCAAAAATGAATGGACAATATTCCCATGTAAAAGAAATGAATTTAGCCACAGACCTTACACCCTTCACAGAAATTAATTTAAAATGGATCATAGACCTAAATGTGAAACACAAAACTATATAAATACTAGAAGATAACTCAGGAGAAGATCTAGATGACCTTGGGTTTGGACATGGCTTTTTACATACAACACCAAAGGCATAATCTATGAAAAAAATAATTGATAAGCTGGACTTCATTAAAATTAAGAATTCCTGCTTTGTGTAAGAAACTGTCAGAGAAATAAAAAGACAAGCTTCAGACCGGGAAAAAATGTTTGCAAAAGATAACTGATAAAAGACTGTTATTCAAAATATACAAAGAACTCCTAAAACTCAGCAATAAGAAAACTACTAACAACTCAATGAAAAAACTACAGGTACAAAATTACAGTTAGGATGTATTAGTCCATTTTTATACTGCTATGAAGAACTGCCTGAGACTGGGTAATTTATAATTTATAAAGGAAGAGGTTTAATTGAATCACAGTTCAGCATGGCTGGGGAGGCCTCAGGAAACTTACAATCATGGTGGAAGGTGAAGGGGAAGCAAGGCACCTTCTTCACAAGGTGCAGGAAGGAGAAGTACTGAGCGAAGGGCGAAGAGCCCCATATAAAACCATTAGATCTCATGAGAACTCACTATCACAAGAACAGCATGGGGGAAACCACCCCCATGATTCAATTACCTTCACCTGGTCTCCCCTTGACATGTGGGGATTATGGGGATTACAATTCAAGATGAGATTTGGGCGAGAACACAAAGCCTAACCATATCATAGGAAGAATAAGTTCTGTTATTTTAATACACAGTAGGGTAACTAGAGCAAATAACAATGTAGTGCATATTTCAATATTGCTAGAAGAGATTTTTAATGTTATCACCGCAAAGAAATAATAAATGTTTAAAGTAGTGAATATACAACTAAAAGAACTAGAGAACCAAGAGTGAACCAATCCCAAAGCTAGCAGAAGACAAGCAATAATCAAAATCAAAGATGAACTGAAGGGGATTGAGATGAAAAAAAATTCAAAAGATCAACAAATCCGAGAGTTGGTTTTTTGAAAAAATTAATAAAATACATAGCCTACCATCTAGACTAATAAAGAAGAAAATAGAACCAATTAAACACAATTAGAAATGACAAAGGGTATACTACCCCTGGCCCCAAAGAAATACAACCATCGGAGAATATTATGAACACCTCTATACACACAAACTAGAAAATCTAGAAGAAATGGATAAATTATTGGACACATACACCCTCCACAGACTGAACCAGGAAGAAATTGAATCCTTGAATAGAACAATAATGAGCTCCAACATTGAATCAGTAATAAGTAGCCTACCGACCCCCAAAAAAACCCAGGACCAGACTGATTCACAACTTAATTCTACCAGATGTACAAAGAAGAGCTGGTGTGATTCCTACTGAAACTATTTCCAAAATTTGAGGAGAAGAGACTCCTCCCTAACTCATTCTATGAGGCCAGCATCATTCTGATACTAAAAACCTAGCAGACACAACAAAACAAGAAAACTTCAGGCCAATATTCTTGACGAACATCAACAAAATAATGGCAAACTGAACCCAGCAGCACATCAAAAACCATATCCACCATGATTGAGTAGGCTTTGTGCCTGGATGCAAGCTTGGTTTAACACACACAAATCAATAAATGTGATTCATCACATAAACAGAACTAAAGACAAGAACCACATGATTATCTCAATAGATGCAGAAATGGCTTTCAATTAAATTCAATACCCCTTCATGTTAAAAACTCTCAATAAAATAGATCTTGAAGGAAGATACATCAAAATAATAAGAGCCATATATCTCAAATCTACAGCCAATATCAGACTGAATGGGCAAAAGCTGGTGTATTCTCCTTGAAAATCAGCACAAGACAAGGATGCCCTCCCTCTCTCACCACTCCTATTCAACATAGTATTAGAAGTTCTGGCCAGAGCAATCAAGCAAGAGAAAGGAAGACACTGTGGCGATTCCTCAAGGATCTAGAACTAGAAATACCATTTGACCCAGCAATCCCATTACTGGGTATATACCCAAAGGATTATAAATCATGCTGCTATAAAGACACATGCACACGCATGTTTATTGCAGCACTATTCACAATAGCAAAGACTTGGAACCAACCCAAATGTCCATCAATGATAGACTGGATTAAGAAAATGTGGCACATATACACCATGGAATACTATGCAGCCATAAAAAAGGATGAGCTCATGTCCTTTGTAGGGACATGGATGAAGCTGGAAACCATCATTCTCAGCAAACTATCGCAAGGACAGAAAACCGAACAACACATGTTCTCACTCATAGGTGGGAATTGAACAATGAGAACACTTGGACACAGGAAGGGGAACATCACACACTGGGGCCTGTCATGGGGTGGGGGGAGCGGGGAAGGAAAGCATTTGGAGATATACCTAATGTAAATGACAAGTTAATGGGTGCAGCACACCAACATGGCACATGTATACATGTGTAACAAACCTGCACGTTGTGCACATGTACCCTAGAACTTGAAGTATAATAAATTTAAAAAAAAAGAAAGAAATGGTATCCAAAATAGGAAGAGAGAAAGCGAAACTATCCCTGTTTTCAGACAATATGATCTTTTATCTAGGAAACCCCACAGTCTCAGCCCAAAAGCCCCTTCAGTTGATAAAAACTTCAGCAAAGTCTCAGGATACAAAATTAATGTACAAAAATCACTAGAATTCCTATACACCAACAGCAGTGAAGCTGAGAGCCAAATCAGGAATGCAATCCCATTCACAACTGACACAAAGAGAATAAAATATTATACCTAGGAATACAGCTAACCAGGAAGGTGAAATCTGTACAAGGAGAACTACAAAACACTGCTCACAGAAATCAGAGATGACACAAACAGAAAAACATGCCATGCTTATGGATAGGAAAAATCAATATTGTTATAATGGCCATACTGCCCAAAGCAATGTATAGATTCAATGCTATTTCTACCAAACTACCACTGACATTCTTCACAGAACAACAAAAAACTATTTTAAAATTCATTTGGAACCAAAAAAGCCTAAATAGCCAAGGCAATCCTAAGCAAAAAGAACAGAGCTGGAGGCATCATGCTCTCCAACTCCACAGGGCTATGGTAACCAAAACAGCATGGTACTGATACAAAAACAGACACATAGACCAATGGAACAGAATAGAGAGCCCAGAAATAAGGCTGCACATCTACGACTATCAGATTTTCGACAAAACTGACAAAAAATAAGCAACGGGGAAAGCATTTCCTATTCAATAAATAGTGCTGGGAGAACTGGCTAGCCATATGCAGAAGATTGAAACTAGACCCCTTTCTGGCCGGGTGTGGTGGCTCATGCATGTAATCCCAGCACTTTGGGAGGCCAAGGCGGGTGGATCACAAAGACAGGAGATCGAGACCATCCTGGCTAACATGGTGAAACCCATCTCTACTGAAAATACAAAAAATTAGCCGGGCATGGTGGCTGGTGCCTGTAGTCCCAGCTACTCGGGAGGCTGAGGCAGGAGAATGGTGTGAACTCGGGAGGCAGAGCTACAGTGAGCGGAGATCACACCACTGCACTCCAGGCTGGGCGACAGAGCAAGACTCCATCTCAAAAAAAAAAAAAAAGGAAACTAGACCCCTTTCTTACACTGTATACAAAAATAAACTCAAGATAGACTAAATACTTAAATGTAAAACCCCAAACTATAAAAACCCTGGAAGACAACCCAGGCAATACCATTATGGATATCAGAACAGGCAAACATTTCATGACGCAGATGCCAAAAGCAATTGCAACAAAAGCAAAAATTGGCAAATGAGATCTAACTAAACTAAAGAACTTCTGCTCTGCACAGCAAAAGAAACTATCAACAGAATACACAGACAATCTACAGAATGGGAAAAAAATTTTGCAGACTGTATATCTGACAAAGGTCTAACATCCAGCATCTATAAATAACTTAAACAAATTTACAAGAAAGAAACAACCACATTAAAAAGTGGGCAAAAGACAGGAACAGACACTTTTCAAAGGAAGACATACACGTGGCCAAAAAACACAGGAAAAAGGCCAACATCACTGATCATTAAAGAAATGCACATCAAAACCACAATGAGATACCATCTCATACCTGTCAGAATGGCCATTGCTAAAAAATCAAAAAAATAGATGCTGACAAGGTTGGGGAGAAAAGGAAATGCTTATATTCTGTTGCTGGGAGTGTAAATTAGTTCAACTATTGTGAAAAGCAGTGTGGCAATTCCTCAAAGAGCTGAAAACAGAACTACCATTTCACCCAGCAATCCCTTTACTGAGTATTCACCAAAAGAAATATAAATCATTCTATTATAGAGACACATGCACATGTGTATTCATTGCAGCATTATTCACAATAGCAAAGACATGGAATCAACCTAAATACCCTTCACTGGAAGACTAGGTAGAGAAAATGTGGTACATATACACCGTGGAATACAATACAGCCATAAAAAGAATGAGATCATGTCCTTTGCAGGAAAATGGATGAAGTTGGAGGCCACTATACTTAGCAAACTAACGCAGGAACAGAAAATCAAATACTTTATGTTCTCACTTATACAGGGGAGCTAAGTGATGAGAACACATGGACACATAGAGCGGAACAACAGACACTGGAGCCTAAGAGGGTGGAGGCTGGGAAGAGGAAGAGGATCAGGAAAAATAACAAAGCGTACTAGGCTTAATACATGGGCGATGAAATAATCTGTACAATAAAACCCCACGACATGGGTTTATTAATAAACCTGCACATGTACCCTTGAACTTAAAAATTGAAAAATAAATAAAAATAAAAATAAAAAGTTATGTTTCTAATTGAGTTTAT
The DNA here is from genome assembly GCF_000001405.40 of Homo sapiens. NCBI lineage: Eukaryota > Metazoa > Chordata > Mammalia > Primates > Hominidae > Homo > Homo sapiens. The sequence goes on along the minus strand of NC_000023.11, from coordinate 120,860,526 downwards.
TTGGATTTTCTCTCTTCATTTCTTGGTTAGTCTCGCTAATGTTCTATCAATTTTGTTTATCTTTTCAAAGAACCAGCTTTTTGTTTCGTTTATCTTTTGTATGTTTTTGTTTCAATTTCACTTAGTTCTGCTCTGATCTTTGTTATCTCTTTTCTGCTGCTGGGTTTGGGTTTGGTTTGTTCTTGTTTCTCTAGTTCCTTGAGGTGTGACCTTAGATTGTCTATTTGTGCTCTTTCAGACTTTTTTTATGTAGGCATTTAATTCTATGAACTTTCCTCTTAGCACTGCTTTTTCTGTATCCCAGAGGTTTGGATAGGTTGTGTCACAATTATCGTTCAGTTCAAGTAATTTTTAAATTTCCATCTTGATTTCATTGTTGACCCAATGATCATTCAGGAGCAGGTTATTTAATTTCCATGTATTTGCATGGTTTGCAGCGTTTCTTTTGGAGTTGATTTCCAGTTTTATTCCATTGTGGTCTGAGAAAGTACTTGACGTAATTTTGATTTCCTTAAATTTACTGAGACTTGTTTTGTAGGCTATCATATGGTCTATCTTGGAGAATGTTCCATGTGCTGATGAACAGAATGTATATTCTGCAGTTGTTGGGCATAATGTTCTATAGGTAGCTGTTAAGCCCATTTGCTTTAGGGTATAGTGTAAGTTCACTGTTTCTTTGTTGACCTTCTGTCTTGATGACCTGTCTAGTGCTGTCGTTGGAGTATTGAAGTCCCACAATATTATTGTATTGCTATCTCATTTCTTAGGTCTAGTAGTAATTGTTTTATAAATTTGGGAGCTCCAGTGTTAAGTGCATATATATTTAGAATTGTGATATTTTCCTGTTGACTAGTCCTTTTATCATTATATAATGTCCCTCTTTGTTTCTTTTTAACTGCTGTTGCTTTAATGTTTGTTTTGTCTGATACAAGAATAGCTACTCCTGCTCACTTTTGATATCCATTTGCATGGAATATCTTTTCCCACCTTAAGTTTATGTGAGTCCTTATGTGTTAGGTGAGTCTCCTGAAGAAGGCAGCAACTTGGTTGGCGAATTCTTATCCATTCTGTTATTCTGTATCTTTTAAGTGGAGTGTTTAGTCCATTTACATTCAATGTTAGTATTGAGATGTGACGTACTATTCTATTCATCATGCTATTTGTTGCCTGAACACATTGGTTTTTTAAAGTGTGTTTTTGTTATATAAGTCCTGTGAGGTTTATGCTTTAAGGAGGTTCTATTTTGGTGTATCTTGAGGATTTATTTCAAGATTTAGAGCCCCTTTTAGCAGTTCTTGTAGTGCTGGCTTGGTAGTGGTGAATTCTCTCAGCATTTGCTTGTCTGGAAAAGACTGCATCTTTCCTTCATTTATGAGGCTTACTTTCACTGGATACAAAATTCTTCACTGATAATTGTTTTGTTTAAGGAAGCTGAATATAGAACCCCAATCACTTCTAGGTTATAGGGTTTCTGCTGAGAAATCTGCTGTTAATCTGATAGGTTTTCCTTTATATGTTACCTGATGCTTTTGCCTCACAGCTTTTAAGGTTCTTTCCTTCATCTTGACTTTAGATAACCTGATGACTATGTGCCTAGGCAATGATATTTTTACCATGAATTTCCCAGGTGTGCTTTGAGCTTCTTGTATTTGGATGTCTAGATCTCTAGCAAGGCCAGTGTTAGTTCATTTTCATGCTGCTGATAAAGACATACCTGAGACTGAGCAATTAAAAAAAAGGTGGGGGGGGGTAATGGACTTACAGTTCCATGTGGGGGGAAGCTTCACAATCATGGTGGAAGGCTAGGCAGAGCAAGCCATGTCATACATGGATGGCAGCAGGCATAGAGAGAGAACTTGTGCAGGGTAACTCTTCTTTATAAAACCATCAGATCTCATGAGACTCATTCATTAGCACAAGAACAGCATGAGAAAGACTTGCCCCCATGATTCAGTTACCTATCACCAGGTCCCTCCCACAACACCTGGGAATTCAAGATGAGATTTCGATGGGGACATAGCCGAACCATATGAGCCAGGAAAGTTTTCCTCAATTATATCCTCAAATATGTTTTCCAAACCTTTGGATTTTTCTTCTTCCTCAGAAATACCAATTATTCTTAGGTTTGGATGTTTAACGTAGTCCCAAAGTTCTTGGAGGCTTTGTTCATTTTTTAAAATTCTTTTTTCTTTGTCTTAGACAGTTTGGGTTAATTCAAAAGCCTTGTCTTCGAGTTCTGAAGTTCTTTCTTCTGCTTGTTTGATTCTATTGCTGAGACTTTCCAGTGCCTTTTGCATTTCTCTAAGTGTGTCCTTCATTTCCAGAAATTGTGACTGTTTTTTATTTATGCTCTCTATTTCACTGAAGAATTTTCCTTTCATATCCTGTATCAAGTTTTTGATTTATTTAAGGTGGAGTTCACCTTTCTCTGGTGCCTCCTTGATTAGCTTAATAATTGACCTTCTGAATTCTTTTTCTGGCAATTCAGAGATTTCATCTTGGTTTGGATCCATTGCTAGTGAGCTGAGTATGATCTTTTCAGGGAGTTAAAGAACCTTGTTTTGTCATATTACCAGAATTGTTTTTCCGGTTCCTTCTCATTTGGGTAGACTGTGTCAGATGGAAGATCTGGTATTCAAGGGCTGCTGTTCAGATTCTTTTATCCCACAGGATGCTCCCTTGATGTGGTGGTCTCACTCTTCCCATAGGAATGGGGATTCCTGAGAGCTGAACTGTAGTGATTGTCTTTCTTTTTCTGGGTCTAGCCATCCAGTGGACCTACCAGGCTCTCGGCTGGTACTGAGGAGTGTCTACAAAGAGTCCTGTGATGTTATCCATCTTCAGGTCTTGCAGCCATGGATACCAGCACCTGCTCCAGTGGAGGCAGCAGGGGAGTGAAGTAGACTCTGTGAGGTTCCTTGGTTGTGTTTTTGTTTCATGCACTGGTTTTGTGTTGGCTAGCCTTTAGCCAGGAGGTGGCGCTTTCAAGAGTGCATCAGTTGCGGTCCTACAAGGAGGATGCAAACTTGCCCTAGGGACACCTGGTTAAGTATTCAGGTTTCTCAGGTGCTGGGCGGGGCCATAGAGCTCCCAAGAGATTATGACTTTTGTCTTTGGCTACCAGGACAGGTAGAGAATGACCACCAGGTGGGGTCAGGGATTGACGTGTCTGAGCTCAGCCTCTCCTTGGGCAGGGCTTGCTGAGGCTGCTGTGGGGGATGGGAGTTGAGTTTAGTTCACAGTCCAGTGGAGTTATATTCCTAGGGGGATTATGGCTGCCTCTGCTGAGTCATACAGGTCACCAAGGAAGTGGAGGAAAGTCACAGGCCTCATCCTACTCCCTCACAGCCCGCAGTCCTAAAGGCCAGTCTCACTCCCACTGTTCCTCCCCAACAACACTGAGCCTATTTTCAGGCAGCCAGTGACCAGGACTGAGTACTTGCCCTGGACCACAAACCTCCTCATTGAGAAGGCAAGCAGACTTACAGTTTTTCAGCATCTCAGGGAGCCTGCAGCATTGATCCAGTTCCTTCAAATGGTCTGTGGATTCTCTCTCCTTTGCTGGTATGTTCCTGTGGTAGTTCTTGGAGCAAAAGTTCACAATGTGAGTCTCCACATGCTGCTCTCTCTGTCCAAGCGGGAGCTGCAAGCTAGTCCTGCCTCCTATCTGCCATGTTAATCCAACACTTATATTTTGTCTTTTTGATAATTGCTATTCTGATAGGTGTGAAGTGTTATCTCCTTGTAGTTTAATTTGCAATGAAAACCAAAAGTAAACAAATAGGATTACATCAAATTAAAAAAGCTTCTGCACAACAAAGGAAACAATTAACAGAGTGAAGAGGTCACCTAAAGACTGGACAAGAAATGTTTCAAAGCCATACATCTGGTAAGGATATATAAGAAACTCAAAACAATAGCAAGAAAACAAATAACCCAATTAAAAATGGGCAAAGGATCTGAATATACATTCCTCAAAAGAAGACATATAAATAGCCAACAAATAGATGAAAGAAATGTTCAACATCACTAATCATGAGGAAGAATATCTTGACTGTGGAGACAAAACACTGGACTAAATAATCAAAATAGTGTGTAAAGCCCTTGAAGAAGAGATAAGATGACTACTTATCTTAAAGAGACTAAATATTTACCTGCCTGTATGCAGGAGCTGTATCAGAAGATAGCTTCAGATTCTGTCAGCCTCATGACTCCATCATTTCTAATGCCCATTTTAATAGTTTGCTCCTCATGCACATGGGGTGTGTATATATCACAGAAAATCTGGGGGAAAAATAGTTGAATCCACAGGGAAGAAACACACACGCACACACAAACGAGTTTGTTTAACTGGATCTTTCACTTTTAGTCACATGGACATCATGCGAGTGCAGCATATAAATGTGTTTTGGTCAGAAAAGGACACAGAACTTACAAAAGACCAGAAAGTGTGAAGAGATATAACCACAGTATCAGGAGGAAGATAAAATTTCAACAAAATAATTATTAAAGGGGTTGTGGGGAAAGAACACTTTTTAGTCAGAATTTTCAATGCTAAGTACAAAGGTGAATGAGCACATAAAAAACCAATGCATTATGTTATGTTTTTATCCTTTGCCCACATTCTGGACACATTTAAGCCAAAAAATAACCATTTCCTTTCTTAAAGCTGTACTATATTAACATAATCTTGAGTGTGGCCCTAAAAAGGCAAACAGGTGGAGCCACATCATTGTAAAACATGACAGCCTCGACCAATTCGTCAAATTGATATCACTTCAAAAGAAAGGCAAGAATACAGGACCATCATGGGAAGCAAAGAGACCATGCTGCTGTGATTCAATAGGATTTTCATCTCCAACTTCAAAAGGCTCCATTAATCTCCTAACCATCTATCTAGGCTTTAAGGAGAAGGAAATGGAGAGTTTTGAACATGAATTTTCTGCTCCTACCTATTGCTCCCAGTGACACAGGAGACAGAAATAAACATTCTTCCAGGAGACCCGGAAGAAACTCACCCATGCCAATGGAATGGAGTGGGGAAAGGTTAGAGTTTACACTGTGACAGGAATATGAATGAGATATCTCTGAATCAAGGCTATTGGATAGTCCCTGAGCCTCTGTTTTCTGTGATGTGTGATGGCAATATTAGACTGTGTCCTCTGCATCCCATTTGTAGAATTTCTCGCCCACAAATCCAGTTGGTTTCTAAGTAATTTATATGTGTAATGTATTTGCTTGTAAAATACAAACTTGATGACTTACCTACAATTTATCACTCTTCTTTATGGTCATGCTCAGCCTAATCAGCTGACCACCCAGCAGTGTATACTATACATTTATCAAGCACTTAGCCCTGGGCCTAATGAGCACTAGGAGCTGGAAGAGCTCAGGTGAGAAACTGAAGGCCCCTGTTCACTCTACAGTTTTTGCCAATGGGCTTTTTCTATTTAGGTCTGTGACTGATTATCTAAGCAAAATGGAGTTCCAAGGTAGTAGAGCTAATTTTTGTAATATATAGTTAGAGTTTTGACCTGCTCCTGGGCAGCCATGCTTAAAATGAACACCAGTGGTCCAAAGATGTTAAGAAAGAAAAGGCAATAGTGTTGGGATTGTTCACAGTGTGATCCCAGGCCCACCTGCATCACAATCACAATCAGAGGTGAGTATTAAACCTACAGATTCCTGGGTTCCACCCCAGACCTGCTGAATCAGAACCTATAGATTGGAGCCCAGGGAGCTGAATGATAATAAGCTCCACCAAGTGACTTTGATGCTCACCAACATTCAGGAATCACTAGCTTAGTGCAAACTCATCCCCACAGCTAGGAAACAACTCGTAAGTGTGCACAGCATTCTAGCGTGGAATCTCCTCAGTGGGACCTCCAGATCTCAATCAATCAACTAAAAAGTATTTCACTGCCCAAATACATACATGATTCTCTCAGTGAACCTCGGTTTCCTTTCTCTAAAACAAAGATAATAATAGCACCTACCTCTTACAGGCTGTGGAGAAAATTAAATGATGTACATGTACAAAGCTTCACACACTGCCTAGCACATGATAAATCATTCAATACATCTTAGTAATTCTAATAAGAAAATATTCAAGTTCCTTAGTGAAACCTTTCCAGTTTGTATGTACCCACATTGTTTCATTTCCTGCCTCAACCTCCTACCTAAGAATGTATACTCCAGACAAACAAAACCAACTGGAGTTTCCTCATACACTATGCTACTTTTTTTTTTTTTTTTTTTTTTTGAGAAGGAGTCTCGCTCTGTCGCCCAGGCTGGAGTGCAGTGTCACAATCTCGGCTCACTGCTACCTCTGCCTCCTGGGTTCACGCCATTCTCCTGCCTCAGCCTCCTGAGTAGCTGGGAATATAGGCACCCGCCACCATGCCCGGCTAATTTTTTGTGTGTATTTTTAGTAGAGATGGGTTTTCACAGTGTTAGCCAAGATGGTCTCCATTTCCTGACCTTGTTATCCACCCGCCTCGACCTCCCAAAGTGCTGGGATTACAGATGTGAGCGACCGCGCCCAGTCACAATATGCTACTCTTTATCTCCACACTGTTGCTTATGCCCCTTCTTTTGCCTGGATGCAGCTCCTTCACTTAGAAAGCTCATACTTGATCTTCAAGGCCTAAATCATTGGCATATTCTCTAGGAAGCATTTATTAGACCCCTGAGCCTAAGTTAGGAGACTCTTTTCTTTGTTCTCTCAGCACTCTTTACCTCTTTATGCCTATCTTTCCCCTATTAGAGAGCAAGCTCTTTAAAGTCATGGACGATGGGTATTTTCGGTTTTTTCCCTATATGCCCTTTTTGTTGCCAGTAATTTTAAAACATTCAGAAGAGTACAGAGAATAATAAAACAATCACCCAGTTTTTTAACTTTCACAAGTAACCACTATTAACCTTTTGGCACTTTTACTTCCAGTTTTTCCACACTTAAAAATAACTTATAAAAATACCGTTTATTATTTCAGAATAGAATATTATAGGTAAAGCCAAAAGCCCCCTTGACCTCCACCCCCATGCTCTATCCCTTCACTGCTTTTCCAAAGGTAACCAAACAGTAATATGAGTTTGATGTGTAGCCTTCCAATCTTTTTGTATACATCTACAGACATAACCTATATCCATATAAAATATACAGTATTGGTTTGCACATTTTCCCAAATATCATGTGGCTGTGTACATCATTCTGCCACTTGCTTCTTTCACTCAAAAGTGTTTATGAAATATATCCATGATGATAGATATATCTAGGTAATTCACTTTAATTGCTTTCCATTATATGGATGTACCCCCATTTTAACCATTTTTGTCCCTATTGATGGACATTTAGATTGTTTCCAAGATCTTGCTATTATGAAAAATTTATCATGAAATTTATGATGAAGTGCTTTACTACATGCCTATGTGTATGCATGTGTGTTACTCTAGTAAAAAGACTTAGAAGTAAAACTGCTGGATTATAGGGTATGTGAATTTTTTTAAGAGACACTGACAAATTGCTCTACAATGTGGCTGTACTGACTTTTACTCCCATCAGCATTGTTCAAGAGTTTCATTTCCCTATCTCCTTACCAACACTTGCTATTGTCAGCCTTTTAAATTTTGCCAATATTATCAGAGAAAAGAGATATTTCATTACTGTTTTTAACCATCTTATTAACCTCTGTGTCCTCAGCTCCTAGCAAGTATTTGGCACATGTTGATTGCTTGGTAAATATTTGCTCATCTCTACTTTTGATAATGTCACATGTGGGTACCAGCTCTGGCCTGCTGATACTTCAGAACACAGCTAAGTGTCTCCTTTCAGCAAGAACCGGAGGGAGATCCCAGTTTCCTTACCTCTAAGCAAACCTGTGAGGAAAAGATAAAGTGAAAAAATGTAGGTGATACAACTTTCTTTAGCAGTTTATCATTAGCTGATATGGTTTGAATGTTTTGTTCCCTCCAAATCTCATGTTGATATGTGACCTCCAATGTTGTTGGTGGGCCTGGTGGGAGGTGTTTAGGTCATGGGAACAGGTTTCTCATGAATGGCTTAGCACCATCTTCTTGGTGATGAGTGAGTTCTTTCTCAGGTAGTTAGCATGAGGTCTGGTTGTTTAAAAAAATCTGTGACCCACCCCCTTTCTGTCTTGCTCCCTCACTTGCCATGTGATATACCTGCTCCTTCTTTGCCTTGTGCCATGACTGTAAGCTTCCTGAGGCCCTCACCAGAAATGAATGCCATCACCATGCTTCCTGTACAGCCTACAGAACTGGGAACCAAAATAAACCTCTTTCTTTATAAATTACCCAGTCTCAGGTATTCCTTTATAGCAACGTAAATGGACTAATACGTTACCTAACATGGCATTCACTAAATGATTCTTGATCTCTGGATCAATCATCTTTCACAATCAGTAAGGTTAGTGTCTAGCTCCTTCCACCTAGAAGTTAAGGACACATCAGAAAAGACAACAGGAGTGGGAAGCAGCGTGTCTGTTCCCCAGTGGCTCTGTTGCACCAGTGAAAAGGAAACAGGTAGAAGGAATGGTTTAGCTTTCTAGTGGTTGCTCCAAAGTTAATTATTATAGATACTATCTGTTCATGAAAACCTGTTTCCTTTTCCTTAGAATGGCCATGTATCTGGACCATATTTGCCAGTATCCCCTATAGTTAGTTATATTCATGTGATTAATTTTTGCCCAATGGATTATGAACCAAAGTGATATGTATCATCTCCAATCCTGCTCTCCTATATAATATTCTCCATGTTCTTTTTTTCCTTCTAGTTGACTGGAATAAAAACAGAGCCTAGAATGCCATGTTAAAGATGGCATTGCCATAAGATGAAAGGAGTTTCAGTCCCTGAATCATTATTTGAAGAAGTGATATGCCTAGCATTTACTCTAACTAATACAGTAATATCCCTAGACTGGCAAATCTTTTCAGAAACACAAATAATCCAGCATTTACTATCTCCAAGTAAGGGTAGTTCATATTTTTTTCGGACAAGAGACAGAATTGGCAACGTCACTGTTAGGGTAATTCTTAGCTAGTTTCACAACATGGAAAACAACAAAGCACAATTGTTATATCTACCAGTGCAAATGCTATACAACAACCATTTTTAAATTACCAAAAGATTTCAGGGCTGAAATAAACATCATTATTGTAGGAAAAAAAACAAACTGATCTAATCAGCCCTGGTGCCTAGTCAAGTTAAAAAAAAAATGAAAGAGGAAGACATTATTAGCAAGTCTCCAGTACAACTGGTAGGCATGAATTTAGTTTGATAGTGTCATAAGTGAACAGTACTCAATGAAAGCCTACACTGCATTTCTCAGCAGAAAGGCTTCAGGCTGCTAAAGTACCTAGAGACTCTCAGGGGATCATGGCGGATGGGATGCAGGACTAGATTGCAGCTCCAATTCGGATGGACAGAGCAGCATGTAGAGGCTCGCATCATGAGTTTTTGCTTCAGAACGACTGCAGGAACAAATCAGGAAACCTGAGAGGACCTACAGACCCCCTGAAAGAAGCAGATTGCTCCTGCAAGACCTGGGAGACAACCCAAATACTGTGAGTGCCCAAACTGAAGAGGTGGGAAAGGGAGATCATCCGCCCCCGAACACACATCCCTACTGGGGAAACTGAAGGCCTAGATTTTGACCTAGAAAAGATTTTGATCTTACCTTTAGCTGAGTCAATTCAGAGAGCTGAGCGAAATCCAGAGGTAGAGGAAGCAACAGGAAGAGCCCTGGGAGCTCACCGGGTTCCCTAGCAAGCCATTTTTGTCTGGCCTCACAGGGGCCCTTCAAGAGGGTGGCCAGAGGCACCGGGAAAAGACCACAGGGAGAAGAAAATCCCCAGCTAAACTCTGTAACAATTTGAACTGTTTGAGAAGCCTCCTGGCCAGAACTCAGGGGAGGGCATGAATCCAGTGTGCAGACTCCACAAGCAAGGAAGAAGAAAAGACACATTTGCTTTCACAGTTGGGAGGAGGGTAACCTGGGGCAAGTTCTCAGCCCTGCTTGCCCACTACCTGGAAACAGACTTGGTGCTGTTGGGCGGGGGGTGGGCACGGTGGAAGTGAGACCAGCCCTTCGGATTGTGTGGGAGCTGGTTGAGGCCTGTGACTGCTGGCTTTCCCCCACTTCCCTGACAACCTGCATGACATAGTAGAGACAGTCATAATCCTCCTAGAAACATAACTCCATTGACCTGAGAACCTCATCCCCATCCCCCACAGCAGCCACAGCAAGATCCGCCCAAGGAGAGTCTGAGCTCAGACAGCGCCTAGCACTGCCCCAACACAGCGGTCCTTCCCTACCCACCCTGGTAACTGAAGACAAAGGACATATACTCTTGGGAGTTATAGGGCCCCGCCCACCACCTGTTCCTCCCCATGCTACCACAGCTGATGCTCTCTGGAAAGCACAACCTCCTAGCAGGAGGTCAACCAGCACAAAAACAGTGCATTAAACTACCAAAGCTAAGAATCCTCACAGAGTCCATTTCACACCCCTGCCACCTCCACCAAAACAGGTGCTGGTATCCATGGCTGAGAGACCCACAGATGGTTCATATCACAGGACTCTGTGCAGACAACCCTTAGTACCATCCCAGAGCCTGGTAGACTTGCTGGGTGGCTAGACTCAGAAAAGAGAGAATAATCACTACAGCTCAGCTCTCAGAAAGCCACAACCATAGGAAAAGGGGGAGATTACTACATTAAGGGAACACCCCATGGGACAAAAGAATCTGAACAACAGCCTTTAGCCCTAAACCTTCCCTCTGACAGAGCCTGCCCAAATGAGAAGGAACCAGAAAACCAACTCTGGTAATATGACAAAACAAGGCTCTTTAACACTCCCAAAAAATCATACTAGCTCACCAGTAATGGACCCAAACCAAGAAGAAATCCCTGATTCACCTGAAAAAGAATTCAGGGGTTAGTTATTAAGCTAATCAGGGAGGCACCAGAGAAAGGCAAAGCCCAATGCAAGGAAATCCAAAAGATGATACAAGAAATGAAGGGAGAAATATTCAAGGAAATAGATAGCATAAATAAAAAACAATCAAAATTTCAGGAAACAATGGGCACACTTATAGAAAGGCAAAATGCTCTGGAAAGTCTCAGCAATAGAATTGAACAAGTAGAAGAAAGAAATCCAGAGCTCAAAGACAAGGTCTTCAAATTAACTGAATCCAACAAAGACAAAGAAAAAAGAATAAGAAAATAGGAACAAAGCCTCCGAGAAATCTGTGATTATGTTAAATGATCAAACCTAAGAATAATCAGTGTTCCTGAGGAAGAAGAGAAATCTAAAAGTTTGGAAAACATATTTGGGGGAATAATTGAGGAAAATGTCCCCAGCCTTGCTAGATACCTAGACATCCAAATACAAGAAGCACAAAGAACACCTGGGAAATTCACTGCAGAAAGATCATCTCCTATGCACATTGTCATCAGGTCACCTAAAGTTATGATGAAGGAAAGAATCTTAAGAGCTGTGAGATGACAAAAGCACCGGGTAACCTATAAAGGAAAACCTATCAGATTAACAGCAGATTTCTCAGCAGAAACCCTACAAGCTAGAAGGGATATCTTCAGCCTCCTCAAACGAAACAATCATCAGCCAAGAATTTTGTATCCAGTGGAACTAAGCTTCATATATGAAGGAAAGTCTTTTTCAGGCATGCAAATGCCAAGAGAATTTGCCACTACCAAGCTACCACTACAAGAACTGCTAAAAGGAGCTCTAAAACTTGAAAGAAATCCTGGAAACACATCAAAACAGAACCTCTTTAAAGCATAAACCTCACAGGACCTATAAAACAAAAATGCAATTCAAAGAACAAAAACCTAAAACAAAAAACCAAGGTGTACAGGCAACAAATTGCACGATGAATGGAATGGTACCTCACATCTCAATACTAACATTAAAGGTAAAGGGCCTAAATGCTCCACTTAAAAGATACAGAATTGGCTGGGCACGGTGGCTCACTCCTGTAATCTCAGCACTTTGGGAGGCCGAGGCAGGCGGATCACTAGGTCAGGAGATCAAGACCATCCTTGCCAATGTGGTGAAATCCCGTCTCTACTAAAAATACAAAAATTAGCCGGGCATGGTGGTGTGCACCTGTAGTCCCATCTACTTGGGAGGTGGAGGCAGGAGAATTGCTTGAACCCGGGAGGAAGAGGTTGCAGTGAGCCAAGATCGTGCCATTGCACTTCAGCCTGGGCGACAGAGCGAGACTCCATCTCAAAAGAAAAAGGATACAGAATTGCAGAATGGATAAGAATTCACCAACCAACTATGTGCTTCCTTCAAGAGACACACCTAACACATAAGGACTCACACAAACTTAAGGTACAGGGGTGGAAAAAGACATTTCAGGCAAATAGATACCAAAAGCAAGCAGAAGTAGCTGTTCTTATATCAGACAAAACAAACTTTAAAGCAACAGCAGTTAAAACAAAAAACAAAGAGGGACATTATATAATGATAAAAGGACTAGTCCAGTAGGAAAATGTCATAATTCTAAATATATATGCACCTAACACTAGAGCTCCCAAATGTATAAAACAATTACTAATAGACCTAAAAAATGAGACAGACAGCAACACAATAATAGTGGGGGATTTCAATACTCCACTGACAGCACTAGACAGGTCATCAAGAGAGAAAGTCAACAAAGAAACAATGGATTTAAACTATACCCTGGAACAAATGGACTTAACAGATATATACAGAACATTCCATCCAACAACTGCAGAATATACATTCTATTCAACAGCACATGGAGATTTCTCTAAGAAAGAACATATGATAGGCCACAAAACAAACCTTGATAAATTTAAGAAAATTGAAATTAGATCAAGCACTCTGTCAGACCACAGTGGAATATAACTAGAAATCAACTCCAAAAAGAACCTTCAAAACCATGCAAATGCTTGGAAATTAAATAACCTGATGCTGAATAATTGGGTAAAAAATGAAATCAAAATGAAAATTAAGAATTTTTTTGAATTGAACAATAATAGTGACACAACCTATCTAAACCTCTGGGATACAGCAAAAGTAGTGCTAAAAGGAAAGTTCATAACCTGAAACGCCTACATCAAAAAGTCTAAAAGAGCACAAACAGACAATCTAAGGTCACACCTCAAGGAACTAGAGAAACAAGAACAAACCAAACCCAAACCCAGCAGAATAAAGGAAACAACAAAGATCAAGCAGAACTAAATGAAATTAAAACAAAAAATACAAAAGATAAATGAAACAAAAATCTGGTTCTTAGAAAAGATAAATAAAATTGACAGACCATGAGCAAGATTAACCAAGAAAAGAAGAGAGAAAATCCAAATAAGCTCAATAAGAAACGAAATAGGAGATATACAACTGACACCACAGAAATACAAAAGATCATTCAAGGCAACTATGAACACCTTTACGTACATAAACTAGAAAACCTAGAAGAGATGGATACATTGCTGGAAATATACAGCCCTCCTAGATTAGATCAGGAAGAATTAGATACCATGAACAGGCCAATAACAAGCAGCAAGATTGAAATGGTAAATTAAAAATTATCAACAAAAAAAGTCCAGGGCCAGATGGATTCACAACAGAATTCTACTAGACATTCAAATAAGAATTGGTACCAATCCTACTGACACTATTCCAAAAGATAGAGAAAGAGTGAACCCTGCCTAAATCATTATGTGAAGCCAGTATCATGCTAATATTAAAACCAGAGAAGGACATAACCAAAAAAGAAAACTACAGACCAATAACCCTGGTGAACATAGATGCTAAAATCCTTCACAAAATACTAGCTAACTGAATCCAACAACATATCAAAAAGACAATACAACATGATCAAGTGGGTTTCATACCAGGGATGCAAGGACGGTTTAACATACACAAATCAATAAATGTGATATACCACATAAACAGAATTTAAAAAAAAATCACATGATGATCTCAACAGACGCAGAAAAAGCATTCAACAAAATCCCCATCCCATTATGATTAAAACTCTCAACAAAATCGGCATACAAGGGACATACCTCAAAATAATAAAAGCCATCTATGACAAACTCACAGCCAACGTAATACTGAATGGGGAAAAATGGAAAGGATTTCCTCTGACAACTGGAAAAAGACAAGGATTCCCACTCTCGCCACTCCTCTTCAACATAGTACTGGAAGTCCTAGCCGTAGCAATCAGACAAGAGAAAGAAATAAAGGGCATCCAAATTGGTAAAGAGCAAGTCAAACTGTCACTGTTTGCTGATGATATGATCATTTCCCAAGAAAACCCTAAAGGCTCCTGCAGAAAGCTCCTAGAACTGATAAAAGAATTCAGCAAACTTTCCAGATACAAAATTAATGTACACAAATCAGTAGCTCTTCTATACACCAACAGTGATCAAGCTGAGAATCAAATCAAGAACTCGACCCCTTCTACAAGAGCTGCAAAAAATAAATAAAATACTTAGGAATATACCTAATAAAGGAGGTGAAAGACCTCTACAAGGAAAACTACAAAATACTGCTGAAAGAAATCATAGACAACACAAACAAATGGAAACATATCCCATGCTCATGGATAGGTAGAATCAACATTGTGAAAAATAACCATAGTGTCAAAAGCAATCTGCAAATTCAATGCAATTCTCATCAAAATACTACTATCATTCTTCAAAGAATTAGAAAAAACAATTCTAAAATTCATATGGAACTGAAAAAGAGCCTGCATAGCCAAAGCAAGACTGAGCAAAAAGAACAAATCTGGAGGCATCACATTACCTGATTTCAAACTATACTATAAGGCCATAGTCACCAAAACAGCATGGTACTGGTATAAAAAAAAAGGCACATAGACCAATGGAACAGAATAGAGAACCCAGAAATAAACCCAAATACTTACAGCCAACTGATCTTCAGCAAAGCAAACAAAAACATAAAGAGGGGAAAGGACACACTTTTCAACAAATGGTGCTAGGATAATTGGTTAGCCACATGTAGGAGAATGAAACTGGATCCTCATCTCTCACCTTATACAAAAATCAACTCTGGTGGCTCACGCCTGTAATCCCAGCACTTTGGGAGGCCAAGTGGGGGTGGATCACCTGTGGTCAGGAGTTCAAGACCAGACTGGCCAACATGGCAAAACCCTGTCCCTACTAAAAATACAAAAACAGGCAGGCGCCTGTAATCCCAGCTACTTGGGAGGCTGAGGTAGGAGAATTGCTTGAGCCTGAAAGGAGGTTGCATTGAGCCAAGAACGTGCCACTGCACTCCAGTCTGGGTGACAAACTGAGAGTCCGTCTCAAAAAAGAAAAAAAAAATCAACTCAAGATGGATCAAGGACTTAAATCTGAGACCTGAAACTATAAAAATTCTGGAGGATAACATTGGAAAAACCCTTCTAGACTTTGGCTTAGGTTAGGATTTCATGACCAAGAACCCAAAAACAAATGCAATAAAAACAAAGATAAATTACTAGGACTTAATTAAACTAAAGAGCTTTTGCACAGCAAAAGGAACAGTCAGCAGAGTAAACAGACAACCCACTGAGTGGGAGAAAATCTACAAAATCTATACATCTGACAAAGGACTAATATCCAGAATCTACAAGGAACTCAAATAAATCAGCAGGAAAAAAACCAAACAACCCCATCAAAAAGTAGGCTAAGGACATGAATAGACAATTCTCAAAAGAAGATATGCAAATGACCAATAATCATATGAAAAAATGCTCAACATCACTAATCATCAGGGAAATGCAAACCAAAACCACAATGTGATACCACCTTACTCCTGCAAGAATGCCCATAATCAAAAAAAATGAAAAAATCAAAAAATAGTAGATGTTGGTGTGGATGTGGTGAACAGGGAACACTTCTACACTGCTGGTGGGAATGTAAACTAGTACAACCACTATGGAAAACAGTGTGGAGATTCCTTAGAGAACTAAAATTAGAACTACCATTTGATCCAGCAATCCCACTACTGGGTATCTACCCAAAGGAAAAGAAGTCATTATGCAAAGAAGACACTTGCACACGCATGTTTATAGCTGCACAATTCACAATTGCAAAAACGTGGAACCAACCCAAATGCCCATCAATCAACGAATGGATAAAAAAACTGTGGTCTTTCTGCACATGTATCCCAGAACTTAAAGTATAATAATAAAAAAAACACAGACATGCCCACCAGTGCCATGACACTTTACCACTGCTGTGGCAACACCCAGAAGTTACCACCCCTTTTCTAGAAATTTCTAAATTTCTAGAAAATCAGAAATTTAGAAGTTAGAAAATTAGAAATTACATGCCCCTTAACTTGTACATAATTAAAAGTCGGGGAGCAGGTGCAATGGCTCATGTCTGTAATCCCAGCACTTTGGGAGGCCGAGGTGGGCAGATCACTTGAGGTCAGGAGTTTGAGAACAGCCTGGCCAACATGGTGAAACTCCATCTTAAAATAAATAAATAATAAATAAAATAAAAGTGGGTATAAATATGAATGCAGAACTGCCCCTGAGTTACTAATCTGGGCACACTACCTACGGGTTAGCCCTGCTCTGCAAGGAGCAGTACCTCTGCTGCTGCTGTACACTGCTACTTCACAAAAGTTGCTGTCTAACACCATAAAAAAAAAAGAAGAAACTGTGGTATATACGACAGAATACTACTCATCCATAAAAAGGAATGAGTTAATGGCATTCGCAGCAACCTGGATAAGATTGGAGTCTATTATTCTAAATGCAGTAACTCTGGAATGGAAAACCAAACATTGTGTGTTCTCACTCATAAGTGGGAGCTAAGCTATGAGGATGCAAAGGCATAAGAATGACACAATGGGCTGGGCGCGGTGGCTCACGCCTGTAATCCCAGCACTTTGGGAGGCCGAGGCAGGTGGATCACGAGGTCAGGAGTTCGAGACAATCCTGGCTAACACGATGAAACCCCGTCTCTACTAAAAATACAAAAAATTAGCTAGGCATGGTGGTGGGCACGTGTAGTTCCAGCTACTTGGGAGGCTGAGGCAGGAGAATGGCATGAACCCGGGAGGCAGAGCTTGCAGTGAGCCGAGATCGTGCCACTGCACTCCAGCCTGGGCAAGAGAGCAAGACTCCGTCTCAAAAAAAAAAAAAAAAAAAAAAAAAAAGAATGACACAATGGACTTTGGGGACTCAGGCAGAAATGATGGTAAGGGAGTGAGGAATAAAAGACTGCAAATAGGGTGCAGTGTATACTGCTTAGGTGATGGGTGCACCAAAATCTCACAAATCTCCCCTAAAGAACTTACTTATGTAATGAAACACCACCTGCTCCCCAATAACCTATGGAAATATAATTTTTTCTAAAAAAAAAGTACCTAAAGGCTGCAACACTGCAGCCTTTAATATGAAGGCTGAAGACACACAGAAGATAGCCAGATATATAAAAACAGCCAGGAATGGGGTACATGGAAAAAAGAATGGAGAAGAGGAAAATCTCAAGTGTGTAGCATTAAACTATCTGATTTAGAATTGAAGTTCCCATATATGCTCTAAGATTTTGCTCTCATTTCATAGTGGCATTGTTTTAATTCTGAAGGTTCCTCATCAACAAAAGCTTTCCTGACAAGGAAGGATCTGTCCAATTTATCTCTGTGTAGTGTAGGCATATACTAGGTTCTCAAATAATAGAGATGGAAAGTATGACAAAGACAAAGTATTTATCCAAATGCTGGGGGAAGTACATTTCTAAGGAGCCCCACAAAGCCGGAGGTAGGAGATTGTGACATAATATTTGAATCTTTGCAACAATAAAGTATTCCATACATCCATCAAAAAATATTTATTTTGTATCTCCTTTGTGCATTCACTGCATTAGAAAACGACCATACAGCCCCTACCCTCAAGGGTGTTACAGCAGAGATACAAGCCACTTGGCAGGTAGAATACAGTAATCAGTACTCTGTACTGTGATAGATGAAAGGAAGTGTTGGTGCTATGGGAGTAGAGAAGAAAGACCCCAACCCAGTTTGGAAACTCAGAATAGGTTTTTTGAAAGAGATTCATTGAACACCTCCCGTTTGCCAGGCCCTGTGCTAGATGCTGGAGTTAACAGAGATGCCTGAGACACTTGCTCCTATTCTAGAAACTCTCTAGGGGCTTATGGGGGACACAAGAGAGACACATCTACCCAATAACCCTAAGGCAGTGGGAAATGTGCTAAACAGAATATGTGCTATAGGAGCACAAAGGAAGGAGCTGCTGTCTCTGAATGTTGCCCAGCCTATCTCTCCTAACTGAACTCCATTTATGCTACAACTACAACAGAACAAGCGGCATCACACGGCAATGCCCCAACATGCCCAGGATGAGGGCTCCTTCTTCCCAAGACTTCCTAGAGATGATGCTATTCAGTCTCAGAAGGAAACCACAGTGACTTCTGAGTTCCTGTTCATCTCAATGTGTTGGACTTAGACATCCCCCTTGGGATGCCATTCCCTAAGGAATCTAATCCACACCATTAAGCTCCAAATGCTTTTTCCTTTTCCATCAAAACTGGGTTATTTGTTCTTCATTTAGCAAACCAAGTTTATGGTTAGGGGTCTAAAATAATTAGTTCTGCTTATTGTATCTTATAGCTCATAGGCAAAAAAAGCTCAAAAAGACTCATTGTTTGTGTGAATACAGATACCACATACCTGTTGGACTAGTCTCTGGGGGACTCAATGATGCCTTCCACTGGACATGAAGAAGACTCATGAATTTAGAGCCAGAAAGCCGGAGAGCCAGAGAGCTTGAAGGAGTCTTAGAAATCTATAATTTACGCTAACTCCATAATTTTACAGATGAGCAAACTGAGGAAAAGGGAACTGCTCAAGACCCAGTAGTTAGTGAGAGGATTGGAACTGTAATACAGGCTTCTCAACTACTTTTGAAAACATAGTAATCAGGCCACTATAGGAGTAGCAGGCCCATTAAGAACATATAAGATCTACTAAGAGAAAGAAAATTGAGAGCTTTAAGATCTAAGCTGGCTCTCCCACCCCACATGAAAATCCTCCCTCCATTCCTAACTCTGAAAAATAAATGGGTTAGATTTCACTAAAGGAACTTTCAGATTTCCTTACATTCCTCCTTCAACTCCTCCCTCCCACCCCCCTCCCACTCCCTACCAAATTAACAACCACCAATACCTCCAGCTTGGAGGAAAAACAAAACAACGACATTGGATTGCTCTCTTTGGGAGCAACCCTATTTACTTGCACTATAGCATGGCATATAAGGAATGAGAGAGGCCCTAAAGTTCAGAGAAGCAGTCCTTCTTTTAGGACTATCGTCCTGGCTGTATTGCCCATACAGCAGCAAATGCATACTGATGCACTGAGTTCTTCCAGAGGAATTAACAAGTACAACTCCCAAGTGCTTCTCTTACCTCAGAGAGGCAGTATCTCACAATGGAATGAATAGAGAAATGTTGACTCATTAGGGACAGCAGTGGGAGAGAAGTAGAAGGCACCCTGTGGGCAACAGACAGCTCTTGCAGCAGGCAAGCAAAATAGTGCAGTGATGAGGAACAGCCTGATCCTCCTTCTGTGAGCCCCAGCCACTCTTTGGAGGTTATCAGAAAACGGAGAGAAGAAACCAGAGGGGAATTTCAGACCTGAAAAATGAAAGTGCAGGACCATAGCATCTTCAATATTTCTTCTCTCTCCATTTTCAGTCTCTGAAATAAAAAATGCCTAGGCCTGGATACCTAGAATTATATTTCTGAGACACGGAACAATTGCCACATTGAAATGACGGAGACCCAGAGAAATCTAAACAGATAAATTCTGTCAAACATGGCTTTAAAACCAACAGTTATCACTAGTCAAACTCTTCCAAAAAAACTTTGCAAGAATTCCAGTTGAGTATTGCTCTTATCTCAAGAGTTACACATTCAACCAGAAAAGAATTACAGGTCTCTTTTTGATACCCCTGTTCCACTTCCAAATTCAGCCAGTATCAAACAAGGGAAAAGATGAGAGGGTAGGGAGCAATGACAGAATAATTTGTCTCCACAAAACCAAGGTCTTATAGGACCCTTTAGGATACAATTTACACAGATGCTTTTGCCTTGAAACTCATATTGCACTTGGGATTCTTTTTCACCTAGATGAGAGAAATGATTTTGAAAGTGCTAAGCTTAATTGATTTGCAGCCACATCAACTCAGACCCCCAGAGACTCCAATTATATATCCCATGATACCCAGGGCCTGCAGGAAGCAGACTTTCCCCTGAGATTGGTAGATGGGCTTCACAGTCAAGTGTTATGATTAACCCGAAGTTCTTTTTTCAATACAGATGAAGGACATCACAGTCCTCTCGTCCTTATTCAGGCTTAAAGGCTATTAGAAATGTGACACAGCAGCCTTACGATAGCAAAGGTGAGTGGAATTCTAGAAAAGTCAAATGAGTTGATAAAATGCTTTGTTGTTTGAGCTTATTTATACCAGTATGCTAATGAAGCAAAAGATGGGAGGTCATATTTTCTCTTCTACAGGCTAGAAGTTAATGGCTTTGAAGCACCAGAGATAGGCTCAGATAGACCAAGCACTTACACAAGGTTGTGTATCAATTTTTAGGAGCCTGGAAAGCTATAAGGACCCTCAAGTGCTTTCAAGCACATTAGTCCTGTTTTACATAAAGCATAATAAGCCTGGTTGATGGTAGAGAAATAATAATGTTGTTAATCCAAGCAGCTTAGAGGTGAATCATCTACTCCAACAATCCAGACTGATTTAATGCCCTTTGGACAGTATGACTCAGTTCTTTCCTGGAGGGCTAATGGACAATCACCATCTCATTTAGGCCCCATTCAGAATCTTTTCTGATTCTGCATGAACAAAACAGGACAATGGTTTCCTGTGATGCAGCCTGAAATACTGGCCTTAAGTGATTGTGCCTCAGTGGGAAGAATTCAGCTATTATGCAAAACTCAGGCCTACACACCTTTTCTTCCTGAATTTATCAGCTCTCTTTGGTAATTGATATTACCTACAGAAGATGGTAAAGATGAGGTCAGTGTCAACCAACGAAAAATCCAAATCATAGGACAATTTAAAAGAAACAAGCTTTATTACTCTCAAGTAAAAACAACTCAAACTGGACTCAAAATGCTTTAAGGAAGTATTGTCCCAGAATGTCCCTAAGAGACCTATTTAATGAATAATTGGAATTATTTGTAATTGGTAAGTCAATTACAAATTGAAGGGGAGCTTCTAAACTAAAATAGTTTAAAGATGTAAAGGCACCAAACAGTCCTATGTGAGACCAAGATTAAAATTCCAATGAAGAAAAGCTTTGCTAATATTGGCAAAATAGTAATAAATGTTGAAGTTGGATGATGGGTGTATGGAGGTTCATTATACTATTCTCTTTCTGTGTATGTTTAACTGTTTCCATAATAGTTCTTTTTGAAGACCTTTGCTGAACAAAGGTAACTTTTAGGTCAGCCCTCTGAATTATGGCAAATTTGAAATTACTAGGATTAATATTAGAGCTTTGACTCTATTAAAGATTTTTATCAAAGCTCTCAGACCCTTGAACTTCACTGTCCCAAACTCAGCCTGCCTATATTCAAGCTACAGGCAAGGGTAATTGGGATCCTACAGAGCCATACCTTGTTCTGCTCCTAGTGAAAATATCAAGGGAAGCATGACAGAAAGGAAAAGAGAAGATATTGGTCCAGGAGATGAAGGGATAGCTTTGAAAGCCAAAGCCTGTTTTGATGGCATCACCTGCTGTCCATTTTCCACTTTGAGAGAGATTTGTTATGGAGAGAAATTGTCCTACATTCTCTCTCTCTTGCTTCAATTCTATCAACCACCATAATAAGTAGGCCACTTTCTCCTGGCCAGAATAAGCTCAGCTAGATGGAGAACCCATGAGGGACTATGCCTTCAGTCCACTGCTTTACACTAATGAGGGAAACACTTCAGGCTCTGAAGTGTCTCCCATACTGGGGCCATTCTTAGTCAAGCACATTTCTCATCTGTCATTGTTCCACTAAACATATTATTGAAGTAGCTTTGAGGGGCTAGGCAGTGAAGCTTGGAAATCTTCCACATGTAAATTTTTTCATTTTACCAAGAGACTATTTCCAGGCAAGAAGCCATAACTTCTATAAGCAAACTTCACTCTTCCCATGACAAAGTAAACTAAATTCAAGAAAGAAGGTATCCTACACAGTGAATTCTATACAAGTCACAGTACAGTAGGCTTTTTCAAGACTTCTGAACTGTAAAAAAAAAAAAAAAAAGAAAAAGAAAAAGAAAAAAAAGAAAGAGAAGAAAATACTGGATAAACTGCTGCGTTAGTTACTTGCAATAACTAGCACACTTGCAAATCTACCCTTGTCTCCATGGAGACAGCTAGGCCTAGCAACTACCTAAATACTAAACTACAAGGTATTACAGGTAAGTGTCAGGGGCCATGGGGGAATACTGTAGGAAAAAAGAGAAACATTTCCAACCATCTCAGACTATAATTCTACCATGACACCATGGGATTCTATGAACCCGCCTTGTTTTATTTCTATTCTTATTCCCATTGGATGAATTTCCTTCCCTTCGAGCAAAGAGAAATCTAAAGCTGAAAGGCTCAGGGTGATTGAATTGACCTTAAGGTTCATTTGGAAAATTGTCTTAAAAGAAGCCTTAGATGTGCATTGTGCCAAATTACTTCTCATCATGTTTGGCAAACATTTTTGAGACTTATTATGTGCTACTCACTCAAAAAATATTACTACATGGCAGGTACTGTGCTAGGCACTGGAGAAATGATGCTTTAACATTTTCAAAGATGTTCTCAGCTGTAACTACATTTTACCCTCTGATAGAAATAATGTAGGAATTATCATTGACCACATTTTACAGGTAGGGAAATTGAGACTGGGAAATGGAAAGACTTGCCCAAGGTAAACAGCAACATAGCAGTGGATTCTGAATTTGAACCCTGCTCTCCTAAAACCAAACTGATTTCAGTTTCAGTTATACAGCACTGCACTACTCAAAGGCCGGACATAGTGCTCCACAGTGGCATACATGTTAGGATGTATTAAGTCATTCACATGACCCCAAATAGTTTGCACTCTGGCTATGACTTCAAAACAATAAGCCTTATTACTGGTTTTCAGTTTGTGAAATTTTATCAAACTGTATACTTATAATATGCATACTCCTCTGTATGTATGTATATTATACTTCAATAAAAAGTTTTTTAAATCCTTCTCACTGTTCTGAAAATGTGCTTTCCTGTATGGACTAATCCTCAGGCCTTATAGGCACCATGCATTCCACCTTTATGCGCTGGGGTTAAAGAAATGTGGTTATTTACCCTCAAACTCTCATGGAGTTCTCCTTCTTAAACTGCTGCCTGCTGCCTTAAATTTTTCTCTCATGGAGCCAATATAGGGCCAGCAAATATCCAAAGCTTTTGCTGTCCTCTCTGACCCTGAGCCAAAATGGAAAGCGTATTCCAACTGATTCCCTGTAGACTAGACCCAATCCCCATCCCATCCTGCAAACTGCAATTCATTTTAATGACCATCTAGTGATCAGAGTCAGCCATTTTAACTAATTTTTCCCTTTCATGCCAAATTCACTGATTTAACAGCCCTGTGTAGAGTCTTCCCAATTGACCAGGGCAATATGGAAGTCAAAACTAGCTTTTCACATGGCACCTCACTCTGAGGGAAAATACTGTGTGGTCATTTAACTGAACTGCAATTTGTGGAGGACAAGATAAGGGGGCAAATCTAACCATCCTTTCTTATTTGGCTCAGGCAAAGACCCTCTGATCACCACCAATAACTTATCTGCCTTACTGTTGGCACAAGAGCTGTGCTCAGCCACTTCCAACACTATACCCATAGCAGTTACTCTTTCCAACTGAGCTTAGACACAAACTCATGTTCTTCAACAACAGGCCTCCAAGAGCTAATACCAATCAATCAGAGGTGTCACATGAATTAAAACCCATTTACCATTCCTGTTTTAGACTTCCTTCCCAAGTTTTTTTACCCATATGATCTCTTTCATATGGAACATATTTCTTGTCAGGGTAATAAAGAGAAAACGTGGGTCACTAACGTTTTTCAACAGATGGATAAACCAACACCCAAAGAATGAAGCAACATTCTCAAAAGCACCTTGGTAGTTAGGATTTGACACTATTTTGTCGCTGATATAACAAGAATAAAGTTGTCTAGATTCCGGATATTAGTCCTTTGTCAGATGTGTATATTGTGAAGATTTTGTCCCAATCTGTGGGTTGTCTGTTTGCTGACTTTTCCTTTTGCTGTGCAAAAGCTCTTTAGTTTAACTAGGTCCAAGCTATTTATCTTTGTTTTTATTGCATTTGCTTTTGGGTTCTTGGTCAAGAAATTCTTGCCTAAGCCAATGTCTAGAAGGGTTTTTCCTACAACACACTCAAACAAATCAGTAAGAAAAAAACAAACAATCTCATCAAAAAGTGGGCTAAGGACATGAATAGACAATTCTCAAAAGAAGGTACACAAATGGCCAGTAATCATAAGAAAAAATACTCAACATCGCTAATGATCAGGGAAATGCAAATCAAAACCACATTGTGACACCACCTTACTCATGCAAGGATGGCCATAATCAAAAAAATAGTAGATGTTGGCATGGATGCAGTGAACAGGGTACACTTCTACACTGCTGGTGGGAATGTAAACTAATACAGTCACTGTGGAAAACAGTGTAGAGATTCCTTAAAGAACCAAGCGCAGAACTACCATTTGATCCAGCAATCCCACTACTGGGTATCTACCCAGAGGAAAAGAAGTCATTATTTGAAAAAGACACTTGCACATGCATGTTTATAGCAGCACAATTCACAATTGCAAAATCATGGAACCAATTCAAATGCCCATCAATCAACGAGTGGATAAAGAAAATGTGGTATATAGATACACAATGGAATACTATGCAGCCATAAAAAGGAATGAATTAACAGCATTTGCAGCGACCTGGATGAGATTGGGGACTATTATTCTAAGTGAAGTAACTCAGGAATGGAAAACCAAACATCGTATGTTCTCACTGGTACGTGGGAGCTAAGCTATGAGGACGCAAAGGCATAAGAATGATACAATGGACTTTGGGGACTTGGGGAGAAGAGTGGGAGCAAGGAGAGGGAAAAATACTACTCAGGTGATGGGTGCAACAAAATCTCACAAATCATTGCTAAAGAATTTACTCATGTAACAAAATATCACCTGTACCCCAATAGCTTATGGAAAAATAAATAAAAAATAAATTTTTTTTTAAAAAAGAATAAAGTTTTCTAGAACTGGAAAAATGGCATCAAGTCTTTGCGTACAAGTAGACAGTAGACAGCTGATAATTATTTCACTTTTCTTTACCTTTCTACTGCCTGGGGAAGCTGATATGAAGGAGCACAGTCATCTAGGCCAATTTATGGCTTTCTTCTAAACAACCTTCAGGTGCTCAATTGTTAGTTAATACCAGGAAGAAGGAAGGTTGAATCTAGAGATAGAAATTAGGATTAAGAGGAGACTTCTATTACTATATCAGAGTGATGAACTCTCTAAAATCTAAACTGACAACATCCAAATCACTGGGTGTTTGGCTCATTTTTAGTGAGACCATAGAGCTGCTTTCTTGGATGGGTGGTGTGTTGAATGAATATTAGTCTAGAAAATTATTTAGCATTACATAGATCATAGAATGTATCATAGACAGAAATAAACCAAATAGTCAAAATAAATAATAATTTTAGAGATGAGAATACTGAGGCCCACATTGGTTAAGCAACCTGCCTAAACTCAAGCAGCTATTTGGTGAAAGAAATAGCATTAGACTTATGATGTCACATGACTCCCATTCATGTCCAGTGCTCTTTCCACTTCATTAACTGAATCTATCACTATTTAATTACCTGTTTTATCATCATGCCGATATGACTTAAATAGCAAATACAAGAACAAGTGCCCTATTCCTGAATGAAAAGAATAACGGGAAAGACCAAATAACATATGTATTTCCCAATTCACACCTACAAGTTAAGGTTTAGATCTAAAACCTTAAGAAAAAGAAGTTTCTTACAAAAATTAACTCAAAATGGGTTAAAGACTTCAATATTAAACCCAAAACTATAAAAACCCTGGAAGACAACCTAGGCAACACCATTCTGGACATAGGAATAAGCAAAGATTTCATAACAAAGATGCCAAAAGCAACTGCAACAAAAGCAAAAATTGACAAATGGGATCTAATTAAACTAAAGAGCACAGCAAAAGAAACTATAAACAGCATAAACAGACAACCTACAGAATGGGAGAAAATTTTTGCAAACTAAGCATCTGACAAAGATCTAATATCCAGCATCTATAAGGAACTTAAACAAATTTACAGAAAAAAAACAAACAGCCCCATTAAATGGCGGGCAAAGGACATGAACAGACACTTTTCAAAAGACATACATGCAGCCAATGAGCATATGAAATAAAGTTCAACATCACTGATCATTAGAGAAATGCAAATCAAAACCACAATGAGATACCATTTCACACCAGTCAGAATGGCTATTACTAAAAAGTCAAAAAATAACAGCTGCTGGTGAGGTTGCGGAGAAAGGGAATGCTTATACACCATTGCTGGGAATGTAAATTAGTTCAACCATTGTGGAAAGTGGTGTGGCGATTTGTCAAAAAACTTAAAATATAAATACCATTTGACCCAGCAATTCCATTATTTGGTATATCCCCAAAGGAATACAAATCAGTTTATCGTAAATACATGTGTACTTATATGTTCACTTCAGCATTATAAACAAGAGCAAAGTCATGGAATCAACCTAAATGCCCATCAATGGTAGATTGAATAAAGTAAATGTGGTACATACCTACCATGGAATTTTATGCAGCCATAAAAAAGAACGAGATCAGAGATGGCTAGCAAGATGGCTGAGTAGGAACAGCTCCAGCCTGCAGCTCCCAGTGACAGCAACACAGAAGATGGGTGATTTCTGCATTTCCAGCTGAGGTACCTGGCTCGTCTCATTGGGACTGGTTAGACAGTGGATGCAGCCTATGCAGGGCAAGCTGAAGCAGGGTGGGGTGTCGCCTCACCCAGGAAGTGCAAGGGGATGGGGAACTCCCTTCCTAGCCAAGGGAAGCTGTGAGGGACTGTACCGTGAGGAACGGTGCATTCAGGCCCAGATACTATCTTTTCCCACAGTCTTCACAACCTGCAGACCAGGAGATTCCCTCAGGTGCGTACATCACCAGGGCCCTGGGTTTCAAGCACAAAGCTGGGTGGCCATCTGGGCACACACCAAGCTAGCTGCAGGAGTTTTTTTTCATACCCCAGTGGCACCTGGAACACCAGTGAGACAGAACCATTCACTCCCCTGGAAAGGGGGCTGTGGCCAGGGAGCCAATTGGTCTAGCTCAGCAGATCCCACTTCAAGGAGCCCAGCAAGCTAAGATCCACTGGTTTGAAATTCTTGCTGCCAGCACAGCAGTCTGAAGTGGACCTGGGATGCACAAGCTTGGTGGGGGGAGGGGTGTCCACCATTACTGAGGCTTGAGTAGGTGTTTTTTCCCCGCACAGTGTAAACAAAGCCGCTGGGAAGTTCAAACTGGGCAGAGCCCACCACAGCTTGGCAAAGCCACTGTAGCTAGACTGCCTCTCTAGATTCCTCCTCTCTGGGCAAGGCATTTTTGAAAGAAAGGCAGCAGCCCCACTCAGGGGCTTATAGATAAAACTCCCATTTCTCTGGGACAGAACACCTGGGGGAAGGGGCAGCTGTGGGCACAGCTTCAGCAGACTTAAACGTTCCTGCCTGCTGCCTCTGAAGAGAGCAGCAGATCTCCCAGCACAGCACTCGAGCTCTGCTAAGGGACACAACTGCCTCCTCAAGTGGGTCCCTGACACCTGTGCCTCCTGACTCGGAGACACCTCCTAGCAGGGGTCAAAAGACACCTCATACAGGAGAGCTCTGGCTGGCATCTGGCTGGTGCCCCTCTGGGACAAAGCTTCCAGAGGAAGACACGGTCAGCAATCTTTGCTGTTCTGCAGCCTCCGCTGGTGATACCCAGGCAAACAGGGTCTGGAGTGGACCTCCAGCAAACTCGAACAGACCTGCAGCAGAGGGGACTGACTGGTATAAGGAAAACTAACAAACAGAATGAAATAGAATTAACATCAACAAAAAGGA
The DNA here is from genome assembly GCF_000001405.40 of Homo sapiens. Taxonomy (NCBI): domain Eukaryota; kingdom Metazoa; phylum Chordata; class Mammalia; order Primates; family Hominidae; genus Homo; species Homo sapiens. The sequence goes on along the minus strand of NC_000023.11, from coordinate 120,832,250 downwards.
TGTCCACTCAAAAACCCCATCCAAAGGTCACCAACATCAAAGAACAAAAGTATATAAATCTATGAAGATGAGGAAAAACCAGTGCAAAAAGGCTGAAAATTCCAAAAACCAGAATGCCTCTTCTCCTCCAAAGGATCACAACTCCTCGCCAGCAAGGGAACAAAACTGAATGGGGAATGAGTTTGACAAATTGACAGAAGTAGGCTTCAGAAGGTGGGTAATAACAAACTCCTCCAAGCTAAAGGAGCATGTCCTAACCCAATGCAAGGAAGCTAAGAATCTTGATAAAAGGTTATAGGAATTGCTAACTAGAATAACCAGTTTAGAGAAGAACATAAATGACCTGATGGAGCAGAAAAACACAGCACGAGAACTTCGTGAAGCATACACAAGTGTCAATAGCCAAATTGATCAAGCAGAAGAAAGGATATCAGAGATTGAAGATCAACTTAATGAAATAAAGCATGAAGACAAGATTAGAGGAAAAAGAATGACAAGGAACGAACAAAGCCTCCAAGAAATATAGGACTATGTGAAAAAACCAAACCTAAATTTAATTGGTGTACCTGAAAGCTGAGAGAATGGAACCAAGTTGGAAAACACTCTTCAAGCTATTATCCAGGCGAACTTCCCCAACCCAGCAAGACAGGCCAACATTCAAATTCAGGAAATACAGAGAACACCACAAAGATACTCCTTGAGAAGAGCAACTCCAAGACACATAATTGTCAGGAACACAAAGGTTGAAATGAAGGAAAAAATGTTAAGGGCAGCCAGAGAGAAAGGGTGGGTTACCTACAAAGGGAAACCCATCAAACTAACAGCAGAACTCTCTGCAGAAAACCTATAAGCCAGAAAAGAGTGGGGGCCAATATTCAACATTCTTAAAGAAAAGAATTTTCAGCCCAGAATTTCATATCCAGCCAAACTAAGCTTCATAAGTGAAGGAGAAATAAAATCCTTTACAGACAAGCAAATGCTGAGAGATTTTGTCACCACCAGGCCTGCCTTACAAGAGCTCCTGAAAGAAGCACTAAATATGGGAAGGAAAACCTGGTAACAGCCACTGCAAAAACCCCAAATTTGAAAGACCATTGACACTATGAAGATGCTGCATCAACTAACGGGCAAAATAACCAGCTAGCATCATAATGACAGGATCAAATTCACACATAACAATATTAACCTTAAATGTAAATGGGTTAAATCCCCCAATTAAAAGACACAGGCTGGCAAATTGGATAAAGGGTCAAGACCCATCGGTGTGCTGTATTCAGGAGACCCATCTCACATGCAGACACACATAGGCTCAAAGTAAAGGGAAGGAAGAATATTCGCCAAGCAAATGGAAAGTGAAAAAAAGCAGGGGTTGCAATCCTAGTCTCTGATAAAACAGACTTTAAACAAACAAAGATCAAAGAAGACAAAGAAGGGCATCACATAATGGTAAAGGGATCAATGCAACAAGAGCTAACTATCCTAAATACATACACACCCAATACAGGAGTATCCAGATTCATAAAGCAAGTCCTTAGAGACCTACAAAGAGACTTAGACTCCCACACAATAATAGTGGGAGACTTTAACACCCCACTGTCAATATTAGACAGATCAACAAGACAGAAAATTAAAAAGCATATTCAGGACTTGAACTCAGCTCTGGACCAAGCAGACCTAACAGATATCTACAGAACTCTCCACCCCAAATCAACAGAATATACATTCTTCTCAGCACCACATCACACTTATTCTAAAATTGACCACATAATTGGAGGTAAAACACTCCTCAGCAAATGCAAAACAATGGAAATCATAAAAAACAGTCTCTCAGACCACAGTGCAATCAAATTAGAATTCAGAATTAAGAAACTCACTCAAAACTGCACAACTACATGGAAACTGAACAACCTGCTCCTGAATGACTACTTGGTAAATAATGAAATTAAGGCAGAAATAAAGAAGTTCTTTGAAACCAATGAGAACAAAGACACAATGTACCAGGATCTCTGGGACACAGCTAAAGCAGTGTTTAGAGGGAAATATATAGCACTAAACGCCCTCAGGAGAGAGCGGGACAGATCTAAACTTGACAACCTAACGTCACAATTAAAAAACTAGAGAAGCAAGAGCAAACACATTCAAAAGCTAGCAGAAGGCAAGAAATAACTAAGATCAGAGCAGAACTGAAGGAGATAGAGACACAAAAAACCCTTCAAAACATCAGTGAATCCAGGAGCTGGTTTTTTGAAAAGATCAACAAAATTGATAGACCGCTAGCAAGACAAATACAGAAGAAAAGAGAGAAGAATCAAACAGACACAATAAAAAATGTTAAAAGGGATATCACCACCAATCCCACAGAAATACAAACTACCATCAGAGAATACTATGATGAAACATAGTATTTATTTGCTCAGACAAAACACCTCTATGCAAATAAACTAGAAAATCTAGAAGAAATGGATAAATTCCTGGACACATACACCCTCCCAAGACTAAACCAGGAAGAAGTTGAATCCCTAAATAGACTAATAACAGGCTCTGAAATTGAGGCAATAATTAGTAGCCTACCAACGAAAAAAAGTCCAGGACCAGACAGATTCACACCAAATTCTACCAGAGGTACAAGGAGGAGCTGGTACCATTCCTTCTGAAACTATTCCAATCAATAGAAAAAGAGAGAATCCTCCCTAACTCATTTTATGAGGCCAGCATCATCCTGATACCAAAGCCTGGCAGAGACACAACCAAAAAAGAGAATTTTAGACCAATATTCCTAATGAACATTGATGCAAAAATCCTCAATAAAATACTGGCAAACAGAATCCAGCAACACATCAAAAAGCTTATCCACCATGATCAAGTGGGCTTCATCCCTGGGATGCAAGGCTGGTTCAACATACGCAAATCAAAAACATAATCCAGCATATAAACAGAACCAAAGACAAAAACCACATGATTATCTCAACAGATGCAGAAAAGGCCTTTGACAAAATTCAACAACCCTTCATGCTAAAAACTCTCAATAAATTAGGTATTGATGGGACGTATCTCAAAATAATAAGAGTTATCTATGACAAACCCACAGCCAATATCATACTGAACGGGCAAAAACTGGAAGCATTCCCTTTGAAAACTGGCACAAGACAGGGATGCCCTCTCTCACCACTCCTATTCAACATAGTGTGGAATTTCTGGCCAGGGCAATCAGGCAGGAGAAGGAAATAAAGGGTATTCAATTAGGAAAAGAGGAAGTCAAATTGTCCCTGTTTGCAGATGACATGATTGTATATCTAGAAAACCCCATCGTCTCAGCCCAAAATCTCCTTAAGCTGATAAGCAACTTCAGCAAAGTATCAGGATACAAAATCAGTGTGCAAAAATCACAAGCATTCCTATATACCAATAATAGAGAGCCAAAACGTGAGTGAACTCCCATTCACAATTGCTTCAAAGAGAATAAAATACCTAGCAATCCAAGTTACAAGGGATATGAAGGACCTCTTCAAGAGGAACTACAAACCACTGCTCAATGAAATAAGAAAGGACACAAACAAATGGAAAAACATTCCATCCTCATGGATAGGAAGAATCTGAAAATGGCCATATTACCCATTTCTTCATCAAGCTACCATGGACTTTCTTCACAGAATTAAAAAAACTACTTTAAATTTCATATGGAACCAAAAAAGAGCCCATATAGCCAAGACAATCCTACGTAAAAGGAACAAAGCTGGAGGCATCATGCTACCTGACTTCAAACTACATTACTACAAGGCTGCAGTAACCAAAACAGCATGGTACTGGTACCAAAACAGACATATAGACCAATGGAACAGAACAGAGGCCTCAGAAATAACACCACACATCTACAATCATCTGATCCTGGCAAACCTGACAAAAACAAGCAATGGGGAAAGGATTCCCTATTTAACAAATGGTGCTGGGAAAACCGGCTAGCCATATGCAGAAAACTAAAACTGGACACCTTCCTTACACCTTATACAAAAATTAACTCAAGATGAATTAAAGACTTAAATGTAAGACCTAAAACCATCAAAACCCTAGAAGAAAACCTAGGCAATACCATTCAGGACATAGGCATGGGCAAAGACTTCATGACTAAAACACAAAAAGCAATGGCAACAAAAGCCAAAATTGACAAATGGGATCTAATTAAACTAAAGAACTTCTGCACAGCAAAAGAAACTATCATCACAGTGAACAGGCAACCTACAGAATGGGAGAAAATTTTTGCAATCTGCCCATCTGACAAAGGGCTAACATCCAGAATCTACAATGAATTTAAACAAATGTAGAAGAAAAAAGCAAACAACCCCATCAAAAAGTGGGCAAAAGAAACGAAGAGACACTTCTCAAAAGAAGACATTTTTGCCGCCAACAAGCATATGAAAAAAAGCTCATCATCATTGGTCATTAGAGAAATGCAACTCAAAACCACAATGAGATACCATCTCATGCCAGTTAGAATGGCGATCATTAAAAAGTCAGGAAACAACAGATGCTGGAGAGGATATGGAGAAATAGAAATGCTTTTACACTGTTGGTGGGAGTGTAAATTAGTTCAACCTTTGTAGAAGATAGTGTGGCAATTCCTCAAGGATTTAGAACCAGAACTACCATTTGACCCAGCAATCCCATTACTGGGTACATACCCAAAGGATTATAAATCATTCTGCTATAAAGACACATGCACACATATGTTTATTGCAGCACTATTCACAATAGCAAAGGCTTGGAACCAACCCAAATGTCCATCAATGATAGACTGGATAATGAAAATGTGGCACATATACACCATGGAATACTATGCAGCCAGAAAAAAGGTTGAGTTCATGTCCTTTGCAGGGACATGGATGAAGCTGGAAACCATCATTCTCAGCAAATTAACACAGGAACGGAAAACCAAACCCTGCATGTTCTCACTCATAATTGAGAGCTGAACAGTGAGAACACATGGACACAAGGAGGGGAACAACATACACTGGGGCCTGTTATAGAGGTGAGGGGAGGGAGAGCATCACGATAAATAGCTAATGCATGTGGGGCTTAATACCTAGGTGATGGGTTGATAGGTGCAGTAAATTTATAAGTGGGAGCGAAATGATGAGAACACACGGACACATAGAGGAGAAGAACACACACTGGTGCCTATCAGAGGGTGGATGGTGAGAAGAGAGAGAGGGTCAGGAAAAATAACTAACGGGTACTAGGCTTAATACCTGAGTGATGAAATAACATTTAAGAAAAGAAAATGCAAACTGGCTATGTCATGCTTCTATTAAGTCTTTACTTCCTTCATAATAACAACAAACCCCTGTGACACAAGTTTACCTATGTAACACACCTACATGTGTACCCCGAACTTAAAAAAAAGAAAAAGAAGTTTCTTTCATGACCCTGGGAAAGGTAGTTCTTCCAGGAAAGAAGGTCTAGTAAAAGGCCTACGATCCTGAGAGTTATTAATCCTGACCTGACTTTGAAAAATTATCACTTGATTAGACTACTTTATCAAGCTCCTGTCCACTCTCCCAGCCTCCAATCTCCCCATTCCAGTTCATCCTCCATAGTGTCACAAGAGTAATCTCTAAAAATTAAAAAAAAGAGAAGAAAAAGCAATTTGGCTATGTCATGCTTCTATTAAGTCTTTACTTCCTTCATAATATAGTACAAACCCTCTCAGCATGACATATAAAACTCTACTCTGTTTGGACCTCATCTACTTCTCATACAACCATCTCTCATTGCTCCTTCTGATAGTCTATCCCCTATGCAAACAATGTCCCAGCCACCTTTAATTTGTTACCATTGTGTAAATATAGTACATTGTTTAATGTGCTTTTACCTTTGCACACCCTATTTCCTCAACCTAACATACCTGTCCCCTCCATTCCTCTTCTAAAAATACCTACTTTTCCTTTAAGACTCAGTTTAAATGTTACCTCTTCTGTGAAACCCTCCCTATGCTTACCATGAAGAATTCATCCTTTATACTTCCACAGCATCCTGGGCATGCAACTATCATAGTACTTATGTTACTTATAATAACCACACTGTATTGTCAGTTTGTCTATCTCCTAAGTTTCTTGAAGGGTAAGTCTGTATCATTTTCATCTCTGTATCCCAAACATATGGCCTGGCCCAGAGTGTTACTCAATAAGTGTTTATTAAGTAAATGAATGGATGAGCTATGATAAGAACTGCTATTTATGATCAACATATAACATAATATATACAGTTAACAAATAAGGCATGACTAGTCTTCTTTGATGCCCCTATTCTTTATTTGGAGCTTTAATCTAAGGATTTAGGGAATTTAGAATTGCCAGCTGGAAGAAAAACAAGTTTGTCTCGACTATATCTTTCTTGGGGAGCTGTTGACCATTTCGTGGATATAAGGGAAGGAGCTTGACCATCAAAGTCTACTTTTCAGTCTTTCTGAAGCAATGAACTTCTCATTGTACCACTCCACTTCTAATTTTGATTTAAATTTCCTGACATTATAGCACAACTCCTAAAATTTAGAATTTATTTTCCCTTTTTCCTCTTAATCCTCTTATTTTTTCCCCAACTTTATCCCTCACCAAGAGCTGATTTTCATTGCATGTATTTAAATAAACTGCCAACCCATTATGCCATTTTCACTAGATGCCTAGTAATAAAGTAGGACCTTCTCCAAGGTCATTCATATACTCTGAAATCTGGGAAAGTGCTGAGAGAAAAATAGGTAGATAGCTCAATCTGTCATGTGGATCTAAGGAGAATGTACAAATACCTCATTTCCATAACGACATTGTACTTGGTGTCCCAACATAATGAATCATATGCTATGACTGAAAACTAAACAGAGTCTAATGGTAAATGCATTAATTAGTGACCTGTTTACACTTCTCCTGGGAAGGATGGCCATTTGTTACAGCTGCTGTCATGCAAGAATACTGACTGTGGTTGGGTCTCCACTCTGGGAATGCATATAAATTTGTGAGATTCTCCCACATTATCATTTGCTGACAGGCGTTAATGACACTAATGAAGGCAGGAGAGATTGATTCAAACACACAAATAATTAGAATTGATAATAGAAATGTGAACAGGGCCCTCACTAATAAATTTATTAATGATGCAGAGATGGAAGTTAAAAAGCGGGTGTCTAGACATATATTTATAGCACTTCCACCTCCTTCAATCAAAGATAATTCTTCTACCTCTTTGATTTATCCATCTTTTAGTTATATACCTAAGAAAGCAGAATACTCATGTTATGGTAAAAAGAAATACAGAGAAAAGAGAATAGATCCAGCTCTATTCGGTTAATGACAATTATCAGTGAGAATAGTGCCTGCAATCAAAAGATCACCAGCTTTTGTCTTAGGAAATGTTTGATGATGGATGTAAATTAAAGAGTTTATTCAGAGGAAAAGGAGCATTTACTAATGATGTTCAAGCCTAGTTGAAGTCTTCTAATTTAGAAAAGATGAGTGTATTATTACCAATTTGCCTCCCATATCACTGATTTCTCAGGCAACAACACCCTTGACAAATAGTCACATTGTAATGAGGAAAATAGTATGTGTTGGCAACATTCTGTTAATAATTTACACTTTCATTATCTTTTTTTGTCATGACTGAATGACCAAATCTCTCTATTTCTGATCAAGAGAGGACAACAGAACGCCAATGTTTTTGGAAAGTCATGCCTGTAGTCATTCAGGTGTTTGCACTATCTAAGCAACTGGTTTGACCAACTTGTAGCCTGGTTTTATTGGGAACATAACTACAGAGTTCCAAACCAACTGGTTGGAGCAAACAATTAAAAAAAACAGTGTAGAGGTGTTCAGTGTAGAGGTGATGAACAAAGTCAGTTGCATTATTAAATTAGTCTTTTACTAATTACTTTACTGAAGAAACCCATCAGTTTTAGTGCTCAGATCAAAGTTCCTGAATAGATATAATCATATTAAACAGTGAATGACACATTAGCTTTACCAAGTTGCATCATCAAACTGAGAATACCGATGATTCCATTGTAAATATAGCTATGTACTCTGAGGACTGATAGACAAGTAAATCTCTGCCATCTTTTCAATGGAAACTTACTCTCAAAAAACTTTAAAAATTGTATAATGCCATATAAGGGCCCCAGAGTGGAGGCAGTGAGATTTCATTTTTAAGAGAGTGATTACCCACTTAGGCTGTTAAGCTTTATTAGGAGTCTGTTTTAATAGGAATCTGGTTTGAATTAAGAGTAAAATGAAACTGTAACACACAAGAGGCCTAACACCAGCCTTGAGTTTGGTCTCAGAGCTAAGAGACAGATGGCTTCCCATTGCCCCTCAGAAGCTTTTATGTTTTAAGCATGTTGATTATTTTATCCTGCTAATAATCTGTGTGCTCTGTGATCACATGATCAGTCAGTCCCCCTACCCCTACAGAGAATATACAGGATGTGAATAGTTTCCAGCTGCCTAATGTTGACTCTGTGGTACAGATACATATTTTTAAATCATAACTTGGACTCTCTCCACCCAGGGTCCTGTTGCCTCAGGCTCCAAACAATCACAAGTCAGCAGGTTGCATCTAGGGTTCAGCTGGGACTCAGAACCAGGAGATTCACTTTAGTAGATCTCCAAGGCTGCAGTGTAAAACTGATGATGTGAGCAAAGGGTAGTTAGGCACAGCTCTAATTGCCCAGGTGCAAATTTGTCCCATTTGTGAGAAATTTCACTATTACTAAGTAGCTAGCTGGTAATGGAACAGTTCAGTCCACACAGCCACACTGAATATGGCATCACGAATCAAATTTATTCACTTATTTATTACTTCATTAACGTAAGAAATATTTATTGAGTATCTATTATGTGCCAAGCATTATACTGGGTCCTAGGGATACAGCAGTGAACAAGACAGACACAGTTTCTGACTTCACAGGGTTTATTTTGTTTGTGCTAGCAGAAGTATAGCGCAGAGGTTAAACACTCACCAGCCAGGCTGCTTAGGGTGTAAATCCTGGCTTTTCTGCTTACTAGCTTTGTGAATGTGGCAAATTACTTTCCTCCTCTGAGTGCCTTAGTTTCCCATCTAAAAGACTGTGATAAAACCATTATCTAACTCATTGAGTTGACATGAAAATTAACTGGGTTAATGTCACATGGTAAGCACTACATAAGTGTTGGACATTTTTGTTAGCTATGTTCTGCAGTGTCTGCTGATCATTCTGGAAACAACAGTCCACAACCCATGAATTATTGCTTCCAAGGTACAGTGTGGCTCCTCTTACCACTCACAATGGAGATTTTCCTAAATCTGAGGTAAAGAAACCAGTATAACTTCAAGACCTACTACCATTAAACTCCAAAAACTAATCTCTGTCATCTTTTGACCTCAATTGCCTCATCTGTAAATTGCAGCTTGTAACTAGATGACCTGGTACTAGTAGTGGTCAAAAACACAGGGTTTGAATACTGGCTTCACTACTAACTAGTTTTATGATCTTGAGCAAGTAAATTTTAAGAGCTTTTCTTTGTTTTTCATGCTCTGCAATTTTACTATGATATATCTAGAAGCAGGCTTATTTTTACTCATTCTACTTAGGACTCATGCTTTTTGAATTTCAAGACTCCCATCATTCATCAATTCTGAAAAAAATTCATTATCTCTTTAAAAATTAGCTGTCCCCCATTCTCTCTAGTACCTCCATTAGGAATTCATTTTAGACGTATATTGGACCTTTTGCCTATCGTCCATGTCTTTTAACCTCTCTTCAAGGATCTCAAATAGTGATTTAAACACAAAGCCCTAAAATATCAAGACATGCCCTCAGTAACTTTAACTGCAAAACTCCTGTCAATTAACCTAGTCAAACACACTACTCAGTCAAACAAATAGTTTGGCTAATGTTTTTTAACTTGACTAGTCATCTGAGTGAATTAACTTAAAACTCTTTTCTTTTTTTTTTACTTTAAGTTCTGGGATACATGTGCAGAATGCACAGGTTTGTTACATAGGTATACGTGTGCCATGGTGGTTTGCTACACCTATTGACCCATCATCTAGGTTCCCTCCCCTTGCCCCCACCCCCCACGGGCCCCAGTGTGTGTTGTTCCCCTCCCTGTGTCCATGTGTCCTCATTGTTCAACTCCCACTTATGAGTGAGAATATACGGTATTTGGTTTTCTCTTCCTGCGTTAGTTTGCTGAGGATGATGGCTTCCAGCTTCATTCAAGTCCCTGCAAAGGATATAATCTCATTCCTTTTTATGGCTGCATAGTATTCCATGGTGTATATGTACCACATTTTCTTTATCCAGTCAATCATTGATGGGCATTTGGGTTGGTTCCAAGTCTTTGCTATTGTAAATAGTGCTGCAATAAACATATGTGTGCATGTGTCTTTATAGTAGAATGATTTATAATCCTTTGGGTATATACCAGTAATGGGATTGCTGGGTCAAATGGTATTTCTGGTTCTAGATCCTTGAGGAATTGCCACACTGTCTTCCACAGTGGTTAAACTAATTTACATTCCCACCAACAGTGTAAAAGTGTTCCTATTTCTCCACAGCCTCGCCAGTATCTATTGTTTCTTGACTTTCTAATAATCGCCATTCTTACTGACATGAGATGGTATCTCATTGTGGTTTTGATTTGCATTTCTCTAATGATCAGTGATGCTGAGCTTTTTTTCACATGTTTGTTGGCCGCGTAAATGTCTTCTTTTGAGAAGTGTCTGTTCATATCCTTTGCCCACTTTTTGATGGGGTTATTGCAGAGACACACACACACACACACAAAAAAAAAACTTCAGGCCAATATCCCTGATGAACATTGATGCGAAAATCCTCAATAAAATACTGGCAAACGAAATCTGGCACCACATCAAAAAACTTATCCACCATGATCAATTCGGCTTCATCCCTGGGGTGCAAGTCTGGTTCAACATACACCAATCAATAAACATAATCCAGCATATAAGCAGAATTAAAGACAAAAACCACATGATTATCTCAATAGATGTAGAAAAGGCCTTTGACAAAATTCAATAGCCCTTCATGCTAAAAACTCTCAATATATTAGGTATTGATGGGACATATCTCAAAATAATAAGAGCTATTTATGACAAACCCACAGCCAATATCATACTGAATGGGCAAAAGCTGGAAGCATTCCCTTTGAAAACTGGTACAAGACAAGGACTCCCTCTATCACCACTCCTATTCAACCCAGTATTGGTAGCTCTGGTCAGGAAAATCAGGCAAGAGAAGGAAATAAAGGGTATTCAAATAGGAAGACAAGAAGTCAAATTGTCCCTGTTTGCAGATGACATGATTGTATATTTAGAAAACCCCATCATCTCAGCCCAAAAACTTCTTAAGCTGATAAGCAACTTCAGCAAAATATCAGGATACAAAATCAATGTGCAAAATCACAAGTATTCCTGTACACCAACAATAGACAAACAGAGAGCCAAATCATGAATGAACTGCCATTCACAATTGCTACAAACAGGATAATATACCTAGAAATACATAACAAGGGATGTGAAGGATTTCTTCAAGGAGAACTATAAACCACTGCTCAAGGAAGTAAGAGAGGACACAAACAAATGGAAAAGCATTCCATCCTCATGGATAGGAAGAATCAGTATTGTGAAAATGGCTATACTGCCCAAAGTAATTTATAGATTCAATGCTACTCCCATCAAACTACCATTGATATTCTTCACAGAATTAGAAAAATCTACTTTACATCTTATATGGAACCAAAGAAGAGCCCATATAGCCAAGACAATCCTCAGTAAAAAGAACAAAGCTGGAGGCATCACACTAGCTGACTTCAAACTATACGACTACAAGGCTACAGTAACCAAAACAGCATGGCACTGGTACCAAAACAGACATATAGACGAATGGAACAGAACAGAGACCTCAGAAATAACACCACACATCTACAATCATCAGATCTTTGACAAACATGACAAAAACAAGAAATGGGGAAAGGATTCCCTAGTCAATAAATGGTGCTGGGAAAACTGGCTAGCCTTATGCAGAAAACTGAAACTAGACCCCTTCCTTACACCTTATACAAAAATTAACTTAAGATGGATTAAGGACTTAAATGTAAAACCCAAAACCATAAAAACCCTAGAAGAAAACCTAGGCAATACCGTTCAGGACATAGGCATGGGCAAAGACTTCATGACAAAAACGCCAAAAGCAATTGCAACAAAAGCCAAAATTGACAAATGGGATCTAATTAAACTAAAGAGCTTCTATACAGCAAAAGAAACTATCATCAAAGTGAACAGGAAACCTACACAATGGGAGAAAATTATTGCAATCTATTCATCTGACAAAGACCTAATATCCAGAATCTACAAGGAACTTAAATTTACAAGAAGACTTTTTTTTAATGCCCTAACGATGTCCAGCCAAGGCTTTCCAAAGTTATTCTCAGATGAAAAGCCAATTCTCATTTTGGTAGAGGATATGGAAATAAGTAAAATGGAAATGCTTTCAGCAAAAAATTACTCATCTCCTGAGTTAGAAGCTAGAAAATATTTGCTAAAGTATTTAGAAATAAACTTATGCTATTGCCACATACTACAAAGGAAGAGGACCAAGGTGATACTTTGCTGGTTAATTATTTGCATCTAAAGTGGAGAAAAGTCTCTCAAACTATTTTGAAGTTGTCAAATTTTAATACAAAATGCTTCCTTTAAGTCAATATCAAAAGTTTTAGTTGCTCTACTATCATGTGCCTAGCACTGTGTATGATTCTGAGGCTATACAAGAAATCAAACATATGGTCGCTCTCCTTAAGGTATTTGTAGTCTCCTTGGGAACACAAGCTAAACACATGAAAGAAGAAGAACAGAGGGGAAAACACTTTCATCTAGCATCTGCTGTGTGCTGGGAATGTTCACATCTAATCCTCACCACATTCCTATAAGACATGTTTTTCATTCATTCATTTAATGATGTACGTATGCCCAAGGTCATACCACTAGCAAGAGAGCAAGTTCAGATTCAAACCCAGGTCTGGTGCTGGAGCCATTATATCCACTATACTACACTGCCAAATGTTTAATTAAATTATACAGATTAAGTAAGGAGTACTGAAAAAGACAGGCAGTATAGCATGCTGCTGAATTAATGAAATTTGGAGTTAGACTGACCTGAGTTCAAATATCAGCTATGTGAATTTGGACAAGCTATTTAACCTTCCCAAGTCTCTTTCTTTGTCTATAAAATATGTACAGTTATTAAATAAAATAATGTACTTAAGGGATTTCACATAGTGCTTTCCATAGTAAACAATAAATACCAAGCATTATTAGTGTAACATTTAATTTTAAAGTTAATTTTTAAACTCAAAACTTATTTTTCCACTTTTGTATGCTAAGGGAGGAGGCATATTTCAGACTAGTGGAAGTATGTTCCCTTCCTCTCATGGAGATTGGTGGGAAAGGAGAAGAAAAATATATTTCATAGCCTCTGCTAGTTCTTTATACTGCTAAAGTAAGGTACTCTGGAAAAGATGGGCTACTATAAATAAAAGATACTTTGGATATGCAAAGGAAGGCTCTAGTCAATAGAGTGGAAAGGCAAGTTATTCTCAATAACATGGCAATATGAAATCTCTCAATCAACCCAAGACTTGAGTTGACTTCTGGATAACATGAATAAGAATTGTAAGAGTTCAAAGAGGAGGAGATAAAATGGGAGGTCATCCATGACATATCACTCCCCTGATCACCAGGTTTCATTCAGCTAATTATGCTGCATAGTAGGGACCTCTTTCTTTCTTCATTGTTTCATGGGCGTAGTACTCAAAGCATCACAGATAATGGAGGCTCATGCTTCCTTCTATCAGGGAGTAGCAAGCCACTGGGCCTCGTTGCTAGAACCTTATTTATTTTATTTATTTATTTATTATACTTTAAGTTCTAAGGTACATGTGCACAACATGCAGGTTTGTAACATATGTATACATGTGCCATGTTGGTGTGCTGCACCCATTAACTCGTCATTTACATTAGGTATATCTCCTAATGCTATCCCTCCTCCCTACCCCCACCTCACGACAGGCCCTGGTGTGTGATGTTCCCCACCCTGTGTCCAAGTGTTCTCATTGTTCAATTCCCACCTATGAGTGAGAACATGCAGTGTTTGGTTTTCTGTCCTTGCAATAGTTTGCTGAGAATGATGGTTTCCAGCTTCATCCATGTCCCTACAAAGGACATGAACTCATCCTTTTTTATGGCTGCATAGTATTCCATGGTGTATATGTGCCACATTTTCTTAATCCAGTCTATCATTGACGGACATTTGGGTTGGTTCCAAGTCTTTGCTATTGTGAATAGTGCCGCAATAAACATACATGTGCATGTGTCTTTATAGCAGCATGATTTATAATCCTTTGGGTATATACCCAGTAATGGGATTGCTGGGTCAAATGTTATCTCTGGTTCTAGATTCTTGAGGAATCGCCACACTGTCTTCCACAATGGTTGAACTAGTTTACACTCCCACCAACAGTGTAAAAGTGTTCCTATTTCTCCACATCCTCTCCAGCATCTGTTGTTTCCTGACTTTTTAACGATCGCCATTCTAACTGGTGTGAGATGGTATCTCATTGTGGTTTTGATTTGCATTTCTCTGATGGCCAGTGATGATGAGCAATTTTTCATGTGTCTGTTGGCTGCATAAATGTCTTCTTTTGAGAAGTGTCTGTTCCTATTCGTTGCCCACTTTTTGATGGGATTGTTTGATTTTTTTCTTGTAAATTTGTTTAAGTTCTTTGTAGATTCTGGATATTAGCTTTTTGTCAGATGAGGAGATTGCAAAAATTTTCTCCCATTCTGTAGGTTGTCTGTTCACTCTGATGGTAGTTTCTTTTGCTGTGCAGAAGCTCTTTAGTTTAATTAGATCCCATTTGTCAATTTTGGCTTTTGTTGCCATTGCTTTTGGTGTTTTAGACATGAAGTACTTTCCCATGCCTATGTCCTGAATGGTATTGCCTAGGTTTTCTTCTAGGGTTTTTATGGTTTTAGGTCTAACATTTAAGTCTTTAATCCATCTTGAATTAATTTTTGTATAAGGTATAAGGAAGGGATCCAGTTGCAGCTTTCTACATATGACTAACCAGTTTTCCCAGCACCATTTATTAAATAAGGAATCTTTTCCCCATTTCTTGTTTTTGCCAGGTTTGTCAAAGATCAGATTGTTGTAGATGTGTGGTATTATTTCTGAGGCCTCTGTTCTGTTCCATTGGTCTATATGTCTGTTTTGGTACCAGTACCATGCTATTTTTGTTACTGTAATCTTGTAGTAGTATAGTTTGAAGTCAGGTAGCATGATGCCTCCAGCTTTGTTCTTTTGGCTTAGGATTGTCTTGCAATGCAGGCTCTTTTTTGGTTCCATATGAACTTTAAAGTAGTTTTTTCCAATTCTATGAAGAAAGTCATTGGTAGCTTGATGGGGATGGCATTGAATCTATAAATTACCTTGAGCAGTATGGCCACTTTCACGATATTGATTCTTCCTATCCATGAGCATGGAATGTTATTCCATTTATTTTGTTGAGCAGTGGTTTGTAGTTCTCGTTGAGGAGGTCTTTCACATCCCTTGTAAGTTGGATTACTAGGTATTTTATTCTCTTTGAAGCAATTGAATGGGAGTTCACTCATGATTTGGCTCTCTGTTTGTCTGTTATTTGTGTATAAGAATCCTTGTGATTTTTGCACATTGATTTTGTATCCTGAGACTTTGCTGAAGTTGCTTATCAGCTTAAGGAGATTTTGGGCTGAGACAATGGGGTTTTCTAAATATACAATCATGTCATCTGCAAACAGGGACAATTTGACTTCCTCTTTTCCTAATTGAATACCCTTTATTTCTTTCTCCTGCCTGATTGCCCTGGCCAGAACTTCCAACACTATGTTGAATAGGAGTGGTCAGAGAGGGCATCCCTGTCTTGTGCCAGTTTTCAAAGGGAATGCTTCCAGTTTTTGCCCATTCAGTATATTGGCTGTGGGTTTGTCATAAATAGCTCTTATTATTTTGAGATACATCCCATCAATACCTAATATATTGAGAGTTTTTATCATGAAGGGCTGTTGAATTTTGTCAAAGGCCTTTTCTGCACCTATTGAGATAATCATGTGGTTTTTGTCTTTGGTTCTGTTTATATGCTGGATTATGTTTATTGATTTGCGTATGTTGAACCAGCCTTGCATCCCAGGGATGAAGCCCACTTGATCGTGGTGGATAAGCTTTTTGATGTGTTGCTGGATTCTGTTTGCCAGTATTTTATTGAGGATTTTTGCATAGATGTTCATCAGGTATATTGGTCTAAAATTCTCTCTTTTTTGTTGTTGTGTCTCTGCCAGGCTTTGGTATCAGGATGATGCTGACCTCATAAAATGAGTTAGGGAGGATTCCCTCTTTTTCCATTGATTGGAATAGTTTCAGAAGGAATGGTACCAGCTCCTCATTGTACCTCTGGTAGAATTTGGCTGTGAATCCATCTGGTCCTGGACTTTTTTTGGTTAGTAGGCTACTAATTATTGCCTCAATTTCAGAGCCTGTTATTGGTCTATTCAGGGATTCCACTTCTTCCTGGTTTAGTCTTGGGAGGGTGTATGTGTCAAGGAATTTATCCATTTCTTCTAGATTTTCTAGTTTATTTGCGTAGAGGTGTTTATAGTATTCTCTGATGGTAGTTTGTATTTCTGTGGGATCGGTGGTGATATCCCCGTTATCATTTTTTATGGCATCTATTTGATTCTTCTTTCTTTTCTTCTTTATTAGTCTTGCTAGCAGTCTATCAATTTTGTTGATCTTTTCAAAAAAACAGCTCCTGGATTCATTGATTTTTTTGAAGGGTTTTTTGTGTCTCTATCTCCTTCAGTTCTGCTCTGATCTCAGTTATTTCTTGCCTTCTGCTAGCTTTTGAATGTGTTTGCTCTTGCTTCTAGTTCTTTTAATTGTGATGTTAGGGTGTCAATTTTAGATCTTTCCTGCTTTCTCTTGTGGGCATCTAGTGCTATAAATTTCCCTCTACACACTGCTTTAAATGTGTCCCAGAGATTCTGCTATGTTGTGTCTTTGTTCTCATTGGTTACAAAGAACATCTTTATTTCTGCCTTCATTTCGTTATGTACCCCGTAGTCATTCAGGAGCAGGTTGTTCAGTTTCCATGTAGTTGAGCGGTTTTGAGTGAGTTTCTTAATCCTGAGTTCTAGTTTGATTGCACTGTGGTCTGAGAGACAGTTTGTTATAATTTCTGTTCTTTTACATTTGCTGAGGACTGCTTTACTTCTAACTATGTGGTCAATTTTGGAATAAGCGCGATGTGGTGCTGAGAAGAATGTATATTCTGTTGATTTGGGGTGGAGAGTTCTGTAGATGTCTATTAGGTCTGCTTGGTGCAGAGCTGACTTTAATTCCTGGTTATCCTTGTTAACTTCCTGTCTCATTCATCTGTCTGATGTTGACAGTGGGGTGTTAAAGTCTCCCATTATTCTTGTGTGGGAGTCTAAGTCTCTTTGTAGTGTTGTACCCAAGCGAGTTAAAGAAATGCCACACTTTGAGACGAATTAAGAGTCCTTTATTAAGCTGGTGGCCAACGAGATGGCTAACGCTCAGAATTCTCTTGGCCATGAGAAAGGGGCTTGATTAACTTTTATACCCAGGTTTAGGAAGGGGAGGGGGACTCAAATGCAATAATTCTACAGAAGTAAAAACATGCAAGAATCAAAAGAAGCAAAATGGTTACAGAGAGATAAACAATTTAAAAGACAAATGGTTACAAAAAGAGCAATGGTACCAGGTGCAAGGTTTTAAATCTTTCATTATAATTAGATATAGGGTCTATACCGGACATGAACTCAAGGTTTTACGTTGTTATCTCCTGGAGAAAAATCCTGGGAACTTCATATATTGTTGGTGCTAGTATCTTAGTTAATTGGGCTCCTTTGAAATGCTGAGGATCTGTTTACACAGGCCAACTCCTTACAGAAGGGGGTTGGGTAAGGAGCCCTTTGTGTCTTGTAAATTAAGGGGTCAATTGGAGTTTGTCCGGCTTTCTCAGCTAGAGAGAGCCTTATTTACATGAGAAGCAAGGCTAGGTGATTAAAGAGTCAAGCAGGATAAAACTCAAAGTAACGAGTTAGAGTAAAAACAAGGTTAGGCATTTCAGTAGGTCTCTAAGGACTTGCTTTATGAATCCGGGTGCTCCTGTATTGGGTGCATATATATTTAGGATAGTTAGCTCTTCTTGTTGAATTGATCCCTTTATCATTATGTAATGGCCTTCTTTGTCTCTTTTGATCTTTGTTTGTTTAAAGCCTGTTTTATCAGAGACTAGGATTGCAACCCCTGCTTTTCTTTTTTTGTTTTCCATTTGCTTGGTAGATCTTCCTCCATCCCTTTATTTTGAGCCTATGTGTGTCTCTACACGTGAGATGGGTCTCCTGAATACAGCACACTGATGGGTCTTGACTCTTTATCCAATTTGCCAGTCTGTGTCTTTTAATTGGAGCATTTAGCCCATTTACATTTAAGGTTAATATTGTTATGTGTGAATTTGATCCTGTCATGATGTTAGCTGGTTATTTTGCTCATTAGTTGATGCAGTTTCTTCCTAGCATCCATGGTCTTTGCAATTTGGCATGTTTTTGCAGTGGCTGGTACCGGTTGTTCCTTTCCATGTTTAGTGCTTCTTTCAGGAGCTCTTGTAAGGCAGGCCTGGTGATGACAAAATCTCTCAGCATTTGCTTGTCTGTAAAGTATTTTATTTCTCCTTCACTTATGAAGCTTAGTTTGGCTGGATATGAAGTTCTGGGTTGAAAATTCTTTTCTTTAAGAATGCTGAATATTGGCCCCCACTCTCTTCTGGCTTGTAGAGTTCCTGCCGAGAAATCCACTGTTACTCTGATGGGCTTCCCTTTGTGGATAACCCGACATTTCTCTCTGGCTGCCCTTAACATTTTTTCCTTCATTTCAACTTTGGTGAATCTGACAATTATGTGTCTTGGGTTGCTCTTCTTGAGGAGTATCTTTGTGGCATTCTCTGTATTTCCTGAATTTTAATATTGGCCTACCTTACGAGGTTGGGGGCGTTCTCCTGGATAATATCCTGCAGGGTGTTTTCCAACTTGGTTCCATTCTCCCCGTCACTTTCAGGTACACCAATCAGACGTAGATTTGGTCTTTTCACATAGTCTCATATTTCTTGGAGGCTTTGTTCGTTTCTTTTTGCTCTTTTTTCTCTAAACTTCTCTTCTTGCTTCATTTCATTCATTTGATCTTCAATCACTGATACCCTTTCTTCCAGTTGATCGAATCAGCTACTGAAGCTTGTGCATGCGTCATGCAGTTCTTGTGCCATGGTTTTCAGCTCCATCAGGTCATTTAAGGTCTTCTCTATGCTGTTTATTCTAGTTACCCATTTGTCTAATCTTTTTTCAAGGTTTTTAGCTTCTTTGCAATGGGTTCGAACATCATCCTTTAGCTTGGAGAAGTTTGTTATTACCGATCGTCTGAAACCTTCTTCTCTCAACTCATCAAAGTCATCCTCCATCCAGCTTTGTTCCATTGCTGGCGAGGAGCTGCGTTCCTTTGGAAGGGAAGAGGCACTCTGATTTTTAGAATTTTCAGCTTTTCTGCTCTGTTTTTTCCCCATCTTTGTGGTTTTATCTACTTTTGGTCTTTGATGATGGTGACGTACAGATGGGGTTTTGGTGTGGATGTCCTTTCTGTTTGTTAGTTTTCCTTCTAACAGTCAGGACCCTCAGCTGAAGGTCTGTTGGAGTTTGCTGGAGGTCCACTCCAGACCCTGTTTGCCTGAGTATCACCAGCGGAGGCTGCAGAACGCAAACATTACAGAACAGCAAATGTTACTGCCTGATCCTTCCTCTGGAAGCTTCATCTCAGAGGGGCACCTGGCTGTATGAGGTGTCAGTCAGCCCCTACTGGGAGATGTCTCCCCGTTAGACTACTCAAGGGTCAGGGACCCACTTGAGGAGGCAGTCTGTCTGTTCTCAGATCTCAAACTCCATGCTGGGAGAACCGCTACTCTCTTCAAAGCTGTCAGACAGGGACGTTTAAGTCTGCAGAAGTTTCTGCTGCCTTTTATTCAGCTATGCCCTGCCCCCAGAGGTGCAGTCTACAGAGGCAGGCAGGCCTCCTTGAGCTGCAGTGGGCTTCACCCAAGTCGAGCTTCCCAGCCACTTTGTTTACCTGCTCAAGCCTCAGCAATGGTGGACCTTCCTCCCCCAGCCTCACTGCCACCTTGCAGTTTGATCTCAGACTGCCGTGCTAGCAGTGAGTGAGGCTCCGTGGGCGTGGAACCCTCTGAGCCAGGCACAGAATATAATCTCCTGGTGTGCCGTTTGCTAAGACCGTTGGAAAAGTGCAATATTAGGGTGGGAGTGTCCCGATTTTCCAGGTACCATCTGTCATGGCTTCCCTTGGCTAGGAAAGGTAATTCCTTGACCCCTTGTGCTTCCTGGGTGAGGCGATGTCCCACCCTGCTTCGGCTCACACTCTATGGGCTGAACCCACTGTCTGATAAGCCCCAGTGAGATGAACCCAGTACCTCAGTTGGAAATGCAGAAATCACCTGTCTTCTGCATGGCTCACGCTGGGAGCTGTAGACTGGAGCTGTTCCTATTCAGCCATCTTGGAACTGGATCCGTTGCTAGAACTTTAAACAAGCCATTGAGAAGGAACTAGAATAATCAGAGAAGGTTGTCTAAAAAAGATGGGTCTTTGGTTGGACCTGACAGCATTGACTAGACTCAATGTGCAGTGGGAATTGGGGAAGGGAGATTCCAGGAAGAAGGATGGAAATAGATATAACACCTTGATGAGTCTAGAAAAGTTTGCCTCGGAAAACAAAGGGCTCTAACTGCCTCTTAAACACAGTTATCAATGTGGTCCCAGTCTTTTTTTGATGTCCACACTGGGGGAAAAGATAGCTAATAGCTAAGCATCTCTGCTCAGGTTAGGGGAAGGGCGTGAGGAGAGAACTACGATGAAAATGAATGCCTCTCTCCACATGTAGATCTGGCAGATTTCCCTCATACCAGGTCACAAGCTAGACTATATAAGGGTTATTGAAACCACTGTTTTCCCCTCAATCCAACATTATGACTCTTACTGGATGACCATACTTAATCTCTCAACTATAAAAAGCAGGTAGCGCCTCCTCCATACTTATTAAATCAGTTAAGATTAAGTTTGGCTGCATTTAACCACAGAAAGTAATAACAACAACAGTGTCTTAAACAAAATGGAAGTTTCTTTTCTTTCTCATGAAAAGAAGTCTGGAGATAGATACAGAGTCCAGAATTGTTGTGGCACCTCCACAGCCATCAGTCATCAGAGGCCTAGGCTCTATCTTGCTCTTCCTTCTTAGCTTGTTGCCTCATCTTGTGGCTAACATGGCTATTCAAGCTTCAACCCCATTTCACCTATGATTAAGTACAAAGGAGCAGATGGACCTGCCCCTTCCCTTTAACAAAACTCGCTATGTATCCCACACAACACTTTCATCTTGTTGGCCAAAGTAAAAATAATAGTTAGAATTTCTATAGCCTTTACTATGTGCTAGGCTCTGGTTTGAAAGCTTTACAAATATAAACTCATTTATTTTTCAGAGAAACTCAATACAACAGGTACAATTATTATATAATTTTACAGATGCAGAAACGAAGGCATAGAGAAGTAAATTTACAGCCAGTAAAGGATGAAGCAGAGATCTGAATGCAACCTACATAGCCTGATTCCAGAATATGTGTACCTAACCACAATGCTATACTGCCAAAACAAGCTAGACGTCACCTAGCTTCACAGAGAACTAGTAGTCTTTTTACTGGATGGCAATTAACTCAGCAAAATATTGAAGGTCTTTACTGGGGAAGAAAGAGGAAACTGGTGTGAAAAAACAAAGTAGCCTCTGCCATACCTATGTCAAAGGTTCATCAAGACAGTGTTTCTGAGAGCACTGTGAAATA
This sequence comes from Homo sapiens, assembly GCF_000001405.40. Lineage (NCBI taxonomy): Eukaryota > Metazoa > Chordata > Mammalia > Primates > Hominidae > Homo > Homo sapiens. Next base: position 120,810,209 of record NC_000023.11, on the reverse strand, counting down.
CAGTAAAAAGCAGTATACGTGGGGGTGCGGTGGCTCACACCTGCAATCCCAGCACTTTGGGAGGCTGAGGTGGGTGGATCACGAGGTCAGGACTTCAAGACCAGCTTGGGCAACATGACAAAACCCTGTCTCTACTAAAAACACAAAAATTGGCCAGGTGCAGTGGCTCACGCCTGTAATCCCAGCACTTTGGGAGGCCGAGGAGGGTGGATCACAAGGTCAAGAGATCAAGATCACCCTGGCCAACATGGTGAAACCCCGTCTCTACTAAAAACACAAAAATTGGCCAGGCATGGTGGCTCACGCCTGTAATCCCAGCACTTTGGGAGGCCAAGGAGCGTGGATCATGAGGTCAAGAGATTGAGACCAACCTGGCCAACATGATGAAACCCCGTCTCTACTAAAAACACAAAAATTGGCCAGGCATGGTGGCTCACACCTGTAATCCCAGCACTTTGGGTGGCCAAGGAGGGCGGATCATGAGGTCAAGAGATGGAGACCATCCTGGCCAACATGGTGAAACCCTGTCTCAAAAAAAAAAAAAAAAAGCAGTATACATATAATGTTGGTAGAGCAAGTTGCTCTGTCAGTCCCCAGAAAAGTATTCGATAATCCTCTGGAAATTCTGGGACATTTTCTCCTGAATTGGACTAGGGAAACTGTGCCAGATCAGGGTTGGGAGTGGCAAATGCTATTGTTTGGTCTCTCCAATATAAGAATGTAAGAGTGGTGTTTGGTAGGGATCCCTTGGAAAATCCCCTTCAAGAGGAATGCATGCCTTTCCAAACAAAAACCATGTTACAAGGAAACTCTCTCATCACCAGACTGTTTTCCCTAGAGTATTTAAAGTCTTAGATATAGAGCTAGCTGATGCAAGCCGACTGCATGACAGCAGCTCAAATTTATTTTACTTTTTTGGATTCAACCAACCACCAATTGAAAATATATATTTTTTTAAATTTTCTAGTGGCCAAATTTTATTTATTTATTTTTAATTTCTTTTCTTTTTGTATTTCTAAATTTATTTTCTATTTCAATAGGTTTTTAAGGAGCAAGTGGTGTTTGGTTACATGAATAAGTTCTTTAGTGGTTATTTCTGAGATTTTGGTGCACCCCTCACCCAAGCAGTGTAAACTATACCCAATGTGTAGTCTGTTATCCTTCACCCCCATCCCTCCCTTTCCCCCAAGTCCCCAAACTCCAATGTATCATTCTTATGCCTTTGTGTGTGGAAAATACTGTGGAGATTCCTTAAAGAACTATCAGGGGAACCCACCCGCAATATTTCAACATAGGTTCTTTCTATTTTCCCTAAGTGTCAGCTGGCTGAGAAATAAAGAGAAAGAGTACAAAGAGAGGAATTTCACAGCTGGGCCTCCAGGGATGACATCACATATCGGTAGGACCATGATGCCCCTGAGCCACAAAACCAGCAGGTTTTTATTAAGGACTTCAAAAGGGGAGGGGGTGCAAGAACAAGGAGTAGGTCATAAAGATCACATGCTTCAAAGGGCAAAAAGATCAGAAGGCAAAGGGCAAAGCAAAGATCACAAGGCAAAGGGCAAAATTAGAATTAATGATGAGGGTCTATGTTCGGCTGTGCACGTATTGTCTTGATAAACATCTTAAACAACAGAAAACAGGGTTCGAGAGCAGAGAATTGGTCTGACCTCAAATTCACCAGGGTGGGTTTTTTTTTCCCTACCCTACTAAGCCTGAGGGTACTGCAGGAGACCAGGGCAAATTTCAGTCCTTATCTCAACCACATAAGACAGACACTCCCAGAGCGGCCGTTTATAGATGCCCCCCTCCCCCACCAGGAATGCATTCCTTTCTCAGTATCTTAATTATTAATATTCCTTGCTAGGAAAAGAATTCAGTATCTTCCCTACTTGCACGTCTGTTTATAGGCTCTCTGCAAGAAGAAAAATATGGCTCTATTCTGCCCGACCCCACAGGCAGTCAGACCTTATGGTTGTCTTCCCTTGTTTCCTGAAAATCGCTGTTATTCTGTTTTTTTTCAAGGTGCACTGATTTCATATTGTTCAAACACACATGTTTTACAATCAATTTGTACAACAGTGGTCCTGAGGTGATGTACATTCTCAGCTTACGAAGATAACGGGATTAAGAGATTAAAGTAAAGGCAGGTATAAGAAATTATAAGAGTATTATTTGGGAACTGATAAATGTCCATGAAATCTTCACAATTTATGTTCAGAGATTGCAGTAAAGACAGGTGTAAGAAACTATAAAAGTTTTAATTTTGGGAACTGATAGGTGTCCATATTAAAATGAAATCTTCACAATTTATGTTCCTCTGCCACGGCTCCAGCCGGTCCCTCCGTTCGGGGTCCCTGACTTCCTGCAACAAAAAACTAAAAGTAGATCTACCATTTGATCCAGCAATCCCATGACTAGGTATCTACCCAGAGGAAAAGAAGTCATTATATGAAAAAAATACTTGCACACACATGTTTATAGCAGCACAATTTTCAATTGCAAAAATATGCAACCAGCCCAAATGCCCATCGATCAATGAGTGGACAAAGAAAATGTCATGGTTGGGCACAGTGGCTCACGCCTGTAATCCCAGCATTTCGGGAGGCCAAGGCTGGTGGATCATGAGGTCAGGAGTTCGAGACCAGCCTAACCAACATGGTGAAACCCTGTCTCTACTAAAAATACAAAAATTAGCCAAGCATGGTGGCACATGCCTGTAATCCCAGCTACTCAGGAGGCTGAGGCAGGAGAACCACTTGAATCCAGGAGGTGGAGGTTGCAGTGAGCCGAGATCATGCCACTGCACTCCAGCCTGGGCAACAGAGTGAGACTCCATCAAAAAAAAAAGAAAGGAAAGGAAAGGAAAGGGAAAGAAAAGAAAAGAAAAGAGAGAAAAGAAAAGAAAAAAGAAAAGAAAGAAAAGAAAAGAAGAAAATGTGGTATATAGATATATCAAGTAATACTACTCAGTCATAAAAAGGAATGAAATAATGGCACTCACAGCAACCTGAATGGAATTGAAAACTATTATTCTAAGTGAAGTAACTCGGAAATGGAAAACCAAACATCATATGTTTTCACTTCTAAGTGGGAGCTAAGCAGCTAAATGAATTTAGATACAGTATCAGTGAGGGTTCTCCAAATCAACAGAACCAACAGGATATATGTATATGTACATTAAGAGATTTATTTTAAGGAATTGGCTCACACAACTGTGGAGGCTGGCAGGTCCAAAATCTACAGGGAAGGCCTGCAGAATTTCTATGTCACAGTCCTGAAGCTGAATGCCTTCCTCTTGAGGAAACCTCTGTTTCTGCTCATAAGACATTGAACTGATTGGATGAGGCCAGCCCACACTGTGGGGGGTAATCGGCTTTATTTAAAGTCAAGTGATTATAGCCATTAATCACAGCTACAAAACACCTTCACAGCAACATGTAAACTGGTATTTGACCAAACAGCTGAACAAATACCGAGTTGACACATAAAATTGACCATCAAAGGTACCAATGCTATGTGCAAAAGAAAACTGTCTAGTCAGTTTTCAGCAATTTGTCTTTTAGAGAATTAATTTTGCATGAGGTGCCTAGTCCCTGAATACCTCGGCAGACCTGCCCCTAAAATACCTGGTCATGCCCTCCATACAATCAGTCCTCCAGGCTACTGCTGTTGGGCTACTCCCAGACCACGCCTATTTGGTCTATAATAGCAGTTGTGGGGAAGATTGGGCAGAAGCTGAACTTTCTCTAGGACTACCTAAGACAAACCCAACCCAACCAGTTCTATTGCTCCTGAATCTGCTAAAACATACTGATAAGAAATGCTGTCGACTTTATAGACAGAGAAGAAAGATCCAGCTCCTTCTCCTCTACCAAACTGCCCTAAACTTTGCCTGGAGTGGTGAGAAACCATAACCTTTAACATCCCTCTTTGCCTAGAGAGCCCCCCTTTCTTATCCACTACGTCTCTTGAGGAACTAGAAATGGCCTTAAAGCTTGTTTAGGTTTATATCCATAGTCCGGCAGTCTGCGTCTATGTAAAGATCTATTCATCTGGAGAAAGTACCTGCCTTACTCTCCTCAGAAACTAGAAAATTAAGCTTTCAGCCAGTTTACAAATTTTCTTAGGAACACTTTCCTCCAAAGAAATTTATTCTAAAGCTGGGTGCGGTGGCTCATGCCTATAATCCCAACACTTTGGGTGGCTGAGGTGGGCGGATCGCTTCAGTCCAGGAGTTCAAGACCAGCTTGGGCAACATGATGAAACCCCGTCTCTATTAAAAGTACAAAAATTAGCTGGGTGTGGTGGCATGTGCCTGTGGTCCCAGCTACTCAGGAAGCAGAGGTGGGAGAATCACCTGAGCCTCGGAGGTGGAGGTTGCAATGAGCCAAGATTGTGTCACGGCACTCCAGCCTGGATGACAGAGCAAGACACTGTCTCAAAAAAAAAAAAAAAAAAAAAAAAAAGAAAGAAAAGAAAGAAAGAAAAAGAAAAGAAATTTATTCTCAAACCTACTCTGTTTTTTTTATTTTTATTTATTTATTTATTTATTCATTCATTTATTTATTTTTTGAGACGGAGTTTCACTCTTGTTGCCCAGGCTGGAGTGCAATGGCGTAATCTCAGCTCACTGCAACCTCTGCCTCCCGGGTTCAAGTGATTCTCCTGCCTCAGCCTCCCTAGTAGCTGGGATTACAGGCACCCACCGCCATGCCCAGCTAATTTTTTGTATTCTTTTTAGTAGAGACGGGGTTTCACTATGTTGGCCAGGCTGGTCTCGAACTCCTGACCTCAGATGATCCACCCGCCTCAGCCTCCCAAAGTGCTGGGATTACAGGCATGAGCCACTGTGCCCGGCTAAACCTACTCTGTTTAACAGATAAAGGCAAAGCTTTGTGATTTCAAATAGAAGTTTCTCCCCCAATCTCTCTTGGCTCCCCATTCATCATGCCCTCTTGGGGGGCCCCTAAGGGGAACCTCTGAGAACCCCTAGGGCTCTGCAGAGCATAGTATAAAAAGCATGATGCAACAGAAAGAATTCTACATATATAACCAGACAGACAGATATATATATATATATATAGATAGATATATATATATAATATACACACACACACACACACACACACACATATATATATATATATATATATGAAGCAGTACTATGTTGAAGTAAAACCTTAATTCTGGAAACTTTAACTCCCAGTCATGTTTACTATCCTTGGACAGGTACTTAACCTCTTTAGGCCTCTAAAACTGAAATGATAATACTTTCCTTAAATAATAATTGATAAGAGTATATATAACAGAGTACTTTTAAAGTTCTACAAAAGTTAGGTATTATTGACCACAAGGATACTTTGGAAATCAAGGCCATGTCTGTGGGTAATGTGATATCCTTCAAGCTGGCCTCAATGGCTAAGGAATATTCTGTGGTTACAGCTTATAAACTAAGAGAGGAAGCTGCCCAGCTCAACCACTGCCTCCTGATGCATATGTCTAAAACAAAACTACATAAAGCTCAATAAGCCTGTCTGGGTTAGTTGATCCTCTGGTACTTTTTTTCCCATTTGAAGAAGCTGGTCAGCTGACAGGGGCTCAATAAGTTGGGGGGAAACATTACACAGAGTTAAACAGATGACTTTATGGTAGGATTTAACAGAAACTTTACATGAATAATGAATCTCTAAAAGAGCTTTGTAGTATGCAGCATCACAAACTTATTTAACCATAGAACACATTTTTAGTAGAATCACATTTTGTGGAACACCTACAGAGCAGAGTTTAGAAAATGCTGCTTCACAGAGAGGCACAGCAGAGGGCGATTTTATTATTACCATTTATTAGAATGTCCTACCATTTCTTCCTACCACTTGTCCTTAATCCTAAAAGATCCTGAGAGATCTCCAGAATGCTTCAAAGAGTATCACAGGAGAGCTTCACAAAGTATCATTTGATCTTTCCCCAGCTGAATTTTAGTATCAGCAACAACAGTACTAGGCTTTAAATTAAACTAGACTTGAAATGTTTCCATTAAGAGCCAAGCAAATAAATGGAAATTCAGGAACCAAGAAGTAACCAAGAGGCTACTTGGCAAAAGGCATCTTTTAGAATAACCACATTATGTTTCCTTCCAACAATAGTACCTGAGCTTGGCATGAACCTAGCCATGGAGATTTTTTTGGAAACAAAGCCTTTGTCTACTACACATGTCATCTAGCTTTCTAAAGAATGCTTTGACAGATGCACACATATGCTCATTGCAGCACTATTCACAATAGCAAAGACATGGAATCAACCTAAATCCCCATCAATGGTAGACTGAATAAAGAAAATGTGGTACATATACAACATGGAATAATATGCAGTCATAGAAAAGAATGAGATCATGTCCTTTGCAGGGACATAGATAGAGCTGGAGGCCATTATCCCTAGCAATCTAATACAGGACCAGAAAACCAAATACCACATGTTCTCACTTATACGTGGCAGCTAAATGATGAGAATACATGGACACATAGAGGTGAACAACACACACTTTGGCCTATCAGAGGGTGGAGGGCAGGAGGAGGGAGAAGATCAGGCAAAATAACTAATGGGTACTAGGCTTAATACCTGAGTGACAAAATAATCTGTACAACAAACCTGTGTGACATGAGTTTACCTATGTAACAAACCTCTACAGTTACCCCTGAACTTAAAATAAAAGCTAAATTAAAAAAAAAAAAGAATGCTAAACTCAGCCAAACAATCAGGGATTTTCAACCGGGCTATTATAGAAGTGTGTGGAACTTTTTCTTTTCAAATTATTTTGCACATTTAGACACACCAACACTCCAGCACCATACCTTACTTATGTGAAATTGTACAAATCCTATGAAGGGGTTACCCAGAATACTGAGCAACCCAAGCATGGAGGTGCACGGGTGTTTGTAGCATCCTGCAAGCAAATACCAAACATTTGTCAGTCCATCGAAATTTGTATCATCCCAACACATTCATGAAAATGATCACCAGAGGTCTTGTATCTGACAATTCTGTCTCTTAACTTGTAAAAAGGCACAATGATTACCCCATGGCAGCTATTTTACTGTCAATGATCCTCAAACTTGAATGTGTACCAGAATCACCTGGAGGCCTTTTTGCATACAAATTGCTATCCCATCCTCAGAGTTTCTGATCCAGTGTCTGCATGGTACTGGTACCAGCATGGTAATAAGCTTCTTCTCACCCTTGACAGAGATAGTCTGTGGACCACACTTCATTACATTGTCATCTTAAACATTTCGATCAACTGCCACCAGATAAACACTGGTACCTAGGCTGATTTAGACCCAACACATAAGCTTTGTTCAAGTGTGGAAAACTAAGAGAAGGGTTATAATACAATTCACCTGCAGGCTCATTTTCTAACAGTGATATAATTATTTCGTTAGGAAAATGTATTGTTAATTGATTAATAATTTATCAAGAAAGTAAAAAATTGTTTAACCTTTTTAATTACATGTAACTCATTACTTAGTGTGAAAACTAAAAGAAATAGAAAGTTCTAAGTGCAAAGCAAATATCTTTGACTTTATTGAAATGTTACAATAAGCTATATTTATCTAAACACTTTCTTCTCTGGCTGTGGTTTTCTTCAAAAAAAATAATAAATGAACACTTTCTTTCCTTCCTCTCTTCTTTTCTCCTTCCCTTCCTCCCTTCCTTTATCTAAGAAAAGACATCTGAAAGAAGATCATTTTCTTTCTTATTTGCTTCCGGGATCTTTTCCGGGTATTTGGCCCTGCCATTTGAGACTCGAAACTGTCATTCCTTTATTATTTCATTCAACAAATATCTAGTGAAAATCAACAATGAGCCTGACACATCACTAGGTATTAGAGATGATGTAGTAATTGAGAAAGACAAAGTCCTTGCCTTCGTGAAGCTTACATTCCAGTGGGAGAGACATAGAAATAACAAAGCAATTACAAAATATGAAAGGAAGTACAGAGTAAAATAAGAGCATATAAAAGGGGCACATAACCGAGATTTGAAAGTGAGGGTAGATAGTTGGGGCAATCAAGTTTTTCCAAAGAAAGTGCCACCCAAAATGAATCCTGAACAATGAAGCAAAGCTGAGGGAACAACAGAAAGAACAGTACTTCTAAAGAATTCAAGTAATTTTAGTATAGCTGGAGTATACCATTTGGTGGCAGGGATGGGAAGTAGAACAGACAATGAGGAGGGAAAGGCAAGTGGCAATACTGAAAAGATGTGCACTGTTTTCTCAATACCTCCTGTTTCCGTGTGAGTATTATGGAAAAACACAAATCGGGGTGATCACTTGGTTCACAAAGATACCCCAGTAGCCCTGTCTGTGCTGCCTCTCCTCTCCCTTCTTTTGGTGAACTGCTGTTCCTCCTCTCCAGCCCTAAGCATGTGGTCAAAATCACAGCTACCATCCTTTTCACATGAGTTTACATCCATGGCCATAGTAATTGGCTGAGAAGTGAACACTTGCTCCAAAACTGGCCATGGATAGGACCCCACCCGCCTGGCCATAGTGATTACTCTGGCGCTAGTCACATGACTCAAGACAAACCAATCAGAGCTCTTCCCCAGGTTTTCTTGGACTGGAGCTGGCAAGGAAGAACCCCTTCTTCTCTGGTCAAAGTGCCTTGAGGATGTGAGCTCGGAGCTAGCAGCAGCCATGTCTAGCACCATACGGAGAATCCTGCCTTCAACAGAAGAGAATGAAGCCAACACAGAGGGAAAAGCAAAGACAAGAAGAGAAGGTCCCGACAGTTTTTGAGCCTCTAGTTTTAGTCCCTAAGGCCAACACCAAGGTTGCAGAGGTTACCTTGTACTTCCTAAGGCCCAGCTGTTCTGTGCTTTCTCCAAACCTGTGAGCTCAAGTACCCTTTCTATAAAGTGTCCAACTGGGTCTCTGTCAAATGCTTGTATGCACTCTACTTGGCATGTTCCTCTGAACTGCTATTCTCAAAATGGGTATGTAACAGCTGTAAATTATGTAGCTTATTTTTACCTTGCTCAAGGCTGTTTTTCCATTGCTTTGCCTCATTTCCTTACATCTTTACTCATTTTCTCTCTTCTGAAGATTCTGAAAACAGTAACCAAAACAGAATCAGGCTCACACAGGGCTGGAAAGGCCTCCTCACATCTGCCTTGTTTACTTATTGTCCTGATAGAAACCATTGCTCCATGGGGCCAATTAGCTATTTAAAGGTGAAGGAAAAAATGACTAAAGTGGACCTTTTCAGAGAAACTCTCCACACACTTATAGCCCCTGGCTTAAATCGCCTTAGCAAGTTTTGGAAAAAGGGAGGTCACAAAGTTAAGGACAAAACAGTGATGTCCAATCGAATCCACTGTTGACTTTTACTCAACATGGCAAAAACAGAATTTACTGTCTCTCCCCTAAATTAACTCTCTGTCCAGGAGACCTTATTTTTTACCTTATCATTCTCCTAGTCATCTAGACCTTGACATTGTGTGATTTATCTTTTATTTTCCTCTCTCTAACTGTAGCCAGTAAGATACTGACTCTTCCAAATTATTTTCTTTGAGATATGTTTCATATCTAATCTTTCCTCTCCATTCTCACTGCCTGAACCTATATTCTGAATCCATCACTTCCTCTATAACCAATCTCTCCTTTTTTATTTTAAAATATTTAATTAACAAAAATGATATATATTCAAGATGTGCAATGTGATGATTTGATATACATTTATATTGTATAATGATGATCACATTCAAATTAACACATCCATCACCCACACTATACATTAGATTCCCAGAACTTATTCATCTTATAACTGTAAGTTTGTACTTTTTTATCAGCATCTCTCCATCTCCCCCACCATCCGGCCCCTGACAACCACCATTCTACTTTCTGTTTCTATGAATTTGACTCTTTTAGATTCCAGATATAAGTGAAATCGTATATTATTTGTCTTTCTGTGACTGGCTTATTTCACTTAGCATAATGTCTTCCAGTTCATCCATATTGTCACAAATGACAACATTTCCTTCTTTTTATGCCTGAATAGTATTCCATTTTGTGTGTGTGTGTGTGTGTGTGTGTGTGTGTACACACACATTTTATGTATTCATTCATTGTCTTTATCCATTCATTTATCAATGGACATTTAGGTTGATCCTATATCTTGACTATTGTGACTAATGCTGCAGTGAACATGGGGGTGCAGATATCTTTATGACATACTGATTTTATTTTTAGGGGACACATACTCAGAAGTAGAATTGCTGGATCACATGGTAGTTCTGTTTTTAATGTTTTGAGGAACCTCTATACTGCTTTTCATAATGGCTGTATTAATTTCTATTCCTACCAACAGTGTGCAAGCATTCCCTTTTCTCCACATCCTTGCCAACGCTATTATCTCTTGTCTTTTTGATAATAGCCATCGTAACAGGTGTGAGGTAATATTGCAGTTTCAATTTGCATTTTCCTGATGATTAGTGATGTTGTGCACCTTTTCATATGCCTGTTTGCTATTTATGTGCATGACCAATATTTTATATATTTGTCTGATGTTACTTCCTCACATCCACATCCCCAGCCCAGTGAAGGACCAAGGATAGGCTCCTGACCCAAGGGCCACCAATCTACATTCTGGCCAGTGATCTAAAACAGAACCAGGTATAAAAATATAAACTAGGGCAATCAGATTCTCTCTCAGGAATTTGCCCTAAAAATATGAGGTGGGGGGGAAGAGAAAGAAAGAGAGAGAGAAAGAAACAGGGAGGAAGGGAGAGAGAGAAAGGGAGAGAAATGAAAGAAGTAGGAGCTGAAGCTGAAAGAATACCTAGAGAGGAATATGAAAAAGTCAGAAATATAAGGGAAAAGATAGAAACCTGAAGGCTTGATAGGCCATGCAAACCAAAATTATAAGGGAGCAGGAACAACAAATTAAATAGGAATTAGGAACTATCCAAAAGCTAACCTGGGCAGAGGAAAACACTTAAGGCAGTCAGTAGTGAGGGGGAAGTAGAGCTGAGCCATTTTAATGACAGAACTCTAGGGTGAAAAGTCTTAGAACCCTGCTGAGGTCCCTGAAGCTGCCATGAAGCCAAGTACAATTCCCATGAGGTCCCTCTGCACTCTGGTTTCTGACTTTGCTTCCCCTGAAACCTTTCTTTCTTACTGCTCTTTAACAATACCCCACCACCCCTTTACTTGAGATGACTCGAAAGTGTCTCTATCACTTGCAAACAAAAGAGCCTAATAAAAACAGTTCAAATCAAATATCTGGCTTCTGAGATGTTCATTACCTGGCCTCACCATGCCTTTACAGTCTTCCAGTCCCACAACCCCTCAATGAGAATATCCCACTTCAGAATATCGACTTTGCTAAACCATCACTGCCTATTCTCTGTGTATATATACGGCAGTCAGTTTCTGTCTCCATACCTTTGCTGGCACTTCTGCCACATATCCCCTTACTTGTCTTCACCCCACCAAGTTCTAGTCACCCTTTAAGCCCTGCATCCTCTTGGAAGACTTTCCTAGCTTTGCCATCCTGACATTGCTTCTCCCTGCTCTTCCCCTCGAATCCCTATAGACTAAATTACACAATCTAGCATCTCATTCTGTGCAATCTGCCATCTCATTCTACGCTGTCTTGTTTTTCTCTATTTATGCCAGGTTTTCTATCTCCTCAACTGGTTCTTGAACTCATGAAGAGCAGGAATATATTTCATATTGTTTTCAAGTGCCCCACTGTATCATTATTATTATTCATATTATTATTAACAAATGTTATCAAATATTTGTTGTTTGAGTGGTATCAACATGGAGCACAAACAATCCAACAGGCATATCATAGAACCTCATTACTGCAAAACAATCATTAATGAGAAAACTACACTAATAGGGCCCATGCTGAGTGTGGTCATTGAGGTGCTATCCTAAGAGAAGGGCTGAGCTCAAGGGAAGGCTCCCCTCAGACCCATGGGCCCTGTGAAAGAACCACTTTTTATTTCCTCCAGCAGGGGAGAGAGAAAAGGAAAGGCCTGAGACCTGGGAATGTCAACTAACTGCTTGATATCATGAGAGAACTTACAGCCTACTCTAGGAAAAGCATACAATCCTGACCTCAGCCTTCTTTGGAAACAAGTACCTCAAGGCATAAGCCAGGGAAATGTCAATCTTTCTCCCTTCATCCTGGCAGCTTAGGTTCTGGTTGCCCCTCCTGGGGGAAATGCTCTGGCCCCTCCTCTGAGAACAGCTCTCTTTCTAGGCCAAACCCAAGTCACCTTTGAGAAAAGCCACCATTCAATGTGGGACTTTTAAATATCAAGAGATGCCAAACAGTGCAGAAATCAAGAACTTTCCCTTAGTCAGAGCACTTCCATGCAAGAGGAAAATATGGCTCTACCCAGTGTCATTTCCAAAATTGATAAGGGACCCATACATACATCAGCAGTGCTATTTTGACACTCCATTATGAGTCATAAAATTTCTATTCAACACCCACTTCCTGAGCCCAGGGTATTATTTATTCCAAGGAATTGGTAAGAGGTCTCAACTAAGTGCAGGATAATCTGCTTCTGAAAATCACAGTTAAGAAAAGGGCAAGTTTCTTGTCATCCTCAGAAACTAATATGCAAAAAATAAATCTGACTAAGAACATGTGGGTGGGAAGGTACACGGGAAAGAGGATTTAAGAAAAACTTCACCCATCTTACCCACTCAAAAGCTATTGCTATGCTGCGCCTTTCTTTCTTGGTTTCCTGTTTTTGCTTACAGCAGATAAAACTTGATGGCAATGATCTTAATCTTCTCTGTCAGCCTTCCAAGCTCATTATGGGGAGGGGAAGGGCAGAGATTGTTCCTGTCTTCAGGCGGGAAACCAAAGTTCAAGAAAATGGACTCCAGCAGCAGATGGAAAATGCAGATAGTTCCCAGAGGCTGCTGTGCATACATCTGGAATACCTCCAGATCTGAGACAGAGAAGGAATGCTAATAAGAAATCTAGTTGAAATGAGAACACATGGACACAGGGAGGGAAACAACACACAATGGGGCCTGTCGCGGGAGAGCAGGGTGAGGAGAGCATCAGGAAAAATAGCTAATACATATGGGGCTTAATACCTAGGTGACAGGTTGATAGGTGCAGCAAACCACCAGGGCACATATACACCTATGTAACAAACCTGCACATCCTGCACATGTACCCTGGCACTTAAAATAAAATCAAAAACAAAAAAGATATGTAACTAACCTGCACATTGTGCACATGTACCCTAAAACTTAAAGTATAATAATAATAAAATAAAATTTTTTTAAAAAAGAAATCTAATTGAATATCCGAGAGTGTTCCCTGACCTCATGAATCTGTAGGTGAAAGATGCCAACAAACTTAAAGGGGATTTTTCATTTACTTGGCTGGCCAAGGGTTTGAAATTCTAATATTAAGAATTCAGTCATTTCATTTATCCTTTCCTATATTTGTTTCTTTTTCTCTGGAGTCTTCTTAAAAGGGCAACTACTCATAGGAGGGATTATACACACTCACTAACATTTTAGTGTGATTTAATCTGTCCAATTTTTTCACTGGGTGTATATGAAGAAGAAAGGAAGAGAGAATGTATGCAAAAAAGTCATGCTTTCCTGCATCCTAAAAATGGATTCACAATCATCTCTGCCAACTCATGAACATCAGAATGGGTGTCAGAGGCTATAAAAACCTCCATTTCAGACAATGTCTTCTTTTGGTCAAGGGGCCTGAAAGCTATTGAGTCCTTATGTGTTTGGGGGACAGTTCATTTAAAAAAGTCTAATTAAGAAGTCCTCACAGTGCCACCTCCTCCCCATCCAAAACCTACCACTACACCCCTTAGCAAAGATTATCTGAGCCTCCATGGCTTTACTTGTATTCCCTCAGCCTAGAATGCTAAGTCCCTACTCATTGCCTCAGTAGTAGCTGCTCCTTTTGCCTAGAAAGCTATTCCTCCTGATCTTCACATAAATTACACACTCCTGTCTCAGACAGGCCTTTCTTATCTAACGCATGTCTGCTCTAGCACATTGACAATGTATTTTCTTTATAACCCTTGTCAGCACCTGGTTTCATCTCATCATATTTGTCTCTTACTTGTTTAATGTTTTTGCCCCTCCATACCACCAACTAGAATTTCATGAGGGCAAGAATTGTATCTATTTCATTCACAGATGAGTCTAGAAAAGTGCCTAATCCGTAAGAAACCATACATATTTGTTGAATAAATGACTGGATAGATGAATGACTGAGTCCCTACACTCCACCCCAACCATAACTGAATGCCGCATTATTATATTTTTTAAAATATTGCTCAAGAGGGCCATTCCCAGCAAGACTCACCACTAACCCATTCATTCATAGTAGAAGGAGCAAGCACCCTGGTGATTCTTCATACCAAGCTCCCCTGTTCTAAGTACTGTCTGCCTGGGTATGACTTCCAAGGGAGCAGAGCTAGAGTAAATTCTACTTACTTTCAACAGCCCCAACTGCAGTATCTAACAGAAAGAGGAAATACTACATCATAGTAGCTCACGGAAAGAGAAAATCCTACCTCATAGTACTGGTACTGACCCAATAATGCAACCATAGTGGTGTGGTGTTTTATCACAGCGCTGGTTTTGGCCTCACTGAAATTGGCCACATATGACATTCTTTCAATATGTGGTTTTATGAAATCTCCTAGTACTAAGGACATAGGCAGGAAGATCCAGGGCAGAAAGCCAGGATCCAGAGAGCCAGCAATATGTTAAAGTAAGGGCTTAGACTAGGCAATAGGTTAGTACCTAGGCAAGGAGGTTGCCAGGGATCAAGAGGCACATGTGAACTCAAGGTCAAGGCAAGAAGGTGAAAAGCTGTAGGCTTTCAGTCTTCACAGCCCAAATCCATCTGGTACTCTAAGATACTCTAAGGTACACTAAGGATTCCCTAACAAAGGGTAGGGAAAGGCCTCTGGTCAAGACATATATATATATGTGTGTGTGTGTGTGTGTGTGTATATATGTGTGTGTGTGTGTGTATGTGTGTGTATATATATGTATATATACATATATATACACACACATACACACACACACACACATACACACACACACACACACACACACACACATACAGAATCCTGAAGACCTGCAGAAACCAAATAGGACAAAGTGAGAAAAAGAAAAAAACTAGAAGTGCTAGGCTCATAGAGACCCAGATTTAGAAGCCAATTCCTGTCCTGATCAGGAAGTTTCTTAGATGTTTCTTGTGATGAAAGAACCCTGTATGAGAAAGCAAGGAAGTGAATCAGCCAAACTTGATTAGGAAGGATAAGGAACAGGGTGAACAATAAGAATAAGGGCAAATTCTATAAATAGTTTTGTTGGAAATAGGTAAGCTCTGACTCTAGAGAAGCAGGGGTGTGAGGGGGAGGTTGTCAGAAGTCTTCAGCATGTAGAAACCAAAGTTACTATCAGTCAACACGTGACTAGGTATCAAAGAAGGAATGGCATTGTAGGAAACTGGCTCTGCCATGGAATCCTGATGACCTTACCACACATCCACATAGAGCATGCAGGCAAAGGCTGAACCACAGACTGAGTCTTGGTGGAACGCATTGTGCTATTTCTGGAACATTAGAGGACTAGAAGCCTATAAGGAGCTGCTACGAGGAAGTCTCTCACTCACTTCCCTCCCTCTCCTGGAGGGGCTGCAATGAGATCGTTTCTCATCACCTGCCTGATTCTGATGAGGTATGGGGTTTTCTGCTATGCCCCCCTTAGAACATAAAACTGCTTTTATGTATAATACATAAATGTACATTTAAATTTATAAAATATAAATTTTATATAAATATAAAATACAAATAAAAGTTATAAATATAAATTTATATTATTACGTATTATGGTGAATACAAAGCTACAGAACATAAAACTGCTTGGAGGCACCCTGGAATAGGCTCCTCAGCAATGGGGTATCCCACAGTGTGCAATGCAGTCATCCAGCCTCTTTTCTTTCCATGTCATCCTTTGTAGCGTATGGGACAAGGATCACAGGGATCTGGCACTTTAAGGCTTATTCTGCTTTCAGCTGTCTATGTAAATAATAAACTGTCTAAATCTAAAAGTGGTTCATTGTATCTTTACTGGTCAGATCAGTCAAGCCTTCGCCTTGACCTTGTATTATATGTGTGAGATTGACAGGCTTTGGACAAAAAGAGAGACAACCTTTTCATTTGTAACATGATGTTTACTGTGAAGGAATTTCCTGCTGAGAAGTTTGGGCTAAAATATTCAGACATGAGTTAATCCCCCCTGAAGAAATCCTGACACAGTCCAAACCCACTACTGAAACCAAACTTAGCTCCATGCTGACACACATCTACTTTGAAGCTATTGGCCATTTGCTACAGGGGGACAGGGTATCCCAGCAATGCAGTCTCACAGGGCCCACAGCCATTGTCTCTATAGAATCACAAAAAGTCATGTCCAGCTCTCACTTCAGGCAAGTCTCCACTTTACTCGTCTCAACCCAAGGCCAACTTGCAAAGATTTATAGAAAAGATCCACTGTGTTCTCTACTACTTCAATCTTTGATCTACTGGACATTCTTACTTAAGTTTCATGATTCTCACACTGTATTGATGGCCAGCAAGATCCTTCTGTGTCCCTACAAAGGCAGGGAGCCCAGTACTGAACACACACAGAGTGGTTGGCATGTATAGCACAGTCCTGGACCTCAGGAATTTATATTCCAAGGAGAATGTCAAACTGAAACACAAAAACAAACATTTAACTATACAATATATGGTGCTATGTAATAAAAAAAAAAGTGCAAACCAGGGGTTATAGAAGTGAAGAAGAGAAGGGAGTATTTGCTTCCAACTATGGGGATTAAGGATGACATCATAGTGGATATGTCATTTGAACTGGACCTAGAAAAAGTAGATAAAATGTCAATAATCAGAGAAGAGAGGATAATTGAGCAAACAGAAACAAGCAGAAAACATAAAAAGACCCTAGAATAAAAATAATTCTAGGAACAATGGAGATTTTTTTAAATTCTAATTATTTTCTTCAGACTAGTTTGAAATGATCTTTGCATCTATGAAATATTGACAAGATAGGCTGGGCACAGTGGCTCACGCCTGTAATCCCAGCACTTTGAGAGGCCAAGGCGGGTGGATGGCCTGAGGTCCGGAGTTCGAGACCAGCCTGGCCAACATAGTGAAACCCCATCTCTACTAAAAATACAAAAAATTAGCTGGGCGTGGTGGCAGGTGTCTGTAATCCCAACTACTCAGGAGGCTGAGGCAGAAGAATTGCTTGAACCTGGGAGGTGGAGGTTGCAGTGAGCCAAGATCTCACCATTGCACTCCAGCCAGGACAACAAAAGCGAAACTCTGCCTCAAAAAAAAAATGAAATAAAATATGGACAAGATATTACAAGCAAAAAAACAGAGAACAAGAAGAACCTTTGGAATTTAAAATATAATTGCCAAAACAAGAGGGAATGGATAGTGAGTAAATGGTAAATGTAAATGAATATAAGGATAACCTAGTCATTCAAAATATTGAACAGTTAAAGGGAGGAGAGTGAGATGAGAGCAGGCCGGCAACAAGTAGAATAGTAATAACAACAAAATTAACAGCAGCAGCTATAGATTACTTTGCTCCTACAAAGTGCTAGTTGCCTTACATATAGTACTTCATTTACTAATCACAAAACACAGCAAGGTAGGTATTGCTAGTAATCAATTGTACCAAATGGTGACTATAATAAATAATAACACATCGTATACTTCAAAATTTCTAAAAGAATAGGTTTGAAATGTTTTCACCACAAAAAAAGTATATGAGGTGACTGATTTGTTAATAGGCATGATTTAATCATTTCACAATATTAACATGTATAAAAATATCACATTGTGTCCTATAAATATACAATATATACAATTGTTATTTGTTCATTTAAAATAAAACAAAAAATAATAACAAAGAAACTGAGGCTCAGAGAAATAAAGGATCTTGCCTAATGTCAGACAGGTAGCAAGTGGCTATGGTATGTTGGCCTCCAAAACTATTGCTCTTAACTACCTCACTTGCAGGAAAGCAGAGGGGAAGCATCAAGGTAAGGAAGAGGTTGAAGGTGTCAGACTAAAAGGTCCAGACCTTCAACCTCTTTATGTATGGAAACAAGGTCCTTGGCTGTGCATGGTGGCTCATGACTGTAATCCCAGCACTTTGGGAGGCTGAGGTGGGTGGATCATGAGGTCAGGAGTTCGAGACCAGCCTGACCAACATGGTGAAACCCGTTCTCTACTAAAAATACAAAAATTAGCCAGTGTGGTGGCGCGCAACTGTAATCTCAGCTATTCAGGAGGCTGAGGCAGGAGAATCGCTTGAACCTCGTAGGTGGAGGGTGCAGTGAGCCAAGATCATGCCACTGCACTCCAGCAGCCTGGGTGACAGAGTGAGACTCCATCTCAAAAAAAAAAAAAAAAAAAAAAGGGTCCTTCAGGAGTTGAGGAGGGATAAGTTCTCTGGAATGAGTTGGGAAGTGGCAAGGTGATGGAAAATCAGCCTTCTGGGAAATGGGGGAACGTTTCTTCCTCCAAGACTATGAACACTGCTGAGAGGGGACCCAGGGAGGTTGAGACACAGTGAAGCAGTAGCAGATGTGCACCAAATGCAAGAGGACCTTGAAACCAATGCCAGCTCTGCCTCCAAGAACAAGCTGCTTATGTCTGATGACTCATTTCCCAGGACAAGGCCAGTTCTTGGCCAGCAGCCACTAAGAATGCTGCAGCAGGGCACTACTCCACACTGGTAGGCGTTGTCACACCCAGACCACCTCCATTGGTCTTCAGAAAGTGTGCCCAAAGCCTAAAGCCACCTCTGACTTTATGACATTGAACTATTTCATTCCATTTGGCCAATAGAAATGCAAAAAGGATGAGAGCAAACCAAGGAGGGGAGATTGCAGTTCCAAATCATTCCACAAAAATGGTCTCTAAATGCATCTGAGCTGGCTGCTTATAAAGGGCAACACAGGCACCAAAAAAAAAAAAAAAAAAAAAAAGAAGAAGAAGAAAAAGAAAGAAGGAAAGAAAGAAAAAGAAAAGAAAACCTGACTACCCAATCCTTAAAAATTGTTCAAGAGTAAAAGCCCCACAAGTCTGAATTCCAGAAACCCAAGGCGGGTGGCCTTTTCAAAGAGCTCAGTTGATTTTATCACCATCCCTAGTCTGAATTCGCTGCACATTTCCTCCCTAATCCAGGATGCGATAAGAAACCAACATAACAAGAATTCATCTTCCCCAGGAAAAGGTGAGCATCTCTGAGTTCAACAGAGACAACTGGAACCTAATTGCATTGCCTCTTTCAAAGCCTTCCAGTAAAAGTGTAAAACGAAAGAGGACTGAAAGAGGCTGCTTAGCGCAGCTACAATGTGATCACATTTTCTTTTGAAAAATGACACACCAAGTAGCTGCCATTTTTAGAAAATGGCAATTTCATCTGAAATCAGAGCAAGTGTCACTCTGCAGCAAAAAATAAAATCCTTGTTTCAAGAGCTTTGGAACCTGGTCCCCAAACAGCAGTATTTCCTGGCTATATTTGATTAATATTACACAAAGGGTAGGATGAAGGGAAGGTGGGTCTGGAAAAGGAAAAGCACCTTTGTGAAGAAAAACAAGTATGTGGCCTTCAGGGAGCTAAGCACATGTTTAATTTTGTGTTTTAAACTTCTCAGCAGACTGCAGATCTATAAAGGGAATCACTGAAAGTGAAGATAACGACGACTTACCCAAAGCATCATGCTGTTTTCCGCAAGACAGGGCGAGAAGTGAGAAAGCAAAATCTTTGCTTCAGTTACACAAACTCCCTCTCCTTTGCAGAGAAACTTGCTAGCTGAAATGGAGCCAGATGCTAATACGGGAGCCTCAGCAAACAGCTATGTGCTTGTCAAACACTGACATCTACTGGTCAGTTCTGAAATGGCTTCTTTTTTATTTCTGAAAGACCAGTCAACTAGACAAAAATAAATTCCCTTGTGCTTTTTATTGGAGGCTTTTTCTTCTTTGGCCCTTTGAAAATTCTTAACCCGTAATTTAAGTTTTACCTCTGTAAAATATACAGAGTTATTTAATTTATATTTTGATTCTTTAAGTTATAAGATTGTTATTAAATAGGGCATGAGAAAAAACGCAGAATATCTAATCAGAATTTGTTGAGTATAATAATCATTTCTTATATCCATAAAACACTAATGAGTTTCCAAAGCATGACCAGGTATATTATCTCATTAGGTATTCAACAACCCTGTGAAATGGGATGATCAAGACCATCCTATTTTACAGAAAGGACACAAAGGCCCAGAAAAATCTAGCTAATAAATCCAAGGTCATAAAGAAAGTCACAGGTGATGCTAGTTCTAGAACCAAGGTTTTCCAACTTATAGGCCAGGACTTTAATCATTGAGGCATTTATCTCCACATTTCCCCTTGTGGAAACAAATAAATTACTCTCAGCTGGTGAGTATAGAGGGAAAAGGCAAATGGGGACACGCAAACACACACCCTCTTTCTTTTGCTTTGTACTATTAAAGTCCCGACATGAACTAATGAGCAGAGGGAGAAAGCTGCTGTGGATGAGAGCTACACTCCATTTTAGTACTTCAAGAAAGATTTGGTCAAAGCTGATTAACCCATTGGGCATCATAAACCTTTCTGTCCAGCATACCAGAATCAGCCACCACAATGAAGTATGAAAATTGATCCTTAAAAAATGCACTGAAATGTCATTCAGAGAGATTGAGGGCCAGTTACTTAATGCCCAGATGTATTCACCCTCCCCCAACCAGGGCACACAGTTGCTTCCTGATAATGCTTACAAGCTTCCTAATTATTATCAAAATTAAAGGTACATAGGGAACCTTGAAACATGGGAGGCATACCTGAGAGCAAGGTGGGTAGATCATTAACGAAATTTCTCTCTTCTGTGGACAACTTACCAAAGGCATCAGAATTTTAAACTGGGACCTTTTTTTCCCCCGGAAGAATTAGCTGGGTTTCTAAAACAAAAATCAAACCATGGAGGTTGAAACACAAGTGAGTACTTCATAAATATTCCCTGGAATGAAAATATTGCCAGGAGATTTCTGAAGAGGGCATGGAGCATCTGCCTTAGAGGGCCACTGCTAAACTTGTCCTGTTGCCACTTTGCTAAGGAAAGGAGGAGCTTAAGAATGTTGTGGGGTTGAGGTGGTAGGGAGTTAAGAAAGACCAGCAAACTAGACAGCTGAGTAACACAAATCAACTCTCGGGGTTTAAATAGCCCTGTCCTGAAGCATCTTCATGTCTAGAAAACCAATGTATCAACTTCTACCATTAATGTCCCTTTTAAAAGGGAATAATGTGGGTTGTCATATCAATGCTTTTTTTCCCACTCCTAGGGATCCTGTCCCAACTCAGAGCCCTGACTTGACTTCTCTTCCCTACAAGACCTTTCTTTTAATAACAATAACAATAACAACAATAGTAACAACTGAGGCTAATTTACAGCAGGCACTATTTGAAGGGCTTCACATATATGAACTCATTAGTCCTCACAACAACCCTACCAGGTTGTTACTATTATCTCCACTTTATAGATATGTAAATTAAGTCACAGAGATTAAATAATTTAACCAGGATTTCACAGCTTCTAAGTGATGGTGCTAGAGTTTAAACCCAGGTCTGTCCAATTTCAGTGCCCCCTCACTTAACCTCTATATCAGTGGTTTTCTTTTATTATTATTATTATTATTATTATTATTATTATACTTTAAGTTTTAGGGTACGTGTGCACAACGTGTAGGTTTGTTACATATGTATACATGTGCCATGTTCTCACTCATAGGTGGGAATTGAACAATGAGAACACATGGACACAGGAAGGGGAACATATATCAGCGGTTTTCAAAGTGCAGTTCCTGGACCAGCACCATTAGCATCACCTGGGAACAAAATTCTCAGCCCTCTCTCCCCACAACCTGCCCCCAACAGACCTACTGAAACAAAAACTCTGAAGTTTGGTTGTTTTAACTTTACTTTTACAAGACACACAGGTGATTCTGATGTACATGACAGTTGTGGGACTCACGCGCTACATGATACCGCCTATCTCTAAAGGGTAGTTGGGGATATAGAACCTTCAGCCCACAAAGAGTCCAGTCAGGATATTGCTTGATATCTTGCCATTTGCCATCTTATGATAAAACTGGAGCACGAGATGGTAATTCCATTTGATTGTGGGCCTAGGTTAATCATAGATGTTTGAGTATCATACCTTTTTCGTAGGAAAATTCCACATGCAGATCAGTAACAGTAGATCCATTTTTCAAATGCGGAAATCAAAGCCATTTAAGTCATTGGAGAATTGGGTTTCGAAAACCTCATTTAGTCCATTTTCCCTCCTCCAGAAAAGTAAACATAACCAATTTGAGGGCAGCAGGTAATTATCTCCATAAAAATTTTTAAAGTATCTAGAGACGGAATAAGAAAATAACTTTTGAGACTTGGACTGCAGAGTTGTAGTCTTTCAACCCAGGCGTCATCTGATCTCCTTTATTTTCTTTCTTCCCCAGTGCCATTCTTCTATAGTCTTTTTACCAGAAGGACCCAACTTGGCATTTTCCAAAGTGTGTATGTGTGTGTGTGTGCACCACACACGTGCACTGTAAGACTTTAATCCCCTGAGATGCTTGCAAGAAAAGGGTTACAGAGTCAAATCAAATTAAAATTAAATTAGCCTGTAAAGGCTGGGCACGGTGGCTCACACCTGTAATCCCAGCACTTTGGGAGGCCGAAGTGGGTGGATCACCTGAGGTTAGGAGTTCGAGACCAGCCTGGCCAACATGGCGAAACCCTGTCTCTACTAAAAATACAAAAAAATTAGCCGGGCGTAGTGGCGCTTGCCTGTAACCCCAGCTACTCTGTAGTCTGAGGCAGGAGAATCACTTGAACCTGGGAAGCAGAGGTTGCAGTGAGCTGAGCTTGCGCCACTGCACTCCAGACTGGGTGACAGAGACTCCGTCTCAAAAAACAAAAAAAAAAACAGCTTGTATTTATCGAGCATTTCCTAAAAGCCAAGTACTCTTTTAAGCAGTTTGAATATATTAAAACCACTCTGATGTAAATATTACCATTATCCCCATTTGACAGATAAGGACACCTGGAGCACAAAAAGATAAAACAGACTTTTCCAAGGTCCTATAAGGAGCAAGCGAAATATCCTAGCTGGGTTCTAAACCCAGAAAGTCTGCTATCAGAGGCCCCCACTCATAACACCACGGTTTACTGCCTCTTTTTGAGAAATTCTGCAGATTTCATCTATGATTTTCCTCTATCAGAAAAAATCTCCATATACATTAGCCCATTTGGAAGTCCTGCAGTAGAGAAATGTGCTTATATTTTATAACCCAATGTCTCCCAAACTTACTTGATCAGGGAATCCTGTTTTGTAACACCTGTTAAGCTCTCCAGAACAAAAGATCTTAAAAACACACTTTAGAAAAACCTAATTTGGCCTGAGGAGGACCACTCTTTTGCCCAATCTGTAAGTCATTGTGAGAAGACAGATGGAATAATGGAGAAAAAAAGTATGTGCATGTATATGCATGCGTGTGTGTATCTTAGAACAGTGCCAAAAACGGAATAAGTGCTATGTAAGTGTTTACTCTTGTTGTTGCTGGTAATGGTGGTGGTTGTGGTGGTGTCATTCTTAACACATATCTAATGCCTTTACTACATCTTTGGCTAATCTCGAAGGACAAGAAAGACAATTATATCATCATGAGGGAAAGAAGCTTATTTTATTTCTCTTAGAGTACACAAATGCAATTGGTATCACTGACAGCAAAGGCATCATGCCACCATCTCAGCCTTTGCATGGGCAACACTTAGTAAGAGGGAAACACAGCATACCACCCACTGTAATACAAATGCCTCTGTCTCTGTGCATATTGTTAATATTGGGCAGCTTCCTCCATCCCCGCCCCACTTCTTGGAAGCTCGAAAGTGCTTACCACCTTTATCCAATTTATTCTGGAAGTTTTGGACTATTTGCTTGAGTTACTCCAGTCAGATGGAGATTTGGCATGACATTCAGAAACCTTTCTTTCAAATCTCTGTGCTTCCAGGAATGCTGCTTGATAGCACCGAATATTGAACTCGTAGCGTGTTGGAGCAGGAGGCAGGTATGAGGAAGAAGGCAGAATTCCACGTGTGACAATTAGAAACCTCTCATACTGAAGAACAGGAGCTGGAAGGGCCCCAGGCTATCTATACTGTGATCAATCTGGCCACTCATGTCAGGTTACTATCATAATCATAATCAATAATTCCCCAAACCATATGAAGCTACAGGTAAAAGTGGGATATTAATGATCATAAACAGCATTTTCTCTGGTTTTCCCCCAAATCTATCATTACAGTATCTCTAGGTTCTCCACTTATTTCTCATAACCCCCATGGGTTGTCTCAAGTCTACCCATAAAGAAGCCTTCTCCACTTTACGGACTTCCTAGACCTTTGCTACCTATACCAAACCACAGGCACCTCATCGCTGCTACCAGTGCCTACCATGAAAGATGACAGCATTAATGTTTGTACCAAGGATACTGCTTAGTTCCCAAAGTCTCCAAGGCCACATCAAGCCACTGATGCTGCCTTGTACTGCTCTTTAAACAATATGGCACAAGGTGCTACTGCTGTGCCAATTACTAGAGACTGGGTAGCATCTGCAGCTCTGTGCTGCCCCTGGCATCACTGATGTGCTAACGCCTTCCAAGTGCCAAAGCTGAGTTCTGCTCCCTAGAAACCCCATGTGCCACAGTTGGCTATGTTCTGAGCTAACTCTCAATTAGGTAGGCATAAAAGCGGTGCTGCCTTATCTTTCTTCCAATATCCCACAGAGATCTTTAGAGAAACTACTGTTTTTTTCTGTTTGTGTTTTATTTTTACTTTCAACACCTCTTTACCTAAGATTTAGACATAAATTCCTGGGAAACTAGATCGATGGGTAAATCTTAATGGTGGGCAATAGACTATGCTCAGATTTACCCCAACTCTCCAACAACTAAGCCCATTTTATTGGACTGAGCATGTCCAATAGCATGTCTATTAGGGTATGTGACTCCCTTTCTTTCTTTCTTTCTTTCTTTCTTTCTTTCTTTTTTAAGATGGAGTCTCGCTGTTGCCAGGATGGAGTGCAGTGGCAGGATCTTGGCTCACTGCAACCTCCGCCTCCCTGGTTCAAGCGATTCTCCTGCATCAGGCTCCCGAGTAGCTGAGACTACAGGCACGCGCCACCACCCCCAGCTAATTTTTGTATTTTTAGTGGAGACGGGGTTTCACCATGTTGGCCAGGATAGTCTCCACCTCCTGACCCCGTGATCCACCCACCTCGGCCTCCCAAAGTGCTGGGATTACAGGCGTGAGCCACCACCCCCGGCCTGTGGCTCTCTTTCTAAGACACTCCTTATAGCCCATGAGGAAGTAGGATGAGGTGTCTCTTTACAGCACATCCAAAGATATCTGAATCCTAGTGGAAAACCTAGACTTGTCGCTTACTAGGCTGTCTTCTACAAGAGACTTTATTTCCAGCATGTCAGTTTTGCAAACCAATCTAAAAGACTGCAGGAAGATGCACTGGACTAGACAGCAAACAATCAGAATCCAAATTCCAGTTCTATCATTTATCAGCCATGTGATCCCTGGGCAGGCCATTTAACCTCCATCTACTGGGATAATAACTCCTGTGCCTACCTCAGGTTTGTCTATTCAAGAAGTATGTATTAAGCTTCTTTCTAAAGATAAAAGGCACAATTCTGGGTCTGTTGGAGATAAAATGAATAGTCACAGATTTTGCTAGCTAACATCATACAAACTAATGATAATATTTTTAAGAAAGTATTAGTTGAATACATAGTAGTTGCCCTGCACTTTACATGTTATCTCTTACCTCACAGAAACCCTATAAGATGTGCATGATTAAGCCCACCTTACAAATGCAGAAAACAAAAGTTTAATGAGGATCACAGATTTGTTCAAGTCACACATCTAGGAAGTGGTGGACCTGGGATTCAAATTCAGGTTTGTCCGAAGCCAGAGTATGATTTTTCCACTAGACCATACAGCCTCATGTATAAATAGCTATAATATGAGGTAGAAATGTATTCATTTCATAGGGCATAGATGAAGTGCCATAGAATCAAATGAGATGCATATGAAAGTGTTTTTATAAACAGTCAAGCTGACACAGTTATAAGGTGTTTCTGTTATTGTCATTAGGGTAAGTGCTCTATAAAATATGCTGGCTATAAAATTCCATCTGTAAATAGGAGTTAACCAAGTCTTGTAGAGATAATAAGAAAGGAGTATTTAATTTCAGCTGCAACAGATCATTGGAAGGCAACTGGTGCCTCATATTTGATCACTCTTCTAAATATTATTGCCCAGCATCTGTATATGGGCATGGGCAACCTATGTGAATGGATCAGAGCCCCCAGAGGTCAATGGTACGATCTGAGCAGAATGAAAATTAGTTCAGCACGTTGCAGCACACTAGACAGGCCTCCTGAGAAGACATATTTGGATGGGCTATTAAAGTCACTTGGTGAAGCAGGGCCTTGCTCAAAATGTGTGGACTACTGTGATCACTATGAGCAAGACCATGTACCCCAGCAGGATATGAAGAGCTGGCTTTTCAATGCAAACTGACACAGGGTCTCTTTATTGTGAGTTCAAGATCTAATAATCACAGCTTACATTTACTGAGCAGCTACTGTGTGCCAAGCACGGAGCTAAGCACAGTTAGAGTACATCTGAAGTCATCATATTGTGATAAAAGCTCATTGTATTTACCTGATTTAAGAACATGAGTTTTGAAGTAATACAATCCATTATCCATTCTAATTTGGACAAGTTAATTAACCTCTCTCTGAGACTCAGTTTCCTAATCTGTTAAGTTAAATAAGTTAATAAGTTTAATATAGTAAAACAATTAATACTATACCTATCACATATAAAATTTTCAATAAATGATAAACAATGTTGTTGCTGCTGTTATTATTATTATACTTTTCTGTTGAAAGTCTAGAAGGTGGCATTCTTTTGACTTCTAGGAAATGGTACTATAAAGTTCATTCTAGGCATAATGGTTACTATTGCATAACAAATTACTCCAAAATATAGCAGCTTAAACAACTCACATTTAGTATCTCCAGTTTTGTGGGAATCTAGACATGGCTAAACTGAGTCTCTGCTTTAGGGTCTCTCACAAACCCATAATAAAGTTGTTGGCCAGGGTTAGGGTCTCATCTCAAGGTTCAACTGAGGGAGGATCTACTTCCTAGCCCACTCATGTGGTTGGTGGCAGGATTCACGTCCTCACAGGCTGTTGGGTTGAGGTTCTTCACTGGCTATTGGCTGGAGCACACCCTTAGGTTTTTGCCAAATGGGCCTCTCCAACATGGTATCTTGCTTCATCAAAACCAGCAAGAGGGAGAATCAGCTAGGAAGATGGAAGTCACAGTCTTATAACCTAACCACAGAAATGATATCCTATTATTTTTGCTCTGTTCCATTTCTTAAAAGCAAGTCCTTAGGCCCAGTTTACACTCAAAGAGGATTACACAAGGGCATGAATATGAGAAGGTGGGGTTCACTGGGGACCATCCTAGGAATCTGTCTACCGCAGTGGGAAAGGTAATAAACACAAGAATCAAAGAAAAACCTCTAAAAGGCTTTGGAGTAGAAAATTAAGATTCAAAGTTAATTGTGAAAATAAGTATAGGCTATTAACGCAACAATTAATAAGGAAAGATATTTCTATGTGTTTTGGAGGCTTTGTTTGCCTCAATGATAATAAAAGGATCATTTTCTTTGGTGAGTGTTTATTTTTCTTAAGTTCATTTTATAATAAGATTTTAATCAATGATCATACCCATTTTACACATGAGGAAACTGTGGCTCAAAGAAGTTAAGTAACTCATTCAGGGTCCCTAAGAGCAAAGTTGAATTGGAATCCAAGTCTGTCCAACTGTAAAATCTATGCTTTTTCTGCTACACCAGGTTGCCCCCCCAACACACACACACACATTTAGCAAATTAGTGTGATTCGTTCCAGGTTTTGTTCATGTTTTAGTTTTGTTCAATGCCTTACTTTTGACTAAGCACACATATCTCCTGCCTTTACCTCCCATACCCATAATCCTTGCCATAAACTTTGTCCCCTCCCAAACTGGCAGTACTTGTTTAGAAATTTAACACCAATTGTTTATAATACTCTGCTAGAAGGATATTTTTAAATCAAACAAAACAGACATTTTGCAGGCATACATACAGTCTTCATTGACTAAACACCTAGTACAAACTCATGAGGAACTAACTTCATTAGATACTGAGTGGAATACAATACTTCATAAGACATAGGAAATCTCTACACTCAGGGAACAATGCCATATAGCATATACCAAGTGAGCTTGAGTCTCTCAAAGCAGACACTTCCAGATGAAGTCATTTCCTGTGTGGATTAACTGTTTGACACTGCAGAATGAATTCTGTACTGCATCACGTTTTCATGGTTGTACAGAAAATCGTATGTATCCAGTCCTCATCTGTGGTTTGGCTAGTAGGCTTTCTTGGATCTTGGAGATGGTAGTATTTGCCAAGGCAGGATTTCTCAGTAAGAATGGAAACATCAGTATGTATGACATGCTTCTATTTATGTTTTAAGGGTATATATGGACATATATATGTTAGTATGTGCTCAGATTATTTCTGGAAAGTTATGCAAAAAAAAAAAAATAGTAGTTGCCTCTAGGGATGGAAACTGGAATGTAGGTAGGAAAGAGAGACTCACTTCTCACTGTATAATCTCTTGTATAATTTGAACTTGCTAACATGTTTATGTATTACTTTTTTACTCAAAATTTACTTAAAGATTCAAAAAAATAAATTAGGAGTTCTTAACTAGGTAGGCACATCAGAATTTCTTATAAGGTTTTTGTCAAAATACACATAGAGAGAGTTTAACCTTAATAGCTGTGGCTCTGGAATCAGATTACATGCATTTGGACATCTCCCCCACTTGGCAAGACACGGGGCAAATTACTTGACCTCTCTAAGCCTCAGTTTGCTCCTCTGTAAATGGTAGCTCTGTTGTAAAGCCTGCTTTCCTAAGAGCTGGGATGAAGGGAGGAGTTATTGTCAAGGCCTAATCTTTCCTGGAATTTGATTCAACTAGAGATGTAAGGAAAAAGATGCTGTGATCCATCATCCCACATTTCTAGATGGGAATAGGAATAAGTAATCGCATTGTGTTTATGGATTTGAAATCAACAAGCAGTGACAAGACTTGTTTCCCCGAGGCATCGGTTACTATCACCAACAGTCTCTATTGTCTCTATTTTGTTTAAAAATAGGCCCCATTTATAGCTGGAAGAGGAAAAGTCTTTCCAGTCTTACTAACACTTTGCTGGTGATGAAGAGTTGTATAACACAACTTTCTCCTCATTCCATGGGAATTGAAGGGCCTGCTTGGCTTTCTGGTGTTAGATCAGAAAAAGGAAATGGAATGGTCTGAGAATTGGGCAAACCTCCACAGAGCTGACCAGAAAAGTCCTAGGTTCCAAGTTGCCCTTTCTGTCCATCTCTTTCATTTATGCTCCAAATCTACGGCACTAAAATTAATCCCTGCCTCATCATTCTAAATGAGCTTTCACTCCTTTTACCAGGCTGTAGCACACCAAAATACTTGGTTTTAAGCATGAAGAAGAGAGAGACTGGTGAAAAGAAAGCACTGATTGGATATTTCCAGAATTAAGAAAATTCGAGTCTGCTATCAATAAAAATAATTTCACCTAGGGATTTATTTTTCCAACATGGTCTAAAAAGATGACTGTTGTTAGTAGGCAAATGGAACACACACTTCTTAATCTAGAATGGCACAAATTTCCTGAGATATAATGAATCCTAAATGGCAGCTTCCAGGATATAACTATGTTACTCCAGTATGTAGTTCTCTGGTACTATTTACTCCATTAAGAGTCAATTCTGAAGTATTGAGTGTTATCCTGAAGTGGGGAGACTAGAGTGGCTTGTGGAAGTAGAAGGACATGATCGTGGCAGGGACATACAGCAACATGTTTCCATTTAAGGCCGAGGAATCAATTGGAGAAGATTTTACAAAAAGAAAATTCCTAGGTACTTCCTCAAATCTACTGAATCAGAATCTCCAAAGAGTGGTAACAGAACTTGTACAACATTAATAGGTACATAGCTTATATTTATTGAGTATTTTCTATGTGTGCCAGGTACTGTGCTAAGCATTTTGCATGCATTATCTTATTTAATCCTCACAACAATCCTCATAAAGTTTAAGTAGTACTGTTATCACCATTTGCAGAGGCCCAGGACTGTTCACATTGTGCTCCTTGTTACACATCTTTCCTCAGTGTTCTCCCTTGGTCCATTTGGAAACAAATGCTCTTCTGTACAGCCCAAATTGTTGGTTTATTTCCCCTGTAGCTTACCCATCTTACGGTTCTGCTTCCTTGGTGGAAATAAAAGTATGTTCTCAACTGAAAACCAGACAAGATCCAAGCCCACAGCCCTGCTTGCCTTGTACTGCTTCCCCATCTTGCTCAGGGACCTATAGAACATAGCAAGGCTGCTTTGAAAATTAGACCTGAAATCGTGCCACTGTACTCCAGCCTGGCAACAGAGCAAGACTCTGTCTCAAAAAAAAAAAAAAAAAAAAAAAAAAAAAGATCTGGAAAGAAATTCTCTTTCAATGTGCAAATCATTCAACAGAGGGATAGTGGAGGCCATAAGATCGTCTTTTGAAGGCCAAAGGGTCTTCTAGTTTTAAAACAGCAATATATGTCAACTTCCACAACTAGTTAATTACAACAATAATAATAGCTAAAATTTATTGAATATTATGTTTCAGTCACTGTACTATATACTTTAAATTTATTATCCCATTTAATTCTCAATATAACCCTATAAGGCAAGTATTAGTATTATCCCCTACTTTATGGGTGAAAAGACTTAAGGCCCAGAAAGGCAAAATGATTTGCCAGAGATCACCCTGCTATTCATTGATAGAACTGGGACCAAATCCAGGTCTGTCTGACTACAAAGCTCATATACTTAACCACTTAATCCGTAATGTCAGGACCAAAAGAAGAAATATAATTTGACTTGTCTTTAATTATGTGTGTGTGTGTGTGTGTGTGTGTGTGTGTGTGTGTACGTCTGAAAAGAAAAGCATTTTCTTTTTTTTCCCTCAACTTTTATTTTAAGTTCAGAGGTACATGTGCAGGATGTGCAGGTTTGTTACATAGGTAAACATGTGCCATGGTGGCTTGCTGCACATATCATTCCATCACCTAGGTATTAAGCCCAGCATCCATTACCTATTCATCCTGATGCCCTCCCTCCCCCTGTTCCCCCCAACAAACCCCAATGTGTGTTGTTCCCCTCATGCATCCATGTGTTCTCACCATTCAGCTCCCACTTATAAATGGGAACATGTGGTGTTTGGTTTTCTGTTCCTGCATTAGTCTGCTGAGGATAATGGCTTCCAGCTCCATGCATGTCCCTGCAAAGAACATAATCTCATTCCTTTTTATGGCTGCATAGCATTCCATGGTGTACATGTGCCACATTTTCTTTATCCAGTATATCATTGATGGGCATTTAGGTTGATTCCATGTCTTTGCTATTGTGAATAAGCATTTTATTTTCTAGTCTACTTGACCATAGGAAGAAAAGTTTGTAAATTAGTTGAATTTTTAAAAAGGATTGCTTTCTCAGAAATTTCTGATAGTAGCTTTGTGGCCTGTCTGACTGACATGATAGAAAGTCAAGATTGCAAATAAGTGTGTTAAAACTATTGTTCCGGCCTGGCATGGTGGTGCATGCCTGTATTCCCAGCACTTTGGGAGGCCAAGGTGAGTGGAAAACTTGAGTCCAGGAGTTCAAGGCTAGCCTGGGCAACATGGTGAAACCCTGTGTGAAAGAAAGAAGGAAAGAAAAGAGAAGAGAAGAGAAGGAAGGAAAAGAAGAAAGAAGAAAGAAAGAAAGAAAGAAAGAAAGAAAGAAAGAAAGAAAGAAAGAAAGAAAGAAAGAAAGAAAAGAAAGAAAGAAGAAAGAAAGAAAGAGAACTATTGTTCTGTTATCAAGCAGTATAAAGAGGAAGGAATTTCTTCCTCCAAAGTTCACATCTGAGGCGATTACCCAGCACCCAATTCATTTCTCAGGAGGAGAATCTCACTCTTAGTATCATCCCCAAAGCACATATTTCTACCTTGGTAGCATAGATAGCTAGCTCTTTTAGCCCAAATGATTACATACAGATCAGCAATTCTGAAACCCTACTCAGAGATTTTCCAGTTCTCTCCCTTCCTTTTAAGTAGATATCTTGAAAATGCTCCCACAAATACATTTTTAGTCCCAAGAAATGCAACGACTTTTCCCCTACCACCTATAATCAAATTGTCTCAGTAATAAGAAGCCTTTGTCAATACATGCCACTGCTTTTGGAGTGGAATGCAGAAGCCTAGAACCTGTCCCCTTGCAGCCCATGAGTCTGTTTATATTGATGGCCTCTCTGAGAGATAGGAAAGAGACACAGAGTTCTCAGTAGTGTAGAAACACCTTCCTTTCAAGCTGCCACCGCCTATCCTTTAGGTGGTTGAGCTATCAGAGATGGGAAAGGGAGGTGGCAGGTGTGGATTAGGTATGAAAGAACTAACTTTCCCATTAGAGTCAGCAAATGGAGAATCCATGCCCATTGCCACAAAACACTTAAGTAGTCTCTACATCTTGGTCTTTCACTCTGAGACTTTCCTTCTCACCCTCTTTAGTGCCTTCCTGTGTGTTCCTACCACACACACACAGTGGCATACATATATGTCCTGCTATACCACCTCTGCCTATGGTTTACTCTGTCAATCTGACTTCAAATAAGCCAGGGCAATTACATAGAAAAGACCCAGGCATAGGTTTACATTTGCTTACAGAATCAACTGCATGTCTCTGTAACTACACACACAAACCTTCTATGGGCACACCTCACTTTTCACCAAAGGACACTCCTGATCAAATTTTTATGATAGAAGCCAATTTAAATTCTAATTCAAATGACTTTCCTAAATCACTTTTACATGTACAAGCATTTATTACAATAAATTTAATTGATGGTGGGCACAAAATCAAATAAAACGTGGGTAGAGATACCTTACAAACTGTAAAACATTAATAAAGGCGATATGGTTTGGCTGTTTCCCCACCTAAATCTCATCTTGAACTGTAGTTCCCATAAACCCCACGTGTCATGGGAGGGACCCAGTGGGAGGTAATTGAATTATGGGGGTGGTTTCCCCCATGCTATTCTCTTGACACTAAGTTCTCACAAGGTCTGATTATTTTATAAGGGGCTTCCCACTTTGCTCAACTCTCATTCTTCTCCTTCCTGCCACCCTGTGAAGAAGGACATGTTTGCTTCCCCTTCTGCCATGATTGTAAGTTTCCTGAGGCCTCCCCACAGGCCATGTTGAACTGTGAGTAAATTAAACCTCTTTCCTTTATAAATTACCCAGTCTCGGTTATGTCCTTATAGCAGTGTGAGAACACTAACACAAAAGTTTAGTTGTCATCATTGTTCACTAAGCACACAGGGGTGATAATGAGTACAATGTAAAGGGCCCCACTGTAAACTATTTTTATAACATCACTAATTCTTCTTTAATGTGAATTTTTATACAAATGGATTAGAATACAGTGGGTATCATGTCTTCTTACCTTGGAGCAAACCTACTTCCATAAGACTCTAAAATTGTTCTTCATTTCTATTATATCCAAATTAGATTAGTATTTTTTTAAAGCAATGATGGATGTGGCATTAAAAGAGCATTGAATGAGAAAGGGTTTCAATTCTCTTTCTGTCATTACTTAGCTGCTTTTTATTGCTCCAACTTCCTCATATGTGTTAAAAAGTGGTCATAACATAATCCTGCGTATGTAATATGGTTATCGAAAAAGATAAAATGAAATAATATGTGAAGACAAAGCTTTCTAAAGCATAAGGCAGTGTGGTACACAGATGTCTTAGTCTGTTTGCGCTGCTACAACAGAATACTACAAACTGGGCAATTCATAAATAATAAAAATGTATTTCTCACAGTTCTGGAAGCCAGGAAGTCCAAGATCAAGGTGTAGGCAGGTTTGGTGTTTGGTGAGGGCCTGGTCTCTACGTCCAAGATAGCAACTTTAATTCTCTTTCCTCATATGGTGGAAGGGATGGAAGGGTAAAATAATAACTAGATCTCTCTAGCCCTTTTATAAAGCACTAATCCTATCTATGAGGGCAGACCCCTTATGGCCTAGTCACCACCTAAAGGCCTCAGCTCCTAATATGATATCATTGGGGATTAAGTTCTAACATGAATTTTGGAGGGGACACAGACATTCAGACAATGGCAGCAAAATTCTACAAAGATCTCTGAGATTTGGGCCCCTAGTGTACACACACCTTCTCCCAATTATTCAATCCAACATTAAGTGAAGCCGTAAAGGGATTTTCCCGATATAATTCAAGTTCCAAATTAGTTGACCTTAAAATAGGGAGACTATCTGAATGAGCATGACCTATCACATGAGCCCTTTAGGTCTGAGATTTAAAACACAAGAAGATACACATTGTTTGCCTATATCAAAATATCTCATGTACTCTATGAATATATATACCTACTACATACCCACAGAAATTAAAAATAAAAAAATTTCACTTTGAGAGGCCAAGGTGGGCAGATCACGAGGTCAGGAGATTGAGACCAGCCTGGCCAACATGGTGAAACCCCATCTCTACTAAAAATACAAAAATTAGCTGGGCATGGTGGCACGTGCCTATAATCCCAGCTACTCAGGAGGCTGAGGCAGGAGAATTGCTTGAACCCAGGAGGCGGAGGTTGTAGTGAGCCGAGATCGTGCCACTGCACTCCAGCCTGGCGACAGAGCTAGACTCTGCTTCAAAAAAAAAAAGACAAAAACAAATTTAAAAGAAAAAAAAATAAAACACAAGAAGTCGACATGCTGTTGCTAGCTTGAGGGTGGAAGGGGACCATTTGATAAGAAAACACTCCAGGAGCTGAGAGCAGTCCCCCACTGACAGACAGCAAGGAAACAGGGACCTCAGTATTAGAACAGAAAGGAACAGAATTTTGCCAGCAACCTGAATCAGCACTGAAACAGATTTTTCCTCAGAGCTCCTAGATAAGAACTCAGCCTGGCTGAAACCTTGATTTTACCCCATGAGATTCTGAGCAGAGGAACAAGCTGAGCCACACTGTACCCAGACTTCTGGCCTAAAGAACTATGAGCTAATAAGCACATGCTGTTTTTTGCTGCTAGGTTTATGGTAATTTGTTATGCAATAATAGAAAACTAATATAAGTGACATGGAGCTACCAAGCATTATTTTCTGCCAGCCATAAGTAGAAAGAAACACTAATTTTGGAGCTAAAAGATCTGGGATTAAATCTTAGATCTTGGCTGTGTAACTGGACACATCACTTAACTTTTCTGATTCTTTTTTCCTCACTTATAACACTGGGATAATCTATATTTATTAGGATTGTTGTGAAGATTAAATGAGGTAACATAAAAACCTGCTAGCATCATGCCTGGAATATAGCAGATGGTCTATAAATTTTTTCAATAACATTTCATAAACACGTATATTTATTTATTGTGCCCACTTTGTGCTAGGCATCATGCTATGCCCTTGGGATACGAAGACATTTAAGACATGGTCCACGCCCTCAAGGAGTTTAAAGTATAACAGAGACAGATGAGGAAATCAACAATTTCTATACAGAATGATCGCCATTATGGTAGAAAGCCACAGATGGTATTATGGAAGCAGAGAGAAGGAACAACTTGATCAGGCTGGGGGTTCAAGGAATGTTTCTCGGAGAAAGTGATGCTTAACTTGCAGTTTAAAGTGCTGATTCTCAAACTTGAATGCACAGTGTAAGCACCCATGGAGCTTTAACACACACCAATATCTCCCCACCCCATCAAGAGATTGTGATGTAATTCATCTGGGGTGTGGCTTGGGCAGGGAAAACCCTCTGAAGACGCAGCACGTGCAAAAGCCCCAAGGTATGAAGCTGCATCAATCAGGAAACTACAAAGAGTTCCACATGACAGGCATGAAGGTGGGTGTGTCAGGGAGTGGTGGTACGTGATACTGGAGAGCAGCCAGATTATGCAGGACCCTGTATGGTAACGTGAACAGTTTGGAGTTTACACAGAGGGAAATAAGAAGCCATTGAAAGATAGAGAGATGCATGATCAGATGTCTTTACATTTCTAAAAGAAAATTACTCTGGTTACCATGTGGAGGACAAGTGATTGAGAAGATATCAGACAGGTGAGGGAAATCAGTTGAGAGGTGTTCCAGTAAACCAGGTGAGAAATGAGGACCACACCTAAGACAGTGCACTGAGGATGGAGACTGAGTCGACGGGACAGGTTCAAACAATATTAAGGGAGTAGAACAAAAAAGACTTGATGACTTACTGAATATCAAAGACGGAAGAGGGGAGTCATTTGTGTATATCTGCATGGGGTGGGGACATTTAGGGTGAACATAGACTGGGATACAGATATGTCTAGGTATACCTAATAAACTAATATAGCCAAGCATCAGTTTCCTGGGTCCTGTGTTAAGAAGTGTGAGTTATTGGCCGGGCGCGGTGGCTCACGCCTGTAATCCCAGCACTTTGGGAGGCCGAGGCGGGTGGATCATGAGGTCAGGAGATCGAGACCATCCTGGCTAACAAGGTGAAACCCCGTCTCTACTAAAAATACAAAAAATTAGCCGGGCGCGGTGGCGGGCGCCTGTAGTCCCAGCTACTCGGGAGGCTGAGGCAGGAGAATGGCGTGAACCCGGGAGGCGGAGCTTGCAGTGAGCCGAGATTGCGCCACTGCAGTCCGCAGTCCGGCCTGGGCGACAGAGCGAGACTCCGTCTCAAAAAAAAAAAAAAAAAAAAAAAAAAAAAGTGTGAGTTATTGCTGTTAATATGATCTCTATTTTCATATCAAGATAGTCATCTGTGGAAACTTGCAGTAATCCTAGGAAGACTCCAAGGCTTCCAGCTTAGGAAACTGAGTGGACACATTTTAGTGAGAGCTTCCCTGGAAATTGCTCAAATTAATAATAACAGAAATCCAAGACTGTAAGTACAGGGAGGGTTGAACCTCACTAAGCTGGAACCACAATGCGATTTGGGGCCCTAGCTGGCTCTGGACCTATATGCTAGTGTTCCATCATTAACCCAACTCAGTTCTACTCTTCAGTCTGATTCTTTCTGTTATGTTACCAGATAGCAGATTTTTTTTGTGGAAGCAGAATGATATTAACATATTAATCATAATAGTTCCTATCCCATTATTTCCTGTTATCATTACTGTTTTCCCGTTCCTCCCACTCATACCAGAGGGCTCCTTGGGCGACAGAGAAAATGAAGCAGATGAGAAGCAAAATCATTATATGTTAGTGGGAATCCCTGTGCCCTACAAGCCTGAGCCAATTTCTTGGGGACAATCATAAAACCAAATGAATAGGCTGGGGGCGGGGTTCAAAAATAAACTGGACATGTGCCTAACTTCTTAGATGGAGCCCAGAGAAGTGGAAAGCCCTGCAGAGTTATCCCTCACCAATATGCAAAAGGAGCAATAGAGATGGTTGTGTCACATATCTATGCAAAGGAACTGAGATAGCCTCATGGAACTTCGCAACAGTGGTGTTAGGAGCAGTCAGATGTACCCCTCTGGGTACAGAGGAGCAAGGAAATAGCTGAGAGAGAGCTGAAATCAGGAAGACTTGGCGCTCAGGACAATAATCTAACAGTGGATGGCTTTCTACCACAGTAGAAAGTGAAAACACCACAAACATAGATGCCATCTGCAGCTGGGAAGGAGGAGGTTGGCACTCTGAATTCACTAAGGAAACCCTGAACTAACTGAAATTTAAAATGACGGAAATTAAGTTTCTGCCAACTGGCCAAATGGAAACTGAAAACAGATATAGGAAACAAATACGTTACATTTTATAATAAGTTACATAATATGGACTGAGATTCCTATCCAACTACATTTACTTCAAGTTGAGGCTCTTCGTGAAGGAAGAAATCTGATTGTGCCAGTTCATATTGCATGCTAGGCCATGGGGTCACTAGCCAGTGAGGAGATTACTGTCCTTGAAGTAGCAGGTGCTCATTCCTGATCCAATAAGGAGAAGCAGGTCTGAAATTATTAGTTGAGGCTGATTATTAGCAGATTGCTCTAAAAGAAATCTCAGTGGCTTAACACGAAATGGCTTAATGGTTTATTTCTCACACATGCTATAGTCTAATATGGAACATGGAGTGGCGTGGATGGCTTTGCACCATGCAGTCATTCACATATCCATGCTCTTTCCATCATGTGGCTTCTGCCATCTTTTAGGGTCTCTGGGTCTTCCACTGGATCCTCTTTTTCTGGCAGGTTCATGTGCCAGGCCTAGAAGTGGCACTCATCATTTTGGCTCACATTCCACTGACAAGAACTGTAATACAGCCCCATCTAGGAGCAAGGGGGCAGAGAAATGCCATCTGGTGGTATACTCAGGAAGAAGAGGAGAAGACAGACATTATTGAGCCCTACTTGTCTCAACCAGGGAAGTGAGGACTGAGGAAGGGTCAAGCTAGATGGCGGCAGTCATTTTCCTTTCCCCTCCCCAAAAGGTTCTGTACAATGCTTTTCACTAATGAGTAAAACTTAGAGAAGTTCCTGGAGTAACATCTGTTTTTAGAGCAGAAGTTTCCAGAATAGATAATTAATGCTATGGAAAAGATAGGAGGAAGTGAAGTTCCTCACATTAAAAGCTGCCTAACTGAAGCCTTCAGACACGAGGAAAAAAGCTTGAGAAAGTCACTCTGAAGACTATTATATAGGTTGATTATAGCCATAATGACCCATAAAGCTTGGAATTCCATACTGTGTCAGAGCCTCCAGGTATGGAGCATTCTTGAATCTAATTTGTATTCTAACCAAAAAGTAAAAGGCCAACCACCAACAAACCAACTAAAAACCCCACCCAGTTCTCTTGACACACTTTGCTCTTAAGGGAATATGGACAGAAACACTTAACTCAAAGTGAACCCCTTAACTCAAATTGAGCCCCTGAATTCCAATAATTTAATATCTGTTGGCTGTGTGTTACATTCCTAATAAATAGCTTACATTTCAAACTCTGTTTCAGCAACTACTTCCACAGAATCCATCCTACAACATCAGACCAGGTCAGTTCAGTGACAATGCCAAGTGTGTTTAGTGCAGAAAAAAGCAAGTGACTTCTGGGGCACTTGGTCAGGGCTCAGGGTCACTGCTTGAATGGTTGCCAAGAGACAGAAGTTTGATTTTCTCTGGCCACAAGTCTCTGGCACTGAGAACTACATAGATTTGTTGAGGGCCCTGAAACTGAAGACAAATCTGATGACAGAAAGACAGAAGAAGGAGACCTTATCCCTGGGAAGAACTATCCATCAATATAGAGACTTAGTTAAATGAATTAGGATGCACTGCTACACCAGAATGATCCACAGCCCTTAAAAAGAAAGAAACAAAAGTACATTTGCTGACATGGGAGAATGCCCAAAATATATGGTTATCTGAATTTTAGAAAGCAAGTTTTAGAAAAACTTTAGTAATATGATACCATTTTAAAATTAACACATTTTAAATAAATTGGAATTTTAAGAATTTGAAATATTGTGATATAAAATATTTTAGCTTCAGTATATGTACAACGTTTGAAATAATGCAAGTCCTCCCAAATTAAAATGTCACTAAGAATCACATAATTTCAAAGTTGGAAGTCTAAGTGAACTGTAAGTCATGTTTACACTATTGCCACATGGTGGCACCAGTTTAGCTGACAAACAGAAATTCTGCCCTTCCTTTGTCAAGGCTGGTTTTGAATTACGCAAATATCTAATTATGTGGTGCCCTCAGGAACACATTCCTTGCATAAAACACAGCTGACCTGAGTACTGGTAGGCAGAACATCTGGAGGAATAGGTACCAAACTTAACCGCGGTCATCTCTGGAGAGTGGAAGTGGGGAGGGTGACTGTTGCTTGTCCATGTTTATATACTTACAATTTTATTATTTTTATATTCAGTAAGAATGGGAAACAATTTCTGATTAAAATAAATGCCTTCTTTGGATTCTTAAGCAAAACCCCAAGTGTATTTCAAATGCCATGCAGATGGCAGACAACACACACTAGGCAAGGGAAGAGGCATGACATCCTTTGGCCAGACATCTGGTGCTCCATATGAAATAGAGTCAAAGCCAAAGGAATGGGAATGCCTCAGCCATTCCGGCCCTAGCGATGTCTCCATCATGTCCAGGGTTTTTTCCCGGGCTCCCTCAGCATAGCAGTCTTTAGCCCAGCAATCATGCACGTAACCACTGGGCAGCATGACCTTACCCCTCCCCCTAATTCTGATCCTGGAGCTTTCATCAGCCTCAAAGGGCCCAGTGCAGTGGCTCATGCCTGTAATTACAGCACTTTGGGAGGTCGAGGCAGGAAGAACACTTGAGGTCAGGAGTTCGAGACCAGCCTGGCCAACATGGTGAAACCCCATCTCTACTAAAAATATATAAATTAGCTGGGCATGATGGTGCACGCCTGTAGTCCCAGCTACTCGGGAGGCTGAGGCATGAGAATCCCTTGAACCCAGGAGGCGGAGGTTGCAGTGAGCCAAGACTGTGCCACTGCACTCCAGCCTGGGTGACAGAGTGAGACTCTGACTCAAAAAAATAGAAGTAATAAAATAAAATAAATTAATTAATTGATAATGCCAAGATTGAAAACTTTGGCAGCTCATAATTTTGCTGAAAGAAGAATGGCCATCGTCTTTGCTCAATAACTGCAAAATATTTTCATATTTAGATTCCCAAAAACCAATTCAGATGACTGATTCAATGATGTTTTGTTTTTCATTTCTACATCATCCTTTTCTTTCTAGTCATCTTTGGATACACATCTGCTTTCAGCATTTGTCCACTTATAAACTATATCAAGTAAATTTTCATGTAGAAACATAAAAGTCATACATCCTTTTAGCAAAACAGGATGGCTCAGGTTCCTGTAACCAAATATTGCCTGATGAAGTCCTTCCTGTTGAATGACTAACTGGATAAGAATGCCATATTTCCTTTTTGTACTTGGACATATACTATTCCCTCATAGGTTCTTAAGTTTGAAAAGTCGTATCTAAGATATTGACATCTGTAGACTCACAGTCTGAGATTTCACTTATATGAGCAATTTTACCATCACCATTAGTCTAGAGTGCTGTCGTGTGTTTTGATTCATCTAATTTATCTAATCTAATAATTGAGAAATGTCTGTTCTCTGGGAACAAGTTGCTTCACTGAGACCTAGCTTCTCTAAACTTGGAACCCTTAAATAATAATAATAATAACAAAAAATGACAAGCTGCTCCTTTTCAACCTTGAGTAGCTTCCCACTTTGGTAAGAATAAAGCCAGATTTCTTACAATGGTGTCTAAAGCCCTCACAGTCTGCCACCTCATATTCCTCTGACCTCTAACTCCTTCTGGTCTCACCCTCATTCACTCTGCTTCAGCCTTACCAGCTTCCATGCTGTGTCTCCAATACTCCAGGCATGTTCCTGATTCAGGACCTTTATACTTACTAGGCCCCCTGCCTGGAACACTATTCTCACAGACTGCTTATTACTTTCAAGGGAAAAAACTGTAAGCACACAGTAGAGAAATTGGAAAACACTTTTTGAAAAGATGGTCAACGTTAGCATTATCAAAGGGGCAGATGGATATCAAGGACCTCTGTGATGTACTGAGATGGACACAGCACCACTTATGTAGTTTTCCAAACAGGGACACATAACCTCAATCTAACCATGAGGAACCATCAAAAAACCCAAAATAAGGAGTGTCCAATTTTTTTTTTTTTTTGGAGACGGAGTCCCGCTCTATTGCCCAGGCTGGAGTGCAGTGGCGCCATCTCGGCTCACTGCAATCTCCACCTCCCAGGTTCAAGCAATTCTCCTGCCTCAGCCTCCCGAGTAGCTGGGACTACAGGTGCCCGCCACCATGCCCAGCTAATTTCTTTTGTATTTTAGTAGAGACGGGTTTTCACTGTGTTGCCCAGGCTGGTCTCGAACTCCTGAGCTCAGGCAATCCGCCCACCTCGGCCTCCCAAAGTGGTAGGATTACAGGTGTCAGCCACTGCGCCCAGCCTAGGAGTGTTCTATTATTTTAAAAAAAGATCTTATTCTTCAAAAGTATCAGTGTCATAAAAGGCAAAAGCTATGGAAATGTTCCAGATTAAAAGAGGTGAAAGAGACATAGCCAAAGGCAATACCTGACTCTAGATTGCATCCTATGCTGGAGGGGCAAATAATGCTAAGAAGAATACTATTTAGTAAATTGGAAACATTGCCATAGAGTCAGTAGATTAGATAAAATACTGTATCTGCATTACATTTACTGAAGTTGATAATTATACCATGCTTATGTAAGAGAATATCATTATTCTAAGGAAATACACATTGAAGTATTAAGAGTCCATG
This sequence comes from Homo sapiens, assembly GCF_000001405.40. Taxonomy (NCBI): domain Eukaryota; kingdom Metazoa; phylum Chordata; class Mammalia; order Primates; family Hominidae; genus Homo; species Homo sapiens. The sequence goes on along the minus strand of NC_000023.11, from coordinate 120,767,470 downwards.
ATGATATATACATTACTCTCATACAGTTCAGGAATATATGTGCATATATACATACATACACATATAGAGAAAGAGAGGAGAGACTAAGTAAAGAGTATATGGGTATTTTTATTCTTATGACTTTTCTGTTTGATATTATTTCTAAATAAAAGGTTTAAAAGAATAAAAATAAAATAAAACCCAATCATTCCCCATCTCCTTATCTTGCTTTAGTTTTTGTCATAGCAAACTTCACTTCTTAATTTTTATGTCATATGTCTCTTTGTTTAATGCCTTTCTCCTCTCAACTGAAGTACAAGCTCTGTAAGGATAGGAACTGTATTTATCCTGTTCAATGCCATAGTCCTAGTGCTTACAACAGTACTGGCACACAGTAGGTGCTCAAAGAATATTTGTCAAGTGGACAAATAAATAAAGGATGGGTGACAAAAGTAATGACATCAACTAACCTTTAGGGGCACTTACAATGTGCCACACCTTATTCTAGGCACTTTAGATACATCATCCTATTTAATCCTCAGAAAAACCATATGAAGTAGTAGATGCTATTGTTTTTCCTATTTATGGATGGGAAAACTGAGGTGCCAAGAGGTAAGTCTCTTGCCTAAGATGACATAACTACTAGATAAAGGAGCTGATAGGTCTCACTCTGTCACCCAGGTTGAAATGCAGTGGCACAATCACAGCTCACTGCAGCCTTGACCTCCCAGGCTCAGGTGATCCTCCCACCTCAGCCTCCCAAGTAGCTAGGACCACAGGTCTGTGCCACCAAGACTGACTAATTTTTTGTACTTTTTTTATAGAGACAGGGTTTTGCTATGTTGCCCAGGCTTATCTCGAACTCCTGGGCTCAAGCAATCCTCCCGCCTCAGGCTCCCAAAGTGCTAGGATTACAGGCATAAGCCACCTTGCCTGGCCTCCATAGCTTTTGTTCTTAATCCTTAAAGTGTATCTCTGCCCAGCCTTACTCTTGACTTTCCTTGCCTAGGCCTAGGACTGTGAGCCATAAATCTAGCTCTGTTTTCAGGTTCTTGCTGTTTACTGGCTGCCAGATTTTCCTGACATTGCTTCACTCTCTAGGTTTCTGCCTACTGTTGGAATTAGAATCCCTGCCCCAACCCCTGACCCAGCTCTGCCATCATGCCTGTTGAGGCTCCTGATTACCACTTGCCAGACCTCCCCATACTGAATGACAGACTTTTCCATCCCAGCTGGTATACAGAGCTCCTCAGCTACCTTTCCTGAGGCCAAGTGCCTGCACACATCACGACAGAAGATACACAGAAGATTGGCTTTAATTGAGAGAGAAAGGGCCAGAGGGTAAAATACTTCTGAGGAGGGCAGGCAGGGCCAGATTTAGTCCTTTAGAGGCCCTAAATACTGAAAATAGTACACTCTACCCATGCACCCATCTCATGTTACTCAACATAACATCTTAATTTTCAAAATGATACAACATTTACATGCGTACTAAAATTCAAGTAATTTTTCTAGATCATTTTAAACTTTTATTTCAAAATATAGATTCAAAAGAAGTTCAAAAGGTGGCACAAAGAGGTTCTATGTATCATTTACCTGATTTCCCACAATGGTTACATCTTAGGTAAGTACAGTACAATATCAAAGCCAAGAAATATACACTGGTATAAAGTGTATGTAAGGTTCTTTGTCATTTTATCACATGTACATGAGTATAACCACCACCACAATCAAGATACAGAACTATTCCATCACCACGAAGATCTCCCTCCTGACATCTCTTTAAAGTCATACCTACCAACCTCTTTCTGCTATCCCTAACCTCTGGCAACCACTAATCTGCTCTTTATTTCTATAATTTTGTCATTTTAAGAATGTTATATAAATCAGTCATACAGCATATGACCTTTCACGCTATATGATTTATTTATATAACATTCTTTTTAATGCTCTTGAGATCTATTCAAGTTGAGTGTATCAATAGTTCATTCCTTTTTGTTGCTGAGTAGTTTTCCATAGTACGGATGTACCAGTTTTCAGCTATTACAAATAAAGCTGCAATGAACAACTATGTATGTGGCTGTAATTTCTTCATTTCTGTGGGATAAATGCCGAAAATGAAATTGCTGGGTAAATGATAATTGAATGTTTAGTTTTCTAAAGAAACTGTTTCCTAGAGTGGCAGTACTATTTTACATTGCTACCAGCAATATATGAGTGATTCCATTTCTCCATATCCTTTCCAGTACTTGGAATTGTCAGTATTTTTAACTTTAGCTGTCCTATATTTCTAAAATTTTTTATTTTTATTTTTTAGAGTTTTGCTCTTGTTGCACAGACTGGAATGCAATGGCGTGATCTCGGCTCACCGCAACCTCCGCCTCCCAGGTTCAATCGATTCTCCTGCCTCAGCCTCCCGAGTAGCTAGGATTACAGGTGCCCGCCACCACACCTGGCTAATTTTTTGTATTTTTAGTAGAGATGGGGTTTTATCATTTTGGCCAGGCTGGTCTCGAACTCCTGACCTCAGGTGATCCACCCGCTTCGGCCTCCCAAAGTGCTGGGATTATAGACGTGAGCCACTGCGCCTGGCCCCTTATTTCTACATGTTTTTTCACAAAATGTTGATTGAGATCATCAAAGCTTGTCAGTGCATGTGTGTGCGTGTGTAGATACATGCATATGAGTCTCTCTCACATTTTCTTATCGGTCCCCGCTAGGCCAGTGATTCAAGTATATGATTAGTCTGCCTTTTGGAGAGATGTGCCTAGAAGGGATTTTTGTGTGTGCGTGTGGGATCAGAGGGATGGAAAAGAGAGATGGGGTGTAATAAATGAAATTGTGGAGTTTTCACCTACATATGGGAATTTGATAAGTGATAAATTATGTAATATTTCAAATTAATAATGGGAAAATAAATAATTTAGTAAAGAATCTTGGGGCAACTGGAAGGCTATTTGGGAAAAAAAGTTAAGCTGGTCTCTATCTCACTTCTTATACTAAAATTAATGCCAGATTTATCAAACATAATAAAATAAAACTACAAAAGACCCCAGTTTTTTAAAAGATGATTTGTAATACAGAAGGCCTAATTACTTTAAAAAAAACTAGAAAACATTAAGAAAAATATTGACAAATTCATCTACATAGAATTTAAAACTTTAGTACGTAAAAACATATACAAATAAGAGTTTCGTTATCATTCTTTAATGTTTGAATTTTTAATCAAATACAGGTATTCCTCTTTCAATTAGTGTAAAAAGTTTCTAAACGGTTAAATTGGACTTCATCAAAATTTAAATATTTTCTTCAAAAGACCTCATTAAGAAAATAAAATAATTAAGCCATAGAATGAAAGAAAATATTTGCAATACATACATCTGACAAAGGACATTCATCTAGAGTATATAAAAAACACAACTCAATAATAAGACAAAAAATAAATTAAGACATGGACAAAATATTTGAATAGACACTTCACAAAAGAAGATATAACAGTGGCCAGTAAGCCCATGAAAAGATTCTCAACAAAGAAATGCAGATTAAAACCACAATGAAATATCACTCCATACCTACCAGAATGGCTAAAATTAAGAAGGCGGACAACACCAAATGTTGGTAGATGAAACTCTCCCAAGTGGGATAATGTTTCAATATTACCCAATGGTAAAGATTTTTCCCCTTAGAGAGAGGAAGCCTCTGTTATGGAACAGGCTTCAGACATGTGTTACAGTGGCTTCTCTTCCCCTCCCCAGCTAAGGCCAAGAGGGCACCTTTCTATGATCCTCACCTTGAGAACCTGGTGGGAGTCCCCCTTGGATTGTAGCCCCCAGGAGTTTCTAACTTCCATGGTAGCCCACACACAACCTCTCCCAGAAGCAAGTATTTTTTAAAAATAATTTTTATACTTAGTCCTTATGGATAGATACATAACACTCATCTTGCTCTAGCCCTTGTCTTACCTAGTTGAAGCTTGTTTGTCCTATGTCCCAGTCCTTCAGGCCCTGCTGAGTGACAAGAGTAGATTCAGTAAACGAATGACTAATGGTGGCATAATGCCTTCTCTTCCCAGGTAATAGATTTACATTCTAACGGGAACCTTAAGCCAAGCAAGAGATGTGTGGTAAGGATTTCAGGCCCATGGCAGGCAGGGAAAGGAGCTAATTTTCTGTGCCCCTTTAGCCACACTAGATGCTACCTCTAACTCTAGCTAAAAGACTGACTCTGACTATTCCTCACTATGCTACATTCTGTATGTAATTACAAAACCCCAACATTTCAGAAAGGGACAGTCTTGGTGAGACTAGTACAGTGGTTCTCAAAGTATGATCTCCAGACCAGCCACATCAGCATTATCTGGGAATTTATGGAAATGAGAATTCTCAGGCTCCACCTTGTGAATCAGAAACTCTGAGGGATGGACCCAGGAATCAGTGATTGAAGAAGCCCTCCAGGTGATTCCAATGCATGTAAAAGATTGAGAAATAGGCCAGGCGCAGTGGCTCACGCCTGTAATCCCAGCACTTTGGGAGGCCAAGATGGGTGGATCACCTGAGGTCAGGAGTTCTAGACCAGCCTGACCAATATGGGGAAACCCCGTTTCTACTAAAAATACAAAAATTAGGGCTGGGTGCAGTGGCTCATTCCTGTAATCCCAGCACTTTGGGAGGCCGAGGCGGGAGGATCACGAGGTCAGGAGATCGAGAACATCCTGGCTAACACGGTGGAACCCCGTCTCTACTAAAAATACAAAAAATTAGCCAGGCATGGTGGCGGGCACCTGTAATCCCAGCTACTCGGGAGGCTGAGGCAGGAGAATGGCGTGAACCCGGGAGGTGGAGCTTGCAGTGAGCCGAGATCGCGCCATTGCATTCCAGCCTGGGCGACAGAGCAAGACTCCCTCTCAAAAAAAAAAAAAAAAAAAATTAGTCAGGTGTGGTGATGTACACCTGTAGTTCCAGCTACTCGGGAGACTGAGACAGGAGAATCACTTGAACCCGGGAGGCAGAGGTTGCAGTAAGCCGACATTGTGCCACTGCATTCCAGCCTGGGCGACAGAGCGAGACGCGAGACTCCATCTAAAACAAAACAAACAAAAAAAAAAATTGGGAATCACTGCTCTAGCCCAACATTTTTGTGTTACAGATGAGAACATTGAGACCCAGGTATCCAGGTTTACTAAGTTGATACCTGATAGAACCAGTGTCCTGACCCTCAATCCAGTGTTCTTTTTAATATACCACATAGCCCCAGAAACATGCTTGCTAACTACCAATGGAAAAGGTAGCAATCTCTTCCTTCTACTAAGAAAGAGCTTTAAATGTTATTAAACATTTCAGTAAACTCAGGATGGTTACCAAACATGTGGGATGAATCAAGTACAACCACATGTGTTCCAAAGGTCAATGAGAGGCTCTTCGTGCTTTTAGCATTAATTTTGCCTCCATTGACATCAGAGATTCTGGATAACAACCGCCTCAGACAAATATTTGTAGTGTTTGGCCCTCACAATCTTCTGCAAGCAGTTGGCCAGAAGAAACACATAAAACACAGAACACAGACGTATCTGGTCTTTTCAGAAACAGCAAATAGAGAGCCACTGAAAACTGGCTCCCTTGGGGCTCTGCAAGAAACAGCTAGCACCTCTGGCGATGGAGGCCAGCCACACCTCACTACCTTGAAAAGTAGGGTAACTCAGTAGCCACATCTTTTAAAAGGATCCTAATTAGTGGAGCAGCTGGGAACTCACATACATAGGCAGAGCCAGGCTAACTTGGCAGCCTACTTCCTTAGATCATGTTGAGACTGGTTAATGTATATGAAAGAATGAGGGTCCCGAAACCATTCACTTGATGTCTTCAGCACTCCAGTGCCATCATTACCACCACCATGATCCAGAAAATCCTAGACATAGCACAAGGAATGGTATCTGAGCAACAGTTACAGTTTGGGGAATAATTACAACTACAATGTGCAGCATACCATAGGGCAAAAGAAATAACTCAGGGTCAAATTAGCAGATAATCCACAAAAACTTTCTGTTCATAAATCATCACTAGAGAACAAGACTGCCTTTCAGAAATTAAGAAGTTCAAAGATGGGAAGATGAGAAAGGACAAACTCTTTGATCTTTCCTTCTCTTACCATCTTTCCTTTCCTCCAATTTCCTGAATCTAGGATTCTACAACTTTCTCTGACACTTTGTGGTATGGCTTGAACGTCTCCTCCAAAACTCATGTTGAAAATTAATTTTCTGACTGGGCACAGTGGCTCATGCCTGTAATCCCAGCACTTTGCAAGGCCCTGGGAGGATCACATAAGCCCAGGAGTTTGAGACCAGCCTGGACAACAAGGCAAGACTCTGCTTGAAAGAGGGAAAGGAAGGGAATGGAAGAGGAGAGTGAAAGAAAAAAGCAAGGGAAGGGAAGGGAAGAAGAAGGAAGGGAAGGGAAGGAGAGAGGAGGGAATGGGAGGGGAGGGGAGGGAAAGACAGAGAAAAGGAAGGAAGGAAGGAGGGAAGGAAGGAGGGAAGGAAGGAAGGAAGGAAGGAAGGAAGGAAGGAAGGAAATAAATAAATTAACTCCCAATGTGGCAGTGTTGAGAAGTGGGGTCTTTAAAAGTTGAGTGGATCATGAGGACTCTGCCCTCATGGATGGATTAATACACTCATGGATTAATGAATTAAAGAGTTAATAGATTAATGTGTTATTATGAGAGTAGAACTGATGACTTTATAAGAAGAGAAAGAGAGACCTGAGCTAGCACATTAGTATGCTCAGTCCTCCTCAACTATGCAATACCCTGAGCTACCTCAGGACTCTTTGGAGATTTCCCATCAGCAAGAAGTCTCTCACCAGAAGCAGTCCCTCAACTTTGGACTTCCCAGCCTTCATAACTGTAAGAAATAAGTACCATTTTTAAAATAAATTATCCAGTTTCGCCCAGGTGCAGTGGCTCATGCCTGTAATCCCAGCGCTTTGGGAGACCAAGGCAGGTGTATCACCTGAGCCCTGGAGTTCGAGACAAGCCTGGCCAACATGGTGAAACCCCGTCTCTACTAAAAAAAAAAAAAAATAGCCGGGTGTGGTGGCGCACACCCATATTCCCAGCTACTCAGGAGGCTGAGGCAGGAAAATCACTTAAACCTGGGAGCTGGAGGTTGCAGTGAGCCGAGATGGCACCACTGCACTCCAGCCTGGGTGACAGAGTGAGACTCCGTCTCAAAAAAATAAATAAATAACCCAGTTTCAAGTATTCTGCTGTAAGTAACAGAAAATGGACAAAGACATCTTGCATGCTTGCTTTCTTCCAGCCTTTCTTCTTCACTCCCTACTCCTTGTTTCTTCTCTTAGACTCACTCTCCTCCAAGTACAGTCCTCTTCCTGTCCTATGCTCAGGCATGTAGCCTGATATTCAGGGGAGGTCTACAGGTTGCACCTCTCCCTCACAGCAGACTTGGGGGAAGTAGGGGCCAGCACTGTTTAGGCCTGGCCTCCACAGCTGCCAGGGTATTGGGAATCACTCAGTGCCAGAGCAAAGCTTCTTTATCTTTTTAGCTCCCTTGTCAGAGGTGCATGCAGCAGCACTGCAGCTCCCTTAGCAGGAAGTCCTCCTAAGCAGCAGAGACAGCTGAGCTACTGATGCTATGTCTACCTAAGCCCCAAGGGCTCTAGCAGCTTCTGTCTCCCCTAGGCCCCAACCGTCACAACATTAATCTTGAAGCTAGGCTGGGTTCTGACTGAACTTCTAGGCAGACCAGTGTAGAAATGGCTATTGTCACCATCTCTGCCTTACATCCCCCAGGACAGCACTCCTGTCATACTTTCCATAGGCAAAAAGCCCCACAGACTCCAGTAGATTAAACTTGCTCCCTTTTCGTTTGGACTTGGTGTTTGGATTGTTAGCCCTCTCCCCAAGAAGCTAGATTTTACGCCATTTTTTTATTCCCCCTAATCTAGGTTTTAGTTCTAAGCTCTCCAGCACTTGCTCTCAGCATGCCCTTGTGGCTCTGTCAATCCCCTGCTGGGGCTGAATTATAACCCCTTTTCCCCCACCTCACATTTGTTTTTTTACCCCTCACTTTTTTCTATCTCCTCCCCCTTTACTTTTAACCCCACTCTGTAAATTCTTCTGCCTCTTCCCCTTCTGTACCTTCCTTTTCCTTTTCTGAATACCTCCTCCCTATCAAAATTATGGCACATTTAGTGTTTTACATGAACAAGACAGGGCAATCACTCTGTGAATGGGATTCAGTAACTGAAGTGTCTCTTTTTGACCTTGACCATTTTGCACAACCAATTTTCAAAGAAAATGGATTAATCAAAATTGATTTGAACTTACTGCCCCGGTCAGAGTCTCTGAAGCCAATCTTCCCATCACAATAATTTTCCATTTTCACTGAGGCTGTCAGGATGTTAAGATAGTCAAGGGCTCTTTGCTTCCCTCTGGCCACCAAAAAGCAATTTTCGCTAATGCTGGTGAGGATTACATTAAAATTGTGTAAAAGAAAGACATGACCTCTTTTTTGTCAGCTGGTGCTCATAAGGGCTATGAAGATGCTCTCTCTCAATGGCTCTAGTCACCAAGGCTGACCTGAAATGTTGTAAGTTCAGCCAGTTGGGAAGAAAGGAGGGCATTCACTTAGAATCACCATAATTCGTTACCATTGGTTGACTCATTAAACTTCACTGACTCCATTTCTTCCAAACCATTGTTCATGCTTCTTGAAATTCAGTCAAACCACCCATTTCAGATCTTTGGAAGGGGGAAGTCTGGTCCAAACTGATGCAGTTTAAATTGGTGTTCCCAACTGATTCTGATTAACACGGAGGTGGGGGAGCACAGACAGATAGTGATACCTGTGAATTTGAAAAGGCTTCCTAGATAAATTATCTGATGCATCCAAAACATCCAGTCCTCCAGTACTATAAACTGCCTTCTTAATGTAAAGCACAGAGTGTGACTTTAGGTGCCCCCCTCCCGCCAATCATTACCAGGTGGAAGTCTTCAAGAGGCCTGTAGAAGGAAAAATGCTAAGGCGAAGATCCTCTCGTCACATACTCACTTTTAAAACCCCAAAACATCTTACTTGCACATTGTATTCTTAAGTAAAACAACTGGCCTTGGCAACAGAAGCATCAACAGAACTATAATGTGCTGATTCACTACTAGATCTTCTATTGTTATCTTTGACAAGAATGCCTGAAAATAATATTCTATGTGTTTCTAGGAAAAGAGGCTGTCTTGGGCTATTAAGGCTGCTATAACAAAATACCATTAAATGGGTACCTTATGAACAGAAATTTATTTCTCATAGTTCCAGAGGCTGGGAAGTCAAAGATCAAGGTGCCAGCAGATCCAGTGTCTGGTGAGGGCTCATTCTCTGCTTCAAAGATGGCACCTTCTTGCTGTGTCCTCACATGGTGTAAGAGACTAGCTAGCTCTCTGGGGTTTCTTTTATAAGGGCACTTAATCCCTTCATGAATGGGATGAATCTCCTTCCAAAAGCCCTCCTCTTAATATTATCACAATGGAAGTTAGGTTTCAACACATGAATTGTTGCGGGAACACAAATATTCAGAACACAGCAGAGGCCATATGAGCACTTTTTTTCAGTAGAAAAAAAAAGCCCCATGTTTTCAAACAGCTACTTAAGCACCAAGAAAACCTTCCTCAAATTAGATCCCCATTTGCTCAAAGTCTTCTCTGTTTAAAATTGGCAGTGGGCAAACTGACCACTGGTTTTAGTCCTTGATTCTAATAATCTAATTTGCCCAAAGGATTATGTGCAGTGCACAGCTGGGGCTTTTCTATCCATGGGAAATAAATTATCACTCTCATTCCTAAACATTGGCCCTGATACCTGGGCTGGGATTCTCCCTAGGGAAGTCCTGTAATTTCATTGTGCATTAAGTCTGTATGTTCTTCTGTCTTCCTGCATTCATTTATTCACTCAAATATTTATAGAATGCCTACTATTTGCCAGTCTATTGGCTGGGTACTAATTAGAGAATAGCATCAAGCAAGATAGTCAAAATGTCTTCCCTCAAAGAGTTTATAATCTGGTTTTTTTCCTGGGTCACGTTGTTATATTCTTGACTCATACTCCTTTCCTAAGCCTCTTACCTGTACCAGGTGTTTCTACCCTCCTCCTTGGACGAGTTGTAGGCATTAAATCCAGTCCATAGGGGTCTCCTGCCTTAACCCCATCCCCAAGATCCAATGCCAGTCAGAGGATCTTGATAGGAAAGTAAAAAATCCAGACAAGTCAATATCGCTCCTTACTCTAGTCCTTTCTTTTGCCCAGTCATTATCTATCCATCTATACTCAGATTATTGAAACCCACATCACAGGAATCTGATGGACAGGTCTGTGATTGTTCCTTTTTCCTTTGTGTTCCTAGACACTCCCCAGTAAACCACCGGACTTGTATGGTGCTCTGTACATTCAAATTAGAACTATGGTCATATTACCCTCATATACAGTCTCAGACCTGTACATGAAATAAAGATATAGACATAATTCAAAACCTGTATCAATCAGTGTCCCAGCAGGAAATAGATGGCACACTCAAAATGGCTATTTTGGAGAGGGGTAAGGGTCAATATTAATAAATGGACTATTTATAAAGGTGTAGGCAGGGTAACTCAGGGCTAGGAAGAGGATTTGGAGATGCCTTTACCATCATAGCCTGACTAAGAAAAGGGAGACTTTTGATGTCATCCCTACAGGTCAGCTTCCCAGGGTAGAGTGCAGGAGGGAAGACTGGAGTGAGGACCTGAAGAGGCAGACAAAAACTATCTAGCGCAGAACTTCTCATTCAAATTTTGCAGTAATTCAGACCAGGGCTGAGATCAAGGTATTGTGCATTGATCTGGGAAAATCAGCTTTGTTAAGCAAATGAGTAGGCTCATTTTTAAACTATGAAAGAACTCATTTGCATAGAACAGTGAATGACTTTTTTAATGTATTTATTAAAATAGGCCTCACTTTGACACTTTGTTAGCATTAGATTATGTTACTAAATGTGACTGAAAAAAATGAAACGAGACTGCACTTATTTAAAACAGTCTGGATTTCAGATTTACAGCTAATTCCGATTGATTTCCTTGCACCCTGTCCCCCACCAAAAATAAAAACTGGGCATACCAAATTAAGGAGCTTCGATGCTTAAAGTAACATCATAACACTGTTATCAGTTAACTAAACACTGCTCTTCTGCAGTCCATTAGAAGAACCTAGTAACAAGAAAACAGGTTGATATTAAAACTTTTACTTTAAAAAGTAATAACAGTAAATGGACCCCATTCCCAAGGCTGCCATCACATAGCCCAGGCTCCTGACCCTCTCTCTCTGCCTCCATTTCTAACCTAGAACAGTCTTCCAAGATGGCTAGCAGGATAATGCTAAAGCCCTGTCTGAAGTCCAGAAATTAAACACAATAGAGTCCATGATGAGCAAGACACTGATCACTGAGGTTGCGTCTCAGCATCAGACAGACTAGCTTGGGCATTTATCAGCTAAGACACCTCAGGTGAGCGGTTTAATTTCTCCAAGCCTCGGTTTCCTCAACTTTAAAATGGGAATAAAGAAAACATCTACATCATCAGTTGTTACAGGGATTGCATAAGGTTCTGTGTGTAAAACACCTAGCACAGTGCCTGGCACATTACATGCACACAGTAAACACTTTGATTGTCACACTCAGAAACAAGAGCTAATTTAAAGAAAAGAGGGAAAAAAACAAAGGTGAGAAGTGGGTTACCTTTCAATTAACTAAAATGTTACATTGCCCAGACTCCCATTCCCTGAGGGATCCCATTAAATTCACATTTATGGTATTGATTTTTTTCCAGGACAACAACCATTTTACACATTAAACATCTCTACCTCCTGCTATTTTATAGGTGGCTACTATAATAAGATCTCCACTCACATCAATTCAGAAGTCTATCTTTTTCCTCTGTCAAAAGCAGGAAATAAAGCTGGATAAGAGACCTAGGTCACTATGGGGGATGGAAATGTATCTAAGAATCCCCAAAGAATAGGTCAGGAGGGGGATCTGAAGTGGAATAAGAGGCTTAAGAGGAAGAAATTCAAATTGCTATGGCAGGTTTGTTTGGCTCTTGATCCAGAGAAGCCACATCTGCAAATGTTACACACACTGTCACGTGTTAGTTACTTCCCTTTTTCAAAAGGCACAAAGTCCTAGGTCACAAACCACCCCACCCCTCCCCCTAACCCAACAAGGTGAGAGAACAGGAGAGTTCAAGAACACTCAAACAAATAATACTTCCCCAACCCCTGACATAGCCTCCCTTTTTCCATGCTTGCTACTCTATAATTTATCCTCCCCACAACAGCCAGTGTGATCCCTTTTAATTCAGATCACACCACTCCTCTGCTTAAACCCATCCAATGTCTTTTTGTCTCACTCAAATTAAAAGTCCTAATCCTTACAATGGCCTACAAGGCCCTAAGCAACTTGCTAATCTGGTGTCACTAACCCCATGAACTCTCTAACCTCATCTTCTACCTCTCTTCCCCTCACTCACTTCCCTCCAGCCACACTAGACTTCTTTTCCTAGAACACACCAAACGCACTCCTGAATCAAGATCTTTGTTCTGGCTGTGACCTCTGCCAAGAATCTCTTTCTCCAGATTTTTGCATGGCTGACACCAGAAACCTTTTACAGGTTTTCCTCATTGTCCCTTTCTCTGTGAAACTTTCTTTGACCACCCTAATTCAAATTCGATCACACATCACTTCTGGCATTCTCAATCTCCCTTCCTTACTTTCTTTTTCTTCATTGTACTTATCGTCATTTAACATAACACATATCTTATTACCTTATTGTCTGTCTTTCCCATTAAAACATCGTACTCCATGATGGTAGGGATATTTGTCTCTTTTGTTCATGGATGTATTCCCAGGGCGTATAACAATGCCTGGTACATGATAAGCACTCACTATTTGTGGAATAAGTGAATTCACCTAGTTTAAAGTAACGGCCTTACCCTTACGGCATAATGTTTAGAAAAAAAAAATGTGTGTGTGTGTCTTTTTTTAAATAAAGAAGTGGCCTTCAACCCTGACTATACATTAGAATCATCTGGGCAGAGGGCTTTTTAAATCTATTCATACCAGATAATTCAGAATCTCCAAGAGTAGGACCCAGGAATCTTTCTTCGAAGCTATATAGGTAATCCTAAGGTATAGCCAGCGTTAACTCCTGGTTTAAAAAGTCAAATAGCTCTTCTTAATAACAGCCATCTCTGGGATTACCCTTCTTAGCTCAATAATTATTTGTTAAATGAAAGAATCTAGGTGAAATTAGGTTCCAACCATCATCAAGGGGAAAAAACCAAAAGGGACAGCTAGCGGTGTTGTGAGGCAGTATTCAGTGTGCTATGATTAAGAGGTAAGACAGAGAGGCAGTGTCTACAAATAGCAGTGCTTTCCTGGGGCCGACTTAGGTCCAGGAGCTGGCTTTCCATTTTAGAGGTGAAAAACCGTATTTTGCCAGCCCACACAGGTGCGAGGTGGGATCTTCTTGACGACTCCCATTCACCAAACTTACAAGAGATTGATAACACTGCATAATTATGCAACTGCATGACTAACTCATTGGTGCTCTAGCCCTGACACAGAGAAGAACCGTACAGAGACAGTACACTGGATGCAAAGGTTTTAATTTAGGGAGAGGGAGGTGGGAAGTTAGGAGAAGATCATCTGAAAAGGGCACTGCTCAGGTAGGCACTTCTCAGGTGTGCCATCCATGTGGTAAACATCTTTAGCCACTGTATGGAGCCTCTGCTTTGCCTATGTTTTTAACAGGGTTTTAAACAAGTGTTTAGACGTGCCAAACACCTGCTGGTGAAAGGAAAATGCGGGGGCGGCGGGGGGTGGTGTGCTTCAAGTGGAGAAAGATAAATTTGCATTTCCTACTCAAAAGGAGAAACAAAAATAATGCATAATGGGAGAAGAAATTTAATAACTACCATTTCTAATTGGGAACATGTTATCTCATTTAATCCTCCCCACAGCACTGTGAGGGAGGTACTATGGTTATTCCATTCTATAAGGAAGAATCTAAAGCTCAGAGAGGTTAAATAGCTTGCCAAAGATCACAGAGTTGATAAGTAGTAGAAGCAGGGTTGGAACTCTCCAAGTCCCATGCTTTAACTTAGTTGTCCTCAAACTTTCCAGTACATTAGAGTCACCTGGGGGCTTATTTGAATTGCTGACTGCTGGGACCTACTCTCACCGTCCTCCCGCAGCCCCCCGCCCCACCAAATTCTGATTTTGAGGGTGTGAGGAGGGCCCAATAATCTAATGTTACAAGCCCCACGCCTCCCCTGCCCTGGTACTTATGGTGCAAGTGGTTCTTTGTGGGGATTCACAGCTCTTCTCTTTATGTGATGCCGGTGGACAAGAAAGCTGCCTCCTCCCTCTTCACAGCACATCCAAACTCGACTTTAAAAGAAGCTTAAACCATGATTCTCTTGTGTTCTTTGATCATCTTCCACTTCCTGGAATTGCTTGATGAGTTCAAAGGCCCTTCACAGTGAGCTCAGATCAGGACAAAGTGCACACATGTCTCTTAGTGAAGCATCTATCCCAGCTGGCTCACATCCCAAGAGAAGCGAATGAGCTCTTCCCCTACACGAGGCCCCAAAATTAGAGAGCGGTGATGAGCAGCTCTGTTGCAGATCATACCCCTGGATACCTTCAAGAAAAAAAGCATCTGTTTGGCCTTGAATTAAGTTATTTGGTCTCTGATTGTTGCTCTGCACCTCTCCCTGCACAAAACCCCGGAGAAAGGGAAGCAAACATTGGCTCCCAGAGAACTGTGAGTAGTAAACGCAAAAGCCTTCCCAGCTGCAAGCTGGGCCCCACTGCAGCTGTGAGGGGTGGAGGGTAGGGGGGTATCATTTTCTTAGCCTCAGTGAAATCACCTGCATTTGAATTTAATTCTACTTTGGCCCTTCCTCAACTCCCTGTTCTAACCCTAAGCTTCTCAGAAAGCCAGCACACACACCCCCTCACCTTGCCTTCAGCTTCTCCCTCACCCCATTCCCTCTGGCCAGGTTTCTGGAGATAACTGAGTAAGATCCTCCATAGCTTGGTGGCTGTTAGGGTCTTGGTCAAGCATTTCATTAAAGAAATGGCTTAATCAAGGAAGCCCACCATTCCACTCCTTCAGAAAAGACGAAACCATTCAATTCATGTAGCAGAAATAGCATCGAGGATTCAAAACTTCACTCTGTCACTCTGTGTAAAAGTTACCTTAATCTTTCTGAGACATGTGTATAAAATAGTAATAACACCTATTATGTTCAAGTGTGATAAGATTATATTTTTAAAGTGAATATTAAAGTGGCATATAGGGATTCTAATAATAATAGCAACAATAAATAGCTAACATTTCTTGAATATTTATTTCATGCCAAGCACTGTTCTAATCACTACATTTGAATTCATTTGTAAATTACAACCATCTGAAATAAGTACTTGTATTATGCCCATTTTACAGACAAGGAAACAGGTTCAGAGGGGTGGAACAAAGTGCCCGTGGTCACAAAACGAGTTCAAATCAAAGCTGAAATTCAAACCTAGTTCTGTGACTCCAACACCTGCTGCTGATGCTATGGTCATTGCCTTTGTTGTTTACTAAGAGCCTGCTGTGTGAAAGTTATGAGTGCCACAGACAGTAATAACACATGGGCTTATCCACAATAAGTTTGCAGTCTAGACCAGATATGGAGATAAGGCCTCTGCATTAAAGAGAGGCTAATACAAGTGCCCACTGAGTAGCTCAGAAGTTCAGGGAGGAGGCAGGAAGTCCATGGAGAGGTTAGAAATTACATACCCTTGGCTCATTTAATACCTTCTGTCTTCAATAGACTTACCTTCAGTTCCTGGGCCCTTCAATGGACCATGGACTTTAGAGTTATATTGCATGGGTTCTGGTCCCAGCTATAGGTGGGTTAAGTCATCTAGCCCCTGTGAGCTTTATTTTCCTTATCTGTCAAGTGAGGACAATAATAATACTTCCCCCTCCAGTGTTCCCGTGAAGACTACTTGAGCAAACACGTGTAAATGATACAGCACATGTTCAGCACTCAATAACATGGGAGAATTTATGATTATCTTTTTTTTTACTGCTCCTGTGGAAAGTGGGACCCCCATCATATTTTCTGTGTGCGCTCAGATTCAGATTTAGAAGGTAGTAATTCCCACCCCCACTGGCCAAATGGAAGGAAGGAAAAAGGAGAAGAGGGAGGGTGGGTTCTTGGGTGTGCACGGGCAACTCAGCAGGGGCTTGGGATGATAGAGCAGGTGGGAGGGTGGACCGGAGCCCAAGCATGGTTGGGGGATTGATGGATGTATGGGCAGTTTGAAAAAAAGGGAGACAGGCATGAGCAGGGTGGAAGAGAAACTAGTATATATGAAGCCCTTTTTTGTGTCAAGCACTGGGCTGGGTGCTTTCACCCATTCAACAAGTATTTTATTATTTATGCCTAAAATGTGCCAGGCCCTGAATTTGGCACTGATGATCCAGTCATAAGCAGGACAGAGAGATATGAAAGATATCCCTGCATTGCATTCCATTTCATGGAAGACAGACAATGAGAGAGATAAATGAGTGAAATGTTGAGTATATTCAATAGTGGTAAGTGCTGTGAAGTAAAATAAAGCAATAAAGTAGTATTTTCAGAGAATGCTGGAGGTGTGACCTCTATTTTAAGTAGGATGGTCAGGGAATGTGTCACTGAAAAAGTGACATTTGAGCACATAACTCACTTAATAGCTACTATATCAAGTAGATACTGTCATCCCCATTTTCTGCATGAAGTAATTAAGTGGGGTAAGTGGGGTAGGATATTGGGAGACACTCCTCCCTGGATCTCTTATGCTCCTATACTTCTTGTTGGGCATGCCAAGAATGCAAGGCCCTGGCAACTCTTTTCCAGGGACATTTCTCAGGGTTATATTAATAGTGGCAGTGAGAAATTTTCAGGGGTGAGGTAACATGGCCTCTGGGACAAAGAGTGGGAATCCTTACCGCTTGCTACAAAACTCTGGGCTCCCCAAGCTTAGTGTCATTGTCCCACAGCTGTGATGTAAACCGACTGCATATAAAGCATGAATTTGGGTCCCTCTGTGTCATCCCTATGGGACTTGGGGACAAGGGCAAGTGACACAAACTTGCTGATGCTCATGTTGTTTAATGTGTTGTGAGTAATACAGTCTGTCTCTGATCCAGAAGTCTTGTATTTTCTTCCAGCAATCATAAAACAGTAACAAGCTAAATTATTTGATTGTAAGTGGGGTAAAATCAAATCCAAAACCTGACAGAAATACAAGCTACTGAGAATCTGTGATGTGCCACACACCCACTTTTACACATTGCACATATATAGCGAACAAAATAGACAAAAGTCCTCTTTTATAGAGTGCACACTCTATGGGAGTGAACAGACAAGGGTACAAATAAATAAGACGATTAGAGATTGTGATCAGCACTGTGAAGGAAATAAGCAGGGGTAAACGACCGTCAATATCCTCATCTGTAAAATGGGGCCAATATTAATACCTACCTCTCAGGATTGTTGTGAGTGCCCAGCTCATGGAAAGTCTTCAACAAATATGGGCTTTTGTTATTATTTCTTTTTTCCTTCTCCCATGGAAATGAGGAAAGAAAATAGCTTCCTGCTCTACTTTGTAAGGGCTAAGGGTGGGGAGAGAGCTGCAGGAGAAAAGAGGCTATTGCCATCTGAGGAATTTTTTGCTGATCAATATCTAGGAACCAAGAATTTGAAATATTACAAACAAAAAAGAATTGGAATTATAATTATAGCCCTTGGAATTACAGCCCAACTCAATGATTTGGTGCACTCCTTTCACACAAAGGTATGCACTGAAACCACAGCCTCTGCTGAATGATTCTGGCCCCAGGAGCTCCCCTTCTCCTCTTCCCTTCTCCCAGTTGCTGCCCAGGGTCTATCTTGTCCAGGGCCAGCCAGGCAGGGCTGGGCTGTTGAGTTCTGTCAGTGCAGGATGTACAGAACCCTTGCAGACCCCTCTTCCTTCCCCTCCCACTTCTACCACCGAAACGCAGCTGCTTCCTCTCTGCCCCAGTGCTGATCCTGACAGCAGTGTCTCCAGCTAACTTCCCCCTCTTCAACCTCTCCCCAGCACCTGTGTCAACATGAAGCTCACTGACAGACCCCATTCCAGTCTAGATGCAGCAGACAGTAACAAATGGTGGTTGCCGTCATGTGAAGGGCTGGAGTCCTATTTTTCTTTCTGAGCCATCATACGAGAAACTATTTCAAGGACCCATTTTGTACCTTGAACACATCCCTCTCCTTCAATAACTCAGCCAGACATCGCCCTAATAGCTCTGTCTCCCTAAAGAACAAATAGCTAGCCTCCCATTTTTCTAACCCATTTGCTGCTGCAGTCCGTGTATGTTCAAGTGATGGTTGTTGATCAAGGGGCTAATTCACAATAATGATGGGACCTCATGTCTTTGTTGCAGGGTTTTCTCCCATGTATCATATTTTAAAAGCCTTTCTGAGAATTTTGGATTTTGTTTTTGGGTTTTTTAATTCTTTAATATATTTTTTTAAATTTTTATTTCAATAGCTTTTGGGCTGCAAGTGGCTTTTGGTTACATAGATGAATTATGTAGTGGTGAATTCTGAGATTTTAGTCCACCCATCACCCGAGTAGTGTACATTGTACCTAATGTGTAGTTTTTTATCCCTGCCCCCCCTCCCAGCCTCCCCCTTCAGAGTCTCTAAAGTCCATTATATCACTCTGTATGCTTTTGTGTACTCATAGCTTAGCTCCCACTTATAAATGAGAACATGTAGTTTTTGGTTTTCCACTCCTATGTTACTTCACTCAGAATAATGGCCTCCAGCTTCATCCAAGTTGCTGCAAAAGATTGTTTCATTCCTTTTAATGGCTGAGTAACATTTCATGGTGTATATATGTATATACCACATTTTTTTTATCCACTCATTGGTCGATGGACACTTAAGTTGGTTCCACATCTTTGCAATCGTGAACTATGCTGGTATAAACCTATGTGTACAAGTGTCTTTTTCATGTAGTGACTTATTTTCCTTTGGGTAGATATCCAGTAGTAAGATTGCTGGATCGAATGGTAGATCTACTTTTAGCTCTTTAAGGAATCTCCATACCGTTTTCCATAGAGGTTGTACTAATTTATATTCCCACCAGCAGTGTAGAAGCATTCCTTTTTCCCCACATCCATGCCAACATCTATTGGTTTTTGACTTTTTAATAATTGCCATTCTTGCAGGAGTACAGTGGTATCTCATTGTGGTTTTAATTTACATTTCCCTGATGATCAGTGATTTTGAGCCATTTTTGTTTGTTTGGTTTTGGTTTTTGTTTTGTTGTGGGCTTTTTTTTTTTTTTTTTTTTTGAGACAGAGTCTCGTTCTATCACCCAGGTTGGAGTGCAGTGGCTCCATCTCATCTCACAGCAACCTCTGCATCCTGGGTTCCAGCAATTCTCGTGCCTCAGCCTCCTGAGTAGCTGAGACTACAGGCATGCCCGGCTAATTTTTGTATTTTTAGGACAGATGGGGTTTTGCCATGCTGGCCAGGCTGGTCTTGAACTTCTGGCCTCAAGTAATCCACCCGCCTCGGCCTCCCAAAGTGCTAGGATTACAGGTGTAAGCCACCACGCCTGGCCTATTTGTATATCTTCTTTTGAGAAATGCCTACTCATGTCACTTGCCCACCTTTTAATGAGATTTTTTTTCTTGCTGATTTGTTTGAGTTTCTTGTAGGTTCCAGATACTAGTCCTTTTTCAGATATGTAGTTTGCAAAGATTTTCTCCCATTCTGTGGGTTGTCTGTTTACTCTGCTGATTATTTCTTGTGCTGTGCAGAAGCTTTTCAGTTTAATTAGGTTCCAATTATTTATTTTTGTTTTTGTTGCATTTGCTTTTGGGGTCTTGGTCATGAATTCTTTGCCTAGGCCAATGTCTACAAGGGTTTTTTCGATGTTATCTTCTGAAAGTTTTATAGTTTCGCGTATTAGATTTAAGTCTTTAATCAATCTTGGGTTGATTTTTGTATAACATGAGAGATAAAGATTCAGTTTCATTCTTCTACCTGTGGCTTGCAAGTTTTCCCAGCACCATTTATTAAATAGGGTGTCCACTCCCCAGTTTATGTTTTTGTATGCTTTGTCAAAGATCAGTTGGCTGTACGTATTTGAAAAGCCTTTCTGAGACTTTTGAAAGAGATCTTTATTATATGGACATGTACCCCTTTTTCTGTGATGTCTGGAACTGGGGTAGCAGGCAGTGGTCCAGGATTTTTCTCTAAACTGTGTGTACTTTGAGTTTCCCCAGACCTTGCCAGCCTGCAGGTATATAAAAGGTCACACAATCTCTCACTCTTCCAAATTTTGCCAGCTCTTGCCTTTATCTCTTATGCAGAATTTGGCCTCTATCAAAGGACCCCTTAATAATATTAGAGTCCCCAAGGGATGTCTGCTTCCTGCCAGGGGCTGCTCTTGCTGCCCTTCTATTTATCTCTTGGTGCCTGTGCTAAGCAACCCTGCATCCACTGGGCACTGCTATCTGCTGCTACAGCTGAGGCACTGGGGCCCTTGAAATGCCAAAGCTAGGCAATATATTATTCTGCATAGGGGGAAAAGATCTCTCTTCCCTTTGTGATACTTTTTGTTAGAGGCACAGCCAAACCGGCATGCTCATGTGCTGATGTCCTACTAAGGTTTTTTAAAGAGACGACTCTTCTCTTCCACCTCCTTTTTCTCAGAAGATGTTGAAATTATTTCAAAGGCAGCTGGACCAGAAGACATACACATCTGCATTCAGAATTTCCCCTTCCCTCCCAATACTAAGGATTTCTTACTGGATCCAACTTTCTGTGCCTGGTTTGTGTTTCCCTCAGAGTGAAGTACGTAAATCAAACTTCAATCCTGTATATACTCCAGCACACCAACATCACCTGTGTACTTTTTTGTCCTTCTCTCCACAACAGCTAAGTTTAAAAAGATGAGAAAAAGACAGTGCAAAGGTGAGGGCACACAAGTGGCCTTATGTCTAGTTTGCCGCAGTAGTAAAAGTTCTTCAAAGGCTGTATACTTGTGTCAACATCAAAGAACAAAGAAACATGTGTGATGGCAGTTTCTGGTCAGAAGCAAAATGTTTTCTGTCTCCTCACAAGAGAAGTTCAAGCTCAGGCAAGAGGATATTAATTAAAAGATTGCACAGGCTATTTTGAAATTGAAAAGGGGAGGAAGGTTCATTAGATGGCCTTTGTTTTGGTCACTTTGGGCTGCTATAACAAAAATACCATAGATTGGGTGGCTTAAACCGTAGACACTTATTGCTCACACTTCTGGAGACTAGAAAATCCAAGATCGAGGTTCTTGGTGAGGGTTCTTTTCCTGGTTTGCAGATGGCTGCCTTCTTGCTGTGCCCTCACATGGTGGAGGGAGAGATCATCTCTTTGTGTCACTTAAAAGGACACTAATCCCATTTATGAGGGCTCTACTTTCATGGCATAATTACCTCCTAAAAGCCACACTTCCAAATCCCATCTGCAATGCTTTAAATATTGTTTGTCCCCACCAAAACTCATATTAAGGATTGGTTTCCAACGTGGCAGCATTGGGAGGTGGTGCCTTTAAGAGGTGATTAGTTCATTAAGATGGATTAATGTCTTTCTCATGAGACTGGGTTAGTTCTTGGGGAAATGGATTCATTCTTAGCTTGCCTGTTGTGTTTTGCCCTTTTTGCATGTACTGACTTCCCCTTCTATTCTCTGACATGTTTTGATAAAGCCCTCACCAGAAGCCAACCAGATGCAACTGCCCAACCTTGGACCTCCCCGCCATCAGAACTGTGAGCTAAATAAATTTATTTGCTTTATAAATTACCCAGCCTCAGGTATTCTGCTGTAGCCACAGAAAACAGAATAAGACACCATCACATTGGAGATTAGGGCTCCAATGTATGCAAGTGGCGGGGGGGTGTTATATTAGTCAATTCTCACGCTGCTATAAAGGACTACCTGAGACTGGGTAATTTATGAAGAAAAGATATTTAATTGACTCACCGTTCCACAGGCTATAGAGGAAGCATGGCTGGGGAGCCTTCAGGAAACTTACAATTATGGCAGAAGGGTGATGGGGAAGCAGGCACATCTTCACATGGTGGCAGGAGAGAGAGAGAGAGAAAAAGAGAGAGAGAGAGAGAGAGAGAAGGGAGAAGTGCCACACACTTTTAAACTATCCGATCTCATGAGAGCTCACTCACTATCATGATAACAGCAAGGGAGAAATCCGCCCCCATGATCCCATCGCCTCCTACCAGATCCCTCCCCCAACACTGGAAATTATAACTTAACATGATATTTGGGTTGGGACACAGTGCCAAACCATATTGGGAGGGCAGGGAGGAGACACAAACATTTAGTCCAGAGTAGCCTTCAAGGCCTATTATAATCCTGCTGCTTAGAATAGTGCGGTATTTTCCAAAGTGTGGTAGGCAAACCACCAGCGAGATATGAGATGATTATCAGTCATACCCAGATGAACATTTATAATAAGCAGTTATAGGTATATTAGTATAATTTTCTTCCATTTAGGGTACTTGATACTGGATTTCAGTTTATGGCAGTGACATAGATTTTCCTTTTAATGAAAGTTTAAAAGTTGATTCAAAAATATTAAGGAAATAATAGTGTAGACACAATGCAGTACTATTCAGCCAAAACAAAGAATGAGATCCTGTCATTTGCAAAAACATGGATGGAACTGGAGAGTATTATGTCAAGTGAAATAAGACAGGCACAGAAAGACAAACATCACATGTTCTCACTTATTTGTGGGATCTAAAAATCAAAACTATTGAACTCACAGACATAGAGAATAGAATGGTTACCAGAGGATGGGAAGGAGAGTGGGAACCTAAGGGAGGGAGGTGGAGATTGTTAATGGGTACAAAAAAATAGTTAGAAAGAATGAATAAAACCTAGTATTTGATAGCACCACGGGGTGACTATAGTCAATAATAACTTAATTGTACATTTTAAAATAACTTAAAGAGTATAATTGTATTGTTTGTAACACATAGGATAAGTGCCTGAGGGGATGGATATCCCATTCTCCATGATGCGCTTATTTCACATTGCATGCCTGTATCAAAACATCTTATGTCCCCCATAAGTATATATACCTACTATGTCCCTATAAAAATTAAAAATTAAAAAATTTTACAAAATAATAGTGTAGGCAGTACACGATATGGCAAAAATCATGAAGGTGGTATTTGAGAGGCTGGAGGCTGAGAAATGGTGGGGTAATGGTTTAAAGCTTGAGCTTTGAAGTCAGACAGATCTGGTTTCCAGCACTGACTCTACTACTTACTAGCTGAGTGACGTTGAGCAGATATGTATGTGCTTAAATATAGTGCTAGGCACCCAGATTTGACCAAAGCTTCACACTACTGAAAGCCTATGAGGACCCACCTCAAAGGCTACAGTCGTCCCTCCCAAAAGAAAAAGGCAGCCAGTGCAAAGTACCTCAGTGGGAGCTGACCTAGGGCTGGCCTCAGACCCCAGACCTGATTTTAGAGTTGTGTGTGGAAGGTCATTTTATAAAGTCATGCCCAAATGCCAGCTAAAACTCTTCCAGCCCTAACTGTAGATGGTTAATCACATGCCGGAGTGTCCTAGTCTGACCATGCTGACGAGTCTTTAGCCCCAGTCTGGCCAACAGTCTGGCTCAAGCCCATTGGGCCTCTCGTCTTAAGCCTTGCCTCTACCATGCTTTTGTGAACCCAGCCCTCATATCATCTGAGATTAGGGGGAAAGGAAGTAATTGGAAAAAGGCCACTCATGTCTACCACAGGTGGCCTAACAGTGTCTCAGAATCACTGTACTCCAGGGTTTCTTGGGAACAGAACAGAGGGGCAGAAATGATCCACACCCACCTCCATTCCACATCTTTTTATTACCCCATAAAACCACCCAGGTGCCTGTGCCTTTCAAACAACTCCTGAGCACAAAACCCTGGGAAGAGTATTTAAAGTGTATTGAGGGTGGTTTGTGTTCTTCTCAGGGGCCTCACTCTCAAGTAGGCCAACTTGCCCTTTAGTGCTGTGACTAGGCTAAGGTAGGTAAGTTAACACTAAGCCTTCCCAGTCCAACTCCAAAGAGCACGTGGGAAAAACTCCTTCCTTACAGGAGCCTGCGAGACATCTGCAGGGAAACAAACAGCCCCTCCTTTCAGCTCACTAGTCCAAAAACTACTTTTGCCAAGCATTGATGCTGCTTCCGGTTCCATCTGTCTTTCACTTGAATCCGCATCATTTCTCTTATTTAAATAGCCAAGTGAGGTCCTGGTGGTCCTCTCTCATTCTCATATTTGGTTTCTTTATTTCCATGGGAATAAGCATGAGGCCTGTAAGCAAGTGTCCTTTTTGCTTTCTCCTATTGAATATTCTACATGTAGTGGCTTCCTTTGAGTCCTACATTTTTGTTTATCAGGATAAGTTGACTTTAGGCTGAAAGTTTCAAGGGCCTTGACTGATTTGGGTTGGCTGTTGGGAAAAGAGATTTAGGGTAGAATAAAGCAGTAGGGTTTTCTAAGGCACACAAAAAGGAGAAAAGATAAGTAGGGGACAGGGCTCCTGAAAGACCAGCTGTTCCATCCAACTCTATCTTTACGCACACTATCAGTAGGGGCTTATTTAAGACAACATTCCACCTCCACCCCCCCACACACTGTTCAGCTCATTAGGGGGTCTACTGGCTTCTCAGAGCTTCCAGCAGTACTAAGGGAGATGATCTAACTCCAGCCGCTAAGGGTGTCCCAGTAGCAGAAGGCTTCTTAGGCATTTTGCCTTATTAAGCAGACCAACAACATGGTGCTCCAAGGGATAACTACCTGGGAATAGGGTTGCCAGATACATTACAGGATGAAACATTTGGGATATGCAAATGCTAAAAAAAATCTCTTGTTTATCTGAAACTCAAATTTAAGTGGACATCCTATATTTGTATCTGCAAAATCTGGCAAATTAGCAAATTTAGCAAAACCCTACCCAGAGACCCCATATGCGACTCTAAATTATCCTCTGATAAAGGGGTGAGAAATAAGGGTCCCCCAAGCTAAAATGTACTTTTTTCAAATTGTCTAATGAGAGTCAAACTCTCCGGCCCTAACCCCAGTCCCCAAACATGCAATAAGAACGCATGACTAGTTTTTCTGTTAAGAGCAGCTGGCTATATCCCTGCCTCCAATTTTCACTTGCCCTAGGTTAATTGTCCACTTTTCTCACACAAAATGAACTCTTCCCAGGTGAACTCGGCCATCTGCAAGTTTTAGAGAAATGTGTAGAATGTCTCTACATGAGGCTAGGCATGGAGATAGTCACTTAGAGGTCTCCAAGAATGTTCTCTGATTGCTCCCCATGGAATCAGCAGAGTTCAGGAGGAAGAAGGAGGGAATTATCGTCCAGCCTTTCCCCTGTGACTTCTAAGTCCATCTCTTCAAGCCGCTGCAGCCTGCAATCCCCAGCCTGGCTCCAGTAGCTTTGTTGGTGGAAACATCATTTTGCTCACAAAGACAGACCGAGATTTTCATTTTATTAAAATAAAAGAAATTTAAGATAAGATTTTATGAATATTTAGAAAAGCAGCATGTTGCATGATATAAGACATATTTACATGCCACAGAAGGAGCACAAATATTGTACTTCCAGGATGCTTTGAAAGGTATTGGATTGTTCATTGTTTACTAGCCTCCAGGCATTATTACACAAGCTAGCTTGGGAAAAATGGTGACTGCTACAGAGGCTTGGAAAATGTATAGGACACTTTCAGATTTAAAGCTGCTCCTCCCAGTACTACTTGGCCCACACAGCACACAGAAAACAGACAGGCAAGGTGGTGGGCAGGTGGGTTTCACTGACACCTCCCGAAAGGGACATCATCTGAAAGTGACCGCAGGCCTTGGGGCTCTGGCTTTACAATTGTCAGCAGCTCATAGATTAAGCTTTAACAGAGGAATCCTGTCTGGTTATGGCTCTCCCAAGGCACCTAAGCTTGAAGTCTCTCACCATTTTATTCATTTAATCAACAAACATTTAATAAATTTCTATTGTGTGTCAGCGAAACTGAGAGAGCAGTGGAAAAAACTGATACAATCCCCAAACTTGTAGAGCTGAGGGACTAATGGGAGACACAGACAAGGAAATGAGCAATTACAATACATGATGTATAAGTGTAAGTGCTGGCCGGGTGCGGTGGCTCATGCCTATAATCCCAGCACTTTGGAAGGCCAAGGCAGGCGGATCACCTGAGGTAAGGAGTTCGAGACCACACTGGCCAACATGGTGAGAACCAGTCTCTACTAAAAATACAAAAATCATCCAGGCATGGTGGTGCACGCCTGTGATCCCAGCTACTTGGGAGGCTGAGGCAGGAGAGTCGCTTGAATCCGGGAGGTGGAGGTTGAGGTGAGCTGAGATCATACCACTGTACTCTAGCCTGGGCAGCAGAGTGAGACTCTGTCTTAAAAAAAAAAAAAAAAGTGTAAGTGCTATAGGAGCACAAGGAAGAACCCCTCACCCATTCCAAGAGCATCTGGGAAAGGACCCCTATGGAAACTGAGGTCTGAACTGAGGCCTAAACGATGAAAAGGAGTTAAGGGAAAAAAGCTGTTTTAAGCAGAGGGAACATGTCCCAGTGACCAGAAGGGAATTTGAGGAGTAGAGGAATGGAGGCATGGAGTTCGAGGGCTAACCATCATCATGCATAGCATTTAGCTAGGATGTCCTGTGGGCCAGTGCTTTGCTAAGCATTTAGCATACATTGTCTCATTGGAGCCTCACAGCATCCCTCAGATGAGGCACAGGGAGATTAAGAGCCTTACCAAAGTCAAACCTCTGGTAAGAGATGAAGACAGAATTGAACCCCAGCCATCTAGCTCCAGAGCCAACATTCTTAACCTCCACTCTATAAAGCGAAATCTATATCTCAAATGAATAAAACAAATGGTGGAACTTCAGCACAGGACTCTAGCCTTCACTCCTGGAGCCACCAACCCCAGCCATAGGTCCAAATCTATCCCAGCTTCTGGCCCTTTTCTGACCTCAGAACCTCTGTCCAGTCCCTGGTTTCTTGCCAATTACCCGTGCCCAGTCATGACTCTCCCTTTCTGCTAGATCCCTGGTCAGCATGTCAGGTTCCCAGAGCTGAGACTGACTCCCTAATTCTCATGAGAACTAAAGTCTTTCTTGCCTCTGAATCCCAGTTCCTAGTCCCCTCTTATCAGACCAACTGGTATCACACTATGCCTCCTTCTCTGGATTTCTTACTATTCTGGTTTCATTGACATCTGCAGATCACTTCCGTGTCTCTGTATTTCTGGCCGATCTCTAAGGTCTAGCCATCCTCAGTCTAGCCTGACCCGAATTGGGAGGAGAGAAGTGGAAAGAGACAGAGACTTGTGAAGGCAGGAAGGGCAACTGTATGAGAGGCTGAGCGAGTGGAGAGATTTGAGAATATGGGTAAGGCTGAGGCTGAGAGCCTAGAAGCAGAGCTGGCTTTATTCTTAGGTGGAGTATGTGACCCAGACCCTTCCAAAATACCCTATTCCAATAGCTACTTGGGGGAATGAAATCCCTTTAAGAGGATGTTTGCAAAGAACTGAGAATATAGAGCCCAGGTGAGGAGAAACACCTACTGTACTTAATGTTACAGTAGAGTACATGCCTTTCTAAATGTTCACTTTGGTTGAGGAGGACACTCAGTATCTGAAAGAAAAAGGGAGAGAACCTTGTAGTGAAGAATTGTAGCCAAAAGGGAGAGTTCAAGAATATTCACAGGCATAGATATCCCAACCAGGCAGAGATGACAACTTGACTCAGGTCCAGCCTTGCCTAGACATAGTGCCTTCATCATACTACAGATGTGGTTTCTTTTTGGATGTGGTTTCTGACTTTGTTTGAGCAGATGGCCCTGACAGAAAACTTAACATTATCTGCTGTTTATTATGCACTGCCCTGTAAGACCACCACATGTGTGATAGTCCCTACAATATAGGAAGGAGCCAATTGAAGAGTTCATATTTTGGGCAACTCTACTCCCTTTTTCCTACTCCAGAGTTTAGGGACAGCTGTTGAGCAAATGGAGGAGGCAGTTAGAACTAGCCCAGGGCTTCTCAAATTTTAGTGTACACATGATCACCTGCAGGTCTTGTTAAAATGCAGATTCTGACTCAGTAGGTTTGGGGTGGGATTCAGAGTTTGAATTTCTAAGAAGCTCCAAGGTAATGCTAATGCTATCAGTTGGGGGGACACACTTTAGATAGCAAGGCTATTTCTGCCATTCTGCATTCTAATACATTAACCTGCTTCCTCATAACCTGTGAAGTGCTGAACAAATATGAAGGAATCATATTGCACTTTTATTTGATGAACCTGCCAACCCTAAATAGAATGAACAAATAAGCCCCATGAAGGAGAGAGAAGAAGTGGTGGCTGCCCATTAACAACAACAACAACAGTAAAATTATACAGGCCAAGAGGGAGAGTTATATTTTCCCCAAGTTTCCTACAGCTGTTTATTGGTCATGGGGCGCATAAAACATCTTATGAATGTTTCACTGCCGAAGAAAAATTGCTTCAAGCTGAGCTAGGATAGGAGTTAGGTATTACCATGGATATGAATATATTTTCACAGTTCAGCTCAATTACCACATTGTTTATCATGTTGCTTTACAACATTGCAGACTATTAAAGCTACTTTTTCATTTTACAGTATAGGAAACTAAGGCTGGCCAGGCAGGTGATTTCAATTTGCTCAAAGTCACATGGCTAGTTAGTATCAGAACTGAACTAGAACCACCCAATGAGCACAGTGCTCTTTCTACTGCAAGGATTTGTTAAAATAGTGTCTGAACAGGGGAAAGATTTTAAGTTAATTGGTCACAAGTGGTCCCCATACCCTGCTGTGGGGAGCTTAGCGGAGGTTCCCTGAATAAAAACATAGTTTGGGACTGGAGAAGAAATTTTCCAGGCTCTCGGTCACTCAAACAAATAGACATCTTTTTGAGCATGGATTGCCCATTTGTTTATTCAACAAACACTTGTTGAGCCCTGTGCTGGCTGGGGATAGAAATTTTTTTAAAACCCACAGTCCCTGCCTTGACAGAGCTTAGAATCCACTGAGGAGAGACTGATGTATAAATACTAAGTTCAATAAACTCCCATAGCTATTGGGGGGGGGGGCACAAGAGATGGTTTCAGAAACGAAGTAATCAGCCAAAAAGGAAAGCAGGCCAGCTAATCACTGAGCATGATGTAAGGCAGAAACTTAAGTGCAGTATGGTCAGAGTTTAGTGTAAAGAGGGAGGGAGGGATCTTTGTAAGCTACAGAGTTCACGGAAGGCTTTTTGGAAAGGTTAAGTCTAGAAGTAAGCTTTGGAGTATGTGTAGGAATCATATAACCAGAGAGGATACTTCAGATGAGGAACAGCATGAGCAAAGGTAAAGATACAAGAAAGTATATTGTCTATTTGGGGATGGCCCTTCAGATATTAAGTTTAAAACTGTTCTTAAATCACCCTTCACCTTTTGCTTCTCTTTTGCCTTTCCTATAAGTACCTCTGGCCAGCAGGTTACATTTGAATTGTTTCTTTACTCTCCAACTTCACTCTTCATGCTCACTGTGCCTCTGGTAGTCTGCAAGGCCACCATGTACAGTTGTGCATGTTGTTCACTGCACAAAGGATACCCAGTCATGGAGGTGAATGGGGGCTGAAATCCATACTGCACTGTACTCACCAAGTAATGCTTTCCTTTCCTAGTTTGATACATGTGCTTGCTAGGCCATGCCCCCAACCCAAAAAGGAGCACTTTTTCCAGTTTACAGAAAGGTACCCTAGCAGTGGCTGAGGCACTAAATCATATGTAGATGAAAGGTAAATAAGTGAGGTAAATAAGATTTATCTCTGATTTGTTCCAGCTTCAAGTCTTTACAGCTGAAGCCACTAATGAAGCCACCACAGTTCCACCACAGTTTTTATGCTAATCATGACTAAAGTAGGAAAAGTAGCAAGAGCCCCAGGGACCCTTCAGGAAGCTTAGAAGTGTCACTTCCCTGGATCCTGCATGAGGTGACCCAGAGATGACCTATGCCTGATGTGGCTCCCTTGATTTCATTTCTCTCTAATCCTAAACTGGATGACTAAGTGGTACCATTTCCCCTGACTCAGTTATTCTTTCTCATAAGAAAACTACACTTCTGTATGACTCACAACCAAGCTTATTCCTTATTTCTTATCTCCCCTACCTGGCAGTACCACCAAAATCATCCTTAGAAATCAACTGGACACGCACTTGCCATACCCACCTACCATGGTTGGTAGTCTTGTGCCAAATCCTGACTCCCTTTTCCTTCCCACCTGTCCTGTGCCACCAAGAGCCACTCTTCCCCACAAGCTACCAATCGGAGCTTTCAGACCTCCAAGTTTCCCTGGCTTTATCAGGCTTAAAGGGCTAAGCCTCTATAATATAAAAACCCAATAGTACAGGGAGTCAAAGAACTCACCACTTGTCAAGTTTCTCTCCACTTGACAGTCCAGAGCACATAGGTGGCCTACTCAACTCATTCAGTCACTCATGGACTTGGGTTGATTCCTTCATGTTTCTCTGCCCTTCTGTAAGGCAACAGCCTTATCTGCCAGTTTCAAAGCTGAGTAATGTGTGCTATGGGCACATCCATATTTCTTCTGTTAGAGGAAAAAAGTAAAGAGAAGCACATGTGCAAAGTTTAAAGAGCTGGGCCTAGAAAAAGCACACATCACTCCTACTTACATTTCACTGGTCTCAGAGCCACACCAGACCACAAAGCGGGCTGGAAAATGTACGTAAGTACCTAGCTGGACATCCTCACCCTGGCTACAGGTCTATTATTAAGGAAGATGCCAAACTATCAGTAAAAAGCATCTATTTTGTCATAATTTTTTACCCATGATAGAAACTTCATGATCAAGTATAATAAAGTTCAACCAATTTAAATAGAATCAAACTTAATGTATTAATAAATGTGTTTAAAGCATAGCATATACTTTTCCCTTACGCACTGTTTCTCAAAGTGTGGTGCATGGACTCTGGGTGATCCAGGGCCACTGATCATTCCCAGAAACCTAGCCAGTGACAGAGGAAAAAGCAATAATATTATTTCTTTACATACCTTCCACATATTTGAGATGTAAGGCTAATTATGATTTTTTACAGCAATCACATTACATTCTTTTTGTCAAATTACATTCTTAACCATCCTTATGTATTTTTTTTTTGAGACATGATCTTGCTGTGTCACCCAAGCTGGAGTGCAGTGGTGCGATCCTGGCTCACTGCAACCTCCACCTCCCAGGCTCAAGCAATCCTCCCACCTCAGCCTCCCAAGTAGCTGGGACTACAGGCATTCACCACCACACCTGGATACCTTTGGTATTTTTTTGTGGAGACCAGGTTTAGCCATATTGCCCAGACTGGTCTTGAAGTCTTGAGCTCCAGTTAAGAGAATAAACTTCCGGCTGGGTGCGGTGGCTCACGCCTGTAATTCCAGCACTTTGGGAGGCCGAGGTGGGTGGATTGCCTGAGGTTAGGAGTTTGAGACCAGCCTGACCAACATGGTAAAACCCCATCTCTACTAAAAATACAAAAATTAGCCAAGCGTGGTGGCACATGCCTGTAATCCCATCTACTCAGGAGGCTGAGGCAAGAGAATCACTTGAACCCAGGAGGCAGATGTTGCAGTGAGCCGAGATCATGCTACTGCACTCCAGCCTGGGTAACAGAGAAAGACTCTGTCTCAAAAAAAAAAAAAAAAAAGAAAAAACTTTTGAGGAGGTCGAGGACCCCGAGAAATGAGGGGGTTTGCCTAATGTCAAGCACTGGGTGTGCAAACCTGCAGCTGCTGTGACAGTTTCTGGCAGTGAGTCTCTGACACGAACAGCTCCCTCTGTTCAGGGAGGACCCGGGCACCCTCACTTTGAGTCTTGGTCTTACTTTTCATCTAAAAGGGTGGAGCGGATCCCCAGCTTTTTCAGTTCTTCCACCAGGTCCCCATTCTGGTGCATCTGGGCTCCATTCCTTTGTTCTTCCCTCTAGCTGAGGAAAAATAACCACTAACCCTGAGGAGACAGCCTGTGAGGTTTAGCTCATAACTGACATGTGGGTCAAGTGAGGCAAACTGAATAGACTCCAACATCATAGCCTGGCATTGCTATTTACCCCCCTCTAGTAAAAACAAAATTCCATCTAGTTCATGACATCTGAAAGGAGGTATCTCACGCTGCCTGCTTGGAGGGCAATTCATTTGGAAATCTCTCTGGGAAAGCACAGAGCAGAGCTGATTTATGGCACCACCACAGGGTATCACTGCAAGCATCAGGACCAAGTGGAGGAAGTGCCACTGCCCAGCCCTGAGGCCAGCATTCCAGCCTGTGAACAAATCCTGTGGGTTGGAATGCTGCTGCTAACCCAATGAGATGGACTGCTGGCCCACGCGGCAGCCTCTGACAACACTTAACTGTGAGAGACCTGGGCTCTGGGGAGGCCTCTTCCTGCTGAGTCACGGCGATGTGACCACCAGGGTGGGAACCGAGCCCAGGAAAAGTTCTTTCTGGACTAGGTCGACCCTTGTGCAGATTACTGGTTCATGCTGAGTGCTTTTCCCTGAGACATCAGGGCCTCTGTCACCCTTTCCAGACCAGCCCCTCTGGCCACTGCCATGCCAGGATGTATCTTATGGCACTCTTGGGACTCTAGGGTGAAGAACCCACCAGATTTAGAAATTTTGATGACTCAGGTACATGGAAATGTGAAGGTCTCTCAAGCTATCAACAAAGCAAACAAATTTAAAAAAATGAACAAAATCTCTATCAGGGCCTGGCGCGGTGGCTCACGCCTGTAATCCCAGCACTTTGGGAGGCCGAGATGGGCGGATCACAAGGTCAGCAGATCGAGACCATCCCGGCTAACACGGTGAAACCCCATCTCTACTAAAAATACGAAAAAAAATTAGCCGGGCGTGGTGGCGGGCGCCTGTAGTCCCAGCTACTCAGGAGACTGAGGCAGGAGAATGGCGTGAACCCGGGAGGCGGAGCTTGCAGTGAGCCGAGACAGCGCCACTGCACTCCAGCCTGGGCGACAGAGCGAGACTCCGTCTCAAGGAAAAAAAAAAAAAAAAAAGTCAATGGGATTTTTGGGGCAGTAAAATTATGTTGATTTTTCCTCTTTTTATTTTGCTGTATTTTCCAAGTTTTATATTACTTTTATGTTGGAAAAATAAACTTTACTAAGGAAAAAAGGTTTGTCGAATATTAAAGTAACAATAAAAATAAGCCTGTGTGTGTGTGACAATATCATATAAGCAGTCGAAAATGCAAATATGAAGTAAGAAGATAAATGTCTGAAAATTTGATTTTATTAGACCTGCCATCCATTTGCCCCAGTCTCCAGCATGCTCTTTATAATAAAATGTATCAAATTGTAGCACGAAGTCATCAAAGCTTTTACATAACTTTCTTCCTGTGTTGGCAGTTTATTTAAAAAAAAAAAAAAACCCAGTTATCACAGTTTCTTCTTTGTCCATCGTTTTCCATAACGGAAGAAGCTATACATAATTTGGGGGAAGATATTGTCTTTGCAGACTGACATATTTGCAGAGGGGTCATGAATAATGATTCCAAAGCTCCTAGTTTAACTCCTGAATCAGGCAAAAAATAAATGGCAATATAAGAACAAATTTTGTTTACAGCAATATCATAATACAGCATTGAATTATTACAGTGCAGTGGTTGTAATTAAGCTCACAATAAAATCTTATTAGCCCAAACACCAGACAACCTAAAATCACCCGACTGCTCACGAACGGAAATGATCAGTGCAACGCAGTTGTCTCAGTAGTGAAAACCAAAATCGGTAAGGTTTTTCTGGCAGTGAGTCTCTGACACGAACGGCTCCCTCTGTTCAGGGAGGACCCGGGCGCCCTCACTTTGAGTCTTGGTCTTTCTTTTCATCTAAAAGGGCGGAGTGGATCCCCAGCTTTTTCAGTTCTTCCACCAGACCCCCATTCTGGTGCATCTGCAAAAGAATGTCACAGCCCCGCACAAACTCGCCGTTGAGGTACACTTGCGGGATGGTGGGCCAGTTGGAATAGTCTTTAATGCCTTGTCGCAGCTCGGGGTCGTCCAGCACTTCGTAGGCCGCATAGTCGCGGACGCCGTGCACCCACAGGATCTGCACCATGGCGTTGCTGAAGCCGCACTGGGGTTGCTCCGCCGTCCCCTTGAGGGAAGACAACCACTTTGTCCTTCACCAGTGCGTCCAGCCGCTCCCCTGAAACACCACCGCCCGCACCCGAGCCCGCCGCTCGGCCGAGGGACCCGCTCATCCCTGCATGCTCGCCGAAGCCCACGACGCCCCAGGTCTTTGGCTGGCCACCTAGAGCTCTCCTCGGCCCACGGCCGCTTTTACATAATTATTAATCAAAGTACAGTTAACCCTGTGATAAACCAATTGAATATTTTGAAAGCAAGCACGAAGTAATTCTTTGCTGTATGAAGTTGATGAATATTGTGACGAAGGCAGGGAAGATATAAAAGCTATGGGGGTTTCATTCAACGTTATTAGACCTCTTGGCAAAACAAGTACAAATCACTTCATTGCCAAGAAGCTTATAAAACCAGGCACAATATCAATGACAAAGTGACTTAGAGAAAGCAGAGTGAGTCATCAGCAGAATTTTTATAACAACGTCATAGGACATCCGTAATATCTATGGCACACAATATAAAAGGCAATTATTATCACATGTGGACACCAGCAGATATTCTACTTTAGAGACAGGTAAAAACACGGATATGCAGACTCTTGGCATAGGAGTGGTATGTACACACACAGACACACACACGCACACACACACAAACACACACGGGAGAAGTGCTCCACATTTTTGACACTGAAATCCCATGCTATAAGAGAAAAGAGGTTTTTTTTTTAAATTATGCTTGTTACCTTAGATACAGATTTTCATGCAGTTGTTGTAAGAAATACTGCAAAGAGAAACCATGTACCATTTTCCCGGTTTCCCCCAATGACAGTGTCTTGCAACACCATACAGTATCACAACCAGGATATTGGCATTGATACAGTCAAGATACAGAATGGTTCCATCACCACAAGGATCCCTCATGTTGCCCTTTTATAGCCACACCCATTATCTCCAACTCCACCCCCTTCTTAACTCCTAGCAACCACTCACATGTTCTCCATTTTTATAATTTTGTCATCTCAAGGATGTTATACATTTGGAATCATATATAATCGGGTCATTGCCTTTTTTCACTTAGTACAATTTTTGTAAATCCACTCAAGATGTTGTACATATCAATAATATGTTCCTTTTCATTTGTGAGTAGTGTTCTATGCTATGGATATACCACAGTTTGCTTAACCATTCACATGTTGAAGGACATTTGGGTTGTTTCCAATTGGGGGCTATCAGGAATACACTGCGGTGAACATTTGTGTACAGGTTCTTGTATGAACATAAGTTTTTAAATCTCTGGGATAAATGCCCATGAGTGTAATTGCTGGGTTGTATGGTTGTTGCATGTTTGGTTTCATTAGAAACTGTTCAACTCTTTTCCAGAGTAGCTGTACCATTGTACATTGCCACCAGCAATATAGGAGAGATCTAGTTTCTCTTCATAAAAGGAAAGGTTTTTAATTTAGTTAACAAGTGGTTTTTTTTAATGAGTCATGAAGTAGATTGGAAAAGGGGCACTGCGGCCAATTCTGAAGAGCATTAGCCATGACTGCCGCCCAGAAATATGTAGCAAATAAAAGAGGTTGCACCCGTATGTGAAGCCACTCACGACTTGATTAACAATGATCAGCAACATGCCTTCTGATCACAGTTCAGTATTGAAAAAAACAAATACTGTGAGTATAATAAAATTTTGGCCCCTAAGAAGATGTCTTCCCAGCATGCTGTACAAAGAAATAAGCAGTAAATACTAATCTCCACTTTTCCACACTAAGCATGCCAGCTGTTGAGAGAAGCTGCTCTCCCATAACTTTTTGATACAAGGGATAGGGAAAGGGACCTTATGAAAATGATAATGCCACTAAAGAGCATTTCTCATATTCAAATGCCTTGCTGAAGACATATTTTATAGCCACATTTTCAGAATATTAAAGAACCTGTAGTTATTAGCTCAGTGGTGAAATACTGCCATGTTTAATGTTAAAGATAAAATAATCAGAATTTTTTAAGAAGACTGAACTATGATGCAAACAGCTTTGTCACTAAGAATTTGATTCTGTCCCAACATGTGGAGACTTTATGCACTTCTTGAAGAAAGAAATCGACTATATATGATTGGGTATATGTAAATATCACGTTCAAGTTCTTCAGTGGAACTTGTAACCACACTTTTTTGAACTAAATGCAGTCAAAGTGGTAATTTAGGAATGCACACCCATCTGTTTCCCAAGTTCAACTATTCTGTCTTCTAGCCTTTGACTGTGATTTGTTCAGGGACTTTAGTATCTGATGGAGTGCTTCAAAGTACTATCAGGGAACCGTCCTTGTAATATCTAGCTTTTTGGATGTATAATATCTATAGGTTTGATAAGGCCACTAAATACTTAAGGCAGTTCCCAATGACCTAGGATTCTGAATTAGAATTTTTAACTTTTTATTATGAAAAACTTCAAACATGTACAAAAGTAGAGTAGATAGGATAATGAAAGTCCAGGTATTCACTACCCAGATTCAATAGTGGAATAAATGCTTCTGGTGCCCTACATCACAGCCTCTTTCTCCACCTTGCTCAGCCAGAGCTGGGGTAGACAGTTCTATGTAAGCTCAGACTCACATCACCCTAACAAACAGTATCCTGCCCCAAAATCAAGTTTCTCTCTTCTGCTTCTGCCCTCAAGGCCTTCATGAAAGCCAATCCACATGAAAACACCTCCTAGCCTTGGAGATAACCCTCAAATGAGGGGGACAATAACTGGTGGATGAGAGCTGCAACCTCTCATCCATCAAAGGGAGAGTTCTGGGAGAATGTTCTATAGCTTCCCCCAAGCAGTCTAACCAGAATTCAGCCCTTGTTGCCCAATGCAGCAACCTCATAATGCACCTTTGCACTGACTTTTTTTCTTTCTCTAATTCTCCTTACTACCTCGCTCCTGCTTCCTGGAATAACACCCTAAATATACTAACTGCACCCATGTCCTTGCCTCAGACTGCTGTGGAGGAATCCAACTAAGACAAATAGTTTAAAATTTTTTAGCACATATACACCATGGAATACTATGCAGCCATGAAAAATGATGAGTTCATGTCCTTTGTAGGGACATGGATGAAGCTGGAAACCATTATTCTCAGCAAACTATCGCAAGGACAAAAAAACAAACACCGCATGTTCTCACTCACAGGTGGGAATCGAACAATGACAACACTTGGACACAGGAAGGGGAACATCACACACCGGAGCCTGTTGTGGGGTGGGGGGAGGAGGGAGGGATAGCATTAGGAGATATACCTAATGTAAATGACGAGTTAATGGGTGCAGCACACCAACATGGCACATTTATATATATGTAACAAACCTGCACGTTGTGCACATGTACCCTAGAACTTAAAGTATAATAAATAAATAAATAAATAAATAAATAAATATAAAAATTAAAAAAAAATTTAGCATTCTTATTTCACCTATCCTGTAATATTGTGGAGCATTTTAAAGTGTTTTTAAAGCTTGACTTTTTAAAATTTAATAGAAATAGGAAGGAAAGAAATCAACTCAACATGGAAGCTGATCTGTGATCAAGCTGTGTGTCACCAAGGTAAACCTATATACCTTGGTGAATTATTGCCCCTAAATATCATCTCTTTCCTTAATATAAAATCATTATTAAGTACATTATTTCAAATAATACTTTAATGTGATGGTGAAATGAAAAATATGATGGAGATTCATTTTAGTTTACCTCAAGGATGGTCTGTGTCAGCAGGGTGCCCTTTTTTTCCCCGAGACAGAGAGACAGAGTCGTGCTCTTCCACCCAGGCTGGAGTGCAGTGGCACAATCATGGTTCACTGCAGCCTCAAACTTCTGGGTTCAAGTGATCTTCCTGCCTCAGCCTCCCAAGTAGCTGGGACTACAGGTGTGCACTACCACACTCGACTAATTTCTTTGTGTATCTTGTTGAGATGGGGTCTTCTATGTTGCCCAGGCTGGTCTCAAACTCCTGGCCTCAAGCGATCCTCCAACCTTGGCCTCCCAAAGTGTTGGGATTACAGGCATGAGCCACCATGCCCAGCCCAGGATGCCCATTATGTGGCTCTTGAAAATGAACTATGAGGCCGGGTGCAGTGGCTCATGCCTGTAATCCCAGCACTTTGGGAGGCTGAGGCAGGTGGATCACCTGAGGTTGAGAGTTCGAGACCAGCCTGGCCAACATGGTGAGACCCTGTCTCTACTAAAGACACAAAAATTAGCCAGGCATGGTGCCTGTAATCCCAGCTACTCAGGAGGCTGAGACAGGAAAATTGATTGAACCCAGGAGGCAGAGGTTGCAGTGAGCCAAGATCGTGCCACTGCACTCCAGCCTAGGGGACAAAGAAAGACTCCATCTAAAAAAAAAAAAAAAAAAAAAAAAAAAAAAAAAACAACTATGAGAAATGCTGACTGTTCAAAAACTCCCCAGGGCTGTTCACAGGAGTCTGTGAACTTCATCAAAACGTATGCTGATGTGTGTATATCCACATGTTCAGTCATTTTCCTGGAGGAAAAAGTCAGTAGCTTTCACCAGATTCTAAAGCAAGTCCTTGACCAAAAAAGGGTTAAGAAACACTGATGAAGGGATATCGGGCACTATGACCTCTGAGTAGGGATGACTTTATTGTAGAGAGAAAGTGCTTCTGGAACTCTTTAAATCATTCTACGTGGCTGATCATCATCTTCACCAAATTGCACAGTTAGCCTCATTATGTGAATCTAACTAGAATTGATATGATTACAATAAAAGGATTTTTCCTGCTCAAGGTCTAGTTTATAAAGAAATTGAATTTTCCCCTCAAGGCTTCATTTATAATAAAATGACTTTTTTTTCTTTCTCAAGGCCTTGTTTTCAACATCTGGATTACATGATCTGGTTCCAATATTTTCCTCAAAGCTATCTCTCCTAGCCTCAAAGAACTTTTGAGAGTTTGCCAATCAACAGGAAAAACATTTAGATTACAATACATGCTCTTTCCAGACTAGCCCTAGTTCTCTCAGATATTTCTGTACCCTGAACTGGTGCACTTCCAGGAATATGAGGGATTTTGCACCAGCTGTTGATGAAACAATTCCTTCCACCTGTGTCTTGTCCAGTCCCTAAATTACTAACTCAGAAAGGAAGTTGGAAAGTTAAAGAGGCACACTTTCTCTAAGGAGCCTTAATTAGGTTTGGCATTTGAGTTTGTGGTGTTTTTCTTTCCCTATTAACAAAGGACTATTTGTACATCATAAATAGAAGTAGAGGAAGAAAATGATATCTTAAATCATCCACTTAAAAACCAAGACAAAAATGGTACAGGTGGCTTTTTAAAAGAAGGAGGAAAAATCCCCTCCACATAAGCCCTTTTCTTGAATAGGCCTCTAACTAGCCCTGGTGCAGCTGCAAGGATGCATTTAATGATTCTGTGATTTATTGCTCTACAGAGGATATTCTCAGCCATCATCTGCAGAAGAGGCCCTAGCAATATGTAGAATGGGAGACTAAGAACGTATTGGAATGGGCTAAATTTTCCATGTGGTTTCCATTTTCTTTCTTATTGTACATCAAAAGTATTTTTTTTAAGAAAACGATTTTTAGCCATCACAAATATCATAAAAGCACCCTGCCCCTAGGGCAGCTTGCAGCAGGCCTGAGCCAGAAACTGTGACTAGAAAGAGAAGGAGCTCAAAACATCCTCCATCTTGAAAGGCGAAGCTTCCTAAAGCCAGTTCTTCGCACAAAATCCTCTCTGATCTGAAGACCTATGACTTCTATTGGGTGTCCCCAGACTAAGTCACGATTGTAAGGTAGTAAAGAGCAGCTAATATCGACTGAGCACTATGGGACACCAAATGCTTTGGGTCATTTACATGGATTATTTCATTTACTACTCAATTTATTGTCTCCATTTTACAGATGAGGAAACTGAGAGCTGAGAGAAGTTAAGTCACTTTACCCAAGGGCACAAAGCCTATGAATGGAAAGCTAGGATTTGATCCCTGGTTTGTATGATTTCAATAGTAGTGCTTTTAACTACTACATAGTTGTCACCCCTTTCTTTTCTTCTAGGGTCCCTCCCTGACCACAAATATAATATAATGTCAGGAATTCCTTATACTATCCCCTAGCTACCTAGGAACTAAAACTACAGTAACCATCTATGCCTGTCCTCCAGAGTAATGCCCCATTGTACAAAATTTCCCATATTATCTAATATCTCCCCATGGAACTCTGGGTTTCCCATCAAATCTTTCAATAAAATTATGGCTTTAAATAATAAAAATCATTTCAGGTCCTCCTAATACTAATTGATAAATTTTTCTTGTATATATCCACCTACCCACATAAACACGCATCCTCTTATTCTACTAGTTCACCTATATTGAGTACTTACTATGTGCCAGACATCAAGTTAATCACTTCACATGAATCTTCTCATGTGCTTCTCCACAGTAACCCTATGAGGTAGCTGCTATTATTACATCTGTTTTACACATGAGAAAACTGAAGCTCAGAAAAGCTCCAAAGTTCAGAAAAGCTCCAAGCAAGTGGAGGAGTTAGGGTTTGAATTCAGATGTGTTTCACTTGAGAGCCCAAACCCCTAAACCACTACATTCTACTTCCCCTTTTCTTAACAGTGATAAGTCATGTTGATCGTACATACCAGTCATATAATGTGGTCAAAATAGCCCTTTACTTCTGTGGAGTTCCTCCCAAATCCCACAGCCCCAGCATAATTATGAGAAAAACATAATACGAATATCAGTGGAGGAACTTTCTAAAAAATACCTAACCAGTACTCCCCAAAACTGTCAAGGTCATGAAAAAGAAGGAAAAAATTCCAGGTGACATCTATGAAAATGATGGAGTAGGGAACTCCTGTGAAAGTTCTCAGAATCAAAATGGAGTCACTGTGGAAAAAAAAAATGACAAATAGAGCCAGGGAAGACCATGAAGGGAGGATTCTCATGCATAAATGACAGATAACAAGAACTTTCAGAAAAGACTGCAAAAACCACAACCTTGCACAAAGGCCATCACAACCTCACACACACAAAAATACTTCTGCAAGGATATCTGCCCATCAGCTGCCTGTCCAGCCTTGGAGTGATGCCACCCTTGTTACTGATCCTTGTAGCCAAG
The DNA here is from genome assembly GCF_000001405.40 of Homo sapiens. Taxonomy (NCBI): domain Eukaryota; kingdom Metazoa; phylum Chordata; class Mammalia; order Primates; family Hominidae; genus Homo; species Homo sapiens. The sequence goes on along the minus strand of NC_000023.11, from coordinate 120,725,967 downwards.
GATAAGTATCTCCAAACAATTAAGTAATCCTCATTTTTCTTTTAAAAACTTTGTCTTCATCTACCTCCCCAAAAACGCACATAGTTTACTAGGACACATATTAACATTGCAATGCTCTATTCCTGAATACATATCATTTTCTTTTGGAGGGCCTCTCTCTGTTTGTTATTTAGGTTGACATAAATGGTGTGCAGAAGTGGGACCTGAAAAAGATCTCTATCCGAAGGAATTGGTGATTATTGGAACTGGTGTACAGCACTCACTTGAGCCCTTTGAGCTCTCTGCTTCTGCAGCCTAGTTTTTCTGCCCTGATGAGTCTTCTGTCAGGCCAAGCCTCTCTCTTTTTGTAGATGATTTTGACTTTATTCAGGACTTGGTAATAAGGCCACCTTAAAAAGAGACCTTACATTCCTCCTAGGATGATAAAAGACTTTTTGTCTTTCTGGTATAAAGACAATGTCCTTCTGGTTTGAGTACTCTAGTTTCTATAGAAGTTACACCCTGTCTGTGAGACATGTCTTTTTCTGGTGAATTTACTTTTGGTTCTTTCTACACACCCAATTTAATATTTTATTTGATCTCCATGCTTCATTTAAAATTCTTATGAGCACTCTAATTTTGATTTCATTTTGGTTTGGTTTTGCATCTCTATAAATGATTTCTCTGTTTTCCCTTGCTTGTTTCTAAAAATCTTCTGAGAGCAAAAATAAAAAATTGTAAATGGTGGGCACAAGGAGGCTGGTCAAAGGCCACTAGGGTGGCTGGGCATGGTGGCTCATGCCTGTAATCCCAGCAGTTCGAGAGGCCAAAACAGGAGGATCACTTAAAGCCATGAGTTTGAGACCAGACTGGGCAATAAACCAAGAGGCCCCCATCTCTCCAAAAAAAAAAAAAAAAAAAACTAGTAAAACTAAAAGTATTTAACAGCCACTAGGGCGATCACCACCATCTAAAACATTAGTCCAAACTCCTGACAGTCTCTAATAGGATTTATAAGATTTTCTTTGCTTTCAAGAGATTAATAAGAAATGGAATGAGATTCTTAAACATTAAGGCATGCCAGGTTTTCTGGGATTCCAGCCAAGTATATTAGAGATTCTAGCGCATATGGTTTGTTTGTTTGTTTGTTTGTTTTTGTTTTTGTTTTGAGATGGAGTCTCACTCTGTCGCCCAGGCTGGAGTGCAGTGGCACAATCTCGGCTCACTGCAACCTCCACTTCCCAGGTTCAAGCGATTCTCCTGCCTCAGCCTCCCAAGTAGCTGGGATTACAGGCGCCTGCCACCATGCCCAGCTGATTTTTTGTATTTTTAGTAGACATGGGGGTTTCACCATGTTGGCCAGGTTGGTTTCAAACTCCTGACCTCAAGTGATTCACCTGCCTCGGCCTCCCAAACTGCTAGGATTATAGGCATGAGCCACCGCGCCCGGCCTAGTGCACATGTTTAAAATAATGGGCAAACTACATCAAGAAAAGTTCAGAGCTCAATGGCCATTATATAAACTGTCTGAGCTTATAAAAAAAAACCTGAAACCAACTATAGAGTTAATACAGAGAGCCTTCTAAGTTCTCTATCTCTCTACTGTTTTTCTGCCTATTTTGAATCTGCTGACTTTTCTACTGGTATTGAGATAAACTCACGACTTGTGGCGTTCCAGCCAAGAAATAAAAGGTCTTAAAAGGCTTTCAAATTAACAGCTTTACAAATTACAACATCTCTATGGCAACCAACAACCTAGACCTAAGAGACATCCCTTTTAACATAAATTTAGGTTTACCTAAATAGCAATAGCTTAGGGTGATGGAACAGTTAATTGAAGAATTAATATTCTATAAGAAATAGAACTAGATAAATGTGTATAAAAGCCTCTCTACTCAAATAGGACAAAATCTTAAGCTCAGAGCAATTATAATATAAGCTATCTTTGTCCAACATAAAAATTGCTTTGTCTGCCATGCAGGGGCCAAAAAAAAAGCCAGAAAAAAAAACTGGAAAAAAAAGCCAGAAAAAAAAGGACGCTTCCCTGCCCACATTAACTTGTCACACAAACCAAACCAACAAACGAAAGATAGATTTGTTAATAAAAATTTAAGGCTACTTGGATATTTGGGTTTCCTTATACAGTTTAGCCAGTTCTAGCTAGAATGTACACATTAAAATTTTAACCTTATATTCATTTGAAACTGAAAAAAAAGGGGGGGGGGACAAAAGGCAAACGGGATTAAAAAAAATCAGGACGCTTTACTCAAAATTTTGGTCCACAGCCTTCATTAGATTACCTATTAGGGCAAATAAAGTTTATTTAGCCTTATGAACAGGTCCCACGTTGTAAGAAGTATAATTTGGATCTAATTACCATTTATAAACTGATGAGTTTTTATTATTATCTCATGGCTAAAATTCCAAAATGAAAGTTATAAGATTCTATGTGAGTGTATATGTATATACGTACACATACTATGTTGCATGTTGTGCCTACATAGTAAAATCTGGTGTAGTCAGCCAGAAATGCCTTAAGAAATTCTATTCAGATTGGTGTAAATACGAATATCATTCAAGGCTACTATGAACACCTTTATGGGCATAAACTAGAAAACCAGAAGAAAGGGATAAATTCCTGGAAATGTACAATCCTCCCAGATTAAGCCAGGAAGAAATAGAAACTGTGAACAGGCCAATAACAAGCAGCGAGATTGAAATAACTAAAAAGCTACCAACAAAAAAAAGTCACGGACCACATGGATTCACAGCTGAATTCCATCAGACATTAAAAGAATTGGTACCAATCCTATTGACACTATTCCAAAAGATAGAGAAAGAGGAAATCCTCCCTAAATCATTCTATGAAGCCAGTGTCACCCTAATACCAAAACCAGGAAAGGACATAACAAAAAAAGAAAACTACAGACCAATATCCCTGGTGAACATAGATGCAAAAATCCTCAAAAAATACTAGCTGTAATTGAATCTAATAGCATATCAAAAAGAGAATACAGCATGATCAAGTGGGTTTCATATCAGGGATGGTGAGATTGTTTAATATATGCAAGTCAATAAATGTGATACATCACATAAAGTTAAAAACAAAAATCATATGATCATTTCAACAGAAGCAGAAAAAGCATTTGACAAAATCCAGCATCCCTTTACGATTAAAACCCTCAGCAAAATCAGCATATAGGGGACATACCTCAATGTAATAAAAGCCACCTATGACAAACCCACAGCCAACATTATACTGAATTGGGAAAAGTTGAAAGCATTGTTCCATTCCTGAGAACTGGATCAAGACAAGGATGCCTACTTTCACCACTTCTGTTCAAAATAGTACTGGAAGTCCTAGCCAGAGCAATTAGACAAGAGAAAGAAATAAAGGGCATCCAAATCAGTAAAAAGGAAGTCAAACTGTCACTGTTTGCCAGTGATACAATCATATACCTAGAAAACCCTAAAGACTCATCCAAAAAGCTCCTAGATCTGATAAATGAATTCGGTAAAGTTTCCTTTACAAAATAAATTTACCCTGCTATATGCTATACACCAAGAGCGACCAAACTGAGAATCAAGTCAACCCCTTTTACAGCAGCTGCAAAAAACAACAACAACAACAACAACAACTTAGGAATATACCTAGCCAAAGAGGTGAAAGATCTCTACAAGGAAAACTACAAAACACTGCTGAAACAAATCATTGATTAACACAAACAAATGGAAACACATCCCATGCTCATGGATGGGAAGAATCAATATTGTGAAAAATCACCATATTGCCAAGAGTAATCTACAAATTCAATGCAATTCCCATCAAAGTACCATCATCATTCTTCACAGAGCTAGTAAAAACAACCCTAAAATTCATATGAAACCAAAAAAGAGCCTGCATAGCCAAAGCAACACTAAGCAAAAAGAACAAATCTGGAGCCATCACATTACGTAACTTCAAGCTATACTACAAGGCAGTAATTACCAAACCAGCATGGTACAGGTATAAAAACAGACATGTAGACCAATGGAACAGAATAGAGAATACAGAAATAAAGTCAAATACTTACAGCCAACTGATCTGCGGCAAAGCATACAAAGACATAAATTGGGGAAAGGACACCCTATTCAATAAATGGTGCTGGGAAAACTGGCAAGACACATGTAGAAGAATGAAACTGGATCCTCATCTCTCACCTTATACAACAATCAACTCAAGATGAATCAAAGACTTAGATCTAAGACCTGAAACCATAAAAATTCTAGAAGGTAACGTCAGTAAAACTCTTCTAGATGTTGGCTTAGGCAAAGAGTTTATGACCAAGAACCCAAAAGCAAATGCAACGGAAACAAAAATAAGTACATGGAACCTAATCAAACTAAAAAGCTTCTGCACAGAAAAAGAAATAATCAGCAGAGTAAACAGACAACGCACAGAATGGGAGAAAATATTCACAAAACTATGCATCCAGGGAAGGACTAATGCTCAGAATCTACAAGGAACTCAAATAAACTAGCAAGAAAAAAAAAATAACCCCTTCAAAAAGTGAGCACACAGCATGAATAGACAATTCTCAATAGAAGATGTACAAATAGCCCACAAACATGAAAAAATGCTCAACATCACTAATGATCAAAGAAATGCAAATTAAAATGACAATGAGATACCACCTTACTCCTGCAAGAATAGCCATAATTTAAACTAAAAAATAACAGATATTGGCATTGATATGGTGAAAAGGGAACACTTTTACACTGCTGGTGGGAATGTAAACTAGTACAACCACTATGGAAAACAGTATGAAGACTCCTTAAAGAAGTAAATGTAGAACTACCATCTGATTCAGCAATCCCACTACTGGGAATCTACCCAGAGGAAAATAAGTCATTATATGAAAAAGATACTTGCACACGCATGTTTATAATAGCAGCACAATTCGCAATTGCAAAAATAAGGAACCAACCTAAATACCCATCGACCAACTAGTGGATTAAGAAAATGTGGTATATATACACCATGGAATACTACTCAACCATAAAAAGAAATGAAATAATGGCATTCACAGCAACCTGAATGGAGTTGGAGACCATTATTCTAAGTGAAGTAACTCAGGAATGGAAAACCAAACATCGCATGTTTCACTTATAAGCAGGAGCTAAGCTATGAGGATGCAAAAGCTTAAGAGTAATATAATGGACTTTGGGGACTTGGGAGGAAGGGTGGGAGGTGGGTGAGGAATTAAAGACTAGACGTTGGGTGCAGTGTACATTGCTGGAGTAATGGGTGCACCAAAATCTCAGAGATTACCACTAAATAACTTATCCATGTAACAAAAAACCACCTGTTCTCTAAAAACTAATGAAACAAAAATAAAAAATAAAAAAGAAGCTCCTTCAAGTAGTTTTTGGAACAATTTCATCTCATTGTTTTAAAGTCATACCATGTCTATCTTAAAATGAGATGTATGTTAATTGCATACATAATTTTGTTGAACTCCCGTCTTTGCCAGGCACTGTTCTAAGCATCTTACAAAGATCACTACAAATATTTATGAATTCTCACAATAACCCTGTGGATAGGCACTATTATTATCTCTGTTTTATAGGTATAGGAAATGAGAATAAGAAGGTAAAGTCATTTGCCCAAAGTCATGCAGGTAATTTGTAAAACCAGGATTTAGAGTTAGATCTCTATGATTCTGGAGCTCTAGCTCCTTTCACTGCACCCAGAACCCCAAAGTTCATTCCATTTACCTGATTCTTCCACTCTCTTTAACTGCTGTTAAGCTGTTCCAGATGCTTCTGACAATGTCATTCTTTGTTTGAATGCTTGGTTGCCTCTGGCAACAGCTATGGCTGCCATCAACATACCCAATGTCTCTGCTGCTATCACTGCTGTTACCCCACCAAGGTGTCAGGGATACTCCCACTTCCTACAGTAATTACAGGAATTTTCTTCCTGACTCAGATTCCTGGATCTGTGTATTCTAACTATAAAGGATTCGGTACTGTATACTGACCAGGGGACCAAGGCATGTACCACATCCCTGCATTTAATATATATCTGCCAGCCCTACAAAGTTTTATCCTCCTTCTGGCACCTTGGCTGAGACTCCAACAGCTTGTCCTATTATTATACCAAGCATTCTGTAAGCCCTCAGACAGTGGTGCCAGCATAGGCCACGTGGGCAGAAAAGGCCAATCCATATCTAGAATAGATAACCATTCTGCTGAAGAAGAATTGCTGTCCCCTTCAGGATAGAAAGGACCTAAGTAATTGACCTGACATCAGGTAGCCAGTTGGTCTCCCTAAAGAATGATGCTGGATGGAGAGCTGCTGGCAGGTTGAGATTTTAGCTATGGATCTTTGCTGTGGCAGGTGCTAGGTCAGCTTTAGTGATAGGAAGCCTACCCACTGGGAGTACTTCCTTCACCATTGTTCTTCAGAGCTACTGTAGAGTGGGGATATAATGAGATAGCAATCCCCTTCCACATAGTGCCAACATATTGCACTGACCCATCTGTGAATTAGGCCTGAATCCTTTCCTTCTCTATCAGATGACAGCAGCAGACCCCTCAACATGATGCAACATAGATGTGGGCTGAAAGAGGAGTGGTGGTGCAGTGGAAACAGGTGACTTCTGTCTGGGCCATCTGCTCCTACATTTTATTCATGCCTACTAAATGCGCTTAAGCCTAGGCCACGATAGATTGTTGCTGCTCATGCCCATCCTTATAGCTTGGTAGATGAGACTACACCCAATTTATTATGAGAAACTCATACTGCACAGTCATTTGATGCCTGTAGTGGAGACACTCTAAGGCCCCCTCATGAGTCACACTTGTATAATTCCCTCCCCTTGAGTATAGGTGGAACTTGCCACTTGCTTCTAGGCAATAGTGTATGGCAACAGCAATGGGATAATCCCTCCCATGATTATGTTACATTATATATAAGACTCAATCTTGCCAGGCTGAAGTGAGAGTTTCTCCTGCTGGCCTTTAAGAACTAAACTATATTATCCAGGTCTGGTGGGGTGTATCTGCAGTCCTAGTTACTGGGGAGGCTGAGGCAGGAGGATCACTTAAGCCCAGGAGTTTGAAGTTACAGTGAGCTATGATGTTGCCGCTATGCTCCAGCCTGGGCAACAGAGTGAGACACAGAAAGACCCTATACTGTCTCTAAAAAAAAAAAAACAGAAGAAAGAACTAAACTGCAATGTTGTAAAATGACCTGTGAGAGGGACATGTGGCAAGGAACTGTGGGCAGTCTCTAGGACTGAGAGGTCTCTGGGCAACAACCAGAAAGAAAACAGGGATCTCAGTCCTATAGCTGCAAGGAATTTAATTCTACCAACAACCATGTAAGCTTGAAAGAGGATCCCAAGCTCCAAAAAGGAATGCAACCTGGCCAACACCTTGATTGCAGCTTTCTGGCCCTGAACAGAGGACTCAGCTAAGCCAACACCAGATTCCTGGAGGAAACTAGGAGATAGTACATGTATGGGTTTTTTAGGTGCTAAGTTTGTGATAACATTGCAACTCAGCAAACTTTAACTCAGTAAACTTTAGTTTTGACAGTTTATGTACCCATGTAACCACTCAGAACAAGATATGTAACGTTTCCATCACTCCAGAAAGTTCCTTCATGCCCTTTCTAGTTAATCCCCTTATGCCCACCCAGAGGCAACCACTTTCTGATTTCTTTCTCCATAGACTTGTATTGCCTGTTCTTGAAAGTCATATAAATGGAATCGTTCCGTATGCATTTTGTGTGTATGCCTGGCTTCTTTCATGCAAATAATTCAGATGTTTTGAGATTATGAACTGCTTTTGACTCTCCTCATTAATAAGCACAGAATAATTGCTTCTCTCTCCAAGCTGTGATGAAATCTGATTCTGGTTACTTACCAGGAGGCAATGAGGATGGTAGGGTGGATCTTGAGAAAAAAAATACCATCTCACAAGGAACCTTCTTCACATGAAATCATTACCTGGTCTCCATGAAAAGAGAAGTTATTCTTCTCTGGCAAGGGAAAAGAGCTGCTTCAACTAGAAAAAAAAAAAAAAGCACGTTCAGAGAAATATGAGAGGTCATAACACTTGGGTTCATATATATCCCAGATCTCCATGTTCCATTCTTTTCCTATCTGATTTTGGCTTAATGAACCTGACAAGGTTGGACATTTAGTCGTCTTCACAGTTCTGTCACCCTTATTATCAGATCTTGAGTCTAGTTTTTAATACATTCTGTCCCTACAGCTGTGGGAGGTAAGACTCTCCTTTAAAGCTGCTATAGAGGCAGAGCTGCTACTGCCTTCAAATCAGCCATTCTACTCCAAAATCCTTATTAATAACATTGTTTATATATCAGTTAGGCATCAAAGCCACTTGACCTCCCCATATCTTTCCCTCCACCTACACGTCATTCTAATAAAATAGCACATACCACGGGAAAAGCTCAAGTATTTGCAAAGTCACTTCATGCCAGGGTTATGGCCATACCACTTATCACCAGCAATAGGGTCCCTATTGCTTTTAGACAAGTGAAAAATCCAATTCCAAAATCCTATCCTGTCTGTTTTACAGAACCACTTCTAATATCAAATGTCTTTGCCAGGGTCCTCTAGAAAACAGAGTCTGAACAATAATTCAAGTATTAACCATTTGAGTGTGTGCAAACCCAAAGCAACAGGGGTGATGAAAAAGGGTAAGTCAGGCAAAAAAGATGCAAACCAATGTGATGCAATGTATTACCTCACTGGCCATTACTTCAAAAAATCACAAGTCACTTGCCAGGTATGTTTGCTCAGCACATGGGACTTTTTCCAGAATGGTTGAAAGGAAAACAAGGAAAACACACACACACACACACACACACACACACACACACACACATATACATGCACAAACACACATATTTTAGAGTAGTTTTATAAGGGTGAAGTGAACTGTCTGCCTGGCTCCCTCATGCCTCTTGATTTCCATGAGTTAAGGTTCATACCCCAGAGACCCGAATCTCCTTCACTTCTAGGTTGCATCATTTGGTCCCTTGACAGCTTCTCACAAAGCCAAATCCCATACCCATGGTATGGCATTTTACCCAAGTATGGAAGTGGAGTGATAACTTGGCACTGATAGGCTCAGGGTGTAGAATGTGAAGGCCGTTCACGTGCAAGGCTTCAACTTAGAATACCACGTAGCTCTGGGAGCTCACAAGGGATGCCAAAAAAAACCTGAAATGGTAGCAGCACAGTTTGCAAAGCAGATAGCATCTTGGAAAAGAATCTAAGAAGGTACACAAGTTTGTGCCCAATACAGAAGGTTAGTCCAAATAAGACAAAACGGTAGTTTGGACTAGGTTGGTGGCAGTGGGGATGGAGAAAAAAGGACAGATTTAGCGTACATTTTGAAGATAGAGCCAACAGCACTTTCTAGTGAACTGAATGTGAGGACTCAGAGAAAGGGAGGATTCCTGGGTGACCCCTACATTTTTTTACTTGAGTAATTGGATAGACTGTTATATTATTTCTGAGATGTAGGTTATGGGGGAGGAATTAGATTTGGCATTGAAGGAATCAATATTTAGTTAATAATGTCCAAATGTTGGGTCAAAAAACTTTGTGTATTTTTTTCTAAAAACTGAAACAATACACTTAATAATCACATCTCATGATAATTTCGTCTCATAATTCAGCCAAAGATCAATCCTACAAATGGATAGAACCAGTTACCACTTACATGGTGTAGTTGGCAGAGCATGGAACAGCGTGTCCCCAAAAGATCTCCCCCATTCTACTGGCCAGATGCCCATAGCCTGTATTCTGATTTTCTATTCCGGTAACTTAAAACAACAACATTTATGTTGGTCACTGATCTACAACATGGACAATGTTTGTCACAGTAGTATCATGTGGTATCAGCTGGGGCAGCTCAACTGGGAGCTAGAGGACCTGTATCCAAGATGGCTCACTAGCATTGGCTGGCAAAGTGGTATTGGCTGTCAGGTGGGAGTCCAGCCAGGGTGGAAAGCCAGGAGCCTTGATTCCTCTCCACAGGAACCTCTGCATGGGCTTTCTCACAGCATGTGGCTGGATTCCAAGAACAAACACTCCCAGAATAGGAAGATGCCAGTTTCTTCAGATATAGGCCCAGAAACTGACACAGTGTCACTTCTACCATATTCTATTGGTCAGACATTCTCAGAATCCAAATTCAAGGGGAAGGGACTAGGCATCAACTGTCAATGAGAGGAGTGTCAAAAATTTGGGGATCACGTTTTTAAATGATCTTAGTACCCATACTCTGGTACTAATGGTACGTTTGGTTTTATGGGGCAGGTAGGGAGGAGACACCTAAACCATTCATTAAGTGTCTGTTTATATGATTTTGTCAGATGAGCCACTTGATACCCATCAGGTCCCTGAGAGAATGGGAGCCGGCATAGAGATAATAATATAGATTATAATATAGCTACCACTTTTGGGGCACTTACCATGTGCCAGACGTTATTCTGAATTCTTTACATGTATCAACTCATTGGATTCTCTCAATAATCCCAAAAGGTAACTTCATATTATTATCTTTATTTTACAGATGGGGTAATTGAGACATAGATGGGTTAAATGATTTGCCGAACGTTATACAGCCACCAAGTAGGTGAGCTTGGATTCCAGCCCAGATCTATCTAACTCCAGAGTCCACACTCAAAAAAAAAAAATGATGCTATATTGGAAAGGATAGGGATGGGCTTGTCAGAGACAGATGGGCTACTCCAGGCCACAACCCCGAGAGGGCCCAGTGGTTCAATAAGAGTTCCTTTGTAGCAGCCTTACAGGAATAAATACATGTAAAACATTAGAGCAGTTGAGATTTTTCTACCACAGAAGGTTCCTGGTCTCAGAAAGCATGGAAGGAAGAAAATATTCATTCTCTAGTACCTTTTATTTGTCAGCCATTATGCTAAGTGCTTTACATGCATAGATTTCATATAATTCTTGGAATAATCATGTGTTAATTATTGTTATTACCGCCATTTTATACCTGAGGAAACTGAGACTTAGATTATCTAATTTATGCAAGATCACACAGGTGGTAAGTGGCCATTCTGAGGTTCTAGCTGAGATTTGAGATCAAACTCCTACTCTCGATCATTACACATGAAACCTTGGGTTGATGCCTACAAGCAGGGTAGTCTCAGGACTGGGACTGTTACGTAGGGCCCTGGGAAAAAGATGGCTGGAAAAAGTTGGGAGAGAATGAAGGATACCCCATGTCTACCTAGTCTATCATATTGCTCTCAACCAAGCATCACCTCCAGCTAGTTGCCTCTTTTTAGAATGTCTCTTTGTGCCTACTTTCTTTTGTCCAAGAGGTCATTAACAGCCAAGAATATTGACTCTACAGGGCACAAGATAGCTGAACAAATTCATCTCCAATTATTGTCCTCTTTATTCCTAGTTAATTAATAGATAACTATTGAAGAGAGATTAAAATAATTGACTCCCTGATGACATTGAGCAATTAAATTCTTAGCTCTATTCACAAGTCTAATCACTGCCTAAGTGGAGATTAATAGAGATGGATTCCTTCTCCATCTAATTTCCATTTTGCAGCCAATTACCCATTAAAGGCTTCTGACTCTCCAAGATGCTTTCCTGGAAGCAAGTTTAAGTCTTGGCCCAGGGTGTTGGGTGCACCAAAATCTCACAAATCCCCACTAAAGAACTTACTCATGTAACCAAACACCACCTGTTCCTCAATAACCTATGGGAATAAAAAATTTTTTTTAATAAAAATAAAAATAAATCTTGGCCCAGTTAAGCAAATATTTCCAAGCAATTAACTCATTGCTAATTGCAAATAACTAGCTGTCCAGAAAATGGGGAAGGCAGAAGGGAACCTAGATTTTAAGATGTCAATTGGGCCACTTAAACAATTCTTAGAAGTACACTCAAAATGATTAGGTTCAATCCTACTTAGCTTTTTCCTTTGCAGATTTCTAAATCCTGGTAGCCTGGTCCCTGTACCTTCAGCTTCAACCCCTCTCTATTTTGGAAAAACTTACAGCCTCTAGTCTGGAAAGTTATAAAAACCTAAGACTAGAAACCCACCACTCTAAGGCCAGAAGTAGAGTCCAAACTAGGTTTTCAGATTAGTATTCCAGTGTTATATTTGGCCTTCCATCCCACTAATAGGGTATCTCTCCATTCCAGCCTGACCTCAACCTCAATATGCTTCTAGTCATTTTTTTTCCTTCCAAAATGGCTCTCATACTCAGCCTGCCTCACTTTCACTGGCCAGACCTAGACATCAGTTCATGAACTGCTTGTCCTAGAGACACCTCCTATGCATTAGTCTATTCTTGCACGGCTATAAAGAAATATCTGAGATTTGGTAATTTATAAAGAAAAGAGATTTAATTGGCTCACAGTTCTGCAGGCTATACAGGAAGCATAATAGCTTCTGCTTCTGGGGAGGCCACAGGAGACTTACAATCATGGTGGAAAGTGAAGAAGAAGCAGACACATATTATATGGCCAGAACAGGAAGAAGAGAGAAGGGGGGAGGTGCTACACACTTTTAAACAACCAAATCTCACGACAACTCACTCATTCATTATCACAAGAACAGCACCAAAGGGGTGGTGCTAACCCATTCGTGAGAACTCGGCTCCCATGATCCAATCACCTCCCACCAGGCCACACCACCAACACTGGAGAGTACTATGCGACATGAGATTTGGTGGCGATACAGATTCAAACCACATCATCCTGGAAGAGTTCACAGCAGCTCTGTCATTCCTAATCCTAGGTATCATAAGAGCTGAGAGAGGAAGCTACCACTTTCTGACTGATGGCATCAGTCTACTAAGTAGTTGGCAGACTGATCTTATAGACACAAATATCCACCTCTCCAGCAACAGCCCCAGAAGCATTGTCTGCACACAGTACTTCTGTGGGAGCATCTCATCACTGTCTGCAGGGACTTGGCATGACCTGGATCTTGCTTCTGAAAATCTAAGGCACCTACATACAGGAACAAGCAGAACTGCTATCCTTTATTTTCTGTGTTCGCACCTGTTAAATGTCTGGTTCCAGGTCCAAACCTGGAGTTCCGAAGAGCGGTATGTTTCATCTTGGCCTATTTCTGTCCAAACCACCTCTGGCCTGAAGCAATAGCAGCAGCACAGCCCACCCGGACTAGATTTAATTATTTCCAATAGTTACGTGTCTTCTTTACTGAGTAAATTCTCAGAAATGGAAGTTCAGGCATTGTTTCCTCAAGGACCTAAAATTGCACCAATGGTCTGAGTCTCCTCAAAATAAATACACTTTCTCATGGCCAGAAAAATAAAACAGCAAGCTCCAGATTTGCCCCATTTTTATCCTACTGTTTACAGCCTGAGTGGTAATAGTAAAGGGACAAGTATCCACATACCCTCATCTCCAACCTGCTGGATAATCCTGAAGGGATGGCATACATATTTAAAATAAATAAATACCAGTGAGTAGAATACTTACAACTTTGTCCACACATACATGAAAGTACAGCCTTTCAAATACAACTGAGCCAATTGTGAGATTGGTATATATGTTACCAGCCTGGTTGTTTCATTGACCTACTTTCTGTATACATATATATATATATATTCTTTAAAAATACATTGATTTTGGCCAGGCTCAGTGGCTCATGCCTGTAATCCCAGCACTTTGGGAGGCTGAGCTGGGTGGATCACTTGAGGTCAGGAGTTCAACACCAGCCTGGCAAACATGGCGAAACCCCGTCTCTACTAAAAATACAAAAAAATTAGCTGGGTGAGGTGGTGCATGCCTGTAATCCCAGTTACTCAGGAGGCCGAGGCAGGAGAATCACTTGAACCCAGGAGGCAGACGTTGCAGTGAGCCAAGATTGCGCCACTGCACTCCAGCCTAAGCAACAGAGTGAGACTCCATCTCAAAAACAAAACAAAACAAATATATTGATTCTAAGAGTGGGAAAGTTAGGTATTTGTTGAAAGAGCAGCTTTGTTTCTTAGTTTGGTTGCTAAGTTAGGTTGCTAAGCAGCAGCAGAGAGAGATACAGAAGCACTTTAAGCCTTTGGTTTGAGAACTTACATTTAAGTCTTTAATCCATTTTGAGTCAATTTTTGAATATGGTATAAGATAAATGTCCAATTTTATTCTTTAGCATGTGGATATCCAGTTTTCCCAATACCATCTATTGAAGAGACTTTCCTATCCTCATTGTGTATTCTTGGTGCCCTTGTCAAAAACTAGCTAACCATATATGCATGGTTTTATTTTTTATTTCTGAGGTCTCTATTTCTTTCCATTGGTCTATGTGTCTGTTTTTATGCTGGTACCATACTGTTTTGATTACTATAACTTTGTAATATAGTTTGAAATCAAGGCGTGTGATGCCTCTAACTTTGTTCTTTTTTCTCAAGATTGCTTCGGCCATTCAGGGTCTTTTGTGGTTCCATATGAACTTTAGGATTGTGTTTTCTATCTCTGTGAAATATGCCATTGGAAATGTGATAGGGATTGATGGCATTGAACCTGTAGATCATTTTGGGTAGTATAGACATTTTGACAATATTAATTATTCCAATTTATGAACATGACATATTTTCCATTTATTTTAGTAATATAATTTTCCATTTTTTAAATACATTTTCCTTTCATTTTTATAATACAATTTCTTTCATTAATGTCTTATAGTTTTCAGTGTACAGATCTTTCACCTCCTTGGCTAAATTTATTCCTAAGTATTTTACTCTTTTTAATGCTAGAGTGAAATTGGACCCTTTTCTTACACCATGTGCAAAAATAACTCAAAATGGATTAAAGACTTAAATAGATCTGAAACAAGGTCTGAAATCACAAAACTCCTCAAAGAAAGCATAGGGGAAAAGCTCAACATTTGTCTTGGCAGTGATTTTTTTTTTTTGACACGACACCAAAACACAGGCAATAAAAGCAAAAATAAACAAATGGGACTACACAGCAAAAGAAACAATCAACAAAATGAAACTACAACTTTCAGCATGGGAAAATATTACAAACCATATATCTGATAAGGAGTTAATATCTAAAATATATAAGGAAATCACACAACTCAATAGCAAAAAATAATAATAATAACCTGATTATAAAATGGGCAAATGATCTGAATAAACATTTTTCCAAAGAAGATATTCAAATGGCCAGCAGGTATATAAAAAGATGCTCAACATCACTAATCATCAGGAAAATGCAAATAAAAATCACCATGAGGTATCATTTCATACCTGTTCAGATGGCTATTATCAAAGACAGAAGTAACATGTGTTGGAGAGGGTATAGAGTAAAAGGACCCCTTATGCACTGTTGGTGCAAATGTAAATTTATTAAACCACTGTGGAAAACAGTATAGTGGTCTCTTGTATTAGGACAGAACTAATAGGATATATGTATATATAAAGGGGAGCTTATTAAGGAGTATTGACTCACATGATCACAAGGTGAGGTCTCACAATAGGCTATCTGCAAGCTGAGGAGCAAGGAAGCCAGTCTGAGTCCCAAACCTCAAAAGTAGGGAAGCCGACAGTGCAACAGCCTTCAGTCTGTGGTCGAAGATCCAAGAGTACTTACGGTCTAATGTTCGAAGGCAGGAAGCATCCAGTCGGAGAAAAAGATTTGGCCGAGAGACTAAGCCAATCTAGTCTCTCCACGTTCTTCTGTCTGCTTTTATTCTGGCCAGCTGGTAGCTGATTAGATTGTGCCCACCTGGATGGAGGGTGGGTCTGCCTTTCCCAGTCCACTGACTCAAATGTTAATCTCCTTTGGCAACACCCTCTCAGACACACCCAGGAACAATACTTTGCATCCTTCGATCTAGTCAAGTTGACGCTCAATATTAACCATCACATCACTCAAAAAATGTAAAATGAATTACCATACAATCCAGCAATACCACTTCTAGGTATATATCCAAATAAAATGACATCACTATGTCAAAGAGACATCTGTGTTCCCATATTTATTGCAGCACTATTCACACTAGCCAAGACATGAAATCAACCTAAGGGTTCATCAATGGATTAATGGATGAAGAAAACGTCACATACGCACAAACACACACAGAGAGAGAGAGAGAGAGAGAGGGAGAGAGAGAGAGAGAGAAATATTATTCAGCCATATAAAAGAAGGAAATTCTGCCACTTGTGACAACATGAATGAACCTGGAGGACATTATGCTAAGTGAAATAAGCCAGATACAGAAAGACAAATGCTGGATGATCTCACTTATATGTAAAATCTTAAAAAGTTAAAATCGCAGAAGCAGAGAGTAGAGCAGCAGTTGCCACGGGCAACCTGTGCTGGAAGAATGGGGAGAAGTTGGTCAAAGAGTACAAACTTACAATTATAAGATGAACCAGTTCTGGGGCTCTAATATACACCATGGGTGGTCAGAGAGGTGTTAATTAATTTGATTATGAAACATTTCACAATGTATATGTGTATTAGATCATCACACTGTACACCATGATTATATTAAATCTTTGTCTATTAAATATTTCTAGAAGACTTTATTATTGGGTTAAAGAAAATGAGTGACACTGTATTGCTCACAAATCCGCCACTTGAAAGCCCCACAAAATTAGCTGGCCACTAAGGCTGCCAAGGGTTTAGAAAGCCTTGTCTTACAGGCTGGAAAGCAATAAGGCTTCTGATCCAGAAGTTGATAAGGGAAATCATCCAGGACTTCAAAATAGATTTCAGTTTCCAGAGTGCAGCCACAGAGTGCTTCAGAAGACTGGGGAAGCATACCTGGTGCTGTTATTTGAAGATTTTAACCTTTGCGTCATCTGTGATGAGAGAGTCTCTAACGTGCCTTAGGATGCCCTGTTAGCCTGCTTGATATGGCGAAAAAGAGCTTAAGTTAAGGCAGTTTTTATGGTGTTTAGTAGTAAATTATGCAAAATGTTTTGCCTTAACTTGTTACTTTATTGCAAGGAAATATTTATATATTGCATGTGAGCTTAAGTCATCCCCTCACTCAAGATGGTGTGAAAAGTAACTACTCAGATTCAGTGACATGAGCCCTGTTGTTCAAGAGTGGCAAACTGCTGCATGAAGAATGGGTGGATGATAGTTTTTCCATGTTTCTGTATATTAATGAGTTGTTGGGTAGTAATTACAATAGTAGAATTGATTAAATGCATTAGAGGGCCTTTTTTCAATTATTGGTTATGAGTTGATCCAAGTGTTCAATAATTGAGGCTATTAAAAAAGAACCTGAACCTGAATAAGCATCAACAGCCAACCACTACTTTATAGGAAATAAAGAGGACAGAGAAAAATGTTAAACACTATGGGAAAGCTTTCAGCAAAATCCAGGATGTCAAAAACTCTACTAAATAAACCATCCAGTTTCTTCAACAAATAAATTACCAAAAATAAAGAGATAGGAGGGGAACCTGTAAATTAAAGTAAATATGAGACGTATCAACCAATAACAGTGTATGGATGGCAACTGTGGGATAGGGTGGGGTAGAGTTGGGAAAGTAGTGGGGATATAGAAGTAACAAGATTGATTATTAGTTAATAGTTGTTGAATCTGAGTGATGGGAACATGGGGTTTCTTTATACTGTTCTGTCTACCTTTGTATCATAATGAAAATATAAAGTATACCTACCAAAAAAAAAACCCAGGGTCTGAGGAATTTGACCATATACTTTTGTGATAGAACATGGGCTTTTCCATGAGTGAAATTTAAAGTTTCCTTAGATAGATAGATAGATAAATAGATAGATAAAATTTTTTATTTTTTTATACTTTCAACTTCTATTTTACATTCAGGGGTACATTTGCAGGTTTGTTACACTGGCATGTTGCATGATGCTGAGGTTTGGGGTACAACTGATCCCATCACTCAGGTAGTGAGCATGGTACCCAATAGGTAGTTTTTCAACCCTTGCCCACCTCTGTCCCTCCTTGCTCTTACTAGTCCCCAATGTCTATTGTTCCCATCTTTATGACTATGTGTACCAAATGTTTAACTCCCACTTATAACTGAGAACAAGTGGTATTTGGTTTTCTGGTCCTGCTTTAATTCACTTAGGATCATGGCCTCTAGCTGCATTCATGTTGCTGCAAAGGGCATGATTTTGTTCATTTTTATGGCTGTATAGTATATCATGGTGTATATGTACCACATTTTCTTCATACAATCCACCATTGATGGACATCTAGGTTGATTCTATGTTTTTGCTATTGTGTATTGTGCTGTGATGAACATACAAGTGCATGTGTCTTTTTGGTATAACAGAATGATTAATTTTCTTTTGGATATATACCCAGTAATGGGATTGCTGGGTCAAATAGTAGTTCTAAGTTATTTGAGAAATCACCAAACTGCTTTCCACAGTGGCCAAACTAATTTACATTCACACCAACAGTATGTAAGTGTTCCCTTTTCTCTGCAGCCTTGTCAACATTTGTTGCTTTCTGACTTTTTTAATAATAGCCATTCTGACTGGTGTGAGATGATATCTCATTGTGGTTTCGATTTGCATTTCTCTGATGATTAGTGATGTGGCTCATTTGTTCATGTTTTTTGGCCACTTGTATGTCTTTCTTTCTTTTTTTTCTTTTCTTTTTTTTTTTTTTTTTTTTTTTGAGATGTAATCTCGCTCTGTTACCCAGGCTGGAGTGCAGTGTCACGATCTTGGCTCACTGCCATCTCCGCCTCCTGGGTTCAAGAGATCTTCCTGCCTCAGCCTCCCGAATAGCTGGAGTTACAGGCGTCCGCCATCACACCCAGCTAATTTTTGTATTTTTAGTAGAGATGGGGTTTCACCATGTTAGGCAGGCTGGTCTCGAACTCCTGACCTTGAGTGATCCACCCGCCTCAGCCTCCCAAAGTGCTGGGATTACAGGCGTGAGCAACCGTGCCCGGCCTGTTTCTTTAGTTTAATTATAGTTTCTTTAGTTTATTTAGTTCCCACTTGTCAATTTTTGTTTTTGTTGCAATTACTTTTGAGGACTTAGTCATGAATTATTTCCCAAGGCCAATGTCCAGAATGGTATTTCCTAGGTTTTCTAGGATTCATATAATTTAAGGTCTTACATTGAAATCTTTAATCCATCTTGAGTTAATTTTTGTATACGGTAAAATTTCTGGGTCCAGTTTCATTTTTCTGCAAATGGCTAGCCAGTTATCCCCACACAATTTATTGAATAAAGAGTCTTTTCCTATTGCTTATTTTTGTTGACTTTGTCAAAGATCAGATGCGTGTAGGTGTGCAGCTTTATTTCTAAGTTCTCTATTCTGTTCCATTGGTCTATACGTCCGTTCTTGTATCAGTACCATGCTGTTTGGGTTACTCTAGTCTTTTAGTATAGTTTGAAGTTAAGTAGTGCAATGCCTCCAGCTTTGTTCTTTTTGCTTAGGATTGGTTTGGCTCTTCAGGCTCTTTTTTAGTTCCATATGAATTTTACAATAATTTTTTTACTAATTCTGTGAAAAATGATGTTGGTAGTTTGATAGGAATAGCATCGACTCTGCAAATTGCTTTGGGCAGTATGGCCATTTTAACAATACTGATTTTTCCAAATCATGAGCATGGAATGTTTTTCCATTTATTTGTGTAGTCTCTGATTTCTTTCAACATGTTTTGTAGTTCTTTTAGTAGAAATCCTTCACCTCCTTAGTTGTCTGTATTCCTAGGTATTTACATTTTTGTGGCTATTATAAATGAGATTGTATTCTTGATTTGATTCTCAGCTTTAACATTATTGATGTATATCCAGGGACCTAAGTTAGTTCCCTCCAGCCCTTTTAAAAGACACTAACCCATTCAAGGGGGTGTAGTCCTCATGACTTAGTCACTTTCCAAAAGGCCCCACCTCTTAATTAAGGATTAAGGATTAAAGAAACTTAATTGAGGATTAAGTTTCAACACATAAATCTTGGAGGACAAATTCGAACCATAGCAAGAAGGCTCATAACTTCCATCAGATTCTCAAAGAATATCAACAATCACTGCCTTGAACAAAGGCAACACACACACACACACACACACACACATCCCGTCTTTAGGGATGTTTCAGTTTCTGATCTCATCCTGGCAGGCACTATAGCTGCTTCTGCACATGAGAAATAGTTGACCTGATCTCACCTACCACTTCTTTTCTTTTTTCTTTTCTTTTCTTTCTTTCTCTCTTTCCTCCCTTCTTTCTTTCTTTTTTCCTTCTTTCTTTCTTTTTTTGGCACTTCCTTTAGGAATCTTCCCTGTCTTGATGTTTACTTCTCTGGCTATAAGGACTTGCACGGTGTGTCCATGGTTATACCTCATATTATAAGTCATTTCCAGCTACATCATTCTCACACCTACTCACCCTGAACTCTACCTTCACCTCATCCTACTTGGGTTGTCCGACTCCCATGTTCCTGCTGCTGGTCCTTCCAAGCATACCTACTAACTAATGACCCCTACCTAAAGTCTCAGATCTCTGTCCCTAACCATTCTTGGCCTCAGCTCCTCACCTGGCCCTCAGCATGTGATGAGTACAGAATGATGAAAGCAGTCTAATTGGAAAAAAAAAATGTTTCATGGAGTGAAGCAAAGGGAGATGAAATTGGACTGGATTAAGTTCAGATCAAGTTCCAAAGGTCCTTGAAGTAAGGCTGGGGAACCACTGGACATATTATAACTGGGAAAATAGCATGACTAAAGCAATGCTTTAGTACATCATTTCTGAAAAAAAGGTGTGGTATGTAATATTAATTGATGTTACATGAAAAAAAGTTATGTGGGCAATTAAGTTTGGGGAATGTAGGGTTAAAGTTAGAGATGGTTCTTTATTGCAGGACTTCTCAGACCCTTTAACATGATAATAAACATAGTGAATCTTCAGGAGGGATTTGAATGTGCCCTGGTTCTTAAACTCACATTAGCACAAAATCCTCCTTTTAATGAGGAGCATGTATCAGGGCTAATGTTTCCCAAAGCACAGTTTGAGAAACAGGATTTTAGGAAGATTGATCTGGCAAGGTATGCAAGAGAATTTGAAGTGAGATGAACCTGAGCCAGGAGACTATTGGCAGCAAAGCAGGTATAGTGGAATAGCAGACCACCCTGCCCTCAGCAGTGAGAATTAAGTGGAACAGGTGATCCCAGAAGCTTTGTGAAAAACAACAGTGGGGATTGGGGTTAAACATCTGGTGGAAGACTGAAACCGTGCTTTTTACTTTTATACTGTAGCATCAAGAAGAAAACTTTGCCATGTGAGAGAAAGATGTACTCTTTTGGTCGCTATGTTATTTCCATCCCAGGGATTTAACAAAATTATTTTTTCTATTCCACGTTAAAAGTTTACCTTGCGTTGGCCAGGCATGGTGGCCCACACCTATAATCCCAGCACTTTGGGAGGCCGAGGCGGGTGGATCACCTGAGGTCGGGAGTTCGAGACCAGCCTGACCAACATGGAGAAACCCTGTCTCTACTAAAAATACAAAATTAGCCAGGCGTGGTGGCACATGCCTGTAATGCCAGCTACTTGGGAGGCTGAGGCAGGAGAATCACTTGAACCCGGGAGGCAGAGGTTGCGGTGAGCCGAGATCATGCCATTGCACTCCAGCCTGGGCAACAAGAGCGAAACTCCGTCTTAAGAAAAAAGAAGAAGAAGAAGTTTACCTTGTGTTTTTGTACAATTGGTGCAATTTGCAAAATGTCTCCCACCTGTCATTAGCTCGCTGTTCATGTTGCAACTAAAAAGGAGATTGGAAGCTATCTAAATAGAGTTTCTTTCTATCCAGTTACAAAGCTGATTGTGTATTTTGGTAAGAGTTTTGGACAGAATATTTGCTTGAAAGAAAAGAAGAGGGAGAGAATAAGGAGGAGTAAGATAAAGAGGGAACAGTCTATCCCAGGAATGTTTTAATTTGTTACTCAGCCCCTCATCCCCACTCCAAGAGCTTTCTAGGATGATAGCCTGTAGCCAATAGTTATAAGGCTAATAGTTATATAGGTTACAATGTTGATTACATTAAAAAACACTCAACATTAACAGTTAACAAGTTCATAGCCAGAGATATCTGACTGAGGTAAGAAATTCCTAAGCACAACTAGAGGTATATTTGCTTGGTTAATCAGAGTTTCCAGAGTTAGTATCCATGACTTAAAATCCTCATGTCCTGGATCTCTTAATTGATGCTAAGTCCGTTATAACAAATTGTGGAGTTCAGGCTGTTCTCCCAAAAGATAACATTAGCTTCACCTTTCTGGTAACATTTTGAAATTAACCAACATGTTTCTAAGACTTCTGATAGCCCCTTTTAGCAGCGGCAGTCCTGGTAAAAGCAGAAGGGGAATAGTTTCCTAAAAAAAGTTCAAATAGTCTCCAGCCTTTCATCCACACCATCAGGATTAACATGGCCACCAGAGATTCTTAGATGATAAATGCAACCCCAATTTAGGCAGAGCTTGACTGGACTGGCATCCTCTTGAGAGAAAACATCCATCCCCAAGAATGCTGCTTTATTTATATAAACTTAGAGACAGCAAAATCCACATATCAGTCTGTGCCTGTTTCCTTACCTGTAAAATGGAGATGATAACAGCACCTACTTCATATGGTTGAGGTAAAGATTTAATGAGTTCATACATGTGAAATGCTGAGTATAGCACCTGACAACAATAAGTGCTCATTAAGTATTAACTATTTTTTTCATTATTTATTATGGTTAGTGTTAGATTAATACATTATCAAAGCCCAACAATCTAACAAGATACAACCATATAGTGGCTGGCAGAGAGATTCCCTTTTAGGAGCTTAGCCAATTTATGTCATTCATATCTATACATTTCTAACCCAGCAATCTCATTTCTGGGTATTTGCCCAAAAGATTTTATATCAGTTTGTCAAAAAGATGTCTGCACTCCCATGTTCATTGCAGCACTATTCATATTAGCTAGGTTATGGAATCAATCCAAGTGTCCGTCATCAGATGAATGGATAAAGAAAATGTGGTATATATACATAATGGAATACTATTCAGCCGTGTGTGTGTGTGTGTGTGTGTGTGTGTGTGTGTGTGTGTGTGTGAATTTTTATTTTAGGTTTGGGGATACATGTGAAGGTGTGTTACATAGTTAAACACGTGTCACGAGGGTTACTTGTACATATTGTATGACCCAGGTATTAATCTCGGTACCTAATAGTTATGTTTTCTGCTCCTCTCCCTCCTCCCACCCTTTCCACTCAAGTAGACCCCAGTGTTTTTTGTTTTCTTCTTTGTGTTCATAAGTTCTTATCATTTAGCTCCCACTTATAAGTGAGAACATATGGTATTTAGTTTTCTGTTCTTGCATTAGTTTGCTAAGGATGATAGCCTCCAGTTCCATTCATGTTCCCGCAAAAAAAAAAAATGCTATCTCATTCTTTTTCATGGCAGCATAGTATTCCATGGTGTATATGTATCACATTTTCTTTATCCAATCTGTCATTGATGGGCATTAAGGTTGATTCCATGTCTTTGCTATTGTGAGCAATGCTGCAATGAACATTCACGTGCATGTGTATTTATGGTAGAATGTTTTATATTCCTCTGGGTATGTACCCAGTAACAGGATTGCTGGGTCAAATGGTAGTTCTGCTTTTAGCTCTTTGAGGACTCACCATACTGCTTTCCACAATGGTTGAGCTAATTTACACTCCCACCAAAAGCGTGTAAGTGTTCCCTTTTCTCTGCAACCTCACCAGCAGCTGTTATTTTTTGACTTTTTAATAATAGCCATTCTAACTGGCATGAGATGGTATCTCATTGTGGTTTTGATTTGCATTTCTCTAATGATCAGTGATATTGAGCTTTTCTTCATATGCTTGTTGGTCGCATTGAGAAGTGTCTTCTTTGAGAAGTGTCAGTTCATGTGCTTTGCCCACTTTTTAATGGGATTGTTTGTTTTTCTCTTGTAAATTTGCTTACGTTTCATATACATGTTGGATATTAGACCTTTGACAGATGCATAGTTTGCAAATGTTTTCTCTCATTCTGTAGGTTGTCTGTTTACTCTGTTGATAGTTTCTTTTTCTGTGCAGAAGCTCTTAAGTTTAATTAGATCTCATTTGTCAATTTTTTGCTTTTGTTGCTATTGCTTTTGGTGTCTTTGTCATGAAATCTTTGCTCACTCCTATGTCCAGGATGGTATTGCCTAAGTTGTCTTCCAGGGTTTTTATAGTTTTGGGGTTTACATTTAAGTCTTTAATTCATCTTGAGTTAATTTTTGTATATGGTGTAAGGAAGGGGTCCAGCTTCAATCTTCTGCATATGGCTAGCCAGTTATCCCAGCATCATTTATTGAATAGGGAGTCTTTTCCCCATTGCTTGTCTTTGTCAGCTTTGTCAAAGATCAGATGGTCGTAAATGTGAAGCCTTATTTCTGGGCTCTCTATTCTGTTCCATTCATCTATGTGCCTGTTTTTGCACCGGTACCATGCTATTTTGGTCACGGTAACCTTGTAGTATAGTTTCAAGTTGGGTAATGTGATTCCTCCAGCTTTGTCCTTTTTGCTTAGGATTGCCTTGGCTATTCAGACTCTTTTTTGGTTCCATAGAAATTTTAAAATAATTTTTTCTAGTTCTGTGAAGAATGTTGTTGGTAGTTTGATAGGAATAGCATTAAATCTGTAAATTGCTTTGCACAGTATAGCCATTTTAATAATACTGATTCTTCCTATCAATGAGCACAGGATGTTTTTCCACCTGTTCTTCTCTGATTTCTTTGAGCAGTGTTTTGTAATTCTCATTGTAGAGATCTTTCATCTCCTTGGTTAACTGTATTCCTAGGTATTTTATTTTTTTGTGGCAATTGTGAATGGGATTGCCTTTCTGGGTCAGTTCTCAGTTTGGTTGTAGGTGGTGTATAGGAATGCTAGTAATTTTTGTACATTGATTATGTATCCTGAGACTTTGCTGAAGTTGTTTATCAGCTGAAGGAGCTTTTGGGCTGAGACTATGGGGTTTTCTAGATATAGAATCATGTCATCTGCAAACAGAGATAGTCTGACTTCCTCTCTTCCTATTAGGATGCCCTTTATTTCATTCTCTTACCTGATTGCTCTGGCTAGGACTTCCAATACTATGTTGAATAGAAGTGGTGAAAGACAGCATCCTTATCTTGTGCTGGTTTTCAAGAGCAATACTTCCAGCTTATGCCCATTCAGTATAAAGTTGGCTGTGGATTTGTCATAGATGGCTCTTATTATTTTGAGGTATGTTCCTTCAATAACTAGTTTATTGAAAGTTTTTAACATGAAAGGATGTTGAATTTTATCAAAAGCCTTTTCTGCATCTGTTGAGATAATCATGGTTTTTGTCTTTAGTTCTGTTTATGTAATAAATCACATTTATTGATTTGCATATGTTGAATCAAACTTGCATCCTGGGGATGAAGCCTACTTGATCATGGTGGATTAGCTTTTTGATGTGCTGCTGGATTCAGTTTGCAAGTATTTTGTTTAAGATTTTTGCATTGATGTTCATCAAGGATATTGGCCTGGAGTTTTCTTTTTTGTTGTGACTCTGCCAGGTTTTGGTATCAAGATGATTCTGCCCTCATAGAATAAGTTGGGGAGAAGTCTGCCTCCTCAATTTTTTGGAATAGTTTCGATAGGAATAGTGCCAGCTCTTCTTTGTACATGTGGTAGAATTAAACTGTAAATCCATCCAGTCCTGGGCTTTTTTTGTTGTTGGCAAGCTATTTATTACTGATTCAATTTCAGAGCTCATTATTGGTCTGTTCAGGGAATCAATTTCTTCCTGGCTCAGGCTTAGGAGGGTGTATGTGTCCAGGAATTAATCCATCTCTTCCAGGTTTCCTAGTTTGTGTGTGTAAAGGTGTTCATAGTAGTTTCTGATGGTTGTTTTTATTTCTGTGGGGTCAGTAGTAACATTTCCTTTGTCATTCAAATTGTGTTTATTTGGTTTTTCTCTCTTTTCTTATTAATTATTCTATCTAGTGGCCTATCTTTTTTATTAACTTTTTCAAAAAAACCATTCCTGGATTTGTTGATCTTTTGAATTTTGTGTGTGTGTGTGTCTTGATTCCTTCAGTTCAGCTCTGGTTTTTGTTATTTCTCATCTTCTGCTAGCTTTCCTGTTGATTTGTTTTTGCTTCTCTAATTCTTTCAGTTGTGAAGTTACGTTGTTAATTTGAGAACTTTCTAACTTTTCAATGTGGGCATTTAGTGCTATGATTTTCCCTCTTAACACTGCCTTACCTGTGTCCCAGAGATTCTGGTATGTTGTGTCTTTGTTCTCATTATTTTCAAAGAACTTCTTGATGTCTGCCTTAATTTCATTATTTACCCAAAAGTCATTCAGGAGCATTTTGCTTAATTTCCATGTTATTGTATAGTTTTGAGCAATTTTCATTGTGTTGACTTCTATTTTTATTGTGCTGTGGTCCGAGAGTGTGTCTAGTATGATTTTGGTTCTTTTACATTTGTTGAGGATTGTTTTATGTCCAATTATGTAGTTGATTTTAGAGTATGTGCCATGTGGCGATGAGAAGAATGTATATTGTGTTATTTTGGGGTGGAGACTTCTGTAAAGGTTCATCAGGTCCATTTGATCCAATGCTGAGTTTAGGTCCTGAATATCTTTGTTAATTTTCTCCTTAGATGATCTATCTAATACTGTCAGTGGAGTGTTGTAGTCTCTCACTATTATTGTGTGGGAGTCCATGTCTCTTTGTAGCTCTCTAAGAACTTGCTTTATGAATATTTAAGATAGTTAAATCTTCTTGTTGAATTGAAACCTTTACCATTATGTAATGCCCTTCCTTGTCTTTTTGACCTTTGTTGGTTTGAAATCTGTTTTGTCTGAAATTAGAATTGCAACCCCTTCTTTTTTCTTTTTTCCATTTGTTTGGTAGATTTTTCAGCCTCTTGTTATTTGGAGCCTATGAATGTCATTACTTGTGAGATGGATCTCTTGAAGACTGCATACCATTGGGTCTTGCTTTTCTATCCGGCTTGCCATTTTGCACCTTTTAAGTGGGACATTTAGCCCATTTACATTCAAGGTTAGTATTGATATTTATGGATTTGATCTTGTCATTGGGCTGTTAGCTGGTTATTATGTTGGCTTGCTTGTGTGGTTGCTTTACAATGACACTGGTCTGTGTGTTTAAGTGTGGTTTTGTATTAGCTACCAGTGGTCTTTTCTTTCTATATTTAGTGCCCCCTTCAAGACCTCATGTAAGGCAGGTCTTGTGGTAATGAAGTCCCTTGATATTTGCTTATCTGAAAAGGATCTTATTTCCCTTTCACTTAGGAAGCTTAGTTTGGCTGGATATGAAATTATTGGTTGAAGATTTTTTTCTTTAAAAATGTTGAATATAGGCCCCCAATCTCTTCTGGCCTATAGGGTTTCAGCTGAGAGGTCTGCTGTTAGCCTGATGGGGATCCTCTTATAGGTGACCTGCCATTTCTCTCTAGCTGCCTTTAACATTCTTTCTTTCATTTTGACCTTGGAAAATCTGACAATTATGTGTCATGGGGATGATCTTCTTGTGGAGAATCTTGTAGGAGTTCTCTGTTTTCCTGAATTTGACTGTTGGCCTCTCTAGCAAGGTTGGGGAAGTTTTCATGGATGATATCCCAAAATAGATTTTCTCCCCCTCCCTTTTGGGGATGCCAGTGACGCATAGATTTGGCCTCTTTACATAATCCCATACTTCTCAGAAGTTTTATTTATTCCTTTTTATTCTTTTTTGTTTATTTTTGTCTGACTCTCTTATTTCACGTTCTGAGGTTCTTTCCTCAGCTTAGTTTATTCTGCTGTTAATACTTGTGATTGTATTGTGCAATTCTTGTACTGTGTTATTCAGCTCTGTCAGACCCGTTATGTTCTTCTCCTTCTTTTTTTTTTGACGGAGTCTTACTCTGTTGCCCAGGCTGGGGTGCAGTGGCATTATCTTGGCTCGCTGCAATCTCCACCTCCCGGGTTCAAGCAATTCTCCTGTCTCAGCCTCCCGAGTAGCTGGGATTACAGGCGTCTGCCATCATGCCCAGCTAATTTTTGTATTTTCAGTAGAGACGGGGTTTCGCCATGTTGGCCAGGCTGGTCTCGAACTCCGGACCTCATGTGATCCACCTGCTTTGGCTTCTTAAAGTGCTGGGAATATAGGTGCGAGCCACCATGCCCAGCCTAGGTTCTTTTTCAAACCAGCTATTTCACCCTTCAGCTCCGGTATCACTCTATTATGGTTCTTATTTCCCTTAGACTGGGTTTTGCCATCCTCCTGAATCTAAATAGTCTTTGTTCCTATCCATATTCTGAATTTTATTTCTGTCATTCTAGCCAGTTCGGCCTGGTTAAGAACTCTTGTTAGAGAACAAGAGGTGCGGTCGTTTGGAGGACATATGGCCTTCTGGCCATTTGAGTTACTAGAGTTCTTGCATTGGTTCTTTCTCATCTCTGCATGTTGGTAGCAACATGCAGATGCCGAGGAAGATCAATACACCCTACAAGAGATGTCCTGTAAGGTAGATGGGCAGGGCCTGGTGTCAGCTGTGGAGGGGTGGTGATTTGATGGCTGCTAAAGGGGGAAGACAGCTTTCCAGCAGCTGAGAGGTGGCATGGGCTGCCTATCAGGTGGTTGCTTTCATTGCATTGGCTGTGTTTAACCACAATGTGGGCAACCACTTAGAGAAACTGTACAGAAGACTTAAGAGCCAGATGCATTGTTGGAGTTGACAGCATTTATGGGGACTTCCAACCCTGACATTCTCAATTTGTGCAACTCTTTGGCATTTCAAAGAAAAGGAAACAGTAAGAAACCACATGAAACTGCAACATAGATTCAGTACAGACAATAGACTTCTTTTCTGGATGTTTTCACTGGGCCAAGGCTTTGTGTAGAGTCTTTATTTGAAGCTGATGTCTTGTCTCTGGTTTCAGAGGGGGATATGTTAGTGAAGTATTTTTCGTGTTGAAGCTTTGGGGTGTGATCCAGCAGGTGACACTTAGGCTTATTGGTCAGTTGGTAGACTCTTGTCCGGTTGTGTGGCTCCCCTATGTTTCCTCTCAGTTGCAGCTGTGTTCCCTCTCAGTGCCCTGAAAGTGTGGGGTCCTCTCCCCCTTAAGTGCTGGCCATAGTTCATGACTTGGCACTCTTGGGCTGCCCACTGCAGCTCTGGGGCAATCTCAGAGCTGCTAAGGAAGAGATCTTAGTAATGGTTGTGGCCCAGGGTCGTTTGCTCGACTCCTGGGGCCTCTATGCCAGAGAGATGCAGGTCAGCAATTGCTCAGTGCAGTCAGCCCAAGATGGAGGGTTTGTGCTGTGGACCCAAGCTAGGGGTTCCCTGCCTGGTGATGAGCCACGGTGGGTGTGTGGGACCCGTGGGACACAGACTGGCCACCTCTCCTTGGGTCAACTGCAGCTTGTTGGAGGTATGGATAAGGCACTTAGGGTCTTTGTTCCTTTGTTAGTCTGAGGGTGGCAAGGGCAGTGGCAGAGAAGCTTTCAAATGCCCCTGGAGGATCTGCACAGGGAGCTGCTGAGTTTGTACTGGCTCAAGAGCTCTGGTGGCAGGGTGTCTGGAGGCCCAGGCCTGGAGAACCTGCCCGGTGAGGAGATAGGAGAACGGGTGTATCGTAAGAGTCTGGCCACTTTTCTGTAGGGCTGCTGCAGTATGCTTGGGGCCTGCTTCAGTCTTTAGTCACCTCAGATTTTCCAGAACCTGGAGGTGTCACTAGTGAAGGCTGCAAAAAGACAAAGATGGCAGCATGTCCCTCCCTCTGGGAACTTTGTCCCAGGGAGGTGCAAACCTGTTGCTGGCCCAAAGGCACCTGTAGGAAGTGGCTGGAGGCCCTAGTTTGGAGGTCCCACCCCGTGAGGAGGAAGGGATCAGAACCTGCTTTTAAAAAGCAGCCTGGCCACGTTTTGGTAGAGTAGCTGTGCTGTGCTGGGAGTGCACTTCAGCCCCTGATCGCTTCAGACCCTCTGAAGCCCAAAGGCTGGAATGGCTAAGTCACCCAAACAGCAAAGAAGCAGCCCGCCCCTCCCTCCGGGAGCTCAATCCTAGGGAGAATTAAGATCTTTGTCAGCCGGAGAGCTCAGGCAGGGGTGGGCAGAGGCCCCATTGGGAGGTCCCATCCAGTGAGGAGGAACGGGATCAGGCACCTGCTTAAAGCAGCAGTCTGGCCATGTTTTGGTAGAGGAGCTGTGCTGTGCTGGGGGATCCCTTCAGCCTTCAGCTCAGACTCCAAAGTCTGAAGGCTGGAATGGCCAAGACACCCATACAGCAAAGATGGTGGCCCACCCCTTCCCCTGGGAACTCCTTCTTAAGGAGGTGCGATGCAGCTACTGGTAGTTGGCTGGAATTCCAAGCCAGTGGGTCTTATCTTGTGAGGTGCCATGGAAGTGGGGTGTGTGGGCTGTTGCGGCTCAGCCCCCTGGGAGAAGCCTGGTTTCCCCGGGTCACTCATTCAGTCACCGCTTCCCTGTGTGGCGGGGGGATCCCCTGGCTCCATGTTGTTCCTAGGTAGGCTGTTGTCTTGCTTTTATTCGTTCTCTGTGGGTCAGGTTGTTTCCTTGATTAATCCCAGTGTGAATGCCTGGATGTTTCAGTTGAAGGTGTTGTATTTATTTGCCCCTTCTTTTCCTCTACCTGACAGCCATGCACACTAGCTGCTTCTAGTTGGCTATCTTGGACACTCCCCTCCGCCCCCCACTCTGCCATTCAGCCTTTCAAAAGAAGGAAATTTGGCTGGGCATGGTGGCTCACACCGGAAATCTCAGCACTTTGGGAGGCCGAGGCGGGTGGATCACCTAAGGTCAGGAGTTCGAGATCAGCCTGGCCAACATGGTGGAACTCCATCTCTACTAAAAATACAAAAATTAGCCTGGCATGGTGGCGGGCACCTGTAATCCCAGTTACTGTGGAGGCTGAGGCAGGAGAATTGCTTGAACCCAGGAGGTGGAGGTTGCAGTGAGAGGAGATCACGCCATTGCACTCCAGCCTGGGCAACAAGAGTGAAACTCCATCTAAAAGAAAGAAAGAGAGAAAGAAAGAAAGAAGGAAAGAAAGAAAGAAAGAAAGAAAGAAAGAAAGAAAGAAAGAAAGAAAGAAAGAAAGAAAGAAAGAGAAAGAGAAAGAAAGAGAGAGAAAAAGAAAGAAAGAAAGAAAGAAAGAAAGAAAGAAAGAAAGAAAAGAAAGGAAAGGAAAGAAAGAAGGAAAGAAAGAAAGAAAGGAAATTCTAGCTAGGCATGTTGGTATGCATCTGTAGTCCTAACTACATGGGAGGCTAAGATGAGAGGATTGCTTGAGCCCAGGAGTTCAAGTCCAGCCTGGGCAACATAGCAAGACCCCATTCCTTAAAAAAGGAAGAAAATTTTGTCACTTGCAGCAACAACATGGATGGAATTAGAGAGCATTATGCTGAGTAATATAAGCCAGAATAGAAAAGCAAATACTACATGTTCTCAATTATATGTGGGATCTAAAAAACTTGAACTCATAGAAGCAGAGAATAGAATGGTAGTTACCAGAGGCTGGGGGTGGGGTGCATGGGGAGATGATGGTTAAAAAATATAAATAGGCCAGGTGTGGTGGCTCATGCCTATAACCCCAGCACTTTGGGAGGCCAAAGTGGGAGGATCGCTTGAGGCCAGGTGTTAGAGACCAGCCTGAGTAACATAGCAAAACCCCATCTCTACTAAAAATGAAAAAATTAGCTTGGTGTAGTGGCATGCACTTGTGGTCCCAGCTACTCAGGAGGCTGAGGCAGGAGGATCACTTAAGCCCAGGAGGTCAAGGATACAATGAACCATGATCACATCACTGCACTCCAGCCTGGGCAACAGAGCTAGACCTTGTCTTAAAAAGACACACACTCACACACACATAAGCACCAACTCATTCCTTAGGAGAGATAAGGGGTTTTTTTTTTTACATCTACTGCACAGCATGGTAAATATATTTAATAATAGTGTATTGTACATTTCAAAATTGCTAAGACAGTAAATTACAAATGTTCTCACCACAAAAAATGATAAGTATTTGAGGTGATGGATATGTTAATTACTTTGAATTAATTATTACACATGGTATTCATAAATCATAATATCACTTTGTACCTCATAAACATATACAGGTATAAATTGTCAATTTATAATAAAATAAATAAAAAATAAATTGATTGAGACTTGTAAAAAATATCTAAGTCTTTCTCACATGCATCCTTAAAGCCCATTTCCACTATGGAAACCTGGGTATATAATCCTGAGTTTATTTACCATGTAAGTTCCTTCAAATGTCCCCATAAGCTAGTACCAACTGAAACTGAAACACTCAACTTTCCATAAAGACAGCAACAAAACAAGACTATGATGAGAATCCAAGTCTTTTTTTTTTTTTTTTCGGAGATGGAGTCCTGCTCTGTCCCCCAGGCTGGATTGCAATGGCACAATCTCAGTTCACTGCAACTTCCACCTCCTGGGTTCAAGCGATTCTCATGGAGCAGCCTCTTGAGTAACTGGGATTACAGGTGTGCACCACCACGCCCGGCTAATTTTTGTATTTTTAGTAGAGACAAGGTTTCACCATGTTGGCCAGGCTGGTCTCAAGCTCCTGGCCTCAAGATATCTGCCTGCCTCGGCCTCCCAAAGTTCTGGGATTACAGGCATGAACCACCACTCCCAGCCAGAACCAAGTCTTTTTCACGTTTCATTCCCCAGTGTCTAGCACAGGGCCTGGCCTGAAATAGATGATGCTCAGTGAAATTTCATTGTATTATACAACACAAGAAGGAAGAAGCAATTCTCAACCTTCCTTAGCACATGCCAAAGCATCAGCCAGTAAAGGAACTGAGAGAGGCTGTCATCTACAGCATGAATGGGAATATGGCAAGGCTTTCATTCAAGTAATTTTCTCTCACATTAGATGCAAAGTCATTACTCCTTCTAGACAGTTTCAACATTCTATAATCAACCACCAGCGGCATGGTGTGGTGGACACCTAGCAGCACCAAAAGAGCTTCCTGTCCCAAGTGGCCCCCCACAGTTGCCTGTCATGCTGCCTTATCTTCTTAGTATAGTCTTCACTCTTTAAAGGGTTAGGTTTTTTTGGGTTTTTGTTGTTGTTGTTGTTGTTGTTGTTCTGTGTGTTTTTTTTTTCTATCAAGGGTGAACATGTAGCAGAGCTAGGATCATCTGACTAAGTGGAGACAGCCCGATCTCAGCTCTTATAGCTCTTTTGTAAGCAACCTATGATTCTTCAAGCCTCTTGAATTCTGTATTACAATAGCCTGCTATGTTGGATTCAGTTAGGTATGTGCTAAGCACATGGTTCTCCTGCATAATAATGTAAGAAAACATCCTCCTAGAGTTGGTGGTCAGTCATCTCGTACTCTATGTTTATGTCTGATATCTTCCTCTGACACACCAGCAGAGAGCACGTAAGTTAAGTGACCTTTACCCATGGTTTCAGAGACATGATGGGTCCAAGGTCCTAGCTGCATAGGAAATCCAAGAGTGTAAATTTTTAAAAATTGATAGGAATTTTATAAAGCCAAATTTGAAGAAAGAGCCAAGAAAACTTATGAATGGAGAATGTCAAAAGCAGTAGACTTTAATTTACCCTATATACAAAAATTAACTCAAAGTGGATCAAATATCTAAATTTAAGAGTTAAAACTATAAAACTTGTAGAAGAAACAGAGGAGCAAATCTTGACAACTTTGAATTTGGGCATAGTTTCTTAAATCTGACACCAAAAGCACAGGCAACAAAAGAAAAAATATAGTAATTGCACTTCATTAAAATTATAAACTTTTGTGTATCAAAGGACATTATCAATAGAGTGAAAAGAAAACCCAAAGTATGGGAGAAAATACATGCAAATCACAAATCTGACAAAGGCTTAATATCCAAAATATATAAAGAACTTTTACAACTCAACAACAAAAAGACAACCCAATTTTAAAATGGGCAAAGGACTTGAATAAACATTTTACCGAATAAGATATGCAAATGGCAAAAATCACATGAAAAGATGCTCAACATCATTAGTCATTAAGAAAATGCAAATCGAAACCACAATGAGGTCCAGGTGTGGTGGCTCACACCTGTAATCCTAGCACTTTGAGAGGCCAAGGCAGGTGGATCACTTGAGGTCAGGAGTTCAAGATCAGCCTGGCCAACATGGCGAAACCCCATCTCTACTAAAAATAGAAAAATTAGCCAGATGTGTGGTGGCACGTGCCTGTAATTCCAGCTACTCGAGAGGTTGAGGTGGGAGGATCACTTGAACCCAGGAGGCAGAGGTTGAAGTGAGCCGAGATTGTGCCACTGCACTCTAGCCTGGGTGACAGAGTGAGACCTGGTCTCAAACACACACACTCACACACACATACACACACACAAAATGAGATATCACTTCTATCCTACTAGGATGACTATAGTAAAAAAAAATCAGACAGTAACAAGCATTGCTGAAGATTTGGAGAAATTGGAACACTCGTGCATTGCTGTTGGGAATATAAAATGGTGCGGCCACTGTGGAAAACAGCTTGGCACTTACTCAAAAATTTAAATGTAGAATTATTATATGATCCAGCAATTCCACTTTGGAGTATACACCCAAATGAATTGAAAGCAGAGACTCAAACAGATACTTGTACATTCATGTTCATAAGCAACATTATTCACAACAGCCAAAAGGTGGAAACAACCCAAGTGTCCATCAATAGACGAATGAATAAACAAAATTTGGTATATCCATACAGTGAAATATCATTCGGCCATAAAAAGGAGTAAGGCTCCAACACATACTACAACATTCTGAGTCAAATATGCCAGGCACAAAAGAACAAATACTATGTCACTCCACTTACATGAAAGATTTTAAATAGGTAAATTCATAGAGACAGAAATTAGATTAAAGGTTATCAGAAACTGAGAGTAGGAGGGAGGGAAGAATGAGGAGTTATTGCTTACTGGATTCATAGTTTCCGTTTGCGGGGGTGAAAAAATTTAGAAATAGTGGCAATGGTTGTACAACATTTTGAATGTAATTAATGCCATTGAGTTTTACACTTTAAAAGGTTAAAATAGCAGTCTATTTCATACGTATTTTACCACAGTAAAAAAAAAAAAAGCAGTTGCTGTGTCTGTGTTAATGGTTCTATTTGAAGTGAGAAGCCATAACAGAACCAGACGCAGCTCAAGGGCATTTTGATAGGGGACCTGAAAGAACAGTGCCAGCAACTCCAGTTTTGCTTTTGCACAAGGATGATGGTGGTTCAGTGTGCTGGTTCAGCCTTCGTCACATTCTCATCAGATGCTGCTTAGTTGAGCTTTAGGATGAGATGCATGATCCATGACTCTACGCAGGAGACCTCTTGAGGCTCTGGAAAGTGAATGAGCTCAGCATTCTTGTTAGGGGAGGGAAGAGGATGTTCCAAGGACTGTGGGTGAAGGCAACGTGTTTGTTGCCCAGGGTTATAATACATGGAGCCAAGGAGCAGATTCCAAATGTGGAGTCCTGAGGATGCCAAGATGTTAGCTGATACAGAGCACAAAACATAAATCACCAAGGCTGAAGGATTACCAGAAATATAGAACCAAGATATGAAAGCAAAAATTAAGGAGACAGGGAAGCTAACACATGAAGTGGGTTAGGGTGGGCTTGAATTGTTTCTGAGCTATCTGCCTCAGATTTTTATAGGATTCTCATGACTGACATTACATTTAAGGGCCTGAAAAGAATGGAACGTTTAAGGTATTTTTGGCATTATAAACCATCATTATTAGACTCTTTTAAGAACACTCCCTTTTAAGGAGAGAAGTAACCTGGGAAACTGACAAGAGCTGTTAGCCTGAGAAAGGAAGAATCGGGGCATGTCAATCTTTCCTCCTCCACAAATAATCAATAGAAATAACAGCATTCCTCAGACATAATAAAAGAACTTAGATGACACTTTATTATAGGCACAGAGACTTTAGAAATGGAAGACACAGCAATTGTCTGTTACATGACCACTGGATATTGGAAATTGGATACCATATGAAACAGAGAGGCTCCTGGAGTGTTGGTACCTGCTATGGAAGCCCCATCTATGGAGCAACCAAACCCAGGTGCTATTTGTCCAGGTCAGGTCTATGTCCTAAGGCTAAGAGTGATAGCAGGTAGATAACATGGGGACAGCTGAGTGAAGTTGAGGCAAAGAGTCAGAAAGAAAAACCTGTGGCACAAGAGACTTATCACACAACTGGGATGGCCACCCCTTACAATCTGTGCGATGTTTCTATACCTCATGCTTGTAAATTCAGTGCAGAGGCCATCAGGTTGTGAGACCAAGTAGATTTATCTCTTGCTGCATAGCACAGATCTGGGCCTGGAAAGAATGAAACAGTCTCTGAGTAAGAAAGGGGAGAAAGTATTAACAAAAAAGAGGAGGAGAGAGGGAGATTGATAAAAGAAAATGTGAAGGGGAACATAATTCAATCTGCTTCTTTCATAATGCCAAGGGCAAGGCTAGGCTTGCCAAAATCGCACAGGAGTCAGGGATTCAATATTTACCCAACAGTCGGTGGCTAAAATAGATTATAATATAAAACCAACTGAATTATGAGAATTACTTGAGCAGTAGAAAACTAAAATATATTAAAGTCATCCATCAGGCCCTCCTGTTGCTAGTAAATGATAATTGGCTAAATCTATTTTCTGGGGTTGCTAGCAAAGGTTGCTCTGGCTCCTGCTCTGGCAGGGAGTAAAAGGAGCAGGTCCTGGGGAGCTAGCCCTGCATACAGGACTTGGAAGAGAGGTACTTCTTTCCTGTGTATTACACAGAAGACAAGTAATAAATTATACTGGTTGTGGGTGATAGGGAGACATCAAGTCAAAATTAGAATAAGGAATACAAATGTGTTATCAACTAAAGTGTCTAGATATTTTTTGAGCCATAGGACCCTTTGACAGTTTAGGAAAAACTATAAATTTCTTTTAAAAGAATAATATTTAAGTATATAAAATAAAACATAATGAGCTACAAATGAAACCAAATATATCTCTGTACAATCATAAAAATATTAATAAGTGATACAGTAATGTATGTGTTTCCTTATTCACACATCCAATAACAAGATCTGGTGGCAGGTCTAGTAACTATTATGATTCCAAAGTAGTGATTAGCATAAAAGGTACTTTGAAGCCTCTACAACTTCTGAAATTTTATATTAAAAGATTTCTACTCCTTTCAAAGTTGCATGTACTACACGTACTACTGTGGTTCGCTGCTTATGTTCATAATATAATTTTAGTTGGACGTTAGTGAAAATGAAACTGTATTTTTTTTATACAAGTTTATAGACCCCTTGATTTTTACCCATTGACTCCTTGGGGATTTGTGCATCCAGATTAAGAACCCCTGGTAGAAGTAAAAAACAAGAGCCAAACAAGGAAGCAGGAAAAGTTACAAACAAATCTGCCTCTTTTATAATAGAGAGGGCAAGCAGGAGGTCTAAATTAAGTGCAGATACCTGTAGCGGTTTTTAAAATGTTCCCATTGTCTTAGTCCATTTGGGCTGCTATAACCAAATACTGTAAAGTGGGTGGCTTATACACAACAGAAATTAATTTCTCACAGTTCTGAGGGCTAGAAAGTCCAAGATCGGTCGGCCACGGTGGCTCACGCCTATAATCCCAGCACTTTAGGAGGCCGAGATGGGTGGATGACCTGAGGTCAGGAGTTTGAGACCAGCCTGGCCAACATGCCAATACCCTGTCTCTACTAAAAATACAAAAATTAGTTGGGCATGGTGGTGCACACCTGTAATCCCAGCTACTCGGAAGGCTGAGGCAGGAGAATCACTTGAACCCAGGAGGCAGAGGTGGCAGTGAGCCAAGATTGTGAGATCGTGACACTGCACTCCAGCCTGGGTGACAGAGCAAGACTCCAAAAAAAAAAAAGAAAGAAAGAAAGAAAAAGAAAGAAAGAGAAAGAAAGAAAGAAAGAAAAGAAAAAGAAAAGGAAAGGAAAAGAAAAGAAAAAAGGAAGTCCAAGATCAAGGCACTGGAAGATTTGGTGTCTGGTGAGGGCTCACTTTCTGGTTCTCAGATGGCACACTCCCACTGTGTCTTCACAAGGTGCAAGGAGCAAGCTAACTCTCTGTGGCCTCTTTTATAAGTGCACTAGTCCCACTTGTGACATAATCACTTCCCAAAAGCCTCACCTCCTAATACCATCACACTGATAACTAGGTTTCAGCGCATGAGTTTCGGGGACGCAAATATTCAGATCATAGCACCCATAATGCACTTGCTTGACTGAACTGAATTCAGCTAAAGGACCAGACAAAAAGCAGACAGGTTATAAATAAAAGAAGAGTGGCTCCATGTTGGTAGCTATTGAAGCTGTGTGATACATACACAGGGACTGTTTGTACCACTCCCTCTACTCATCTGTATATTTGAAATTTTTCATACTAAAATGATTTAGAAGTAATAAACACAATAAAGGGGCTAGATGCAGTGCCTCTCGCCTGTTGTCCCAACTACTTAGGAGGCTTAGGAGAGAGGATCACTTGAGCCTAGGAGTTCAAGGTTGAGGTGAGCTATGATTATGCCACTGCACTCCAGCCTGGGTGACAGAGCAAGACATTGTCTCTAAAAAAAATAATAAATTAATCTAAGTAAATTAAATAAAGGACCTGACATGTCAGGTGCAGTGGCTCGTGCCTGTAATCCCAGCACCTTGGGAGACCAAGGCAGGAGGATATCTTGAGGTCGGGAGTTCAAGACCAGCCTGGTCAACATGGCGAAACCCTGTCTCTACTAAAAAATAAAAAAATTAGGTGGATGTGGTGGCATGCACCTGTAGTCCCAGCTACTCAGGAGGCTGAGGCATGAGAATCACTTGAACCTGGGAGGCAGAGGTTACAGTGAGCTGAGATCGTGCCACTGCGCTCCAGCCCAGGAGACAGAGCAAGACTCCATCTCAAAAAACAAATAAAGATAAAAATAAAAATGAGGACCTGACATCCTGTTTGATCATCAGAATTCCTCAAATTAATTAATTCATTCACTCACCTATCTATTCATTTATTCAATATTTATTGTTGCCTCTGGCACAATGTAGGTTATAGGAAGACTGAAACAAGAGTCATGTAGGTGTCAGACCAGGAGAAACATTAAGGAGGAATCAGTTCCAGTTCAGAATGA
This sequence comes from Homo sapiens, assembly GCF_000001405.40. Lineage (NCBI taxonomy): Eukaryota > Metazoa > Chordata > Mammalia > Primates > Hominidae > Homo > Homo sapiens. The sequence continues at coordinate 120,686,763 of NC_000023.11, read as the reverse complement.
AAGTAAGAGAATGGTAGGAGGAAACCAGGAGGCAAAGTAGAAGACTCTGAAGGAGGACATTTTGATAAGGGTGAAGTTCTTGAAAGAAAGCGAAAGAAGGTGGGGCACATAACAATGGGGCACATATTATAAGGTAACAAGCTGGCTGGAAGCAAGAATGGGGGATTGGAGAAAATGGCTGAAGACATGGGGAACTACCAATGGCAGCTTTGCAGCCTCCTTCACAACTATGTCTATCCCTGCATGGAGGAATCAACTTGGTGGCTGTTTTCCACCCAAAAAGGTTTATTCAAGAATACATCATTTGGTAAATAAAAACAAACAAACAAAAAAGTCAGGTCTCATCAGAGCTCTGTCCTTAAAACATCATTTTAAAGTTCATTATGAATCTCAAAAGAAAAAAATATGTACGTTAACTTGTGGAACAGATAATTAAAAGGAACACAGTATAAAAAGAACACAGTATAAAAGGAACAGTATAACTTGGAACTAATGAAAATCAAATGTCAGAGAGAAGAAATTAATCTCTGTTTATATTTCATTTCCTCTAACATTTGCCTAACTGAGAAAACAGCAACTAGGTTTTAATAACATTGGAAGAGCAAAAATTCCCAGGATGTAACCCTTTAAACAAGTTTTCTTCTAAAGACCATTTCAATAATGGCTTGGTAATTATTACATTCAGAGGAGAACTCTGGCTGGCACCTTCCAATAGTGGGATACAGGACCCCGCTGGCAGCCAGATGCCCACATTCTACACTCCTGACTCTTTCAAGAAACAAAGTCCAGACGAGTTTCATCAGGAAAATCTTTTGTAAAAAGATTGGCAAACGAGAGGAATTCTGCTCCAAAATGTGTTTCTCCTTCTTTGGCTACTACTAGTTATGTTTCCTTCAGCATTTCCTGTGACTCTGTTAGCCAGAACACAGTGACTTGAATTTGTCATCCAATTGGCAACTGTTCCATTCCCTTCAGGGGTCCTAGTTATATCTGCTACAACATCTGAACAGTAGGTGGTCCAGTCCCTGTCCACAAAGGCACACAAGTCAGAGGGGAAAATAATATCTCTAAAATATTCATCTCTCAAAAACCTTCTTACACCCATGGTTGGCAGCAAGAAAAGTCCTGTTTGCTACTACCAGCATTCAAATAGTTTAATGATTTGCCATCAAATTAGCCTAAACTATCTTGGTTAAGAACACAGGCTCTGGAGACAAACATGGGTCTTTATTTAAGAGACCACACACACACATACTTACTAACTGTGTGACCTTGAACAAGTTACTTAACTCCTCTAAGACTTAGTTTCATAATAAGTAAATAAGGAATAGATAGATACAGCTATTTATCTCATAGAGTCGTTGTAAGCATTAAATGAGAGATCTTGTGCAGTTCCTTCCCTGAAACCCCCATCCCTCAGTAATGCAGGCCTATCACTCCACTGGCCAGTCATACCTCACTAGCCCCGCTCCAGAGGTGTGGATCTGAGAAGCCTCTGGGTACTCCACAGCAAACCCCTAGCATGAGCATCCAGAGCTCCTAGGTGCTCTAGGGAAATGTGAACACAATTCACCCCCATTCCATCACCAAGGTCAAAAAACAGGAGAATGGCCACCTGAAAAGCAATTAAAACCTGGCACTCATAGGCAAAGGGAAGTCTCATCACCTTAAATGGAACGGATGAGGCAGGCGAGGCTACCCCAGATGCCATCAAACCAGCACTCCGCAATGTAGAGCCCCAAAGAGACTCAGAAGAAGAAAGAAGGAGAAGGATAATGAGGGGAATAAAAGAAGAAAAGAGGAAGGAAATGAGGAGATGGAGGAGGAGGAGCCTTCTAGAGACTGAATGTTTGTGCCCCCCAACAAAATTTATAAATTTATATATATATATATATATATATTTTTTTTTTTTTTTTTTTTTTTTTTGAGACGGAGTCTCTCTCTCTGTCACCCAGGCTGGAGTGCAGTGGCACGATCTCGGCTCACTGCAAGCTCCACCTCCCAGGTTCACACCATTCTCCTGCCTCAGCCTCCCGAGTAGCTAGGACTACAGGCGCCTGCCACCACGCCCAGCTAATTTTTTGTATTTTTAGTAGAGACAGGGTTTCACTGTGTTAGCCAGGATGGTCTCGATCTCCTGACCTCGTGATCCGCCCACCTCAGCCTCCCAAAGTGTTAGGATTACAGGCGTGAGCCACTGCTCCTGGCCCAAAATTTATATATTAAAACTTAATCCCCAATGTAATAGTATTAGGAGGTGGTGCCTTTGGGATGTGATTAGGTCGTGAGGGTGGAGCCCTCATGAATGGGATTAGTGCCCTTATAAAAGAGGCCCTTCATTGGCTGGACATACAAGAAAAGTAAAATAAAACGAGAGGCCTCAGAGATTTTCCTCTCCTCTTCCAACCTGTGAGGTTATAGTGAGAAGACAGCTGACTATGAACCAGTAAACGGGCACTCACCAGATATTGAATCTGCTGTTGCCTTGATCTTGGTCTTCCCAGCCTTCAGAACTGTGAGAAATAAATTTCTGTTGTTTATTAATCACCGACTCCATGGTATTCTGTTATAGCAGACTGAATGGACAAAGATGGAGTCCTTCAAATACAGGCCTTTCAAGAGAAACCAGAAAGAGGTTGAAGATATTGTGTCTCCCACCTCACCAACCAAGAGAAGGGGAAGTTTGTGCTGGTGGTGCTGAACAGTCTGCCAGGAAGGAAAGGCCACCGCCACCACCTTCTCCCAAGAGCCAGGAGTCCCAAGCAGAGGCTACCTCTACCAGTAATGCTGGAAACACAAAAGAAGAGACAGGGCTCCAAGCCACAGAATTGTCCACCCCCTCAAGCCAGAGACCAGCACCGACACCAAGGGTCAGGAAGCACAATGAAGAGCTGGGTTGGGAGCACACAAGTGATTGCTAAGCTGCAAAAATTGTACTGTCATTGTAGGGTGACTGGCCAGACCGAGTACCCTCACTTTCTCCCCATGCCAAAAACAAAAAACAAAAAAAAAAACTGTCTTCTGCTTCCCCACAGCCACATTTTCCCCTTTCTCTTTCCTGAGGACCTTCCCATAATCCATCTGCCCTTCCCTCCTCAAGGACAGTTGAAAATGATCTTTTACAGTTTTCTGAGTGAGTTTAGTCATGTAAAATACATCTGTTCCATCTCCCCACCTCTTTCACTGGCTCTACACTTGCAGAGGTCAATTTCTGATTCTCCTCCCTACTTCTATTCCAGGTAAGTTTTGTTTACCTGCCCACTAAATCCCAGAGCCAGAGTGGAGTGTTTTCACTCCCAGACTCTGAGCATACACCTCTGCCACCCTATGTTGAGTTTTTAATTTCCTTTGCTTTCCAAGGGTCTCTGAGTTGGGACATTGACCCTCCCTAGGTTTATCCCTCCAGACTGGGAATCAACTGTGTGTCCATTTTAGACATGGTCGGGGAATGGTTAGGCTTTCAGGCCAAGGCAGGGAGAGAGAGGAAAGTGTCTAATGTAATACATCTTATTTTTTGTCTCCCTTGTTGTAAATAACATATAATGGCCAAATCCTGAAGATGTATACATTCTAATTGCTAAAATCATTCCCACTTGGCTCCATTGTAACATTTGGAAAGAAAATAAATGCTGATCCCTCTAAAAAAGAGAAAATTAAATGAGATAGACTATGTATGGTCCTTAGCAAAAACCTAGCACAAAGTGTTCAATAAGTGTTAGCTTTTGTTATCATTTTAAAGACTTCTGAATCCTATTTTCATTACTCCATTCATTTACTCACTCAAAAAATATTGTTTAGGCCAGGCACGGTGGCTCATGCCTATAATCGCAGCACTTTGGGAGGCCAAGGTGGGCAGATCACTTGATGTCAGGAGTTCAAGACCACTCTGGCCAACATGGCAAAACCCTGTCTCTACTAAAAATACAGAAAAAATTAGCCGGGCATGGTGGCACACGCCTGTAATCCCAGCTACTTGGGAGGCTGAGGCAGGAGATAGCTTCAACCTGGGAGATGGAGGTTGCAGTGAACTGAGATCATACCACTGCACTCCAGCCTGGGTGACAGAGTGAGACTCCATCTAAAAACAAAAAAATTATATGTATAGTTTGGGTGCTTACTTTATCACGAATATAACACAATATTAGACATTGGAGGCTGGGGATTGGAGTACAAAGAAAGAAAAGAACACCTCTAAATAGTCTCTACTCTGCAGGACTTTACAATGTGATTGTGGAGACAAGGTGTACACATGAGTGATAGTGTCAGAAATCCCGGCAAGGTATTAAGTGCGAAGTGAATGATATAGATTGAAAGGGGGCACTTGGTAGAGTTGAGGTAAAAAATGGCTGCATGCAACTTTGTGTTGATCCCTGAAGGATGGTCAATCTTTGTAGTGGCAAGGGACATTGTAGACAGTGGCAACAACATGAGTATGAACTTAAAATTTCAAATAAGTACAACATATTCAAGAGACAATGAGAAAACCAGCCTATAGAGGGGCCATGGCAGACCATGGCAGAGACAGTAAAAAGTGCAGCTAGAGAGATTTGGGTTACATCAAGATTCATGGCTAATAGGAGTTTAAGATATGTAGCCCAGCTCCTGACATGTAGGGGCCAGAAGGAAGATGGTGTCTATGGGGAAGGGGCACTGATAGGAACAACAGAGGAAGGCAAGAGCCAGGCATGGTGGTGCAAGCCTGTAGTTCCAGCTCCTTGGAAGGCCAAGGTTGGGGGATTGCTTGAGGCCTGGGCTTTGAGACCAGCCTGGGCAATATAGTGAGACCACTTGTCTACAAAAAAGTTAACAATTAGCTAGGCATGGTGACTGTAGTCCTAGCCACTCAGGAGGCTAAGGCAGGAGGATCGCTTGAGCCCAGGAGTTTGAGGCTACGGTGAGCTGTGATCACAACACTGCACTCCAGCCTGGGCAATGGAGTGAGACTGTGTCTCAAAAAAAAAAAGACAAAACATTTGAGTTCATCATCCTTTTGAAACCAGCCCAATTTTCCCAGAAAACTGATGTTTATGGTTTTTTTAGATGAGAACATGTCCCGGCACACAAAAAAAAAGGAATAAAAAAAATTTAAAAACTGATGTTTATGGTTTTTTCTAAATAAACATAGAAATTGAATCTCCTGGTCTCTCTCTTTTAAGAGATGGGGTCTCACTATGTTGGCTAGGGTGGTCTCAAACTCCTGGCCTCAAGTGATCTTCCCACCGTGGCATTTGGCAACATTTCTTAGTGAGCAGACTCTGACTAAGACAGAATTTTTCTGCTGTCAAATGGCCTGAAGTCAATTATGAAAGTTAGGCATCTAGGGCATATATTTGTCAGGTTAGCTGAGTGCAGACTAACCAGGGACATGCTATAAAAGTTTATTTTTTAAAATAAATTCCTGATACAGCCTTCTTTTTTTATTGTTTACCTCATTCCCCTAAAAGCTAGGCATAACAAGAAAAGAAAAATGGCCGGGTGCGGTGGCTCATACCAATAATCCCAGCACTTTGGGAGGCCGAGGCAGGTGGATCACAAGAGGTCAGGAGTTTGAGACCAGCCTGGCCAACATGGTGAAACCCCATCTCTACTAAAAAGACAAAAAGCCAGGCATGGTGGCGGGTGCCTGTAATCCTAGCTACTTAGGAGGCTGAGGCAGGAGACTCACTTGAAACCAGGAGGCAGAGGTTGCAGTGAGCCGAGATTGCACCATTGCACTCCAGCCTGGGCGACAGAGTAAGACTCTGTCTCAAAAAAAAAAAAACAAAAAAACAAAAAAAACAAACAAAAAAAAACAAAGTGAAAGTTAAAAGTCAGTTAATTCAACTTCCACTATGGCCAAGATGGAGTACCAGGGGCTGGATTTATCCTACCACCTTAAAACTATAAAATTGTATGAAATGTATGAAAGAACTGTTTTTAGACATTGGGGCAATAAGCAGTGAAGAATTGTAACCCCCAAATATCTGGAAACACACAAAGTTAACCCTGCCATTGCATAAGGCTGTTTCCAGTATGCAGCACAAGGAGAAGAGACCCAAACAGAACCCAGCAGTCTCCTTGAGTTGAGGAGACAGAGACTGGTGTTCAGGGAGGTCAAGGCAACTATAATTTGTGGAACAGACTACCAGAGAGGAAGAAGCTGCACAGAGAAAATGTCCCAGAGATTGGCAGAAGAGTCCCCTTAAGTCTTTGGCTAAGTACTGATCTGCACAGAAGTAAGAAGAAAATACCAAGAGCCAAGGAAATAATCACCAAAAAAGGAGTAACTAGAATCATTCCTGGAGCTCACAGAAGGCTGGTAATAGTACATGTCTTCACCAGCCAGAGTAGAAAAATCTCCTAATACACAGATTACTTAGTAGAATCCTCAGAAGAATGATACCTTAGTAGGAGTGCAAAATTAACCCTAAACTAAAGGGTATTCTAGACCTGTCCTAACAAAGCTTAAGAGCAAGCTGAATGAAAATGAAAGTAAAACATCAAAATTGTAGGATGCAGCTAGTTGTGGTGGTACGTGCCTAGAGTCCCAGCTACTTAGAAGGCCGAGGCAGAAGAATAGCTTGAACCCAGGAGTTCGAGTCCAGCCAGTGCAACGTAAGATGACCCTATCTTTAAAAAAAAAATGTACGATGCAATTAAAACAATCCTTAGAAGGAAATTTATAGCATTGAATACTTACATAGGTTGAGCATTCCTAATCCAAAAATCTGAACTGCTCCAAAATCTGAACCTTTTTAGTGTCAACATGATACCACAAGTGGAAAATTTCATACCTGACCTCATATGAGAGGTTGCAGTCAAAACTTTGCTTCATGCTCAGAAGTATTTAAAATATTGTATAAAATTGCCTTTAGGCTATGTGTATAAGGTATATATAAAACATAGGCTGGCGCAGTGGTTCATGCCTATAATCCCAGCATTTTGGGAGGCTGAAGCGGGTGGATCACTTGGACCCAGGAGTTCGAAACCAGCCTGGCCAACATGGTGAAACTCCATCTCTACTAAAAATACAAAAATTAGCCAGGTGTGGTGGCACATGCCTGTAATCCCAGCTACTCAGGAGGTTGAGGCAGGAGGATCACTTGAGCCTGTGAGGCAGAGGTTGCAGTGAACCAAGACTGTGCCACTGCACTTCAGCCTGGGCAGCAGAGAGAGATTCTGCCTCAAAATAAATAAATAAATAAATAAATAAACCATAAATGAACTTTGTGTTTAGACTTGGGTCCCATCCCCAAGATATCTCATTATATTTATGCAAATATTCCAAAATCTGAAAAAAAAATCTAAAATCCAAAACGCTTCTGGTCCCAATAATTTCAGATGAGACACACTCAACCTGTATTAGAAAAGAGGGGCAATGATTTTTTGAAAATGATAACAAAAGCACAAGCCACAAAATGAAAATAAATAAGTGCAACTATATCAAACTAAAAAGCTTCTGCACAGCAAAGAAAACAATCAACAAAATAACTAGGCAACCTATGGAATGGGAAAAAATATTTGCAAACCATATATCTGATAAGGGGTTAATATCTAAAACATATAAGAAACTCATACAACAACTCAATTTCAAAAAAAATTCCAAACAACCCAATTTAAAAATGGTCAAAGGACCTGAATAGACATTTCTCCAAAGAAAACATACTAATAGTAAACAGGTATATGAAAAAAATGTTCAAAATCACTAATCATCAGGGAAATGCAAATCAAAACCATAATGAGATATCACCTCACACCTGTTAGGATGACTATTACAAAAAAGGTAAGAAATAACAAGAGTTGGAGAGGGTGTGAAGAAAAGAGAACCCTTATGCACTATTGATGACAATGTACATTGGTACGAAAGCAGTATGGAGGTTCTTCAAAATGCTAAAAATAGACCTACCATACAATGCAGCAATCCCATTTCTGGGCATATATTTGAAGGAAACAAAATCAGCATCTCAAAGAGATTGCAGCATTATTCACAATAGCCAAGATATGAAAACAACCTAAGCATCCATCAATGGATGAATGGAGAAAAAAATATGATAGATAGATAGACAGATAGATAAATACATACATACATACAATGGAATATTATTCATCCATAAAAAGAAGGAAATCCTGTCATTTGTGACAATGTGGATGAACCTGAAGGATCTTATGCTAAGTGAAATGAGCCAGACTCACAAACAGGCAAATACTGTATGATCACACTTACATGTAGAATCGAAAAAGTCAGACTCATAGAAGCAGAGTACAATGGTGGTTGTCAGGGGAGTGGAGGAAATAGGGAGATGTTGGTCAAAGGGTAAAAACTTTCAATTATAAGATGAAGAAGTTTTGGTAATTTTAATCTACAGCATGATTACCATAGTTTATTAAAATTCTCTGCTAAATACTTGATATCTTAAATGTTCTCACCACTAAAAAATGGCAAATTCATAAGGTGATAGATTCTTAACTAACTTGATTGTGGTAACCATTTCACAATATATGCATATAGCAAATCACCATGTTGTACACCTTAAACTTATACTGTATTTGTTAATTGTACTTCAATATATCTGAGGTGAAAAGAGGAAAAGACTCAAGTCAATAATATAAGCTCCCACCTTAAGACACTAAAACAAAAAGAGCTAAATAACCCAAAACCAAGCAGAATGAAGAAAATAATAAAAATAAGAGGAAAAATTAACAAAATTGAAAACAGAAAACAATAGAGAAGATCAATTAAAATGAAAGCTAATTATTTGAAAAGATGAATACAATTCACAAATCTGACAAAAACTGATAAATGTAAAACAAGACACAAATTATCAATATAGGAAATTAAAGAGAATATCAGTAGAGATGACTCAGACATTGAAAGGGAAAATAAGGGAATACTACAAATAAGTCTATGCACATAAATCTGACAGCTTCTATGTGATAAACCAATTCCTCAAATACCACAAGCTGTGAAAACTCACCCAAGATTAAATAAATAGCCTGAATAGTCCTATAACTATTTAAGACATTGAATTCATATTTTAAAGCCTTTCAAAAAAGAAATTTCTAGGTCCAAGTGGTTTCACTGGTAGACATTTAAAGAATATAAAAACCAATTCTACACAATCTCTACCATGAAATAGTAGAGAAGCCAACACTTTCCAATGCATTTTATGAGGTAAGCATTACTCTGATACCAAAACCAGACTAAAACAGTACAAGAAAAGAAAATTACTGATCAACATTTCTCATAAACCTAGTGGCAAAAATCCCTATCCTTGTAGCAAAACATGTACTTTAGAGGTGTATAACCTGGGCTAGAATCCAGAGTCTGCCATTTACTAGCTACACCACTTTCACCAAATCACTTAACTTCTCTGATCCTGCTTCTCGTCTGTAAAATGGAGATTACTATTGATATGGTTTAGCTGTGTGCCCACCCAAACCTCATCTTGAATTTTAGTTTTCATAATCCCCATGTGTTGTGGAAGGGAGCCAGTGGGAGGTAATTGAATCATGGGGGCAGTTTCCCCCATGCTATTCCCATGATAGTGAGTAACTTCTCAGAAGATCTGTGGTTTCATAAGGGGCTTCCCCATTCACTCAGTTCTCATCCTTCTCACTCCTGCCACCTTATGAAGAAGGACATGTTTGCTTCCCCTTCTGCAATGATTGTAAGTTTTCTGAGACCTCCCCAGCCCTGTGGAACTGTGAGTCAATTAAACCTCTTTGCTTTACAAATTACCCAATCTTGGGTATGTCCTTATAGCAGCATGAGAACGGACTAATACAGTAAATTGGTACCACAGAGAGTGGGGTGCTGCTCTAAGGATACCTAAAAATGCGGAAGCAACTTTGGAACTGGGTAACAGGCAGAGGTTGGAACAGTTTGGAGGGCTCAGAAGAAGACTGGAAAATGTGGGAAAGTTTGAAACTTCCTAGAGACTTGGAGGGCTCAGAAGACAGGAAGATGTGGGAAACTGTGAGACCTTCCTAGAGACTTGTTGAATGGCTTTGACCAAAATGCTGATAGTGATATGGACAATGAAGTTCGGGCTGAGATGATCTCAAATGGAGATGAGGAACTTGTTGGGAACGGTAGTAAAGATGAATTTGCTATGCATAGAGACTGGTAGCATTTTTCCCCTTCCCTAGATATCTGTGGAACTTTTGAACTTGAGAGAGATGATTTAGGGTATCTAGGGGAAGAAATTGCTAAGCACCAAAGCATTCAAGATGAAGCAGAAAAGTTAGGAAAATTTGCAGCCTGACTATGCAATAGAAAAGAAAACCCCATTTTCTGAGGAGAAATTCAAGCAGACTGCAGAAATTTGCAGAAGTAACGTGGAGTCAAATGTTAATCACCAAGACAATGGGTAAAATGTCCCCAGGGCATGTCAGAGGTTTTCATGGCAGCTGCTCCCATTACAAGCCTGGAGGCCCAGGAGGGAAAAATGGTTTCATGGGCTGGGCCCAGGGGCCCCCTGCTTTATGCAGCCTCGGGACATGGTGTCTTGCATCTCAGCTGCTTCAGCTCCAGCTGTGGCTAAAAGGGGCCAACATATAATTCAGGCCATTGCTTCAGAGAGTGCAAGCCCCAAGCCTTGGCAGCTTACACATGGTGTTGGGCCTGTGGGTGCATAGAAGTCAAGAATTGAGGTTTAGGAATCTCTGCCTAGATTTCAGAGGATGTATGGAAACACCTGGATGTACAGGCAGAAGTTTGCTGCAGGGATGGAACCCTCATGGAGAACCTCTACTAGGGCAGTGCAGAAGAGAAATGTGGGGTTGGTGCCCCCACACAGAGTCCCCACTGGGGCATGGCCTGGTGGAGCTGTGAGAAGAGGGTCACAATCCTCCAGACGCCAGAATGGTAGATCCACCAATAGCTTACACCGTGCACCTGGAAAAGCTGCAGACAATGCCAGCCCATGAAAGCAACTGGAAGTGGGGCTGTACCCTGCAAAGCCACAGGGTGGAGCTGCCCAAGACCATGAGAGCCAACCTCTTGCATCAGTGTGCCCTGGATGTAACACATGGAGTCAAAGGAGATCATTTTGAAACTTTAAGGTTTAATGACTCCCCTGTTGGATTTCGGTCTTGCATGGGGCCTGTAGCCCCTTTGTTTTGGCCAATTTCTCCCATTTGGAATGGATGTATATACCCAATGCCTATAGCCCCATTGTATCTAAGAAGTCACTAACTTGCTTTTGATTTTACAGACTCATAGGTGGAAGGGACTTGCCTTGTCTCAGATGAGACTTCGGAATTGGACTTGGAGTTAATGCTGAAATGAGTTAAGACTTTGGGGGACTGTTGGAAGGGCATGATTGTGCTTTGAAATGTGAGGACAAGAGATTTGGGAGGGGTCAGGAGTGGAATGATGTGATTTGGCTGTGTCCCCACCCAAATCTCATCCTGAATTGTAGCTACCATAAACCCCATGTGTCATGGGAGGGACCCTGTGGAAAGTAACTGAATTATGGGGTCAGTTTCCCCCATGCTATTCTCATGATAGTGAGTAAGTTCTCACAAGATCTGATGGATTTATAAGGGCTTCCCCCTTCGCTTGACTCATTCTTCTCTCTCTTGCCACCTTGTGAAGAAGAATGTGTTTGCTTCCCCTTCTGCCATGATTGTAAGTTTCCTGAGGCTTCCCTAGCCCTACAGAACTGTGAGTCAATTAAACCTCTTTTCTTTATAAATTACCTAGTCTTGGATATGTCCTTATAGCAGCATGAGAACAATCTAATACAACTATACCTGCCCCCATAACTTTGTTGTAAAGATTAGATGCAATAGTACAAAATGCTTAACATAATTCCTGAAATACAGTAGCATTCAATAAATGTTGAATAGTATTTCTATTAATATTACTATTGGTATTATTATTGATGTTCCCATATATGTGAAAATGTGAGGTACATTAAAACAACCAAAACCAGAGTGGACAGTAGTACATGCCTTCTGCTCTTGTGAGAGCTGGATGGGAGTATATGTCCAGGGTTACAAAGCAAATGTAGTACATATTCCAGGGCCTGACCTGTGCGAAGAGATTAATTGGAGAAGAATGAAGCAGTGGAATTCCTCCATCCCAGGATTTATAGGAACAAAGGTAGAAGCATGACTTCCCTTCAGACATACATTCTCTGGTGAGAAGAGTGAAGTCCTGCCAATCTGAGGGCTTCTAGAGCTGAACAACCTACGTGTCCCGAGACTTACGACAAGTAGATTCTAAATCACTGTCACTCTGAGATGGATCACAGGAGGCGTAACACTCTTAACAAGGCACTTCAGATGCTTCTGGTACACATGATTTATTGTTTTGGACTGAATTGTGCGCCCCACCCCTGCCGCCGCAACCTCCACCAAATTTATGTATTGAACTCCCACCCACTAGTACCTCAGAGTGTAACTATATGTGGAAATAGAGATTTTAAAGAGGTGATTAAGTTAAAATGAGGCCACTAGAGTGGACCCTAATCCACTTTGACTGGTGTCCTCATAGGCAGAGGGGATTAGGACACAGAAACACACAGAGGGAAGACCACGTGAAGACACAGGGAGAAGACAACCACCTGCAAGCCAAGGAAAGAGGCCTCAGAAGAAAGCAGCCCTGCCAAGACCCTGCTGATCCTGGGCTTCTAGTCTCCAGAATTGTGAGAAAATTAATTTCTGTTGTTTAAGCCACCTAGTCTGTACTAGACTGCACACCAGCCTGGGTGGCAGAGTGAGATCCTGTCTCACACACACACACACACACACACACACACACACACACACACACACACATAAATGAGAATTATAACTGTGGATAAGAGCTCACTGCTGGGTGGCCAAAGCAAAAGTTAAAGCAAAATTCAAATCATGGTGATTTTTCTTAAAACTTTTTGGTGACTCTCACTGCTCTGAAGATACAAATCCTTTCCATAGCCTCCAAGGCCTTGCATGGTATGGCCTTGTTAACCCTTCCAGCTACTATCTCTATTATCTAACAATAGCCACTTGGCCTCTGTCAGATCTACGGTAGTCCCACATTCCTGCCTGTTTTGTGATATTTGCACATGCTATTCCTTTTGCCTTAAAACTTGATCCCCTCCTCTTTGCCTAACCAACTCCTACTTACTCTTCAGGCCCCATTTTAAGTGTCACTTCCTCGGGGAAGACTTCCCTGATCCGCTAAATTAGAAAAATCTTCTTTAGTGTTTGTTTTCTAGCACTTTCCTATCTTCCCTCATGGTGTTTATTAATGTCTGGCTCCCCCGTTCAATTGTGAGCTCCATGAGAACAGAGGCTATGTCTGCTTTGTTCACCACGGTCTCCCCAGTGACTGATATGATGTAGATGCTCAATGAAAATTTCAATTGAAGGCAGAGAGGCAGTACAATGTGCCCTAGGAGTGATGCCCCCCATGAGAAGCCTAGTAAGAGAAGTGACCTAACTACTTCCTTGTGCGTGTCATTCTGCCTTCTCAGCAGTTTCGCCCAAGCTCTCTATTCCTAGCCTCACCTATTTTTCAACCCATCTCTATATTTCAATTCTTAAAGCACAACAGTCCTCTCCCCTTACTCTAGCTTTTGTTTCCCAACTTTTATAAAAACTGGGCATAGAAAAGTATTTCACTTTTTTTTCCTAATGTCACTGTAAGAATAACAATGTCAGTTCCATGAAAAATGGTAACCAACTTTCAGATTCAACATCAAGTTGATATTATAATAAGGGCAGCTACTGCTCAGTTCCAGTCAGTTGTTGCTATGAGGAAATGAAGGCCCTGTGTGCCAGATTTCATTTTTTCAGGAGAAATCAGGAATGCATATTTTTGTATGAACCTTCCTATTTTTGAAATATTGGCAACTATTTTTTAATGTGAGCTTGTGTTAGCCAAATGAAGCATATCTATAGGCTAGAAGTGACCTATACACCACCATTTTGCATCCTCAAATTATAAGTAACTATAATACAAGTCAGAATAAAATCAGTGGTATAATGGAAGTAGAATCAGCATGTCATAAGATCATGTAGAAAAGAACAATTACAAAATGCACATTGCCATATAAACAGATAAATTTTTGTAAAAGATAGGCCAACTGACCCATTCATTTGCTTAAGAGCACAGCCAAGGCAGGTTTCCGTGCCCTGACCTTTGTTTGGCCTCCTGAGTCACACAGCTTGTCTAGTCATGGACTGTGACATGCTCTCTTGCCTATTTTTTGCCTCCTAGATCTTGGCAACAAACATAGCGAGTAAGGGCAGAATGACGATCAGAACAAAGAAAAATAAGCTTAGAAAGGAGCACAGTGTTCTTTCAGAAAAGCCCTACAGGAAATGAGTTCCATAAAAATGATTCTTAGGCCTGTGTATGTATTAACAAATCATTCCTAAGTGCACCCCTTGAGTTTGGGCATTTTGATTGTAATTTCCAATATTGCACATTAAGACCCTCACTTAAATCCCTTGCCTCATCTCTTCAGTCTCCTAATTTATCAAAACATTCAAACCTGTGTTTGCCACATAATCCTATCTTACCTCAATATTCTACTTTTCCTCTAGTGAAAACACTGCTAATTGCTATTTAAATCTGACCACTTCCTCAAGATAGTCAAGCTTATCTGGACTATTCCCACTATCTCAGCTCATTTCTCCACCCATGCTTCATCCTTTCCATTTCCCTAATCTGTAACTCTTTTGTGAAATATCTTTGTGTAGCTCCATAATTCATGGACTCTTTCATGATTTACCTTAAGTAATTAGTTTCCTGGAATATAGCCATAGTCCAAAAAACTAATATTCATAGCAATCTTGGTACTTCCTGAAGTGTTAGATTCACATTTCTGATGACAAGTTATACAAAGAAGTTTGAAGACTGAGGCATAGAGTCAGATGCAAGGATGTTTGCTGGAACATTGTTTGTAATAGAAAAAGACGAGATAAATACCAAATGTCTACTCATTAGAGAAAGGCTAAATGTACCAGGACACAGCCATCTGTGGATTAGTATGAATGTTTCATGTATAAATGGACATGAAAAATCCCCAGGATATATTGCTGAGAGGAAAAAGTAAGAGAAAAACACATACAGTATGATACTATTTATGTAATTGTTTTTAAACACAGCAGTATATATTTATATAGGCATTATACACACATGTTTTATTGATGCATAATAGTTGTATATCATTTCAAGGTACATGTGATAATTTAATACATTCATATAATTTGTAAAGATCAAATCAGCCCATATGCATTTTTAAAAGCGTGGGGGGGTAATTCCAAACTGATAACAATTATTACCTTTGGGAAGAGGAAAGAAGTTTAGGGGAAGAGGGAGGAATAAATGAAAACTTTAAATTGTTTTGGATATACATAATTTTGTTATATTATTTTGTTACTTTGGTATTATATGCCTCTTATAATAGAATATAGGGCCCATGAGAATAAGGCTGAATTTTTTAACATTTAAAAACTTGTTGTAAAATACACATAACATAAAATTTACCATTTTAGCCATTTTTTAATGTTTTTTGTCTGTTTGTTTAGAGACAGGCTCTTGCTATATTGCCCAGGTTGGACTCAAACTCCTGGACTCAAGCGATCTTCCCACCTCTGCCTCCTAAATAGCTGGGACTACAGGCACATGACACCATGTCTGGCTCATCTTAGCCATTTTCAAGTGTACAATTTAGTGGCATTAAATACCTACACATTATTGTGCAACCATCAACACCATCCATCTCCAGAACTCTTTTCATCTTGCATAACTAAAACTCTGTTTCCATTAAACAATAACTATTCATTACCCTCTTCTCTACCCCCAACAACTGTTATTCTACTTTCTGTCTCTACGAATTTGACTACTCCACGTACCTCATGTAAATGAAATCATGGCCGGGCACGTGTGGCTCACGCCTGTAATCCCAGCACTTTAGGAGGCCGAGACAGGTGGATCACCTGAGGTTAGGAGTTCGAAACCAGCCTGGCCAACATGGCGAAACCCCATCTCTACTAAAAATACAAAAATTAGCTGGGCATGATGGCAGGCGCCTGTAATCCCAGCTACTCGGGAGGCTGAGACAGAAGAATCGCTTGAACTAGGGAGGTGGAGGTTGCAGTGAGCCGAGATTGCATCACTGCACTCCAACCTGGGCAACAGAGCAAGACTCCGTCTCAAAAAAAAAGAAGAAAAGAAAAAAGAAATCATACAGGATTTGTCCTTTTATGACTGGCTTATTTTGCTTAGCGTAAAGCCCTCCCAAGTTTCATCCATGTTGTAGAATTAGTAGGATTCCATTGTAGGCATATACCACATTTTGCTTACCCATTCATCCACCAGTGGACATTTGGGTTGTTTCTACTTTTTGGCTATTGTGGACAATGCTGCTATGACCTTGGGTATAGAAATACCTCCTTGAGTCCTTGCTTTCTATTTTTTAGGGCACGTACTCGGAAGTGAAGATGCTCCTTGATTCATGATTGGGTTACATCCTAATAAATCCATTGTAAGTTGAAAATACTATGTCAAAAATGCACTTAATACACCTAAACATCCTAACCTCATAGCTTAGCCTACCCTACATTAAATGTGCTCAGAACACTTACTTCAGCCTACAGACAGACAAAATCATCTAACACAAAGTCAATTTTATAATAAAGTGTTGAATATTTCATGTAATTTATTGAATATGGTACTGAAAGTTAAAAAAAAACAGAATGGATGTTGTTTTAGTCTGTTTTCATACTGCTATAAATGCTATAAAGAACTGACTAAGACTGGGTAATTTATAAAGGAAAGAGGTTTAATTGACTCACAGTTCAGCATGGCTGGGGAGGCCTCAGGAAAGTTACAATCATAGCAGAAGGCAGAGAAACAAGGCACCTTCTTCACAAGGCAGCAGGAAGGAGAAGTGCCAAGTGAAGGGGGAAGAACTCCTTATAAAACCATCAGATATCGTGAAAACTCACTATCACGAGAGCAGTATGGGGGAAAATGACCCCATGATTCAATTACCTCCACTCCACCCTTGACATGTGGGAAGTATGGGGATTACAATTCAAGATGATATTTGAGCAGGGACATAAAGCCTAACCATATCAGATGTATAGGTACTTGAAGTGCAGTTTCTACTTAATGCTTACAGCTTTTGCACTATCGTAAAGTAAAAAAAATCAGCACTCTCAAAATTCTTGCCCATACCTACTTCCCAGCTCCTGCTAGTACATGTTGACCAGATGCTGCAGTTTCAGAGTCTTATCCAGTTCACATCTTAGCAGGCATAGCATATCCCCATATGGGTTACATTGTGATTTAACCCTAGTTAAATCAAACCCTATGTCCAGGAGGAGGGGGTGCAGGCACATGTTGTCTTGCAAGAGAGAGGCCTCTGTATTGTCTTCAAGCAAATAGGGCATGCTAGCTCTTAATAGGAAGGTGCAGGCCACTTCTACAAGCTCAGAGGTCTCAGGGAAATCTGGGAATTCAAGATTTTCAGGCCCAGAAGTCCCTATCCCATGTGTCAAGATCTCTTTCTTTTTCAACCACAGCCTTGACCCTGGCATAGCACACTTGTCTTAGTTGATATGTTAGCCACCTTTGGAGCTTGACTACTCTTACAATTAAGTCCTAGACCTGGTCCTTAGCTTTCTCTATCATCCTGCTGCAGGAAGTAAGAGCCTCTTTATATGCTACCAAAGAGGCTCCATGGCTTTCACTCTTAACTTAAAATTGCTAATTAATCACTTTCAGCTTTGTGTTATCTTTGTTCAGAGTAGCAATCAAACTTCAGAATAGCTACTAAATTCCATCTTTTTTAAGATTACTATTCTCCCCATAGTTCTCAAATGCCTAATATATCCCAATAGCTACTGTATCCCCTTTCACCAATGAAAGTTTTACCTGCACTTCTACCTATGTCAGGGAATATCAGTGCTCCACCTACCAACATTAATGATGTCCTCGATGTCATCTAGGCAGTGGTTGATCCAGATCCAAAATCCCATCAAGGTACCTGCTTTCTCAGACCACTCTTGTCATCAACTGTCACAGAGTCTGGGTTCCCCAAGAAACAGACCCTGAGATGGAGACCAGTGTGCAGGGTGTTTATTAGGGAGTGCCCCTTGAGATCAACACTTGTGGAAAGGAGGTGAAAGAAAGAGGATTAGTCAGAGGGAGAAGTGAAGCCATGATGTAGTTCTAATGAAGGCCTCAGCCAACCCCATGGGAGGCTCTGGAACTAGAATGACTGCTTGTCCCAAATTAGGTTGAGAGGGCTGGGCCTTTATATCCCTGCATTGACTAATCACTGAGTGTGGGCTGCCCTTGGAAAGAGGTATGAGGTTTCAATTGGGTGAGGCAGTTTTCTTTAGCTATGGTAATCTCTAGAGAGAACTGGCACCCAAAGGCCATCTTTTAGATGTGCTTTCAGCAGCTAGAGTAATAACATCTTCATTGCTGAAGGGAAATCTGGATGCCCCATTACAGCATTCACCACATGTGCTGACGTCCATACTATGTGAATGCAAACTCTTTCTGATCCACCTTCAAAGGGGTATGGAAAATAAAACATTCACTTGACCAGTAGCCATATATACACGTATATTAATCTACTTCAGTAAAGATATGACATCTAACACAGCTGTTACAGTCGTTACTACTACTTAGTTAAATTTGTGGTACTTCATTGTCATTTGCCGTGATTTATCTGGTTTTCTCAGGAGCCACACTGGTGAATTAAATAGGTATCTGATGGGGACTGCATTATATAAGTCTTTGAAGGCACTAAATTCTGCAATTCTCCCTGGGATGTAATGTGGTTTGTCAATTTCATTTATTTATTTACTTACTATGTTGGTAAGAGGGGATGAGAAATTTCTGAGGCTTTTGCTTGCCTTTCCTCCTACAACAGATTTTACTCTGCTGTTTAAATAATCAATATAGGGGTTCTGCAAACTTCTCAGTTTTGCCAGTCCAATTATACGTTCTGGAACTAGGGAAATGACCATCAGATAAGTCCATAGACCCAGCAGACCCACAGTGACCTGTTCTTGGGCCAGGACTCTATTCATTTATTTCCTGTCTCTCATATGTTCCCACTCAAACAGAGGGAGCTGAGTTTCTCTACTGGAAAGTTATCATTTTTCCCTTGTAATTAATAAATATCATGGGAGAGATACTTTGAAGCCCTACTTCTTCTCAAACTTTCTCCCACTAATTTTTTTTTTTGCTTCTTTTTTTTCTCCCACTAATTTTAACATCCATTTTGCCCACAACAATTACGGTGTTTCTTCAATGATTTTGTGTTTTTCTCATTTCTTACATGTTTGTTTATTGAAATTATTCAATTAAACCTGCACATTCTCCCCAGTGTTTAGGTGATTTCTAAGCCCACGTAGGGTTGATATTTTAGGGTTCATTGTATTTATCACAATTTGAAATAATTTTGTTTTTCTATCTAACTGGTATGGATCAGATCTGTCCCAATTTTTCAAACAGTCAAGCCCCTTAAGCAACAGTGCATTGGTAGCTGCTAGGTTAGCTTAGCACACTTCCATAGATTCAGCCAATAAGAAGACAACTAGCCCAAATGGATACAGTTTATTACTAACACAGGCAGCAAAACAAGATCAGTATGATGTTGCTAATCCCACAGGATGACACTGAATTAGAGATGTCAGATGGCAGATGACACAAGCAATGGGTCACTCTGGTGTGCAGAAGCCAACTCTAAATTATAGCCAAGCAGTTTATGCTACAGCTCTACTGAAGTGGGCTGTGTGTGTGTATGTGTGTGATGGTACAAAGCTCTATGTTTCACTGGAACCAGGGAGGCAAATAAGAAACTACCTCATGGCACCCTCCCACAAGATAAGGAGGCAGTTGAGAAATGAGCTTGTGACAACTTATCACAATATTTCTTATCTTGCCATGTTGCAGAGAGATCACAGAGTATTCCTCCAAGATTTGAGTCAGACCATGGTTGAACCTTGGCTGTGTGACATAGGTGAAGGTGTTCAAGGTCACCAGGGCATCACAGCAGAACCATTCATTCCTCTACACTCACAACTAGAATGAAAGTTCCATGAGTCTAATGTCTGTATCTGGCTTGCTATACTGACGGTACCTAGAATAGCGTCTGGCACATACTAGATGCTCAGTAAATATTTGATCTAGGAATAAATGAATGAATAGGGGTTTATAGTGTCTACTCTTATGAGGTAAGAAAGATGTGTCTGCCATCTCTCTCCCTACCTCAAAGTGGGATCCATGTCCTTTTCTTTCCTGGTTCTTCATCTCTAATGGTTTACTTCCATCAACTGCCATCCAACTTACTTGCACTACTAAATCAGATTGAACAAATGACATTTCTAAGATATTTATTTACTCCTCTTCCTTTTTCCTCATTGAATTTTCTTGGTATTTGCTAGGAACAGTCTCTAGAAAAGTTGAATTGACTATGTTAAGATGTTGGGTCACTGACTTTTCTCCTATAGCAATGTGGTTCTCAACCCTAACTGTACATTAGAATTAACTTTTAAAAGGAAAAAAAAAAAACTTTTTCTCAGGCTCCACTGCTGGAGGCTCTGATTTAATCACTTTCTTGTGGGGCCAGAATGTGGGTAATTGTTTTCTAACTCCCCAGGTGATGTTATTTTACATCCAGGGCTGAGAACCACTGCATTAAATAAAGTATAGGCTTGTAGCCTGCACCCAGTGTTTTTTGGTGCACCTGCTCTTGAGACCTTAAATATCTAACAGAAAACAAAATATTTCATTCCATAAAAGAAAGGGAAAAATCAAATGTGAATACCCTCAGGAGAGGAATTAGACTGACCTAAAGATAGTAGGGTTTGAGCCCTAGATTCCTAAATCAGATGATCTGAGTTGGAGTGCAGACTCTGCCACTTAACCACCAGATGATTTTGGACAACTAACTTAACTTCTCTAACATGGGAAAGTACCTATCAGTATGCCTGGCATATAACAGGTCCTCAATATATTTTTATTGACTCTGTATATGAACCTCTGAATTCCATCTGTAAGTTGAGTGTAATAATGCCTGCCTGCATCCTGGGGTTGCTGTGAGACTGAAAATAGATAATGGGCACGAAGGCACTTTTTTTAAAAAAAATGATGTTTTTATTTACTTTTTATTATTATTTTTTTTTTAGAGAGACAGAGCCTCACTCTGTCACCCAGGCTGGAGTACAGTGGCATGATCATGGCCTACTGAAGCCTCAAGAGATTTCTGGGCTGAAGAGATCCTCCCATCTCAGCCTCCTGAGTAGCTGGGACTACAGGTGAGCACCACCTCATCCAGCTAATTTTTAAATTTTTCTTTTCATAAGACAGGGTCTCACTTTGTTGCCCAGGCTGGTCTCAAATGCCTGACTTCAAACAATCCTCCTGCTTTGGCCTCCCAAAATGCTGGGATTACAAGAGTGAGCCCCCACCCGCTGTCATGACTGCATTTTAAAATGCTCAGGTGCTGTACAAATGAAAAGGATAAACATTATTTTTCTTTTGTAGTATTGTTAAACATGTATATCACTTTTTTAAAATGTTTTGAAGAACCTTCATGCCTGTGGTCCTATAGAGTGTCATGAGAGCCCTGGGAAGTAAATTAGGCATCAAGTTAACTGGTAAGAAAACTGAGATAAGAGAGGTTGTGTGATCTGCGCAAGGTTGTTCAGCAAAACTAAGACTGGATCCCAGGACTGTTAAATCAAAAGCAGTGATTCTTAGCCAGGCACAGTGGCTCACGCCTGTAATCCCAGCACTTTGGGAGGCCGAGGCGGGCAGACGGTTTGAGCTCAGTAGTTCATAGACCAGCCTGGGCAACATGGCAAAACCCCACCTCTACAAAAATATATATATATTAAAAATTAGCCAGTCATGGTGGCACGCACCTATAGTCCCAGCTACTCAGGAGGCTGAGGTGAGAGGATCGCTTGAGCCCAGGAAGTTGAGGCTGTGGTGAGCTAAGATTGCGCCACTGCACTCCAGCCTGGGTGACAGCACAAGACCCTGTCTCAAAATAAATAAATAAATAAATAAATAAATAAATAAATAAATAAATAAAACAGTGCTTCTCTTCACCAGATGACTGTTATAAAAGGTCTATTAATAGCTCCCCTTAAATAAGTAGATTGGTTATCTGATCAGAGTTCTGAATTGTTGAACATGTTGGGACAATTTCTCTTACTTGACCCATTCGAAGCATGGATTGTACCTGAGGAAATCCAATAAATATTTCCCAGGTCTATATTCAATCCTCAGGTACACGATTTGTTTTGGGTTTTTGTTTCCCTCCACCTCTAGTTTTTCTTATGAAATATTTCAGTAACCATGCTGTTGGTACGTTGAGCAAAAGAAAAAGAAACCTTCCCAATTTCACCATCATCACCTTAGTTTCTTACCATGTGATGCTTTTCTAATTTCAACACTAAAAAAATACAGTGAAAATGACAACACCAAAGATGAATAACCACAAGATGGCAGAGTTTACCATTTCATTTTTTTTCTTGTTTATATCATTTATTCATTCATTCATTCAAGAATTATTCCCTGAGTGTCTACTATGTGTCTAGTGCTTTTCTAGGAGTCTAGAGGATTACAAAAGAGGTTTACATGTGATATAGATCCTGCTCTTGATGAGCTTGTGGTGGGGGGAGCCTGTGGGAAAGACATACCTGAGAACATTTAAATGAAAATACATGGTAATGTGTGATTAAAGACCAAATGCAGAGTGCTGTATGAGTTTGCAATGAGCCAGAGAAGTCTGTATGGAGGAGGGGAGAACAGAGCTAGGGCTTGAAGGATGAATAAAATAGATCGATGTAGGAAAAAAGAATAAATCCCCAGCAAAGGAACCAGTGTGGTCTATGCCACTTAGGTAGAAATGAGCAAGACACAGTCCCAGGTTAGTGGCATGACTAATCTAGTTATAATAAACAGATATTGGGTAAACAAGAATGAAATAAATTAGATCTCCATTGATTTTGTTAGAATGATGCCCACCACGAAAGCTAAACTTATCTATTAAGTCTGCCACTAACTTATTGCCTTTAGGCAAGCCGCGTGACTGATTCAACTCTAGGGTTCTCCTTTGTAAAATGTGCAGGTTGAACAAGATGACCTCAAATAGCCCTTCCAGATCTTAGAAGAAAAGGAGGGAGGGAGGGAGGGAAGGAAGGAAGGAAGGGAGGGAGGGAGGGAGGGAAAGAAAGGGGAAAAGAGAGGAGAGGGAAAAGCTGATTCTAAGTTCCCTAGCAATTACTCTATGGCCTTTGACATGGTTCAGTTGCAAAAAAGAACAGTGATAGTCTGGTATGGTGGTTACAACTTGGGGTCTACTATTAGCTAGCCTAGTTCAAGTCTTGGATCAGTCACTTAATAGCTATTTAACAATAGGCAAGTTAGCTTAGCCTTTATAAGTTTCACTCATTCATTCAACAAATATGTATGTAACACCTTACTGTGTTAGTCAGGGTACTCCAGAGAAACAGAAACAATAAAATATATTTATATCTATGTATGTATTAATAGGAAGAGAGACTCAGTTGTAGGAATTGGCTCACACAATTATGGAGGTCAAAGAGTCCCATGGTTAGCTTTCTGCAAGCTGGAGAACCAGAAAAGCCAGTGGGATAATTCAGTCTGCATCTGAAGGCCTGAGAACCAAGGAGCTCTGATGTGTGAGAGAAGACGGATGTCCCAGCTCAAGAGAGTGAATTGACTCTTCCTCCAAATTCAGGTCTTCAATAAATTGTATGATGGCCACCCACATTAATGAGGATAACCTTCTTTTTACACTCTACCAATTCAAATGCTAATCTCTTCTGGAAACGCCCTCACAGGCACACCCAAAAATAATGTTTTACCTGCTCTCTGGGCATCCCTTAAGCTAATCAAATTGACACATAAAATTACCATCACACTTACAATATGCTAAGCCCTATGTTAGTCATTGGGAATAGAGAGATAAACAAGACAAACAAGATCCCTTCCCCGGAACTTATAGTTTTGTAGAGGAGATAGCCCAAACCCAGAAAATCAAACAGCCTGTTACAGCATGCTGAGAAGAAATAAAACTCCATCATGATACGTGATTGCGATTGAGTCTTCGTGTAATCTTGAAAAACAAAGGGAACTTTCAGGGAGGTAAGAAAGGCTACAGAAGAAGGTTGCAGTCAACCTTCTGAGAATTACAATGTATTGTTTACTAAACGTGCTGGCAACGTCATCTGGCATGCAAAAACAATGGACAAGGCCCCAAATGATTGGCTTTCTAAACGGTAGTAAACCTCAAGGGTACCAATATAAAATTTATTCTTTGCTAGCGGGGAAAAATATTTTAAAAAGTTAATCTATCCTTTTTGGACTTTTGTGTCCTGATTCTCCAAAACTGATCACTTTGAGGAAACTGAATTAATTACGCATGTCCTTTGTTTGAAGGATTTTTTTTATTTTTTATTTATTTATTTATTTTTATTTTATTTTATTTTTTTTGAGACGGAATCTCCAGTGCCAGGCTGGAGTGCAGTGGCGCGATCTCGGCTCACTGCAACCTCTGCCTCCCAGGTTCAAGTGATTCTCCTGCCCCAGCTTCCCGAGTAGTTGGGACTACAGACGTGCGCCACCACACCCAGCTAATTTTTTGTATTTTTAGTAGAGATGGGGTTTCACCATGTTGGCCAAGATGGTCTCGATCTCTTGACCTCGTGATCCACCTGCCTCGGCCTCCCAAAGTACTGGGATGACAGGTCTAAGCCACTGCGCCTGGCCTTTTTTTTTTTTTTTTTTTTTTTTTTTTGAGATGGAGTCTCGCTCTATCACCCAGGCTGGAGTTCAGTGGTGGGATCTCGGCTCACTGCAACCTCCACCTCCCGGGTTCAAGTGATTCTCCCTGCCTCAGCCTCCCCAGTAGCTGGGATTCCAGGTGCCTGCCACCACGCCCTGCTAATTTTTGTATTTTTTAGTAGAGATGGGGTTTCCCCATGGTGGCCAGGCTGGTCTTGAACTCATGACCTCAGGTGATCCGCCCGCCTTGGCCTCCCAAAGTGCTGGGATTACAGGTGTGAGCCATTGCACCTAGCCTGTTTGAAGGATTTAGATAACAGCCCATTTTTCTCCACTCAAATGTTATCTGATGTGCTAGCTGATGATAAATCATTGCTGCTCGTTTAGATAGATTCAGTTTTTAATTTTTTTTTTATTTTAGAGACAGGGTCTTGATCTGTCACCCAGGCTAGGG
The DNA here is from genome assembly GCF_000001405.40 of Homo sapiens. Taxonomy (NCBI): domain Eukaryota; kingdom Metazoa; phylum Chordata; class Mammalia; order Primates; family Hominidae; genus Homo; species Homo sapiens. Next base: position 120,661,543 of record NC_000023.11, on the reverse strand, counting down.
TACAGTGACACAATCATAGCTCACTGCAGCCTACGCTTCCTGGGCACAATTGATCCTCCTCCACCGCAGCCTCCCAGGTAGCTAGGCCTACACGTGCACACCTCCACACCCAGCTAATTTAAAAATTTTTTTTGTAGAGACAAGGTCTCACTCTGTTGCCTTGGCTGGTCTCAAACTCCTGGCTCAAGCTATCCTCCTGCCTCGGCTTCCCACAGCACTGGGATTATAGGCGTGAATCACCATGCCAGGTACCAGATTTATTTTTAAAAAAGATCTTTGGCTAGGAAAGCCTTCATGATCCAAGGGATTGAATCTCAAATGGTGGAATCTGAGAAATTAAGACATGCAATGCAGGAAATAGGTTCAGGAATGCCCATTGCCCTGTGTGGTTTAACTCAGGCAGTGGTTAGGAGCAGGTGTTTGAAATCACATAAGTGGGCTTTCAGATCCAATTGCAAATCCTAGCTCTGCAACATATTGGCAGGGTGATCAAGGTAAGTTAATTCAGTTTCCTCAACTGTAAAACAAGGATAAGAAGGACCTGTCTTACAAGGTTGTTATGAAGATTAAATGTGGTAACATACAGTCATTCAAGAAGAGCCTGGCATAATTTTTTAAGTGCTCACATATTTTTATTATTTAATCACGTCTGGTGATTAAATAGAGCTGGCTGTTGCCTCTTCTTTTCCGAAACCACGGAGGGCTCCTCCCAAACAGCCCTGGGACATTTATGGTCCCCGCCCTGTTTGCATTTCAGACCAAGAGTGAAAGGAGCTGCAATGATCAGGAGCCCAGACCATTGGTCCCACGTAACTGGTAACATCCACATGCAGGACATAAAGGGGAAAACTTGGAAAGACAGATGAAACCTGTGCCTTCCCTCCCCCAGATAAAAAACAAAAGCACGACCCGGTGCGGTGGCTTATGCCTGTAATCCTAGCACTTTGGGAGGCTGAGGCGGGTGGATTACGAGGTCAGGAGTTCGAGACCAGCCTGGCCAACATGGTGAAACCCCATCTCTAATAAAAAAAAAAATACAAAAATTAGCTGGATGTGGTGGTGGGTGCTTGTAATCCCAGCTACTCAGGAGGCTGAGGCAGGAAAATTGCTTGAACCTGGGTGGCAGAAGTTGCAGTGAGCTGAGATCGCGCTACTGCACTCCAGCCTGGGTGACAGACCAAGACTCCGTCTTGGAAAAATAATAATAATAATAAAATAAAAAAATAAAAAATAAAAGCACAGTTGAGCATAATTCTGCCCAGACTTCTGCTGGGAGAAGTTTGCACACTAGATACTTTTATATCCAAGCTACCAGGTCAATTAGCATCCCGAGTGCTTACAGGAGTGAGTAGCAGGAAGCAGGGAGCCTTTTTCCCATCTCCCCAACAACCACCCTGATGCCTCAGACACTTTTCCCTTTCCAGCAAACTGATGGAGTGGGTGCACTTCACAAGTGCCCTCTCTCTCCTCCTTTTACACTCCCTCAGTCTACTCCCAGAAACCTCCGGTGATTTCTGCTTTCTACTTTAGAGCCTCCAGATTTTTCCCCGATCCTTCCTCTCTATAAAAACATGCCTGTCCTATTCCCTCAAGACCTCACTCTTCACTAGATGTCAGTAATATAATTTGGGGTTAAAGCATGCTAATATTTTGGTTATGTTGTTTCTCACCAGTTCCAGATGCAAATTTCAAAGAATACATTATGAAAGATATTAAATCAACAAATATTTCTGAGGGCCTAGTATGTACTCAGCCTTGTGCTAGATTCTATAGCACTGGACTAAGGAGCAAACAAATTGGTACAGTGGGTCTATCCAGCCTTGTTGCTGACATCAGCAACCGGGAATGTGCTCTGGAAAAAAAAAATAGGTGGAACGTTAATATAAACTTTCTGACAGGCAATTTAGCCAGATGTAGCAAAAACTTTAAAAATGTATATAATCTTTGACCCAATAATTTTTCTCCAGAGAATTTATACTAAGGAAGTAATCAGGGATATATACAAAGATGTATGTACGATGATATGTATTGCAGCAGTATCTATAATACCAAAAACTTGAAAACAACCTGAATGTTCAAAATAGGGGGTTAGGTAAATCATTAATTCTGCATCCATATGATAGAATACTATATGTTCATTAAAGTTATATTAATAAATGATCATTTTATCCAGCCTGGCTCAAAATAAATTATTCTTTAAAGACGAGAAACAAATGTATTGCTGAGTATGAAAATTTTTGTTTTAATTTTATACACAGAAAAAAAAAAGACCGTGTATGGTTGCTCATGCCTGTAATCCCAACACTTTAGGAGGTCGAGGCAGGAGCTTGAGTTCACAACCAGCCTGGGCAACATAGCAAGACCTCATCTCTACTAAAAAGAAAACTAGCTGAGTGTGGTGGCACGTGCCTGTAGTTCCAGCTACTGGGGAGGCTGAGTCAGGAGGATCTCTGGAGCCCAGGAGTTTGAGGCTGCAGTGAGCTATGATCAAACCAGTGCACTCCAGCCTGGGCAATAGAGAGACTCTATGGCTAAAAACAAAACAAACAAACAAAAAAAATCCCACTCTAAATGTCGAAAAATAATGGTTATCTCAAATTGGTAGGATTATTAATAATGTTTTTGGGGCTACATGTTCTAAATTTTCCACAAGAAACATTCTTTTATAATTGGAAAAACAATGAAACTTATCTGTTTTTAAATGTAATATTCCTGGCCAGGCTCTGTGGCTCACGCCTGTAATGCTAGTACTTTGGGAGGACAAGGCAGGCAGATCACCTGAGGTAAGGAGTTTGAGACCAGCCTGGCCAACATGGCAAAACCCCATCTCTACTAAAAGTACAAAAAAAAAATTAGCCTGGCATGGTGGTGCATGCCTGTAGTCCCAGCTACTCAGGAGACTGAGGCAGGAGAATCTCCTGAGTCTGGGAGGTGGAGGTTGAAGTGAGCTGAGATGGTGCCAATGCACTCCAGCCTGGGCTACAGAGTAAGACTGTGTGTCCAAAGCAAAATAAAATAAAATAAAAATAAAATGTAATATTCCCTGAGACAGTTTGTCCTCCTTGTAACATCGAAGATTAACTATATTCCCAGGTTCTCCTAATGACACCATTTGTAGTTTTGCATTTACAAATGTGTCTGACATTTTTAATCCTTTTGATTTCTGGTTAGCAGCTTCTCAGACTATTATTTTTTGAACCAATTATAGATTCACAGAAGATTACAAGGCATGTATACCTTTTCCTCAGTATCCTCCAATGTTAGCATCTTATACAACTATAGTGCAATATCAAAACCAAGAAATTGACATTGGTACAATCCACAGTGCTTATTCAGATTTCAGCAGCTCTACATGTATATTTGCATGTGGTGTGTGGGTGAGTGTTTAGTTCTATATAATTTTACCATAGTATAGCCTTGCATCACCATCACTACAATCAATCAAGACATAGAACATTTCAGTCACCACAAGGATCCCTCTTGTTATTGTTTCATAACCACACCTCCCTCCCTCACTCCCTCTCAACTTCCCTAACCCCTAACAACCACTAATCACTCTTCCATCTCTATAATTTTGTCATTTCACGAAGATTACACAGATGGGATCATACAGTATGTCACCTTTGGGGATTAGCCTTTTTCACTCAACATAATCAGCATAGTCTGGAGATTCATCCATGTTGTCATGTGTATCGATAATTCATTCCTTTTTCTTACTGAGTAGTATTCCAAGTTATGGATGTACCACAGTTTATTCAATTATTCATCGTTTGAAGGATGTTTGGGCTGTTTCATTTTTGGCTATTACAAATGAAACTTCTATGGACATTCATATATATCTTACTTTACTATACATATATATATAAAAATATATATATATAAATATATATGTGTGTATATATATAAATATATATGTGTATATATATAAATATATATGTGTATATATATAAATATATATGTGTGTATATATATGTGTGTGTATATATATATATATATATATATATATATATATATATATATATATTTGAGACAGAGTCGCCCAGGTTGGAGTGCAGTGGCATGATCTCAGCTCACTGCAACCTCTGCCTCCCAGATTCAAGCGTTTCTCCTGCCTCAGCCTTCTGAGTAGCTGAGATTACAGGTGGCCGCCACCATGCCCAGCTAATTTTTGTATTTTTAGTAGAGACTGAATTTTGCCATGTTGCCCCAGGCTGGTCTTGAACTCCTGACCTCAAGTGACCTGCCTGCCTCAGCCTCCCAAAGCACTGTGATTACAGGCATGAGCCACTGTACCCAGCCTCATCTTACTATTTTTTAAAAATCCTCAATTTATGTCACCCAAGATCCCAGGAAACACTCCTCCTCCTATATACAAGGACTTGTTGAACAAATCCATGTTTACCTTACCCATACTGGCACAATTTTATGAGAAACAATCTAGATTAAGAAAAGAACATGGAATTATACTGTATTTTCTTGATGAATTATAGTTTTTTATTTATCCATCTTTGCCCCTCAACTATGAATTGAGGGGCAGGGTCCATGACTGGATTTCCTTTACACCTAGAGCAAGGCATGGGGCATAGCATAGAGTAGGTATTTAGAAAATGTTAGGATCTCTAGGGGTGGGTGGGATCCAGGGATAGATGTTTTATAACAAACTCCATAGATTATAATGTGCAGTCAGAGTTAATTTAGCTGAATAAACAAATTCATAAAGAGGAAGAAGCAAAGCTCACTGTAGGAGAGGGCAGACACAGGGCCGGGAATATAGATGTCCTATTATCATTTTTCACCTAAGATAGCGAGTTTTTTGGACAGATTACCCTCTAGACTGTATGGTAGGGAATCAGTGATTTCCAATTCTGTGTTTGAGAAGTGCTATTATTAAATCCCTATGGCTGACTGAAATAAAGAAAAGACAGCTTTCATCTGCTCTGTGGGGTTTTACCTATTTGAAAGACTGCCCCATACATCTTTTCAGCCCCAGACACCTTCCAGGGTTTTATGGAAGGGCAATTGGTGATATGAATTACCTGGAGGTACTTGCTTGTTTAGATGACATAATTATATTTGGTGGCACTTTGGAGGAGAGGAGCAATTGCTCCTCATTTTACTGGATCACTTGGGAAACACAGCCTGAAACTGTCCCTTGACAAATGCCAGTTCTGCAAGACCTCATTAAAATATTTTGGGTAGATATTTTTAAAAATCAGTTCAAACAAACTTTGGAACAAAAAATAATACGTTGGATATATAAAATCACAGCAGAGGCTGGGCATAGACCCTGAAAAGATCACTGAATGGCCAGTGTTCAACATTTAAAGACATTTGGGAGATTCAGCAGATACCACAGGAGCTGTTTGAAGGACTGTTCAAAGATTGCAAAGCTCATCAATGAGTTGATTCAGGATGGTCAGGTCAGAATTGGAGCACACATTAGAAAGGGCTGTGGAGTTGAAGAGGAAGGGAGAAGCAGGTACAAAATGCCAGGGCCTGACAGTGAGGAAGAGTGTTTGCGGCTCAACTACGTGGCCTATCAAAATAAAGCTGCCCTTACTGAGGGATCCCCCAGAAAGCAAACTAACAGACGAAGGAGTTTTCACCTGGGCAAACTTCTCTCATGTGCTCCTCCTCTTACTTCAACATTTTGGAAATTGTCAACCTGCTTGGCTCAAGGTTCTGTTTTAGCATATGCTGTCCACTACCTCCAAGACCTTTGACAAATAGATGCCAATTTTGATGACTTAGAAGCAGTGCTATGTCATAAAAATACAGAGGAGAAAATAACTACTGATTTTTGACAACTAGAATAGGTCAGCTGGTGAGACTTGGAATCAAGTTCAAAAATTCGAGTTTGCAGCACAAAAGTAGACAAGTACAGAAACATCCTCAGGTACTTGGTGCCCTGGAAGGCAGGGATGCTTATTTCAGTCTCCTGCTGCCCTACTGAGAGGGTCAGGTTGAAATCTCATATTGGAACATGGAAAGGCTGTGACACAGAGGTCTTTTGTTGTCCCCCAAGCTGAGAAGTGAGGTGAGAACTAATAGGATTCAGGTATGTGCCCTGGGGACAGCATCTCCCTTTCTTGAAGACTTTAAGAGGAATCAAAGGAATCCTGGCAGCCCAGGTTCTCACAACCATATTTGACATCACTTAAATAGTTGAAAAAGGTAGGCCCGGCGCGGTGGCTCACGCCTGTAATCCCAGCACTTTGGGAGGCCTAGGCGGGCGAATCACGAGGTCAGGAGATCGAGACCATCCTGGCTAACACGGTGAAACCCCGTCTCTACTAAAAATACAAAAAATTAGCCGGGCGTTGTGGCCGGCACGTGTAGTCCCAGCTACTCGGGAGGCTGAGGCAGAAGAATGGCGTGAACCCGGGAGGCGGAGCTTGCAGTGAGCGGAGATCACGCCACTGCACTCCAGCCTGGGCGACAGAGCGAGACTCCGTCTCAAAAAAAAAAAAAAGAAAAACAAAAAGGTTGAAAAAGGTAATAGTGTTGCCAAAAGCAGGATTGGTGATAGCAAAGGAGGAAGTACAAGGTTGCTTCAGTGTTAATGCAGTGCCTGTGGGCCCTCAATGGTAACTGTGAGTATAACCCTGAAGAAGAGGCCAGAAAGTTCTTTGGTTGATCATATTTAGGCCTCCTGTCTATCAGGAACACCACAATTGAGCAGCCAAGATTAGCTTTTGAGAGGATAGGTGTGGGCAAAAGCAATGACAGAACACTGTCTAGGATTTGCGGAAAGAGACACCTAGGGCATTTGGTTCATATTGGTGTGCCAAAATTTTGGGGGAAGGATTTGATCTGCTCACATCTAGGTCAGAGAAGGCACTGTCCTCTTCTGTACTCAACTGGAGGTTGATGGAAGGAAACAATAAGCCAGTCTTCCCTTGTAGGGATCTCCAGGATTTTCTCCCCAGGCAGTTTGTAACATAGTAGAGGCTTTAGACTCATTTAGACACGAATTCAAATCCTGGCTTTCATCCTTTGTTAGCTGTGTGAGCCTGAACAATTTAATTCACTTCTCTCAATCTTAGTATTCCCAACTGTAAAATAAGGATGATAATACAGACAGTCATTGTGCAGTTTAAATGAAATTAATATTTATTGATGCCTGACACCTACTAAGCACTTGATAGATTGTTGTTATTACTACAATTTGTGTTGATTACCATAAATTTTCATTTGGAAGAGGATAGTTTCGGATAGTGAAGAAAACATAAGCTTTGAATCCAGAAGACTCAACATTGCATCCTGGCTGTACCCCTATCTATGCTAGCTTGGGCAAACCAGTGTCCTTATCTATAACATGGCACACTCCAAATGACCATCACTATTTACCCCATCAGTAGTGGCAGATCCAAGTTTTGTGGGGCAGAAGCTTATATCATTTGGGTTAAATAAGTTTATTTTTAAAGAATAAAGTTAGGTAAAACCCTGAACATTTATTTAGAATGAGAAAACAAATCACAAGAAACTACAAGTTTTAAAACTGGCAAATACCACAAACATCACAAAATCAGGAAAAATAATATAATATTTTCATTATATTAGCTGACGCACCTCCACGCTACCTTTTTTCCTATATTTTTGTCTGCATATCTTTTGATTACCTCTTCATCCAATACTACTTTTGTAGTGTAATTTCTATGGAGAGAATAGAAAAACAATTTAGTTTTTCCCAAGAGTTTAGAAAAGCCTCTTTCAGCATGGCAACCCATTACTGGCTAATGTGATGTAAAGTTCTGGATTGTTGTCAAATTTAAGAAAACCTCTATCAAACCTCTATTATTTCTTTTATATACAAGCTGTAAGATTTTAGGATATGTCAGGTCTTTTATGTAATGACTAATACTTAAAAAGCTTTGAATTGACTACTTTAGAAGGGTTCCCATAAGTCATTACTGCACTGATACGGCCAGCAATAACTTAACTATACACAGAAGTGACACCACACCACATAAATATATTCCATTAGCCCCAAGTAAATGTATCTGCAACTCAATTTCTCTTCAGTCGTGAAGCAGCTACGTTGTCCAGGGTATATACCCCAGGTTCGTTGTCTCACACCAGGAAAATTTAGGACACGGACACACACAAGGAGTTTAGGAGTGGAGGTTTAATAGCCAAGGAAAAAGAAAGGAAAACTGCTCTCTCTCTAGTGAGAAGACAGGGGACTTCCCAGAGGAAAGGCCACCAGCCTTGGTGGATGCCCCAGATTTTATAGTCAGGCTTGAGGAGGCAGTGTCTGATTTACATAGGGCTCACAGATTGGTTGGATCAGGTATGATGTTTACATAGCGCACAGGGATGTGGGCTGCCCCACCCTAATCTTATTATGCAAATGAACTTTCCCCTTGGCAGACACCATCTGGTCTGCTCCTTACTGTACACGTGGCTGACGAAGAGAAGGGAAGATGGAGCCAACATCTTGAGCATGATTGGCACAACTGCTGGCATCTATGTCTGCAGCTTGATTTTACAGGCTGCTTTTTGTTAAAAAGGAAAATAATTTAGGGCTGCTTTTTATTAAAAGTAAAACCTTACAGAGGACTTCCGTTCCCTCACTATCTGCCTAAGTAATTTCTTCTTTTTTTGTGTTTCAAAATATACTCAATCTTTATTTGACAAATATTTTTAAATAAAAAATGAAGTACATGTATAAAAAAAGAATTTGAGATACATATAATTTACAAATCTGCTGATACTGATGTTTATTACTGACAATTTTATTTGCGTTTTTTTTTTAATTATACTTTAAGTTCTGGGATAAATGTGCAGAACGTGCAGGTTTGTTATGTAGGTATACATGTGCCATGGTGGTTTGCTGCACCCATCAACCCATCATCTACATTAGGTATTTCTCCTAATGCTATCTCTCCCCTTGCCCCCTACCCACCGACAGGCCCTGGTGTGTGATGTTTCCCTCCCTGCACCATATGTTTTCATTGTTCAACTCCCACTTAAGAGTGAGAATATGAGGTATTTGGTTTTCTGTTCCCATGATAGTTTGCTGAGAATGAAGGTTTCCAGCTTCATCCATGCCCTGCAAAGGACATGAACTCATCCTTTTTTATGGCTGCATAGTATTTCCTGGTGTATGTGTGCCACATTTTCTTTATCCAGTCTATCATTGATGGCCATTTGGGTTGGTTCCAAGCCTTTGCTATTGTGAATAGCACTGCAATAAACATAGGTATGCATGTGTCTTTATAGTAGAATGATTTATAATCCTTTGGGTATATGCCTAGTAATGGGATTATTGGGTCAAATGGTATTTCTAGTTCTAGATCCTTGAGGAATCGCCACACTGTCTTCCACAATGGTTGAACTAATTTACACTCCCACCAACAGTGTAAAAGTGTTCCTATTTCTCCACATCCTCTCCAGCATCTGTTGTTTCCTGACTTTTAAATGATTGTCATTCTAACTGGAGTGAGATGGTATCTCACTGTGATTTTGATTTGCATTTCTCTAATGACCAGTGATGATGAGCTTTTTTTCATATGTTTGTTTGCCACATAAATGTCTTCTTTTGAAAAGTGTCTGTTCATATCCTTCACCCACTTTTTGATGGGGTTGTTTGTTTTTTTCTTGTAAATTTGTTTAAGTTCCTTGTAGATCCTGCATATTAGCCCTTTGTCAGATGGATAGATTGCAAAAATTTTCTCCCATTCTGTAGGCTGCCTGTTCACTCTGATGGTAGTTTCTTTTGCTGTGCAGAAGCTCTTTAGTAATTAGATCCCATTTGTCAATTTTGGCTTTTGTTGCCATTGCTTTTGGTGTTTTAGTTGTGAAGTCTTTGCCCATGCCTATGTCCTGAATGGTATTGCCTAGGTTTTCTTCTAGGGTTTTTCATGGTTTTAGGTCTTTCATTTAAATCTTTAATCCATCTTGAGTTAATTTTTGAATAATGTGTAAAGAAGGGGCCCAGTTTCAGTTTTCTGCATATGGTATGGCTAACCAGTTTTCCCATCACCGTTTATTAAATAGGGAAACTTTCCCCATAGCTTGTTTTTGTCAAGTTTGTCAAAGATCAGATGGTTATGGATGTGTGGTGTTATTGCTGAGGCTTCTGTTCTGTTCCATTGGTCTATATATCTGTTTTGGTACCAGTACCATGCTGTTTTGGTTACTGTAGCCTTGTAGTATAGTTTGAAGTCAGGTAGTGTGATGCCTCCAGCTTTGTTCTTTTTGTTTAGGCTTGTCTTGGCTATGTGGGCTATTTTTTGGTTCCATATGAAATTTAAAGTAGTTTTTTCTAATGCTGTGAAGAAAGTCAATGGTAGCTTGATGGGAATAGCATTGAATCTATAAATTACTTTGGGCAGTATGGCCATTTTCATGATATTGATTCTTATTATCCATGAGCGTGGAATGTTTTTCCATTTGTTTCTGCCCTCTGTTATTTCCTTGAGCAGTGGTCTGTTGTTCTCCTTGAAAAGGTCCTTCACATCCCTTGTAAGTTGTATTCCTAGGTATTTTATTCTCTCTGTAGCAATTGTGAATGGGAGTTTACTCATGATTTGGTTCTCTGTTTGTCTGTTTATTGGTGTATAGGAATGCTTGTGATTTTTGCACATTGATTTTATATCCTGAGACTTTGCTGAAGTTGCTTATCAGCTTAAGGAGATTTGGGGCTGAGATAATGGGGTTTTCTAATTATACAATCATGTCATCTGCAAACAGAGACAATTTGACTTCCTCTCTTCCTGTTTGAATACCCTTTATTTCTTTCTCTTGCCTGATTGCCCTGCCCAGGACTTCCGATACTATGTTGAATAGGAGTGGTGAGAGAGGGCATCCTTGTCTTGTGCCGGTTTTCAAAGGGAATGCTTCCAGCTTTTGCCCACTCTGTATGATACTGGCTGTGGGTTTGTCATAAATAGCTCTTATTATTTTGAGATACGTTCCATCGATACCTAGTTTATTGAGTGTTTTCAGCATGACGGGGTGTTAAATTTTGTCAAAGGCCATTTCTGCATCTTTTGAGATAATCATGTGGTTTTTGTCATTGGTTCTGTTTATGTGATTGATTACATTTATTGATTTCTGTATGTTGAACCAGCCTTGCATCCCAGAGATGAAGCTGATTTGATCTTGGTGGAAAAGCTTGTTAATGTGCTGCTGGATTCGGTTTGCCAGTATCTTATTGAGGGTTTTTGCATCGATCTTATCAGGGATATTGGCCTGAAATTTTCTTTTTTTTTTTTTTTTTGTTGTGTCTCTGCCAGGTTTTGGTATCAGGATGATGCTGGCCTTATAAAATGAGTTAGGGAGGAGTTCTTCTTTTTCTATTGTTTAGAATAGTTTTAGAAGGAATGGTATCATCTCCTCTTTGTACCTCTTGTAGAATTCAGCTGTGAATCTGTCTGGTCCTGGACTTTTTTTTGGTTGGTAGGCTATTAATTACTGCCTCAATATCAGAACTTGTTATTGGCCTATTCAGGTATTTGGCTTCTTCCTGGTTTATAAAAAATAAAAGTAATTCATGGCTCAAGAAGAGTTTAATGTAATCAACTCAGAGATTTCACTGTGCATTCCTTCAGCTCTTTTATAGAAATACATTTATTAAAAAATGTTGCTCCACCCAATCCTATCCCTAAGGAATCATGCTTTTGAAATGTCAAAACAATCCTTTAACCTCCTTTATCTTTATCTTTGTTTCCTACTTCTCAGGCAATATCTACTCAGAGGAAAGTGGGTTACAATCCTATGGTGACTTAATTCCCTTAAAAACAGATGTTATGCACAGCTGGGAGTGGTGGCTCATGCCTGTAATCCCAACACTTTGGGAAGCCAAGGTGGGAGGGATCGCCGGGGTTTGAAATCAGCCTGGGCAACATAGTGAGACCCCATTCTACAAAAATAAAATAAAACATATTTACTAGGTATGGTGGCTTGTGCTTGATGCCTGTAGTTCCAACTACTCAGGATGTTGAGGCAGGAGAATCCTTTGGGTCCAAGAGGTTGAAGCAGCAGTTAGCCATGATCATGCCACTGCATTCCAGCCTGGGTGACAGAGCAAGACACTGTCTCGTAAAAAAAAAAAAAAACAGAACCAGTGGTTGTGACATCCTGTCAGAAGCCTTTTGGTGACCTGCAAATCCCGTCTGAATTAAAACAAAAACAAAAACACACTTTTTTTTTTGAGGCAGAGTCTCCCTCTGTTGCCCAGGCTGGAGTGCAGTGGCATGATCTCAGCTCACTGCAACCTCTGCCTCCCGGGTTCAAGCAATTCTCCTGCCTCAGCCACCCAAGTAGCTGGGACTACAGGTGCACGGCACCATGCGTGGCTGATTTTTTTTGTATTTTTAGTAGAGATGGGGTTTCACCATGTTGGCCAGGCTGCTCTTGAACTCCTGGCCTCAAGTGATCTGCCCACAACCTCCCAAGTTGCTGGGATTACAGGCATGAGCCACAGCACCAGGCCAAAAAAAAAAAAAAACTTTTTTGAGATCAATTTATATTATATCCACTGAATGTTTTATCTGTTTGCCATATGCTATATAATCTTTCAAGTAAATCCAGTTAACTAAATAAGCATTACAGAAATCACCATAATTTCCTTTAACAAATTATACTGGTTCAGATATGCTCTACTAGCTTTTCTGACATGACAGTCAAACTCCTCAGTTCTTGACCTCTATTGTCACATAAAAATCTTTTAATTATGGATATTTTCAAACACACACACAAAAGTATAGAGAATCACACAATGAAGTTCCACATATCCATGACTCAGCTTCAGCAATTACATTCTGCCAATATTAATCATCATTTTTTTATTTTGTTTCTTGGTTTCAAGGAAATTTTGAGCATTAGGCTCTAACTAGGAAGATGGCCATATTCACATTCTCACTTGAAATAAAGCTGTAACCTACATAACAGTTATCTAGATAGAGTCTAAAAACATCCCTATTCCCATATTTTCCATCTCTAACCAACCTACTCTTCACTCCCTCTCCTCCCCACCCCTGAGCTGCAACCAAGATTTGTCCCAACCAACTAATCTAACCCTTTCAACTATGTAAATATAGGAGAGGAGGACTTTGAGAATAGATTTGCTCAGCACACTACATAAGAGGCAAAATTGCCTTCTGACAAGTTTATATCAGGGTAATCCCAATTTCAATTCTTTACTTCCTAGAAAAGTGAACAAATAACAGGATTAGTACAAAACTTATTTTTAGCCCTTTAGTTCAAAGATCTGTTTAAAAGCATGCCTAGGCCTGACGTGGTGGCTCACGCCTGTAATCCTAGCACTTTGGGAGGCTGAGACAGGTGGATCACCTGAGCTCAGGAGTTCGAGGCCAGCCTGGCCAACATAGCGAAACCTCATCTCTACTAAAAATACAAAAATTAGCCAGGTGTGGTGGCTCACGCCTGTAATCCCAGCTACTCGGGAGACTGAGGCAGGAGAATCGCTTGAACCCAGGAGGTGGAGGTTGCAGTGAGCTGAGATCGTGCCATTGCACTCCAGCCTGGGTGACAGAGTGAGACTGCATCTCAAAAAATAAATAAATAAATAAAAGAAAAATAAAAGCATGCCTAGTGTCTATGTATGTAAAAGTGGATGTTAGGCAAACAAGGCCAGAATAGCAAGACTCAGAGTGAATACAATGAAGGAGGATTAAGTTATAGATATTGGGAAGGGGACCAATAGCTCTAGGGTCCCTCTGGGAGCCTATGTCTCCTCTAATCTTCCAAACAACTTCAGGTATAATCTAATTCCCATATTACATATGAGGAAACTGAGAAAACTCAAACCTCAGGAGTCCTGTGGCTCAAAGCACCCAGCTTGGGAGAGTTGAAGGAGAGAATTGAATCTTATCTGACTCCAAAGTCATGTTCTTTCTACCTAAGTGGTAAGGTCAGGAGCGCTAGACCCTCACACAGGGAATTGGTTGGGGTCTTCAGGACAATCCCTTTTGAGGTCTGAGCCTGAAAACAAATGCCACTTTGTAATGAGACTTTCTGTCTCTCTTACCAGATGGTCCCCTAAATTAGTTGAAGCCTGTGGGCCTTAAATATAAAACGGGAGGATGCATTTTGGTTATAATACAGCAGTTTGATTTAGTTACAAGTGTTATGCTTAAAATGGTAGAATGTGATTGACTTATGGCATTTTCTTTTTGAAGGATAGGACGGTTCTTTGTGCATGGTCAGCCCAACCCCTGATGGCTTGGCTGCTGTCCATAACAAACAGAACTACACCAGACAGACCTCAAAAAACAAGGGTTCTATAGTCATTTCCCTGAGACATCCCTGGGCCACAGCACCTTCACCCAATCTACACTGCTGATGTTGATTCTATGAGACCCACTGGTGGCAGCTCTTGCTGTTCATCGCTAGGCAAGAAATATTTCCTCAAGAAGCCCCCAGCTTACTGGAATAACATCCGCTCATTTCCTTCTTCAACATTAGCATTTACCCTATCCTGCCTGGATCTAGAAGCTGATCCCTCTGAACTAAAGATCTTCCCTTTTCTTCCCAACCGAGTGGGGGGACAAGAAGGAGATTTAAAACTTGCTTCTCTTTTACTCACATTCAGTATGACTATTTTCTCAAAATGTAAAGGCCCGTTCATCCAGAGCTAGGAAAAATACTGCTCTCACATCTAACTTTGGAACTGAGAAGTCAGTCTTTATTCAAATACACACGTTTCCTCCACAAAGCATGGCAGTTAGGGTGGAATGAAGGCAGCAGTGAAGCCTACTGAGGATCAAGCAAGGACAGAGAGAAAAGCAATGCTGAAAGGAAGTGAAGGGCAGTCTCTCTCAGAGAAGGCTGATGTGAATGGATCAACTGAGCCCAGAAGTTCGAGACCAGCCTGGCCAAGGTAGTGAAACCCTGTCTCTACTAAAAATACAAAAATTAGCCAGGAGTGGTGGCTCACGCCTGTAATCCCAGCTACTCGGGAGGCTGAAGCAGGAGAATTTCTTGAACCCAGGAGGCGGAGGTTGCAGTGAGCTGAGATTGTGCCATTGCACTCCAGCCTGGGTGACAGAGTGAGACTGTGTCTCAATAAATAAATAAATAAATAAATAAATAAATAAATAAATAAATAAAAATGAAAAATGAAAGCATACCTAGTGTCTATGCATGTCTCTCAGGGAAGACAGAAGGTGCAATCAGAGGGTTAAGCAGGCACTAGTGAGAAAGATAAATTCATGGTTGAGGAGAAAGGGAGAAAGAACTAAGTATTGGCCAGGCGCGGTGGCTCATGCCTGTAATCCCAGCACTTTGGGAGGCAGAGATGGGCAGATTGCCCGAGCTCAGGAGTTCGAGACCAACCTGGGCAACATGGTGAAACCCCATCTCTACTAAAATACAAAAAATTAGCCAGGCGTGGTGGCGCATGCCTGTAGTCCCAGCTACTTGGGAGGCTGAGGCACGAGAATCACTTGAGCCCAGGAGGTGGAGGTTGTAGTGACCCGAGATGGCACCACAGCACTCCAAAAAAAAAAACTAAGTACCAAGCACTATGCTAGATGTTTGATATGCATAAAGTAAGGAGGGACTGGAAATGGGGAGGAATGTATGTATGCTATTACACTATTTAAGGCAAGAAGTGATGAAGGACTTAATAAAGTGGTGGCAGTTTGAAAAGAAAAAAAATGGATGCAAGATTCGCTGTGAAGGGAGCATTGACCTGACAGCAACTGACTGGATGTAGAAGTTAGGGAGAAGGAGAAAACCAAGAGAACTTTGCATGTTCACAATAAGTAACTGGAAAGATAAGAGGACATTAATGAGAAAACAATTGTCAGGAGATGGATGTAGGTGAGGTTGATCAATTTGATTTTGGATCTATTTAATATTTTTAAATCTTTATTATGCAAGTTTTCAAACAGAGAGAAAAATAGAGAGAATAGGATATTGAAGCCCTATATACCCATTACCTAGCTCAACAATTGTCACCTCAAGGTCAATTTTGTTTTATCAATCTTACCTATTCCTCCCCTTCCTGAATTAAACTTGGAACTTTTTTTTATTTTTTCAAATGTATGGTTTTTTTTGTTTTGTTTTGTTTTGTTTTGTTTTGTTTTATGAGATGGAGTCTTGCTCTTTCACCCAGGCTGGAGTGCAGTGGTGCGATCTCAGCTCACTGCAACCTCCGCCTTCCGGGTTCAAGCGATTCTCCTGCCTCAGCCTCCCGAGTTGCTGGGATTACAGGTGCACGCCACAACACCTGGCTAATTTTTTTTTTTTGAGATGAATCTCGCTCTGTTGCCCAGGCTGGAGTGCAGTGGCGCGATCTCGGCTCACTATAAGCTCCACCTACCAGGTTCATGCCATTCTCCTGCCTCAGCCTCCCGAGTAGCTGGGACCACAGACGCACACTGCCACGCCCGGCTAATTTTTTGTATTTTTAGTAGAGACAGGGTTTCACCGTGTTAGCCAGGATGGTCTTGATCTCCTGACCTCGTGATTCGCCCGCCTCGGCCTCCCAAAGTGCTGGGATTACAGGCGTGAGCCACCGTGCCCAGCCACACCTGGCTAATTTTTTGTATTTTTAGTAGAGACAGGGTTCCACCATGTTGGCCAGGCTGGTCTGGAACTCCTGACCTCGTGATCCACCGGCCTCAGTCTCCCAAAGTGCTGAGATTACAGGCGTGAGCCACAGCGTCTGGCCTCAAATTTATTTATTTTTTAAATTGACATGTAAAATTGTTTATATTTATCATGTACAACATGATGTTTTTGAAGTATATATACATTGTAGAATGGTTAAATCCAGCTAATTAACAACTACAGTATCTCACGGTTAATCATTTTTTCTTGCAGTGAAAGCACATAACTTCAACTCTCTTTACGTTTTTCAAGGATACAATATATCCTTATTAACTATAGTAACCTTGCTGTATCATAGATCTCGTGAACATATTCCTCCTATCTAACTGTAAATATGTATCCTTTGACCGACCACCCCCCAACCCTTCTCCCTGTTAATACCCCCAGCCCTGGCAACCACTATTCTACTCTACTTCTAAGGGATCCATTTGTCTTCCTGTGCCTGGATTATTTCACTTAATATAATGTCCTCCAGATTCATCCATACTGTCACAAATAACAGAATTGCCTTCTTTTTGGTGGCTGAATAGTATTCCATTGTGTATACATACTACACTTGACCCATTCATTCACTGTTGGACACTTAGATTGGTTCCATATCTTGGCTATTGTGAATAGTACTGAAATGGACATGGATGTTCAAATATCTCCTCAACATACTAATTTGATTTTTCTTGGATAAATACCCAGTAGTGGGATTGCTAGATCCTGTAGTAACTCTATTTTTAATTTCTTGAAGGACTTCCATACTGTTTTCTGAATTGAATTATTTTGAAGTAAATCCCAGACATCATATGATATAATCCACAAACAATTCACTATATATTTCTAATTACAATTACATACAATTATCTCAACTAAAAACATTTTTTTTGAGACACAGTGTTACTTTGATGCCCAGACTGGAGTGCAGTGGCAAAAACACAGCTCACTGCAGCCCCGACCTCCTAAGCTCAAGTGATCCTCTCGCTTCAGCCTATTGAGTAGCTGGGACCTCAGGTGCATGCTAATTTTTTAAATTTTCTGCAGAGACAGAGTCTTGCCATGTTGCCCAGGCTGGCCTCAAACTCCTAGGCTCAGGCAATCCTCCTGCCATGGCCTCTCAAAATGCTGAGATTACAGGCATGAGCCACCATGCTTGGCCACCTAAAAAATCAACATTAAGCCTGTAACGTAATCAAATATCCATTAAGCATTTAAATGTTCTCAATCATTTACTTGTTTGTTTACAGTTGATTGTTTGAAATCAGGATCCAAATAAGCAGATTCACTGAACGTTGGATTCTATCTGAAGCAGTCATATGGAGATATCAAGCAGGCAATTGAAATTTCAGGTCCAAAACTCAAGGAAGACATAGAGGCCAGAAATATGGATTTGGAAATCATCCTCCCAGAGGGAGTAGTTGAAGCTATTTGACTAGATGAAGCTATTGAGTAGATATCATAGGGGGAGAATATAGCAATTAAAATGACCCAAGGAAAGAAATTTAGAATGACTGTATTTGGGAAGAAGAGAAAGAGACACCAAGAATGGGGATAAGGAGGGAATAATTTGAAAGAAATGAGAAGTTGAAAGGTTGGATTGGGTGCAGTGGCTCACGCCGGTTAATTCCAGCACTTTGGGAGGCCATGGTGGGAGGATGGCTTGAGGCCAGGAGTTTGAGACCAGCCTGGACAACATAGTGTCTCTACCAAAAAAAAAAACTATAAACAAACAAGTAAATGATTGAGGAAGAAAAGAAAAGAAGAAAAGTCGAAAAAGAAAACAAGACATTGGTGTTGTAACTGAAACCAAGAAATGAAATCTTTGCAGGAGGGAAGACCTGTTTTCCATCTAAAGAGCCTTGGGCTAGGACTTACTCCCTGCTCTATTGTGTGACTTTCTGGATGTGTTGTGTGTAGCAAATTGCCTCCCTAAGGCCAAGATTCTTCAGATGTAAAAAATGAATAAAACCAGTCTTTCTGGTTAAAATGCAGCTATGAGGATCAAGTAAGAATGCATGTGAAGAAGGCCCTTGTTGGCTATAAAGCACTGGACAAATATGAGAGACTGTTCATTCGTTAATCTTTATTATTATTTTTATAAACAATGTGAAAATGTAATTTAACTGTTGAATGGAGGATTTGAATATTGGAAAATTCTGAATTTGAGAGGCCGTAATTCTTCAAGAATCTCATGAGATACAATAGTTGGCTTTTATTGAGCATCTACCATGTGCTAGGCACTGTTTTAAACCCCCTACATACCCTACCTTATTTAATCCTCACGAAAACTTTATGAGTAATAATAGGTACTATTATTAATCTTGTTTTACAGATGAGGAAGCTGCGGTTGAGAGAAGCGAACTGATTTGTCCCAGGTCACACAGCTAGGAAGTGGTAGGACCAAATCTCAAAACCAAGTCTTTCCCATCTCAGAGCAGGATCTCTTAATCACAACACTAAGTTTCCTCTTTAAAATATGCCTTGGAAAATTAGATCACCATATTGCAACTCTAGTGAATTACCAATCTAGATATTGAGCATCAAAGACAGCTATCATCACAAAGAGAGACAACCAGACATTATGTGTCTCCTGAGTGAAACAAGCACCACCCCCTATGAAACAGTTTTGCCTTAAAAAAAAAAAAAAAAAGACCATGCGCGGTGGCTCACGCCAGTAATCCCAGCACTTTGGGAGTCCTAGGCCGGTGGATCACTTGAGGTCAGGAGTTCAAGACCAGCCTGGCCAACATGGTGAAACCCCATCTCTACTAAAAATACAAAAAATTAGCCCAGCATGATGGCGGGCACCTGTAATCCCAGCTACTCAGGAGACTGAGGCAGGAGAATCATCACTTGAACCTGGGAGGCAGAGGTCGCAGTGAGCCAAGATCATGCCACTGCACTCCAGCCTGGGAGACAGAGCAAGACTCCATCTCAAAAAAAAAAAAAAAACCTGGGCCAAGCTCGGTGGCTCACGCCTGTAATCCCAGCACTTTGGAATGCTGAGGCAGGAGGATCCCTTGAGCCCAGGAGTTCGAGACCAGTCTGGGCAGTATAGTGAGACCAGGGAGACTTCGTCTCTACAAAAAATAAAAGTAAAAAAATAGGCGGGTGTGTTGGCACATACTTGTAGTTACAGCCACTTGGGAGGCTGAGGCGGGAGGATTGCTTGAGCCCAGGAATTTGAGGCTTCAGTGAGCCATGATTGTGCCACTGTACTCCAGCATGGGCAGCAAAGTGAGACCCTGTCTCAAAAAAATATTGATCTTGAATCTAGCATAGCCTTGAGATTAAGCTTAGTGTTGCCAGGTAAAATTCAGGATGCCCAGTGAAAAGTGAATTTCAAATAAACAACTATATATAGGCCGGGCGCAGTGGCTCACGCCTGTAATCCCAGCACTTTGGGAGGCCGAGGCGGGCAGATCACGAAGTCAGGAGATTGAGACCACCCTGGCTAGCATGGTGAAACCCCGTCTCTACTAAAAATACAAAAAATTAGCCGGGCATCGTGGTGGGCACCTGTAGTCCCAGCTACTCGGGAGGCTGAGGCAGGAGAATGGCATGAACCCGGGAGGCGGAGCTTGCAGTGAGCAGAGATGGCGCCACTGCACTCCAGCCTGGGCGACAGAGCGAGACTCCACCTAAAAAAAAAACACAACTATATATATACATATATATATAGTTTATTTATTTGTATATATTATATATATAAATTATATGTTTATATGTGAACTATATATGTGAAATTTATATAAATATATATTTATATAAATATATATATATATTCATGTAAGCACGTCCCATGCAATATTTAGTATGTCCCATACATTATATTTGGGACATGCTTATACTACAAAACCATTCATTGTTTATCTGAAATTAAATTTAACTGGGAGTCCTGCATTTATCTTTCTGAATCTGGCAACCCTACTTTACTTTTTATTTTATTTTTGTTTTTTTGAAATGGGGTCTCACTCTGTCGCCACAATGGAGTGCAGTGACGCGATCATAGGCTGAAGTTAGCTCACTGCAGCCTCCACCTCCTGGGCTCAGGCAACCCTCCCACCTCAGGCTCCCAAAGTGTTGGGATTCCAGGCGTGAGCCACCATCACACCCAGCCCAGCCCTACTTAAGATCCAACTACCTGTTTATGAGGAACACAAAAGACAGAGAAATATATTAAAGGAACCAGGATGAGGCAATCAGCACCAGACTAGGTAAAGGTACAAGAAAATAAGGCTGGGTGCAGTGGCTCATGACTGTAATCCCAGCACTTTGGGATGCCAAGGCAGGAAGATCACTTCAAGCCAGGAGTTCAAGAACCACTCTGGGCAACAAAGTGCATTTTTACAAAAAATTAAAAAAAAAACATCTGGGTGCAGTGGCATGAGCCTGTAGTCCCAGTTACTTGGGATGCTGAGGCAGGAGAATCACTTGAGCCCAGGAGTTTGAAGCTGCAGTGAGCTATGATTGCACCACTGCACTCCCGACTGGGTGACAGAGTGAAACCCTGTCTCTAAAACAAACAAAAAAGACAAACAACCAGATTTCTTCAATAAATAAATATCAAGGGGAGAAAGAGAGAGAAGAAACCTATAGACAACAGAGAACTAAGAGACACATAAACAATCACAATGTGAAGACTATTTGGATTCTGATTCAGACTATTAAAAAATCACATTTGTGATATTGGTAATTTGAACACAGACTGGATGTTTGATCATATTAAGGAATTTTTTAGTTGTTCTAGTGGTATTGTGGGTTTTTCTTAAGAACTCCTTATGTCTTATAGAGATATACAGAAATGTTTGTGGATGAAATTATATAAATTTTTTTTTTTGAGACCGAATCTCGCTGTCGCCCAGGCTAGAGTGCAGTGGCGCGATCTCGGCTCACTGCAGGCTCCGCCCCCCGGGGTTCATGCCATTCTCCTGCCTCAGCCTCCCGAGTAGCTGGGACTACAGGCGCCCGCCACCATGCCCGGATAATTTTTTGTATTTTTAGTAGAGATGGGGTTTCACTGTGTTAGCCAGGATGGTCTCGATCCCCTGACCTCGTGATCCGCCCGCCTCGGCCTCCCAAAGTGCTGGGATTACAGGCGTGAGCCACCGCGCCCGGCGAAATTATATAAAATTATATAATGTCCAGGAGACACTTTTGAATAATCTAGAAAGGAATGAAATACGGGTACAGGTATAACTAGACTGGCTTTGAGTTGATGATGTTAAATCTACATAAAAAGTGATTTCATTATAGTTTTTTTTCTACTTTTGTATATGTTTGAAATTACCCATAATAAAAAAGTTTAAATAATGATTAACACAATGCCGGATGTATTGCAAACACTTAATATATGTTTGCTGGAGGGTGAATGGGTTTGTTAATTTAAAAAAAAGAAAGCTCTGGTTGGGCGCTGTGGCTCACGCTTGTAATCCTAGCACTTTGGGAGGCCGAGGAGGGTGGATCACTTGAGGTCAGGAGTTTGAGACCAGCCTGGCCAATATGGTGAAACCCTGTCTCTACTCAAAATACAAAAAAATTAGCCAGGCGTGGTAGTGTGCACCTGTAATCCCAGCTACTTGGGAGGCTGAGGTTCAAGAATCGCTTGAATCCAGGAGGTGGAGGTTGCAGTGAGCTGAGATGGCGCCACTGCACTCCAGACTGGGCAACAGAGTGAGACTCTGACTCAAGAAAAAAAAAAAACCCTCAGATGGCCATCAAATAAAAAAAATTTTTGAAATGAAATTACAAGCATGAATATGCCTGAACACACAAATGAGATTCATTTAAAGATTACACCATACACAAATGGAAACAATACATTTGTTCAGACAAGAGAGTTTGTTTATTGAACATGAACAGTTGAGAAACTCTGGGCAGAAGAGATACATATATTATAGGCACTTTATTAAGGTAATCACAGAAAACATTTTTAACCCTTCAAAAAGATGTTATGCGGAAAATTCACTGTAGATGTCCTTCAATATTTTTTATTCCAGCGAACTCTTGTGGAAAGCTGTCTTAATTTCCCAAAGGCCTTTGGGCAGATTTGAGTGCTCACGTGCAAGTGAATCACTAATTACTAGAAATTAATGACCTCTCATGCTGAATAATGCATGCATTTGATAGAAGAGCCTTACCCAAAATGCAGTGTCGTCAGTTTTTAATGCATTCTTGCCTTGCCTGCTGTGTACATGAATGCAACCAAATTCAAAGCAACTCTCCCACACAAGGTGTAGCTTACTGTGTTTAAGGAAGTGTTTAGTATAGGTTAGTGAAATAAGCTCTCTATTTTATGCTTAATATTCCATTATATGGATGTACCATAATGAACTCAAACATTCCCTTATTAATGGCTATTTCCCACTTTTGCTATTATAAACAAGAATATCCAGTTTCAATTTTCTGCATACGGCTAGCCAGTTATCCCAGCACCATTTATTGAATAGGGAGTCCTTTCCCCATTGCTTTTTTTTTTTAACTTTGTCAAAAATCAGATGGCTGTAGGTGTGAAGCATTATTTCTGAGCTCTCTATTCTATTTCATTTGTCTATGTGCCTGTTTTTGTACCAGTACCATGCTGTTTTGGTCACTGTAGGCCTGTAGTATCGTTTGAAGTCAGGTAACTTGGTGCCTGCAGCTTTGTTCTTTTGCTTAGAATTGCCTTGGCTATTCAGGCTCTCTTTTGGTTCCATATGCATTTTTAAATTGTTTTTTCTAATTATCTGAAGAATGTCACTGGTAGTTTGATAGGAATGACATTGAATCTGTAAATTTCTTTGGGCAGTATGGCCATTTTAACATATTGACTCTTCCTATCTATGAGCATGGAATGTTTTTCCATTTGTTTGTGTCATCTCTGATGTCTTTGAGCAGTGTTTTGTAGTTCTCTTTGTAGAGTTCTTTCACCTCCCTGGTTGCTGTATTCCTAGGTATTTCATTCTTTTGTGGCTATTGTGAATGAGACTGTGTTCCTGATTTGGCTCTCAATTGGATGTTGTTGGCATATAGGAATACTACCGATTTTTGTACATTGATTTTGTATCCTGAAACTCTGCTGAAGTTATCAGATCAAGGAGCTTTTGGGCAGAGACTATGGGGTTTCCTAGATGTAGAATCATATCATCCACAAACAGGGACAGTTTGACTTCCTCTCTTCCTATTTGGATGTCATTTATTTCTTTCTCTTGCCTGATTGCCCTGCCCAGGACTTCCAATACTATGTTGAATAGGAGCGATGAAAGAAGGCATCCTTGTCTTGTGCCAGTTTTCAAGGGCGAATGCTTCCAGCTTCTGCCCATTCAGTATTATGTTGGCTGTGGGGCTGTCACATATGGCTCTTATTATTTTGAAGTATGTTCCTCTTCCTTACACCATACACAAAAATCAACTCAATGTAATCCCAGCACTGTGGGAGACCAAGGCAGGCAGATCACAATGTCAGGAGTCTGAGGCCAGCCTGACCAACATGGTGAAACCCCGTCTCTACTAAAAATACAAAAATCAGCCGGGCATGCTGGTGCATGCCTGTAATCCCAGCTACTCAGGAGGCTGAGGCAGGAGAATCGCTTGAACCCGGGAGGCGGAGGTTGCAGTGAGCCAAGATTGCACCACTGCACTCCAGCCTGGGCGACGGAGCGAGACTCCGTCTCAAAAAAATAAAAATAAAAAATAAAAAAATAAACTCCAGATAAATTAAAGACTTAAATGTAAAACCTAAAACTATAAAAACCCTGAAAGATAACCTAGAAAATACTAAATGGCATAGGCCCTGGCAAAGATTTCATGACAAAGATGCCAAAAGCAATTGCAACAAAAACAAAAATTGACAAATGGGACCTAATTATCCAAAGAGCTTCTGCACAGCAAAAGAAACTCTCAACAGAGTAAACAGACAACCTACAAAATGGGAGAAAATATTTGCAAACTATGTATCCAACAAAGGTCTAATATCCAGAATCTATAAGGAACTTAAATGAATGTACAAGCAAAAAACAGCACCATTAAAAAGTGGGCAAAGGACAATGATATTGTTTGGCTTTGTGTCTCCACCCAAATCTCATCTCGAATTGTAATCCCCACGTGTCCAGGGAGAGACCCAGTGAAAGGTGAATGGATCATGAGGACGGTTTCTCCCAAGCTGCTCTCATGATAGTGAGGGACTTCTCACTAGAGCTGATTGTTTTAAGTGTAGCACTTCCTCACTCTTCCTCTCTCTCTCTCCTGCCACCATGAGGAGACATGCCTTGCTTCCCCTTCACCTTCCACTATGATTGTACGTTTCCTGAGGCTTCTCTAGCCATGCAGAACTGTGAGTCAGTTCCGGCACAGTGGCTCAAGCCTGTAACCCCAGCACTTTGGGAGGCCGAGGTGGGTGGATCACCTGACGTCAGGGGTTCAAGACCATCTGGGCCAACATGGTGAAACCCTGTCTCTACTAAAAATACAAAAATTAGCTGGGTGTGGTTGCATGCGGCTGTAGTCCAAGCTACTCGGGAGGCTGAGGTGGGAGAATTGCTTGAACCTGGCAGGCAGATGTTGCAGTGAGCCGAGATTGTGCCACTGCACTGCAGCCTGGGCAAAAGAGTGAGACTGTCTCAAAAAAAAAAAAAAAGAAGAAGGAAAAGAATAAGTGTGAGTCAATTAAACCTCTTTCCTTTATAAATTATCCAGTCTCAGGTAGTATCTTTATAGCAGTGTGAAAACAGACTAATACAGACATGAACAGGCACTTCTCAAAAGAAGACATACATGTGGCCAACAAATATATGAAAAAATGCTCATCATCACTAATCTTTAGAGAAATGTAGATCGCAACCACAGTGGGATACCATCTTGTGCCAGTCAGAATGGCTATTATTAAAAAGTCAAAAATAGCAGATGCTGGTAAGGTTGTGGAGAAAAGGTAATGTTTATACACTTCTGGTGAAAATGTAATTAGTTCAGCAATTGTGGAAAGCAGTGTGGTGATTCCACAAAGGGCTTAAAACAGAATTATCATTTGACATAGCCATCCCATTATTGAGAATATACCCAAAGGAATATAAGTCATTCTACCATAAAGACATATGCATGCATATGTTTATTGCAGCACTGTTCACAATACCAAAAACATAGTATCAACCTAAATGCCCATCAATGGTAGACTGGCTAAAGAAAATGTGGCATGTATGTACCATGGAATACTATGCAGCCATAAAAAAGAATGAGACCATGTCCTTTGCAGCAACATGGATGGAGCTGAAGTCATTCTCATAAGCAAACTAACATAGGAACAAAGAAAAAAATACCACATGTTCTGTTTTTTATTTTTTGAGACAGAGTCTCGCTCTGTCACCCAGGCTGGAGTGCAGTGGTGCGATCTCGGCTCACTGCAACCTCTGCCTCCCAGGCTCAAGTGATTCTCTTGCCTCAGCCTCCCGAGTAGCTGGGACTACAGTTGTGTGCCACCATGCCTGGCTAATTTTTTTTATTTTTAGTAGAGATGGGGTTTCACCATGTTGGCCAGGTTGGTCTCAAACTCCTGACCTCAGGCAATCTGCCTGCCTTGGCCTCCCAAAGTGCTGGGATTACAGGCGTGAGCCACTGCGCCATGCCTTTTTTTTTTCTTTTTTTGAGACAGAGTTTTGCTCTTGTCGCCCAGGCTGGAATGCAATGGTGTGATCTTGGCTCACTGCAACCTCTGCCTCCCAGGTTCAAGCAATTCTCCTGCTTCAGCCTCCCGGGTAGCTGTGATTACAGGTGTGTGCCACCACACCCAGCTAATTTTGTATTTTTAGTAGAGACGGGGTTTCACCATGTTGGTCAGGCTGGTTTCGAACTCTTGACCTCAGGTGATCTGCCCGCTTTGGCCTCCCAAAGTGCTGGGATTACAGGCGTGAGCCACCACACCCGCACTCTCATTTATAAGTGAGAGTTAAACAATGAGAACACATGACACAAAGAGGGGAACAACAGACACCAGAG
Source organism: Homo sapiens (assembly GCF_000001405.40). Taxonomy (NCBI): domain Eukaryota; kingdom Metazoa; phylum Chordata; class Mammalia; order Primates; family Hominidae; genus Homo; species Homo sapiens. Next base: position 120,635,005 of record NC_000023.11, on the reverse strand, counting down.
ATTACTTGAGCGTGGAGGGTGGGAGAAGGAGAAGATTAAAAAACTAACTATTGGGAACTATGCTTATTACCTGGGTGACAAAATAATTTGTATGCCAAACCCCCAAGACATGCAGTTTACCTATATAACAAACCTGCACATTACCCCTTAACCTAAAATGAAAGTTAAAAAAAAAAAAAAAACTGCTGGCTTGACACAGTGGCATACGCCTGTAATCTCAGCACTTTGTGAGTCCGAGGCTGGAGAATTACTTGAGGCCAGAGCTCAAGACCAGCCTGGGCAACACAGCAAGCCCCTGTCTCTACAAAACATTATCCAGGGTGGTGGTGCCTGCCTGTAGACCCCATATTTGGAAGGCTGAGGCAGGAGGATTGCTTGAGCCTAGGAGTTGGAGGCTGTAGTGAGCCATGATTGCACCACTACACTCCAGCCTGGGTGTCAGAGTGAGACCCTGTCTCTAAACAAAAACAAAAAACAAAAACAAAAACAAAAACAGAAAAACAATAATGCATTTGCCCCTATTTCTGTGGGAGAGATCACTAGAATGGGTTTGCTGGGCCAAAAAGTATGAACATCTTAATTTTAATAGATACTAATTGCACATGTTTTTTAAATTAAGGCTGAGATATGGAATGTTGTTTTAAAAAAAACGCCATTACTGGCTGGGCGTGGTGGTTCACGCCTGTAATCTCAGCACTTTGGGAGGCCAAGGCAGGTGGATCACCTGAGGTTGAGAGTTGGAGACCAGCCTGACCAATGTAGTGAAACCCTGTTTCTACTAAAAATACAAAAATTAGCCAGGCGTGGTGGCATGCGCCTGTAGTCCCAGCTGCTCGAGAGGCTGAGACAGGAGAATTACTTGAACCTGGGAGATGGAGGTTACAGTGAGCCAAGATCACATCACTGCACTCCAGCCTGAGTGACAGAGTGAGACTCTGTCTCAAAAAAAAAAAAAAGCCATAAGTCAATCATCTCACTAACTTTATTTAAAATGCTAAGTATATGTAAGTTATTTGTCAAGTAAAGAACTGGGTTCTTAGACAATTTCTTATTAACAGAGCTTTTGGTGTTGAAAATCCCATGGTTTATTCTGTCTCAGAGCATCTTATGTCAATTTTGTGTGTGTGTGTGTGAGACGGAGTCTCGCTCTGTCACCCAAGCTGCAGTGCAATGGCATGATCTCGGCTCACTACAATCTCCGCTTCCCAGTTTCAAGCGATTCTCCTGCCTCAGCCTTCCAAGTAGCTGGGATTACAGGCGTGCGCCACCACGCCTGGCTAATTTTTTGTATTTTTAGTAGAGACGGGGTTTCACCGTGTTAGCCAGGATGGTCTCGATCTCCTGACCTCAGGTGATCCGCCTGCCTCGGCCTCCCAAAGTGCTGGGATTACAGGTGTGAGCCACCATGCCTGGTCTCTTGTGTCATTTTTTAAATAATATTTTTTAAAATTACCAACCACTATAAGAAGCGCTGCTCTTATATTATTAATACTTCCAGTTTGGTATACAGTACTTTTCTATACTAAAAGAAGAATCATTTTATTTTTTTCCAGCTTTATTGAGGTATGTTTGACAAATAAATGTATACAATTAAAGTGCACAATGTGATGATTTGCTATATGTATACACTGTGAAATGATTACCACAATCAAGCTAATGAACATATTCATCATCTCAAATAGGTGCCCTTATTTTCTAGGAGAAACATTTTATATTGCCTCTTCATCACAGTCTGAATTCTGAGTGTCATTTCTGTCCTTCCTGGTCCCTTTTTGCGAGGACAGAGTGGTTCTCTGCATTCTTTAAAAGATATTTTTATTGGTATCTTTTCTTTTTTTTCTTTTTGTCCCTGTAATTTTAAGGTCCTTTTATTTGCTGGTCTTCAAATTCAAAATAGGTGCTTGTTTATAACCAGTGAAACAATGCAATACAAGGATGTATAAAGACAAAGCTAATCATCCCCACCTCAACCTCCTGATGTAATCAATATTAAGAGCTTGCTGAGTATTCTTCCATAACTCTCTTTGTTCATACGAACAGATCAAACCTATGTGCACGTTTGTTTCCACCAAAACATAATCATATAATATGCAGTATTCTGCAATTTGTTTCACTTAACTATATAGGTATATATACATACATACATATATATTTTATATAATATGTGAAATAGACTATATTACTTAACAAAATATAATGAAAATATTCCACGGTCTTAAATTCTTTTCCAGTTCTAAAATTCATTTTTTCTTTTCCAGCGGGCCCACTGTCAGAAATAAAATTCATTTTGGTATTCCTTTAGAAAACATACCACCATTATAATTATTTGTAATAAATTGTTTAATGTCTTTCTTCCCCACTTGACTGACAGCTCCATGAAGTCAGGGTACTTATTTTGCTCACCACTGTATCTCCAGATTTTAAGATAGTGTTGCCAGGATAGTAACTACCTACAATATATTTGTTCATTGTTTCAGAGTTCCCTGAAACCTTCAGTCTACTTAAACTAGGTCACTGACAACACTCAAATACATGTGTGTCTTTAGGAACTCAGGCCCGAGTAAGTCACCACTCAATTTTATCTTAATGGAACCTAGTAACAATACACTTTAAATAATTGTAAAAATTTGGGCTTTTTAGCAAAAAGCCTTCTGCCACAAAAATGAATTTTTTTTTTTTTTTTGAGATGGAGTCTTGCTCACTCTCCCAGGCTGGAGTGCAGTGGCACGATCTCGGCTCACTGCAACCTCCACCTCCCAGGTTCAAGCAATTCTTCTGCCTCAGCCTCCCGAGTAGCTGGGATTACAAGCATGAGCCACCACGCCCGACTAATTTTTATTTTATTTTATTTTATTTTATTTTATTTTATTTTATTTTTTTTTTTTGAGATGGAGTCTCGTTCTGTCGCCCAGGCTGGAGTGCAGTGGCGCTATCTGGGCTCACTGCAGGCTCTGCCCCGGGGTTCACGCCATTCTCCTGCCTCAGCCTCCCGAGTAGCTGGGACTACAGGCGCCCGCCACCTCGCCCGGCTAATTTTTTGTATTTTTAGTAGAGACGGGGTTTCACTGTGTTAGCCAGGATGGTCTCGATCTCCTGACCTCGTGATCCGCCCGCCTCGGAGTCTCGCTCTTTCGCCCAGGCCAGACTGCAGTGGCGCTATCTCGGCTCACTGCAAGCTCCGCCTCCCGGGTTCACGGCATTCTCCTGCCTCAGCCTCCCGAGTAGCTGGGACTACAGGCGCATGCCACCGCGCCCGGCTAATTTTTTGTATTTTTAGTAGAGACAGGGTTTCACCGTGTTAGCCAGGATGGTCTTGATCTCCTGACCTCAGGTGATCCACCTGCCTCGGCCTCCCACAGTTTTGGGATTACAGGCGTGAGCCACTGCGCCTGGCCAAAAATGAATTTTAAAAGACAGATCGGTGGCTCACACCTGTAATCCCAGCACTGTGGAAGGCCGAGGCGGGTGGAACACCTGAGGTCAGGAGTTCGAGACCAGCCTGGCCAACACGGCGAAACCCCGTCTCTACTAAAAAAAAAAATAATAATAACCAGACGTGGTGGCGCACACCTGTAATCCTAGCCACTAGGGAGGCTGAGGCAGGAGAATCACTTGAACCCGGGAGGCAGAGGCTGCAGTGAACCGAGATCCCGCCATTGCACTCCAGCCTGGGCAAAAAGAACGAAACTCGGTCTCAAAAAAAAAAAAAAAAAAAAGAGACACATCAAATATTTCGTGGAAAGAGAGCTCTGCACTCTTAATTAGAAGACCTGGGGGCCGTGCGCAGTGGCTCAAGCCTGTAATCCCAGCACTTTGGGAGGCCGAGGCGGGTGGATCACCTGAGGTCAGGAATTCAAGACCAGCCTGGCCAACCCCGTCTCTACTAATAATACAAAAATTAGCCGGGCGTGGTGGCGGGCGTCTGTAATCCCAGCTGCTAGGGAGGCTGAGGTAGAAGAATCGCTTGAACCCGGGAGGCAGAGGTTGCAGTGAGCCGAGATCGTGCCATTGCACTCCAGCCTGGGCAACAAGAGTGAAACTCCGTCTCAAAAAAAAAAAAAAAAGAGACCTGGATTCCAGTCCCACCTCTGCCATTAACTTGCTGTGTGGACTTTTGAAATTTCCTTATCCTTTTTAGGCCTGGTTCCTCAGCTGTAGTTCTAATATTCATTAATTCCACTAATATTTACTGTCCACTGCGTGCTGGCACTGTGGTTAAGTACTAGAAATACTGGGGTGAATAATAACAGCCAGTACTTTTTAGTAAATGCTTACTCTAGGCTTGAAATTTTGCTAAGGGAGTCATATGCACTATCTCATCTAATTTTCTATGAAATAGGCACTACTGTGACATTTTCTGTACTTTACAAATGAGGGAACTGAGGCACAGCGAGGTGAAATAACTTTCCTGGGATATCAAAAGGTGTGGTGAAGACAGGATTGGATTCCAGGCAGTGGGGCTTCAGATCTCATTCCAGTAATAATAGGAAACCGTTGGTGTCATAATTACGTGACTATTTCAGTGGCTTGCGTTTTGGTCTCAGCCCAGGAGTACTGGGGGGGTGGGCAATATGAGGGTTCAAGGACGCAGGGGTACATCAGAGAAACCATCAAGAGGTCTGATAAAAAGCGACACCGGGAGCAAGAATCTCTCGCTCTCGCAATTTCCATGCCAGGAAGGTGAAATGGGAGGTGTCAGCGAGTCGTACGCACGGCCTCTTCTCTGGACGCCCGTTGGGTAAAGGAGAGCGTCCGGGTCACGCAGGCCTATAGCAAGTCTCTGAACTCGGCAGGGGGCGGGGAGAAAGGGCACGCAGTGTGCGCGCAGCGGGCGCGCCGGCCCTTCCGACGCCTGCGCGGGCGGGCAAACGGACGGCTCCGCCCAGCCGCCGGCTCCTTTACCCCGCCCCACTACCCCCGCCTTCGCGGCGCTCGTTTCCTGGCGCTCCCCACCTTTAGCGAGACCAACGAGAGAACACCGCCTGCAGCTAGAACAGCCTGGTCAGGAGCGTAACGGAGTGGTGCGCCAACGTGAGAGGAAACCCGTGCGCGGCTGCGCTTTCCTGTCCCCAAGCCGTTCTAGACGCGGGTGAGTGGCGGGGCCTCGACCCCCACCCCAAGCGCACCCTGACTCCCCTCCCTCTCTTGGGGGAGGCCTGGGCCCCAGCCCTCTCCCAGCATGCTCCACGCGGGATGCTTGGGCAGGTGCAGCGGGAGGATTGTCAGCACAGGAGACCGAGAGTCTTCTTCCTGGGGGCGCTCTCTTGGTCCCTCAGAGGGATATCGAGGTTACCATGTCCTCCCTCTCACTTCTCTTCCCTATTTCGTCTTCGTTTTCCGTACTTCACCCCAACTACCTTCACCCAAAAAGGTTCATCTAAAAACCATTGGGGTAGTTTCTGTTTCATTTGTGCTCGTGTGCAGTTTTGTTTCCTTCTGCACAAAGTATCCTATCATATGCATCCCTAGTGTTATATTTTTTGCCTCTGTGATGGGGAAAAAATCTCCTTAGAATAATTTTTGCAAATTATTTTATTTAAAATGTGTAGACTTACTGAGTTTTGATCACTATTTTTGCAGCCAGGAGTAGGATCACCATCAGGAAGAATTCTGACACATATGCCATAATTGAGCAAAGAAACATGTGAATTATGTATTGGCCAGAAATAATGAAAACTGCGTGACATGAAATACAAAAATCCTATATAAATTAATCTTAGAGTGCACCTGACAATTCTTTTTCTTTTTTCTTTCTTTCTTTCTTTTTTTTTTTTGAAACAGAGTCTCGCTCTTGTTGCCCAGGCCGGAGTGCTGTGGTGCGATCTTGGCTCACTGCCTGCAACCTCCGCCTCCCGGGTTCAAGCAATTCTCCTGCCTCAGCCTCCTGAGTAGCTGGGATTACAGTCATATGCCACCATGCCCGGCTAATTTTTGTATTTTTAGTCGAGACAGGGTCTCACCATGTTGGCCAGGCTGGTCTTGAACTCCCTACCTCAGGTGATCCACCTGCCTCGGCCTCCCAAAGTGCTGGGATTACAGGCGTGAGCCACCGCACACAGCCGACAATTCTAATATTATGCCGAGCTTGTTTTCTGTCACTTCTCTTCTTGGAACTGTGTTTATTGACCAAGTTCTGTGAGTGACACAGGAAAGTCTTCCTGCCTCTTGCCCCACCCACCGCTCAGAAATTACATCTGCCAAGCTATTCCACACCTTGTCTTTCTGGTAGAAGTCAAAATTCCATTTCCTCTAGCAGAAAACCACAGGAGTGGTTTCCTTGTAGCAATATGGTGCTGTTGGGTGCAAAATATCAGTTATGGTCAACAGATCCCACTTTTTTCCCATTTGTATGAAAACAAGGATATTCAGTAACCCATTTATTAAACTCTAATGTGGTAGAAGCACTATGGCAATTATTCTTCTGTAATGGAAAAAAACCATTAAACTGATATTGAGAAATGTGGTTTCTAGTCCACTTATACCACTGTCTAACTGTGTGACTGAGTCAGTTATTTAACCTCTGTGGACTTCCATTTCCTCTCTGTAAAATGAGAGAAGTGACTGACATTGGGTAGTTTTCTAAGGCTCCTTTCAACCATAAGAGAAAACTGGGAAGTCTAAGTAGCTCAATAGATTGCTTTTTTCTGAAGATGGAGGGAAGATTGGAAAATTCAGCCTTTACTAGAATAAATGGTTAACATACAATTTTTTTCAACAAGTTTATTTAATGTCAGCTTTTAATTTCTTTTATTTATTTATTTTTTCTGAGACAGAGTCTCACTCTGATGCCCTGGCTGGAGTGCCGTGGTGAGATCACAGCTCACTACAGCCTCCGCTTCCCAAGTTCAAGAGACTCTTGTGCCTCAGCCTCCCGAGTAGCTGGGATTACAGGCACCCACCACCACGTCTGGCTAATTTTTTGGATTTTGGGTAGAGACAAGGTTTCACCATGTTGCCCAGGCTGGTCTCGAACTCCTGAACTCAAGGGATCCACCCACCTCAGCCTCCCAAAGTGCTGAGATAACAGCCATGAGCCACTGCACCTGCCTCTTAATTTCTAATTGAAATAAAAGTGTAAATTTTTCCATTTTTACTTCCCCAAAGAAGAAGAAAATTCCTTTTGAGGAAATGAAAATGTTTATTAATGGGCCCCAGATATATCTATCAATATTCCTTTTTGATCCAAAAGATGTAACTTTTTATTATGGGCTTCTATTACATCAATAGTTGGGATACTGTATTGGAAACCATTTAGTTTTAGGAACAAAAGGGTAAATATTAACCTATATGGTGTTATTCTCAAGAAACTTGGTTTAGATTTACTCAAAACACTTAAGGACAGCAGCCATCAGTTAAAGAAAGCACTATGTTGAGAACAGAAATGTCAGCACAATACCATTGGTGATTTGCCATTTATAGGTGGTTTTATCTGTTCAACCCAAGGTTTTGGTGTAAAAGTTCACTATATTTTTAGAGGTATTTAAATAATGCAAGCTTGTGATGTGAAATTCTTTAAAGAGAATGGTGGATGGATAACCTCTGTAACACTGGTTTCAAGGGTTTATTAAATCCCCATAGATGAAGTGCAAAACAAACTTCTCCATAGAGGAGTTGTTGCAAAGTTCCAGTTTATACCAAACAGTAATCAGATTCCATTGGAAGCTAAAGATTTTGAGAGCCTTTTGTACTATATGCAACTAACTTGATTTCAAGCTTGGGAACCTTTTAAAAAAAACATTAAAAGCAAAATGTAAGTATATAAGGAATACCAAATCAAATTTATAGACTAATCTTTTTCTATTAAGTATTTTAAGAGTCTTTTTCTTCTTTATAGGAAAAATGCTTTCTGAAAGCAGCTCCTTTTTGAAGGGTGTGATGCTTGGAAGCATTTTCTGTGCTTTGATCACTATGCTAGGACACATTAGGATTGGTCATGGAAATAGAATGCACCACCATGAGCATCATCACCTACAAGCTCCTAACAAAGAAGATATCTTGAAAATTTCAGAGGATGAGCGCATGGAGCTCAGTAAGAGCTTTCGAGTATACTGTATTATCCTTGTAAAACCCAAAGATGTGAGTCTTTGGGCTGCAGTAAAGGAGACTTGGACCAAACACTGTGACAAAGCAGAGTTCTTCAGTTCTGAAAATGTTAAAGTGTTTGAGTCAATTAATATGGACACAAATGACATGTGGTTAATGATGAGAAAAGCTTACAAATACGCCTTTGATAAGTATAGAGACCAATACAACTGGTTCTTCCTTGCACGCCCCACTACGTTTGCTATCATTGAAAACCTAAAGTATTTTTTGTTAAAAAAGGATCCATCACAGCCTTTCTATCTAGGCCACACTATAAAATCTGGAGACCTTGAATATGTGGGTATGGAAGGAGGAATTGTCTTAAGTGTAGAATCAATGAAAAGACTTAACAGCCTTCTCAATATCCCAGAAAAGTGTCCTGAACAGGGAGGGATGATTTGGAAGATATCTGAAGATAAACAGCTAGCAGTTTGCCTGAAATATGCTGGAGTATTTGCAGAAAATGCAGAAGATGCTGATGGAAAAGATGTATTTAATACCAAATCTGTTGGGCTTTCTATTAAAGAGGCAATGACTTATCACCCCAACCAGGTAGTAGAAGGCTGTTGTTCAGATATGGCTGTTACTTTTAATGGACTGACTCCAAATCAGATGCATGTGATGATGTATGGGGTATACCGCCTTAGGGCATTTGGGCATATTTTCAATGATGCATTGGTTTTCTTACCTCCAAATGGTTCTGACAATGACTGAGAAGTGGTAGAAAAGCGTGAATATGATCTTTGTATAGGACGTGTGTTGTCATTATTTGTAGTAGTAACTACATATCCAATACAGCTGTATGTTTCTTTTTCTTTTCTAATTTGGTGGCACTGGTATAACCACACATTAAAGTCAGTAGTACATTTTTAAATGAGGGTGGTTTTTTTCTTTAAAACACATGAACATTGTAAATGTGTTGGAAAGAAGTGTTTTAAGAATAATAATTTTGCAAATAAACTATTAATAAATATTATATGTGATAAATTCTAAATTATGAACATTAGAAATCTGTGGGGCACATATTTTTGCTGATTGGTTAAAAAATTTTAACAGGTCTTTAGCGTTCTAAGATATGCAAATGATATCTCTAGTTGTGAATTTGTGATTAAAGTAAAACTTTTAGCTGTGTGTTCCCTTTACTTCTAATACTGATTTATGTTCTAAGCCTCCCCAAGTTCCAATGGATTTGCCTTCTCAAAATGTACAACTAAGCAACTAAAGAAAATTAAAGTGAAAGTTGAAAAATATCCCTGAGAAAAAAAACTGAAAATTACTTACAAAATTGAGTAATTTTCCTGGAAGCGAATTTAGTGTCATTCCTCAGAGCATACGCAATTTCAGTGTAACTGTCTGTACTTCAGCCTGCAGATACTGACATTGGATTGGTGCCTATGAAGAATGTCATGTCATTTAATTGTGTTGTTTCTCAGTTAATCAAGCTCCCAGCTGCAATTTGGATAAAAATGTAGTCCTGCTGGGTCAATGAGTTCTGTGGAAATTTGAAGAACTTGTTTTGGCCATCTGGCAGTTTCACTTACCTGAGTTGAATCTGTTCTGTATTTTGTTTTGTTTTGTTTTGTTTTTTTGACACAGAGTTTTGCTCTGTCGCCCAGACTGGAGTGCAATGGCACAATCTCGGCTCACTGCAACCTCTGCCTCCTGGTTTCAAGCAGTTCCCTTGCCTCAGCCTTCCAAGTAGCTGGGATTACAGGTGCCCACCACCACACCTGGCTAATTTTTTGTATTTTTAGTAGAGATGGGGTTTTGCCATGTTGGCCAGGCTGGTCTCGAACTCCTGACCTCAGGTGATCACCCGCCTCGGCCTCCCAAAGTTCTGAGATTACAGGCATGAGTCCCTGCGCCCAGCCTGTTCTGGATTTTGTTTCCTTGTACAAGTTCAGGGAATTTTCCCATGTTCACAGCTGTACCATATCTGTTTTCAGTGTGGAGGTCCTAACCTATCTACTTTGCATTACCATACCTTTTCCCAAATTTCAATGGCTACTCAGAAACTTAATCCAGTGGTAAATGCAATAGCTCCTGTACTGATAAATGTGTGAAATACTTAGAGCTGACTTGTTCTGCAATCTGGCCAGCACATGCTGTGAGTCCGCATAGAGTGTTAGAGCATGACATTTTAGAGATCAATATTTCTTGTAACTGGCCTCATGATGGTAATGGTCTCCCACAGCTTTAGCAAACCAGAAAGAAAATTTCCTTAAGATGGCCTTGGGCTTGAAGTTATTGATCCTCAGGGTAGTGTGTAAAACTTTGCTTTATTTCTGATTATTCTCATTGAGGGTTTTGGTTAAGATGAAGCGTTATTAGTTTTGAAGAATAACAAAACCCCTTTATGAAGCCCCCTAATATGTGGTCTCAGATGCAATTACTACAATCAAATCATGTTCAATGTGAGTACAGTAATAAACAGTATCTCTCAGAGTGTGACACAGCTTATCTGTCACCTTGCCCCCAACACCAGTATATTTAAAATTTTTCTATTGCATTTATCATCTTCACTTACATTAGTACATCAGAGTATCATCATAAACATGTCAGAATGCATTGCATTGTGTGTTTTGCTAATGAGTACTAAGGTAACATTGCCTTTTAAGCCAAATTGATGCTCTTGATTGTATCTTTATACATATTTTTTTTTTTTGAGACGGAGTTTCGCTCTTGTTGCCCAGGTTGGAGTGCAATGGCGTGATCTCGGCTCATCCCAACCTCCACCTCCCGGGTTCAAGCAATTCTCCTGCCTCAGCCTCCCGAGTAGCTGGGATTACAGGTATGTGCCACCACGCCCAGCTAATTTTGTATTTTTAGTAGAGACAGGGTTTCTCCACGTTGATCAGGCTGTTCTCAAGCTCCTGGCCTCAGGTGATCCGCCCGCCTCGGCCTCCCAAAGTACTGGGATTACAGGCGTGAGTCACTGCGCCCGGCCGATACTGAGTATTTTTTTAACGAAATGTTAGGTGTCTCAAATAATATGCTGTCTCTCTGAACTTACTTGCAGCCAGTCTTGCAGATAAAATCTGAATCAATAACAGAAAATAGTACTACTGAGGTTGTGGTTACAGATTTGATCACCATATATGTCTGTTAGCTTTACATAGAAAAATAATATATTCAGTAACCGAAAACAATAACCCTAACCCCACTCATGATGAGAGAGTTGGAAAAAATGGAGGTCTGATGGAAATTGATCGGGATTGTGAATATACTCTACATACGGCTAGTGGCTGTCATATTGGACAGCACAGGTCTAAGCAATTCTAAGTGTAAGATCCCACTCCTGGCTGAGATGTGAATAAGAGAAAACTTGAAGTTTCCTCTAAAAGTTGTATTTGTTTGTCTGGTTGTCTCAAATGCAATGGAAACCACAGCATGACTTTTAGCAGGCCCCAGACCATTGCCTTGTGTGAGTTCAATCACTGAATCTTCCTTTTCAAAAGTAAAACATTGGATCTGGAGCAAAATATAGATTTAGACCCCTTGGCTATTTTCTGGGGCGGTGGGCTGGCAGGGGAGTAAGCTAAAAGGTTGCTTGTGTATCAAATCTGATTCATAATGCCCAGATTTTTCTATAATGCATTTAAACAAACTCAGTTATTGGGTGTTCTTAAAGCAGGGCATACCTGTAATAGAAAAGTTGCTGAAAATATAGTCTAATGATGATGTACCGCTAATTTCCCTTTCATTTGTTAAGAATATTGTGTTCTGGCTGGGCACAGTGGCTCATGCCTGTAATCCCAGCACTTTGGGAGGCTGAGGCTGGCAGATCACCTGAGGTCAGGAATTCAAGACCAGCCTGGCCAACATGGTGAAACCCTGTGTCTACTAAAAATAGAAAAACTAGCTGGGCGTGGTGGCGGGCACCTGTAATCCCAGCTACTCGGGAGGCTGAGGCAGAAGAATTGCTTGAACCTGGGAGGTGGAGGTTGCAGTGAGCCAAAATCGTGCCATTGCACTGCAGCCTGGGGGACAAGAGCGAGACTCCATCTCAAAAAAAAAAAAAACAATATTGTGTTCCTTTTGGTATGGGCTGACTTTGATGCACTCAGTACTTGCCTGAGTGGTTATGTGAGAAGCATATGTTTATAGAAGTTAGCTTTCTTTTGGCATACAAAGACATTCAGCAATGTTTATCAACTCCCCCCCAAAAAAATATTGCCCCAAATTTTAAAAATAACTATACTTGACAGTTTTTACAAGTTTGAAAAAAATGACAAAAAATAACTATAGTCAATAACTCTAATATAACCAAAAATAGAATACTATAAAGCATTTAAAGGGTAATGGGAAAATGACTTGTTTGGAAAGTATAAAATGATGACATAGTGTATCTCTAGGGTCTCTACCATAATAAAAAAAATCCAGCTTTACTAGTGTGGCATCCATACACTATAATTTTCTTTGTATATATTGGGTATCTATGAGGTCAACAGTAGGCAGTAGGCCTGGTACTTTGTGGAAAGCAGAAAGAGCCCAAACTCATAATTCATCATAGTCAAATAATCATTTCACATAAGCTTTGCATGAGCAATAAGACAAACTGTAATTTAATAATGTAGTACTAGAATATAGTGGTCAGCCCTTTTGTCTTAAAATTCCTGGATTTGATCAATGCTTTTTTTTTTTTTTTTTTTTGCCCAGGCTGGAGTGCAGTGGCACGGTCTTGGCTCACCGCAACCTCTGCCTCCCGAGTTCAAGCGTTTCTCCTGCCTCAGCCTCCCAAATAGCTGGGATTACAGGCATACACCACCACACTCGGCTAATTTTTGTATTTTTAGTAGAGACGGGATTTCACCATGTTGGCCAGGCTGGTCTCAAACTCCTGACCTCAAGTAATCCACCCGTCTTGGCCTCCCAAAGTGCTGGGAATACAGGCATGAGCCACTGCGCCCTGCCTGATAAATGCTATTTCTTCTAACCCACATAGTTCCCATTTCTTTAGGTTTCTACTGATTACATGCAAGAATAGCCACATTGGTTATGCCATTGCTTTGGAAATTTGGCAAAAACCCTAGCAGAAAGAGCAGGACTTAAAAATAAGACTCAGGTTTTAGAGAGATAAATAGGATAACTGCCTTTAATGAGTGACAGACTTCCATTAGAAAAAAAAAATGCTTTGATCTAGTGAGTGAATGATACAGACATCCACCTAGTTACCCAAAGTGTTGAATTAATGGAAATATTCTAATAGTCAAAATACCACCCCTGTACCATCTGAGGGGAAGAGGGAAAAACTTCCTGGCTTGATGGAAGACTGAATGCTGGCACTGAGAATCTTTTTCATACTTACCACTTTAAAGCACTTGCCTCTAGCACGAAGCTTCAGGGAATACTGCCTTTTCTCCAACCCATCGCCGTCCAATAGATAAAACATGAGCCATATATAATTTCACATATTCTTTCTTTCTTTTGAGATGGAGTCTCACTCTGTCGCCCAGGCTGGAGTGCAGTGGCGCAATCTCGGCTCACTGCAAGCTCCGCCTCCCGGGTTCATGCCATTCTCCTGCCTCAGCCTCCCGAGTAGCTGGGACTACAGGCACCCGCCACCGCGCCCGGCTCATTTTTTGTATTTTTAGTAGAGACGGGGTTTCACCGTGTTAGCCAGGATGGTCTCGATCTCCTGACCTCGTGATCCGCCCGCCTCGGTCTCTCAAAGTGCTGGGATTACAGGCGTGAGCCACCGCGCCCAGCCTTTAATTTCACATTTTCTAATAGTCACATTTAAAAAGTAAAGACACAGGTGAAATTACTTTTAGTAATATATTTTATTTAACCCAAACATATCCAAAATATTATCATTTCAATATATAATCAACAGGAAAGAATAGATAATTTACATTATTTATTAAGTCTTTGAAATCCAGGGTGTATTTTAGTTACAGCACATCTTAATTCAAACTAGTCACATTTCAAGTTCTCAGTGGCCACATATGGATGGGCAGAGGCTACCATATTAGATAGCATAGGTCTAAGCAAGTCCAGAAGTATGAGACCCCCCAATAGCTAAACATGAATGGGAGAAAACTTAGTTTCTTCTAAAAGTTGTATTTATTTTTCTGATTTTCTTGAATGCAATGGAAACTGCAACCTGACTTTTAGCAAGCCCCAGGCCATCTCCTTGCATGACTTTAATCACTGGATTTTTCTTCCCAAAAATTAAATCATTGGATCCGGAGCAAAATGTAGATTAGGCCCCTCAATGTTTTTTCCCTTAAATTATAACTGAACCCAAACTCTTCCTGTCATTAATTTTAATATCTTTTTTTTTTTTTTAGACGGAGTCTTGCTCTGTCGCCCAGGCTGGAGTGCAGTGGCACAATCTCGGCTCACTGCAACCTCCGCCTCCCAGGTTCAAGCAAATCTCCTGCCTCAGCCTCCTGTGTAGCTGGGATTACAGGCACGCGCCACCACGCCCGGCTAATTTTTTTTTTTTTTTTTTTTTTTGTATTTTTAGTAGAGACAGGATTTCACCATGTTGGCCAGGGTGGTCTCAATCTTCTGACCTCATGATCCACCCACCTTGGCTCCCAAAGTGCTGGGATTACAGGCACGCGCCACCATGCCCAGCTAATTTTTGTTTTTTGTTTGGTTGGTTTTTGAGACGGAGTTTCGCTCTGTTGTCCAGGCTGGAATGCAGTGGTGCGATCTCAGCTCACTGCAAGCTCCGCCTCCCGGGTTCATGCCACTCTCCTGCCTCAGCCTCCCGAGTAGCTGGGACTACAGGCGCCCACCACTGCGTCCGGTTAATTTTTTGTATTTTTAGTATAGACGGGGTTTCACGTTAGCCAGGATGGTCTCGATCTCCTGACCTCGTGATCCGCCCACCTTGGCCTCCCAAAGTACTGGGATTACAGGCGTGAACCACCGTGCCCGGCCTTCCCCAGATATCTTCAAAGCAACTGCTAGTCCTGCTTTTGCACATTACACTCTACATTCTCATTGCCCCACTTAACTAACCCTCCCTCATGTCCTTTTCTAAAGATGTAGAAGACTTTGAAATAGCATAACATTTAAATGGTCACAAATCACCTGGCTTGAAAGTGACTAATAATAGGAAAATCAGACCTCAGGACTGAGTTCAATTTCAAGATTCTCCCACTCCACTTTGCTAAGAGGGAAACAGAAAAACATTACTCCAGCCACACAAATATGATACTGTGCAAGTATCCCACTCTTACTCATTCAAATCCTACCCATTTTTTCCCATCGTGGAACAGAGTCTTGCCAACTTATACCTCTCTCCAATAACCCATAAAGATGGTGATTTGAATTTGGGCCAAGATTTAACATTTTATGAAATACAAGAGGAGAGTTTTCTGCAAAACACAGGATTTGCAGACAAGGAGACTTAGGTTCAAATTCCAGTTCTGCCATTTATTACCTCAGAGAGGTCATACAACTTTCCTGAAGTTGTATGACCTCTCTGAGCCTTAGTCTCCTCGTTTGTAAAATGAGAGTTAAAATCTACCTCATGGAATCATTGCTAAGATTAAGCAAGATATATAAGTAGAGCTTGTGCACATGGTAGGTACTTGGAGAATGTTATTTCTCCTTCCCTCTTACTCATCTGGACAAGTTTAACTAGAATTCTAAACAGTTAAATATGTATCAATCCTTTGTATTAAATATCTTGATGGTAAAATGTTAAAATATTGATGTGAATAACAGCTGGTATTGAATATTCAAATTAGGGGAACTCTTTCATTGTTTTAAGATAACATCTGTACATTTAATCTGTGCCATGCAATAAAACAGCTTTTCCTGAAACAGCTTTTTAAAAACTATTTTTAAGAAATTCATAAGTTACTTTTAAGAACATTAGCTTAGAACATCTTCCCCTTTCACAACAAATTAGACATTAGAGCCAAAATTGCCCAAATTGGTATAGTTTCTATCTCCCTACACTTTAATCAAGATGTTTGTCTTTATATCAGCAAAAACCGCTACTTAAGTGAGATTCCTGCATCCCAATAAATGTATCTGGGCATTTGGTACTTGAGAGAGGATTGGGTTTGACAACACCCAGAAGCTAATGAGGATGTGCCTTCTCTCAGACCTTTGCATTCAGGAGCAAGAAAGCAGAAATACTTTGTGGACTCCTTTTCAGACACTTTACAAAATACAAAATTTTAACCTTGTGAAACACAAAATAAATGCAGGATAAATGTCCAAACATTTTAGCCCCTACTGTTTTTGAAACTGAATAAAGCCATGATAGTGAAAAATATTTTCCAGTCAGTGCTTTTTGGAAGCTATTTAGTAGATATTAATTTGATGGGTTAGAGATTGCTATTATCCCATTAAATGAAGCTGTTTCTACTTCATATTCAAATATATTTCAAGTTGAACTTGCTTAAATCTAAAATGCTTACACAAGCAAACTGTGGAAAGAATTTAGTCACGCAAAAGAAAACTTTTTCTTAATCCTGGATAAGTCAACTCTAAGAAAGCTGTCCAGAGCCTACAGAGCAAAAAGGACTTTCCTTCCAGCCTCCTCACCATGTCCAATCTAGTCCAGATGTGAAGAGTCAATTTTGGTTTTAAACAAAATTTGCATGCAGCAGCATTAGAACTAATGAAAACAGTATCCAGACTAAGACGTGCATACAAAATCTTTCACATCATGAGAAACTAAAAATTTGTTAAAACATCAGTCGGCAGGAACAGACATCTCAAGCTCCACTGATAAGGGAAGCAAAACTGGAACTACATGCCGCTTTTAAAAGTGTCTCAAATTTAAGCTCACTCAAGGACTATTAATAGACAGTGTCAAACTGACATGCCGTTTCATCATTAAATCATCTTATTGGTTTGCAAGTTTCCAAGCCTCAGGGCTTCATTATGCATCAGCATAGGACAACACCAGAATTTGGGGACAAAGACAACATCCCTTTTTGAAAGAGGTGGTAAGAATAAAAACAGGTTGGCCAACCTTGGAAGCCACCGCAGTATGGCTTCCCATGAACCAAAAAGGCAATTGAATTGTATTTGTTTTCAAGGCATACGTTTGGAAAAATAGCACTTTTTCCAAGCATGTGCTTAGTTAGAACAAATGATTTATTGCTTAAAACCCAGTCTTTTACTCACACGCTTGTGAAAATAAGAAGAAATTACCTATTTCACCATAGATTATTAAATGGACGTTAACAGTTATTGACAATCGAGTCTTGTGATAAGAAATTAAAATTATAAAGTAAATCTTCCCGTCTTTAAATTCTAGGTGGTAGAGTTCTGAGAACACTTACAATGAACTTTAAGGGAGTAATTGATTATGCTTTTGAAGTCTCCTATATTCACATATTGGCTGAAAGTAAAGCATTTTAAAATTGGAGAATGAAATGAAGAGCAATAACATTTGTTATATGAAAACTGTGGTTTTACTTTTAAAATGGGATTTTAAAAATGTATTAGTTGGGTCGGGTGTGGTGGTTCACACCTGTAATCCCAGCACTTTGGGAGGCCAAGGCGGGTGCATCACCTGAGGTCAGGAGTTTGAGACCAGCCTGGCCAACATGGTGAAACCCTGTCTCTACTAAAAATACAAAAATTAGCTAGGTGTGGTGGCACACGCATGGGATCCCAGCTACTCGGGAGGCTGAGGCAGGAGAATCGCTTGAACCCGGAAGACAGAGGTTGCAGTGAGCCGAGATCGTGCCATTGCACTCCAGCCTGGGCAATGAAGCAAGACTCCATCTCAAAAACAACAACAACAACAACAACAACAAATGTATGAGTTGGATGAGTTTAATTTTTTGCTTTCTGTTTCTGCCTAAAGATAAACCAATTTAGCATATATTGATATTAAGATGTCTGCCATATTTTGAACGTTAGCCTGTTGATTTACAGTCTTCCAAATAAGACTGATGCCTGAAGCTCATTTTTTGGTTAACTGCTTCTGTTAGTTGCACACCTTTTCCTACCTTCCTCTAATCTTAAGTCTATTTAGTCATTTGAAATATCAGTTTTCACCTGTTAGTATTACTAGCTATGTTTGCTATATTTCACAAATACATTTCTAAAACAATCCATTAATTAGAATTGGACATTAATAGTGAGGCATGTCATTCTCTGTAACAACTAAGATTTTAAGTAGAAATTATTTCACTAATTCATCTTTTATTTCTCAAAGTATTCAAGGCTAAAATTTGGAGTTCTTTAATTTTCATTCTAAGAGGCAAGTATTAATTATACTAATGAGTTCAGATGTTTTTATTTATTTTTCCTCCCAATGACCTATTCTTAATGAACATGGTATTATTAAGAGACATTCCAGTGAATCATCTCCTGTATTTTTTTACATGCATAAATTATATTCCCTAAGGCCAGACTCTTAAACAGACAGATGAACCTAATAGTCTCAACAATGATTTAAAAACTGGCCCTCAATTTTCTTCATTCATTCCTGATCTCGTGGAGTTGTGGTCCTTTACTTGGTTTTAACACAGTATTCAACAAATTGTTGTTATAGTTGATAACATCTACTCATTCTTTTACCTGCCTTAAAAAGTGTAATAAAAGTATTCATACAAAGTATAAAATACATACAAGTATAAAAATGTATAATACATTTAATTTACATGCATCTCTACAATGACAAGTATGATTTCTTTAGAAACTGATGCATACATTTTCACTGTTTTTCTTTCATTATATATCAGTTTTAATGCATACTACTTAGAAATTAGAATCATTTTGAGTTTCTTGAAGAGCCTTGATAATTATAGTCTCAAAATTAAGGAACCTAGACAAACAAAGTTAAAATATTTATGACATTTTGCTTGGGCATACATTCATATTTCCATTAATATATAATTGCTACATTATTAATAAGTGACATATTTATTATAATGAAACACCTCCACGAATTTAGTGAATTGTAATTCTTATCTCTTCCTCTGAAGTATTATACTTAGAAATACGTATCTTCAGTTACTGATTTGGGTACGACAGGGAACCTGGCTGGATATCATTATTATTTGATATATGCCATATAACCTTCTGTTTGGGGAATATAAAATCCCTCAAATTGGAAATGTTCATGACTACCCATGGGATAAATCCAGCTGTTTTTGTTTGGGGTCCAGAGCATAAAAACAGAAAAGGAAAAATGCAGCTTCCCAACAGACCACTACCAAACCACCATAACAGACAGTCTGCTAGAAGAGAACTGATCAGGCCATTATGTCACCGGACAACAGGACAATCATCTGAGTTGGGATGCTGAATCACGGCAACTCCAAGACATCTGGGATTTTTTTTTTACCCTCACATTGGATACAATCTATGGAATATTACTACATTTAGTTCATTTGTAATTTACAATTTTTGATGACTAAAATTGGAAAAGGATTAGTACATTCCTACTGGCTTTACATATTAGTATTGGGCTGTCACCATTACCCAGATTATTTAAAATGTAAATTTTCTTTACTCACTAGATTGGAAGCTCCTTAAGAGCAAGGGCTACTTCTGTATTATTCATCTTCATGCCACGTCACTTAGAACCTAGTAGATACTCAATAAATACCTATTGAGCTGAACTGACCTTGTCTGAGTAAAAGTGAGTCCAATACACAAGTTACTAGATTGTAGGTTGGTTTGACACAAACTTAATTTTGAAACTAAAAATGAACTAAAGACACACTGCCTGAGAGAAGCAGGCTCTCTATCCCTGTATTCCTATTCTCACGAATATAGGTAAACTAAGTTTCCATTAAGCACAGTATCTAAAGATGCTGACACATCTGCTAGTTTAATCTCTTTGAATTGCCTTTCATGTATGACCTAATGTTTAGAAAATGACAAGGATCACACATGTAGAGTGACATCCCTGATTAACAGTGATGAGCAGAGGCCTCAGACCCAGGGGAAGCAGAGAACATACATATTTAGTCCATATCACCAAGGCAACACAGTGTACCTCAGCACAGTAGAAAAACAAGCACAGATGTTGATGTTGAATATTTAAAAAGTGTTCCTTACACCCACTGTAACAGTGGTTAGACACAAAGATGAATTATTTCAAAAACCAAGCTATTAAAAGTTTTTACTTCTCTAATGTATGTATATGTGTGCTTTGTTTTTCATTGCTAATACTCCATAGGCAGTCTTGGTCAAAAAACATTCTCTTAGCAACAAAAATAAAGGTTCAAAGTTTGATTCTGACATAAATGACTTGTATATTCTTTTTAAGAACATAAGGAGCTACAGGCCTCAAATAGGGTGCCTCCTCCCCCAAATAGGGAGACATCTGAATTTGAAGCCAGTAAGTCAGCAAAAAATTAAACTATCTGTTGAAGAAACCCCCCTGGGAGATGACTTACAAATGAGTTCCTGATGAGACTATTTATACTTTCGTGGACCAGGAATAAATAATATGGTAAGCTGCAGAATAAAACTGTCATAACATAAGGAAAACTACATGGAACTTGAAAAGGATATAGGAAATAAAATATCAGGGCACCTCTATGGGCTAGGAAAGAGATGAGATTTTGGCAGAGATAAGCATTCTAATTAATGATGAAGCAGGAAAAATTCTCCAAGTCTTACCTCAGCACAACTGAAATATTACCCCAATTTATCAATCTTCCTTTGCTCATACCTGTGTTTACCAAGTAACTTCCTGTTTCCTAATTGTTTACCATAGGCAGACCTATCACTATGAATTAATACATTTATATTCTAACTGGGGAATCTCCAAGTCTCTCAAGTTTCATCAGTGGGAAATGGTTTCTCAAGCTGAGGGTCAGACCCTGGATCTATGTCCACCTATGTTACATCCTGGGAGACCCAGCTGGAACAGCCAGCCAAATGATCTCTCTCTTTTTGCTATCCACCCTCACCTTTCTCACCAACTTCTAACTGTAACACAGGTCACCACAATCTTGTATATGTCTGTATCCATCTGAAAAATAAAATCACATGTCATATATTGGTAAACAACCAAATGAAGATGGCTAAGACACTAGAATAACAGCAAGGTTATTAGGAAGAAAAATGGTCTTTATCAATAAATAAATCCACAACTGCTCTTTTAACTCCCCAAACAGATTACTGTTCTTACTAAAGCAGGTCCATGTCCCTCATATTCCACTTATAGAAGATATACATTATTTAAGGAGTCTAGTGGGGACCCAAATCCAGATGTTCTGGGCATCTGTTTGGTATGACTTTACTCAAAAGAAGGCACTAAAAAAACTGAACCTGAATCTGATCAATCTTATTTGTTTACAGGATATACAGGAGGCATAAAAACAAGTTAATGACTTCACAGTGATACAATCAACAAAATCCAGAATATGTGTGGAAACTTTAAAGACAAAACAACTAGATTTCTTAAATAATTTAAGGGGGAAAAGAAAAGGTAACTTATAAATTAAACAGACTTCAATAAATAACAACCAAATGCAATGTATGAACCTTGTGTGGTACCTATTTCAAGCAAACCAACAGTTAAAGAGAATTAACAGTCTAGACAGTTGATCATATTAAGAAACAGTTCAACTTTTTAGGTGTGATAATGGTATTGTGGGGTTTTTCTAATTTTTAAAGATACACACTAAAGTAGTTATGACGCCAGGCATGGTGACTCATGCCTATAATCCCAGCACTTTGGGAGGCTGATCACTTGAGGCCAGGAGTTCAAGACCAGCCTGGCCAACTATAAAATATATAAAAATTAGCTGGGCACGGTGGCTCATGCCTGTAATCCCAGCACTTTGGGAGGCAGAGGGGGACGGATCACTTGAGGCCAAGAGTTCAAGACCAGTCTGGCCAACATAGCGAAACCCCATCTCTACCAAAAATACAAAATTAGCCGGGCATGGTGGCACGTGCCTGTAATCCCAGCTACTCAGGAGGCTGAGGCACAAGAATCGCTTGAACCCGGGAGGTGGAGGTTACAGTGAGCCAAGATCGTACCACTGCACTCCAGCCTGGGCAACAGAGCAAGACCCTGTTTCAAAAAAAAAAAAAAAAGAATAAAGTAGTTATGGATGAAATGATAGGATGTCTGGGATTTGCTTCAAAATAATTGGGGGGTGGGGAGAAATAATTGAGGTATAGATGAAATAAGACTGACCATAAACTGAAACTGGGTGATGGATATGGAGAGGTCCATTATACTATTCTCCAGACTTCTTAATATGTTTAGAATTTTCCATTGAAGTTTTTTTTAAAAAAACAATCAACAAAACACACACACACACACACACACACATACACACACACACACACACACACACACGAGAATGAGCACTGCTGGGTCCCCTGGAGTAATAGAATAAAATTCCTAGTCTAGTTTCTAGCCCCATTTAACTAGACAGTTTCTCTAGAGGTCTACCATAAAATGGCAATCCATTGACCAAGTCCTGCTCTTCACTCTTATATCATTAGCCTAAGAAAGGACATTAGTTGTATGAGTTTGCTTACTTACCAGATACCTTTTAATGTCCAAGTTTGCTACCCAATTTTAACTTGAGTTTAAGAAAACTTAAAATAATTTCTGAAGCTAACAGAATTTTAGCATCTGGTGAATTTATTCAGCATAACCACAGGCATTATCTTCATGCTGTCACACACAGACACAAACACAGATACAGCACAATATCCATATTTAGCCCAAGTGCATTCCTTCTGAGGCTCATTTATATGTCTTCATATGCCACAGCCCATCATTTAAATAATGGATATTTTCAATGCCAATTCCTTTGTTGACTTTCTCACTGTAGAAGGAAAAAAAACACATAAACATACTTTTATGCATTTTTATAGTCTTACTCGTGATAAATATAATTCAAAGTATATTGTTATTTTTTAATTATTAAGCCACAAGTAAAGAACTTATTGACATCACAATTACATTGTTGTTTATATTAAACTACATTACTCTGTGGCAGCTCATATCTAAAAGTGATTTTAGTGATCTAACTAGTGGGTCTATAGAACCAGAGTAACAATGTCACAAGACTAGGGGAATATCAAAGTGCTACATTAACCCTGAAACAAAATTAATACCACTAATTTGGTCATCAAATGGGTTCTAAAATTTTTAAATATACTGCCTATGTTTTGATAATATATCTTTACTAGTTCTCTAAATATTCTACATTTCTTGTATTACCAGGTCAGGATATAAGATACTGTGTGGTGGTGAGATATATCACTGTTTTTAAAACTAGCAGTAATGACCAGGTGCAGTGGCTCACACCTGTAATCCCAACACTTTGGGAGGCCGAGGTGGGTGGATCACTTGAGGTCAGGAGTTCGAGACTGGCCTGGCCAACATGGTGAAACCCCATCTCTACTAAAAATACAAAAATTAGCTGGACATTATGGCGCACACCTGTAATCCCAACTACTTGGAAGGCTGAGGCACAAGAATCGCTTGAACCTGGGAGGCAGAGGTTGCAGTGAGGCGGGATCGCGCCACTGCACTCCAGCCTGGGCAACAGAGTGAGACTCCATCTCAAAAAAACTTAAAAAAATAAAAATAAAAATAAATAAAATGAAGCTAGCAGTAAAACATCTTCCCTCCTCCCCCAATTTAAATGATACTAAATAAGATTCCTAAAGTACCACGTACACACATATAAAACAGCTGTGTTGGCACATGGGTTCTTTTCAGTGCTTAAGAAAGACTACAATCCTGAAGACAAAATAGGTTTCATTGGCTTCCTAAGTGTTAGGAAATATCAGAAATGAAGCTTCTGTGCTTGGATATTTGTGTAATGTGGTATGCATGATAGCAAATTTCACCTGTAATTCTGATGCTTCCTGGGTTGGTTACCCATATATCAAAAGTTAAGGGGGCCTAAAGTAAGACTTACATGTCTTCTGCAGACATCTTCATGACTCCAACACATAGAGCATGCTGTTTTCCTTCTGCCATGATAGCCTGAAAGAACACAGCTAAGAAAACTATTTATCAAAATGCCTTGGGGCCTCCCCATCAAGGGAAGGGTGTCAAATAATGATCATGTTACTAGTTAAGCCACTTGGAACCCCTCTTGTGTCTTCTCCTAGACCATTAACTCCTTGAGAGCAGAGACCTAGCAGAGTCTGTGGGTACACTGTAAATACTCAGTAAATGCTAAATGAATAAATCTAATAACCCCTTTTCTTTCAAGTCAAATGTTAATACTATAACCCCATGCTAACAAAACCAGAATAAGTCACACAAAAAAGGAGTAAAATTTCTTGCACATAAATACTAAAAACTGTGAAATCAATAAATATTAATTGTTCTGATTAATTATTCTGATCACTGACTAGTGGGGATTTTTGTTTGTTCTTGAGACAGAGTCTCACTCTGTTGCCCAGGCTGGAGTGCAATGGCGCAGTCTTGGCTCATTGCAACCTCTGCCTCCCGGGTTCAAGCAATTCTCCTGCCTCAGCCTCCCGAGTAGCTGGTGCTACAGGCGTGTGCCACCACACCCAGCTAATTTTTGTATTTTTAGTAGAGATGGGATTTCACCATGTTGGCCAGGCTGGTCTTGAACTCCTGACCTCATGATCCGCCTGCCTCAGCCTCCCAAAGTGGTGGCATTATAGGCGTGAGCCACCATAGCCGGCCGTTTGTTTTTTTGAGATGGAGTCTTGCTTTGTCACCCGGCTGGAGTGCAGTGGCATGATCTCAGCTCACTGCAACTTCTGCCTCCTGAGTTCAAGCAATTCTCCTGCCTCAACCTCCCTAGTAGATGGGATTACAGGCGCATGCCACCCCACCCAGCTAATTTTTGTATTTTTAGTACAGACAGGGTTTCGTCATGTTGGCCAGGCTTGTCTCGAACTCCTGACCTCAGGTGATCTGCCCGCCTCAGCCTCCTAAAGTGCTGGGATTACAGGCATGAGCCACCACACCCGGCCTGAATGGTGGTTTTATGTAAAGGCTGTTTTAAAATAATAGGTAAATTCCCAGTCTATCTTTAAGAGCCTGATATAACAGTTTCAACCTTTCTAGAAAAACCAGAGTGGTCTTGGTTAACATATGAAGTTTCTGGAATGTTAAACACTGCAGTACATATTTTAAAAAGTCAAGATTCAGGGTACACAAGACCTCTCTGTACCATTTTCTTTAACAACTTTCTCTAAATCTGTAACTGTTTCAAAATAAAAATTATTTTTAAAAGTAAAGACTAGGTACTAAGGAAATTTTCCATTTAAGGTTAACTCCAGAACTATAAATTTACCAACACTTAATAAATATTAAAAACAAACAACAACAACAAAAAACCCGTCCTCACTTTTCTCCCTTGATTTTCAATTCACTCAGTGTTCCAAATATGTGAGCACCTATTAGGCAAAAAGCATGTCAACATAAGCTGTTCCTAGAATATAAACATACTACTTATACTACCTCTTCGCTATAACTGCCCCAACAGAGAATATCATTTTTTTTTCTTATTCTTCTTAAACACACCCCTGGCCAGGTGTGGTGGCTCACACCTGTAATCCCAGCACTTTGGGAGGCCAAAGCGGGTGGATCACCTGAGGTCAGGAGTTTGAGACTAGCCTGACCAACATGGTGAAACCCTGTCTCTACTAAAAATACAAAAATGAGCCGGGCGTGGTAGTGGGTGCCTGTAACCTCAGCTACTCGAGGGGCTGAGGCAGGAGAATTGCTTGAACCCAGGAGGCAGATGTTGCAGTGAGACAAGATCGTGCCACTGCACTCCAGCTTGGACGACAGAGCGAGACTCCATCTCAAAAACTAAAATAAGATAAACACACTCTAAAAGTAGTTTCCCTATTCCCACCAAGTACCATTCCTTTTCTATACCCGAGGCAAATGGCTACTTTAGCTATGATAAAGGAGAAGATGTTCTCCTGTCCAGAATAGTCACAAAAATCTATTTAATCCAGAAAATAGCTGAAACAGCATGGTAGAAATGGAAATAATGCAGAATTATTCAGCTATGTCATGAGTTGAATCGATCTTTAAGGACCATCTGGGACTCTGACATTTCTCTTTGAGAAAACGTGCTCTGAGGCCCCCAAACTCAACTTTTCAAATAATTAATTTTCAAAATAAAAGTTGGAGGTTGCCAATATTTCCCACTATTCACTCCTAACACAAAATTGTTGCTTGGTAAGAGATACCTATACCTGGTGCCTAAATTCTTTTCCCTTTTGAGAGCTTTCACTCCAACGTATGTCAGTAAGTCAAAATGAACATTACAGTGGCAAGTTGATATCCAAAAAGCTGATCCAATTATATCATCTATATCCTTTCCCCTAGTAATCAAGAATTCCCTATTGTGTCCTAAGTCTGATAACAGTAGGCCCTGACTGGGCTGAAATGCAGCTGAGACTCTTCTGTAACTTGTTCTCATTTAACTTCTAAGAAACGACCTAAGATGAGATAATTTAGTAGCAACAAATAAAATTACTTTGTACAACTTCAAATGTAACCAGAAAGGCATGAGATAAGAGTAACAGTAACCTTCAAAAAAGTACATCTAATGTTCTCTTGGATGGTACACCTTTCGCAGTAATGATAAGAGCACAATGAATACATTTTTCAGCAGTTTTAGCCTGGGAAGGATACAACAATGGTATCTACTGCAGCAGGGTAAAGCTTAGCTCCAGGAGAAGTTAAGCCTGGACACATGATATTTGCTCCACTGAGTACAAATTTGATGGCTCCTTTATCAACCTGCTGGTGTGGCAGGATAAAAGGATCTGTAAGAAAAGATATACAATATATTAATAATAAGACTAATGACTCAACAGAAAAAGGCAAAGGATCTGAACAGTATTTCCCCAAATTAATCTGACAGATACAAAAGAAAACTCTGAAACACTATCATTTGTTTACCAAATTGGTAATCTTTTTTGTTTGTTTTTTTGAGACAGGGTCTTGCTCTGCCACCCAGGCTGGAGTACAGTGGAGCAATCAATACCTCACAATAACCTTGAACTCTTGGACTCATGCAATCTTCCCGCCTCAGCATCCCAAGTATTCTCCAAAAACCGTAATTTCAAAACTATGGTTTTTGGAGACTACTTAATATGCCCTGGGAAATTTTTGTGATATAATGTTAAGTGAAAAACGCAGAGTAAAAAAACGATTAAAAAGATCAGTGGTTACCTGGGGTTGGGGAAGTGGGGGGAGGAAGGATGAATAGGTGGAGCACAAAGGATGTTAGGCCAGTAAAACCATTCTGTATGATACTTTAACAGTAGATACTTGACATGTATTTGGGAAAAACCATAAAACTGTAGAATACAAAGAGTAAACCCTAATGTAAACTAAGGACTTGCGTTAATAATAATGTATCAATGCTGGTTCAATTGTTACAAATGTATCATTCCAAAACAAGATGTTATTCATAGGGGAATCTGAACTGGGGAGAGGGAACTCTATTCTTTCTGCTTACTTTTTCTGGAAACCTAAAACTGCTCTAAAAAATAAAAGCCTGTTAATTTAAAAAAAAACTACAAGGGGATGAGGAGAAGTTGGTTAAGGGGTATAAAAATACAGGTCGATAAGTTCTAGTATTCGAGAGTACAATAAGGAAATTATATTTAACAATGATTTACTCTATATTTCAAAATAGCTAGAAGAATTGTAATCTTCTCAACACAAAGATAAACGTTTGAGGTGACAGATACCCTAATTACCCTGATTTGATCATTACACGCTGTATAAAGGTATCAAATATCACATGTACCCCTAAAATATGTACAACTATTATAAATATATATAGGTGGTGGGGGATACAGGCACCACAACAGCAGACAATGTACAGCTATGACGTATCAATTTTTAAAAACTATGTAACAGAGAGCCCAATTTTAAAAAAAAATGCATTTACACACATCACAGGAAATACCTGGACGGAAGGACACTTAGTCAATGCTTTCCCATATATAGACTTTTCTCTATTAGGCAAATAGATACAAATATAAAAGATGAAAATGCTCACAATGCTTATCACAGTTTGTAAATACATATTTGCGTAATTATCTAATTGTTGTTTATTCTCCAAACTAGACTATTAGTTTCTTAAGGACAGAGACAATGTCTTTGCTTCCCATTGTATTCTCAGCACCTAGCTGAATGCCTAGCACATAGTAAGTTCAATAAATATTTGTCTTTTTTTTTTTTTTTTTTTTTTTGAGACTAAGTCTCGCTCTTGTTCCCCAGGCTAGAGTGCAATGGCGTGATCTCTGCTCACTGCAACCTCCGCCTCGCGGGTTGAAGTGATTCTCCTGCCTCAGCCTCCCGAGTAGCTGGGATTACAGGCACCTGTGACCACGCCCGGCTAACTTTTGTATGTTTAGTAGAGACGGGGTTTCACCATGTTGGCCAGGCTGGTCTCGAACTCCTGATCTCAGGTGATCCACCCGCCTTGGCCTCCCAAAGTGCTGGGATTACAGGCGTGAGCCTCCGTGCCCGGCAATAAATATTTGTTGAATGAATTAATAAATGATCTTTCTTGGGCTTTCTGGAATGCATGAGAGAATCTGCATTTTTCAGATTTACCACAAGATGGGCATTCATTTTAGTTTTACATCCATTATTACCTAGTACTAATAAATAATGAGTCAATTATCAGAAGTCACTCTAAACTCTTTTTGTGTCTTTCAGTATTCCCAAATGCATATTTCTGTTTTTCTCCCCCAGCAGTGTCTTATCTGATTAAATGCATATTTCTTACAAGACTTTACATTTGAATATTGCAATAGGAGTAAAATTTCAAAAAATAAAAATAAAAAAACCTTACATTTGTGAAGTAATCTTAGGGTTGGATAAAAAGGCCCTTCTCTTTGTCTAAAAAAGAGTAATTCTCCATTTACTGTAAGGATTTCTATATGTTCATGGCTGTAAGACAAATGTCACAAAGTACCAAGTTAGATATTTTCTTTCAAAAATTCACAATATAAAACACGCATATACAGTGATAAACTTTCTTAAAAAGTCAGTAAAAATCCTGGCCAAAAAATATTGTTTACATTGTTTTTCCTATCATGCAAGTCCAGTAGAGAAAAAAAGAAAAATATTACCTGCTACAACCAATTTTATTTCACATTTTATTAATTCCATTGTTAGGTAATTCAATAAAACAATTCTCTAAACAACAAACTGAAATAAATTAAATCCAACTCTGAACTAAAACATTTAACTCTTTACTAGAACAATCAATACACAAAGCCACATTTTTTCAGGGACATAGAAAATCTTTGAAAATACAAATATTGGAGTTTTAGAGTTATTCTGTGTCTACCCCATTATTAATCTATCAATAGTTAATCTGAAAATAATTCCATTTAGTATGAGTGCAATCTAATCATTAAATATTCAGCTATACCGAGCTTTACACAGACAAAAACAAAGACTTACCATCGGACTATTTTGACAGGATCTTTCTTAGGCATGATTTGATTAAGCCATGGTTCAATACCTGGAAATTGCTCTATCAATTGATTCTTAATACCCTTAATAACTGAAGTTTTCAACTGGATGCAGTTGGACACATTTTCTTTTTCATCAAATCTGCCAAGTAATTTTTGCAAGAAAAGAAAAGGCATTTCTAAGTAGAGGTATCAGAATACCTAAAGGTACTGTTCTAATTAGTCATTTATTCCCAACCAAGTATTTAGATACTTAATTATGAAATAAATTGTTCTTTTAAAAAAAAATACCATCTCCCTTTTACTCTGTCCAGCACAAAACCAATGTCTTAATACAATATTGAAATAAACTGTCAAGTATACAGCAATTAGCTGGGGTTAGGGGGAGGAATATGAGACATACTTTGCACCATAATCTGTAATTAGCTACACAAATGCCTTTCCTGGAAAATCTTATTCAATTCTACCCAGGAAGAAACACAGGCTCCCACCAATAATAAAACCTGAGATCAGAAAACAAAACCCTCAATTCTTGAGATACAAAAGACCAACCCAAGCATAACATAGAAAATCGGCCCCTGCTAGGCTATGTAATCTGCTGAGATTTTTTTTAAGTGATGATAATAATGATTTCTAAGATCCCTATTCGTTTTTGCTCAAAATTTCATGCACAAAACCCACCTTCCTTTGCCCATGTTCCCCCTTTGCTTTTTGCGTCTACCAAATCTGGAAGGCAAACCCACTAGTAGGTTCCCAAGGAATTTTTGTCTTCCTTACACTGAATAGCCTATGGGGCAATCGTTATTTTCAAGGCAAGGTTAATCTGGCAGCTAGGCAATAGGCATGACAGGCCGCTTGCTTCCTGTCACCCAGACTCCTTCACTCCCATGACCCAGGAAGTCAAGCCTTCCTTTATTCAGTTCATAACTAATAAACATATGGCAGTGAGCGCAGGGCTCCCCTCTCAGCTACAGAGAATATGCCTCTAAATCACAGTGCACGGATGTGATTGGTAGAACCCTAGGAATGGAGACAGAATTGGGGGAGGGGGCAAAAGAGAAAGAGGGGTAAGGAGAAAAAACAATGGGAGTGGAGGGACTGAAACCCAATTAAGGACTACGGATGGAAAGCTTAAAGAAGTGTTCAAGTTGGGAGTGAGAGCATAGTACTATAGAAAACCTTAGGGAGTCAGGATGGCAGGGGCGGGGGAGAGAGAAAGAGGATCTTAGCTCTCGCCCTCTTCCCCACCCCCACCCCACCGCCTTTGTGAGCAGCCGATGGAGGCCACAGCATGTCCTTACTTCTTGAACATGATCCAAGGTGAAGGGGGCGACGATAGGGAAGGGCCCGGAATGGGAAAGAAATTGAATTTGCAGGGGTCCGGCAGATCCCCTCACACGAGGAAGGCCGGCACTGACAGTCGGAGCTGTAGTCGTTATCCGGAAAACGAGAGCCAGCCGCGCTTTACGGCTCTCAGTCAAATCTGACTACTTCCGCTCCTCTGGACTCCACGTAGGCGCTTTTGCCGGCTCCTTTTAGGCAACCGGTTCCTCAGCAGTTGGAGGTAGCTGAAAGGGCGGGACTTGAGAGGGAAGAAGTGATAGAGCAATTGCAGGAAGAGAAGAATGGAGGGGGCGGAGAATCAATCAAAGTAGCATTTATGGCACTTGCGTCAGTTACGGGTTCCTCAAAGGGTCAAGATTCTTCCGTGCTTCGTTGCTACCTATCGTCAAAGTAAACGATTTTTTTAGAGGGAATGGTTTCTGTCCTGTCTGAGGCAACCGAATGGATTGGTGCTTACCTACCAGCATGAATCCAGGCAACCCTCATGGCTTCATGTTAAAGTGCTGGTAGGATTGCCAGGTTTAGCAAATGAAAATACAGGATGCCTATTTAAATTTGCATTTCAGGTAAACAATGAATATTTGTTTTAGTGTAAGTATACCTCATTAATATTTTGGATATACTTACACTAAAAATATACAGCGCTTGTTTAGCTGAATTTAATTGAGCATCCTGTTTTTTATCTTATAACCTTATTCACTGGCAACCGTACGATGCTCCCAAAGTTTTTTGCGGGTTTTTATTGAGACAGGGCCTCACTCTTGCCCAGGCTTGAATGCGGTGGTGCTATCATGGCTCACTTGCAGCCTCTACCTCCTTGGCTCAAGGGATCTTCCCACTTCAGCCTCCCAAGTAGCATGGACTACAGGCACACACCATCATGCCCGGTTAATTTTTTTATTTTTATTATTATTATTATTATTGTAGAGACGGGGTCTATGTTGCTCAGGCTGGTTGCAAAGTCCTGGGCTCAAGCAGTCCTCCCACCTTGGCATCCCAAAGTGCTGGGGTTACAAGCGTGAATGACTGTGCTCCCGTAGAATAATTCCCATAGAATTATTACAGAAGGTAATCTGATTTAAGAGATAATAGCTAAAGAGACATGTTTTACTTATGTAATTTTTTTAAAAATAAAGCTGATAGAGAAACAAAATTATGCCAATCAAGAGTTTCACTTTGTTTTTTGTTTTAGAGACAGCATCTCACTCTGTCACCTAGGCTGGAGTGCAGTGGCATGATCACGGTTCATTGGAGTTGCAACTTCCCAGGCTCAAGTGACCCTCCCGCCTCAGCCTCCGGAGTAGTTGGTACTACAGGCATGCACTACCACACCTGGCGAATTTTAATTTTTTGTAGAGACAGGCAGGGTCTCACTAAGTTGCCCAGACTGATCTTGAACTCCTGGCCTCGAGCAATTCCCCGAACTCAGCCTCCCGAAGTGTTGGGATTACAGCCATGAGCTACTGTGCCTGGCCTAATCAAGGGTTTTGATCAGCCAAGAAATCATGGAAAAATTTAAAAACCTGAAAAGGCCCTACGCAGGAGGTGGGGTGGGTAGGCACTGACATCCAAAACAAATACACCAGTCTCCCCAGGGAGTAAATACTCTAGTCCATATTGAGGAGACGGGCCATTAGAGCAATTATAGCAAACAGTACTATGCATTTAAATGATCCAACTAACACCTTGTCTTAATTCTATGGTATGAACAATATTCTGATTATAATTTGGCTTCCCATGAAGATCTGCCCACAGGGAAAGAATTAGCTACGTTCCAATCAAATCTGCATGAACAATTATGTTTGCATTTGTAAATTAATAAATTGGCATTCTGGTTTATACAACACTCTCTTGTGAACATCCTTAGTGAGAATCCACATTCCCAGCATCCATCAACTCTGCAACATTTAGAATATTGACATTATGAACATGTGAAACTGATGTCCAGACCCCAAGCTGTGGTGACTGCCACACTGGCAGGATTATTTTTTTTTAATTTTTATGGGTACCTAGTAGGTGTATAAATTTATGGGGTATATGAGATGTACAGGCATGCAATGTGAAATAAGCACATCATAGAAAACGGGGCGTCCATCCCCTCAAGTATTTATCCTTTGAGTTACAAACAATTCAATTATGCTCTTTAACTTATTTTAAAATATACAATTAGGTTATTATTGACTATAGTCACAGTACTAGTTCATTCTCACACTGCTAGAATACCTGAGTCTGTGTAATTTATAAAGTAAAGAAGTTTAATTGACTCACAGTTCTGCATGGCTGGAGAGGGCTCAGGAAACTTACAATCATGGCAGAAGGGGAAGCAAACACATCCTTCTTCACAAGGTGGCAGGAGAAAGAAGTGTGTGGAGCAAAGGGTGAAGAGCCCCTTATAAAACTATTAGATCTCGTGAGCACTCACTCACTATCACAAGAACAGCATGCAGAAAGCCACCCCCATGATCCAATCACCTCCCACCAGGTCTCTCCCCAGACATGTGGGGATTATGCAGATTACAATTCAAGATGAGATTTGGGGGGGACACATCCAAACCATGTAAGTCACCCTATTTTGCTATCACATAGAAGGTCTTAGTCATTCTTTCTGTTTTTAATACCTATTAGCCAACCCCACCTCCACTACCCAACCCCCCACTACCCAACCCCCCACTATCCTTCCCAGCACCTGGTAACCATCCTTCTATTCTGTGTGTCCATGAGTTCAATTGATTTGATTTTTAGATCCCACAAATAAGTGAGAACATGTGACGTTAGTCTTTCAGGGCCTGGGTTATTTCACTTAACATAGTCAACTCCAGTTCCATCCATGTGATTGCAAATGACAGGATCTCATTTTTTTATGGCTGAATAGTACTCCATTGTGTATCTGTACCACATTTTCTTTATCCAAACATCTGTTGATGGACACTTAGGTTACTTCCAAATCTTAGCTGTTGTAAACACCGCTGTAAGAAACATAGGAGTGCAGATATTTCTCTGATATACTCATTTCCTTTCTTTTTGGGTAGATACCCAGGAGTAGGATTGCTGGATCATATGGTAGCTCAATTTTTAGCTTTCTGAGGAACCTCCAAACTGTGCTCCATAGTGGTTGTACTAATTTACATTCCCACCAACAGTGTACAAGTGTTCCCTTTTGTCCACATCTTCACCAGCATTTGTTATTACCTGTCTTTGGATATAAGCCATTTTAACTGGGGTGAGATGATATCTTGTAGTTTTGATTTGCATTTCTCTCATGACCAATGATGCTGAGCAACTTTTCTTTTGCCTGTTTGCCATTTGTGTGTCATCTTTTGAGAAATGTCTATTCAAATATTTTGCCAATTTCTTGATTGTATTATTAGATTTTTTCCTATAGAGTTGTTTGAACTCCTTATATATTCTGGTTGTTAATCACTGGTCAGATGGGTAGTTTGCAAATATTTTCTCCCATTCCATGGGTTGTCTTTTCACTTTGGTGATTGTATCCTTTGCTGTGCAGAAGCTTTTTAACTTTATGCAATGCAGTTTGCCCATGTTTGCTTTGGTTGTCTGTACTTGTTGGGTATTGCTCAAGAAGTCGTTGCCCAGACCAATGTTGTGGAGATTTTCCCCAATGTTTTCTTGCAGTAGTTTCATGGTTTGAGGTCTTAGATTTAAGTCTTTAATCCATTTTGAATTGACTTTTTTATATGTCAAGAGAGAGTCTCGCTCTGTTGCCCAGGCTGGAGTGCAGTGGCGCGATCTAAGCTCCCTGCACCCTCTGCTTCCCGGGTTCAAGAAATTCTCCTGCCTCAGCCTCCTGAGTAGCTAGGATTACAGGCGTGTGCCACCATGCCCAGCTAATTTTTTTTTTGTATTTTTAATAGAGATGGTGTTTCACCATATTGGCCAGGCTGGTCTCAAACTCCTGACCTAGTGATCTGCCCACCTTGGACTCCCAATGTGCTCAGATTATAGGTGTGAGCCACCGTGCCCGGCCAGTGTATTTTACTTTTCATTATAGAGACCTTTCACTTCTTATAGTTCAGTCAATTCCTAGGTATTTAATTTTACATGTGGCTATTGTAAATGAGATTATTTTTTAAATTTCTTTTTCAGATTGTTCACTGTTGGCATATAGAAATGCTACTAATTTTTGCATTTTGATTGTGTATCCTACAATTCTAATGAATTTATCAGTTCTAATAGTTTTCTCATGGAGTCTAGTTTATTCTAAATATAAGATCATATCATCAACGAACAAGGATAATTTGACTTCTTCTTTTCCAAATTGGATGCCCTTTGTATCTCTCTCTTGTCTGACTGCTCTAACTAGCACTTTCAGAATAACAGTGATGACAGTGGGCATCCTGTCATGTTCTGGATCTTAGAGGAAAGGCTTTAAGTTTTTCCCCCTTCAGTATAATACTAGGTGCAGGTCTATCGTATATGACTTTTGTTATGTTAAGGTATGTTTTTTCTATCCCCGGATATTGAGGGTTTCTATCATGAGGAAATGTTGAATTTTATCAAATGCTTTTTCAGCATCAACTGAAATGAAAGGTTTTTATTTCAAACTGAAACTGAAGGTTTTTATCCTTCATTCTGTTGACAGGCTGTATCACATTGATTGGTTTGTGTATATTGAGCCATCCTTGAATCCCAGGGATAAATCCCAGTTGGTCATGATGAATGATCTTTCTAATGTATTGTTGAATTTAGTTTGCTAGTATTTTGTTGAGGATTTTTTTTTTCTTTGAGACGGAGTCTCACTCTGTCACCCTGGCTGGAGTGCAGTGGTGCGATCTCGGCTCACTGCAAGCTCTGCCTCCCAGGTTCATGCCATTCTCCTTCCTCAGCCTCCCGAGTAGCTGGGACCACAGGTGCATACCACCATGCCCAGCTAATTTTTTTGTATTTTTAGTAGAGACAGGGTTTCACCATGTTAGCCAGGATGGTCTCGATTTCCTGACCTTGTGATTCACCCACCTCAACCTGGGAAAGTGCTGGGATTACAGGCATGAGCTACCGTGCCCGGCCGAGGATTTTTGCATCAGTGGTCATCAGAGATATTGGCCTGAGACTGAGTCTTGCTCTGTCACCCAGGCTGGAGTGCAGTGACACGATCTCAGCTCACTGCAACCTCCGCCTCCCAGGATCGAGTGATTCTCCTGCCTCAGCCTCCCAAGTAGCTGGGATTACAGGCACGCGTCACCACGCCCAGCTTTTTTTTGTATTCTTAGTAGAGACAGGGTTTCACCATGTTGGTCAGGCTGGTCTTGAACTCCTGACCTCGTGATCTGCCCGCCTCTGCCTCCCAAAGTGCTGGGATTACAGGTGTGAGCCACCACGCCCGGCTGTGGTTTTCTTTTATTGTGTCTTTGTCTGGTTTTGGTATCAGAGTAATGCCAGTCTCATAGAGTGAATTTAGAAGTATTCCCTCCTCCTCTATTTTTTGGAATGGTTTGAGTAGGATCAGTATTAGTTCTTCTTTAAATGTTTGGTAGAATTCAGCAATGAAGCCTTTGGGTCCTGGGCTTTTCTTTACTGGGAGACTTTTTATTACAGCTTTGATCTCATTACTTGCTTTTGTGCTGTTCAGGTTTTGGATTTCTTCCTGATTCAATCTTAGTAGGCTGTGTGTGTCTAGGAATTTGGCCATTTCTTCCAGATTTTCCAATTCATTGGCATATAGTTGCTCATAGTAGCCTCTAATGATCCTTTGAATTTCTGTAGTATCAGTTTTAATACCTCCTTTTTCATTTCTGGTTTTATTTGGATCTTCTCTCTTTTTTTCTTAGTTAATCAGGCTAAATGTTTGTCAATTTTCTTTAACTTTTCAAAAAATATCTTTTTGTTTCATTGATCTTTTGTATTGTTCTCTTCATCTCAATTTCATTTATTTCTGCTCTGAACTTCACTATTTCTTTTCTTCTACTAATTTTAGGTTTGATTTGCTCTTGCTTTTCTAGTTCTTTAAGATGCATCATTAGATTATTTATTTGGAGTTTTTCTTCTTTTTTGGATGTAGGCACTTAGAGCTATAAACTTTCCTCTGAGTACTGCTTTTGCTGTATCTCATGGGATTTGATAGGTTGTGTTTCCATTATCATTTGTTTCCAGACATTTTTCAGTTTCCTTCTTAACTTCTTCACTGATCCAGTGGTCATTCAAGAGCATATTGTTTAATTTCCCTGTGTTTGTATAGTTTCCAAAATTCCCCTTGTTATTAATTTCTAGTCTTATTCCATTGTGGTCAAAGAAGATGCTTGATATTATTTCAATTTTTGAATTTTTTAAGACTTGTTTTGTAACCTAAGATATAGTCTATCCTTGAGAATTATCCATGTGCTCAGGAAAAGAATGTGTATTCTGCAGCTCTTAAATGACATGTTCTGTAAATATCTATTAGACCCATTTGGTCTACAGTGCAGATTAAGTTTGATGATTCTTTGTTGATTTTCTGTCTGAAAGGTCTGTCCAATGCTGAAAATGGGGTGTTGAGGTCTCCAGCTATTATTGTTTTGGGACCTATCTCTTTCTTTAGCTCTAATAATATTTGATTTATATGTCTGGGTGCTCCAGTGTTGGGTGCATATATATTTAGAATTGTTATATCTTCTTGCTGAATTGACCCCTTTGTCACTACACGGTGACCTTCTTTGTCTCTTCTTCTGGTTCTTATCTTGAAATCTATTTTGACTGATGTAAGTATGGCAAATCCTGCTCTTTTTTGGTTTCCATTAGCATGGAACATCTTTTTCCATTCCTTTATTTTCAGTCCATGTGTGTTTTTATAGATGAAGTGTGTTTCTTGTAGCAACAGATCAATGGGTCTTGTTTATTCATCCATTCAGCTACTCTATGTCTTTTGATTGGAGAATTTAGCCTATTTACATTCAATGTTATTATTGATAAGTAAGGACTTATTCCTGCCATTTTGTTATTTGTTCTCTGATTGTTTTGTGGTCTACTCTTCCTTGTTTCATTCCTGTATTCCTCTAGTGAAGGTGATTTTCTCTGGTGATATGACATAATGTCTTTCTATGTTTTTTTATCCATTGTATGTTCTTCAGTTTGAGGTTACCATGAGGCTTGCAAATAATAACTTATAACCCATTATTTTAACCTGATAACAAGTTGACACTATACACATAAAGGAACAAACAAGCAAAAAAAAAAAAAACTAATAAAAACTCTACACGTTAACTTCATCCCCACCGCTTTTTAACTTTTTATTGTTTCTATTTACCTCTTATTGTATTGACTATGTCTTGATGAGTTTTTGTAGTTGTTATTTTTGATTGGTTCATCATTTTGTCTTTCTACCTAGTATAAGAATAGTTTACACACCACAGTTACAGTGTTATAATATTCTGTGTTTTTCTGTGTACTATTACCAGTCAGTTTTGTACCTTCAGGTGATTATTGCTCATTAATGCCCTTTTCTTCCTGATTGAAGTACTCCCTTTAGCATTTCTTGTAGGACAGGTCTGGTGTTGATGAAATCCCTCAGCTTTTGTTTGCCTGGGAAAGTCTTTATTTCTCCTTCATGTTTGAAGGATATTTTCATCAAATATACTATTCTAGGGTTACAGTGTTTTTCCTTCAGCACTCTAAATATGTCACACCACTCTCCTAATCTGTAAGGTTTCCACTGCTGCCAGATGTATTGAAGCTCCATTCAATGTTATTTGTTTCTTTTATCTTGCTGTTTTTAGGATCCTTTCTTTATCCATGACCTTTGGGAGTTTGATTATTAAATGCCTTGAGGTAGTCTTCTTTGGGTTAAATCTGTTTGGTGTTCCACAACCTTCTTGTACTTGGGTATTGATATCTTTCTCTAGGTTTGGCAAGTTCTCTTGTTATCATCCCGCTAAATAAACTTTCTACCCCTATATCTTTCTCTACCTCCTCCTTAAGGCCAATAACTCTTAGATTTGCTCTTTTGAGGCTATGTTCTAGATCCTGTAGGTATGCTTCCTTGTTTTTTATTTCTTCTTTTGTCTCCTCTAACTGTGTATTTTCAATTAGCCTGTCTTCAAGCTCACTAATTTTTTTGTCTGCTTGATCAATTCTGCTATTAAAGGACTGTGATGCATTCTGTAGTATGCCAATTGGATTTTTTTAGCTCCAGAATTTCAGCTCGATGCTTTCAAATTATTTCAGTCTCTTTTTAAAATTTATCTGATAGAATTCTGAATTCCTTCTCTGTGGTACCTTAAATTTCTTTGTGGTTCTTGCAGACTCATAGGGGTACTGCCTCGATGGTCTTGGACAAGATCTGGGAGAATTCTCTGCATTACCAGGCAGAGAATCTTGTTCCCTTCGCTTACTTTCTCCCAAACATAGTCTCTCTGTTCTGAGCCACCTAAATTTGGGGTGGGGTGACACAAGCACCCCTGTGGCCACCACCACTATGACTGCACTGGGTCAGACCTGAAGCTAGCACAGCGCTGGGTCTCACCCAAGTCCTATTGTAACCTGTCCCTGGCTACTGCCTATGTTCGCTCAAGGTCCTGGGGCTCCACAATCAGCAGGTGGCAAAGCCAGCCAAGCCTGTGTCCTTCCCTTCAGGGCAGTGAGGTCCCCAAAGCCCCAGGTGGGTCCAGAAGTTCCATCTGGGAGTCAGGGACTAGAGTCAAAAACCTTAGATGTTTACCTGGTGTTCTATTGTATTGTAGCTGAGCCAGCACTCAAACCACACCATTCAGTCCTTCCCACTCTTCTCTACCCTTTCCAAAGGGAGAGGAGGTTCACCCCATAGCCATTGCCACCCCAGGCCACAAGGAGTACTGCCAGATTATGGCAGATGTTACCTTAAAGCCCAACGTCTCTTAAGTCAGCTTGTCATGCATGCTGCCTGGCCTGGGATTCACCCTTCAGGCCAGTGGGCTTCCCTCTGGCCCAGGGCAGGTCCAGAAATACCATCCAAGAATCAAGTCCTAGAATTGGGGATCCCAAGAGCCCACTTGGTGCTCTACCCCCTGTGGCAGTGTGTAAGGTACAACACAAAGTCCCCTTTACTTTTCCCTCTGCTTTTCTCAAGCAAAAGGAGTTTTGTCCCATAGCCACCACAGCTGGTAATGTGCTGAGTCTCACCTAAAGCCAGGAAGTCTCAGAGGTTCACCCAAAGACTTCGATGTAGTACCTGGGTATTGCTGTTGGTATTCAAGGCCCAAGGGATCTTCAGTTAGCAGGCGATGAATGCTGCCAGGACTGGATCCTTTCCTTCAAGGAAGTGGGTTCTCTTCTGGCCCAGGGTGTGTCTAGAAATGTCATCTGGGAGGTAGAACCTGGAACAGGGACCTCACAACTCTGACCAGTGCCCTATCCTGCCGTGGCTAAGCTGTTATCCTAGATGCAAGACACAAGTCCTACCCACTCTTCCCTCTCCTCTCCTCAAGTGGAAAGAAGGGGTCTCTTTTGGAGCCACAAACCATGCAGCCTAGGATTGGGGGAGGGGTGATGCCAGCACTCCCTTAGCCACTGCAGCTGGTGTCTCAGTATGGCGCATGCCCCCACAGTCCACTGTCTCTGGGCTTAATTCAACACTAGGACTCACGACAAGTTGCAGTCCTAATGGCCTAGAATGTTCTTTAAGTTTACTTGGAGACGCAGAGTGCTATAGTTCTCACTGGTGAGGTTTGTGAAAACTCAAGTTCCAAACACCGAGACTGGTGATTCCCCTCTGGCTAGGGCTACTTGAAATGCTCCCTCCAAGGGCAGGCATCAGCTGAGTTTGGTCTGGGTTTCCTTTCTGCTCTAACAGGACAGCACTGAGTTCAGTGCCTCACAATTGCTGTGTTCTCCCTCCCCCAGCACCCAGAGATGCTCTCCCCACCACGCCATTGCTGCCGGGGGTGGGGAGAGGTGGTGTAGGCAATTCCAAGCTGTTTTTTAATCTCTTCAGTGCCTCTTTTAGCAGTATGAACATGAGGGCTCACCTGATTTTTGATTCTTATGAAGGTATTTCTTCTGTGTAGGTAGTTAACTTGGTGTCCTTGTGGGGGCGGAGTATGATCGGTGGCGCTTTCTATTCTGCCATCTTGCTCTACCCTCCTCCAGCTTTTGTCTGTCAGGATTCTTGCCAAATGGCCTTCCTCTCCTGGCAACTCTCAAATCACCCTGGGAGCCTGCCATTTAACAATAAATACATTATAAACAGCAATAGGCCAGGCACATGGGCTCACACCTATATTCCCAGCACTTTGGGAGACTGAGGCAGGAAAATTGCTTGAGCCCAGGAGTTTGAGACCAGCCTGGGCACCATAGCGAGACCCCACCTGTAAAAAAATTTAAAGATTAGTCAGGCCTGGTGGTGTGTGCCTATAGTCCCAGCTACTCTGGAGGCTGAGGTGGGAGGATCACTTGAACTCAGGAGGTAGATTGCAGTGAGCCAGGATCACGCCACTGCACTCCAGCCTGGGCAACAGAGTAAGACCTTGTCTTGGAAAAAAAAAAAAAAAAATGGCCGGGCACGGTGGCTCACGCCTGTAATCCCAGCACTTTGGGAGTCCCAGGAGGGCGGATCACAAGGTCAGGAGATCAAGACCATCCTGGCTAACACGGTGAAACCCCGTCTCTACTAAAAATACAAAAAATTAGCCAGGCGTGGTGGCGGGCGCCTGTGGTCCCAACTACTCGGGAGGCTGAGGCAGGAGAATGGTATGAACCCAGGAGGCAGAGCTTGAAGTGAGCTGAGATCGCGTCACTGCACTCCAGCCTGGGCGACAGAGCGAGACTCTGTCTCAAAAAAAAAAAAAAAGAATGATAAAAGTATTACACTGAAAATCTGTGGTGCTAGAAATAATAGTAAGAGTTAACTTTTTTGTTTGTTTGTTTTTTAGACAGTCTCGCTCTGTCACCCAGGCTGGAGTATAGTGGTGCGATCTCAGCTCACTACAACCTCCATCTCCTGGGTTCAAGAGATTCTCATGCCTCAGACTCCCGAGTACGTGGGATTTCAGGTGTGTGCCAGCCCGGCTAATTTTTTTTTTTTTTTTTGTATTTTTAGTAGAGACAGGGTTTCACCGTGTTGACCAGGCTGGTCTCGAATCCCTGACCTCAAGTGATCTGCCCGCCTTGGCCTCCCAGAGTGCTGGGATTATAGGCTTAAGCCACCATACCCAGCCAAGAAATAATAAATTTTATTTATTTATTTATTTATTTATTTATTTATTTATTGTGAAGGAGCTTTGCTCTTGTTGCCCAGGCTGGAGTGCAATGGCACAATCTCAGCTCACTGCAACCTCTGCTTCCCGGGTTCAAGCGAATCTCCTGTCTCAGTCTCCCGAGTAGCTGGAATTACAGGCACCTGCCACCACGCCCGGCCAATTTTTTGTAATTTTAGTAGAGATGGGGTTTCACCATGTCAGCCAGGCTGGTCTCAAACTTCTGACCTCAGGTGATCCACCCGCCTGGGCTTCCCAAAGTGCTGGGATTACAGGCATGAGCCACCACACCCGGCCCATAAATTTTAATTTTATAAAAATTACACATATGCTATCTAAGTTATGATGGATCTTACATGCATGGGAATTGATATATAACCACATGTACATATATATTTTAATCTACTTTCATACACTCTGACAATCACAGAAACTAAATCTGAATGATGACAAATACCACGTTTGGTCATTAGTATTAACGTGCTATTCAGATCTGTACGTGTGCATAAGTACCTTCATTCATAACCCATCTATACAGGTACATAAGCAGGGCCCACTTTTCACTGCAATGCATTTCTGGATATTGTGTTGTAAATGGTATCATCATAAAGTGGATTCTGTTTTTCCAAGGCTGTAATTGAGGGTTTGCTCCTGACAAATAACTTGTCTTCAAATAAATACTTGCTACAACTAACCATATGTCATTAAAAAAGAAATGCTTCAAAATAAACTTCTTCAAAAATTAAAACAATGAACTTCATTTAGTCATGTAATAAAGGACCTTTATGTTTTAGACATACATTTTCTCTGTCCTGTAACTTGTGCATAAATGTTCTGTGAAATTTATCTTACAAGGGTCCTTGAGGTACATGTAGCACAGGACACAGAAAACCCAAGTCTATCATACATTATACTAAAATAAGTAATGTAGCTGTAATAAGCATTAAATATTCAACAATTGTGTTTACCTTCTTAGAATCCTGAAAGGATTTTATAGGGTCATCTTGACACAAGGCTCTAAAATGCTGCCCAAGGAAGTTTGCAATAAGGCCTCCTGTTCTTTTTTACAAATTTCCTTGAGCACCAAGCATGGCACCCAAACCTTTCAGTAAAGAAAGGTTTCTTTAGGAGCTAGGCCAAAGCTTTGAACACTGGAGGAGATGCTTTCACTGCAAGAAAGAATTGGGCTACTGCCAGACCCCTGCTGGGCCTCACATCTCTCAGAATCTACAGCCTGTGAAGTCCTCCAGTAGGTTCCCATTTCCCACAAACTGCCTCTCAGCCTTATACCTTAGAGGCAGCTGCAGCCTGGCCTTATATATCCAACTAGGGCAAGACGCATCTAAGAACCACACCACTGCCGCTACCACCAATTGCTCTGCAGAGCACAGGTGAGAAAATATACTGGTCATGCCACTGCCTGGATCCTTCCACACCTAGCAATGTAAGGAACACCAATAAAACAGCAACTCCTGCCTCCAGGTCCAAATACAGCTAAATTTGGGGAGACCTGAGAGCCCCCGTTTATCACAAAATAGCAGGACTAACCATCTAACCAAATTTGTGATGAGCCAAACCCACCATACCTCATTTACATCCCTGTTTTCCTCTGTCATCATTCAACATGTAAGCATCCAGTTTGACATACCTGCTTTGTGACCTTGGGCAAATCACTTGAGCTCTGTGCTTGTCTTCTCATCTGTAAAATTAAGGTCTACTCTTCATGAGGTTTTATGAGGATTAAATGAAATAATCTATGCAAAGCCCTGTTAGATTATTATTATTATTGTTATGTTTTATTATTATTGTTGTTCTTATCCTCTAACTGCATTCCCATATTGCTCTGTGCTTCTTCTCCCTGAACCTGACCTTCCACTTTTTTTTTTTTTTTTTTTTTTTGAGATGGAGTTTTGTTGTTGTTGCCCTGGCTGGAGTACACTGGCAGGATCTCGGCTCACCGTAACCTCCACCTCCCGGGTTCAAGCGATTCTTCTGCCTCAGCCTCCCAAGTAGCTGGAATTACAGACATGTGCCGCCATGCCCGGCTAATTTTGCACTTTAGTAGAGACGGGGTTTCTCCATGTTGGTCAGGCTGGTCTTGAACTCCCGACCTCAGGTGATCCGCCTGCCTTGGCCTCCCAAAGTGCTGGGATTACAGGTGTGAGCCACCATGCCCGGCCCTGACCTCCCACTTCTACCTTCACTCCTTACATGCTTCGGCTGTGCCTCCTGGAACACTATTCCATGATTAACAAACTCTTCTGCCATCCACAAACTCATCCCCGAATATCCACGTTCCTGGGTTTCCCATGAGGATGGAGCTTCCTTTACAGCCCTTTCCAGTGAAAGTGATCTATACCAACACAT
This sequence comes from Homo sapiens, assembly GCF_000001405.40. Lineage (NCBI taxonomy): Eukaryota > Metazoa > Chordata > Mammalia > Primates > Hominidae > Homo > Homo sapiens. The sequence goes on along the minus strand of NC_000023.11, from coordinate 120,590,678 downwards.
CGCATGTACTGCATATGGAGGAGGTAAGGTGGGTATCCTCTTCCAACCACACTGCACCTTTCAAACCATTCCTCCTCCACCCTCAGGCAAAACCCCCTGATCCTTCTTCCTCTGAGTTTCATGATATTTGGTTACACCTTGACTCCACCTCTTTGCTCTCCTGTACTCATTCATCAAAGATGCTGGCATCTGGTTCACAGCCTTTCTTCTCACTCCTACCCCCAGGGGTGTTAAGCACTGCAAGAGAAAGTCACATAGATGAACAGGTTGTTACCACTCTGAATTCGTAGTCACCAACGTCAAGTGGACCTTCAATATTTCTGGGGATTCCTGTCATATTTTCAACTCACTCTCTCATTTTCCCAAATGATACTTCTCAATCTTCTTCATTTTCCTCAAAACTCCAACTACTCAGCTGCCCCAAAGATAAGATAGAAGTCTCCAGATGGAAACCAACTTCCTACTACCAAACTAGAAACATATTCACAGCCATCCTTTTCTACTGTTACAATGAAAGATATCCCTCTTCCAATCTAGGTGTAATTCCTCCATGTGCATTGTAGAGCCCATTCATGTACAGGTCTCCTCACTAGCCATACTCAACCTATTATTACCTCTTTCCTATTTTCAACCTCTCACTCTCTACTGGCCCCTTTCTCTTGGCTTTTTCAAAGGATGTACATGAATATTCCAACATTATATAACATCCAAACAACACAGAAGCCGACAATCATAATAGCTAACATTTATTGAGGACTTACCATGTACCAGGCACTGTTGCAAATGCGTTCAGGTATTAACACATTTAATTCTCAGAATTACTTATCAAGTAGATACTATTAGTATTTTCTCTTTTCTTGAATTAAGAACCTGAGGAAAAAGAAGTAACTTGCCGAAGATTACGCAGATATGAAATACCAGAATCTGGATTTGAACTCAAGTGGTCACAACACTATGCTCTCTAAATTACCACATTTAAAGTGTCCCTGCTGTGTCCTGCCCTGTCCTGCCCCACTCCACCTCGTTCTCCCTCCCCTCCTTAACTCTTCCCTTCCTTCCCCATAGGTAATGACTGGCAATAATTTTGTGTGTATATTGTGTGTACATTTGTGTGTATATCCTTCCAGAAATTTTTGGCGCATTTATATACACAGTACATATGTGCTTTTTATCTTTACCTGTTCAGAGAAACTTCTCTAGTAACAAACTATAGAAGTGACCCCTGAAAATATAGTCTTACACACATGCTTTTAAACTGATACATAATATTTGCATAAATTTATAGGGTATATGTAGTATTTCATTGCATGCATCGAATGTGTATTAATGAAGTCAGGGTATTTAGAGTATCCATCACCTTGAGTCTTTATCATTTCTATGTGTTGGGAATATTTAAAGTCCTTTCTTCTTGTTATTTTGAAATGTACAAAGCATTGTTGCAAACTATGGTCACCCTACTCTGCTATCAAACATTGTAACTTATTTCTTCTATGTAATTGTATTATTGTACCCATTAACCAATCTTTCTTCATCAACCCCCCCCACCCACATACACTTCCCACCCCCTCTGGTTTCTATCATTCTACTCTCTACCCCCATGAGATAAGCTTTTTTAGTTCCCACAGATGAGTAAAAACATGTGATATTTGTCGTTTTGTCCCTGGCTTATTTCACTTAACATAATGACCAGACATGTTGCTGCAAATGACAGGATTTCATTTTTATGGCTGAATAGTATTCCATTATGTATAAATACCACATTTTCTTTATTCATTTGCCTGTTAATGAACATTTAGGTTGATTCTGCATCCTGGCTATTATGAATACTGCTACAATAAACACTGGGGTGCAAGTATCTTTTGGTTATACTGATTTCTTTACTTTTGGGTAAATACTCAGTCGTGAGATTGCTGGATCATATGGTGGTTCTATGTTTAGTTTTTTGAGAAACCTCCATGCTGTGTTCCATAGTGGCTGTACTAATTTACATTCCCACCAACAGTGCATATGAGTTCCCTTTACTCTGCATCCTCACCAGCATCCGTTGTTTGCTTTTTAATAACAGCCATCCTAACTGGGGTCAGACAATATCTAATTGTGGTTTTGATTTGCATTTTCCTGATAATTAGCGACATTGAGCATTTTTTATATATCTTTTGGCCATTTGTGTGTCTTCTTTGGAGAGATGTCTATTCATGCCCTTTGACCACTTTTTTAATAGAATTACTTTGTTGTTGTTTTTGTCATTGTTTTTACTATGGTGTTGAGTTCCTTATATATTTTGAATATTAAACCCTTATCAGATACCTAGTTTGCAAATGTTTTTCTCATTCCGTAGGTTGCCTTTTTATTTTGTGTTTCCTTTGCTATGCAAAAGCTTTTTGTTTAATTAAGTCACATTTGTCCTTTTTGTTTGTTTGTTTTTGTTGCCTGTGCTTTTGAGGTCTTAGCCATAAAATATTTGCCTAGATAAATGTCCAGAAGTGTTCCTCCCATTTTCCTCTAGTAGTTTTATAGTTTTGGATCTTATGTTTAAGTCTTTAATCCATCTTAAATTTTTGTATATGGTGAGAGATAGGGGTCGGATTTCATTCTTCTGAATATAAATATCCAATTTTTGCAGGACCATTTATTTGTGGTGTGTGTGTGTGTGTGTGTGTGTGTGTGTGTGTGTGTGTGGGTGTCCCAATATATCCATGTAACAACACCAGCACCATTTATTGAAGGCAGTGTCTTTTCTCCAATGTATGTTCTTGGTGCCTTTGTCTATAATCAGTTGGCTATAAATACATGGATTTATTTCTGGATTATCTATTCTGTTCAATTGGTCTATGTGTCTGTTTTTATAACAATACCATGCTGTTTTGGTCACTATAGCCTTGTAATATAATTTGAAGTCACATAGTATGATGCCTCCAGCTTTGTTCAGAAGGCTGCTCCTTCTGAGACTCTTTCACTGATTCCTTCTTCTCTCCCAGAATGCTATCCTTGGTATTCTCTTCTCTGTCCACACTTCCTCTCTTGATAATCTCATCTTGTCTCCTGGCTTTAAACACCATTTATATCTCCATCCTAGACTTCTCCCTTAAACTCTAGACTTGTATATCCAAGTACCTATTTGACTTCTCTGCTTGAATATCTAAAAGACATCTCATAGCACATGTCTAAAACTACCACTTGTTTCCTAAAAACTACTGAAATAAAATAAAAAAATAAACAAAACAGTACTTCTAGTCTCTCCCCATTCTGCCTCCCCACACACATCCGAAAACTTATATTACTGACAGCCTTCAGTTGATGACAGTTGCTTCCTTTCATATGGATGGCACTGCATCCTTTGCTTAGATCCAAACTCTTTGGTATTTCTTTGACTCCTCTCTTTCTCTCACATTCTATCTTCAAATAATAAAAAAATCCTATTTACTCTTCAAAATATATCAATAATTCACCCACTTCTCACAGCTCTCACAGCTACCATCCTGGTTCAAGTCATCATTATCTGTTGCCTGGATTATTTCAATAGCCTCCTAACTGGTGTTATACCTCTGCCCCCTACCACAATCTACTGTCAACACGAGTCAGATTTTCCTATTAAAAATGAAAGTTAAATTAAAGTCTCTCCTCTGCTCAAACATCTCCAGTGGTTCCCCATCTCATTTAGAAGAAAACCAATGTCTGTACAATAGCTTACAAGGTCTTTAATTGTCTGGATTTCTGTTATCTCTTTAACATCATTTCCTACTAGTCTCCCCTACTTTCTCTGACTCTTCTCTAGTCACACTAACCTACTTGCTATTTTTCTTTTCTTTCTTTCTTTCTTTGTTTTTGTTTTTGTTTGACAGAGTTTCGCTCTTGTCGCCCAGGCTGGAGTGCAATGGCACGATCTTGGCTCACTGCAACCTCTACCTCCCGGATTCAAGCAATTCTCCTGTCTCAGTCTCCTGAGTAGCTGGGATTACAGGCGCCTGCCACCACACTGGGCTAATTTTTTTGTATTTTTAGTAGAGACGGGGTTTCACCATGTTGGCCAGGCTGGTCCTGAACTCCTGACCTCAGGTAATCCACCCGCCTCGGCCTCCCAAAGCACTGGGATTACAGGCGTAAGCCACTGTGCCCCGCCTCCTCCTTCCTATTTTTCAAACACACTAGCCATGTTCATACCTTAGGGTCTTTGCACTGGCTGTTCCTTCTACCTGGAAGGCTCTACCCTAGATCTCCAATGACTACATCCCTCCCTTCCTTCAAGTCTTTGCTCAAATGTCACCTTCTCAATGAGGCATTGCCCTAGTCACTCCACTAATAACGTCATTTGCCCTCCCATCCCTTTTGCTCAGGGATGTAATTTTTCCATAGCATGCATTACCTTCTAACATACTATAAAATTTGTTATATTATTATTTATTGTGTCTCTTCTCAACCAGATTGTACGCTCAATGAAGGCAAGGATTTGCCTGTTTTTGTTCACTGTTTTATCCAAGATCCTGGCACATGGTACACATTCAATAAATATTTGTTGAATGAATAAATGGAATACCACATTAACTACCATTAAAGTTTCCTATTCCCCATTATAGCAACAATCCTGGAAATAGTTTTCTATATTCACAATCAAGGTTAACATCATCGGTGATAGGTCATGTACCTTTGATATAATGTGATAATGGCACTTTACCTTCCTGATCTTCCTTCCAGAAATCCATAACCCCTAACTATGAAACAAGCATCAGACAAACCCAAATTCTGTAAAATACCTCAACAGACTTTTAAAAATTGTCCACGTCATCAAAAACAAGGAATGTTTAAGAAACTTTCACAGCCAAGAGAATCTAAGGAGACATAATAACTAAATATGATATAGTATCCTGGATGAGATCCTAGAACAGAAAAAGGAACATTAGGTAAAAAACTAAAGAAATCTGAATAAAACATAGACTTTAGTTAACAATAATCAATATTGGTTCATTAGTTGAGGCACATGGCCTTTCCACTTTCTCTTTCTGTTTAGCCTAATCCCTCTCTTCTTAAATCTGGGCTGATCTTAGAGACTTGCTTAACCAAAAGAATGCAGCAGAAATGACATTCTGGGATTTACAAGGCTAGTTCATAAGAAGCCTTGCAGCTTCCACCTGGGCTTATTGGGACACTCCCTCTTGGACCCTTGAGGCACGATGTAACAAGTCTGTCTACCCTGAGTCTGTCATTCTGTAAGGAGACCCTAGCTAGCCACATGAAGGGATGTCTGGAGAGAGAGAGATGACCAACTTGCCCCCAACTGGTCTAGTCCTTCTTCCTCCTTTCCCCCAAACCAAAACCAAAACAAGAATTTGGTCCTCTTGCAGTATTCTGTAACTCAGTAAATGGCACCATCATCCATCCATTTGCACAAGCCAGAAACTAGGAAGTCATCCTTGTTATGTGCTGTTACTCATCTTGCCCACTAAATGTCTCTTAAAAGCTTGCTTGGGCCAGGCACAGTGGCTCATGCCTGTAATTCCAGCACTTTGGGAGGCCGAGGTGGGTGGATCACTTGAGGTCAGGAGTTCGTGAACAGCCTGGCAAACATGGTGAAACCCCGTTTCTCCTAAAAATACAAAAAAAAAAAAAAATTAGCCAGGCATGGTGGCACGCGCCTGTAATCCCAGCTACTCGGGAGGTGGAGGTTGCAGTCCACCTAGGCACTGCACTCCAGCCTAGGCAACAGAGCAAGACTCCATCTCAAAGAAAAAAAAAAAAAGCTTACTCGTTCTTTCTCAATGTCTACCACTCCTTCTACCACTTCTACCTAAGATATCTTCTTTTCTCAGTAATAGCTTTTTAATTGATCACCCTGCTTTGACTTTTGCCCCTCATCCAATACTTTTTACAGTCAGTGTGGTCTTTTTCACTTTTAAACTTTTTTTTTTTTTTTTTGAGACAGGGTCTCACTCTGTCACCCAGGCTGAAGTGCAGTGGTGTGATCATGGCTCACTGCAGCCTTGACCTCTTGAGCTCAGGTGATCCTTCCACCACAGCCTCCCAAGTAACTGGGACCACAGGCATGCACCAACATGCCTGGCTAATTTATTATTATTATTATTATTTGTAGAGATGGGGTTTCCCTATGTTGCCCAGGCTGTAAACTTTTCAATGATTCCTATTTCTCTTAGCATTAAAAACAAAATAATTAATATAGCCTCTGAGGCCCTGCATAGCATGGCCAATATCTACCTCTTCAGCCTCATAAAATTCTCCACTTGATGTCTGAGCCCCAGCTACACTGGCTTTCTTTTGTCCTCCATATGCACTGGGCTTCCTCCTGCCAGAGGGTCTTTGCACATGTTTTCCCCTTTGCTTGCAATGCTTTTTTTCCTGCTTCATCTGGTTAACTCCTGTGCAGTCTTCAAATCTCTGAGGAAGTTTTGCTTGGTCAGGAAAACCTCCCTGACCTCATATTCTGTGTGCCTCTCCTACAGAATAATTAATTGAGTAATTAATAGAGAACTCATCACAGTTGTAATTTTACATGTATTTGCATGAATATTTGAATAATGTCTATCTCCCTCACTAGACTGTCAGCTTCATGTGGCAGGCGCCAAGATTGTTTTGCTTGGTACTCTGCCCACAATATCTAACACAATGCCTAATACATACAAGGTGCTAAATATCTATTTGTTGGAGGAAGGAAGAGGAGAAAGCAAGAAAAAGATAAGGAGAGAAGTTGGGAAGGAGAGAAGGGAGAGCAAGAGAGGGGACTCTCCCCCCGTGACTATTTGTAAATGTTTATTCTCCTTGTATTTCTAACAGACTTTGCTTTATATTTCTTATTCATGTCATTATGTGCATAAAGGTCCATGACAGTCACATGTTCTTGGTGGAGTGCACCTTTTATCAATATTAAATATCCCTTTGCCAGGCATGGTGGCTCATATCTGTAATCCCAGCTACTCGGGGGGCTGAGGTGGGAGGATCACCTGAGGCCAGGAGTTCAAGACCAGCCTAGGCAACACAGTGAGACCCCCGTCTCTACAGAAAATACAAAAATTAGCTGGGTGTGGTGGCATGCACCTATTGTCCCAGCTACTCAGGAGGGACAATCAGATTGTCTAACCAGACAATTAGAAAACCATCAGATCTCATGATAATTCACTCACTCTCATAAGAACAGCATGAGGGAACCACCCCCAAGATCTAATCACCTCCCACGAGGACCTTCCCCCAATATGTGGGGATTACAATTTTGATTACAATTCAAGATGAGATTTTGGATAGGGACACAGCAAAACCATATCAGAGCCTTACCTCTCAGTGCGGGCTGGGAATGTTTCCATACCTTCCAGGTGACCAAAAGCATTATTTTATTATCTAAACATGCAAAGAACCGAGTATCCCCCCATAACTGCCATTAACCATCCCTAAAAGTATATCTCCTACCTAGCTATTACATACCAAGGCTAAAAGCTATCTCAATACGCAAAGTAAAAAGGTCAGGTATTACAGTGCAAAACAGAGTAGAGCCTTATATCTAATCTGTTTGCTTACGACTCCTGGGGTTCCATGAGGAAAACAGAGGTTCCACCCAAAACAGAGTCTGTGGTGCCTTCTGTTTTTCCTGAGGGGTCCCATGCTGTTAGGAATCATCTTAGGTCCTCTCATGTGGGCATCAAGGGTGGCAAGAGGGCAGACAGAAGTAAATGGAGAAACATAATTCAGTCAACTGGGAAGAAAAAAACCTTTTCCTCAAAAAACAAGATCCAAGAAGGGAAAAAGCATAAAGGCCTTTTACTGTCATAATTTTGCAAAGGCAGTTTCACTGGTATTACTCAGGAGTGTATTTCTCTCACGATCAAAACTGCTTCTGTTTTTTTCCCTATATTTCCTGAAAGTCCAGATTACACAAAGGTCTGTTCTGTTGTTTTCGTTTTTCTAGGATCCTACACTCACATTAGCAAACCTTTGGAAGCAAGTAGTTCGCTTTCTTTAGTGTGAAATTCTAGGTTTTAACCTTGGAATAAGTTGGGGGGAAGGAAGGACAGAAACAGCCACAGAAGTGACCCTTCTTTTCTGAATATAGTTCTCATTTGTTTGTTTTTTTAACTGCTCCATTCCAATTGTAGTGAATGCAATTCTTTAATTAACTGGAAGTTCCCCCTTCCCATGCGTTTGCATTTATTTATTCTGAAATTTGATTTTCTCTGGATTTACTCCCGTAATCTTCTCTTGCAGGTTTTGGACCAGGCTTCTCTTCCTCTCTTATCAATATGATTCTAACTGATTTCTATCCTCAGGGGATTCTTCACAATTTCTGGACTGCTGATGGTACACTTTCCTTTAATTATACTGCTCTTGTTTATTTTGCCATTGTAATATTTTAAGGGATTTGAAGTGGGGAGGATGAGAACAAAGTTACAGGTGCGTAGGCTGCCATCTTGATTTAATCTGACCAGAGTCATTTTCTTATGTCAATTTGCCTGAGGTGAGGAGACTGGCCAGGGCTCACTCAGAGAGGCAAGGAGAAAGGGCCTCTTCCAGGGAAGGCTTCTGATTACTCAGGATTTCTTCTTCCTCTTCTTCTTCTTCTTCTTCTTCTTCTTCTTCTTCTTCTTCTTCTTCTTCTTCTTCTTCTTCTTCTTCTTCTTTTCTTCTTCTTCTTCTTTTCTTCTTCTTCTTCTTCTTCTTCTTCTTCTTCTTCTTCTTCTTCTTCTTCTCTTCTTCTTCTCTTCTTCTTTTCTTCCTCTTCTTCTTCTTCTTCTTCTTCTTCTTCTTCTTCTTCTTCTTCTTCTTCTTCTTCTTCTTCTTCTTCTTCTTCTTCTCTTTCTTACTATTGTACAATATTTATATTATGATTACTCATGACCATTAGGACTTAAGGACCTACAATCTGCATATCAGTGTTTTAGAAAGAGCAAAGGCTACAGCTAGCACATAAGACCCCTTAGGGCAAATTATAAAAGGGTATGACCTTCGGAGCAGAAACATTGCAAAAAATAGTCTCCCCTTGGGGTAGATTAATTGGAAAAAGGCACCTCTTTGGATAGGCCAGTCATAAGAAAGTTTGCCTTTCTCTGCTGACCATGGCACCCCTGAATTAGTACACAAGGCTTGGTTACTAGTACAGTATAGGCTAGATTTCATTTCCCCACACATAGCTGTGTGGGGGGCATAGGCTGCAGAACCATATTACCAATTATGGTGGCCTCTGCTGGTGCTAATCACAATGCCCAGAGACAAGGCCTCTGCCTTCTGGAGTGTCTCCCAATTCCACGCACAGGTCTGAAAGGTCAGTTGAAACTCAGAGAGACTTTGCTAAAGTAGGCCTTCTATGACAGCAGTCTTTGCTCCCCACTTTCCACTGCACCAAGAGACAGCCCTGAATCCCTGAGTCCTAGCGGAGCCAACATTGCAGAGCAGCCCAGAGATCATCCTTCTAACAACCAGGGAACTCTGGTTTTAAAGACTAGGCTCTCCTCACTTAGGCTTCTAATAGAGTCACTCTCAGCACCAAGAAGAGAGTTTTTTTTGTTTTGTTTTGTTTGTTTTTTGAGACAGAGTCTCAATCTGTCGCTCACGTTGGAGTGCAGTGGCGCGATCTCAGCTCACTGCGATCTCTGCCTCCCAGGTTCAAGCGATTCTCCTGCCTCAGCCTTCTGAGTACCTGGGATTGCAGGCACACACCACCATGCGTGGCTAATTTTTGTATTTTTAGTAGAGACAGGGTTTCACCATGTTGGTCAGGCTGGTCTCGAACTCCTGACCTCATGATCTGCCCGCCTTGGCCTCCCAAAGTGCTGGGATTACAGGCGTGAGCCACCGCACCCGGCCGAGGAGAGGTCTTCAATGCAAATGCCACCAACAACTCTTAGAGACCATCAACCACCACTAGGACTCCCTAGGAGTTGTCCTTAGGAATTAGAGACGAGGCATCTATTGGACATGCTACAACCTCTCTCCCACAATTTACTTCACTCACTCACCAGGGCCATCAGCAGATACACCAGAATGCATATACCTTTATTTATATATTTAAAACAAAAATAGGATTAGTCAATAGACATTGGGCTACAACTGGTTTTATGCCTCACTTAATGTATCACAGACTCCTTTCAGATGGATACATACGGCGCCATCATTTTCTTTGTAATGGCTGCAGTGTTCTACTACATGGATGTACCATAATCTATTTAGGCTTTCTTATCTTCCCCCCAGTTCTCTCCTCCTCATCCTCTCAACAGAGTTATAGCAACTTTTGGATAAACTATTATGTGTAAATAATTAACTGATGAGCCACATAATATATTATAATTACATTTCCTTTCTTAAACATTTGCTTTTCCTGGATTTAACAATTGCCTCTCCTTTTCATTTGCTTCATTTTTCTATGGTGCTCTGTGGAGTTGTGCAGTGCATAACTTATGCAGTTATATATGGCAGCCCTGCCTGTACCTATGGCTAAGTCATCCCGAACTATGAAACAGAGCTCCTTTATTTTTCCTCTAGGGTGAATGAGGGGTGAGGGGGCTGGGTTTCTGAGAAGAGAGCCAGACTTTCAATATAATTTTATAGACAGTTAAATTAATAGATGATCTATCCATTCCATTTTATTTTCTTAGATGCCTCTGTCTTCCTATTTCAATATCCTGTGTCAGATCATCTGTTTCCTGGATGCCATGTCTTCCTCTTTCTTGGTTTGCCCTTTAGTTTTAGTGGAGCATGTCTTCTAGTCACTTCTTGTGAGTGTGTGCATGGGAGGAAAATTATTTAAGCACTGCATGACTGAAAATGTATTTATTCTACCTTAAAACTCAACTGATATGTTGACTGAATATAGAATTCTACATTGGAAATCATATTCACTAATAATTTTGAAGTATGGTTCCGCTGTCTTTCAGCTTTACTGATTTCTATTGAGAAGCCAAATGCCATTCTTATTCTTGATCCTTTGTATGGAAACTTTTACTTCTTCCTACTTCTGGAAGCTTTTAAGGTCTGCTTTAATACTTTGAAATTTTACAATGGTATGCCTCCATGTGGGGCTCTTTCTCGCTCATGCTTCATGTTTTATGAATATAACACTTTTATCTTTCTGCATATACTGGAGTAGAAGCTTAGTAGGGCTTTTTTTAACGTTTTTTATTTATTTATTTATTTATTTATTTATTTATTTATTTATTTATTTATTTGGAGACAGTGTTGCTGGAGTGCAGTGGTGCGATCTCGGCTCACTGCAACCTCTGCCTCCTGGGTTCAAGTGATTCTCCTGCCTGAGCCTCCGGAGCAGCTGGGATTACAGGCGTGCGCCACCACGCCCAGCTAATCTTTTTTATTTTTGTAGAGACAGGGTTTCACCATGTTGGCCAGGCTGGTCTTGATCTCCTGACCTCAAGTAATCTGCCCACCACAGCCTCCCAAAGTGTTGGGACTACAGGCGTGAGCCACCGCGCCCAGCTTTTTAAAATGTTTTTATTTGTTCTTTTCATTGTTTATATTTTCTCCCACCTCCCCTTTTCTGTTTTTTGGCTTTTGTTTCACTTCTGGTTTTCATGTTGGTACTTTCCTTGAGTTGTTTGAAATCTTTAGTGATTTGTTCATATTTAAGAGTGAGGCACTAAAAAGCTGGCTGGAAGTTCTGAATGCCTGGGAGAAGGGGTGGGCTTTGATGTATGGCAATTGGATAGCAGGATGCTTTTTGGTTGAGGTACCTGTACCAGTAGACTATTCTTTGATGTGGCTCAATTCTTCAGAGAAGGATCCTTTAAATCTCCTATCTGGGATATAAGACTGCCTGCTTATATTCCAGGAACTAGATATGAGAAATAGAATCCCAGACTTTATTCCTCCTATTTTCAGTCTAGCATACTCTACTTTCCCTACTTGTCTCTAAGTCTATAACCTCTGTGGTTCATTTTCACTTATTTGCATTTTAGTCTATTTTAAAAACGTTTTATTGATAAATAACATACAGAAATGCACAAATCATTGGCTGGGCACAGTGGTTCACGCCTGTAATCCCAGCATTTTGGGAGGCTGAGGCAGGCGGATCACCTGAGGTCGGGAGTTTGAGACCAGCCATGACCGACATGGAGAAACCCCGTCTCTACTAAGAATACAAAATTAGCCGGGTGTGTTGGCACATGGCTATAATCCCAGCTACTCAGGAAGGCTGAGGCAGATGAATCGCTTGAACCCGGAAGGTGGAGGTTACAGTGAGCTGAGATTGCATCATTGCACTCCAGCCTGGGCAACAAGAGCGAAACTCTGTCTCAAAAAAAAAAAAAAAAAAAAAAAAAGAAATTCACAAATTATAAGTGTACTGCTCAATGAACTTTTACAAATAAAGCTACATAATGAGCATCCAGATGTCTCTTGTTTAGTTTCTACAAATAATAGACCTCTTTTGCTGGAGTAACATATGTAAAGCACTTAGAACGTCCATGGGATTTATGATGAGTGCTTCTACTGGGGCTAGCTAAAATAATTTAGTCACCTATCCATCTGCTTTCCATCTGCCTTTCTTTCTTTCTTTTCTTTTTCTTTCCTTTTCTTTTTTTCTTTTTTTTGAAACGGGGTGTCACTTTGGCCGAGGCTGGAGTGCAGTGGCACACTCACGGCTCACTGCATCTTTGACCTCCTGGGCTCAAGCAATCCTCCCGCCTCAGCCTCCCTAGTAGCTGGGACTACAGGTGTGTGCCCACCATATTGAGCTACTTTTTGTATTTTTTGTAGAGATAGGGTTTCACCATGTTGCCCAGGCTGGTCTGAAACTCCTAGGCTCTAAGCGATCTTCCCTCCTCAGCCTCGCAAAGTGCTAGGATTATAGGCTTGAGTCACTACACCCAGCTCTAAGCAGTGTTTTCATGTAGCATTTACCACTCCTAGTTTCACGGAAGGTAAAGTCTACATTCCAGTTTCTCCATTTTCTTGTTTTCAGGTGATTTCTGTACTTTACTATCTTCCTTACAAAATTTTTAATTTTGATGTAGTCTTACCTGTTAATGGATGGCCAAAAGGCACTGGATAAAAATCAGCAGCTATTCCTTATAAATGAGTGCAATGAGTATAGAAAGTACAATGAGAATAGAAAAAAAACTTTTTTTTTTTTTTTTTGGCCATGGTCTCGCTCTGTTGCCCAGGTTAGAGTACAGTGGCGTGATCTCTGCTCACTGCAACCTCTGCCTCCCCAGGCTCAGGTGATCCTCCCACTTCAGCCTTTGGAGTAGCTGGGACTACAGACATGCACCACCATACCCAGCTAATTTTTTGTATTCTTTGTAGAGACTGGTTTTACCATATTGCCCATGCTGCTGTCGCACTCCAGGGCTCAATCCACCTACCTCGGCCTCCCAAAGCGCTGGAATTACAGACATGAGCCACCACACCCAGCTAGAAAAGAGCTTTCTAAACACAGTAAAGAGTATCGAAAAGCCAATAGAAAGCATCATAATCAAGTCACGTCCCCTGAAATTCAGGAATAAAGCATAGATGTCCACTACAGTGTTTTGAAGGCTCTGGAATGTGACAAAACAAGAAAACAAAATAAGCTGTATAAATCTAAAAGAAAGAGAAAAGAGGAAAAAGTATATTTATAGATATGATTATACACATTGAGAATCCAAGAAATGTAACTTAAAAACATTAAAACTAATAAGCCTATGTAGTGGATATCTGCTATTTTGCTTTGCCCAGCATTCCTTCCTCTCTGCTTCTAGCAACAGCATTCTTCTTCCTTTGGGTACCTGCTCCTACTTTATCCTTTCAATATAGTCCTGGTAGGACAGGCAATCACAATAGTCCCCTCCGCTGCCTGTGGCTGGGCACCTAACCCAGGATGGACTAATCATAACATCATAATCATAATATCCAACCCCATTGGACTCAGTGGTAGCTCCAAGTGGTAGGCATGAGACCTGGCCCAGAGATACAAGATCTCCCTTGGAATTTTCCAAATCAAAGGTAAAGAAGTAATTTTCTCTTTTCCTTGGATATTGAACTGTAAGGATGTGACCCAGAGAAATTAGTAGCCATGTCGGGTCTCTACCATGTAAGAGTCTTAGAGAATTAGGCGATACAGAGAGAAGCAGAGATGAAAGATGAGACGGAGTGAGAGCCTAGATACCATTTGAGTCCCTCGATCTAGTTGGTTCTGAGATCTGCCCTATTCTTCCCAGTTACGTTAACCAATAAACTCAATTTTCCTCTTAAGATTATTCAAGTTGGGTTTCTGTCACTTGCAAACAAGAGTCCTAATACAAGCCAGATGCAAAATAAATATATAGAATCCCATCATTTCCATTTTTTTCCTTTTCAAAGTATTATTAAATAGCTCCCTTTTATTTTCCAATATTTGTTATAAAAATGTTCAAACATGCAGAAAAGTTTAAAGAATTTTTACAATGAACATCAATACACCCACCACCTAGATTTTAAAATTAACATTCTTTTGTTATATTCCAATAATTTTCTCTTATTCTAGTAATAACAGAACTAGACATTATGTGTGCATATATATATCCCATTCACAACAGTGTGAAACACCAACAGACACAGACTAAAGCCTTAACAAAACTTGTCTCTCAAGACAAAGAACCCAAAAAGGAGCAATCTAGCAATCGAGAAAATTTTAGATAGCTAATCTAGTCAAGCCAAATGCCATGGGAAAAAAGAAAAAATGCAGACTCACCCTTACCCAAGCCAGCAATGGCGGAACAGGAGCCTAGACTTCGGCTCTTAGAAGGCTCCAGTTCCCATCTCCCATCCCCCACCTTTTCCCGCTCAGCAGAGACCACGTGGAGAACCTGATGCCCCTCACCCTCCCCATGGAGGAGACGTCAGCACTACCCTGATGCACCACCCCTCCCCATGAGGGTGACGTCAGCACTACCCAATTGTGAAGACACAATCCCTCCCCAGCAGTTCAGTTTAGAAACTGCCAGTCTTGGTATAGAACAACCTAGGCTTATCTGTTTAAGTCCCATAGGTAGTATTATTAGAGAATAACCCAGGCTTTGGGAACTGTATAACTCTGAGATCGTTTGAAATTTTCGTTTTGTTTTTCTTTTGGCTCCAACCAGGCCTCTGTTGTTAGACTAATGGGGTTTCCCCTGCAGAGATTGGTCAGCCCTGCAGTCTATCATCCCGGAAGGTGTTAAATACACATGAAAGCCAGCCTCGGCGGGCAGAACCTAGCCCGCCGAAAGGGCGGGCATTGCTAAAGTGTTTTCAAAAGGTCTTCCCAATCCTCTGCTTTAGACAGCTCGGACCTTAGATAGAAGAACACAACGGATCCTCCAGTGACTGACGGTGAGCTAAAATGCCCTTTTGAGATTTCGGAATGTGGGGAGGATCTTGTTTAGGAACTTATTGAAGGTGGACCTGGTTATGTACCTGGTTATGGGTCACAAGACCTAAGCAAAGCCACATTTTTAGGCAATTTTAAGTTATTCTCAATGTTGTGCTAGGTTTCGTTATTCCCAAATATTTATAAGAGGTATGTTAAAAGTTACAGCCTTTATTCACCTGTGATGCGGATAACTTAGGGAAAAGCTCGTTAGAGTCATAGTTATTTGTGGTGAAGATCCTACCCAGCAAAGTGGTGATCACAAGATGGCCTTCAACAACCATAGCACTGCAGCTTAAAGAAGAGGCAGGAACAGAAGAAAATTTGTGACTGATTCAGATCATAAGTGAGATAGTACTTTGAAGAACCTCCAGAAATAGCTGGAGGACACTTTGAGGGGAATCTGTTTTGTTGACATTCAAGCCCGTAGGAGTTCAAGCCATTGTAATTTAAAATGGCATGTCAGGCTTCCAATTTAAGAGAATCTTAACAAATGTGTTTTCCCTGCCAAATCAGCTTGAAATGACAGAAGAAAAAAACGAGTAAAAGAATAGCACTAAAATTGCAAGGGTTAGCAAGGAAGGATGTGATTAGCAGACCAAAATTTTGATAATTTCCTTGAAGATATGGAACAAATAGGATAAAATTGGCTGGGAAACCAGAGTCAATGAATTCATAACACTATACAGATATGGGAGAGGACTGCTGGAAAAGTGAATTCTCTGTTTTCTATCGTAGACCCAAAGGACGGATGATGTCACAGTCATCTGGATCAGGAGATGGGAATGATGATGAGGCTACTACCTCTAAAGACGGTGGTGAGTAAATGAACTAGTAAAACTCAAGAGTTAAGTCTAAATAATTGTTAACAGGCCGGGCGCGGTGGCTCACGCCTGTAATCCCAGCACTTTGGGAGGCCGAGGCGAGCAGATCACGAGGTCAGGAGATCGAGACCACGGTGAAACCCCGTCTCTACTAAAAATACAAAAAATTAGCCGGGCGTGGTTGTGGGCGCCTGTAGTCCCAGCTACTCAGGAGGCTTAGGCAGGAGAATGGCGTGAACCCGGGAGGCGGAGCTTGCGGTGAGCCGAGATCGCCCACTGCACTCCAGCCTGGGTGACAGATCGAGACTCCCTCTCAAAAAAAAAATATTGTTAACAACATGTCTAGGAAGCTTGAGTAAATTCTTATGAAATTATACCTCAGGGCCGGGTGCGGTGGCTCACGCCTGTAATCTCAGCACTTTGGGAGGCTGGGGCAGAGGGGGGCAGGTGATGGGGGAGGAGGGGTTGGCGGGGAGGATCACCTGAGGTCAGGAATTCGAGAGCAGCCTGGCCAACATTGTGAAACCCCGTCTCTACTAAAAATACACAAATTAACTGGGCGTGGTAACGGCACGCGCCTGTAATCCCAGCTACTAGGGAGGCTCAGGCTGGAGAATCGCTTGAATGTGGGAGGCGGAGCTTGCAGTGAGCAGAGATTGTGCCATTGCACTCCAGCCTGGGCAACAGTGGGACTCCGTCTCAAAAAAAAGAAAAGAAAAAAGAAAAGGAAGGAAATTCCTCAGAACATCTAGCGTAATGAAACAATTAATAAAAAATTTAATAGCAAGGTAGAAACAAATTTTCCCAGAGAAAACTGGGATCAGGGGATGGTGGTCAAGAGAGCACTCCTGCTTTTACTTTGTTTTTGTTGCTTTACAGTGAGAATGAATTCATGTAATATTTTGGCAAAAACTTTAAGGTTTGATAAAATTTAGTGTGGCTAAGGATATGGGGCAGTTAATGGTCATTCAGAAGGTGGGGATCATATGTTGGCACAACATTTTTGAAGGGTAAATATGACAGTGTATCGAAATTTTAAATATACCTTCCCCTTGACCCAATTCTACTTTTTCAAATATATCCTCAGAAATACTTTTATACATGCACAGATTTATGTTACAAGGATGTTCATTGGAGCATGTTTGTAGTCACAAAAATTGGAAATAACCAAATGTCCAAAAATAGGGGAATGGTTTAATACAATATGGTATATTTTTACTGTAAAATAGTGTACAGCCCTTAAAAAGAATGAGGTAGATCTCTATATACTGTCATGGACAGATCTCTAATATATATTAAGCGAAAAAAGCAAATTGTAGAGCTATATGTACAGTAATTATGCCATTTTAAAAAATACTAAAGCTTCCTATTTGTATATATACAAGTATATATGTACATAAATGCTGAGGAAGGTGATGCACCAAATTTAACAGGTAAAAGACACTTTTAATTTTATTTTTTCTTTTTTGTATGCTTATCTGACCACCAACACTTACACTTTTTATCCTATATTCTTCTATATTGTTTAAATTTTTTCTTACAAAAAGAATGTTTATATATCATTTGCATAACTAAACAGAACTGAAACGTGACCATTAATAGAATGTAAATAGTATGTAGAACTTCCAAAACACTAATAGTTGAAAAAAGAAACAAAGGAAATTGTCAGTCCAGCAACGTAAGGTAAGAGAAAAAAGCAACAACAATAACGTGTGATAATTAGATTTTTTTAAGTGATAGGAATATGTATCCATATATAGTATACTATGTTGCCCTTAAAAATAGTGAGGTAGATCTGTGTGTAGTGACAAGGAAAGATGTTCATGATATAATATTAAGCAAAAAATAAAGTCACAGAAAAATTTATACTGTGTGATCCTTTTTTTAAAAAAAGCAAAAACTGCACGTTGGTTAAGTGTATAGAAAAAGATCTTTAATCAGTAAACTTAACTGAGGTTACCTTTGGGGGCTGGTTTTAGTTGGGGAACAGGGACTGAGTGGAGATTTCACCTTATTTTGTAGTCAAAGGTTGTTGAGACCTGGACATTTCTTTTCTTTTTCTTTTTTTTTTTTTTTTTTTGAGGAGTTTTGCTCTTGTTGCTCAGGCTGGAGTGCTATATGGCATGATTTCGGCTCACTGCAACCTCCGTCTCCTGGGTTCAAGCAATACTCCTGCCTCAGCCTCCCAAGTAGCTGGGATTATAGGCATGCGCCACCACACCCGGCTAATTTTATATTTTTTAAGTAAAGACAGGGTTTCACCATGTTGGTCAGGCTGGTCTTGAACTCCTGACTTCAAGTGACCCACCTGCCTTGGCCTCCTAAAGTGCTGGGATTACAGGCATGAGCTACCACGCCTAGCCAAGACCTGGACATTTCTAACTGTACCTCTGGTTATATTACTCCCTTCCATATTTGATGCCCTTCAGTGGTTACCCATGACCTACTAGATAGAATCTAAACTCTGGAGGATGACATACAATATTCGCCATGATCTGAACCCACCCCACCTCTCTGTCTTCATCTCTCATCATTCCTCCACAGGCCTACTGAACATCAGTCACACAGCATGGTAATATGGTTGTTCCAACGTATCTGCAGGGAACTGGCTCCAGGAACCCTGCAGATACCAAAATCGGTGCATATTCAACTCCCACAGTCAGCTCTGCGGAACCCACAGATACAAAAAGTTGGCCTTCCCTTTACAGGTTTCCAATCCTGCAAATCCTGTATTTTCCATTCCTGCTTGATTGCTGATGTGGAACCCGCCCATGCAGAGGGCCGACTGTATTTATTGAAAAAATATGTGTATAAATGGACCATCACAGTTTAAACCCCAATTGTTCAAGGGTCACCTGTAAACAGTTGCCTAAATGGGCCATGATCTTTCTCATGCCTCCATGTCTTTGCACACACTGTTCCCCTTTTCAAGTAATCCATAGATCTCTAGATCTCACTGTCCTGATACTACAAATTAAGTTTGGATTTGTATGATTAATATACAGGTTACAACGTTAAGCCCCCATATTGTGGACCATAGAGAGTCCATTCTTCCACCAGGTTGGAGGGTGCATCCCCCGCCCTTGAGTAATTTCCAGAAATCCACAAGGTATGCTTAAATGTTACAAAAATCAATCCTAGTTGTCATTTGTTATCTCTGCCAGCTATTCTTTCTGCATACTGTCATGGTCTGCCTTCAATAAGTCACCACTTCCTGTCTTGAAACTTTTTTTAAAAAAACCTTTTAGTTTTTTTAATTTTAAAAATTTCTGCAAACACTATGGCGACTTGTGTAATTTTAATACATACAAAAGATGTATGATGTGTAATTTATGGAGCATAATTATTAAATAAACATCCAGGAATCTATCATCTGTGTGTAAGAACTAGAACATTACTGATGCTTTTGAATTTACCTAAATTCCCCTTCCCTAAATTTTCCTCCCATACTTCCCCTAGAGCAATCTCCTATCCCAGATCTTACATTAATTATTCCCCCCACCCCACCCCACCCCCTTTTTTTTGTTATCTCCCTGTGTTGCTCAGGCTAGTCTCGAACTCCTGGGCTCAAGCGATCCTCCTGCCTCAGCCTCCCAAGTAGCTGGGACTACAGGTGCATACCATATCACCCAGCTATTTTCCTTCTATACTTTAATACTTTTATCATATTATATATCTGCAAGTTTTTCTTATTTTTGAGCTTTATTTAAAAAGTTATCAAATTGTAGGTATTATTTGGTGATTTGTGTTTTTCACATAACATTGTTTGAGACTTATGCACATGGCTGTAATTTATTCATTGTTCAATGCTGTATAGTATTTCATTATGTGACTATACCACAATTTATTTAGCCATTTTCTTATCAAAGAATATTCTCTTGCCATCCTTTGAAGTCTGCATGCAGAATAGGAATAGAAAATCCTTAGCATGTTCTAAATCACTTTCTCCTTTGTGCCATGTCTCTGTTTTTAACAATTAGTATATTCAAATGCAAGGACTGGCAATTTTTTTTTCTGTTAAGGAACTAGTAGGAACTATTTTAGACTCTGTGGGCCATACGGTCTCTGTCAAAACTCTAAACTCTGCTGTTTTAGCATAAAAGCAGCCACAGAAAATACATAGGCAAATAAATATTGCAATGTTCCAATAAAACTTTATTTACAAAAACAGGTAAAGGACAGGGTTTGGTCCATGGGCTGTGGTTTCCAAACCCTGCTGTAGTTTATCTGAATTTTTGTAGTGTTGCCCAGTATTGTGGTTCTTATTATCAAGTCTGCCCTTGTCTTACTTTGCACGTGTCAAACCCTATTCTCCCGCTTTGTGATTCTCACCTCCTATATCTAAGAGTGAGCCTGACTTGTAAATCCAATTCCTGAACCAGTGTGGCTCAAGGCAAGAAGTGTTATCTGTAGCCACAGCTCCAACAGCAAGTAGGGTATTTGAGTAAGATTTGGTGCTAAGAGGCCTAAGATTGCTGTACCAGACTTGAGATTGGGATGCTGCCTTCATTTCCTTCATTAGCTCTTCAGAGTTTCTGGTTAGGACTGAAGTTACACTCTAATAACTAGTCTCCTTGCAATGTCCTGAATGTGCCTTACTCTCTCTTCCTTTAGGATTTAAATGTGCTTCCTATCTTCCTTCTTTATGCCCCCTGCTCCCTTTCACTCCCTTTGCCTGGCTAATTCCCACTCACTCTCGGGGATTTAAATTGGATTTCTTTCTCTGGAAGCTATTCTTAATTCCCTTCCTCCACTGCACCCCACCTCACCCTCCTAGGCTGGGCCAGGTGTCCCACCTCTGCGTTCTCATAGTGGCCTTTGTCACTCTGTCTTGTAATTGTCTGCCTTACCCACCAAATATATTACTTGGTAATAGAAACTTCCCAGCCGGGCGCGGTGGCTCACGCCTGTAATCCCAGCACTTTGGGAGGCCGAGGCGGTTGGATCACAAGGTCAGGAGATCGAGACCATCCTGGCTAACACGGTGAAACCCCGTCTCTACTAAAAATATAAAAAGTTAGCCGGGCGTGGTGGCGGGCGCCTGTAGTCCCAGCTACTCCGGAGGCTGAGGCAGGAGAATGGCGTGAACCAGGGAGTCGGAGCTTGCAGTGAGCCAAGATGGCACCACTGCACTCCACCCTGGAAGACAGAGCGAGACTCCGTCTCAAAAAAAAAAAAAAAAAGAAACTTCCCTAAGGTGAGTGATAATTTAAAAGTTGGGCATTTAGGGATAGCTCTAAACCTACATTGCCAATTGAGAATGGAGGGCAAGGGTTGTCTTTGTATACTAAGGGAGTAGAACATGATGGGTCTGCCGGCAGGGTTCCTTCACTGTTTTCCTGGATTTGGCCAGGAGAAGCAGCCAGTTTCTACCTCTTGTGAAGATCAGCCACTGGCTGAGGGTCCAGCCAGAGAATAGACTGATTCTCTAGAACAAGATTGCCACCATATCCTTAAATGTGCATTGCCGGCTGTTTTGTCCTACCTGCTTGATGGTGGCCTGAACTGCATGCAAGCTTGGTCTCCTTTTGGGCATTTTGATTTAGCTTATCTCAATAAAAGAGTTATTTTCTTATTCTTCATTTTTTTCTCTTGGTGAGTGGGGCTCTGAACGTCTTTTTCTAACATGTCTACTACTTGAGACTATTTTATGGCAAGTCTCCTTACGAAATTGTAAACTATGGGAAGTGCTGTATTTGGAGTCTGTGAAGAACTGGACTTAGGTCTGTGTGCTTTGTGACTTTAGCAAATAATTTTAACTTCCTTTGCTGAGCCTACTTCTTATCTGTACAGTGGGGATGGTACTTGATCTATCTCACAGTGTGTTTATCAGGATAAAATAAGATTGTATGTGAAAGTGCTTTGAAAAACTGTGAAATCAACTACAAATTGAATTTTGTGTTATTCTGTATTCCCTCACGGCATCTAGCACCATGCGTTGCTGAGAGTATTTGCTCAATATATTTTTGTTGAATGACCAAAGGAATTGGAGAGAGAAATAATGCTGTTGGTGGGAATAAAGGACATTTAGTAATAGAAGCAGGAAAAATACATGACTTGGTAATAGAAACTTCCCTGAGGTGAGTGATAATTTAAAAGTTGGGCATTTAGGGATAGCTCTAAACCTACATACCCAATGTCTGCTCTCTGCTTTGCTTATAAAAAATATTTAAATTTTCTTTTAGTATGATTTTGGCAGCTTAGATAAGCTGTCAAACTTGATTAGGTTTTAAATATGCAGTCATCAAAAAGCAGGATTGGCCCTAGGCAATACTGTGAGGTCAGCAAAATGTACTCTCAGAAATCTTTCCTTCCTGGTTGGTAACCTCACCTCTCACCACTCCCTATTGCAGTGGCTTCTTCTAGTTCTGTTTACCTCCAGTCTCCTAGGACTTTCCTATTAGCTTTTTTCCTCCAAGAGGCATTCACCTTAAAGGGTTAGGAACTAAGACTCCTTGGCTAATTTGCACTTTAAAAAAGGATTCCTAGAGAAGGAGGCAATGTGTTATCCAAATGAGTGAATAAATAATCATGAAATTTCAGGCATTAAACGGAATACAAGTGCTTATCAGCCCCATTCAAATCACAAGACATACTTACTTCATCTACAACTATGGTTTCTCAAACTTGGAGGTATGTAGAATTTCCTGGAGAGCTGTTTTTTTTTTTTTTCTTCAGAGTCTTACTTTGTCACCCAGGCTGGAGTGCATTGGCACCATCATAGCTCACTGCAGCTGGAACTCCTGGGCTCAAGCAATCCTCCCACCTCAGCATCCCAAAGTGCTGGGATATGCCAGCACATACAGCTAATTTTTTTTTTTTTTTTTCGATAGAGACAGGGTCTCGCTTTGTTGACCAGGCTGGTCTTGAACTCCTGGCTTCAAGCAATACTCCTGCCTCGGCCTCCCAAAGTGCTGGGATTACAGGCACAGGCATGAGCCACCGCACCTGGCCAAGAGCTTCTTAAAAATACTGATAATTGAGGTCCTCCTCACAGAGATTCTGATTGAATTGGACTGACTAGGTTTGGACCTGGGTAAAGATTAAAAAACAAAAAAAACTCCTAGGTCATTCTATTGTACAGTGAGTTGGGAACCCTGGATTTAAATCTAAATTGGCACTGGGTGCAGTGGCTCATGCCTGTAATCCTACCACTTTGGGAGGCCGAGGTGGGCGGATCACCTGAGGTCAGGAGTTCAAGACCAGCCTGGCCAACATGGCAAAACCCCATTTCTACTAAAAATACCAAAAAATTTAGCTGGGCATGGTGGTGCACACCTGTAATCCCAGCTACTTGGGAGGCCAAGGCAGGAGAATCACTTGAACCTGGGAGATGGAGATTGCAGTGAGCCAACATTGCACCACTGCACTCCAGCCTGGGCGACAGAGCCAAACTCTGTCTCAAAAAAAAAAAAAAAAAAAAAAATCTAAATTGGCCTTGTCTGTGAGAAAAAGAAAAGCTGAATGCCATTAGATCAAACATTGAGCAGGGTGGGGTTGGAGGGACTTTGAGAGACATCGATAAAGTAAACAGAATGTTAAAAATAGGCCCATGCCATGGCACATCAGCTCGCCAAATATATATATAGGCCCAGCAACTCCATAAGCAAGTCCTTGGCAGCACCCAAGGGAGAAGTCATCTGTGGCTGCTCTGGCTCCCCACTCCCAAACCCTCAGGGAAAACAGCCTATCTCTAACTTTTAGTCCTTAAATCTGCTTTCCAGATGGTTCACAGGTATGACAGATAAAATCTCTGAGCTAAGGAACGAAGTGCTTGAATGGTTGATGTACCAAGTCAGTAACTTCAGGCGATGTAAGATAAACAATTTTGCTAAAAATATGAAATTTGGCTGGGTGCGGTGGCTCACACCTGTAATCCCAGCACTTTGGGAAGCTGAGGCAGGCAGATCACCTGAGGTTGGGAGTTCGAGACCAGCCTGGCCAACATGGAGAAACCCCGTCTCTACTAAAAACACAAAATTAGCCAGGCGTGGTGCTGCATGCCTGTAATCCCAGCTACTTGGGAGGCTGAGGCAGGAGAATCGCTTGAACCCGGGAGGTGGACGTTGTGGTGAGCCAAGGTAGTGCCATTGCACTCTAGCCTGGGCAACAAGAGCGAAACTCCATCTCAAAAAAAAACCCAAATATATATACATATATATATATATATATATATATATATATATATATATATATATACCTATACACACACACATACATATGAAATCTGTTATCTATTTACATTTTACTTAGCACATAGGTTCAGCACATGTTATTACTTTCCTTGCTTTTATATAGCAATCTCAGGATGGGAAACTGATGAATTCACATTGTGTAGTTGGATTATTTTTGCTTGAGCTTTGGCCTCCTCAGCAGCCCATTGGTGTTGATAGCATAACAAAGCCCTTATTATGATACAATCTTTACTATCTCAGCATTGCTTAGTTTGCCTTCTCTGTACTTTCCTGCTTCAAAGATGATCCTTCAGAAAAGTGGATGAAGAAAATGGACTGCCTGGGCCGGGCGCGGTGGCTCACGCCTATAATTCCAGCACTTTGGGAGGCCGAGGCGGGCGGATCATGAGGTCAGGAGATCAAGACCATCCTGGCTAACATAGTGAAACCTCATCTCTACTAAAAATACAAAAAAAAATTAGCTGGGCGTGGTGGTAGGCGCCTGTAGTCCCAGCTACTTGGGAGGCTGAGGCAGGAGAATGGCATGAACCCGGGAGGCGGAGCTTGCAGTGAGCTGAGATGGCGCCGCTGCACTCCAGCCTGGGTGACAGAGCGAGACACTGTCTCAGACAAAAAAAAAAAAAAAAAGTAAATGGACTGCCCTTTACCTAGCAGTTTTTTTTTTTTTTTTTTTTTTTTTGCACTCTGTCACCTAGGCTGGAGTGCAGTGGTGCAATCTCGGCTCACTGCAACCTCTGCCTCCCGGGTTCAAACAATTCTCCTACTTCAGCCTCCCAAGTAGCTGGGACCACAGATGTGCACCACCAGGCCTGGCTAATTTTTGTATTTTTAGTAGAGACAGGGTATCGCCATGTTGCCCAGGCTGGTCTCAAACTCCTGGCCAAGTGATCCACCCACTCTGGCCTCCCAAAGTGCTGGGATTACAGGTGTGAACCACTGTGCCCAGCCGTTTTTTCTGTTTTGTTTTGTTTTGGTTTTTGCTTTTTGTTGTTGTTTGTGTTTTTTTAATGCATTCTCAGAAACATCTTCAGATTCTCCTGGGCAAGCAGTCTCTCCCATTCCTAAGGAAAATCCCACCCATTGGATAGGAAGGCTTCCAGGAGTGTCTGTCTAGTGGCAAGCCACTGGTATGAGATATCTGGAGAGGACCTAAAGCACCCCAGATGGCTATAACTGTATGGCGTCCTACATTACACATCTTGATTCCCCAAGCACCCTGGGGAATCCCTGTGATCAAAAAGGGGAAATGGGTTACACTCTGCCTTTTTAGGGAGATGTCCACAGAAATAAAGGAATTGACATTGTAAAAGCTAGCTCCCTGTCTTTGTTTGTATTTCTTCCTTTACACATATACTTACCTTTATAAACAGCTTGGTTAAAGGTGGCCAATAATAACTACACTTCATGTGGCAACATTGTAAAGTTTAATTAATGTTTCTAAGGTATGAGTTGAACTCACAAGATGAAAGATCCTAAATATGGAATATGTGTTAAGTGCCCAGTCTGGTTTAGTCTGATAATGGCTATAATTGTATGGTGTCCTACATTACACATCTTGATTAGTGTGGCTCCCGTGAGTTCAACCTTGAAAATGTATTTTAATGTTGAGAATGTGTTTAACGTTGATTGGCAAACATTTGGGTGTACAGAATATACGCTTATGTTCTTCAACTAGCCTCAATTAGTTGGTTCTTGATGTAAAAGATATTTTACAAACCAACTTGGAAGGTTTTTGTTTTTTTTTGAGACAGACTCTTTCTCTGTTGCCCAGGCAGGAGTGTAGTGGCACAATCTCGGCTCACTGCAACCTCCACCTCCTGAGTTCAAGCGATTCTTCTGCCTTATCCTCCCGAGTAGTTGGGATTACAGGCACCTGCCAACGTGCCCAGATAATTTTTGTGTTTTTAGTAGAGATAGGGTTTCACCATGTTGGCCAGGCTGGTCTTGAACCCCTGACCTCAGGTGATCGGCCCGCCTCAGCCTCCCAAAGTTTTGGGATTACAAGCCTGAGCCACCTAGCCTTGTTTTTTGTTTGTTTGTTTGTTTTTTGTAACAAGGTCTCACTCTGTCACCCAGGCTGGAGTGCAGCAGTGTGAGCTTGGCTCACTGCAACCTCTGCCTCAGGTTCAAGGGATTCTTTTGCCTCAGCCATTTGAGTAGCTGGGATTACAGGTGAACACCACCATGTCCGGCTCATTTTTGTATTTTTAGTGGAAACGGGGTTTCACTATATTGGCCAGGCTGGTCTGGAACTCCTGGTCTCATGTGATCCACCCATGTTGGCCTCCCAAAGTGCTGGGATTACAGGCATGAGCCACCACGCGTGGCCAGATCTGTGCTTTTTAAAACCAACATGTAACTCAGAAGACTGAAGGGCTTAGATAACCATGTGAGATAGGGAACTATTATTACTAGAATGTAGTTAAATATTAACAGGACTCAGCTATCATTTAGGTTAGTAGAAAAGTTTATCTTTGTATGGCAAAAGCAGCTTTCTCTTATCTTTATGTCCATTCCCTTTCAGTTGCACTAATATTTGTAATTTTTTAAAATGGCTAGCACTTCATATACCCTCCTAAAGATTTTAACTACATGAATTAGAACAACCTTGTTCATTAAATCCTGAAAATGAGTCAGTTAATCCTCCCTTATAAAGACACAGCATTATTTTATTCACATGCAATGAAATACTCAATTCAATAAGCATTTACCCTGCATTTACAGTGGTTCAGCATTTTGTGAACTGTGAGACACGATAAAGGAAAGTTCAATGTATTAAGGTGTCTTTCCTGGCCTTAAGAGTTTACTGTTTCTATTTGGGCAGCAAGAACTATATGGTAGGCCCAGCACTTTGGGAGGCTGAGGCAGGCGGATCACTTGAGGCCAGGAGTTCGAGACCAGCCTGGCCAACATAGCAAAACCCTGACTCTACTAAAAATACAAAAAAAATTAGCAGGCGTAGTGATACATGCCTGTAGTCCCAGGTACTCAAGAAGGCTGACGCACAAGAATCGCTTGAACCCGGGAGGCAGAGGTTGCAGTGAGCCAAGATTACACCACTGCAGTCCAGCCTGGGCGACACAGCAAGATTCTGTCTTCAAAACAAAACAAAATGAAAAAAACTATGTGGTATATTCAAAACAGATAGGAGTGCTTCCATCTGTCTCCTTTCAGGCCCCCATCTCCCTTCTCAGCGGTTCTAAGTTCCATTAGAGCCTTGCTTTCAGCAGGCTGTCATCAAATAGCAATGATATTGTCTAATAATGCCAAAGGTTGATTTGCATTTTAATCAGGGACTTTTCAAGACACAAAAACAAGTGGGCCTGTTTAAACAAAGTTAGAAAGTTGATTTATTTGCAGGGTTCTGATTCACCTATCACAAGGTATACCATACAAGCTGCTTTTACTCCACTCACAATCCTGTCACCCCTGGTTTGTAAAAGCTCTGCTTGCTGGATTGTCTCCCTGCTATCTATGATCGCCTACAGAGTAGACTCCAAATTCTTGGCTTGGTGTGCCAGGCACTTTTGAGCCTCATCTTCCTTACTCCCAGCCAGACATCCTACTTCCCAGCCTCACTGCACTTTCCATGTTTCCATAAACAGGCCTGGCCCTTTCACTCCTTGCTTTGCCCTTGTTTCCGTTCCCCAGAATGCCTTTCATCCTGTTCCCTCTTCTCTTTTTGGCAACTCCCACTTTGAGACACAGCATAAACATAATCTCTGTAGAACTCTTCCTATTCCAGATTTCTCCCAAATTTCTTGTTTTGCCTCTTCTGACAGCACTTTGTATATATGTCATATTATTGTTATGGAAATTAGTTTTGAAACTATCTTCCCCTACTGGCTTCTCAAGGGCAGAGACCTTGCATAGTCTTACCATACATGCTAACTGAATGCTTTTGCAGTTAGAATGATCAACAGGTTGGCAAATTTAGTTTTTGATATTGTGTTACCTCCCTCTGAGAATGCCCCAAGGTTAAGTAAAAACTCCCAACAGGGAATTTACAAGGTTTATTGTTGCTAATTTAACCAAACTTAAAGATTTTTTAAATCAATAATCAATTGTAAAGCATGGGGTCATGAAACACATTAGTAGAAAACACTGACTTTTGCCGATATGGTTCTAAAATGTCTCCTTTGGGACAGCGTGTAAACTGAGATTTGGCAAAAGAAGGAAGTGGGTCTTAGCTTTGTTGGGTCTATAAATTACTGAGTTAAGGACTGATAGAGTGGGGGTTAGGACGATCCTGGGCATAGTGCTGGGTGGGTGAGGGGTTAGTTACCTTTCCATTTCTTCGCCTTAGAATACACACTTAATTTGGCCAGCCAGCTTAGAAAATGCTCCTGGTAGTAAGATAAAAGGATTTACAGCTACATGAAAGAGAAAGGCATCAAAATTCAGGCCTTATTCAGCCTTGGGTCTGTGGTGCCTTGAGATAAAAGAGAAACAATTTATACCGGCACCGAATTAAAAAGTCCTTTTCTTCCTATCTTAGCTCGTTTTCTTCTCCTTTCCTATCTTAACATAGGGACATTCCTCTCCAGCAGCGGGCATAATGGCATGATTATGTTTTCCTCTATTTAGGGTTACTCCCCTAGCCTTGCAACCACTCCTTATTCTTTCATCTCTTTCAAAGTTTCTATTCTCCCGGACCCTTACGTTTTATTCCGTCCCTCCCTCTCTCCTCCTCTTCCTCCTCCTCCGTTTTCCCAGCTAGCTCACTCCGCCCCTCGCCGTCACTACCTTCCCTCCCCCGAGGCTCCTTCCCGCTCCTCCCGCCACCCCCCCCACCCCCTCGCCTTCAGAAAGCTCCAATCAGGAGCTCCGAAGGTGTCTCGAAGGCCCGCCCCCTCCTCCTATCCACTTTTCTTCCCCCCAATTTCTCCCTCCCCCCTTCCCCCCCCCACTCAAGTCCTGCGGACCTGGGGGCTTCGGGATCTGGGCGCTATGAAAAGTGTCTGCCCAGTCACTTCCGGTAAGGGCGCTGCGGCGCGAAGCTTCCCGCGGGACCGTTAAGGAGGGAGTGGGAGTTCCCGGTGGGCCAGGGAAGGAAGGCGCTGCCAGGAAAGGGGATCGCGAAGGGGAGCGGGAGCAGGAGCGAACTAGCGCGAGCGTCTGGGGCACTTTAGCCGCCCCTTTCCAGCCGCCCCCTCACGCGCGAGCTCCCCCGCCCCCCGGGCGGCTGCAGCGCTTCCCTCACCCCCACTCCCTGAGGTTGACACCGCCCCTCCCTCGGCGCCGCGTGACCGGAAATGGCGCCATCTTTAGCCTCTTGTGCTATTGACAATAACAAGCCCTGGTTCTTTCCCCCTCCCCCTTTCCCCCAACCACAGCCTCTCCCCTCCCAGGGAGAGGGAGAAAAGGAGGAGGAGCTGCAGCCTCACAGACTCGCTGAGTCGCTCCTGCAGAAAGGGGGGGAGAGAGATCGAAAAGCAGGGGAGGGGGACGGCACGGCCGTTTACCTGTCTGCCTCCTCATTCGCTCTCCCCCCTCGTTCTGCTCACTCCTGGTGTCAGCCTATCCGCCTTCCCAAACCCTCCCATTCCCCCGGTGTAGCCCCCCCCTTCACTTTCCTTCTCGTCCTCTGTGTTTCTCCTCTCTTCTTTCTTCCCTTCCCCCTCTAGCATTGCTACCTTCTCTCCTACACGCACGCAGGCATATAAACGTAGGTTTTTGATGCTCCTCTGCCTGTTGACCCCGCTATTTTCATGTTTCCAACAGGTTTTTCTTCCCCCAGTCCCTCAGCTGCTGCTGCTGCTCAGGAGGTCAGATCTGCCACTGATGGTAATACCAGCACCACTCCGCCCACCTCTGCCAAGAAGAGAAAGTTAAACAGCAGCAGCAGTAGCAGCAGTAACAGTAGTAACGAGAGAGAAGACTTTGATTCCACCTCTTCCTCCTCTTCCACTCCTCCTTTACAACCCAGGGATTCGGCATCCCCTTCAACCTCGTCCTTCTGCCTGGGGGTTTCAGTGGCTGCTTCCAGCCACGTACCGATACAGAAGAAGCTGCGTTTTGAAGACACCCTGGAGTTTGTAGGGTTTGATGCGAAGATGGCTGAGGAATCCTCCTCCTCCTCCTCCTCATCTTCACCAACTGCTGCAACATCTCAGCAGCAGCAACTTAAAAATAAGAGTATATTAATCTCTTCTGTGGCTTCGGTGCATCATGCAAACGGCCTAGCCAAATCTTCTACCACCGTCTCTAGCTTTGCTAACAGCAAACCTGGCTCTGCTAAGAAGTTAGTGATCAAGAACTTTAAAGGTAACCAAGGCCAAAATCCATAATCACCTAATAAGGATTTGACACTCGAGGGGTCACGTGCTCTATTTATGTTAATATATTAAACAGTTTGGAGGTGGCCTAATGTTTTATGCATAATCAATGAGGTGGAGGGGAGGTCCTTTTTTGGTGGAGGGTTCATTTTCCGGGGGTGGTTAGGATCCTTGTGCTGAAGCATACACCGGGTGTTTCTGTGCAGTATTTTGAGGTCTTTTTCAACCTATTGTATTTAATCTGTTATTCCTTATAACACTGACAATCGGTATGATTGATCCGGATTTTGCAGGTGAGAAATTTGTATTCTAAAGAGGTTTATTTATTTCAGGTGCATAGCGAGCCTTGGCATTGCTGGGATTTTTATTTTTATGCTTCAGTAGGCCACATTATCCAATGCCTAGAAATGCAGGTAGCAATAGTGATCTTTTTATGCTCAAATAAGATTTATAATTAGATTTATACTGTATTCATGAAACTCATTTGGAAGGAATATTTGAAGAAAAATTTATGTTCTCTGCATTTCTTTCCAAAGGTAGGGTTTGAAAGTGAAAAACATTGTGTATACACAGAAGTAGTAACTCTGTGTACCACTAGTCTAAAGATAGGAACAATTACTACATCTATTTTTTCCATCACTAAAATGGATTTTAAAGTATCGACCTGCAGCTTTTAGGAAAATTTGTTCAGACCGTGTTTGAGATATGTGAGGAGAGTATTATGAATACATTGAGGCAAATATAAAATCAGCAATTTTTAAAAATGTATTTGAGCTGAATTAATTTTTATTTGTTGAATGTGTTTCTGTTTTTCTGACTTACTTTTTCAACACCCGTAACTGCCAGGTAATCAGTGCTACAGTGTTTATTAAATAGAGAAGTAAATGAATGAACTTAAGTAATATTTATGAGATAAGTGCTTTGTGGCTGAATATTAGTATTGAGAAGATTAGGTTCTCTATGCTTGTGTTTTTAACATTGTGTGGAAATCAGGAGTATGCTCTATTTTGTCTCAAGCAGAGGGCTATGGTGTTGTCTATTTTTAACCCTTTCTTTTTTATATCACTACCTTCCCATACCCAGGCTCTCAGTTTCTGATTTAATAGTAGAGCTTTCTGAAGTCAATATGAATTGTAATTGAGTAACGTTTTCATTATTTCACTTAAAAATATATGGATTTTGTAGCTAAAGATTTTTAAATGAGTTATGATCCTGGTTGCATTTTCAAATTGGTTTCAGAGATTTTTTTCTCTCCCTCCTAAAATAAAAGCATATTATTAAGGCATTTGGATATTCTAATTAAAACTTTTTTCCCCACACTCATTGCTAGTCAGTGAAGTTTAAAGCCTAGAGTAAGATGTTTCTTTCTATTCTGAAAATGCAACATGGTTTCTGGAGTCATTTCTTTCAGTCTTTAAAAATTTCACTCTGCTCGTAAATGTAGTTTAAAACCTGAGTTAAGATGTTTCCATTTCTATAGATGCTGCATAAATGTGGGGGTCAAACAGACCTGAATTAGAATCCCAGCTTTGCCATTGACTAGCTATGATGACCTTGGGCAAGCTTACTAAATGAGTTCCAGCCTCAGTTTCCTCGGTTGTAAAATAGATTCCTCAGGGTATTGTTGGGAAGATTAAGAGGCTTATAAAGTACCTTGCACATAGACAGTACTTTAAATCTCAGGTTAAAAATTCATGTCGACTTAGGTTTTACACATGATGAAATAAGATCAGGATTGTTATTTTTTATGGTCATTCTTGAATTTTTATTTTTTTGAAGCAATACAATCAATAGGAGAAAAACCTCACCTTCAATTTTAATAGGTGAGTCAAAATGACTTAAACAGTATTATGGCATTTCAAATTTTATTCTTTATATTAAGCTTAAATACAGTGGTTACTTTAATGATTAGGTGTAATAGTTATAAAGATCACAATTTACCCTAAAATTAGTAATGCTATTATATTTTATGAATCTTTGGTTACTGTATCTGACATGGTATTCTGATGCCAACCTTTTACATATCATCTAGATAAGCCTAAATTACCAGAAAACTACACAGATGAAACCTGGCAAAAACTGAAAGAAGCAGTGGAAGCTATTCAGAATAGTACTTCAATTAAGTACAATTTAGAAGAACTCTACCAGGTATGTATTAATATGCATAACCAGATTTGATTAACATAAATTGAGGTGGGATGTATATGGATTTTGCTTTCTGAAATAGGTTCTTAAGTAGACTTTTGGTTCCCTTCTAATTTTAGTTTCTCCATTAATTGATGAACTCTATAATTAGACCACGTATTCTCACATAAACCATGGGTACAGTCATACCAGTATAAGTTGTGCTTATATTTGACCCTCCTGAT
This sequence comes from Homo sapiens, assembly GCF_000001405.40. Lineage (NCBI taxonomy): Eukaryota > Metazoa > Chordata > Mammalia > Primates > Hominidae > Homo > Homo sapiens. Next base: position 120,557,702 of record NC_000023.11, on the reverse strand, counting down.
AAGAAATTACAGTTACGTGTACCTTGGTGTAATAGAAGTTCTACCTATAATGTAATCCTATAGCATGAATCCCAAAGATGATTTCTGGTGACATGTCATTCTATTGTGATAATTGTTTCTTAGTTGTGTTACCTACCCATAGGAAAGGCCTCAAGACATGCAGATATTATTCATATCCTTTATTCTACCTCCTTCTTAATAGTAGACTTTGCCATTTCTTTTTCTTGCTCTTTACATTTTTCTAATACCTGGGCTACAAGACGCACCTTAGCCCAGAAATGAGTAGCAGTTTGTAGTCCAGCAGCTTAGTCTGAGGTTCAGATTCTTTACTTAGCAAATGGGTCCTTACACTTAAATATAATTTTAAGGGCAGTTCCTAAGGGCAATCCCTTGCTACCAAGAAATTTTTCCCTACTGTGTATTTGACACACAACCAATTCAAGAAGTTACTTTCATTAGAGTGTCAGGGATTTGGTGTTAAAAGATACTTCAGGCCGGGCACGGTGGCTCACACCTGTAATCCCAGCACTTTGGGAGGCCAAGGCTGGCAGATCACCTGAGGTCAGGAGTTCGAGACCAGCCTGACCAACATGGAGAAACCCCGTCTCTACTAAAAATACAAAATTAGCCAGGCAATGTGGTGCATGCCTGTAATCCCAGCTACTCAGGAGGCTGAGGCAGGAGAATCGCTTGAACCCAGGAGGTAGAGGTTGCGGTGAGCCGAGATTGCACCATTGCACTCCAGCCTGGGCAACAAGAGTGAAACTCCATCTCAAAAAAAAAAAAAAATATATATATACTTCAGAGTACAATAGCTTGAATTTTTGTATTGATGAGTACCTTGTAAGAAATTATGTTGGTTTTATTTATCAGTATTTGTATATTTTAGTTGCAGAGCTAGTATGGTGATGGGTAAACCTGGATTAGGAGTCAGAAGATGGGTTTGGGATCTAGTTTTGACTGCTGTTACCCTCATAATCTTGGGCCAGGTACTAAAGCCCTCTCAGTTTTTTTTCCTGTTTTTTTAAGAGATAGGGGTCTTGCTATGTTGCCCAGGCTGGTCTTGAACTCCAGGGCTACAGCAGTCTTGTCACCTCAACCTCCCAAGGTGCTGAGATTACAGGCATGAGCTACCAAACCCAGCCGTCACTCTCAATTTAAATTTCCTCCTCTCTAAAGTAGAGGAAATAATAGTTTGCCCTACCTGTCTCACAAGGTTGCTGATAAGAATCAAATAAGATATTTGTGGAAAACGCCTCCAGGCACTATAATCTTACAAATATAAGATGGTATCACGAGTCAAACTTTTTTACAAGCCACATTATAGCTTCTTCACTTGTAGTATGACAATTGAGATCACCAGTTTCTGTTGCTGTGAAAATTAGTACACGCAAAATACTCAAATCAGTGCACAACACATAGTAATAATGCCGTGTAACATTATAAGCATTATAATGCTATGCAAATGTCGGCTAGTAGTTGTAGTACTAAGCTATTACTTAAGAATAAGCCCATTTCATATGGCTCTTTTGGCGTATTATATATGCGTCTCTTAAAATGTACAACAATAAAAGCCAAAATATGAAACTGACTTGGAAAGGCCTTAAGAGAGCATGTGGTCCAATATTTTTTCTTTGTGGTGTCCATGACAGCCTGCAAAGGGGATTCATCTCGTATTATCTCATATAAGCATTATGGAAACCCTTTCTGGGGTACGTAGGGTAGTAGTTACTATCCCCACTTTTTTTTTTTTTTTTTTTTGAGATGGAGTCTTGCTATGTCACTCAGGCTGGAGTGCAGTGGCGTGATCTCGGCTCACTGCAACCTCCACCTCCCGGGCTCAAGTGATCCTCTTGCCTCAGCTTCCCAAGTAGGTGGAATTACAGGCGCCTGCCACCACGCCCTGCTAGTTTTTGTATTTTTAGTAGAGACAGGGTTTCACCATGTTGGCCGGGCTGATCTCGAACTCCTGACCTCAAGTGATCCACCCGCCTCCACCTCCCAAGGTGCTGGGATTACAGGTGTGAGCCACCGCGCCTGGCCTATCCCCACTTTATTGATGAGGAGACTGAGTCTCAGAGAAGTTGAATAACCTGCCCAGAGTCACATATTGGCAGAGCAGGGGCAACTCAAACTGAGATGCTGGATTTCTAGTTCATTGCACTTTTACTCCTGTACCACCTCACTAATATACCCTGGTACTTTGAATACCACTGTAGTGCAGTGTTTGAAACAATTAAATTGTTTTACTTTAGGGAAAAAGCTCTTTATAATTTTAGTAGTATTTTTATCTGTGCATGCATAAGTGGTGTTTATTTGGATAGTATATGGTGTTTATTTGGATATGCTGGTATACAGCATATTTAATTTCAATAATATTTTATATATTCCATATTTGTAACAAATGTTTATTGTGGTTATTAATTAACCCTATTTACTTTACCTTGAATATTTTTCCAGAGCTTTTGATTTGAAAATACTTTTCCTGATACATTGATTCTGTTAAATCTTTTTCTTTCAAGAGCATAGAGCTTGCATCTCTTGTTTTTGTTTTCTTGTACTTCGTAAGTTTTACCTGCTGTTGTTCAGTTGCATTTCTTTAGCCTAGTCACAAGTCTTATAACTTCACTGTTTGCATTTTTCATAATACCTTACTGCTTTTGCTATAATGAATTCAAAAGCATTGGTTTTTAGCTCTTTTACTGTTTTTGACCTTAATTTTATAAATGTTCCTTTGGATTGTTCTCAGAAAGATTATTTTGAGATGTTCAAGTTCAAACAGGAGGATAAAGGAGGTAAAGCTATTTCATATAATCTGGACTTCAGGTGCTTGTTTGATTTTGACTCATTGAAACGTAATTAGAAGTACTCTCTCAATCTACCTGAGTGGGAAATAAAAACATAAGAAAAAGTACTCTTCTAAAATTGAAATAATGTGGAAATATGTAGTTATACAAAAGTTCTCCAAACCCCTGTCCCACCCTCTTTCTCTGAGGTAAACACTTACTGGCATATATCTGCTTAGAACTTACTTCTGCATGAAAAAACATTTTGCTTTAAAGCTTTAAGTATGGAAGTCCCTAGTGTGGGTTGCATGTACTGCCTACTAAGTTTTTAATTTCTATAAAAGAACATGCTGTTCTAAGTACACTTGCAGTAAGCAAACATTGTCTTTTTAAAGTAATTTTAAATTAGAATTGGACCTGAGTTTTAAAATTATCTTTCCTTGACAACCTTGAGATCCTGTGGGTGTGAGGCAGTGATTAATGTTTTCATTTGACTGTTTTGTTTGTTTGCGTGCTTGTTTTTAATTGACTGCAAATAAGACTGATTAAATGCACTGACTTTTGAGCTGTCCAGCCTGCCTTAGGTTACAAATCTGTCACTCATCATATAACTTTGGGCGAGTTACTTCTCTAAGTCTTGGTTTCCTCATTTACAAGATGGTGAGACTAACGGCTACCTATATGGTAGGGTTTTTTAGACGTAAATGAAATATTGCAAAAAAGTAATTATCACAGTTCCTGCTATATATTGGTATGTGTCATCAATGATAGTAGATATTTGAGTCTTTAGAAAAGAAATCTTTATTTTAAAATTACATTTTATTTTAGAGCTCTGAAGCCACACGATTTTAAATTCTAAATCTACACTGGGCCAGAGCAGCTGTCTGATAAATAGATTACATTCCAAATGTGCTTCAGTAGACACCATTAGCGAAATTGAAAAAATAATAGAAAAAGACAGGAACTCTCTAGGAACAGTGTCCCTCTACGCTTAAAAAGAATGTGTCTTGTTTTCACATGTGGTATCATACAGTTGGAATTTTGGTTTTGGTGTGAGTTTTTTTACTATTAATAAGTAATATTTTAAATAGGATTATTTTCATAATCCTATTATGAGCTCATGTTCTCAACTTTTGTATGAGTAGCCGCAGTGTTTTGTTTTGTTTTGTTTAAATAGAGATATGGGGGTCTTGCTATGTTGCCCAGGCTGTTCTCGAACTCCTGGCCTCAAGCAGTCATCCCGCCTTGGCCTCCCAAAGTGCCAGGCTTACAGGCATGAACCACCATGTCTGGCCTACTACAGTGTTTAAGATCAGCTACCTTTTTTGGAGATGCTGGAAGTTTGTACAGGAGCGTGTAACATTTATCTTTCCTATAAATCTCTAGCTATTTTTAAAGTCAAGCCTAGGCCATACTTCAATTCTGATGAAAATAATTTTATTTATTATTAATAATGGGAACTGTAGTTACCTTTTTGTGAAATAAACCTTAAATGATGAACCTTTCTATTAACGATTCATTTATAGAGTAGATGACCACAGGACTAGAATCAAATAGTATAGGTTATTATCAATTGTAAAATCTGGTTGCTTAAGCAGTCAGTGATTATTAAGAAAGCAGTTAGATTCTTAGCATTGTTGATGACTAGCTGTTGGAGTCTGTGTAACTTTTGTCACCCTGTTGATGTCTTAAAGCTTAGTCTATTATGTATTATGTATTTCTCTTTTTACTGAATCGTTAATCAGTACTATTGTTGCTGTTTTTTAAAATGTACAACTAAAATTCTACTCTTTGTTATTTTGAAATATACAATAGATTATTAAATAATAAAAAATTTTAAAATGTGCACTTACAAATTCTTAGTCCTTGATAATTTTCAGTCTTATTTAAGTCCTGTTTACTGGAAGTAAAAAGAAAAGGAGTTTAGGTTTCATTGTATAGTTGGTTTCCTTTAAACAGATTCTTAGTTTTTGAATACTTAGAGTATCTTAGCCATATTTACTTGACATAAAAAGAGAGATAATGTAGATCTTATTGCTATATCAGTTGTTGAATTTTTTGTTATGTGCTTTACTTACTATCTGTAAACATAGCTCGAAAACTAAGACTCCACTCCTTAGACCAGTGACCAGAGTTCAACACCCTGGTGGAAATTCAGTATCTTTTTTATTGTCTGTTGTTCAGTAAATATTTGCATATGTCATTTGCTACACGTTTATATATATTTTTTGACTGTGTTTTTTTTTCAGACACTTTTTTTTAGCTCATCCTTGTGAAGAAAGACACATTTTTTATGTATCCTGTGGATTTTGGAGGGGAAGGGCTGGGATTTGGAAGAATAAGGGTTAGAAGCTTGCTAGAATGCCTGTATTTTATACCTAAGTACCTTCAAAGGATTTAAGGCAGCATATTTACTGGTAATTAGTGGGAGCTTAAATAAAAAGATAGTTTTATTAAAAAGACTTGTAAGGCTGGGTGCGGTGGCTGACGCCTGAAATCCCAACACTTTGGGAGGCCAAGGTGGGCGGATCACCTGAGGTCAGGCATTCAAGACCAGCTTGGCCAACATGGTGAAACCCAGTCTCTACCAAAAATACAAAATTCAGCCAGGTGTGGTGGCACGTGTCTGTAATCCGAGCTACTGGGAAGGCTAAGGCATGAGAATCGGTTGAACCCAGGAGGCAGAGGTTGCAGTTATCTAGAATCTGTTTATTACAAATAGTTGTTTGTGAGGCAAGAGGTTACTTCCAGAGATTCCCAAAGTGTTTTATTAGTGTAAATAATAAATACGTAATGCATAATATGTAAAAATACATAAATAATACATAATATTTAAATAAAACAATGCATAATATGTAAAAATACATAAATAATAAATACATAATATTTAAAAGAATATATTTGTAAAAGTGCTTTTCAAAGATCTAGAGTAAAATAGAGCTTATCTCAAACACCTTCTTATTCCTGTTTCCATCCCAGCATGTAATAGGATGAAGAGTACTTAGTAAACAGTCATTCCTTGTTCAATCCATGACTGCTTACTGTGTCCAAAACTGGACTGATACCTTGGGGTTATGGAAAGCACTTAGTACTAGTAAGAGAGCATAAGTACCTACCCTAAGTTACTTATGTTCTAATAGGTTCATGAAATTAATAGTTCGTGACCAGCATTTTTTAAAAAGAAATGAAATAGCAAATATCAGAATGCATCACATAGAGTAATGATGTGTAGGTTCGTGAAGATTTTATTTTAGTTACATAAATTTATGTATGATGGATTGTGACATTAGATTTCCTACTGTGGCTTTGGGTCAAAACATTTTGGAAGCCACTGTTTTACAGACACCACTCCAAATCTTGCCTAAAGGTGAGAAAAGTAGAGTACTTGGATCAAAGGATGTGTGAAAGGTTATAATCGGGTGGCCAAGGTGGCTCATGCATGTAATCCAGCACTTTGGGAGGCTGAGGTGAACAGTTCACTTGAAGTCAGGAGTTCGAGACTAGCCTGGCCAACATGGTAAAACCCCATCTCTACTAAAAATGCAAAAAAACCTAGCTGAGTGTGGCGGCGCATGCTTGTAATCCCAGCTACTTGAGAGGCTGAAACAGGAGAACCACTGGAACCTGGAGGCAGAGGTTGCACTGAGCCAAGATTGCACCCCAATCTGGGCGACAGAGCAAGACTCCATCTAAAAAAAAAAGAAAAAAGAAAAGTTATAATCAGACATGAGATGAAAGTGGTAAGATTTGCCTTGAACACCATGCTAAAAAGTATGGTGGTGGGGAAGTTAGAAAGGCTTTTATTGGGGAAGGCAAGTATTTAAGTTTTTTGAATACCTGATATATTCCTCTGGTTCAAAGCCCCGAAAGTATTGCAGAGCATGTAGTGAGAAGTCTCACTTCCACCCCATCCTCCAGTCCCCTAGTTAGTTCTCTTTGTGACAGACATTATTAGTTTTTTGGGTATCTTTCCAGAGATGTTTTATATACGTAAAACGACTGTGTATGTTTTTATTTTGTTCCTTTTTTACATAAATGATAGCAGACCATGTACCGGATAGTTCTTTTTGTTTGTTTATTTATACCTATTACGAGATTGCTCCATCACAGTACAGGAAAAGCTTGATGGAAGGTTGTTGAGGAAGGAAAATGACTAGATCCGGTCTATAGGTTAAGCAGTCAAGGCTAAATTAGAAAAACAGAATGTTCCCTCCGAACTTGACCTCAAAACTCACCTTAGATGCTCCTGCCTTTCTTGCCTTAAAGTTCTTAAACCACCCTCCAGCCAAACACAGGTGAGACTCTGTGCTGTAAAGCCCAGCTTAATTCTCGATTTCTCACTATTTCCACTAACTTTTTATCTGTTTCCCTGTGGGTCTTTGGGACTCTGTCCCTTTACCTCTTCCCAGGAAGGCTTTTCTGACTTGCCCTCCCCTAAATGCTGGGTTAGGGGCCTCATCTCTCTGCTTATCCTCATCATAGCATCTAGCACACTCAATCGTAATTACACGTTTTCTGGCAACTTTTCTCATACTAGAAGCCCTTTCTATGTGCAGGACACATTGCTAGAGTTTTTTTTGAATACTTCATGTATTCACTTGGTTCAAAGCTCAAAAAGTATTAAAGAACTTATAGATAGATGAACACACAATGTCTTTCTGTCATTAAGGAGTCAGAGAGACAAGATATACACATAAAAAGATAAGTAGTTTTGTGTAAGAAGTGTCCAGTGGTTGGGAGATAAATAGTGTTGACTCAATGACTAAGTCAGTGTGGTATGATGGGTGCGAGTGCCATGTGAGTCACTGGTAGCTGAGTCAATTAAGAAGAACTTATTGGAAGAAGTGGGACCTAATTGAGTAGTAAGGGAATATGGTATCTTGTGTGAGAAGATAAGTAGATGTGCCGAGAACTGTTTTATTTGAGAAGGGAACATAGCAGAAGGAAATGGGATAAATAGGACTTAGAGAAGTACCGGAAGTGCACAATGTGGAAAGATGAAGTACGCACTAAGTCATATGACAGAATCTAAGCAAAGCGATAAGAAATGCTGAGAAAACAGTCATTCAGAAGGAACGGTGAGATACAATGAGAGGAATACTAAAGGTGGAAGGGGGACAGTCCACAAAGGACCTGTGTGAACAGAGAGGCACATGAAATAAATGTAAATTCCCTTAAGCATTTGTGGCCTAGCCCCAGGTCACGTGAAAAGTGGGCAGGCCAGCAGGGTCTCAGCCTTCTTATTCCTCCATAGCTGCTCAATCTAATTGGCCTGCTGTTTCCTGATGAGGTGTGGTGACTTGTCTCGTGGTGTAAGAGGTTTCCTTTAAGCTCTGCTCTGCTCTGCTCTTCTCTTCTTTTTTCTTCTCTTCTCGAGACAGAGTCTCACACTGTTGCCTGGGCTGGAATGCAATGGCACATTCTCGGCTCACTGCAACCTCCACCGCCCGGGTTGATGAGATTCTCCTGCCTCAGCCTCCCGAGTAGCTGGTGCACACCACCACACCCGGCTAATTTTTGTATTTTTAGTAGAGACAGGGTTTCACTATGTTGGTCAGAGTGGTCTCGAACTCCAGACCTCATGATCTGCCCGCCTCGGCCTCCCAAAGTGCTGGGATTACAGGCGTGAGCCACCGCGCTCTGCCAAGCTTTCTTTTCATTTGCTGATTTATTTACTGGACCTGCATATTGGGAATGTGACTTCTAACTACATATTTTTAAAATTCCACTCCAACCCACAGAACTTGGATGCCCCCCTAGAGTTCATTTTAATGGAATTTTTTTCTTCTGTTGTGGTGAGAAAGGAATTCTGGTGTTACATTTAAGTCATTACCACTTGGAATTATAGATTATATCAGAGTTTTCCCAAAGAGTTTTAGCATGCCTGTTGTTTTAAATTTGAAAGTCTTTTATATATGCATAACAGGAAACTTACGGAAATCTGAAGGTCATCCTTCTGGAATCTGAGTATAAAAGAAGACCAATTCAGTTATTAAAGTGAAGTAAAAATGCAGTTCTTTCTTTTGTAATTGGCGTTAATTCAGTTGTACAAATTTTATTTATTTTTTATTTTATTCCTTTTTGAGATGGAGTCTCTCTCTGTTGCCCAGGCTGGAGTGCACTGGTGTGATCTCGGCTCACTGCACCCTCCACCTCCTGGGTTCAAGCAATTCTCCTGCCTCAGCCTCCTGAGTAGCTGGGATTACAGGCGTGCACCACCATGTCCGGCTAATTTTTGTATTTTTAGTGGAGACGGGGTTTCACTATGTTGGCCAGGCTGATTTTGAACTCCTGACCTCAAGTGATCCACCCGCCTCAGCCTCCTAAACCGCTGGGATTACAAGCATGAGCCACTGCGCCCAGCCACAGATTTTAAAATCTATATTTAACTATTCTTAAACTGAAATGTTGGAGAAAATTCCTTGGTATTATATCATACTCATTATCATACTACTAGCAATAATTTCTGCTTTGTTCTGTTCAGGAAAATCCAAGAACGTTTAAGTAAATTTTAATTCAATTGTAGTAGGACTGCCCAACCCATCTGATACATAAACAACAGGTGAAATTCTTTTTTAAACCCAAAATGAAGCTCTGCTTGTGAAAATGATTAACATTTTAAACAAGACAGCTTTTTTATTTTTGAGACAAGGTCTCACTTTGTCCCCAGGCTAGAGTGCAGTGGCGTAGTCATGGTTCACTTCAACCTTGAACTCTTGGGCTCAAGTGATCCTCCTGCCTCAGCCTCCTAAATAGCTGGAACTACAGGTACACACCACTGGGCCCAGCTAATTTTTAAATTTTTTGTAGAGATGGGGTCTTGCTTTGTTTCTGTATTAGTCAGGGTTTTCTTAGAGGGACAGAACTACAGAACTAGTAGGAGATATATATAAAGGGGAGTTTATTAAGTGTTAAGTTACACGATCACAAGGTCCCACAATAGGCTGTCTGCAAGCTGAGGAGTAAGGAGAGCCAGGTTGATTCCCAAAACTGAAGAACTTGGAGTCTGATGTTCGAGGGCAGGAAGCATCCAGCATGGGAGAAAGATGTAGGCTGGGAGGCTAGGCCCTTCTCTCCTTTTCACTTTTTTTGGCCTGCTTTATATTCACTGGAAGCTGATTAGATTGTGCCCACCAGGTTAAGGATGGATCTGCCTTCCCCAGCCCACTGACTCAAATGTTAATCTCTTTTGGCAACACCCTCACAGACACACCCAGGATCAATACTTTGTATCCTTCAATCCAATCAAGTTGACACTCAGTAGTAACCATCACAGTTGCCTAGGCTGTTCTAGCCTGGCATCAAGCAATCCTCTCACCTTGGCCCCCCAAAATGTTGGGATTACAGGCATGAACCACTGTACCCAGCCCAAGTAGGATTTTCTTTGAGCAGCATGTTGGCACTCAAAAAGTTTCAGATTTTTGAGCTTTTTGGATTTCAGATTTTTAGATTAAAGATGCTAAACCTGTAATTTGTTCTTTTTTGATACAGTGCATTGGTTATGAGAAAGTTTGCCACCCACATTGATATATTTTGTTGTTTTACCTTGTGTCTTAAGTGGATGAATAACCCTTTTTAATAAGCTGATGTGGTAGAAATATCAAATTAATAAGAATCTGATGTAAATAGTTGAGAAATCCTTCATCCTCTCCTTAAGAAAGTATTTTAACCTTGCAGGCTGTAGAAAATCTCTGTTCTTACAAGATTTCTGCAAACTTGTACAAACAGCTGAGACAGATCTGCGAAGATCACATCAAAGCACAGATTCATCAATTCAGAGAATATCCTTTTTAAAACAAAAAATCGTGAATAGTTTTGTCTTCCTCTCTGTCCCTACCCCTCACTGTTTAACCCAGCTTGAAGTAGAATGCCTGTATTTTGTAGGTTTGTCATTTTTTGTGCCTTGTGTTTCTCGAGAAAGAAACACATTTTGACTTTTCAGCCTTAATTCGTGTCCAGGACTACGTGTGGTATTCATGTAAATAAGATGTCCTTATGTCTTTATCCTTTTTGCCCTATCAGATTTCCACTTGAGGAAAAATAATCTCCTAAGGGAAATAGTAAACTGAAAACACGATGTTCAGTTATGTCTAAGACTTGTTTTTAAAGGTGTTTTTTAGTATAAACTATGTTTTTTTTTTCTTTTACAAATTAGGAAATAGCACTTTGGTGCATAATCAAGTGCCATTTAGTTTCACTTAGTGTGCAAGGTATTCATGTTTAAGACTAATATGCTCTCTGTCACATGGCACATATGACTTGTACCAAACGCTTTAAAATATCCTTAACATATGTTTCAGGGATTCATTGGATAGCGTTCTTTTTTTAAAGAAGATTGATAGATGCTGGCAAAACCATTGCAGACAAATGGTAAGCTGGAAAAAGTATTGTATTTCGGCTAAACATTGTATTAATAGTTAAAAACATTTCTTCAAATACAGGAATGTTAGTTTTTAAAACTTAGCAATAGGGAGATTGCTTCAATATCTATTCCTTTTCTTTTTTTTTCTTTTTTTAAAAATTTATTTATTTTTTATTTTCCCGTAAGTTATTGGGGTACAGGTGACATTTGGTTACATGAGTAAGTTCCTTAGTGGTGATTTGTAAGATTTTGGTGCACCCTTCACCAGAGCAGTATACATTGCACCATTGTAGTCTTTTATCCCTCGCCCCCCTCCCACTCTTCCTCCCAAGTTCCTTTTCTGAATTGGAAACTAGTTTTGGTTGAGTTTTCTATTTTAAAACCACAAGTTACAGGTAAACCTGCATTTCAGAATGTCTTGCACCTTAGGTTCATTTTTATTTTTGTCACACTTACCAAAAATGTATTTATCTCATTCATTAAAAAGCTACATTTCGTCTGTCACTCTTATTTTTTTTTCTCTCTTGATGATTATCCTGTCCACTATTTGATTACCTGTGAAGGTGCCTGATGGTCCTGTGTTTTAGTTTATTCAGATAACAACCTTTTCCATTTTTCTTAATCTGGTTTATACCTTATATTCTACAGATTAAAATCTTAAAATCCATCACCCCTCCCCACCCCCACCCCCTGCCAATAAAAACCCTCACATGTGCAATGTAAGGCAGCTTCATTCCCTAGCACTGTGGCGCAGGAAGAATTATATGAGCGTCCCCTTGATTTTTCAGTTACTTCTCAAGCAGTAAATCAGAGGGCCATTTTAAGTGTCTTTTTTCTAGAAAACACAAAAAGGATTGACTGTTGAGTAATAAAAACTATATGGGCATATTCTCAGATAGATGTGTTTATCTGCATGTTTGATCTTAGTAATGTAATATATATACAGACAAACTCTTCAGTTTTATTCTTATTGAAAGCAAATATTTCAGCTTCACAACATACAAAACTTGTTTGATTTCTTTTTTTTTCATTGGCAGATCATGATCAGGAGCATTTTTTTGTTTCTGGATAGAACTTACGTTCTTCAGAATTCAATGCTACCCTCCATTTGGTAAGGATGCCAGAAAAATATGAAAAGATTGTTCCAAATCATACTCAAATCTTAATTACACTAATGAAAGTGTATAAGCTATACTGTGAATATTCTAAAAATTCACATTTGGTTCTAGACTTTCCTTTGTAGCAGTTTTATCTTCCTAATAATATGTTGCCTATGCTAATATTGAAGATAGCTAACATTCCCTGGGCATATATTAATTTATGAAGAAGTTTTTTGTTAGCCGAGGGGACTAAAGTTTGCTCTGGAATGTCTATGATTGTGATTCATTTTGCTGCTGACCATCAAGAGTTCACTCATTTAACATTATGCAAAAGTCCATGTATACACGAAAATAGAATAGTATCATGAACTCTTCCCCCTCCCATGTACCTATCATCTGCCTACAGCAATGATCAGAATTCACTGATTCTTCAGTATTGAAACCAGTTGATAAATAACCAAATAAGCTTTCAATACCAGTACAGTGAAAACTGTTTTATGTCTTAGAACTAATTTTGTCTGTTGATTTGAGCAAAGAAGAAATCCACAAAAAGAAATAATACAACAAAACTTAGTTATGGAGGAAAATAGGAATTTAGCTTCAATTCTCAGTAAAGGCAAAATGAGTTTCCTGTGTTCTTTAATCTAATAATGTTATTCAAAATTAAATGTGTGGATTTTATTTTTTGACAATTGCTGCTTCAAAGCCCTGGAGCCCTAATTAGCATGGGAACATGTGGTAAGAAGTTAAGCAAACCTCTTCAGAAGTGGTATTGTCAATTAATTTAGGTTATATGTGTTTTTTATTTTAGGGACATGGGACTGGAGTTATTTAGGGCTCATATTATAAGTGATCAGAAAGTGCAGAATAAGACAATTGATGGCATTCTTCTCTTGATTGAGAGGGAAAGGAATGGTGAAGCAATTGATAGAAGTTTACTTCGAAGCCTTTTAAGCATGCTGTCTGATTTGCAAGTAAGTTAACTACTACACCTACTATACAGAGCTGATTGCTATCCTAGTTTTTTTTCCCCCCACATCAGACAGGTAATGTGCTGATGTCATAACAAGGTTTGAAGGAAGCACATCTCATATATGAGCATAAAAACCCAATCATCATGCTTCTCAACTACAAAAGGATCCTAGCTTGATGTTTAAAAACCAAATTCATAATGCTGTTTACATAGACATAGAGGACATTTAGTAAATATTTGCTAAATAAATGATCTCCTTCATTTTGTTCCCCCTCCAGATTTATCAAGATTCTTTTGAACAACGATTTTTGGAAGAAACTAACCGGCTCTATGCAGCTGAAGGCCAAAAATTAATGCAAGAAAGAGAGGTATTTAAAAATCATGACTAATAAATTCTCACTGTCTCTCACAATAGACCTTACTTTGTAGAATATAAGCTTCCCTTTGCATTTATCTTCCCAACATTGTGATGCTCTTCTCTCACTTAGGTGCTCCTTTCTTTTCTCTCTTCTTAAAGGCCAGAATTCTGGATCATAAACTCTACCTATAAATTTTTACATATGATTCTACCCTGTCACATTTGACAGGGCCACTTCCAGGATCTTTTGGACTTGACATTTTCTGAATGATTTATGGGGAGGAAAACAATAATGTAAAAAACTATCTTTGTAGGTTCCTGAATATCTACATCATGTTAACAAACGTCTAGAAGAAGAAGCAGACAGACTTATTACTTACTTAGATCAGACCACCCAGTAAGTACCACATGCTGAATTTAATAGTCTTAAACTGTCGTTAAATCACTTGCAGCACTTTAGCCATCCTAAACATGTTAGTAACTGTTTTCAGGTGTGATTTGAAGTGTTAACAGTTGTTTTCATAATACAAACTTCAAGTTATTCTTTTCCCTAGTTAATTAGTTTTCATCCAAGGATTCGATTATTAGGGGTGTGTGTGTGTGTGTGTGTGTGTGTGTGTGTGTGTGTTTAGAAGGTAATTTAGAAATAATACTAGAGGCTGATGTGACCTTTAAACTCTTCAGGCCAATTAAAATTCAGTGGATTCCCCTATTTCTGTGCTTTCCTAAGTATTAATATTGCCAGTCGAGGGGCCTCTGTATGTAGTACTTCTTTACCTTCCTAATAAAAGTAGCAAAACTTGGAAAAAGCCGACTACAGCAAGGTCTTGGAGATATTTATTTCGTTATGTAAACCAAATTCTAAAATATGCAGTGTTTTTTTAAAATTTTTGCCTGTCAGTTCCTTTATGTCTTTTTCTTTTAGGCATAAAGTATAGTAACTCTGAGCACCAATAAATTTATACATAGGATAGGAATCTTGAAATCAACATAAAATGAGCTATTTGATTTTTTTCCCCCCTCAGGAGAGGCTTTACATTTTCTGGAAGTCAAACGTCAATAATACTAACCTTTTTTTTTTTCCTTGTAGGAAGTCATTAATTGCTACTGTAGAAAAACAACTTCTAGGTGAACACTTAACAGCAATTCTTCAGAAAGGTAATTGGCAATTTGTAAATAAGAGATTGCTTTTTAAATGGTAGTGGCAAACTAGTAGGGAATTTTTAAAGATGTTGCCCTTTTAAAAGTTTGATAGCATGTGGCTGCATTTCTGAGGATGGACACAATCCTTATTAATCACAGTAAACTTCCTGGAGGTGCCAGTTTTCTTATCTGAAAGATACAGGAACTAGAAGAGAGGGATCCACAAATACCAATAAAAAAACAGTGGTTGATATGTGCCTGTAGTATCAGCTACTTGAGAGGCTGAGGCAGGAGGATTGCTTCAGCCCAGGAGTTTGAGGTCAGCCTGGGCAACATAGTGAGACTCTCGTCTCTTTAAATAAAATAAAAGAAAAAAAGTGGGAAATTCTTGACTTAATATGTAAGCTTTCAGTAAGGAAAGGTATTCCTTTTTACACTAAAGCGGTGAGGGTTTTTTGTTGTTCATGGCATGTCAAACCAAGCACTTCTAATCCCAAGTGAATTTAGAGTATACCCTACATTTTACTTTGAGAATGCCGCAAATAGGTAAAAGCCTTACCTTTCTCCCCAATAATATTTTCTTTTGTATAAAAATTTATATATTTAGAAATTTAATGCAGTTATACTGTTATTTCATCCTGGAAATCAAATATTTATTAGAGCCTCATTTAAATTTGACCTATTTATGCATGGCTTTTGATATATCACAGGCTATATCCAGTATTCTGAAATATAACTATGTACATAATATGGCTACTACATATATGAGGTATTTATAATGTATATTTATGTAAGCCAGTTTTTATAAGTTTGTTTTTGCCTCTAATCTATCATGCTAAATGGCACAAACCATTATGGAGTTAACCATTTTTCTTTTTCTTTTTAATTTTTTTAACTTTTTGAATTAAAATAGAGAGGGGGAGGGGGTCTTACTGTTGTGCCCAGGCTGGTCTTGACCTCCTGGCTTCAATTGATCCTCCTGCCTCAGCCTCCCAAAGTGCTGGGATTACAGGTGTGAGCCACCGTGCCTGGCCTGTTTTTATTTTTATAGCGACTAAAGTCTCTATATTTAGTTTTTACCCAGAAAGATGGTTGGGTTTAATTCAAAGGAAATCTTACATTACAACTCACATACAGACTAGTCATAGTTCAAACCAGTATCACAATAATGATTATAACTCAAATTTTATTAAAATGTCTGATAATCTTGTTCACTTTTTTGTTCACTATATTTTAATGCCAAAATGTTTTAAAATACAGGTTTAAATAACCTCCTTGATGAAAACCGAATTCAAGATTTGTCTCTTCTGTATCAGCTCTTCAGTAGAGTTCGAGGTGGAGTTCAGGTTCTTTTGCAGCAGTGGATCGAATATATCAAGGTATTAACAATTTACCTGTGATTTTTCTCTCTTATGGCTTATCTACACATCAAGAGTGCATATTGGCAAGCATTTCTTGTTTGATCCAATTTTTTTTTTTTTGAGACAGAGTTTTGCTCTCGTCACCCAGGCTGGAGTGCGGTGGCACGATCTTAGCTCGCTGCAACCTCTGCCTCCCAGGTTCAAGTGATTCTCCTGCCTCAGCCTCCCAAGTAGCTAGGATTACAGGCATGCACCACCATGCCTGGCTAATTTTGTATTTTTAGTAGAGACGGGGTTTCACCATGTTGGTCAGGCTGGCCTTGAACTCCTGAACTCAAATGATCCACCCGCCTTGGCCTCCCAAAGTGCTGGGATTACAGGCGTGAGCCACCACACCCGGACTTGATCCAGTTCTTTTAAGGGAATTTTAAATTTGTTTAAAAAGTAATGGGAATTTTGAGAACAGTCAACCTGAGAATGGTAGCTGTGTGGCATATCAGCTATAAAACCTGATTGATGGCTGACATAATTTCTGTCTCTACCACTTAAAGCAGTAAATGTAGAAAAAGACTTTGAACCCCAAATTTCTTTCCTTTCTTCAATCTTACACTAAAGCCAGATTGCCATTTTAAGGAAGTTGAAAGCTGACTTCTTTAAAAATAAGGAAAAGATCCCAGAGGCTTCTAATAATACCCTGTTATGATATCATATGCCCAGTGATCATTGCTTACTATTTTTGTGATTATAGATGAGTGGTTAACAGTGTGGATATTTAGCACTTTATTTTTTTGTCCTCATTTCACTATCAGCTTTATTTTGCCAGGTGCAGTGGTACATGCCTGTAACTCCAGCTACTTGGGAGGCTGAGGCAGGAGGATCCTTTCAGCCTAGGAGTTTCAGACTAGCCTGGGCAACATAGCAAGATTCCATCTTAAAAATAGCTTTATCTTACTTTTTAAAGATCTTTAAATATATATGCCACTTAAAATATGATTTGGGGATTGTTTTCATTGTAGACAATTCGATTACAGTAAAAAGTGGTAATTTTTTGTTTTAGGCATTTGGCAGCACTATTGTAATTAATCCTGAAAAAGATAAAACCATGGTTCAAGAATTGCTGGATTTTAAAGATAAGGTTGACCATATAATTGATATCTGCTTTCTGAAGAATGAGAAATTTATCAATGCCATGAAAGAAGCATTTGAAACGTTCATTAACAAAAGACCAAATAAACCAGCTGAACTTATAGGTATGTTTTCCAGTCCTTTTTCCAGTTGTTTAATGATGTTCTTTGAGTCATAAAATCTCAATCTGAAATTTTTACCAGGTTGTAGTATTACTAATTCCTGATTTGTTTGAGGTTGCTTAGCTGGTATATCAAGTTTGAAGAGTGTTTCTAAAAACCTGGATGTAAGTACTGAAAGCCCACATGTCAAACATAATGTGCTTTCTTTCAAAGACAGTACGTTGGACACTATTTACCTTTATTGATAATAAGCTAATCTGTTTTCCTAGCCTAATGATTTAAAAATGAGGCAGGGTGTTATTTCAAGCTACAAAAAAGGGCAGCATGAAATTACAGTTGTCAGTGAAAAAGAAAAAAGTCCAGGGCAAAAATAAACCTAATAATCTGGGCCCATTTAGCATAAGGATGTGATATACACTACAGTGCTTCTCAGGTTTTTCCACCCAAGTACCCTTAGTGTCAGAGGAGGAGGTAACCTGAGAAGGTCTAGGGTCCTCTGCCAAAAGGATGAAATTTTGTTGCAACCTATCTACTATGTATCCGTAAACATGTAGCAAATTTTACCTTCTACTCTACGATGTATCTGGTTTATTTTAATAGAAAAGTAATGTTTAAGATTGCTTACTATTCCTATAAAATGGATACTCCAGAAGATTCCTCATGTCTTTTCGTGGCTTGGATTACATGATGCCCTCACAGGGCTACATGAGACCTCCCCCACAGGATATCCGTATCCTATTTTCATAAACATCAGTATAGTGGGAAGTACATTTGATCTGGAGTCAGAACACTTGGGTTTGTGTTCAGGCCCTGATGTTATTAGCTCTATGGCACTGAACAAGTCAGTTGATCTTCCTGACTTTGGAGACTTTTAAAAATGCATATAAATTTCTGAAGTATTGAAAAACTCAGTGTATCATACTCCTCTTTGGGTATATATAGTGCCCAGTACCTCGTGTATTCCCCGGTTATTAAACAACAAACTTTTCCCCCATTTTAGCTAAGTATGTAGATTCAAAACTTCGTGCAGGCAACAAAGAAGCTACAGATGAAGAACTTGAGAAAATGTTGGATAAAATTATGATCATATTTAGATTTATCTATGGTAAGTATTTACTAATGTTTTAATATTTTTCTTTTAAAATAGCACTCAACAGAGAAGCTAGCAAGTATATTCAAACTGGAGGGAATATTTATTTGGAAATTACAGATTTAAAATTGTGTTTAATTCATTGGGGGGATACGTGAGGAATGTTACCTGATTGTCCTATGCTTTGGCTCTTCTAGTATTAAGTGCCTTGATTTTTGCTACTTGGCTTAATCTCTTAAATATTGGCACCAAAGCTACCAGTCCACAAAAGCTTTTCTGAAGAAAAGTTAATGCAATCAAGACAGTTACATGCAAAAAAGTTTTACAATAAAGACTTCGAAATGTCTGGCACAAAAATGGATCTCTACTGTTTCTTGCATTTAACAAACTTAAATAAAATGTGTAAAGTAAAATAACTTGGAATAATGGTGTGCTTTATTAAAGCACTTTAAAGCAGTTTTGTCAGTACTTTTTATTGGAATATTATAAATTTTGCATTTCTTTTTACATAGGCAAGGATGTTTTTGAGGCCTTCTATAAGAAAGATTTAGCCAAGCGCCTGTTAGTCGGAAAGAGTGCATCTGTAGATGCTGAAAAATCAATGCTGTCCAAACTTAAACATGGTAGGTTTCTCATTCTTTCTGTTCCTTTTCTTTGATTCCTGAAGGAGAATGTTAGCTTTTTACCCTTTCAATCGATTTCCTCTTTTGTCACTCATGTCTATGTATATATGATGAAAACATAAATTGAGCAAGCTCCTGAGGTTTCCAACTTATTGTACATAATATCCAGAGTTGTTTTTTTTAAGATAAAGCATTGTTCTTGGTTTTATTATTTGTATAAAAATTTCCCATTTATTTTATACCTAAATAGTAGATAAGGTTACTACAGGATTAAAGAGTTTGACTCTGAATTAATGGGGCATACACTTTGGGGTAAGGATTTCTTTTTATTCTTATGAAAGTTACAGATCATACTTCATACTAAAGTTTTGTATTTCGTGTTTCCCACTTTTAAACCTCTTTTGTTTTTACCACTTTAAAATATTATACATGTACAAACATCTTTAATAGAATGCGGAGCTGCTTTCACCAGCAAACTTGAAGGAATGTTTAAAGACATGGAACTTTCTAAAGACATCATGATTCAGTTCAAACAGGTAAAAGTGAGTTAAACTCTTAATTCCTCAAACTTAGTTGTATTTAGTTATCTGCTTGCTATGATTTGTACTAAAGAGGATAAATAGAAACGTGTTTGTTGTAATTCATGGCAACTGAGGTGATATTCACAGTAGAAAAAAAAATTGGTGAAATATAAGTATATTTGACCTACTTTAGGATTTATTTTTGACAAACACCCAGAATAACACAAAAATAAAAATAAAATGTATTGAACTGAAGTCAGTACAAGAAGAGCTATAGTGGGAAAAGGGCTTTCCTCAGCATCTTATCGTTTGGTAATTTGCATGTTCAGAGCTTGCAATGGGGAGAGAGGAGAAGTGATAATGCAGCTGTATAAAAGCCTTTGGGGACATTGGGGATAGAAAGCTAGATCCACAGTTTTGAAGATGTAGGTAGAAAGTAGTTTTGAAATGTTTAAGATCATAGGTGATAATGATGGCAAATTAGATTTTCCTCTTTTGGGTTTTAGTAGTGACTTCTTTACCCCACAGTGTTGCTAAGGTGGGAAGTGGAAGTGAAAGAATTAAGAAAAAATCAGGGTCAGTAAGATTATGGATTCTATAGTAGCTACAGAATAGGGCTTATCTGCTTTGCCCTTTTCCCCTCTTTTTCCTTCCCTACTCCAGGTCACTCCCTGCAGACAGGCAGTGGAGCAAGTGAAAAACTGGAGACTTGGGCTGGCTGGGGGGTGAGGAATGGGGGTTGCTGCAAGGTGTTTAAGCCACATAGGGGTATTCAAAGGTGGGGACTGCAGGTGGTATTGGGGAAAAGAATGGAGAAGAGATCCTATAACGGCCCAGCTGTATGTGAGAAATTATTTAAGTTGATAACGCCTGTAATGAGGTCATGTGATCCTTGTATGCCTTTGTATCAAAATGTTAACCTCTGTACTTGCCTAGTGCATTTTGTGTAGGTTTCATTTAAAGTCTTCTTAATAGTTGCCTTTTATTTTAAGGATGGTCAGTGTTTGCATGTAATTTCATAACAGGGAACTTCTTAAATAGGTTATTATGATATGAAATGTATGCAGTTTTAAGATCTCAGTGTGTGTTTTGATCTTCTTATAGTATATGCAGAATCAGAATGTTCCGGGAAATATTGAGTTAACTGTGAATATCCTGACAATGGGCTATTGGCCGACATATGTGCCTATGGAAGTTCATTTACCACCAGAGGTAAGAGTTACTGTTTAGAACTGAGTTATAGGCATAGAAATCATAGCATTTCCATTTTGCTTGTCATTTAAAAATAGATACTTAGAAAAAAATAGAGACCCAGGGTCTCGCTGTATTGCTCAGGCTGGTCTTGAACTCTTGGGCTCAAGTGATCCCCCCCGCCTCAGCCTTCCGAAGTGCTGGGATTACAGGTGTAAGTCACCAGGCTTGGCATGGATACTTTTAAAAGTGTATGTCAGTAAGCGCACCAACACCAAATACCAACTGCTTTAATGTTTTACTTTTGTACTTAGAAGTCCAGTTAAGCACATAGCTAATAATGCCAAATTTCTGGGTTCAGGGTCAATTTCCCTGGCTCTTCTTCCATCTTCCCAGGTTATACCCCTCACTCTACCTAGCTATTAAGAATTCTTGCACATATTTCACCCATAGGTGGGATTGCTAAATGATGGGTCCTTGATTAAATCTATCCTGACTCCTGGTAAACTGTCTAGTCCAGGACTGAAGCCCATAAAAGGGATTAAGGCTAGACAGATAGATATTGAGAATCCTCCATGGAGATGATTATGAAGGCCCAGGGAGTAGATTTCTCTCAAAGAGGAAGAAAAAACAGCAGAGGCAGAACTTTAGAAAAGGCTCACATTTGGCAGATGGTAGAAAGAGGAACCTGTGAAGGAAACCAATGCAGAAGCAACAGTGAAATAAAGGAAGCAGCATAGTGCAGAGGCACAAAAGCTGCTGCAGGTGAATGTTTCAAAAGAGGGGATGATTAAATGTTCAGAGAGAGCAAAAGGTATAAATCCTAATAAATCCCATTTGATTTGGTGGTTGGGAGATCATTGTTTTTCATCAAAGTGATTGGTGGACCTACTGGATATAGTCTTAAAATTTTCCAGAAACTATATCACATGAGGTAAGTATAAAAATGGTAAATGTGGTATTGGATACAGAGCTTAAATAAAGCCTTATTTTATTTACTTTAGATGGTAAAACTTCAGGAGATTTTCAAGACATTTTACCTAGGCAAACATAGTGGCAGGAAACTTCAGTGGCAGTCAACCCTAGGACACTGTGTGTTAAAAGCAGAATTTAAAGAGGTAAGTGGATGTTCCCAAAACTTTTAGTTTTCATCTTTATCTTTAATGTTTAGGTCATCCTTCTTAACTGAAAGTTTAGGCTATTGTTTTTTGTTTTCTTCTTTTTTTTTTTTTTTTTTTTTTTTGAGACAGAGTCTCACTCTGTCACCAGAGTGGAGTGCAGTGGCGCTATCTTGGCTCACCGCAACCTCTGCCTCCTGGGTTCAGGTGATTCTCCTGCCTCAGCCTCCCGAGTGGCTGGGACTACAGGCGTGCGCCACCATACCCAGCTAATTTTTTTTGTATTTTTAGTGGAGACGGGGTTTCACCATGTTGGCCAGGATGGTCTCTGTCTCTTGACCTTGTGATCCACGCGCCTCGGCCTCCTAAAGTGCTGGGATTACAGGTGTGAACCACCGCATCTGGCCAGTTTAAGCTGTTGTTTTATAATTGTATCCTAGATATCCGCATGATGACAGTGATAGTTTGTCATAGCTTTATGTATTTTTAAGTAATTTTAGGTGTGTGGTCTTTCCACGATTGATTTGGCCCTTCTGCAAAATGAAAAGCAGTGAACTTTCCCCCTACCCTTTCCTCACCTGTGGATGAAAACTGTACACTGCCACTTCCTATTTTTATTTATTTGTTTATTTTTAGAGATAGGGTCCCACTCTGTCACCCAGGCAGGAGTACAGTGGCACAATCATAGTTCACTGTAACCTCAAACTCATGGGCTCAAGCTATCCCCCTGCCTCCGCTTCCTAAAGTGCTGGGATTACAGGCATGAGCAACTACACTTAGTCTAACACTGCCACTTCTTGACAGAAATCTTGTTGCTGGGAGCTACGAATAGAGTGGGAGTTAAGGGAAACAGTGTGCAATATCTAATCTCAAAAAACTTTAGCTTTTCATGACTAATCTGAGCCAAACAAATCAAAAATACATTTGAAATAGTGATTTCTTGCTGCTTGTGATGAATATCTAGAATGACACATAAGGCTGATTAATTTTCATTACTGTATTCTATTTATAAGGCTTAAAAAAAAACTGTTAAAAGGTCAGCTAATCCTTCCCCCTATTTTAGGTAGGGTCACACCTAAACCTCACACTGAAATACTGTATTACCACGTCAAGTGGCTTTGCTGGATAATGCTAATCATGTTTCTAAATCCACTAATTGAAAAATGCTTTTCCTATAAGAGATGATTAATTTTTCATGTGTTTTTAAAAAAGTGATGACTAAACACTTTTATTTCTTCAACAGGGTAAAAAGGAACTCCAGGTCTCTCTTTTTCAAACACTGGTGCTGCTAATGTTTAATGAGGGAGAGGAGTTCAGTTTAGAAGAGATCAAGCAGGCAACTGGAATAGGTTTGTAGCAAACATTAATTGTTCACTATGTGCACACCACTATGTTAAGAGGTCTGGGGGACATATTTATAGGAATAATTCCTTGCCTCAGAACTGTTTTGAGTTTTTTTTTTCTTTTTTTTTAATGAGACAGGGTCTCACTCTGTCACCCAGGCTGGGGTCCAGTGGTACAATCATGGCTCAGGCTCAAGTGATTCTCCTGCCTCAGCCTGCCAAGCAGATGGGACTACAAGTGCATGCCACCGTGCCTGGCTAATTTTTAAAATTTTTTTTTGTAGAGACAGGGTCTCACTATGTTGCTTAGCCTGGTCTCAAACTCCTGGGCTCAAGGGGTCTTCCTGCCTCAGCCTCCCTAAGTACTGCAATTACAGGCATGAGCCCCTGCAGCCAGCCAGAACTCTTTTTTTTTCCCCTCAAGACGGAATCTTGCTCTGTCACCCAGGCTGGAGTGCAGTGGCGCGATCTCGGCTCACTGCAACCTCTGCCTCCTGTGTTCAAGCAATTCTCCTGCCTCTGCCTCCCGAGTAGCTGGGATTACAGGCGCCTGCCACCACACCTGGCTAATGTTTGTATTTTTAGTAGAGACGGGGTTTCACCATGTTGGCCAGGCTGGTCTCGAACTCCTGACCTCGTGATCCGCCTGCCTCGGCCTACCAAAGTGCTGGGATTACAGGTGTGAGCCACCGCGCCTGGCCAGAACTCTTTATATAACCATAGGGAAAGGGGGAAATGACACTTGAAATAATGTCAAAACCCATAAGTACTGGCTTGTGGTACTGACTATAAGTGTGGTAAGAGTGCAACAAAGCAAGAGATCACCGTGGACTGGCACAATTGGGAAAGCTGTCATGAAGCAAGTGGCATTTGAGCTGGGCCTTCAAGTTTTGGTCAGGGAGAAGGCATATACAGCAAGGGGAAATATTTTGAGATGAGGTTGGGAGGTAGGAATGGGCACAGTATAGGCCCATGAAGAGCTTAATTGTAGCATAGAATCATGAAGAATCATGAAGAGCTTAATTGTAACATAGAATAGTGAGTTAAAAAATTAGGTAAGATGAGTAGGGCCTGATTGTGGAGAACCTGATAAGTCTAGCAAATGAAACCTACACTGTAGTGTCTCAACTATGTGGCATGGTGGAAGTAATTATTTGGACCACTTACTGAAATCAATCTACAGGGCAACTGGAAGGATCAAGGGATTCCAGTTTAGATGCTATTGGGATGATTCAGGCATAAAGTAGAAGGGACTTAGACTAGAATGAGACCATGAAAATGGAGAAAACTCATCTCTGCGGAAGCAGCGGCTAGCTATTATGTTGAGGATGAAGGAGAAGGAAAAGTTAAAAGATGATTTTAGGGTTTCCCAACTGAGAAGGTTAGTGGTATCACCACTGACAATTGGAAAGAGGACACAGTTATATGGAGATGATGAATCAAATTTTGGACGTAACTACAGTTGATAGTAAAACAGCCAGGCGGAATTGCCCTTTAAACGTGCAACTGGAGAGAAGTGAAATGTCATTTTGGAATATTTGGTAGTTGCCCACATGGTATGATAATTGACGTCTTTAAAAGAGGACTAGGGGCCGGGCGTGGTGGCTCACATCTGTAATCCCAGCACTTTGGGAGGCCAAGGCGGGTGGATCACTTGAGCTCAGGAGTTTGAGACCAGCCTGGGCAACATGGTGAAACCCCGCCTCTATTTTTTTTAAAAAAGAAGAGGACTAGGAAAAAAGCCATTGGCTAGAACAAAGAAAAGTTGTTGGTGACCTTTGGGAAAAAATGAAATAGTTTTAATAGGGGGATGGAGTGGAAGCTAGATTGAGGTAGAATGTCGTAGTTGTTCATGCTGGTAACAAATAACTAAACCTCTGTTTCTTCTTCAGAGGATGGAGAGTTAAGGAGAACACTGCAGTCATTAGCCTGTGGCAAAGCTAGAGTTCTGGCGAAAAATCCAAAGGGCAAAGACATTGAAGATGGTGACAAGTTCATTTGTAATGATGATTTCAAACATAAACTTTTCAGGATAAAGATCAATCAAATCCAGATGAAAGAAACGGTATTTCTTTCACTTTCTCTTAGTCCTAACACACTGGAATTATACATGTTAATAATCAAAATATATAAAGATTTTTATACCTGTAATACTGCCAATACCATTAATATTTTTTGTGTCTATGTCCAGCTAAATATGTTTCCTGATTTGATTTTGGGTGTTTGGGAGAGTGGTTGTACAGGATTGAGATGATACTCAACATAGTTTCATATCTTACTTTGTTTATTTAGTATTCAATCTTTAGAATTTTTCCATGCCATTAAATAGCTTCGAAAAATGGCAGATGGCAGTGTAATATTTTTACATGGCTCTTATAGTTTGTTCAACCACTGTTCATTTTGGGGCAATTAAATTCATGACTTATTAGTATTATAAATAAGATTGCAAGAAACCTCTTTGAAACTAAATTTTAATCTCTGATATATGATAAATTTGTGGAAGTAGATTTTTTTGGGTTAAAGGGTATGAACATTTTAGGAGTCTTAGTACATAATGTCATATTGTGTTCCGGAAAGGCTGGACCAGTTTATACTCTGTCCAGCAGCATATGAGAGCCTGTCTTACTATGTCCCCCAGCACTAAAGATTATATTTTCTTTTGCCAACTTGCTTGGTGAAAAATCTGAATTGATTTATTCACTATTTATTTGATTAACAGTGAAGGTGGGCCAGGTACGGTGGTTCACACCTGTAATCCCAGTACCTTGGGAGGCCGAGGCGGGCAGATCACCTGAGGTCAGGAGTTCAAAACCAGCTTGGCCAACATGGCGATACCCTGTCTCTACTAAAAATACAAAAATCAGCTGGGCGTGGTGGTGCGTGCTTGTAGTCCCAGCTACTTGGGAGGCTGAGGCATGAGAATCACCTGAACCCGGGATGTGGAGGTTGCAGTGAGCTGAGATCGCGCCACTGCACTGCAGCCTGGGTGACAGTGAGACTCTGTTTAAAAAAAAGAAAAAAAAAACAAAAACAGGGAAGGTGAATATTTTGTTTGTTTTTGCCATTTGAATTTGTAAGAGACTTCCAACTGCAGCATCCTGAAACTGATGGTTTCAGTTCCAATAAGGTTTAATGCAATATTTGAAAAAAAAAAAATTTTTTTTTTGAGGTGGAGTCTCACTCTGTCACCCAGGCTGGAGTCAGTGGCACGATCTTGGCTCACTGCAGCCTCCGCCTTCCAGGTTCAAGCGATTATCCTGCCTCAGCCTCCTGAGTAGCTGGGACTACATGCGTGAGCGACCATGCCCGGCTAATTTTTGTATTTTAAGTAGAGATGGGTTTTCACCATATTGACCAGGCAGGTCTTGAACTCCTGACCTCATGATCCGCCCATCTCGGCCTCCCAAAGTGCTGGAATTATAGGTGTGAGCCACTGAGCCCGACTGAAAAAATTTTAATGTAGGACAGCGACCAGTATCTCCAAACAAGTTCCTGTCATTTTCACATACACATCAAAGACAGGATATTTTCTTAAAGGATTACCATGTCCTTACTTTTAAAACATTTATGCTGTACCAGGAAGAAACTGCTGCAAAAAGGCCAAACTGTTTTTTTGGTTTAATTACTAAAGATGAACATTTTTACTTTAGCATCAAGATTGGTAAACCGCCTCCTAAATACCTACATTTCTGTAAGTCTTGAAGGATTGTAAGCACTAATGGCATGCATGTCTGATTTATATATTACAAAATAAAAATTAATTTTCAAAGAGGTTGACTCTTAACTAGTTTGCTTAGCCAGTTAATACCATGCCTTGAGTCAGAGATCAGACAGAGTCACCTTATAGACAAGCTATTGTCATAGAGAAATCTGGTTAACAATCCATTGAAACTGATACACACATTTAGAAGATATATCAAAGACAGAGTAAAAAAACAAAATGGTAAATTCCACATCAGCTATCTCTACTTCTAGAAAAGCAATTCAAAGATGATGTTTTTCTATTAACTAATATTAGCATTACTTCATTGGTATAGGGCAATATAATCAGAACAGAAAGGAGTTATGTTTGTAGGATTTTTCTCTGTCAGCATCTATATTTATAAGACCCCATTTAGATAATTCAGTACCTTTAAAGCAATAACAATGTCATGTCCCTAAAATGCACAATTTATGTAAATAGTCAGGTTTTGCTTCTGGTATAATTCCTAGGTTTAAAACTTTTTTGTTAGGTTGAAGAACAAGCAAGCACTACAGAAAGAGTATTTCAAGACAGACAGTATCAAATTGATGCTGCAATTGTTCGAATTATGAAGATGAGAAAGACACTTAGCCACAATCTCCTTGTTTCAGAAGTGTACAACCAGTTGAAATTTCCAGTAAAGGTAGGTACTTCTGTGTTTTCCTATTGAGCGTGTTATAAATAAAAGAAAGTACATTAGATTTTCAGACACAAATCTTGCAAACATAAAGCGTCATGACCATTTAGAGAGAGAAAAGTTTTAATTTCCCATGTTGATGCATATGATTTCCAAAAAAAAAAACTTTGTTGGCATATGTGGGCAGCAGTGACAAAAGGGAAAAATAACAGAAAAGCCTGGATACCTGAAAGTTTAACTGCTAAATGAGTGTTTGAAATTTTCAAGTTTATTCACTATATTTCTTTTGAACTTCTTGGTTGGTTATTTACTTCTTTTCCTCTTGAAATACCATGGTATTTATTGAAATACCATGGTATTTGACAGATTTAGTTATTGTGGATTGAGTTAAATCTCCTGTTTAGTTAGCTTATATAAGAGATCATCTGTTAAAAACCATACAGATAACTAGTCATGATTAAGCATCTTTTTGAAAAGTGTAGTGATAGTTCTGGTAAACTGAAATTGGTCATTAAATGGAAACGTTCCATTGTGAATGACCAATAATAAAGTCACTTAATGTGATGTTGTACTGGCCTTTTTTCCAAGTTTTAGGAGGTAGATAGCCAAACCCTTGGATGATAAACATTGATAGAGTTTGAATAGACTGCTAGCTATTAGGGTTCTTATGAGCTTTGGACTTTCATAAATCACTTCACCATGCTGATCTTGTTTCCTCTTTTGTAAAACTGAGATAATAATAGTACTTACCTTGTAGGATTATTGTGAGGTTTAAGTGAGATCATGAATGTAAAAATCTTAGCACTGGACCTGGTACATAATAAGCACTCGGTAGCTCTTAGTTCTAATAAGGTAAGCATTTTCTTTTCTCCAAACCTAATATCGCACTCCTCATTACCACCCTCTCACCCTCATGCTCTGCTTAATAGTCATTTCACCTCAAGCCAGAGAGATCACTGATGCTGGGGAAATTAGGGGATCGCTGTAGTTAATATTGTGCTGATATTCTAGGTCTTTCACCATAATTAAGAGAAGTCATCTGATTTCCCAACCTTGGGATTACTGGATAAAATTTTCACTGCTGTATCAGACTACTTCCCCTCTTTTCCCCTCTTGAACAAGTGGTCATTTTACTTATCCTGAAAAACTTTCTATTAGCAAACAAGATTATATTATATTTACAGACTAGATACATAAGATATATAGTGGAATTTTGTCATCCAGGAGCTTAGAATGCAATCATGAAGATAAAGCTACAAGCTTTCTTGATTACTTTTAAATCACAGGATGCAGAAATCCAAGTCACTTAGATGCACTAAACCAGAAATATGAAGATCTAAATTATGAGGTACTTCATTTATCAAGCCATTTCATGTAGTTTTTTTTTGAGATGGAGTCTCGCTCTGTCATCCAGGCTGGAGTGCAGTGGCATGATCTTGGCTCACTGCAGCGTCTGCCTCCCGGGTTCAAGCAATTCTTTTGCCTCAGCCTCTCGAGTAGCTGGGACCACAGGTGCGCACAATCACGCCTGGCTAATTTTTGTGTTTTTAGTAGAGACGGGGTTTTACCATATTGGTCAGGCTGGTCTCGAACTCCTGACCTCATGATCTGCCCACAGCCTCCCAAAGTGCTGGGATTACAGGCATGAGCCACTGCACCTGTCCAGTATTCTTTTAAATAGTGATTTTTTTTTTTTTTGAGATGGAGTCTTCTTGCTCTGTCACCCAGGTTGGAGTGCAGTGGCGCGATCACGTTTCACTACAACCTCCACCTCCCGGGTTCAAGCAATTCTCCTGCCTCAGTCTCCCTGGTAGCTGAGACTACAGGCGCCCACCACCACACCTGGCTAATTCTTGTATTTTTAGTACAGATGGGGTTTTGCCATGTTAGCCAGTCTGGTCTCAAACTTCTGACCTCAGGTGATCCACCCATCTTAGCCTCCCAAAGTGCTGGGATTACAGGCATGAGCCACCACACCCGGTCTAAATAGTGATTTCATCAGTACGTTTTAAATCTTAATTTATAAAAATGAAGCCAACTAACTCTTGCCCAAAGTAAAGGTGTGCTTCATGAACTATCTTGACAAAACTAGTATTCTGTGTCCTTAAACTACCTTACAGTGCTCATGTGAAGTTACAATAAATGTAGTCTTTTGTATTTAACCACGCGAAGGGTAGCTGCTTCTGGCATGACCTCTTTAAAATAGAAAAGTAATAGAAAGTATTCCGTAACAATATGACAAGGATGTGACAGTTTAATGTATGTATAGTATATAGTACAGGTTGAACACCTTTAATGAGAATCCAAAATCTGAAATGCTCTAAAATTGGAAACTTTGAATGCCAACATGATGCCACAGGTGGAAAATTCCACACTTTACCTCATTTGACAGGTTGCAGTCAAAACTTTGTTTCATGCACAAAAGGTATAAAATTATCTTCAGGCTATGTAAGGTATGTATGAAACATAGATGAATTTTGTGTTTAGACTTGGGTCCCATCTCCATGGTATCTCACTATGTATATGCAAATATACCAAAATGAAAAAGTCAGGACCAGGCATGGTAGCTCACACCTGTGAGTACTGGGATTCCAGTACTTTGGGAGGCTGAGGCTGGGGGGATTACTCCAGAACAAGAGTTTAAGGTCAGCCTGGGCGACATAGCAAGACCCTGTCTATTAAAAAAATTAAAAGCTCCAAAAAAAAATCAAAAATCAAAAACACTTTTGGCGTTAAAGAATCTTCAACATACCTGGGCACGGT
Organism: Homo sapiens; assembly: GCF_000001405.40. Classification (NCBI taxonomy): domain Eukaryota; kingdom Metazoa; phylum Chordata; class Mammalia; order Primates; family Hominidae; genus Homo; species Homo sapiens. The sequence goes on along the minus strand of NC_000023.11, from coordinate 120,527,344 downwards.
GGCTCATCCCTGTAATCCCAGCACTTTGGGAGGCTGAGGCAGGTGGATCACCTGAGGTCAGGAGTTCAAGACCAGCCTGGCCAATATGGTGACACCCCATCTCTACCAAAAATACAAAAATTAGCCAGGCGTGGTGGCTTGTGTCTAGTCCCAGCTACTCGGGAAGCTGAGGCAGAAGAATCACTTGAACCCAGGAGGTGGAGGTTGCAGTGAGCCAAAGTGGTGCCACTGCAGTCCAGCCTGGGTGACAGAGCGAGACTCCGTCTCAAAAAAAAAAAAAAAGAATCTTCAACGTGTATAAAACATTTTTTAACCTGGTTTATTTTCATGATACTTTTCTCTAAAAAAGAGATTTAAATAAATAAAAATTTTAAAAAAGGAGATTAAATTCATGAGCCGAAACTGTTGTCTTTTTAATGGGGTATTAACTAAATGGGCTTGAGCCAATGATAATGAACTTTACATTGAAAATTTGCCTTCTCTTACAGCCTGCTGATCTTAAGAAGAGAATAGAATCTTTAATTGACCGGGACTACATGGAAAGAGATAAAGAAAATCCAAACCAGTACAACTATATTGCATAGAATGTTGGCCTTGCAGCATTTGGTGTCATATGCAGTAGCCAGTGGATAAACTAACCTGTTGATTCAATATTATTTGACTCCTTTTTTACTACCGATGACCAAATGAAGCAGTGTAATTAATGGAAATAGTTGAGTGGACTTTTTCTCAGTGGTTAACATGCCCATTTTAAAGAGTAATACTTACCTTTAAGAAGAATGTTGTTGAACTCTTTGCATGTTATTTAGTATGATGTGCAGAAAACACTTAAGAACGTACCTGGTCTTCATGAATTCCTCTTTGGAACTGGGAAAGAGATCCCTGTGGCTATTAAAAAGGGGGGAGGGTTCTTACACACCATTAATTATGAAGCAAAAGGTTTATTTGCTTAAAATGTCATTTAAAGATACTTAAACTGCATGCAAACTTTATTTACTGTACAGAGTTCTGGATGTATTTATCAAATAGAAAAACCACCCTTGACTTGGTTGTTCACCCGTTTTGTGATTTCCCTTGAAAAGAGAAATGAATTGTCATAGCTATTGATATTTTACTAGGTGATGTTCTGTTACACTGAAAGGGATGTTTTTTAAAAAAAATTATTTGGAAACAAGTTTTCAAGTAGGGGGACAGTTGCTTACATAATATCTTGTATATTCACATCCTAAAAATTTTCATTTATGAGTATGGGATGTGTGTATATGGCTTAGCCCCAAGTTAACTGTGCTGATTAACAAGTACTTATAAAAATAGCTAAAGTAGAAAATTAATGATCAGTTGTACTAGAGGAACATCATAGAAGAGAAAAATCCAACTCTTTATATTAAAAATGAATACAATAAGAAAATTGCAAAAGAGACCAAAATGAACGTGTTTTGTAAATTGTTACAGGAGCAAAAACTTTGCAACTAGTTTTCAACATACTTTAGACTTTAAATGTTGTTTGGACAGTTTTGTCTTCAACTTGGACCAATTGTAGATTGTTACAGGCTTCCTAGGATTTAGCATTCCTATTTTCTCTACCAAAGTTTTTTTTAGAAGCATCCCAACTCTTCTCTTTGTTGATAAATAAGCCTTTCCTGTCATCTTCATTTTAACTTGCTAAAACCCTAGATACAAAGGTCCTCCCTCATTTTTCCCACAGAGCCCCTGTTTGGGAATTTGAGATTCTGTGTCATGCTGGTTTTCCTTTCAGAATTGCTTGAAATCGAGTTCTCTTAGCCACTGGACACCTAGTTTTCAGGAGAATGTCCCAAGATTGTTTATATATACAAAATGGCAAAAGTACTGTTTTTCGAATTGATAATTCAAGCAAAGGCTTCTCTTTACTGTCACTGATTTTTTTTTGTTTTTATTTTGTTTCCTTGTTTCTATTTCCTTGAAGCTTTGAAGGGAGGAGAAGCAGAAAATTTTGTTTATGTTTGTTAAAAATCAGAACTACTTAATGCTTTTTGCCACAGCATATTTCCTTGCCTGTTGGAGCCGTTAGGAAGATTACCTATGTCCTAATCTTCAACCTGAGAAGATTTTTGACTCTTGTGTCTACTGTTGATTGTTTGCTTGAGTTCTCAAAGACCTGTGGCCAGGTATTTTAAAAAGTCGTCTATTTCTTTCTAGTTGCATCAACTTGCACACTGGTGTCTAACTATATGTGGTATTCGGAACTTGTAATTCTTATTGAGCAGCCATTGCCTATATTTTCTCAGCTCCTCACTGATTTCTTTATATGAGCTCAGCTGACAAGCAAATGCAGCTATTTTGTTTACCCTCTCTTCATACCGGACCATCAACAACAGTGTTCTAACTCATCCCTGATGGTCTGTGAGATGTAGACTATTACACAAGATTCAAGTTACTCGTAAGCAACTTTTAGATAGAGTTGGTCCTGTTAGGAGGAGACTCTTGATGTCACCTTCAGTATCTTGAAAGCGGGTCCCCTCCCCGAGGCTCTTAATTCTTTGAAAACTTGATGCTGTTTCAGCTGAAAAATTAGCAAGACTGTTAAAAAAAAAAAGTTGAGGGGAGCTGTTTAAGAAACTGAAAAGTAATTGCAAACTACATTGGATAATTGTGACTTTCAGTTGTTGTTCTGTATCAGTTGAATTTTTGTGCTCTTTTCCCTGTGTACGTGGTGGTTCTATTTTTCTCCAATAAAACTTTTATTTAAAAAAAGTTTCTAGAGAAGATCTTTAAAATTCAAGTATTGTAAGAAAGTTATAAAATCACAGGACTTAAAATCTTCCTAACAACTTCTAATGAACTCACATTTGTTGATTTTGTTATTTTTAAACTTTTTAAAAATTTTGTAATGGTTTTGTGGTAATGCTATAAGAGTATGGGGGAGGGCATGGTTAACAGGGTGAGGAAAATTCCCAGGAATCCTCAAGGTGGATAATTATTCTTAAACATGCGGATACAAGTATAAACATTGCTTCATTCAAATCCTCAGTGTCAAATTGTTTCATAAAGTCAATATGAAATGAGTCTAGATTTGAGTTCAGGGGAGAAGAAAAGATTACTCTTAGTTATGGCATTTGCTCTGCCTTTTCTGTTAATAGTTTTTTGAGTTCTGGGCCAGATACTCTCAGAGTAAGATGTTCCTCAAAGTTTTTGAACCCAGTTCCTGAGTCTGCTTGAATGGTCTTAATATGATGTCTAGCCATACTCTTGAAATTTTTGCTGTGTATGTGAGTGTACAGTTCAGAAAACCAGTTTATCTGGGCATCTGGATCTAAAGATTTGAGAAGTTTGTTTTTTAATCTGGATATTCATAAATCTTTTAAAATGAGCTGGTCTTTGTTTTCATGACCACTCTGTTTAATGCTGTGAATGGCAGGAGTGTTGTGAGCGTGTTCTATTCTCTTATTTACATAAAATTGCCAAAACAAATTGTTCATTAAAAAGAAAAGAGCAGTACTGATGAAAATTTGCATAATTATGCTTTGTAAAATGATATCTTGCTAATGCTTCATTAATGAATATTTTTCAGTGTCCTACAAAAAAACACCTGCTTTACATTTGAATACTGAAGTTTGTTCACCTGCAAACACTTGGTTGAAATCAAACACTTTGCTCAATTATTTTCCTTTTTCCCCTTGCTATTATAAAAAAGGGTATTTCTTCTTTTGAATGGACACATAATGTACCTTTATGTTTAACAATCCTTAGAAGTCATCTCTAGCATAGTGAAAAAGACTCTGACCTTTCTTTTGTAAAACCGTTTCTATTGGATGTAAAATATAAGAATGTGCTGCACTGGCATGTTAGAACTTAATAGTTTTGCCAGCTATAACAACAACAGATCCTCTTCATTTGTTCTCTAATTTCAAAACTTTTCTTTAATTTTTAAATTTTTTATTGTGGTAAAGTACACACAAAATTTACCATTCTAACCATGATAAAGTATACAATTCTGACATTTAGTACATTCACAATATTGTGCAGTCACCATTATGTAGTTCCAGAACATTTTCATCAACTCTAAAGGAAACTTGGCACCAATAAGCAGTCATTTCCCATTCCCCATTTCACCCAGCCTCTGGAAACCACTGCTTTCTGTCTCTATGGATTTGCCTATTCTGGATATTTCCTATCAATGGAATCATTATGTGACTTTTTGTATCTGGTTTCTTTCACTTAGCATGATGTTTTCAAGGTTCCTCCACGTCATATGTATTGATACTTCATTCCTTTTTATGTCTGAATAATAGCACGTTGGACATTTGTGTTGTACAAGGTGTTGGACATTTGTATGGTTTCCACCTTCTGGCTGTTGTGCGTAGTGCTGCTATGAAGATTTGTTTACAATTATCTGTTCAAGTCCCTGTTTTAAAATCTTTTGGGAATATACCTAGGAGTGAAATTGCTGGGTTATATGATAGTTCTGTGCTTAACTTCTCGACGAACCACTAAACTTTTCCACAGCAGCTACACCATTTTCTGTTCCCACCAGCAATGTATTTCTCCAATTTCTCCACATCCTCAACACTTGCTGTTTTCTGGTTTTCAGGTATTATCATAATCATCTTAGTGTGAAGTGGTAGTTCATTGTGATTTTGAATCTCATTTCTTTAATGACTAATAATGTTGACCATCTTTTTATGTGGCTATTGGCCATTTGTATATTTTCTTTGGAGAAATGTCTATTCACATTTTTTGGCTGTTTTTTAAATAGGTTGTTTTTTTATTGAGTTGTAAGAATTCTTTCTATATTCTAATATTTTCTCCAGTTCTGTGAATTGCCTTCTCACTCACTTAGTGGCGACCTTTGCACAAGAGTTTTTAATTTTAATGAAGTCTAGTTTATTTTTTATCTGTTACTTGTGCTTTTAGTGTCATTTTTTTTTTATTTTCACTTATAAGCTGTCTGTATGTCATGGTGTCATATTTAAGAAACCATTGCCAAATCAATGCTCATGGTTTTACCCCTGTGTTTTCTTATAAGAGTTTTACAGTTTTATTTCTTATGTTTAGGTCTTTGATCTCGAGTTAGTTTCTATATATGATATGAAGTAAATGTTTAACTTTATTCTTTTGCATGTGGTTATCTAGTTGTCGCAGCACCATTTGTCAGAGGCTATTTTTTCTCCCATTGAATAATCTTATCAACCCTTGTTGAAGATCAATTGGCCATAGCTGTATGGGTTTATTTCTTTTTATATATATATATATATATATACTTTTAAGTTCTAGGGTACATGTGCACAACGTGCAGGTTTGTTACATATGTATACATGTGCCATGTTGGTGTGCTGCACCCATTAACTCGTCATTTACATTAGGCATATCTCCTAATGCTATCCCTACCCCCTACCCTCACCCCACAACAGGCCCCAGAGTGTGGTGTTCCCCTTCCTGTGTCCAAGTGTTCTCGTTGTTCAGTTCGCACCTATGAGTGAGAACATATGGTGTTTGGTTTTCTGTCCTTGCGATAGTTTGCTGAGAATGATGGTCTCCAGCTTCATCCATGTCCCTACAAAGGACATGAACTCATCCTTTTTTATGGCTGCATGGTATTCCGTGGTGTATATGTGCCACATTTTCTTAATCCAGGCTATCATTGATAGACATTTGGATTGGTTCCAAGTCTTTGCTATTGTGAATAGTGCCACAATAAACATACGTGTGCATGTGTCTTTATAGCAGCATGATTTATAATCCTTTGGGTATATACCCAGTAATGGGATGGCTGGGTCAAATGGTATTTCTAGTTCTAGAGCCCTGAGGAATCGCCACACTGCCTTCCACAATGGTTGAACTAGTTTACAGTCCCACCAACAGTGTAAAAGTGTTCCTATTTCTCCACATCCTCTCCAGCACCCGTTGTTTCCTGACTTTTTAATGATTGCCATTCTAACTGGTGTGAGATGGTATCTCATTGTGGTTTTGATTTGCATTTCTCTGATGGCCAGTGATGATGAGCATTTTTTCCTGTGTCTGTTGGCTGCATAAATGTCTTCTTTTTAGAAGTATCTGTTCATATCCTTCACCCACTTTTTGATGGGGTTTGTTTTTTTCTTGTAAATTTGTTTGAGTTCTTTGTAGATTCTGGATATTAGCCCTTTGTCAGATGTGTAGCTTGCAAAAATTTTCTCCCATTCCGTAGGTTGCCTATTCACTCTGATCGTAGTTTCTTTTGCTGTGCAGAAGCCCTTTAGTTTAATTAGATCCCATTTGTCAATTTTGGCTTTTGTTGCCATTGCTTTTGGTGTTTAGACATGAAGTCCTTGCCCATGCCTATGTCCTGAGTGGTATTGCCTAGGTTTTCTTCTAGGGTTTTTATGGTTTTAGGTCTAACATTTAAGTCTTAAATCCATCTTGAATTAATTTTTGTATAAGGTGTAAGGAAGGGATCCAGTTTCAGCTTTCTGCATATGGCTAGCCAGTTTTCCCAGCACCATTTATTAAATAGGGAATCCTTTCACCATTTCTTGTTTTTTGTCAGGTTTGTCAAAGATCAGATGATTGTAGATGTGTGGTATTATTTCTGAGGGCTCTGTTCTGTTCCCTTGGTCTATATGTCTGTTTTGGTACCAGTACCATGCTGTTTTGGTTACTGTAGGCTTGTAGCATAGTTTGAAGTCAGGTAGCGTGATGCCTCCAGCTTTGTTCTTTGGGCTTAGGATTGACTTGGCAATGCAGGCTCTTTTTTGGTTCCATATGAACTTTAGTTTTTTTTCCAATTCTGTGAAGAAAGTCATTGGTAGCTTGATGGGGATGGCATTGAATCTATAAATTACCTTGGGCAGTATGGCCATTTTCACGATATTGATTCTTCCTATCTATGAGCATGGAATGTTCTTCCATTTGTTTGTGTCCTCTTTTATTTCGTTGAGCAGTGGTTTGTAGTTCTCCTTGAAGAGGTCTTTCACATCCCTTGTAAATTGGATTCCTAGGTATTTTATTATTTTTGAAGCAATAGTGAATGGGAGTGCACTCATGATTTGGCTCTCTGTCTGTTATTTGGTGTATAAGAATGCTTGTGATTTTTGCACATTGATTTTGTATCCTGAGACTTTGCTGAAGTTGCTTATCAGCTTAAGGAGATGTTGGGCTGAGATGATGGGGTTTTCTAAATATATACAATCATGTCATCTGCAAACAGGGACAATTTGACTTCCTCTTTTCCTAATTGAATACCCTTTATTTCTTTCTCCTGCCTGATTGCCCTGGCCAGAACTTCCAACACTGTGTTGAATAGGAGTAGTGAGAGAGGGCATCCCTGTCTTGTGCCAGTTTTCAAAGGGAATGCTTCCCGTTTTTGCCCATTCAATATGATATTGGCTGTGGGTTTGTCATAACTAGCTCTTATTATTTTGAGATATGTCCCATCAATACCTAATTTACTGAGAGTTTTTAGCATGAAAGGCTGTTGAATTTTGTCAAAGGTCTTTTCTGCATCTATTGAGATAATCATGTGGTTTTTGTCATTGGTTCTCTTTATATGCTGGATTATGTTTATTGATTTGCATATGTTGAACCAGCCTTGCATCCCAGGGATGAAGCCCACTTGATCATGGTGGATAAACTTTTTGATGTGCTGCTAGATTCGGTTTGCCAGTATTTTATTGAGGATTTTTGCATCGATGTTCACATGGCCGGGTACCCCTCTGAGACGAAGCTTCTAGAGGAACGATCAGGCAGCAACATTTGCTGTTCAGCAATATTCGCTGTTCTGCAGCCTCCGCTGCTGATACCCAGGCAAACAGGGTCTGGAGTGGACCTCCAGCAAACTCCAACAGACCTGCAGCTTAGGGTCCTGACTGTTAGAAGGAAAACTAACAAACAGAAAGGACGTCCATGCCAAAACCCCATCTGTATGTCACCATCATCAAAGACCAAAGGTAGATAAAACCACAGAGATGGGGTTTATTTCTTAATTCTATTCCATTCTTCTTATATGTCCGTCTTACACTGGTGCTACACTGTTTTGATTACTATAGCTTTTTGGTAAATTTTGAAATCAGAAAATGTGAATGTTTCACCTTTCCTCTTTTTCAAGATTGTTTTAACTATTTAGGTGCCTTACATATAATTCCATATGGATTTTAGGATCAGCTTTTTCATTTCTGCAAAAAAGGCCATTGGGATTTTGATAGGGATTGCATTGAATCTATATATCACTTTGGGGAGTATTGTCATCTTAACAATATGAAGTCTTCTAATCCATGAACAAAAGATGTCTTTCTGTTTTTAGGTATTTAAAATTTTTTTTTCAGTAAAGTTTTATATATGTCAGTGTACTTTTCTTGTCTCTCCCTAATTATGTTCCTAAATATTTTGTTCTTTTTGGTGCTATCATAAATGTAATTGTTTTCTAAATTTACTTTTCATGCTATTCATTGCCAGTGTATACAACTGTATACAGCTGATTTTTGCATGTTTATCTTGTATCTGGCATTTTTGCTGGATTCGTTTGCTAGCTCTTATGAATTTTTGTGGATTTTTAAGGAGTTTCTATTTATAGCATCTTTGCCATCTACAGTTTACTTCTTCCTTTCCATTTTGGGTGCCTTCAATTTCTTGCCTAATTTCTCTGAGTGGAGATTTCAACAATGTTAAATACGTAGCTAAAGTGAGCATTCTTGACTTGTTTCTGTTCTTAGGTGGGAAGCTTTCAGTCTTTCACCATTGAGTATGATGTTACCTGTGGGTGTTTTATAAATGCCCTTTATCTTATTGAAGAAGTTTTCTTTCTCTTTTATTTAGTTTTTTAGAGATGGAGTCTCGCTCTGTCACCCAGACTAGAGTGCTATGATACAGTCATGGCTCACTACAGCCTCTACCTCCTGGGCTCCAGCAATCCTCCCACCTCAGCCTCCCAAGTAGCTAGGACTACAGGCACCTGCCACCACACCTGGCTAATTAACATTTTTTTAATAGAGACAGGGGTCTCACTGTGTTGCCCAGACTGGTCTCGAACTCCTGGCCTCAATTGATCTGCCGTCTTGGCCTCCCAAATTGCTGGGACTACAGGAGTGAGCCACTGCCCGGCCGGAAGTTTTCTTTCATTCTTAGCTTTCTGAATGTTTTTGTCATTAAAGGGTGTTGAACTTTGTCAGATGCTTTTTCTGCATCAATTGAGATGATCATGTGGTTTATTTCCTTCATTCTATTCATGTGGTGTAATACATTGATTTGTTTTCATATGTAGAATCACCCTTGCATTCTTGGCATAAATCCCATTTGGTCATGTTGTCTAATCCTTTTGGTATGTTGTTGGATTTGATTTGCTATTATTTTTTGAAGATCTTTGCATCTATATTCATAAGGAATATTGATCTGTACTATTCTTGCAGTATCTTTATCCAGCTTTAGTATCGGAGTAATGCTAGTGTTATACAATGAACTATCAAGTATTTGGTCTTCTGTTTTTTGGAAGACTTTCAGAAGGATTGGTGTTCATTCTTCTTTAACAGAATTCACCAGTGTGAAAGTCAGAGGATGATGAAAAAAAAAAGAGAATTCACTAGTGAAGCTGTCTGGTACCAGGCTTTTCTTTTGGGGGATGTTTTCGATTATTTAGTATCCTACAGGTCTGTTCAGATTTTCTATTTCTTTTTGCATCAGTTTTAGGTCATTTGTATATTTCTAGGAATTTGTATTTTTTTGTTTGTTTGTTTTTTTCGTGTCTTTTTTTTTTTTTTTGAGATGGAGTTTCGCTCTTTTCGCCCAGGCTGGAGTGCAGTGGTGTGATCTCGGCTCACTGCAACCTCTGCCTCCTGGGTTTAAGAGATTCTCCTTCCTCAGCCTCCAGAGTAGCTGGGACTATAGGCGCACACCACCACGCCCAGCTAATTTTTGTATTTTTAGTAGAGACGGGGTTTTACCATGTTAGCCAAGATGTTCTCGATCTCCTGACCTTGTGATCCACTTGCCTCGATTTTCTCTTAGATATCTAATTTGTTGGCATACAATTGTCGATAGCAATCCTCTTTTCTTTTTTTGAGACAGGGTCTCACTCTTGTCACCCAGGCTGGAGTGCAGTGGCACGATGATAGCTGACTGCAGCCTAGATCTCCCAGGTTCAGGCAGTTCTCCTACTTCAGCATCCCAGGTAGCTGGGACCACAGGCATTCACTACCACACCTAACTAGTTTTTTTTTTTTAATTTTTTTGTAGAGATGGGGTCTTGTTGTATTGCCCAGGCTGGTCTCAAACTCTTAAGCAATCCTCTCACCTCGGCCTCCCAAAGTGCTGGTATTACAGGCGTGAGCCATTGTGCCCAGCCTCATGGCAATCTTTTATCATCCTTTTTAATTCTGCAAGATCAGTAGTAATATCCCACTTTCATTTCTGATTTTAGTAACTTGAGTCTATTCTATGTTTTTCTTTTTTTTTTTTTTTTTTTTTGAGACGGTATCACCCTGTTGCCCAGGCTGGAGTGCAGTGGCACAGTCACAGCTCACTGCAGCCTAAACTCCTGGGCTTCAGCGATCTTTCTGAGTAGCTGGGACTACAGGTGCATGCCACCACACCCAGCTAATTTTTTAAAAATTTTTGCAGAGATTGGGTCTCCCTATGTTGCCCAGGCTAGTCTTGAACTCCTGGCCTGAAGCAATCTTTCCATCTTGGTCTTCCGAATTTCTGGGATTACAGGCGAGAGCCATCATACCTGGTCTATTAGTGATTTCTAATTTTACTCCATGTGGCCAGAGAAGATAGTATATGATTTCAGTCTTGTTAAATCTATTGAGAGTTGTGTGGCCTAACGTGATTTATCCTGGAGAATGTTTCATGTGGAGTTGAGAAGAATGTGTATTCTACTGTTTTGTGTGGAATGTTCTGTATATGTCTACCGAGCCAAGTAGGTTTGTAGTGTTGTTCAGTTTTTCTATTTCCTTATTGATCTTCTGTCTAGTATTATCCATTATTGAAAGTGGGGTATTGAAGTCTTCAACCATTATTGTAGAACTGTCTATTTCTGCCTTCAATTCTACCAGTTTTTACTTCATATATAGTGGGACTGTTAGGTATGTCTGTTTATGATTATTAATACCTTACCCCTATATCAATATATATTATTGTTGTCTCTTGTAATAATACACTTTTTTACTTAAAAGTCTATTTTATCTGACATTAGTGGAGCAACCCTAGCCCTCTTTTGGTTTGGTTTGCTTGCAATGTCTTTTTCCATCCTTTCTCTTTCAACTTGTTTGTGTCTAGAACCTAAAGTGAGTTTCTTGTCGACAATTTATAGTTAGATCTTGGTTTTAAATCCATTCTGCCAATCTCTGACTTTTGAAATTGGAGAGTTTAATTTTTTTACATCTAAAATAATTACTGATGAGGAAGGACTTCTGTCATTTTGCTATTTGTTTTCTATGTATCATATTTTTTTTGTTCCTTAATCCTTTATTACTGCCGTCTCTTGTGTGTGTTTCTTTTTAAATTCATGGGTTTTTTGTTCACTGCTGTACTTGATATATATGAAGTAACAAATACTGCATTTTTACTTATATATTTATTCTTGGTTGAATTAATTTTATAATCATAAACATCTAGTAGAAATAACATAAGCTTACTCGACTAGTAAACTCAGAATAAAAGTTGTGTGTCTGCATTATATTTAATGCTGATGCTGACAACTCTGAAGGCATTTTCTTTTCTTTTTTTTTTTTTTAACTAAACCAACAGTATTATTTACCAAAGATTACCAGTCAAGTGAACTTGAAAAGCATTTGGGTTAGTTCTTCTGTTTTCTAAGAGAATACTTAATTTATGTAAGTTTCTCTTTCTGTCCTTTTTTTTTTTTCTTGAGACAGTCTTGCTCTGTCGCCCAGGCTGGAGTGCAATGGCGCTATCTTGGTTCACTGCAACCTCCGCCTCCTGGGCTCAAGCAATTCTCCTGCCTCAGCCTCCCGAGTAGCTGTGATCATAGGCACATGCCACCATACCTGGCTAATATTTGTATTTTTTGTAGAGATGGGGTTTCGCCATGTTGCCCAGCCTGGTCTTGAACTCCTGAGCTCAGGTGATCTGTCTGCCTCGGCCTCTCAAACTGCTGGGATTACAGGCGTGAGCCACCATGCTCGGCATTTTTTTTTTTTTTTTTTTGGACACGTGGTCTCTGTTACTTATACTGGAGTGCGATGGCAGGATCATAGCTCACTGCAGCCTGGAACTCCTGGGCTCAAGCAATTCTCCTGCCTCAGCCTCCTAAGTAGCTAGGACTACATGCACAAGCCACTATGGCTAGCTAATTTTTAAATTTTCTTTTGTAGAGACGAGGATCTCGTTATGTTGCTGAGGGTGACCTTAAGCAATCCTCCTGCCTGGGCCTCCCAAAGTTCTAAGATTACAAGCCTAAGCACCACACTCAGCCAGGTTTATTTTTCTTAAAGCCAGTGAAGTAGACCTTGTTTACAAACTACATAATACCATGGGGATAGAAAAATGTCATATCTACAGAGACATACATAAACATACAGATACAAACAGATTTTACAGCTTTCATTTAAAAATTTTAGCCATGTATCAGGTACAATAATATGAAACTCACTCGTTTGTAAGAGAATAGCTGTATCTAAATTGTGTTTCTAGCAGATAGAGTAAGTTAAGGTTACCTACTCAGATGGCTAAAGGTTTTTACAAGTATTTGTGGAAAAGACAAGATTCTTCATTTGCCCAATTTCCAAACAGCTCCTTTTTTTTCCTTCAGGTGAGAGTCATCTCCTTGAGATTTTCATTTCAAAAGAGATAGCCCTCAGGCCCTAGAGAAGAAATTTTACATCTCAAAGACACAGAGAAAGGATGAAAGTTCTCTCCTAGGAGTTTTGTAGCATATTTGCCTATTTCCAGAGGTCAGTCATGAGGCTGTGGACTAAAATGTAGGTGACTGAGGAGACACCTAGTGGTTGTCTATCTCCAAAGCCCATCGGAGTGGATGAAATATCCAGTCTATTTCTAACTAGCCTTCCTTTTCTTTTTAGCCTCATGTAATTGCTTTTGGATGTCCCTAAGTCTCTTGAGAGCCAGAGTTCTACAGTTCAAGAGACTAAGGGGCTGGAGTGGGAAGGTAAAAGGTCTCACAGTAGTGGACAGAAGGATGGAGGAGGTAGGGGCTTGGAGGGGGAACAGATCAAGGTTCAAAGAAACTGAATTAAAGATCGAAAGTGGCAGAAGGAGGAGCAGAAGCAACGGGGAGGAAGAGGTCTTAGCACCAGTTTGGGGAGATCTTAAGTTTTCTGAAGAAGCCAATGAAGTTTCAAGTTATTAGCAAAATTGTGTCAACGAAAAGGAGGTGGCCAGAGTTGGCAGAGCATATAGTTTGCAGGATTTTGAGAAAGGAATTTCAGTTGACTGAGGTTTCCATGGAAGGAACAGGATCAAAAAGAATAGAGAATATTCCTGGCAGAATTGAACTCCTTTTTTTTTCTTTTAAACCAAAGGTGTAATCATAATATGTTTCTTGCCCAATGTACACAGCAAATCAATATGCTGAGATGCTGGGTTACAGCAGAGAAAGAGGTTTTTGTTTTTTGTTTTTGAGACGGAGTCTCGCTCCGTCACCCAGGCTGGAGTACAGTGGCACAATCTCGGCTTACTGCAGCCCATGCCTCCCAGGTTCAAGCAATTCTCCTGCCTCAGCCTCCCGAGTAGCTGGGATTACAGGCGCGTTACCACCACGCCCAGCTAATTTTTTTATTTTTAGTAGAGACGGGGTATCACCATGTTGGCCAGGCTGGTCTCAAACTCCTGACCTACAGTGATCTACCTGCCTCAGCCTCCCAAAGTGCTGGGATTACAAGCATGAGCCACTGCGCCCGGCCGAGAAAGAAGTTTAATGGTAGGATAATTAAAGAGATGGGAGGAAACCTCAAATCTATCTCCCCAAGGAATTTGAGGTTAGGGTTTTAAAGGGTTTTGGAGTGGGCCAAAGTGTGGAGATTGTTGATTGGTTGAAGAGTGCAGGATGAAGTCATAGGACTTGGAGATGAAGAAACTGTATTCTTGGCCAGGTTGATGCCTATAATCCCAACACTTTGGGAGCCCAAGGCAGGAGGATTGCTTGAGGGAAGTAGTTCAAGACCAGCCTGGCTAACATAGGGAGACCCCATCTCTACAAAAAATTTTTTAAAATTAGCTGGGTGTAGTGGTATCTACCTGTAGCCCCAGCTACTAAGGAGGCTGAGGCTGGAGGATTACTTAAGCCCAGGAGTTTGAGGCTTTAGTGAGCTATGATTGTGCCACTTCACTCCAGCCTGGCTGAGGAGCAAGACTCTATCTTAAAAAAAGAAACAAGTATATTCTTGTGCTGATTTGGTTCCTCTCTGAGGGTCTTGAAACTGGTTGGCTTCAGCCTTTCCACTAGAATTCAGGATCCTGAGAATATCTTAAGCAGTCTTTAAACGAAAGCCTTATAATTCCAATGTCAGAGATCCTATCTATAGGAACAATGGGAATGCAAATAGTCAGTATCTAGTACTACATGACTTTCAGCAAAAGGAAAGTGGGCCAAAGGGCAGCCTGATTAATTTTTAACTATATTTCTGTCCAGAACCTGGCATGCAATTCATGTCACCCCACTGGGGATATTTTCAGAGTTATATTTATCGAGTGACTTGACCAAAACCAATAAGCCCTTAATGGCTTAACTGTGGGTATAAGGGGTGTCTTCATAGAGGGTGCAAAGATACAGCCCTCCCCCCAACTGCCAAGATCCAGAACCACTCCCAGAGATAGCCAAAAGACAGAGAATCCTCTGAGAGCTGGCAACAGTTGGTAGGACCCTAGATACAAGTAGGGTGCAACCCCCATTTCTGTCCGGCCATATTATTGGGGGCTGCCAACCTTTCAGTTGGCTGCCTGCAAATACAGGCTTGATAACCTGTGTGCCCGGACAGGTAGAAAGCCAAGCTAAGCTTTCAGGACACGAGACCAACAGGAAAGCAAAAGCTGTCTCTGAGAGGGAAAGGATCAAGCCAGAGTCATAATCCAAAAAAATCAATTGGTACAGATGTTTTCCTCCTGCTAATCAAAGTTAGAAAGTAAGGAGCAAAGAAAAGTGTTTGCCTTCCTCTTCTCTACTAGGTGCTACAGACAGATCCAGGAGAGTTGACTTTGGTAAGAATTCTTACCCTTAGCCAGCTTCTGTCAGTTTCCCCGGGATCTCATTGGCAGGTTCCAGAGTGAGCAGGGTACCCCAGAGATCCTATCCTCATCACCAGAAACTCTAGGGGAGGAAAGATAATTTTCTCTCTACCCTTCATAGTTGTTAATTGTGATGGACTCCTGTAACAAAAGATAGATTCACAAGAGAAAAACAGTTTAATAGCTTGTACAGCAGTCCCCCCTTATCTGAGGAGAGTATGTTCCAAGACCCCTGGTAGATGCCTGAAATCACGGATAGTACCAGACCCTATATATACATTTTTTCCTATACATACCTATACTTCATTTATAAATTAGACACAGTAGGAGATTAACAACAATAAAATAGGACAATTGTAACAATTTGCTAGCATTACTACTCTTGTGCTTTGGGGCCATTGTTAATTAAAACAAAGATTACTTGAACAGAAGCACTGCAGTACTGCAACAGTTGATCTGATAACCAAGATGGCTACTAAGTGACTAATGGGTGGTATATACAGTATGGATGTGCTGGGCAAAGGAATGATTTGCATCTTGGGTGGGATGGAGCAGGACGGCATGAGATTCCATCATGCTATTCAGAATGGCATGCAATTTGAAAGTTAGGAATTGTTTATTTCTGGAATTTTCCATGTAATATTCTTGGACCATGTTGACCACAGGTAACTGTACCCAGGGAAAACAAAACTGCTTATAAGGGGGGACTATTATATGCCTCATGTATACATCCAACCAGGGAAGGATGAGTAAATCTCCCCTTCTGTTGTATTTGATTGATTTTTTTTTGTAGTATACCGTTTTGATTCTCTTCTCATTTCCTTTTATGCATATCTTTTTTTTAAATAGAAGCAAAGTATCACTGTGTTACCCAGGCTAGACTAGAGCTCCTGGGTTCAAGTGATCCTCCCTCCTCAGCCTCCTGAGTAGCTGGGAGTATAGGTGCACGCCACCTCGCCTGGCTTATTTTCATATATATATCTTTTAGGGTTTTTTTCTTAGTGGTTACCCTGGGGATTATGATGGGCATCTTAAGTTTACAACTAACTAGTATGAATTAATACTAATTTAGCTTCAATAGTATATATAAAAACTGCTTCTATACAGCTCTACCTCTCCTCCTTTATGTAGTTATTGTCCCAAAGTACATCTTTATATATTGTGTGCCTATTTAGAGATGAAATCTTTCTCAGATTTCTTAGTCTGAAATAGCCAATGAGACATTCTTAAGTTGAAAGCAATATAAATATTGGCACGAGTTGCTTTTAGATATTCAATTGTTTTGTGTTAATTTAAAAATCCCTTCTGTGCATAAACGCATTTTCTTTTCATTAACTATATGTCAGAAGTTTGTTTCGTTGGTTTGTTTTTGTTTGAGACAGAGTTTCACTCTGTCACCCAGGCTGGAGTGAAGTGGCGTGATCTTGCCTCACTGCAACCTCCATCTCCTGGATTCAAGCTATTCTCCTGTCTCAGTCACCCGAGTAGCTGGGATTACAGGCATGCGCCACCACGCCTGGCTAATTTTTGTATTTTTGGTAGAGACGGTTTCACCATGTTGACCAGGCTGGTCTCGAACTACTGACCTCAAGTGATCTGCCCGCCTCGGCCTCCAAAAGTGATGGGATTATAGGCGTGAGCCACCGCGCCCAGCCTATGTGTCAGAAGTTATTTTTTTAAACATTTGGCAGATAGAATTTTTTATTAAGTACAAAGAAATTTTTCCTTTGTTGATTTGTTTAAATCATTGGTGTGTGAATATCTTGTGAAAGCATTTTAAAAAGTGGTCATAAGATTCTTCAGGCCGGGCGCGGTGGCTCACGCCTGTAATCCCAGCAGTTTAGGAGGCCGAGGTGGGCGGATCACCAGGTCAGGAGTTCAAGACCAGCCTTGCCAACATAGTGAAACCCCGTCTCTACTAAAAATACAAAAATTAGCTAGGCATGGTGGCGTGTGCCTATAGTCCCAGCTACTCGGGAGACTGAGGCAGGAGAATCGCTTGAATCCGGGAGGCGGAGGTTGCAGTAAGCTGAGATCATGCCACTGCATTCCAGCTTGGGTGACAGTGTGAGACTTCTTATTAAAAAAAAAATTATTTGTAATGGTTAACATTATACCTAAAAGGGCAGTATGGAATTTGCTGGATTTTTAAAAGATAACACAAGTGAGAAGCAAAGACAAATTTTCTTAGAATCAGGCCTACATAATGAATTAGACTTCTGTCCTAAAACACAAGCAGCAATTCAGACTATGGAATTAGCATCTTTCAAAGGTTTATTTCTAATTCCTCTTTGAGTTAAGGATTATGAGGCAGAAAGATAACTGTATAAGCATTTTCCTCTTTATCTTTCAAACATATTAAATTTTTAACATAATTTATATAATGTTCAGGAATTTCAAGTATCCTACTTAATATGGTTTTTTTTTTTTTTTTTTTTTTGAGACGGAGTCTCGCTCTGTCGCCCAGGCTGGAGTGCAGTGGCGCGATCTCGGCTCACTGCAAGCTCTGCCTCCCGGGTTCACGCCATTCTCCTGCCTCAGCCTCCCAAGTAGCTGGGACTACAGGCGCCCGCCACTACGCCCGGCTAATTTTTTGTATTTTTAGTAGAGACGGGGTTTCACCGTTTTAGCCGGGATGGTCTCGATCTCCTGACCTCGTGATCCACCCGCCTCGGCCTCCCAAAGTGCTGGGATTACAGGCGTGAGCCACCGCGCCCGGCCCTTAATATGGTTTTGCATGTGATTGTTTAAGAGGAAATTAGATATAAACAGGTCAAATGTTTTAACCAAAGATAAGAGTAGTATGAAAACCTCAAGCCTCTTTGAATGCATGAGGCCTCTATTAGCCTTTTCACCCTACTCTCGTGTAGGAACTAATAAATGGAGAGTCACTTCCTTTGCAATTAAAAGGAACAAGAAAAGATTATTTCAAACCAGTATATATAATTCCTACCTAAAACAGATCACTAGATTCTGTCATCTAGGAATGAGTATTTTGGGCATATCAGGCTCTAGTATACACTAGAACATTCTGCTAATTTAATTTCTAATTTATTGTTCTAAAGCACGTCATTAAAATGTACTTTTTATTTTATTTTATTTTTTTGAGACAGAGTCTCGCTCTGTCACCCAGGCTGGAGTGCAGTGGCACCATCTCGGCTCACTGCAACCTCCACCTCCTGGGTTCAATCGATTCCCCTGCCTCAGCCTCCCGAGTAGCTGGGATTACAGGGGCCTGCCACCACACCTGGCTAATTTTTGCATTTTTAGTAGAGATGGGGTTTCACCATGTTGGCCAGGCTGGTCTCGAACTCCAGACTTCAAGTGGTCTGCCCACCTCAGCCTCCCAGACTGCTGGGATTACAGGCATGAGCCACTGCGCCTGGCCTAAAATGTGCTTTTTAGAAGAAAGGAGTGGGATGCAAGAAGCAATGATGACCAAAGTAATTGATGAAATATATTCATATACCTAAATAAGTATTGACTAAAAATAAAAATTACTGATTTTGTTGGGGAAGATTACAATAAGAGTAGCACTAAAATACTAGACAAGCTAACATGGAAGATGGAAGGTAAAAGTTTGGAGTTAAAATGTATTAAGATCTTTGTTTTATTCAAAAGGGGAATAAAGTATATACTAACTTTGGACTGTATGCATATTAAAATTTAAGGGTACCGAGAAATGTCACCCCTAGGTATTTTCCAAGAGGAATGAAAACTAATTCTCACACAAAAGACTGTATGTAAATGTTTATGGTAGTTTTATTTATAATTGCCAAAAACCTGAAACAACCCAAATGTCCTTCAACTGCTGAATGGGTAAATAATGGTACATCTGTGTAATGGAATACTACTACTCAGCAATATACAGGAATGAACTATTGATACATTCAACAACACAAATAAATCTGCAGTTCATTATTTTAAGTGAAAGAAGCCAAAGTCAAAAGGCTACATAAGGTATAATTCCTACATTACATTATGCAAAAGGCAAAACTAACAGTGGAAAACAGATCAGTAATTAGCATGGGTGGGGGTGAGAGGAGGGATATATAAAGGGGTACTAAGAGGGAATTTGAGGCATGATGAAACTCTTTGGCATCTTAATTGTAGTAGTGTTTACACAGCTCTGCATTTGTCAAAACTCAGAGCTGTACAACAAAAATGAATTATACTGTATATAAATTAAAATATATATTTTTAGGCTGACTCAAAAAGAATTAGAATGTCCAACATCCAAACCAGTAGAAGGGGGAAACATGATCAGTGAAACAGGGAAAGAAGGAAAGAAGCCTAGAAAAAGTAAAGTTAATACAAAGCACAAAAATAACATTGGAGAGATAGTTCCAATATAACTAATCAAAAGGCCGCATACAAATCAGAAAGACAACTTACAGTCTGGGAGAAGACATTCATAGTGCATATAACCAACACAGGATTAATATTCAGAAAATATAAGTAGGTTTCATAAGTCAATAAGAAAAACAGGTAAGTTCAAAAACGAGCAAAGAATATGAATAGGGGATTCACAGAAAAGGAAACCCGAATGACCAATACATTAATAAGATCAATCTCACTATGGTCAGAGGAATGCAGAATAAAACTGTAAGGTATTGTACTTCACATGCATCAGATTACCAAAAATGGAAAAGCCTTACAGCATTAAATGATGGCGTGATGAGGAATGTAGTCTCATTTATGGTAGGAATATAAATGGGCACAACTACTTTGAAAAGCAATAGTAATATTTAGTAAGATCAAAGCTGCTGACATCTTATGACTGAGTAATTCTAATCTTAGGATATACATCTCACACTATGTTTGAAAAGAAATCTACAAGAATGTTTATTTCTGTATTGTCTGTAGTGAGTATTAAAAAAATGGAAACAAGCTATGAGTGTTCAACAGAATGGATGAATTGTGTTACATTTATAAAATACAGTGTTATATAACAGTTGAATGAATTAGTACTATATGTGTCAACACAGATAAATGTCTAAAACAATGGCGTGCAAAAAAGCACGGGAAAATACATCCACTGTGATACCATTTATTTAATTTTTTAAAAATTTAAAACTAAATTACTTTTTTAAAATTTAAAAATGTTTATAATATTTGAGGACACATATGAGACGATTTGCTTTACCTAATATCAACAAAGTGAAGAGACAACCCACAGAATGGGAGAAAATATTTGCAAACTGCCCATGTGACCAGGGATTAATAACCAAAGTATATAAGGAGTTCAGACAACTCTAAGAAATATAATCTATTAAAAAAATGGGCAAAAGATTTGAATAGACATTTCTCATCAGAAGACATATAAATGGCAAACAGGCATATGAAAAGGTGCTCAACATCACTGGTCATCAGAGAAATGCAAATCAAAACGACAATGGAATATCATCTCACCGCGGTTAAAATAGCTTATATCCAAAAGACAGGCAATAACAAATGCTGGCAAGGATGTGGACAAAAGGGAACCCTTGTACACTGTTGGTGGGAATGTAAATTAGTACAGTCACTATGGAGCACAGTTTGGAGGTTTCTCAAATAGCTAAAAATTGAGCTACCATATGATCCAGCAATTCTGCTGCTGGGTATATACCCCAAAGAAAGGAAATCAGTATATTAAAGAGATATCGGCACTCCTATGTTTCTCGCAGCAGTGTTTACAACAGCTAAGATTTGCAAGTAACCTAAGTGTCCATCAACAGATGACTGGATAAAGAAAATGTGGTACAGATACAAAATGGAATACTATTCAGCCATAAAAAGAGTGAGATCCTGTCATTTGCAATCACATGGATGGAACCGGAGGTCATTATGTTAAGTGAAATAACCCAGGCCCTGGAAAACTAACATCACATGTTCTCAGTTATTTGTGGGGTCTAAAAATCAAAACAATTGAACTAATGGACATAAAGAGTAGAAGGATGATTACCAGAGGCTGGGAAGCATAGCGGGGGCCTGGTGGGGAGGTGGGAATGGTTAATGGCTCCAAAAATAAAATGAATAAAACCTACTATTTGATAGCACAATAGGATGACTATAGTCACTAATAATTGTACATTTTAAAATAACTCAGTGTAATTGGATTGTTTATTAACTCAGTGGATACATGCTTGAGGGGATGGATACCTCGTTCTCCGTGGTGTGCTTATTTCACATTGCGTGCCTGTATCAAAACATCTCATGTACCCATAAATATACACACCTACTTTGTACCCACAAACATTTAAAAAAAAGAATAAAAGGAATGCTGTAAACAACTTTATGCTCATAAATTCAACAACATAGAAGAACCAATTCTACAAACTATAGGCCACAAACCACAAAAATCACAAATGATCAAAACTGAACCAATATAATCGGAATAGTCCTATAACCATTAAATAAATTGGGTTTATAACTATAAAGCTCTCAAAAAAATAAATCTCCAGGCCCATGTGGTTTTACTGAGAATTCTACCAAACATTTGAAAAAGATTTTACACAATCTCTTCCAGAAAATGAGAAGGAAACACTTCCCAACTCATTTTATAAGGCGATTATTAACCTGATACAAAATTCTAAGACAGTATCGGAAGGAAGGAAGGAAGAGAGGGAGGGAGGGAGGGAAAGGGAAGGAGGGAGGAGAAGGGAAGGGGGAGGGAGGAAGGAAGGGAGGAAGGAGGGAGGGAAGGAAAGGAAGGAAGGAAAGGAAGGAAGGAAGGGAGGGAGGAAGGAAGGAAGGAAAGAAGAAAGGAAGGAAGGGAGGGAGGAAGGGAGGGAGGAAGGAGCCACAGACCAGTATCTTTTGTGAACATAGGCACAAAAACTACTCCACAAAATATTAGCAAATAAAATATAATATTTTATATAAACGACTATACACCATGATCAAGTAGGATTTATTCCAGGTGTTTGTACTTGTCAGGGTTCTCTAGAGAAACAGAACCAGTAGGAGATGAAAAAGAGAGAGAGAGACACACACAAGGAATTGAGGAATAGGCTCATGGAATTATGGAGGCTGAGAAGTCCCATGATCTGTCATCTGTAAGCTGGAAACCCAGGAAAACTGTTAGTATAATTTAGTCTGAGCTTGAAAGTTTGAGAACCAGGAAGCCAGTGGTATAAATCCCAGCCAAAGGGCTGGAGAAGATGAGATGAGATGTCTCAATTCAGGCAAGCAAACAGGAAGCAAAAAGGGCAGTTTTCTTCTTTTTCCACCTCTTGTTCTATTCAGGCCCTCAGTGAATTGGATCATGCTCACCCACATCAGGGCAGGCAATCTACTTATTGAGTTCACTGATTCAAATGATAACCTCACCTGGAAACATCCTCACAGACCCAGAAATAATGTTTAATCTAAGCACCCATGGCCAGTCAAGTTGAGACATAAAATTAGCCATCACAGTACAGGCATACCTGGGAAATGACGCAGGTTCAGTTCCAGACCATCACAATAAAGCAAATATTGCAATAAAGTGAGTCACAAAAAGAAAAAGTCAGTGTTACAGCTTTTAGAATTTGTCTAGCAGGTTTTCTGGAAAACCTTCACAAAAAAAGGAGAAAGAGTGCATATAAAATGCTTATGTTGATACCATACTGTAGTCTATTAAGTGTGCAATAGCATTATGTCTATAAAACAATGTACATACTTTAAAAATATTTTATTGTTAAAACATGCTATCACAGAGACACAAAGTGAGCACATGCTGTTGGAAAAATGGTACTGATAGACTTGCTTAATGCAGGGTTGCTACAAATCTTCAATTTGTAAAAAACATAATATCTGCAAAGCACAGTAAAACAATGTATGCCTGTAGTCAAGCGTGGTTCAATACTCAAAAACCAATGTAATTCACCATATCGATAGGCTCAAGAAAGAAAATCATATTATCATATTCATTGACACAGAGAAAACATTTGACAAAATCCAACACCCATTTATATTTAAAAAAAAAAAAACCTTTCAGCAAGTTAGCATGATAGGGGAACTACCTTAACTTGATAAAAGGCATCTACAAAAACCCTACAACTAACATCACAGTTAATGGTGAAAGAGTAACTGGCTTCCACCTGTTTAGAAACCAGGCATGGATGTTCACTCTCATCACTCATTCAACATAGTACTGGAAACACAACACAATAAGACAAGAAAAAGAAATAAAAAGAACACCGATTAGAAAGGAAGAATAAATCTGTCCTTACCTGAAGATGGCATGCTTTTCTATATAGAAAAGCCTAATGAATCTACCAAGCAAATAAACAACAAAAATCCTCTACAACTAATAGGTGAGCTTGAAAGTTTGCAGGATTCAAGATTAACGTGCAAAAGCCAAATGTATTTCTATATATTAACAGAGAGCATGTGGAAACCAAAATGAAAAACACTATACCATTTATAATTGTTCCAAAGAACAGTACATACTTAGATATAAACTTAACAAAACACATACAGGATCTGTATGGTGAAAATTACAAAATACTAATGAAAGAGATCAAAGAAGACTGAAATAAATGGAGTGCCATAGCATATTTATGGATTAGAATACACAACATAGTAAAGATAGCAATTCTTCCCAAACTGATCTATAGATGTAATGCAATTCCTATCAAAATCCCAGCTAGGCTTTTTGTAGAAATAAACAAGCTTATTCTTGAAAAAGAAGAATAAAGTGGGAGGAATTACTGTATTTGATATTAAGCCCTAATATGTAGTTACAGTAATAAAGACCGTGTGATATTGGTGGAAATATAGACATACAGATCAATGCAACAGAAGAAAGAACGCATCTGGTTTTTTTTCTTCTTTTTTTATTATGGCAGAGTACATGTAACATATAGTTTGCTATTCCAACTGATTTTTGACAAAGATACAACAGCAAATCAATGGAGGAACAATAGCCTTTTTAACAAATGGTGTTGGCACAACTGGACAACTGTAAGCAAAAGAAAATGAACTTCAATCTAAATCTCACACCGTATTAAAAAAAACTCAAAGTGGGCCACAGACTTAGATATAAAATGTAAAACTATAACACTTTTAGAAAAAATATAGGAGAAAATCTATGGGATTTAGGGCAAAAGCATGATTCAAAAAAGGAAAGTCAGTGTTACAGCCCTTTTAGAATTTGTCTAGCAGGTTTTCTGGTTTTCCAGAAAACCTCCACATAAAAAGGAAAAAGAAAAAAAGGAAAAAGTAATAAATTAGTATGAATTGAGCATTTTAATGATTCTATTTTATTGCCTTTGTTGGCTTATTAAATATAACTCTCTGTTTTGTTATTTTAGTGGTTGCTTTAGGTTTTATAGTAATACATCTTTAACCTGTTACAGTCCACCTTCTTTTTGTTTGTTTGTTTTGGAAGCAGAGTCTCACTCTGTCACCAAGGCTAGAGTGCAGTGGCACTATCACGGCTCACTGCAACCTCAACCTCCCAGGCTCCAGCGTTCCTCCTGCTGCAGCTTCCTGAGTAACTGGGACCACAGGTGCACACCACCACACCTGGCTAATTTTTGTATTTTTTATAGAGACGGGGTTTCACCATGTTGGCCAGGCTGGTCTTGAATTCCTGGAGTCAAGTGATCCACCCGCCTTAGCCTCCCAAAGTGCTGGGATTACAGGTGTGAGCCACCTCTCCCATCCCAGACCTTTTATATGGCATTAATCCATTCATGAGGCCAAAGCCCTCATGACTTAATCATTTCCCCAAAAACGCCACCTCTTAATACCACCACAGTGGAGATTAAGTTTCACCATGAATTTTGAATGAAGCACATTCAAACCATACCACTATTGTTGCCATGCATTTTTTCTACATGTTATAAACTGCACAATACAATGTTATTATTTTTGTTTTAAGCCAAATATAAAGATTTAAATTATAAGAAAAAAAATCTTGTGCATTTTACCCATGTAGTTACCATATCCAGTGCTCTTCATTCGTTTGTGTAGATCCAGATTTTCATCTGTTATCATGAAGGACATCTTCTAACATTTCTTCTAGTGGGGTATCTGCTGTTCCTTCCCTTATCCCAACAACAGAGCAGGCCAGTCCCTCCCTACCTCAGGCACATACTCCACAGCCACTAAGAAGGACTAATCCCTGGAAAAGCTCCAACCACTAGCCTTTAACCAACCAATGAAGAAATAAAGATATGGTGACCTGGAGAGAGCACTGGACCTAGGGACACAAGAAGTGAGTTCATGTCTATCTCTACTCACTACATAGTGACACCGTGAACATTCCTGGGTTTCACTGTTTTCATCTGAGAAGTGGGGGAATAATTTTCTTAACTTCATTCACGTGATTGTTGTGAGAATGAAATTAGATAACAGAGGAAGGCTGGTGGACTGTAAGGAGCATATTGGATCCTTCCAATTCCAACATAAACACTTCCTAGTTGTGTGACTTTGGGAAAGTTACTTAACTTTTCAGGGCCCTAGTTTCCCAATTTGTAGAATGAGATAGTATCTGTCTCACAGGGATGGATGAATGAAATGAAAAAAATATTTAGAAGTGCCTGACCTAGGTCAGGCACGGTGGCTCACACCTGTAATTCCAGCACTTTGAGAGGCCGAGGCGGTGGATCACCTGAGGCCAGGAGTTCGAGACCAGCCTGGCCAACATGGCGAAACCCTGTCTCTACTAAAAATACAAAAATTAGCTGGACATGGTGGCGCTTGCCTGTAATCTCAGCTACTCGGGAGGCTGAGGCAAGAGAATGGTTTGAACCCAAAGGCGGAGGTTGCAGTGAGCCAAGATCATGCCACTGCACTGCAGCTTGGGTGACAGAGAGAAACTTCGTCTCAAAACTAAATAAATAAAATAAAATAAAATAAAAGTGCCTGACCTGTAATAGGCATTCAGGAGATGGTAATACATTGCAAAATCTAGATAATACCTTCTAAAATCCTATAGAAATGGGGTAAGGGGATACACAATAGGAGGAATTTTCTGTGTTGTTTTTTGTTTTATTTTTTAGATGTGACCCTCCTTCATAAACATTGATTATTTTAGCTCTTTGCCATAACATCTTTAAATTCAAGATGTCACAATAATAGATTTTGGAGAAACTCAGGGCCATCCTGTGTCATACAGGATTAAAAAAATACTTTTGGAAAGTGGACAGAGACCTCTAACTCCACCTTGACCAGCCAAAAATAAGTGCTCTGGAAATTAGCCTAAGACACGCATTTCCCCAGTCAAAATATATGGTTCTTATAGATGTTTTTGACCTTCGTTGATGCAGCTTTCTTCACACGCTGCATGATTTAGTGTTTGTCCATTAGAACGTTTACTACTCTTAACTGTTCATATGTATTTTGTACAATCCTGCTAATTTTCATATTTATTTATTTCTAATTTCATTTATTTCTTTTTTCCTTTTTTTTTTTTTTTTTCCTGAGAGACAGGGTCACTTTGTCACCCAGGCTGGAGTGCAGTGTCGTAAACATGACTCACTGCAGCCTCAACCTCTTGGGCTCAAGTGATCCTCCCACCTCAGCCTCTCAAGTAGCTGGGACAACAGGCGTATGCCATCATGCCCAGCTAATTTTTTTTTTTTTTTTTTTGAGACAGAGTCTCTCTCTGTCTCCCAGGCTGGAGTGTAGTGGCACGATCTCGGCTCACTGCAACCTCCACCTCCTGGTTTCAAGCGATTCTCCTGCCTCAGCCTCCCGAGTAGCTGGGACTACAGGCATGTGCCACCATGACCGGCTAATTTTTGTATTTTTAGTGGAGATGTGGTTTCATTATGTTGGCCAGGCTGGTCTCGAACTCCTGACCTCGTGATCCACCCACCTCGGCCTCCCAAAGTGCTGGGATTATAGCCGTGAGCCACCGCCCGGCCCATGCCCGGCTAATTTTAAAAAAAATGTTTCGTAGAGATGGGGTCTCATTATGTTGCTCAGGCTGGTCTCAAACTCCTGGGTTTAAGCAATCCTCCCACCTCGGCTTCCCAACCTGCTGGGATTACAGGCCTGAGCCTTTGCACCCGGCTCTAATTTCATTTATATTGTAACCCTATGTCACTTCTTACTGGGACTTTCAACACTCTTTATATGTATCAGATATATAATATGTTAATAACGTTCATTAAACTACTCAAACATAAGCAAAATCACAGCAAACATGCCTGATGAACCACCAATGCCAGAGACCAAAATGGCAGCCAATAACCATCTGCTGGTGGCAGAGTTGATGACATTTGCTCTTCACATGTGGTTCTCTAAGAAATGTTTTAAGCAGAGGAGTCTCTGTGTATAGAGAACTTACTACGTGGCAGGCATTGTGCCAGGATTGGGAAATGCAGTGGGGAGCAAGCCAAATCTACTCTCTGCTCTCCCCAAATTCCCAGTCTAACAGAGGACACAGATCAGGAAGTGGACAGTTGCCATACAGTGTGGTGAGATGATGGGGAGCCGAACACCCACAAAGAAAGGTCACCTAATCCAGGCTTGGAGAACAGAGAAGACTTCCTGAAGGAAGTGATGTCTAAGCTGAGCCAGTAGGACGGGTAACATTGAGTCAGGCAAAGATGGAGGGAAGTGGGTCCTAGGCAGGGAACATGGTCTTTTCAGAGAGCTGAGTGATGAGGAAGGCTGGAGAGGTAAGTGGAAACCAGGCCACACAGGGCTTTATAAGCCATGGGAAAGAAGCAGGGAGTAGTTGGGTCCTCTGGAAGAAGACCTTGAAGTCTCAGCTGTCTCTTTCACTTAGCACTGTGAACTTGGACAAGTTACATATGCCTTTAAGCTTCAGTTTCCTCATGTGTGAAATGAGGACAAGGCTGGTCACGGTGGCTCACACCTATAATCCCAGCACTTTGGGAGGCTTAGATGGGAAGATTACTTGAGGCCAGGGGTTCCAGACCAGGCTGGGCAACATAGCAAGACCCCCACCTCTAAAATTTCCCTTTTTAAATTAGCCAGGCATAGCGGCACATGCCTCTAGTCCTAGCTACTCAGGAGGCTGAGGCAAGAGGATTGCTTGAGCTCAGGAGTTCGAGATTGTCTGGGCGACAAAGACCCTGTTGAAAAAAAACCAGAAAAATGAGGACGATATTCTAATAATAACTACCTCATAAGCTTAAGCTTAAGTGTTAAAAGTGGACATAAGTTACCAAATACATAATATGTGCTCAATAAGTATCAGGAATTTCTGTTCTCTTATTTTTTAGAGATGGGGTCCTTAGCAATTATTTCTATATTATTTCCTCTAAATACGAAGTTGACATTTTGGCTGTTGGAGACTTGGTGGTTTCATAGATTTGTACAGGTTATATGTATGTGTGCATATATTATATAATTATAATATAAATTAATTACATAATTATTTAATTATAATTATTTATAATATGCAATTATATATATAATTGCATGTTGGCTTTTTATCATTCCTATGCATTAAAAACTTTTTTTGCATTTACATGTTTTTGTTTATAATCTTCGTCTTTTGCTTGTTTGTTTTTGTGACAGTCTTGCTCTGTCGCCCAGGCTGGAGTGCAGTGGCGTGATCTCGGCTTACTGCAACCTCTGTCTTCTGGGTTCAAGCGATTCTCCTACCTCAACCTCCCAAGTAGCTGGAATTACAGGCGTGCGCCACCACGCCTGGCTAATTTTTGTATTTTCGGTAGAGATGGTGTTTTGCTATGTTGCCCAGGCTGATCTAGAAATCCTAGCTTCAAGCGATCTGCCCGCCTCGGCCTCCTAAAGTGCTGGGATTACGGACCTGAGCCACGGCGCCTGGCTTATAATCTTAGTTTTGTTGATTACGAAATTGTTTTATATATTGATATAGTGCTATTCTGTCTCCCTTTCTTTTCTAACTTCTCGTCCATGGCTTTATATCTTAAACATTATTATACTTCCTCCAGAGACAGTGTTTTCTCTCTTCCTCCGTCTCCTTGAAACTTGTTGGTTTTGTGCCTTCCTGCTTAGGGACTCTAAATTGGTACCGCTTAGGAAAGAGCGCCCTCTGGCATTCATCCGGTGTCAGTTCAAGAGACCATTTTCCATTACTGCGGTCTGTGGTCCCTGCCTGCTGGCTATGAGCGGAAACCTTCAGTCCCGGAGAGCGTGGAGGTTGTTAAAACTGTAGGTTTCACAATTTAAAAAAAAACCCGGCCGGGCGCGGTGGCTCACGCCTGTAATCCCAGCACTTTGGGAGACCGAGGTGGGGGATCACCTGAGGTTAGCAGTTCGAGACCAGCCTGGGCAACATGGTGAAACCCCACCTCTACTAAAAATACAAAAATTAGCCGGGCGTGGTAGTGCATGCCTGTAATCCCAGCTAATCAGGAGACTGAGGCAGGAGAATCGCTTGAACCCGGGAGGCGGAGGTTGCAGTGAGCCGAGATCACGCCACTGCACTCCGGCCTGGGTGACAGAGCCAGACTCCACTCAAAAAAAAAAAAAAAAAAAAAAAAAACCCTCTGGCTGTTATAAAATGTCCTTGTCCTTGAAATGTCGAAGGTATCACACACCTACTTATCAATATAAAGCCCACATTAATGTATCCATGCACAAAGATTATTACATACAAAGAGACTTCCCTAAAAGAAAAAGCACAAGGATTTGGAGCCCTGGCATCTAGGTCTACATATCCACTATTACTGTGTGGCCTTGGGAAAGTCTTTCTCTCAGTTGATCCTCTCATTTTTAAAATGAAAATGTTATATTAGATCGATATTTTGCAAAATGTTTTGTAGAATACTCTCTATTATGTTGAAGGCATCACACGCATACAAAAGAGAGAGGGGAGGAGAGGCTACATTATCAAATAAATTTGGAAACTGAGGGGTAAGCAAAATAAAAGTGTTTATTGCAGGACTTTGGAGAGATTTTATAGTGCTAAATACGTATTATGAATTTACAACACATGTCTACAGTTTCCCAACACCAGTTGACAACAGAATCTTTTGCTGACAGAGCACCTTGCAGGATTCTGTAATAATGCAGTATCCTTGCAATGTTGTAGTATTCTTGCAGGATTCTGAGAAAAAATAATTTTGAAAATGCTGGTCTAAGTCTGGCCAACATGGCAAAACCCCGTCTCTACTAAAAAGACAAAAATTAGCCAAGTGTGGTGGTGCACACCTGTAATCCCAGCTACTCAGGAGGCTGAGGCAGGAGAATTGCTTGAACCTGGGAGGCGGAGGTTGCAGTGAGCTGAGATTGTGCCACTGCACTCCAGCCTGGGTGACAGAGCAAGACTCTGTCTCAAAAAAAAAAAAAAGAAGAAAAAAATAAAAAAGACAAGACAAGCCAATGCTGGTCTATGCCACCATTTAATTTGGCAAATCTTCCTGATCACTGGATCCCTTTGCTAGATAAAGACAAGGCCAGGCAACTAATGTGCTGTTAGGACGCCAAGTTAATGGTAAGGAAAATCTAACAATAATCATGAATATAGCCTCTTAATCATAATAACAACAGCAATGATAATAGTTCATGTTTACTGGGAGCGCAACATTCCAAGGCACTGTACCAAGTGACTTATAAACATTATTTCATTTCATCCTTGCAACAAACCACTGAGAGAATTTATATTATTATCATCACCATTTTAAAGATGAGGAAACTTGAGGCCAAGGCAGGCCAATCGCCTGAGGTCAGGAGTTGGAAACCAGCCTGGCCAGCATGGTGAAACCCCGTCTCTACTAAAAATACAAAAATTATGACCGGGTGCAGTGGCTCACTCCTTCAATCCTAGCGCTTTGGGAGGCCGAGACAGGCAGATCACTGGAGGTTAGGAGTTCAAAACCAGCCTGGCCAACATGGTGAAACCCCGTGTCTACTAAAAATACAAAAAAAAAAAAAAAATTAGCTGGGTGTGGTGGCACACACCTGTAATTCCAGCTATTTGGGAGGCTGAGGCAGGATAATTGCTTGAACCCAGGAGGTAGAGGTTGCAGTGAGCTGAGATCACACCACTGCACTCCAGCCTGGGCAACAGAGCGAGACTCCGTCTCAAAAAAAAAAAAAAAAAAAAAAACACCAAAGATGAGGAAACTTAGTATGAGAGTGATTGAATAGCTTAAAGTCACAAAACTACTAAGTGTTAGAACTGGGATTAAAATCCAGGCTGTCTGCTGCAAAAGCTAATATGGTAAGTATGCTATAGTTAAGGTGACCACATAACTTCTTGTCCAAGTTGATGCACTTTTGAGTGGAGAGCTCTGAAACCAACTATATAACTTTTCTGAAATATTTATTTTGTACCAAAAATTGATTTTATTATATTAGTGTGCAAAAACCGTTGTCAAAAGTAAAATGCTTTATTTAAAAAACAAAGATAACATTCATCTGTGTATATTAAAGCAAAATGTTATTTATATTGATTATCTGAAAATTTTCAAATAGCCGGAGTAATTATTATTGGTACATGTTCACATAGTCTAATCAGTTTCTTAGTCCTGTCTTATAATGGATCACTGGTATTTTTGTGAAGAAGGTATTGTTTCAATATGATTTTGTTATTTTTATTTTATTGTATTTTTTGGAAACAGAGTCTTGCTCTGTCACCCAGACTAAAGTGCAGTGGTGCGATCTCCGCTCACAACAACCTCCGCCTCTCCTGTTTGAGCAGTTCTCCTTCCTCAGCCTTCCGAGTAGCTGGGATTACAGGCGCACGCCACCACACCTGGCTAATTTTTGTATTTTTAATAAAGACAGGGTTTCACCATATTAGCTAGGCTGGTCTCAAACTCCTGGCCTCAAGTGATCCGCCTGTCTCCACCTCCTAAAGTGCTGGGATTACAGGTATAAGCTACCATGCTCGGCTGATTTTGATAGTTTTAAACTTTAAAATAAAATGGTCCGCAATCATTTTTAAACTTGCATTTTAGGCTGGGTGAGGTGGCTCATGCCTGTAATCCCAAAACTTTGGGAGGCCCAGGAGGGCTGATCACCTGAGCCCAGGAGTTTGAGACCAGCCTGAGCAACATAGTGAAAACTTGTCTTTATAAAAGAGAAAAATTTGCATTTTATGGCTAAGAAATTTGAAATTGTTCATACCTTCAATTATCTCATATCTGTAAACCATACTATTTTTAATTTAGAAAATACTATGTCTGCAGGTGCTGAGATAGTATTGAGGTGAGTACCCTGCACCTCAAGTTCAATAAATGGTATACATCTTAACTATAGCATGCTTAGTCACAATTACTTTTTTTTTTTTCAGATGGAGTGTTGTTTTGTCCCCCAGGCTGAAGTGCAGTGGTGTAATCATGGCTCATAGCAACCTCGAACTCCTGTGCTCAAGCAATCTTCACGCCTCAGCCTCCTGAGTAGCTAGAACTACAGCTGTGTGCCACCATGCCTGCCTACTTTTGTTTTATAATATGTTGTTGTTGTTGCTGTAGAGACAGGATTTCTTTATGTTGCCCAGGCTGGTCTCAAATTCCTGGCCTCAATTGATCCTCACACCTTTGTATCCCAGAGTGCTGGGATTATGGGTGTGAGCTACCTACCCCAGACTCACAATTACACTTTAAAAAATTAAAATGGGTAATTATTTCATTTCAAATATTCTTACAGAAACTCTCTAATCAAAACGTCATTCTTCAACGAATATTTTCACAAGACAAAACTCATGTAAAAAGTTGTCTCTATGTTTCTTTTGAAAATTTTGCCAAATGTGGATGCTGAAAATCATAGGCCTTCTCAATTTCATTCCATTCAGGTACAGAATAGAAATCTGTCTAATTAAAATATTATCAAATTAAATGTATTCAACTAAAAAAATAAGAGCACTATCAACACGTCAAGTGCTTTCTCTCAAGTCAACATATTCCAAAGCACAATTATAGAATTTCACAGTTAAATCCTATTTGTTCATTGTTCACCATTACAGCTCTAGTTTGTTTCAGTCCTTTTTTTAGGGTTACATTTTGATGCCTTTCTGTTTTTCAGGCTTTGTTTTCAATAACTGCAATTTGCTAAAAGCTTCAAAAGCCAAAGATTTTTAGGTGCTCTATTTGTTTAATATTTTGATTAAATATTACCTACTGATGTTCAACAAAATAACCCAATCTTTGTAAAAAAAAAAAAATTCAGTACCTATTTTAGGACACTTAGGTGCACTATCAAAGGAGCCCTTCAAAAACTTTCTTCACATTTTCTCTTTTTTTTTTCTGAGATGGAGTCTTGCTCTGTTGCCCAGGCTGAAGTGCAGTGGAGCCATCTTGGCTCACTGCAATCTCCGCCTCCCAGGTTCGAGTAGCTGGGACTACAGGCACACGCCACCAGGCCTGACTAATTTTTATATTTTTGGTAGAGATGGGGTTCCACCAAGTTGGCCAGGCTGGTCTTGAACTCCTGAGCTCAGGTAATCCGCCCGCCTCAGCCTCCCAAAGTGCTGGGATTACAAGCGTGAGCCACCGAGCCCAGCAAAAAAAAAAAAAAAAAAAAAAAAAAATTAAAGCAGAGTCTTACTCTGTCTTCCAGGCCACAGTGCAGTGGCACAATGACAACAACTCCTTGCAGCCTCAACCTCCCGGGCTCGAGCAATCCTGCTACCTCAGACGCATGAGTATCTGGGACAACAGGCACATGCCACTATGCCCAGCTAATTTTTTAATTTTCTGTAGTGATGGGGGTCTCACTATATGCTCAGCCTCGTCTCGAACTCTTAGGCTCAAGCAATCCTCCTGTCTCAGCCTCCCAAATTGCTGGGATTGCATGTGCATGAGCATAGCAAATAGAATATCTATCTATTTGATAGATATAGTGTTACAGCTTGTTTGGATGCATGGATGCAATTATCAATTACATGTGCACTATAACCAATCCCAAGGATATTTTTGCTCCATAAGTTTCTTAATTAAGAACATTATTTTTAACACATTCTTTCTCTGTTAAAATTAGTGTTCCTATTATCCCTGAAAAAAACCCAAGTCATTTTATATTCAGCGTTAAACTTTGTTACTGAACTTACTGTTATCTTTAGAAAACACACAATTTATACATTTAGAGAAGGAGAGGAGACTTTATTTCTTATAAAAAGTTACAGCCTGCAAAATGGCCATCCCACAGGCTGGAAAACACAGCCTCCAGCCAAGACCAGAGACAGGTAGTACTTGGAAGGAGGAAGGGTTGGGGTAGGAGCTTTATGCTAAAGAGGTTGACAAAGTATCACGCCTGTAATCCCAGCACTTTGGGAGGCCGAGGCAGGCGGATCACAAGGTCAGGAGATCGAGACCATCCTGGCTAACACGGTGAAGCCTCATCTCTACTAAAAATACAAAAAATTAGCAGGGCATGGTGGCGGGCGCCTGTAGTCCCAGCTATACTCGGGAGGCTGAGGCAGGAGAATGGCATGAACCCCGGGGGGCGGAGCCTGCAGTGAGCCGAGATCGCGTCACTGCACTCCAGCCTGGGTGATAGAGCGAGACTCGGTCTCAAAAAAAAAAAAAAAAAAAGAGGTTGGCAAAGTATATGTATTCAACAGGTTACAGGAGGAGCTATGAATATTCATGAAGGTGGTCTTGATGCATGCATATTGAACAAACATGCATATATGACCAATTTTCACTTTGGGGTGGAGACTTAACATTTATTTTATTTTATTTTATTTTATTTTGAGACAGAGTCTTGCTCTGTCACCCAGGCTGGAGTGCAGTGGTGCAATCTCAGCTCACTGCAACCTCCGCCTCCTGGGTTCAAGTGATTCTCCTGCCTCAGCCTCCGAAGTAGCTGGGATTACAGACATCTGTCACCATGCCTGGCTAAGTTTTGTATTTTTAGTAGAAACAGGGTTTCACCATGTTGGCCAGGCTGGTCTTGAACTCCTGACCTCAAGTAATCTGCCCGCCTTGGCCTCCCAAAGTGCTGGGATTACAGGAGTGAGCCACCACGCTGGGCTGAGACTTAACATTTAAATGTATTACAATTAGGTCCTATACACAGAAGATCTTTTCAGGACATGTAAGCATGCAAGTGCACAGCCTCTGTAAACCGGCCAGAACCAGTCCATGGTGGGAGATCTTATCAGGAGAAAGTTGCTAAAATCAGTCTGTTGTCCAATTAAAGATGTAATTACGGCTGGGGGAACAGAGGTTCAGTTAGTCAGGGTCTGTGAGCTAGATGAGTTGTAATTGTTTTAATATTATCTCAAGACCAGTGCTTGTTTAGCTGCTAGAGAAAAAGAAAAACCTTGAGACAGTTAGAGCATAGTCGTATATGCATGTTTGTTCAATATGCATGCGTCAAGACCACCTTCATGAATATTCATAACTCCTCCTGTAAGCTGTTGCGTACATATAACTTTAGCCAACCTCTTTAGCATAAAGCTCCTACCCCAACCCTTCCTCCTTAACCCTTGCCTGGCATGGCCTTAGGTCCTGTTTATAATTTCATATCTTATTGCCACAAAGAGGGTATTGTGTCAGTCTTACAGTTTCTATTTTAACATTAGTGTTGGTTGGTTGTGTCAAAACCATATAAGGGAGAGGGTATAACAAGACGTGTCTGACCTATCATCCCATCATGGCCAGGAACTCAGTTTTAAGGTTTTTCTGGGGTCCTCTTGGCCAAGAAGTGGTCTGTTCATTCGGCAGGGGGCTTAGGATTTTATCTTGTTTATATTACAACAGCGTTTATGATGCTGTCAGATGTCTTCTCTTCAACAGAAATCAGTTCCAAAATTGTTATTTTGATTTCATACATTGGATGAAATAAATGTATCACTATTAATTTAACTTCTATTTGAAGCACCTGAGGACACCGATATAAGGTCGGCATCATTAAACTGTTTGGCTAATGCAGCCAACACCTTAATAGCTACAACTTCACTTTTTGTATGTGCACAAGGAAAGTTGGAATAAAAATTGAGCAAAATGAATTTAGAAGAACAGTCATTTGATCTAGATGAGAATCACGTTGAATAGAGTTATATGTAAACCTGTGGTCCTTAAGCACATTCTTAAAATAACTACTGCCTTATGAGGTAGATGCTGATGCTTCCTCAACAGACCATTGCCTTCTGGGTTTTGTGTGGTCAGTTATATCACTGTGGCCCTCACAGTGGTAAACATCAATAGACATTTTGTGCAAGTTACATGTACATCACCAAATTTAGTACCTGCTTTTTTTTAGAGATGGAGTCTTGCTCTGTTGCCCAGGCTGGAGTGCAGTGGTGCAATCATAGCTTACTGCAGCCTCAAACTCCTGAGTGCAAGCGAAACTCCAGCTTCAACTTCCCAAAGTGCTGGGATTACAGGCATGAGCCACCATGCCCGCCAGTACCTAAATTTTCAGTAAACATGTACTTTCATTTATTTGAGCTCATTACTGCTAAGAAGGTTTATAACAAAATAAAAAAGCATTATCAATCAATACATAGTTGTATATTTACACCATGCGTAAATTATACAACCACTGTTGTGAGAATTTTCAGACTGCTCTCTATATCTTCTGTGGCTGGTATGCTCAGCCTCTATTTCCTATGTCTATACAGGTACACCTTACCTATAATTGCCCACATTTCCCATTGACCCTGCTAACTGGCGACCTGATGGCTTCTTTTCTTTTCTTTTCTTTTTTTAACTTTAAGTTCTGGGATACATGTGCTGAACGTGCAGGTTTGTTACATAGGTATACATGTGCCATGGTGGTTTGTTGCACTTATCAACCCATCATCTAGGTTTTAAGTCCCGCATGCATTAGGTATTTGTCCTAATGCTCTCCCTCCCCTTTCCCCCCAACCCCTCAACAGGCCCCGGTGTGTGATGTTCCCCTCCCTGTGTCCATGTGTTCTCATTGTTCAACTCATACTTATGAGTGAGAACATGCGGTGCTTGGTTTTCTGTTCCTGTGTTAGTTTGCTGAGGATGATGGCTTCCAGCTTCATCCATGTCCCTGCAAAGGACATGATGTTATTCTTGTTTATGGCTGCATAGTATTCCATGGTGTATATGTGCCACATTTTCTTTATCCAGTCTATCATTGATGGGCATTTGGGTTGGTTCCAAGTCTGACCTGATGGCTTCTGAAACACACATGGAACTCACAGGCCAAAGAACCACTGGCCAGTACTCCAAGTGGCAGGCAGCTGAACAGTGTCAGATACTTCCTCCACCACTACATGAGATCTGAGGTTGTTATCAGTCCCTAACTGCTGATGTCTGGGCATATTTCCTTTTATCAATGAGTTCCTCCGCCTGCTTTCCTTGATGGGGAGGTTAGTTATGTTATTTCTGGAAAGGGTAAGGAAAAGAGAGATTATCAGTGGTTGTTTTTCAGATTTAATCAGGTGAGAGCCAAAATGAGAACTCTGTAGAAACTGGAAGTTCAAAGTGGAGATCTACTAAACTCAAACCAAATTATTTTAGTGGAACTATTGAGAGTAATATTTAGTTCAAAAATGAAAAACATGTGAGACAAATGCTAAATTGGATGAGATGTGGGACAATGGATATAAACTGAGACTGTCCCAGGCAAAATGAGAATGTAGAGTCATCCTGGTTATACTACTTCTCACTAGATTATCATTTCTTTTTGTTTGTTTGTTTGTTTGAGAAAAGGTCGTACTCTGTCACTCTGGCTTGAATGCAGTGGTGCAACCACGGCTCACTGCAGCCTCAACTTCCCAGGCTCAAGCCATCCTCTAACCTCAGCCTCCCCAGTAGCCGGGACTATAGATAGGCACATGCTACCATGCCTGGCTAGTTTTTATTTTATTTTTTGTAGAGATGGGGTCTCATTGTATGGTCTCGAAATCCTGGGCCCAAGTGATCCTCCCACCTCGGCTTCCCAAAGTACTGAGATTACAGGTGTGAGCTGCCAGGCCCAGCCTATTATTTCTTAAACTGAGTCCCATTTAATAACTCCACGTGGTCTTAACCAACATCCTAGAATAGTAATATCATGATGATGATGATGTGGA
Source organism: Homo sapiens (assembly GCF_000001405.40). Lineage (NCBI taxonomy): Eukaryota > Metazoa > Chordata > Mammalia > Primates > Hominidae > Homo > Homo sapiens. The sequence continues at coordinate 120,489,315 of NC_000023.11, read as the reverse complement.
TGATGAACTTTTGACCCAGTTGATTACACATCCTCCTTAAAATGTTCTTCCCTCTTTTCGCTTCTGGGGGGGTTTCATCCTTACTCTGATGTTCCTCCTCCTCTACCCAAGTCTAACTGTTAGGAGTGCTTCAAGGCTTGGGTCCCAGGCCTGCCTCCCTTCTCTTCCTGCACTCACTCTTTTCTCTGTGGCAGCTGCTCTTACCGCACATGTACAGTTGTCTGGTACACAGACATTTCATCTCACTTTTCCTACTATCCTGTGTCAAGAGATGGCTGCTAGTCCTCTTCCTTACATGTTGAGATATAGTTGCAATTCACTGTTCGGGACATTCAACGGTTTGCCATGTGTTACTATACTGTTGGTTTGCCCCCGTTGTGGCGGACACAGGGAATATGCCATTCTGATCCCCCTGCAAAAAAGGACTTGCTGCTCAGCTGTGAAGAGTATGCTCAGAATCAGGCCGGGTGCGGTGGCTCATGCCTGTAATCCCAGCACTTTGGGAGGCCGAGGCGGGCGGAACAAAAGGTCAGGAGTTCAAGACCAGCCTGGCCAATATGGTGAACCCGTCTCTACTAAAAATACAAAAACTAGCTGAGTGTGGTAGCATGCGCCTGTAGCCCCAGCTACTCGGGAGGCTGAGGCAGAAGAATCACTTGAACCCAGAAGGTGGAGGTTGCAGTGAGCCAAGATCATGCCACTGCACTCCAGCCTGGGCAACAGAGCAAGACTCCGTCTCGAAAAATGAAAATGAAAAAGAATTAGCTGTCAGCGACTGCAGGGTCTGCCTCCACTTCAGGTCATGAGGTCATGCTCTCTCCAGGGCAGCCTGCGTCCAGTGATAGAGAGAGGGGGATGAAGGCCCAGCCTTATCAGCCCATTGTGGGACACTGATGGCAATAGTCACTCCAGACATTCCTGTGGGGTTGGTCAAGGCTGTGTTGGGCTGGCATCACCGTTGTTGGGATGCATCCTGCCTCCCACCCCTTCCTTTCACAGGTATTGATTTCTAAATACACATCTTTCACTTCAAATTCTACCTCAGCCTATTTTGGCAAAACCCAACCTGTGACACCCCACTTCCTTCCCTTATAGCAACTACCACGGAAGTGCACAAAGTCCAGGGCAACACGTCGGTGCAAGCTTAGATGCCTTCCTGCAGCTCAGTGCCAGCTGAGCCAACTCAGGTCTCCCACACTAGCCTGCACTTGGCAATGACGCTTCTCCCATCCAACCCCGTAGCCACAGGAAAGGCCACATGTGTTGACTTGGGAAATGTGAAGCAGGGAAAACTTCATGATGTAGGCTGCATCTGAGCTGAATGCTTCAAAGTAAGGGAGAGGGAAGGGGGAAGAAAATGAATACCGACTAGCCTTATGTCTCAGGCTCTCTGCTAGGAACTCTACTTGCTTTTGTTCATTAATGCTCTGCTCACAATAATACTATCAGGTAGGTGGTTCGATCACCAATGAGAATAAAAAAAAAATAAGTGCCATTGGTGGTGATTACACCACTGATGATAATGACAAAATAGAAATAAATACCATTGATTACACAGTAGTATGTATCAGGTAGCGTTCTGGGCCTTCACATTCATTATTATCTCATTTAATCATTAAAAGTCCTCCAGGCCTGGGAAACTTTCTATTTTTTTTTTTTTTTTTTTTGAGACGGAGTTTCACTCTTGTTGCCAAGGCTGGAGTGCAATGGTGTGATCTTGGCTCACTGCAACCTCTGCCTCCCAGGTTCAAGTGATTCTCCTGCCTCAGCCTCCTGAGTAGCTGGGATGACAGGCATGCACCACCATGCCTGGCTACTTTGTGTATTATTAGTAGAGACGAGGTTTCACCATGTTGGCCAGGCTGGTCTCGAACTCCTGACCTCAGGTGATCCATCTGCCTCGGCCTCCCAAAGTGCTGAGATTACAGGCATGAGCCACCACACTCAGCTGAAACTTTCAGATTTTAAGGACACTCACCGACCTCCTATTCTCTTACCTTCTAGTAGCAGGGCTGACGGATTTCACTTAGGATCGACTTTTGTGAGAATCATTCTCCCAGTAATTCCACACAAATTTATTATGAGACAGCAGCCCATATTTGAGGCCCACGTAGAGTTGAGGTTCCCCCCAAATTACTCTCCTTCTACTCCTCCCTTGCTGACCCTGATTCACTCAGGAACTCTGTGAGAAAGCCGAGGCTCAGAGAAAGTGAGGAATTCAACTTAGCTCACACAGCTGGTATATGGCAGTTTCCGTTCAGACCGACGTTGGCCTGACCCCTTAGCCAGGGTTCCTGACCCCTGTGCCGGGCTATCTCCTACGGGGCTATGATCACTTGTTTTCTTTCTTTTTTTCTTTTCTTTTTTGAAGAATAGTGGCTTTGTGTTTTCTTCGGTGTCAGGGCAATAGTAAATCAAATATTAACTAAACATCCTCAGGAAAACTTTGCAAGTAAAACCACGTGCCTATATTTACAGAAATTAAAGGCTTTAAAATAAATGGCAGTTAAATTACGAAATTGGGCAATAGATGTGATTTTTTTTCTCTACTCGGTGATGTAGATAAAAGAAACACATTTTGTATTTTTATCAGTTACTTAATCTTAGTTATCATGTATTAATCTTCTGAATGTGCTTCTTTTAAACAACTTTATTGAGGCATCAGTGACATATAATAAACTACATATATTTAAAGTGTACTATTTATTTGTTTTTAGGAAACTTCGCTAGCAGAAATAAAGTGTCCAATTAATTAAATTTTGACAAGTGCACATGTGAAACAATTGTGTTTATGCCAATCAAAGTCATTTATAGCTACAGCGGCACCCACAGACATGCCAACCCAGGACAGGTACTAAGCCTAGTGGCTTTGGTGCAGGTTCATGCTCGCATAAAGGCCACCAGATGAGTAGGTTCGCTGAAGAAAGACTTCAAAGCACCTACTGCCAGCTACTGCCAGCGAAGTCCGAAGCGCCACCTTTAGACATAAAAGGGCAGCACTTCATCGTTCTTTTCGCGCAGAGGCCACAATTAACTGGCAAGGATTGCAAGCTACTCCTGGCGCCAAAGCCAAGAATAGAGCTGTATCCAACTGTAAAAACAAACTGCATTTAAAGCTGAGGCCTCCAGGGGGAGAAAGGTCCTGGAGGAATGCCTAGAAAGCTGCCAAGCCGCCGGAGTCACTAGCTCAAAGTACAATAGTGGCTTTGCTGAACAAGGTCGCCTTGACCGCTGGCAGCGAGTGCGGCCTTTCACAGCTGCAGCCGGCCCCCAAAACGTACCAAACGCAAGAGACACAAAAGGCCAATGTTTCGCCCTGATCGCTGTGTTCCTGGTCCGCAACCCAGACCCACGTGCCTGAAGGCGCGCCAGCCGGGCCCAGTTGCCCCTCCTTCCGCCACCTTCTCAGTGCTCCGCCCAGTAGGGAAACCGAAGGATTGATTAAAACCGACCCTCCTCTTCCCTTTAACAAGACCAAAAGTGGGTGGAGAGGGAAGGGAAGTCTAAACGCGTCTGATTAGTTTCGTTTTTATTAAAATCTTCACGTGATTGCCGTACTCTTGACTCAGCGATTTCTCCAAACGGCCTCCTTGAATTTATTGGTTTGTCATCACCGCCTTCATCTTTTCTTGTACAGTCCTACCTACCAGTTTTGAACATTTAAACGGAATTCCTCCATTCAATACAAAGAACAAATACATTTTAAACCTTTAAAAATGAAGATCAAGATTTGATTTCTAAAAATTCAATTTAGTCAATTCATTTAGCCAAATTCATTTCAAGCCCACAAATGACAAGATATGGGTTTTAAATAACCACTTGACATGAGGCTCCTCCCTCATTTCCCACAGAAGGAACTGCCACACATTTTCTTAAAAGGACCATCAGTTTTTCTCACTCTTCTACCTTGGTTCCCGAGCAGTGGGACCACAGGTATGCACCAACACGTCCAGCTATTTTGTGCATTTTTTTTGTAGAGACGGGGTTTTGCTATGTTTCCCACACTGGTCTTGAACTCCTGGGTTCATGCGATCCTACTGCCTTGGCCTCCCAAAGTGCTGGGATTGCAGGCGTGAGCCACCGCGCCTAGCTACTTAGCAATTTTCATTCCACAACATATTGTAATGAACTGTAGTTACCATGTTGTATAATAGATCTTATAGATTCGTTCTTAAGCAAATGAGTGATTAGATTAAAAACTTGATAAACAGTTGTCCTGGAATTTTTTCTCCCTCAATAGTGACAACTCAATAGTCACCTCAATAGTGACAATTCTGGAAAGTTTTGTGCAAATCAAATTTTAAAAAATCAAACCTGGATTTTGTTTTTAAAGTTTACTTTAATCTTTTTTAAAATTTTATTTTATTTTGTTTCGAGACAGAGTCTCACTCAGTCACCCAGGTTGGAGTGCAGTGGTGCGATCTCGGCTCACTGCAACCTCTGCCTCCTGGGTTCGAGCGATTCTCCTGCCTCAGCCTCCGGAGTAGCTGGGATTACAGGTGCACCACCACACCTGGTTATTTTCAGTAGAGATGGGTTTTCACCATGTTGGCCAGGCTGGTCTCCAACTCCTGACCTCAAATGATCTTCCCCACCTTGGCCTCCAAAGTGCTGGGATTACAGGCATGAGCTACCGGGCCTGGCCATATATTAATCTTTACAATAAAAATAATACACTCCCATTATAGAAAATGTAGACAGACAATTCAAAAGAATAAAAGGAAATTATTTACAATCTTTACACTCAGAAACAATCTGTTAATAATTTGGTGTCTTTCCTTCCAGTATTCTTATTATGGATTTTGTTTGTTTTTCCTTTTTTTAATAGCCCAATATACCAATTTAAGGTATATAATATTATGGATTTTTAAAAATAATTGTAATTATACAATTTTGTTTTCAACTTTCTCCCCCATTACAATATTAGCATTTTCCCATTTTATTAAGAACATAACTTTTAATGACTGTTTACTAGTCCATTGTATGAATTGAACGTTGATCATTTAATCTCAGTTTCTCCATTGTAGGACATATGGGTTCAATTTTTTATTCAATTGAACGAACTATTTAAAATAACTGTCTGGACGCAGTGGCTCACGCCTGTAATCCCAGCACTTTGGGAGGCCGAGGCGGGTGGATCATTTGAGGTCAGGAGTTCAAAATCAGCCTAACCAACATGGTGAAACCCCATCTCTACTAAAAGTACAAAAAAATTAGCCAGGCGTGGTGGCACATGCCTGTAGTCCCAGCTACTCAGGAGGCTGAGGCAGGAGAATCGCTTGAACCTGGGAGGCAGAGGTTGCAGTGAGCTGAGATTGCGCCACTGCACTCCAGCCTGGGTGGCAGATTGAGACTCTGTCTCAGAAAAAACAAAACAAAACAACAACAACAACAACAACAACAACAAAAACATGTAGTAAATTCTTTATATGAAGTGAGGCATCCTTTGAAATGTGAAAAGCTGCTCCCAGATCCAGTCTATTTTTATAAGTTTGAGTTCTCATTTATTGGAATTGGTTTAAGGCAAAAACACACCTGAACTTTTTTTTTCTTTTTTAAGTTTTAGAGTTGTTTGAGGTTTTCCTACACGTTTATGTTGTAAAAATAAAAATCTCAAATTATTGTTCTAAGAATCATTTGTGTTTTTCTGAAGCGTTCCAACATCATATATATTGGTAAGTACCTAGATTTAGTGAAAAGAGTGATTTTACCCCCTTCCTACTTATTCCTCCCCACTGAAGAGAGAAGAGAAACTTGGAAAGAATGGGTGCCAGTAGAATAGCAATTACGGTTGGGGCACCAGGCGTGGGGTGGGGAGGAAAGGGACTGAGTGAGCATCAGGGGAGTTGAGGCAAGTCAAAGGCAGTATACCTGCCTCCAAATGTTTGCAGCCTAGCCAGCCAAAATGAAATCAAATAGGTGTATAATATTTGGAGAGGCAGATTCTAAGTCACAAAATGTCTTATTCTCTTATAGCCCTACTCCAGGATCTGGCCTAGTAATAGGCACCACGAAGACAATAAATTCATTAATTTGACAGCAGTATTTACTGAGTATCTACTATGTACCAGGCACTGTTCTTAGTGCTAAGGGATATATCAGTGAACAGAAAACACACCAATCCCCTCACTTTGTGGCATTAATATTTTAATGGGAGAAGACAGATAGTAAGTGCACGACATTAGTAATTAAATTCTATTTTGTGTTAGAAAGAGATAAGTGCTATGAAAAAATGGACAGGAAAAGGGAGTTTGAAAGTGTGTTGGTGGGGTGACATGGGTGGAAGGGGGGTCTCAGTGTTAAATAGCGTAGTCAGGATAGGCTTCATTGAGAAAGTGACAGTTAAGCAAAGACTTCAAGGAAATGAGAGAGTTACCCATCGGGATACCTGAGAGAAGAAAGTCCCAGGCAGAGCAGCCAGTGTCAAGTCCCCGGAAGTGGGAGTGTACCTGAAGAACAGCCAGAAAGCCAACGTGGATGGAGAGGAGCCAAGCTGATTGATTAAAGGAATAAATGGCTAGACACGTGATCACAAAGCAAAATGTTGGAAGTATGAAAAAAAAATCCTACCTGTACCATACATTAAAGGGATGAGGGCTGGGTGTGGTGGCTCATGCCTGTAATCCCAACAATATTGGAAGGCCGAGGTGGGCAGATCACTTGAAGTCCAGGGCTCGAGACCAGCCTGGCCAACATGGTGAAACCCTATCTCTACTAAAAATATGCAAATTAGCTGGATGTGGTGGCGTGCGCCTGTAAGCCCAGCTACTTAGGAGGCTGAGGCAGGAGAATCGCTTGAAGCCAGGAGGTGGAGGTTGTAGTGAGCCAAGATCGCACCACTGCACTCCAGCCTGGGTGACAGAGTGAAACTCTGTCTCAAAAAATAAATAAATAAATAAAAATAAAAATAAATAAATAAAGGTCTGAGTACTTGAGCAACTGCTGAGTTGGAAGGAAGTTATCGAGTGAAGACAGTTGTAGGTATGCTCCCTGAAACTTGAGTTGTAGAAGGGAGGGGAGGATGCAGAAGGGATATAAAATGGACCCAGGGCCTCAAACTGCCCCAAAATCATTGTCCAGACTTACAGGTTTCTGGAGGCTCTAGGGGAGAATCTGTTTCCTTGCCTTCTCTACTTTATGTAGGCTGCCTAAATTCCTTGTCTCATGGCCCCTTCCTCCAACATCAAAGGGAACAATGGCTGGTTGAGTCTTTCTCACGTGGTATCACTGTGACCTCTGCTTCCATTGTCACATCTCTGTCTTTGACTGACTCTGCTGCCTCCTTCTTTCACTTAGAAGCACTCTTGTGACTACATTGGGCCCACTGGATAACCTTGTATAAGCTCCCTACTTTAAAGTCAGATGATAGCAAACTTAATTCCATCTGACACCCCAATTCCCCATTTTCCTGAGGATTAGGATATGGACCCCTTTGTCAGGGGCACATTGTTCTGCCTATCAGATCAAGTAACTCTGGAATGGGGGTAAGGGGTCTCTCTCCACTAGCTGTTTTGTAATTAACAAAAAGTCAAAGGCTTTCTTCTGAAGTATTTGTGAAAGAAAGTTTGATGGCATTGAATGTGCCTTTCCTTTCATAATATCACTGTTGAATGCCTTTTGTATTTTCTTTTTTTTTTTTTTTTTGAGATGGAGTCTCGCTCTGTCACCCAGGCTGGAGTGCAGTGGCGCCATCTCAGCTCACTGCAAGCTCCGCCTCCCGGGTTCACGCCATTCTCCCGCCTCAGCCTCCCTAGTAGCTGGGACTACAGGCACCCGCCACTACGCCCAGCTAATTTTTTGTATTTTTAGTAGAGACAGGGTTTCACCATAGTAGCCAGGACGGTCTCAACCTCCTGACCTCGTGATCCGCCCACCTTGGCCTCCCAAAGTGCTGGGATTACAGGCATGAGCCACCGCACCCGGCCTTTTTTTCTTTCTTTCTTTTTTTTTTTTTGAGATGGAATTTTGTTCTTGTTGCCCAGGCTGGAGTGCAATGGTGTGAACTTGGCTCACTGCAGCCTCTGCCTCCCGGGTTCAAGTGATTCTCCTGCTTCAGCCTCCTGAGTAGCTGGGATTACAGGTGTGTGCCACCATGCCCGGCTAAGTTTTGTATTTTTAGTAGAGATGGGGTTTCACCATGTTGGCCAGGATAGTTTCGAACTCCTGGCCTCAGGTGATCCTCCCACCTCGACCTCCCAAAGTGCTGGGATTAGAAGCGTGAGCCACTGCGCCCAGCCATGTATTTTAATTTACTGTAAACTTTCTTCTCTAACTACTACTGAGGCACAAGAAATTTCAGAAAGCTGTGGAATTCAAGTTGGTAGAGTGTTTAGAGGCCATCGTATCTAACTTGTCTTCTGATACTGAAACTCATATTTTCTGGACAAATGCTCAATTCAGCTTCTCTTTAAACCACACTTCCGGTGTCTCAGAACGAATAATTATGAGTTACTACTTTTTAAGATTTCATTGTTAAAAACTCTCCCTTCCTACTAAACTGAACCCTGGCTCCTTTTAATGACAAACTATCCTTTTTACTTTGCTCTCCAGAGCTCTAGAAAATATCTTCTTCACTCTACCCTGTGTTCATTGTACAGAGGGCAGAAGGAAGAAGGTTTGAAGAAGAAAGGTTTGAAGACCTACCTTAGCTACCCTGCTAAGACAGATTCTGTTCTCCAGCCTGAGCATGTCCCCATGGGAAGATTTTCCAGAGCCTCCCCAATTCTGGTCTCTCTATCCTGGAGGCTCTCTGGTATGTTAATGTCCTTCTGTAACTGTGGAACCCAGAACTGGATATATAACTCCATGGCAGAGTCCATTAGGATATCATCTCCCTTGACTTGCTTGCTTGAGCTTTCTACCTAAGTGGCCCAAGCTTGTACTTTTCACTTTTTTTTTTTTTTTTGAGACAGAGTCTCACTCTGTTGCCCAGCATGGAGTGCAGTGGCACAGTCCCGGCTCACTGCAACCTCTGCCTCCTGTGTTCAAGCTATTCTCGTGTCTCAGCCACCTGAGTGGCTGGGATTACAGGTGTGCGCCACCACGCCTGGAGAATTTTTGTGTTTTTAATAGAGTTGGGGATTCGCCATATTGGACAGACTGGTCTTGAACTCCTGTCCTTGAGGACTCCCAAAGTGCTGGAGACTGTAAACGTGAGCCACCATGCCCAGCTCACTTTCATTAAAAAAAAAAAAAAAAAGTCACACTGTTGATTCATAATTTGTCAGTAACATAATCCTGCAGATCTTTTTCCCATGAGTTTTTGCTAATATGGTCTCTTCCATCTTGTATTTGTGAGATAGATTTTTTTTTAAAGCTCCTAATACTAGATTTTATGTTTATCCCTGTTCACTTTCATCTCACTGGTTTGGGCCCACTGTTCCTGTTCCAGATAATTAGAAATCTTCATGCATTTGAATCTGAATCGGTGGACTAGCTTGCCCTCCTAAATTTGGATAATTTGCAAAATTTATGCTCACTTGATTTTCATGAAAATGTTTCTGTCATTTAAAATGTATTTTTTTCTTTTCCATACTTATACTCATTTCTAGCACATTGGAAATTAGCATTGTCCTTCAGTTTGAATCATCAGTTTAATCTAAACAAATCTTGTTTTTTTCCTTTCTGTAGGGCAGACAACCATAATTGCTTAAGCAAGTAAAAAATAGATTATAAAATTTTCTAAGTATAAGTGCATTTAGAACAGAGTTTCTCAAAGTGTGGCCCACATACCACATATATCTGTATCACCTGACTGTTTTTCTAAAAATACAGTCCCCTGGGTCCCACCCAGGCCTTTAGACTCTCTGGTAGTGGGGCTCAGAAATCATCATTTTTGTATAAAACACAGGTGATACTTATGGACACCGGAGTTTAAGAACCCTGCCCTAGAACATCAACACAGTGATCTACAGCACTGGGTCTCAACCCTGGCTGTACATTAGAATCATCTGGCGCCCTCTTAAAACTGCTGCCATTCAGGACACACCTTGTATTAATTAAGTCATTAGCTGGGCGTGGTGGTGGGCACCTGTATTCCCAGCTACTCGGGAGGCTGAGGCAGGAGAATCACTTGAACCCGGGAGGTGGAGGTTGCAGTGAGTCAAGATCACGCCATTGCACTCCAGCCTGGGCAACAGAGCGAAATTCCATCTCAAAAATAAAATAAAATAAAATAATTAATTAAGTCAGAATCTCTGGCGGTGAGACCCTGGCATCTGTATGTTTAAAAGCGTTACCCAGGTGATCCTAATGTGCAACTATTATTGAGAAGCACTGATTTATATGTTCCACGGTAGAGATTTGAGGGTTTAATACTACTGAACAATTTGTCAAATCTCATAAACCCTTTCAGCTCAAAACATGTCATCTGTTTACTTTGGACTTTGAATTACATGTCCTAGAGTTAAAAGTTACTTACTGTGAGAAGAGACCAAGGTGCCTCTTGTTTGGCACTCAAAATTCCAAGCAACTGCCACCAATATTCTTCAGACAAAGAAGGTTGAGAGACACTAGCTGTGTGGCACAATGCTAGGCACTGCTGGCAGTACCGGAGGCAAACTACAGTAGTAGAAGGCATGGTTCTCAAGAAACTTAGCCCAGTTGAAGAGGCAAACCTGGGAGAAAACAGAGTGAAAAGTTCCATAAAAGCTTAACGTAATGAAGTACCAAGCTGCAGGACACCTGTTAAATATTAGTTCAGAAGTTCAGCAGAAGAGATCAGTGAGGTCTGCAGTGGTCAGGGGATAATTTGCCGGCAGGTAGGGTTTGAGCTGCTGCTTGAAAACATTTCAGTATTTAAATTGATGGTGGAACAAATGGACAGCTTCCTGGATGAAGAGTACGGTATTAGTTCAGATGACTTCAAATGCAAGTAACAAAATCCCCGAATTATCAGTGACTTAAACTTTTACAGATATTTGCTAGTCCACTTCTCTTAGTCTGCTCAGGCTCCTATAACAAAATACCATAGAATGGGTGGTTTAAACAACAAACACTGATTTCTCACACTCTGGAGGCTGGAAGTCCAAGATCAAAGTGCCAGCACATCTAGTGTCTGGTGAGGGCACTCTTCTTGGTTTGTAGATGGCTGCTTTCTTGGCTTTATCCTCACATGTTGAAAAGAAAGAGGGCTATGGTCTCTTCCTCTTCTTATAAGGACACTAATCCCATCATGGGAGCTCACCCTCAGGAACTTGTCTAAACCTAATTACCTCCCAAATGTCCCACCTCCAAATACCATTACATTGAAGATTAGGACTTCAACATATGAATTTTGGGAAATCACATTCAGTCCACAGCACCACTTCACAAGATACCGGGAGCTGGGCAGTCCCAGAGTTTGTGTAGCAACTCAACAATATCATCAGTAATTTTATCTTTTTGTTTTGACATCCTCATTGCAATGGCAATGTCTCCTCTCATGGTTCCAAGATGGCTGCCACACCATCAAGCACCACATCCTAACTCTAGTAACTTAAGCAAGAGATTGATGGAGCTCTTTTCTATGATCATCTCTTTTTCAGAGAGGAAAAATCTTTCCCAGAAACTCCCTCAGAGTTCTCCTTATGTCTCATTAGCCAGAACTAAGTCACCTAGTCACCCCTATATCCATCACTAGCAAAAATTTGCATGCATGACCGGCTTAAAACAATTATGATTCACCTCTTGGGGAACACACTGTCACCTGTAACATAATCAAGGTTCTGTTACTAAGGAAGGAGGGGGAATAACTGGTAGGCAACAAGCCATGTCTGCCACAGATGTAATGTGAATGAAAACTTATGCAGCAGTAAGGAGGCCAGCCAAATTAGAGCAGAGAATGTGTAATGTGAAAAGATCGGCTCGGTAGGGAGGAACCAGACTGAAGCCCTTAAAAGCCAAGCAGAAGAATCTAGAGTTAATATAATAGGAGAGAGAGGGAGAGAGAGCTATCAAAAGATTTTAAATAGGAGCAGGATGTGGTAAAAGCATTATCTGAGGAAGATCACTGTGACATTGGTGTGTAAATGGATTGGAATCAAGGAGACCAGCTAGATAATAAAGGCCTGGCCTAAGGTGGGAATAGAGTGCTAAGGATGGAGTGAAGAAAAATAATAAAAGGAAAATCAACAGAAGTTGATGTGTGGCTAGTTTGGGGTATGGAGGAGCTGGATTAAAGGTAATGTCAAGATTTCTAATCTGGGTGACTGGGAGAATGGTGGGAACAAAAAAAATTGGGAGGGACACCTGGCTTGGAGAAAAAGAGAAATGCTGAGTTTGGTTTAGGATATATTAAATTGGAGGTGTCAGTGAGCAATCTGAGTCGATGTGTTCAATGGGCAGATAGGCTTTTCAGGGATTAGAAATAGCACTTGGTGCTAGAGACCTTTGCACAATAGTGTCATGGTTAGGAGCAGGGATACTGGGGCTGGACTGCCAGAATTTGAAATCTGGTTTGGCTGCACCATTTACTAGACATGTGACCATGGGCAAGTTACTTAATTTTTCTTTTCTTTTTTTTTGGAGACAGAGTCTCACTCTGTCGCTCAGGCTGGAGTGCAGTGGTACAATCTCAGCTCACTACAGCCTCTACCTCCTGGGTTCAAGCCATTCTCCTGCTTCAGCCTCCCAAGTAGCTGGAATTACAGGCATGCGCTACCCCGTCTGGCTAATTTTTGTACTTTTAGTAGAGACGGGGTTTCACCATGTTGGCCAGACTGGTCTTGAACTCCTAACCTCAGGTGATATACCCGCCTCGGCCTCCCAAAGTGCTGGGATTACGGGTGTGAGCCACCGCGCCCGGCCCCAACTAGTGTTTTAATTTCTAAGAAGCAACTTCCTGCTGTCAGCTATGTCCTATTTCCTCCAAATTGGGGGGAGGGGGAGAGATGTGTGTCATAATTTGTATGTGGAGAGGGAGATCAGATGCACGAAGGGGATGAAGTGACTTTCCTAAGGTCGCATAATAATCTGATGGCTGGCCGGGCGCTGTCCACACCTGTAATCCCACCACTTTGGGAGGCCAAGACAGGCAGATTACCTGAGGTCAGGAGTTCAAGACCAGCCTGGCCAACATGGCAAAACCCTGTCTCTACTAAAAATACAGAAAAAATTAGCCAGGCATGGTGGCACACGCCTGTAATCCCAGCTACTCGGGAGGCTGAGGCAGAAGAATCGCTTGAACCTGGGAGGCAGAGGTTGCAGTGAGCTGAGATCGCGTCGCTGCACTCCAGCCTGGGTGACAAGAGTGAAACTCCATCTCGAAAAATAAAAAATAAATAATAAATAATAATCTGATGGCTGAGTGGGTTCTAAAAATCTAGTTCAGCATCACAACTGCTGGCCAGATGAGCAATGCTTATCTTGTGGCACGTTTCCAGTTTTCAAAACAGTGACATAAGTCTAAATGGTTTATTAAAATTCTCTATCTCAAGTACCCAGGGACCCAAACACTGCGGAAGGCTGCAGGGTCCTCTGCCTAGGAAAACCAGAGACCTTTGTTCACTTGTTTATCTGCTGACCTTCCCTCCACTATTGTCCTGTGACCCTGCCAAATCCCCCTCTGCGAGAAACACCCAAGAATGATCAATAAAAAAAAAAAGAAAATAAAAATAAAGTAAAATAAAATAAAATAAAATAAAATAAAATTCTCTATAAAATAAAGTGGTGTTGTTCTATGATGCAATCCCTATACTAACCACATGGTGATGCTGCAGACAGATCTAGAGATTTGAGGAAAAGGTGTTTAAGAATATTTTTTATGTTTGTAAATTATAGTACAGCTACACAAAGATTATGCAGGCTTTTAAAAGAATGAGGTAAAGCTACAGATTTGTAAGAATAATCTTCAAAATATGCCACTAAGTGAGAAAAGTAAGTCACTAAACAATATCATATTTGTCTATTTTTTTAAAAAAGCATGTAAATATATATGCTGGTACATATATGATTTTTCTCTGCAGTGTAAAAAAAAAAAGACCAATAGCAGTTGTTACTTTGGGCAATGGGACTGGGGTCCAAAAGAGGGGAAATGGTGGCTTTTTGGATAACTTTTTTTTGGGAGGCGGGGCGGTTCAATGATTCTCCTGCCTCAGCCTCCCAAGTAGCTGGGATTACAGACAGGCATGTGCCACCACGCTTGGCTAATTTTTGTATTATTATTTATTATTATTATTATTATTGTATTATTAGTAGAGACGGGGTTGCACCATGTTGGTCAGGCTGGTCTCAAACTCCTGACCTCAGGTGATCTGCCGGACTCAGCCTCCTAAAGTGCTGGGATTACAGGCATAAGCCACCGCACCTGGCTCATAACATTTTAAATGATTTGATTTTTAATAATTTACATTAATTTAAAACTCATTATTACAAAAAAAATCCATTCGTTGTACAACTTTACTGCAGAAATTAATAAAAATCTCTTCTCCTTCATCTTTTGTTTTTGTTTTTGTTTTTTTTTTGAGACGCAGTCTTGCTCTGTCTCCCAGGCTGGAGTGCAATGGCACAATCTCGGCTCACTGCAACCTCTGCCTCCCGGGTTCAAGCAATTCTCCTGCCTCAGCCTCCTGAGTAGCTGGGATTACAGGCACCTGCCACCACGCCAGGCTAATTTTTGTATTTTTTTTTTTTTTTTAGTAGAGACAGGGTTTCGCCATGTTGGCCAGGCTGGTCTTGAACTCCTGACCTCAGGTGATCCACCCTCCTTGGCCTCCCAAAGTGCTAGGATTACAGGCATAAGCCACCATGCCCAGCCCTCCTTCATCTCTTAACCCCATTCCCCAGAGGACAGAGAGCCCCTGCTGAGAGTTTGAGATCTCATTACTCAGAATGTGGTCTCCAGACCAGCAGCATCAGATCACTAGGGAAGTTGCTAGAAATGCAGATTCTTGTGTCCTATCCCGGAGCTGTTGAACTTCACAGTGGGGCCTAGTAATCTGTGTTTTAATAAGCCCTCCAGTGGTTGTGATGCATAAACCATTTTGTTTTAGCAGATTGGATCAGATCTTTTGGCAGGGGAGGTTGAGAATACTACTGGCCAGGAGAACAAACAACTCAAAATGGCATGTTTCCATTTATCCAGAGAACTCTGGCTGAAGAGTTGGCAGCCCCTTGAGCCCACTGTGACCTCGCTGTGGGGTTGAGCGATGACCATACTGTCATCCAGACAGTAGATATTAAAGGTATTATCCAGAAAAAAGGGACATGCCAGAAGGAGAAAGGAAAAAGAGGGAGGGTAGGAGAAACTAAAAAAAGGATGAGTAGGGAAAGGAAAAATGGGGCAGATAAAAAGATAATGCAAATTTAAAAAGTAAAGATTTTTGGTGGCAAATAGATGACACCAATACCTCAGGGGCACTCATTTATTTATTTTTATTATTTATTATTATTATTTTTTGAGACAGGGTCCCACTTTGTCACCGAGGCTGGAGGGCAGTGGCGCGATCTTGGCTCACTGCAAACTTCGCCTCCCTGGTTCAAGCAATTTTTGAACCTCAGCCTCCCGAGTAGCTGGGTTTAAAGGCATGTGCCACCACACCCAGCTAATTTTTGTACTTTTTGCTAGAGATGGGGTTTCGCCATGTTGGCCAGGCTGGTCTTGAACTCCTGATCTCAAGTGATCCATCCCTCTTGGCCTCCCAAAGTGCTGGGATTACAGGCATGAGCCACCGTGCCCAGCCCATTTATTTAATAACTATTTATTATTCTTCCATTCTAAACTTCTGCACCTTTAAGTTCATTTCCTCTGCTCATCCCCACATTTCATTGTCTATCATTTACCAAATCTGATAGGGTCATCATTTCTTACACCATTCAGTATGTTGACATGTAGGGAAATGTTTGCCAATGATTTCCTGCTCTTTGGCCAAAAAGTCATGCACTCTCAAAGGTGCTGAAAAGAGTCTTAATCTACCTATGATGGTAGGGGACAGTGTGGGGGGACTGCTGAGGAGTTTGTGCACTGGGGTGGTATGAGGTATATTCAGGAGCGCACATAAAAGCACCCTAGATACAGCGGTACCAACAATCAAGTCAACCTTTGTGAAGCTTAGATCGGAGGGGATCTCACAGATTTCCTCAAACACTAACCCCAGTCTCACGTATACATCTGCATCTACCACCGAAAGCCAAGGAAAAGCTCCTTCAATCTGGGGCAGGGTAATGGGAGACTGTATAAGAAAAGGGATCTTTCTCACAGTGTTTTTTGGAGAAAACATTAAACATTTCTGAGTATGGAAGCTCAGTGCAAACAAAGACTTGAGAATTTTTAGCCTATTTATGCTGACAAAATACCCAGCATGTATCTACAACTTTCAAAACATTGTTGTGTCTCACGACGATGCCTGTCCCAGTCAAGGAGCCAGCATTTGTATTTGCCTGAGGAAAAGGTTGTGATGGGGGTGAGGGTGGATTTCGCTTGTAAGGCTGCTCATATTTCACTGTGTTTATTTTTTTAATTTGATGACACCTTCAAGAGATAAAGGGCGACAATTTATTACACCAGATATTTGACAAATTGGGACAGTATTTTATTTTATTTTAATTGTTAGAGACAGGGTCTCACTCATTTGCATAGGCTGGAGTGCAGTGGCGCCATCAAAGAGCACTGCAGCCTCAACCTCCTGGGCTCAAGCGACCCTCCCATCTCAGCCTCCCTGGTATCTGGGACTACAGGTGTGCACCACCATGGCTGGCTATCCTTATATATAAATATATACATATATTTTCAGAGACAGGGTCTTGCTCTGTCACCCAGGCTGGAGTGCAGTGGTGCAAACATGGCTCACTGCAGCCTCCACCTCCTGGACTTGAACAATCCTCTTGCCTCAGCCCCCAAGTAGCTGGGACTACAGGTGCACGCCACCACCCCCAGCTAATTTTTAATTTTTTGTAGAGATGGGGTTTCACCATGTTGGTCAGACTGGTCTCAAACTCCTGAGCTCAGGCAATCTGCCTGCTTTGGCTTCCCAAAGTGTTGGGATTACAGGTTTGAGCCACTGCACCTGGCCAATTTTAAATAAATGAGCATTTACTCACATAGAATCCTTGAATTATAAACCTGATGCCAACTTAGAGATCATCTGAGGCCCACCAATATTGTTTTGGGGAGTTTTGAGAAAAACACCATGCCCAGGCCTGACTTCAGATAAACTGAATCAGAATCTCAAGGGATGGGACCAAGGGGAATTTTCCACTTTTAAAGCTCCACAAGTGATTCCAACATGCAGCCAGGATCAAGAAACAGCTCTAGTCTCATTATTTCATTTTACCAATAAAGATATAGAAGTTCAAACAGATGAAGTGACCTGCCTAAGATCACACTGCCAGTAAGTGGTGTCTCACAACCAACTCCTCTGACTGCTAACCCAATGTTCTTTCCACTATGTTCTTTTTTTGTTTCTTCTTATAGAAAGAGCTTAGGGTTTTACTGAACATTAAAGTTATGCGATTTACAATTGAAAGAGAAGAGCTAGAGTCCAGGAAGTATTGGTGGGGCATCTTCAGAGGGCTCAACTCAGTTGTGGGTTCTCTGAAGACTACTATGCCCAGGACATAGCTCCTGCCAAGTCTCATTGATGGCAGTCAAAAGACATTTTGCTAAAGGCAATGACTAACACTGTATGCAGTGTTCATTAGTCTTGTGTTGGGTCACTTGTTCACAAATTAGTTTCACCTATGGTAGTAAACATTCATTGACAAATGTTCTCACTTTCAGGAATTAATTACATTAAAGCAAACAATAGTGGGGCAGATCGGTGCTTCTTAATATTTGAATTAGGGTAGGGGTTAGGGCAAGGAGTCACAGGTCCCATTGGAGAACTAGTGAAAACTACAAACTTCCCCACAAAAATACACATACATAAATGTTGCATGTAATTTCTGAGGATTCACCGACACCTCTCCCATCCTGTCTAAACTCATACATAAACTCCAGATTAAAATCTCCTGGACTAGATGATTTTGAAGCTCTCTTTCAGTGTTTTTCTCAAAGTGTGGTCCATGGACCACAGAATCAGAATCACTTGGGGTGTTTGTTAAAGAAGTGATTAATAAGACTGCCACAGACCTACTGTTTCAGAATCTCTGGGGAATGAGGTACAGGAATCTGTATGTTAAAAAAAAAAAACCCAAAACCAGATGGTTCTTTTGGAAACTAACACTTGAGAATCAGTGCTTTATTCCAACTCAAGATTTTTAAATGCTTTCATCTGTTGAATATTTTAGGTTTTGTCTGTTCATCTATCAAGTATAGCAAACAGTATGCTTAGTATGAACTCATTACAGAATATTTGTGTGTATGTACATAGGAAAAATATCTGGAAGTATAGATGTGGGTGTGTGTATATATGTGTGTAAATATATATAATAATGTTAATAGTAGGAATACAGATGATCTCTATTTTTCCGCTTTATCCTTCTGTTTTATTTCTCTCATTTTTTTCTTCCTGTGTTTAAAAAAGATGCTTCTTGTTTCTGAGCTCAATTCCCCCACCTGAGAACAGGGTGCTGTAACTAGGTGAATTTCAAGATCATGTCTTGTTCCGATGGTCCGTGACTCCATACTACCCCCTAGGTTCCCTCGTCCATCTCACAGCATGAACTGCATAGGTAACAACAGTGTTTGGAGAATAAGCATGTATTATTTTTGTATGTATTACGTTTGAGATGCCTAGCAACCGTTTTTGTGCCCGCAAAATTTTTCTCTTCTTTGTCAAGGAGCCAAAACGGAAATAGTCTACTATCTACGGCCCTCAAAAGTTCCTCCTCTCTCCTTAGCCTTAGAAAATACCGTCCGCCATAGGCATGGGCAAAGACCTCATGGCTAAAACACCAAAAGCAATCGCAACAAAAGTCAAAATTGACAAATGGGATCTAATTAAAAGAACTTCTGCACAGCAAAAGAAATTAGCATTAGCGTGAACAGGCAACCTGCAGAATGGGAGAAAATTTTTGCAATCTACCCATCTGACAAAGGTCTAATATCCAGAATCTACAAGGACCTTAAACAAATTTACAAGAAAAAAACAACCCCATCAAAAAGTGGGCAAAGGATATGACCAGACACTTCTCAAAAAAAGACATTTATGCAGCAACAAACATGAAAAAAAGCTCATTATCACTGATCATTAGAGAAAGGCAAATCAAAACCACAATGAGATACCATCTCACGCCAGTCAGAATGGTGATTATTAAAAAATCAGGAAACAATAGATGCTGGCGAGGCTGAGGAAAAATAGGAATGCTTTTACACTGTTGGTGGGAGTGTAAATTAGTTCAACTATTGTGGCAGACAGTGTGGCGATTCCTCAAAAATCTAGAACCAGAAATACCATTTGACGCATGCACACGTATGTTTATTGCAGCACTATTTACAATAGCAAAGACTTGGAACCAACCCAAATGCCCATCAATGATAGACTAGATAAAGAAAACGTGGCACATATATGCCATGGAATACTATGCAGCCATAAAAAAATGAGATCATGTCCTTTGCAGGGACATGGATGAAGCTGGAAGCCATCATCCTTAGCAAACTAACACAGGAACAGAAAACAAAACACTGCATGTTCTCACTCATAAGTGGGAGTTGAACAATGAGAACACATGGACACAGGGAGGGGAACAACACACACGGGGGCCTGTCAAGGGGTGGGGGCCAAGGGGAGGGAGAGCATTAGGAGAAATACCTAATGCATGTGGGGCTTAAAACCTAGATGACGGGTTGATAGGTGCAGTAAACCACCATGGCACATGTATACCTATGTAACAAAGCTGCACATTCTGCACATGTATCCCAGAACTTAAAGTAAAATTAAAAAAAAAAAAAAAAAAGAAAGAAAAAGAAAAAGAAAATGCCGTCCGCGCATATCTCTCAGGAGCATAGGAAGGGCTGTGAACCAAAAAGCCAGGGCGTGGTCGCCCCGCCCACCGGCCGCTACATCACCACCCCTCTCGCCGCTTTCAAGCGCGGAGATTGGCTGTAAGCAAGAAAGAGCCCCGCCCCTAGTCTTATGACTCGCACTGAAGCGCCGATTCCTGGCTTTTGCAAGGCTGTGGTCGGTGGTCATCAGTGCTCTTGACCCAGGTCCAGCGAGCCTTTTCCCTGGTGTTGCAGCTGTTGTTGTACCGCCGCCGTCGCCGCCGTCGCCGCCTGCTCTGCGGGGTCATGGTGTGCTTCCGCCTCTTCCCGGTTCCGGGCTCAGGGCTCGTTCTGGTCTGCCTAGTCCTGGGTGAGTTGTCGGGCCCTCCCGATTAGTCTGTCCGCCTGGGCCCGGGGCACCAGTTCAAAGCTACAACCTGAAAGACTGGTCCGAGGGGGAGGGGGTTGAGAGGCTCAGCAGCTAACACTGGGCGGCGGCGGTTGGCCCGGGGAGGCAAGCGGTGACCTAGAGAAGGCCTGACCGACGGATGGCGGGGAAGAAGGGCCCAGGAGAGTAAGAAGGGGCCGGTAACGGGGGGTGGACGCCGAGGGAGTAGGCTGGGAGGAGTGAAGCGTGGAGAGGGTCAGCGTGGAAAGAGTAACTTGGGGAAAACACTGAGGAGTGAGCGTAGGAGGGTGGTACATGCAGATTTTGGGCGCCAGAGACAATTAGGAGAGTCTTGGTTTGCTGAGATCAGGGAAGAGTTTTGAAGATGGTGGAAAAACTATGGGGTGAGATAGGAAATTAAGAGAGAAGACCATGCCTGCCTGGAGTAGCTTGGGAGAAGTGTGTGGGTGGGGGACAGATGGGACAGATAGGACAGTAGAGCCTGAGGGGCAGGGGCAGTGACAGGGTTGGGCATTTTGAAGGTTGGAATTTGAGACTGTGAAGAAAGGATGATTCAAGAGATTAGGAGTGATGCTGGGTTTGAGTTTGGTAGTCATAGTTTTAAGGGCGAAGGAACCTAAGGTAGCTGGGGCAATTTCCAGGAAAGAAAACTTGGACCCAACCTCTGGAGACTAAGGGGTTCAGGGGGAACTTTGATGGGGAGTGCACATCTGACTTGGAGGTATTGAGGATGTCGATTTTCTCCCAGTTTTGCTACTTCCTCCCAGCCAGACGCTGACAAAAAAATCCCCAGACGTTTCAGTTAGGAGGGCCTCCCAGATGTGAGGTTTTGGGGGTGGAGTATTTGAGTTTGGTAGACTACCTCTTTGCCTTCAGAGTTTCTTCTTTTCTTTCTTCCCCATCACACAGCTAGCCTATTACCTCATATTTTGGGGGTGCAGGGAGCAGGTAGACAAACTTGCTAAGGATTGGGTTGTTACCAGGGCCTAAGAATGGCTGGATGGGGCCGGGCGTGGTGGCTCATGCCTGTAATCCCAGCACTTTGGGAGGCCGAGGTGGGTGTATCACCTGAGGTCAGGAATTCAAGACCAGCCTGGCCAACATGGTGAAACCCCGTCTCTACTAAAAATACAAAAATTAGCCGGGCGTCGTGGCACATGCCTGTAATCCCAGCTGCTTGGGCGGCTGAGGCAGGAGAATCGCTTGAACCCAGAAGGCGGAGGTTGCAGTGAGCCAAGATTGCGCCATTGCACTCCAGCCTGGGCGACAAGAGTGAAACTCTGTCTCAAAAAATAAAAATAAATAAATCAATAAATAAATGGCTGGGTGAATGTTCGCTGATTGTGTTGTGCCCTAATAGGCAGTGGGTCGCTAACAACTTTAATGCCTAAAAGTGAACTTTGACTAAAGTGTCTCTTCCTGACTTTGATTCATGCTGTGCTTGTTGCTACCCACCTGCTCTTGCTATTTGTGACTTAATAAAATAACATAAAGAACAGACCCAGATGGGAGTGGGGAAGAAATAGACATATTAGGGGTCTGAGAAAGCAGTGAGAGGTATACATTTTGTAATTCACATTTCAGTAGAATGAAATCAACACCCTGGAATAGTGATTCTCAACCAGGGGACATTTGGCAACATCTGGAGACATTTTTGGTTGTAACAACTGGGGGATTGCTTTTAGCATCTAGTGGGTAGAGGCCAAGGATGCTGCTAAACATCCTAACTAAGCACAGGGCAGCCCCTGACAACAAAGAATCATCTCCCTGAAAATGTCAATGGTGCCAACATTGATAAATCCTGCTCGAAAACCATAGTATTGGAAGGGTTCTTGATTATCTAATTCAGTGACTCTCGAGGACCTTTTCATGCGTCTGTGAAATCAAAACTTCGGAATAAGGTTAAGAAGGTATTTGTCCTTTTCTGCTGGGCACAGTGGCTCACGCCTGTAATCCCAGCACTTTGGGAGGCTGAGGCGGGCGGATCACCTGAGATCAGGAGTTCAAGACCAGCCTGACCAACATGGTGAAACCCAGTCTCTACTAAAAATAGAAAAATTAGCCGGTGTCGTGGCACATGCCTGTAATCCCAGCTACTTGGGAGGCCGAGGCAGGAGAATCGCTTGAACCCAGGAGGCGGAGGTTGCGGTGAGCCAAGATTGCGCCACTGCATTCCAGCCTGGGCAACATGAGCGAAACTCTGTCTCAAAAAAAAAAAAAAAAAAAGAAGTTATTTGTCCTTTGTCCTTTTCACTCTCATCCTCTCACCAGTGTACAGCAGAGTTTTCCAGTGGCTACGTAACATGTGATGACCTCACCACTCTGATGTTCTTATATTTTATTCATTTCTCAGTTTTAATTTCTAATACTGTAAATACCAATACATATGACTCACATAAACCTCTGTGAAGTCCTCAGTGGATAAGAAAGTAAAGGGGTCCTGACACCAAAACTTTGGGAATCCCTGATGTAGTCCAACTGTTCACAGCGCGCAGGAAACTCTTCTGTAGCACTTCTGAAAGGCGGCCTTGAGGCAGGCTTTGCTTGAATACTTAATTGGAAGCCTTAACTGTACCTTGGAGCACTTACTGAGGGCCAACTGACCCTAAGAAAGGATTGTTTACAATGGAAAGTACCTTATCAGTGACTAGAACACATCTGACCAAGGCATCTGTTAATCAGTAGTTCCCTGCCAATTGAATCTGTGCACAAATACAACACTGTTATTGTTTTGGGAAAGTGAAAAAAATAATAGTTGTCCTACTTGTTGGCTTTCATGTCATTAAATTTTTTTTTGTTTTTTAATGAAAGCTTTTTTGTTTTGTTTTTACAAAAGCAATGCTTACTCACTGCAGAAAATAAACATGCAAAAAGAAGCACATAAAAGAACCCATCAGCTCATCTGCTAGTTTGCCATTTATTGATCAGGACTAACTAGATTCTTCCTCTTGGAAAATTTCCAAGATTGATTCCCTCCGCCTCCAAGTTCAGAGCAGGATTTGGAAAAGTAAATATTAATAATGTACCTAGATCTGATTTTTAAGAGGTTCCAGGATGAAATAGAAACCATTTTTCTATACAGCTGCATTTTCTGATGGCTCTTGGTTCAGTGTGGAGCCCAAAGTCCTCCCATATAGCTTTTTCTGTCAAGAATTTAGCAGTTGCTTGGTGGGTTTTGCACAAGTTACTTTTCTATATCAAAATGGATACCAATAATAGGTTTTTGAAAACTTAATAAATATTTGTAAAGTACCTAATATGTAGCTAAATCAATAAATATTTGTAAAGTACCTACTATGTAGCTAGAACTGTGCCTGGGTACTGTACGGAGTGCCAATGAAGGAGGACCTGTCCTAAATTTATAGTCTTATTAGCATTAGTGCTCTAGCTGTGCCAGTTTGACTTTGTAACTTTATAACTCTATCCCAGCTTCACCCATAACCTTTTAAAAACAGCAGCTTTAGAATAAGTACAGAAAAGGATTCTTAGAGGCTATATATTGGTCTTTTTCATAGAGATTAAATTATGCTGGTGTTTATTTGGATGAATTGTAACTGACCAGACAACTTTCCGAAGAGAAGCTATATGATTTAGAGGTGTTATAAAGTGGATAGTGGGTGAAAATCCTTTCTTTATATAATTGCCTAATTATGGTCCTTTTGTGATATCATAGATTTCAGGATTCTTCTGTGGTTATTGATTCTTATAACTAGCTTGACTTCTGTTTTTTGGTTTGTTTGTTTGTTTTTTTAGGGTTCAGAATTTTTTTTTTTTAGGTTTGAGGCTTTTCTGGGTGGGAAAAACCTCACAGAAATATTCTTAGTGTATGTTACTGGTAGGAGCCTCTCCCTTCCACACGTTTACTGAATGCCTATTGTGTCCCAGCCACTATATTAGGTGAAAGGGACAGAGGAATGGATAAGACAGATGAGGTTCCTGCTCTCATGGAGCTTACATTTTAATGGGAGAAGAAAGCTCAACAGATAAATAATATAATGTCAGATAGTGATAAACACTATGAAGAGGCCGGGCATGGTGGCTCACGCCTGTAATCCCAGCACTTTGGGAGGTCAAGGTGGGCAAATCACCTGAGGTCAGGAGTTCGAGACCAGCCTAGCCAACATGGTGAAACCCCATCTCTACTAAAAATACAAGGGCATGGTGGCCAGCACCTGTAGTCCCAGCTACTCGGGAGGCTGAGGCAGGAGAATTGCTTGAATCCAGGAGGTGGAAGTTGCAGTGAGCCGAGATCATGCCACTGTCCTCCAGCCTGGGGGACAAGAGCAAAACTCTGTCTCAAAACAAAACAAAACAAAAACACTATGAAGAAAATTACACAGGTAATGAGAAAGGAGAATGAGTAGATGATAGGAATGGGTGATGGTGGATGATCCTTCTTTATATTATGTGGTCAGAGGGCCTTCCGTTATCGGGTGACATTTGGGCAGAGACCTGGGTGTTGGCAGGAGGCCAGCCATGTGACCATCTGGGGAAATAGGAATAAATCTTATCATTTGCAAAATCTTAGGTTACTAGCCTATTTTCCACGCTTTTTTGTTTCCCCCTAGTTTTAGTCAAGTCTCTCCTATGGTAGCAGTCTCTAAGAGCAGAGACGATCTTATGTACTGTTACTTCCCATTGCCTACCTAGCATAGGGTCTGGTACATGGTTAACCCGTAGTGAATTTTTGTTGAAGATATTCATTGGTGGGCACTAGGGATATGGTGGTAAACTAGACTCATTTAGTCTCCTTTTTCTTCCATGAATTTTAAATGATGTTTTGCAAGAAGTTCTTTTGGATTGAAAACTTCAAGATCAGTGCTAAGCAGTACGGATAATTATACAGTAATTTACTAATGTATAATCCCATATAATAATGCTAGTTTCTTACCTGTACTCCTTCAGATATACCTCCGTAGTCTCGAAGGGGGTAATATGGAGAATTAGGAGTTCCTTGGTGAGGAGAGTTAGGTTTTCACAAAGTTAGGTTTTCTCTGAGAGAAAACAAGCACTAAGATTTTTCTATAGGCTTAACACATTTCATTTAACTGATAACTTTGATTTCGAGGTTCTGCCAAATTATTCTAGTTATAATAGAGATACTGTAAAGGACTGAAAAATTCTGAACCCTAAAAAAAAACAAAAAAAAAACGAAAAACAGAAGTCAAGCTAGAAGATAAGAAAGGACAGGCTTGTTAGTTTGTTAGTCATTGATTATCACATCTGATAGGGTTATAGATATTCAAATATGTCCCAAATACCAGATTAGTTTGTTAGTCATTGATTATCATATCTGATAGGGTTATAGATATTCAAATATGTCCCAAATATCAGATTGTCACATCTGATAGGGTTATAGATACTCAAATATGTCCCAAAAGAACAGCTTTCTTCCCCTATATCTTTGGGTAGATTTTGTCTATAACCAAGCATTATTTCGTAGCACTGGAGCTGATTTAAATGACCCTTGATGCAGGAAGGCTGCTCTTCTTTCTGTAGTGCAAAAGTATTCTGATCATAATTTCTTATTAAAGTGATCAGAGATCCCCTCAGACCCAAAAGTATACTTTATAAGTACTTGTTGGTATCCTGCTGTGCATTGTGAAAGAATTCTGGAGGTGTGCCAAACACTGCTCAACAATAAGCACTTTCCATTAGTTGAGTAGTGTTGAATCTTGTTTCCTTACCCACTCTTTGGCCTTAACAAATTAAGTCATTTTATAGCTTAAAAACATATTTTTATTAACTTTTAATACTCTTTTTCATGTGTTCAACATTCTTACTTTAAAATCATATTGCTTTTCTCCTTTAAGAAACTTACCAAAAGCAAGGGTATAAAGTAACTGAATGCAATGAGTGTACCTATTATTAGGAATTATAAAGGAGAAACAGTTAATCTGACTTAAACTTGTAGGAAAACCATCACTCTGAATAGAAAACAAAGATAAATAGGTACCGTATGCCTCTGTGTCCTGTATTTTAAAAAGACCTTTTGCTCAACATCATTCTAAATTCATGAGTTTGAGGACAAGAGTCCAGAATTTAATATGATGAAAGTAAACATAAAGCTAAAACTTGGGAAGGTTCCCTTTAGGTGCTGTGTTTACTAAAAAGGAGACTTGTAAATTGGTATCTAACTTGTTTGGCAAATTTCTTTTAGCTCTGAAGGGTTTATATGCTTTCAAAGAACCTATTGGAGAAATATGCACTATAATTCTAAACAAGGGTAACTTGCCCAAAGTCTCACAGCTAGGAAGTTGGACTGCCAGATTTGAGTTCTAGCTCTTCCACTCCAGGAATGGGGACTCTTAATCACTTCATTATATAATCAATCCATTGTATCTTGGATCATTGTTTGGTTTCTTTTTATTGGTTTTGTTTTATTGCTAGCATTATGTTCTTCCCCCACCCCTAATTTTGTGTGTTTATGTTTTCAGCTATACTTTGGGTCAAATAGACTTGCAAAAACCTAGCCACTTTTTGCAGTGTCATACACTTGGGGAAGTAAGGTCTGTGTTCTCTGTGAGAGGTTTTTTTTTTTTTTTTTGACAGGGTCTTGTTCCATTCCCCCAGCTGGAGTGCAGTGGAGTGATCTTGGCTCACTGCAACCTCTGCCTCATGGGCTCAAGCGATCCTCCCATGTCAGCCTCCCGAGTAGTTGAGACCACAGGCATGCACCATCACACCCAGCTATTCTTTTGTATTTTTAGTATAGATGGGGTCTTGCCATGTTGCCCAGGCTGGTCTTGAACTCTTGAGCTCAAGTGATCTGCCCCCCTTGGCCTCCCAAAGTGCTAGGATTACTGGTGTGAGCCACTGCCCGGTCAAGGTCTGCATTCTAAAAGAATTTACAAATGACCTTTTTGGAAAACAGGATTGAGAGGATATTTGACTTTGAGAACGGTTGATTTTGAGGCATACCTTTTTCTTTTATTTAGAGAATAAACTCTCAGCTCTAAAATTACACACTCTAGAATATATTCATCTATGGTTTTTTAATGTCATAAAGCCTTTTAAAAATTGGGTATTGTAAAATCAAACACAGCAATAAGGATGGAAATTGCTTGCTAGATACTTTTTAATAAAGTGTAAATATTTCAACTGTAAACTTACCTTTTGGGAAAAGCTCTGTTCCTAGCTTGACATCCATGTCAAAATTTATTGAAGTGAAACCCAACATGGGGTTTGAGGGAATATCCAGAAGACTGATATGTTCAAGATTTGGAAGAGCTAAAGGACTGGCCTCTCTGTAATTAGATTAAGCTATGTTTTGGGTCCCTATTGCAGTGTGTTTTCACCTTGATATAATTAATCAGTATTTATTGAAAATCTAATATGCATTCAGCACTACTTGGAATGATAGGAGATAGAGGAAAAGTAATACACATGGTGTCCCCTACCATGACACTCATGATAGATGACATTCATATAAAAGACACACTGCTAGGGGTTGTGGGATACATCAGATCATCTGATCAAGGGAGCATACTGGAGTTCAAACGAGTGACAGAAATGTTATCTAAAGGGAATCTTGAATCTATCCATATATATCATTCATTCACAGACTTGGTACTTTTTTTATTAGTAACAAATTACTTACTGTATACTATAATTTACCATGGCACACCAGTTTGTTATGAAGTGACAGTTGAAAACTGCTGTGTTGGAGCTTATGACAGTAGGAGGGACAGGATTTACTGCTATAAAATAACTGAATAATTCAGGATAATGTAAAATATACTGAAATGGGATGTGCATTATTACTGCTCCTTGAGGGCTTTTATAGTCAGGGAAAGCTTTGTGGAGAAAATGGCTACTGAAAAAACAGATAGCATATCAGCCCAGGTTCTTAATTGCAAGGAAGAGAAATACAATCTGATTGATTTTAAGCAGAAAAGAATTTATTAAAAAGAACTGGGATATAATGCATACCCTTTGGCCCCACAGTTTCATTCCTAGATATACAGCCAACATACACGCATACATGTGTTTACTAATATGTGCAAGAATGTTTGCAGCAGTGTTTGTAATAGAATCACACTGGAAACTAAATGCCCATTAAAGGTAGCATAGATAAGTAGTTTTTTTGTTTGTTTGTTTTTGTTTTTTTTTGAGACAGAGTTTCATTCTTGTTGCCCAGGCTGGTGGAGTGCATTGGCATGATCTTGGCTCACTGCAACCTCTGCCTCCCGGGTTCAAACGATTCTCCTGTATCAGCCTCCTGAGTAGCTGAGATTACAGGCATGTGCCACCATGCCCAGCTAATTTTTATATTTTCAGTAGAGGTGGGATTTGGCCATGGTGGCCAGGCTGGTCTCGAACTCCTGACCTCAAGTGATCCACCCTCCTTGGCCTCCCAAAGTGCTGGGATTACAGGCGTGAACCACCCCACCTGGCCTGTATTCACCTGATCATAGAAGGTTATACAGCAGTGAGCACAGACTGCAATTATGCATAACATGGGTGAATCTCACAAAACCTAAAATTGAGGAAAGAAAGCAGACACAAAAGAGAGCATAGTGAATGATTTTATTTATATCAAGTTGAAAAATGGATAAAATTAATCTATAGTGTCAGAAATCAGGATAATGGTTACCCTTGGGAAGGGAATAGTAACCCTTGGGAAGGGAAAGGGAAATAAGGAGGGCTTTGGAAGTGTAGTTGACCCTTGAACAACACAAGTTTGAACTGTGTGTGGATCTACTTATACATGAGTTTATTTCACCTCTACCACCCTGAAGACAGCAAGACCAACCCCTCCTCTTCCTCCTCCTCGTTATGATTTTTTTTTTTTGAGACGGAGTCTCTATCTGTTGCCCAGGCTGGAGTGCAGTGGCGCGATCTCAGCTCACTGCAACCTCTACCTCACAGGTTCAAGCGATTCTCCTGCCTCAGCCTCCCAAGTAGCTAGGATTATAGGTGACCACCACCAAGCCCAGCAAATTTTTAGTGGAGATGGGGTTTCACCATGTTGGCCAGGCTGGTCTCGAACTCCTGACCTCAAGTGATCCGTCTGCCTCAGCCTCCCAAAGTGCTGGGATTATAGGTGTGAGCCACCATGCCCAGCCCTCCTTATGATTTTCTTAACATTTTCTTTTCTCTAGCTTTATTTTCAAAACACAGTATGTAACACATATATAACATACAAAATATGTGTGAATCGACTGTTTATGTTGTTGGTAATGCTTCCAGTCAACAGTAGGATATTAGTAGTTAAGTTTTGGGGGAGTCAAAAATAATATGCAGATTTTCAACTGTGCAGTGGGTCAACACCTGTTAATGTTCTGTTTCTTGACACAGGTGGTTTTGGTTTGTGAAATTATTTGAGCTGTAGACTTAATGTTACGTGCACTTTTCCCTTACATCTGTTATACTGTGCCTGTTTCTGTACATATGTTACATATCAAATGTTTATTAAAGGGGTATATTGGGTAACTCAGAATTTCTGGTGCTCCTGGCTATATATACCAAATCCCAGTTCAGGATTCAACAACCCAGATCATGCTGCTGAACTGCACTACCACTGCCAAGTGTGAAATTGAAGCTTG
Organism: Homo sapiens; assembly: GCF_000001405.40. Lineage (NCBI taxonomy): Eukaryota > Metazoa > Chordata > Mammalia > Primates > Hominidae > Homo > Homo sapiens. The sequence goes on along the minus strand of NC_000023.11, from coordinate 120,459,518 downwards.
CTCTGCTGGCCTTGTTGCCTGGGAGCTTGATCCTGCTTCTGTTACTCCACACCTGTCTCCCTCCCTGTTCCATTCCTGGCTCCATTTGCAGCCCTCCTTTCAAAGTGTGGGGTGGATACCTTTGTTAGGCAGAGCCTAGCACAAGTGGTCCTCCTTACTGCAAGGGAGTCTGGGAAAGCAAGTATCCAGTGTTTTCAGCTTTTATAGTGGGTGGTGATTTCTGCCAGAAATTGTAACAAGGGGACAAGGGGTGTTTCAGATTTGGGGCAGCCAAAAAGCGAGCAAAATCCATCTTTGAGGTGAGCATTTAGGCCAATAGAAGAAAGTAGATTTCAAGTGTTAGGAACAATAGAAGCCCAGGGTAGAGGTTGAATAGAGTATGGCATTTGAGCCCAGTGGAAACAAGTTTAACTGGATTAAAGGGTGTGCTCTGGGAAAATAGTTTGAGAAAAGTTGAAGGAATAGGATGGGACAAGATTAAAGATTACTTTGAAAGTCAGGCAGAGGAATTTAAATTTCATATGGGAATGTTGGAGCCAGTAAAAGTTTTTGAACAAGAAAGTGTCCTAAAAGGAAATGGTACTTAAGGATTATTAATCTGGCAGCACTTCTAGGGGTATCTAGGCATTTTCTGTCATAATTTAGGTGTGGGGTGATAGATTGGGAGTAGAAATAAAAGACAAAGATTGTATTTAAGAGAAGATTTGAAGGAAAAAAATCAATAGGACTTCTTGAAGAGAAAGAAGTAGAGGCTATTTCTGAAACTGAGCTTGAGTGACTGATCCCACTCTTCATTTAGAGCTAGCAAAGCTGAGGAGGGACCCAGTTTGGAGGAAGCAGAAGAATGAATTTTAGTTTGGGAATTGCTGAGTTTGAGGTGAGAGATATTGAGTAAAAGTGGTCCCTGTGCAGTTAGAGTTGGGGACCAAGAAGTGGAAAGAATTGCACTCAGGCAGAAAGGCTGTGAAGGGAATGGAACAGAGTGTGCCAGAACCCTCAGGGTGTTTCTCAGCTCTTGTTTACGGGCCACCAGGTATACTATCTTGAATTTAATTTTAAGTGATACGTTTGAACCACAACCTCTACCTTTTGTTTCATAAAACGTCAGTTCTCACACCCTAAGACACATTGATGCAAGCTATCGATGCTATTACTATTTTACATGGTCTTCTTCCTGTTATTCTAATATATTTGGAAAGAAAATGATTAATACATGTGAGGCTTTTCTTGGTAATTTTCAATACTTTTGAATGTTTTGAATACAAGGAGAATAATATACTAAAGCTAGAGACCTTAAACAAGACCGAGAAAAGACTGCATATAAAAAGCAAACCTCCAGTTCATTAAAATTGTAAGTTGGAGCTCTTGGCTCCATGGCAGGGAGCCTTGGATCAGTAAGTATAACAGCTCCCTTCCGTATTGTACTTAGAAAAGAATGATCATAAAACCTACTTAGGCCTCACAAGGTCTTTTTGAGCCTTAGCCAATGCATTTAGTCACTGTCAGTAACCACAAGCTTTAGTATAATATTCTGGCTTGCAAAGCAGCCAGGTCTCCAGAGCATGACGATAGGCTCTTCTATACAACTTGAAAGCTGTTGCTGAGGCATACCTTCTTGATATTCCTCTTAGCACTTTTCTCTAGTCTATAGCAAGTCTGTACCTGTAGATGACAGTGGATTGCTCAGATATTATTAAAGAGTATGCAAGTATCTTAACAGGAAACAGCTTACCCTTTGGGTAATGTGTGATACAGTGAAGAAAATCCCTTAAATGGTTGCCCAATATTTATGCTGCTGGCATGTTTGCTGGGATATTTTTTCTCCTCTGAATTAGTATTTTGAGTCCTTGGGCTCTTCAGTTTAATAGATAATGTTTCTATGTTTAAGTGTAGAAGATCCACCATGTTAGCTGAAAAGTTCCAAGGCTTTTCTGTCTCTGTAACATTTCTCTGCCTAAAGAGGTAGCAGGTTGAAAATTTAGGAAATAACTTTGCGTCAAAAAATTCATCAGCCTTTCTAATCAATTCGATTTTAAAGTGAAACAGTGATGAACTTTGCATTTATCAGAATTCATGTTTTTCTCATGGATTTAACAGCCCTTTGCAACTCTGCTTCCTTGGTTACATGATAGAAAGAGTATCTGATCACATCAGAATAAAATCGTTTGGGAAGACATCCGTGTGTCATAGATTATGTAGCTTGCAACAGGATTTAAAGCAAAAAGATGGTAGAATATCGGATCTATCATTATTTTTGCAGTGAATGTTTCACCAGCTGGTTTGAGAGAAGTTTTACACCCCTACCAGGCTTCCTCTTACCTCATTTACCGCAAAAACCACAAGTCCTAACAGGCAAACTGTAATTGCCTAAAACAAAACTAGTAAGGTATAAATGCATGTGGAAATGATTATTTGAAGGCAAAAGGCAAATAAATGTCACCAGTCTGAGCCATGACCTAAGCATCCTAGGTCTAGTAACCATTCTTTTGGTAAGGGATAATGCCAACTTTTTTATCAATAGGATTCTGTTAAAAATACAAAGAAAAACAGTCAGCAGGATACTGTATCTATACACATACATATATGTATATACACATATATGTATATATATGTATGTGTATATATAGATATAAAATACTTTTGTTTCATTTTAGAGCTGGTTGAACTTCAGTGGTGGGTAGAGCTTGTTTTTAATTTATATAATTTTTGTAGTACAATTTTAAAATATTATTTTTTTAAATGAATCCAGGAGCTGTGCGGTCTTATGCATTGGAACTTAATTTGACAGATTCAGAAAATGCCACTTGCCTTTATGCAAAATGGCAGATGAATTTCACAGTACGCTATGAAACTACAAATAAAACTTATGTAAGTATATATTTTAATTTTTCTTTGAGTTTTATAGTAGGAATTTAATTGACTTTATCCTTTAGATACACGTATACAAATGAAATTCCACGTTGACTGACTTAATGCTGAAACTCTGGGATTTTTTTTAAGCATACACACTCAGAAGTTATTCTGTTTAGTGTTAGAATGAATATTTCTTCTGATTCATTGGTTCTTGGGAGTTTTTGTAGGACTTGATTAAGGGCAAATGATCTGAAGACGACTATATGGTGTTCAGGTCTAAGTATTTCTGTAAAGTGTTTAAAATGTACTAGCACCAAAGCTTGCCCTTTTAAAAAGCAGCTTCCCATCTGGGCATGGTGGCTCATGCCTGTGATCCCAGCATTTTGGAAGGCCAAAGCAGGAGGATTGCTTGAACCCAGCCCGGGCAACATGGTGAGACCTCATCTCTACAAAAAAACTTTAAAAATTAGCCAGGCATGGTGGCACACACATGTACCTCCAGCCACTCGCTGGGCCGAGGCTGGAGGATTGCTTGAGCTCAGGAGGTTGAGTCTGCAGTGAGCCATGATTGTGCTACTGCACTCCAGCCTGGGCAACAGAGCGAGACTCTATCTCAAAAAAAAAAAAAATCGCTTACTTAGGTTGGTACAAAAGTAATTGCCATTAAAGGAACAAACCACAATTACTTTTGCACCAACCTAAGTAAGCGATTTTTTTTTTTGGCACAAACTGCAATTACTTTTGCACCAACCTAACACTAAAATCTCCCCCTTTTTGACATCTCCTCTTAATTCCTTTGCCTTCTTATTTTCTTTTTGTTAAGGTCCTCACTACTTACAACCTAATTTTTTAAAAAATCAGTTTAAGAACAGCAGCTCAAGCCAGTTTTCCTTTTCTTTTTAGACATACACGAATTTATCCAGAGGAGTGGTATGTAGCAGAAGAATCAGGGACTGGTTTACACAGCAAACCAGGCAAAGGGCAACCTGGCCATGGAGAATGTATGATTTAGGCTGAAGTGGCATGCCCTACATAAATGCTTGGTGTTCCTTGCTGCCTGTTTGTTTCTCACCCCCAAATTTCTATTTCTTTTAGAAAACTGTAACCATTTCAGACCATGGCACTGTGACATATAATGGAAGCATTTGTGGGGATGATCAGAATGGTCCCAAAATAGCAGTGCAGTTCGGACCTGGCTTTTCCTGGATTGCGAATTTTACCAAGGCAGCATCTACTTATTCAATTGACAGCGTCTCATTTTCCTACAACACTGGTGATAACACAACATTTCCTGATGCTGAAGATAAAGGTAACCTTAAGAATGGATTTGTGTTATGTTCTCTTGCTTTTTATTAATGATAAAAATGTAAACAATTTTAAAATTGTTATGAATGTCTGTCTTCCTAACTAGCATGGAAACTTCATGTCTTTATAACCCTCCCACTGACCCCATGCATGGCACATATGACACCATCCAACATACTGATGATATTTGCTGTCATTGCTTGAGTGACTTACTGTATACCAGGTATTATCCTAGTATACAGTAAGTCACCTTACTATATATATCCTAGTATACATATATATGTGTATATATATACATATATATGTATATCCTAGTATATATGTATATATATATATACACATATATCCTAGTATATATATACACACATATCCTAGTATATATGTATATATATATCCTAGTGTGTGTGTATATATATATATATATATCCTAGTGTGTGTGTGTGTGTATATATATATATATATCTCCTAGTATACAGTAACACACCTAGTGTGTTACCTGCAGCATCTCACTTAATTCTTAACAGCAACCCTGGGAAGTAGATGTTGTTTCATTTTTACAGGTAAAGGAAATGAGGCTTGATAAGATTAAATGACTTTTCCAAACATCACACAGTCTGGTAAGTGGGCGAGCTGGTGTTTGAAGCAGTCTATTGACCTGCAGAATTCATATACTTAACTATTATTGATTTCATTCAGTAGTGTGCATGAAACAAAGGTTTGATGAATGAGAAAATGCTTTACTAATAGCTACTTTATTTTCAAGATCGGGGGTTGGGGGGGGTGTCTCACTATGTTGCCTAGGCTGGTTTTGAACTCCTGGATTCAAGCGATCCTCATGCCTCACAGCCTCCTGAATAGCTGGGACTACAGGCATGCACCACTGTGCCTGGCTACTAATAGCTATTTTAAATGTGTAAAAGTTAAGTAACCTGAGACTAGGAGAAATGCCTCTTGTTCAAATCTTTTTATCATTTAGGTTGGATTTTGATTGAAAAGTAAATGATGATTAGTTAAAGGTGTAGTAGTCCCTCATTACACTCAGGGGGTATCATTCTAAGATCTCCCGTAGATGCCTAAAACTGCAGTTACTACTAAACCCTATACAGGAAATGCTATGTTTTTTTTTTTTTTTTGATCTGATAACTGACATGGCTACTAAGTGACTAACGGATGGATAGTGTAGACAACGTTGATATACTGGACAAAGGGATGATTCATGTTCCTGGTTGTGCAGAGCGGGACAGCAAGAGATTTAATCATGCTACTCAGAATGGCGTACATTTTAAAACCTATGAATTGATTACTTTTGGAATTCTCCATTGAATATTTTCAGAGCTCAATTGACCATGGGTAACTGAAACCAGGGAAAGCAAAAACCGTGGATAAGGGGAGACTAAAGTCAACATTTGCTGTTATTTTAAGACAATTTCAGGTCAAAATGAACTTGGGAAGCATTGGCAATTAGGCCATTCTAGTAATTCCCAGAACTGAAATGCGTGTTAAAATATTTTGAAGATATAGAGTGTAGAGATTTTATTTTATTTTATTATTTTGAGCTGGAGTCTCGCTCTGTCGCCCAGGCTGGAGTGCAGTGGCCTGATCTCGGCTTACTGCAACCTCCGCCTCCCAGGTTCAAGCAATTCTCCTGCCTCAGCCTCCTGAGTAACTGAGATTACAGGTGCGTGCCACCACGCCCGGCTAATCTTTGTATTTTTAGTAGAGACAGGGTTTCTCCATGTTGGCCAGGATGGTCTCGAAATCCTGACCTCACGATCCACCCACCTCAGCCTCCCAAAGTGCTGGGATTACAGGCGTGAGCCACCGCACGTGGTCGAGATTTTAATTTTGTTAGGGATATAATTCTCTTCTTTCTCCCCCTGCCCGTTGAGATTGAGTTAATGTGGTATTTGTAGTAGCTTAGCTCTTTGCAGATAGTGTTTCATTCTGACCCCAGAAACAGGTAGATGGGCTTTAGTTGCCTAGACCTGGGGATTAATAACTCATTTGGACTTAAGGATGTCAAAAGATCCTATTCGAAAGAACCAGAAGTAAATAAGCTCACGTAAAATTTGGGAGGTATTGCAGAATGAGACTTGGAAATCAAATCCTAGTGTTCTTTTTACTAATCTCTTAGTTTGAGAGTATAACTAAAGCAAATGGTTATTGGCTATCTTATCAGTTTATCTTTGTGCCCTGTTTTGCCTTTCAGAGCTAGTATAAGATATGCCCCTCACTTTCAAGTAGCCTAAGAATGAGCTGGGGAGACAAAGCTAAATGCTATTCCCGAGTTACATGGAAAAATTGGAAAACATTGAGCTCAGTCTGATTTTGTTGTTGTTGTTTGCGTTTTTGTTTGAGGGAGTAGAGGGTTCATAAATCTCTTCTGACAGTGTGAGGAAAACTTTAGACTCCCTCTCAAAAAAGAAAAAGTACACAGTAAACTTTGCATATGGAACATAGTCCCTGAACCCATATGTAGATCCCTGTGGTTAAGAGTGCCTGATTTAGGTCGAGAATGGTAGCTCATGCCTGTAATCCCAGCACTTTGGGTGGCCGAGGCAGGCTGATCACTTGAGCCAGGGAGTTCAAGACTAGCCTGGGCAACATATTAAGACTTTGTCTCTACAAAAAAAAAAAAAAAAAAAAAGCCAGGTGTGGTGGCGTGTGCCTGTGGTCCCAGCTACCTGGGTGGCTAGGGTGGAGGATCGCTTGAGCCCAGGAGGTTGAGGCTCCAGTGAGCTGTGATCCCACCACTACACTCAGCCTGGGTGACAGAGAGAGAGAGACCCTGTCTCAAAAAAAAAAGAAAAGAAAAAGAAAAGACTGGCTGATTTAAAAGTGTTCCCGTGTTCCCACAAGTGGTCCTGATTAGGAGGAGTGATAAAGGAAGGCTCAGTGTGTGTTAGAGTAGTGAGAAAGCTTGGTAGAGAAGTAGGACCTGAGCTGAAACTCAGCTAATGGTAGAATTTGAGTAAGCGGAGGATTTTGAGCAGGATGTTTCCAGCAGGGGGAAGCATAGCATATGCGGCAGTAATTGGAGAGCTGCCTGATTAAATCAGGCTGTGTGTGTAGCAGAAGGAAAATAAAGTTGGCTAAATGAAGTGGGCCTAAATTATAGGGGGCCTTGGAAGCCAAGGAAAGACATTTAGCTTGATGGGGCAGGCACTGGGGAATCATTTTAGGTTTTTAAAGCAGGAGAATGATATAACAAAAGCAGAGACAGTAGCTTATAAAGAATATTCTGCAGGATTAGTTGAGAAGTGAGGAGGCTACAAGCAGAGATGCTGGCTTAAGAAGCTGTTATAGTAATCAAGGGCTGATGTAATAAATGCCTGGACTACAGGGGCATCAGTTGTTAGCAGTTATTAGGAGGAGGTGTTTAATCTGACATATTTGGATAGAAAAACTATGGACCCTGAAATGTTAACACTTCTCTCTTTCCCCTTTTATTTAAAACAAAGGGAGGATTACTTTTTAAATTACTACCTTCTATATAATAATATTTGAAACTATTTGGAATGTTAAATGGCTTCCTGAAATGGACTATTAATAATTGTTTTTGATATAGTTCAGTGTTTCAAGAATACTAATTTATGGCTGGGCGCAGTGGCTCACACCTGTAATCCCAGCACTTTGGGAGGCTGAGGCTGGTGGATCATTGGAGGTCAGGAGATTGAGACCAGCCTGGCCAACATGGTGAAACCCTGTCTCTACTAAAAATACAAAAATTAGCCGGGTGGTAGTGGTGCGTGCCTGTAATCCCAGCTACTCAGGAGGCTAAAGCAGGAGAATCGCTTTAACCTGGGAGGCGGAGGTTGCGGTGAGCCAAGATTACGCCACTGCACTCTAGCCTGGGCAACAGAGGGAGACCCTTCCTTACCCACCCCCAACAACAACAAAAAAAACTAATTTAGGCCAGGTGCAGTGACTCAACGCCTGTAATCCCAACACTTTGGAAGGCCAGGCAGATCGCTTGAGCTCAGGAGTGTGAGACTAGCCTGGGCAACATAGCGACATTCTGTCTCAAAAAATAAAAATAAAAAACTACTAATTTATTTTTAGGCATCTGATAACTGAAGTAACATTGAAGCTGCTTTTTTCTTTTTTAAATTTTTTTCGTGATTAAAATATAGAAATGTACTGGCCAGGTGTGGTGGCTCGTGCCTGTAATCCCAGCATTTTGGGAGGCCAAGGCAGGCAGATCACCTGAGGTCAGAAGTTCGAGACCAACATGGTGAAACCCCATCTCTACTAAAAATACGAAAATTAGCTGGGCGTGGTGGCGTGCACCTGTAATTCCAGCTACTTGGGAGGTTGAGGCATGAGAATCGTTTGAACCTAGGAGGTGGAGGTTGCAGTGAGCTCATATCATGCCACTGCACTCCAACCTGGGCAACAGAGCAAGACTCCATCTCAAAAAAAAATTATATATATATAAGTTACGTATATAATAAGGGTTTTTTAAAAGGCTCTACATATACATATATATATATAAAGATTATATATCTATAAAGATTATATATGTATACAGAGAATAATATAGCAGACCCATATGTACCCATTATCCAGAATTAATAAATGCTGTTTTTTTAATGTTTGTGTTACTTTTTTGATTAAAAAGATAAAACGTTGACAATACAGTTGATATTTCCTTTGTCTTCATTCCCCAGACCCATTTTCCTTCTTGCCTGCTAAGAGGCAAACACTTTCACAAATTTGGGGTATAACCTTCCTGTCTTTATGTTTGTCTTTTACTATATAAGTACGTGTTCATAAACAATACATAGTTTAAAAAAAGCTATTCATAGTATAACTCCAATATGCCTGCAAGTTGTTTTTTTGCTGATTTGCTTTTGAAGTCCATCTATATACAGCCAGTCACGTATCTATTCATTTTTGTTAACGGTGAGAAGCAATTCTGGGAAAAATGTTCTAGTTCATTGGTTTTTTGTTTTGTTTTGTTTTTTAATTCCTATGGCCATTAGGGGGTGCCAAGGCAGCATTATATGGCTGCTTGCTACATGATGGAGAGGCACAGAAGGCAGCCTATATTAAGGACCTTGGATACTTTCCTTTCTTGCTACTTCTCCAAAAGAAGCCAAACCACTTGGGTGATCATCGTCTTTTGAAGTTTCACTATACACAGGCTAATAAAAACTATATGAAATGGCTGTAACTTACTGCTTTCATACTCTGAAGATTCCCTGAAATGGAATCATCTTTAAATGTAATCCAGGAAGCGGTTCTATAAGCTCATTGGAGTTAATATAACTTACTTGGGACTAGTAAAACAAAAATAAGGATTTACTATACAAATGTATGATTAATCCATCTCTCTTGCTTCTTTAGTTATAGTCACTAAGTCCTGATGATTCTACCATAGATAAGTGTTTTCAGTTTGGCTTCTTTGCTCTCTTTCTACTGCCCCACACCATCTTAGTTTAGGCAACCCTCCCTTACCCTTCACCTTAACCAGACCATCACCCTCTGGTTTCCCTCTTAAGTGGCTTCCCTGAAAAGTTTTTCCCCCTGCTTATCCCCTACAAATTTGCTATCTTCCTTAAAATAAATTATATATGTGTTATTTTCTGCTTTAAAAACTGAGGCTAGCCCTCGACTGCTAAAAAGAAAAGCCCAAACAGGCCTTAGATCATAGAAGATGCTTCAAAGTATGATCACCTGCAACTTGTCTTTCCTTCTTAACCCCCATTTCTTTTCCTTTTTTCTTTCTTTTTCTTTTTTTCTTGAGACAGAGTTTTGCTCTTGTCATCCAGGCTGTAGTGCAGTGGGCGATCTTGGCTCACTGCAACCTCCGCCTCCCGGGTTCAAGCAATTCTCCTGCCTTAGCCTCCCAAGTAACTGGGATTACAGGCACCTGCCACCATGCCCAGCTAATTATTATCTTTTTAGTAGAGACGAGGTTTCACCATGTTGGTCAGGCTGGTCTCAAACTCCTGACCTCAGGTGATCCACCCACCTCGGCCTCCCAAAGTGCTGGGATTACAGGCATGGGCCACTGTGCCCAGCCCCTAACCCCCATTTCTTCTTCCCCCTTACTCCTTATGTTTTAGCCACAGTGAACTAGTCATGCCCTTAAGCATGCTATATCCTTTGTCACTTTGTGCCTGGGGTAGGGCAGGCAGAGAGAAGAAGAAAGCCTATACAAATATATTTATATTATCACTTTTCTCCTACCTTCTTGGAAATAGCCATTGTTAATCTTGTTTTATAGGAATTCTTACTGTTGATGAACTTTTGGCCATCAGAATTCCATTGAATGACCTTTTTAGATGCAATAGTTTATCAACTTTGGAAAAGAATGATGTTGTCCAACACTACTGGGATGTTCTTGTACAAGCTTTTGTCCAAAATGGCACAGTGAGCACAAATGGTGAGTAAAGTATATATTTCTCTACTTGGATCCTAATTTAAGAGTAGAGTATACCAGGTAGCTTTCATTGAAGTCATTATCTGAAAGCATTTATATATTAAGGTTTATTCATAGCTTCTACTAGGCTATAAAGTTTTTGTAAATAATAGCAATTCTTATTTTTGTGTATCTTACAATTTAAAGTTTTTGATGTACATGTTGTGGAATGGTATTTTAAAAGACACTACCTATACTGTTCTCAGCTGATAAAACCTAATCATTGTTTGAACAGATCCTCAGATAGCTTGATTATCAGCTTTTTTAGCGGTTCCAAGACCAAAGCTTAGAAATCAGATTCATATTCTAATCTTGAATTTTTAAAGTTGATTTTATAATTTTTATATAGCTTTATGGAAAGGTAATAATTTCTCATTCACCAGTTCTGGAAAACTATGAACACTTCCCAAGAAGAGGTTGAAATGCCTATGATTTGCCATAGGGCTAATGCAAATAAATGGTTCATTTGTATTTAAGTCCTTTGATGATTTCTAAGCTTTTTTCTAGTAAACAGTATCCTTCCTTATGGTGATTGTATGTGGGAATAAAGAACCAAAAAATTTAAGACTTAACTCTCTGAATTTCGTATCAGAGGCAGGCAAAGTTCTTTGGGAATAAAAAGATTTAAGGGTCTGAAAAAGACGAGTATGTGGCCATGTGGGAGCAGATAAAGCATAGGGATGTGTCCTGAGTTTGCTGTGTCATAACTCATGTAGATATTCTGTATATGAAGCAGCAGTTTAAGAACCTCTGCCTAATTTAGTTTCAAATATACTAACAAGATATTCTCTTCCCCTAATATAACCCTTTTGGACTTCTATTATGAGAATTTTTTTTGGTTTTCCCTGGCCTTATGAATTAAGAAAATGTCCGCTTTGGTTTCTTTTGTCCCTTTTCGCTTGTTTTAGAGTTCCTGTGTGATAAAGACAAAACTTCAACAGTGGCACCCACCATACACACCACTGTGCCATCTCCTACTACAACACCTACTCCAAAGGAAAAACCAGAAGCTGGAACCTATTCAGTTAATAATGGCAATGATACTTGTCTGCTGGCTACCATGGGGCTGCAGCTGAACATCACTCAGGATAAGGTATAGGTGTCTATCTTTATCAATACATCCTTTTTGCATTTCATTTCAAATATTGCGTATCCTACCTTCAGCCCAAAGGTAGTGTTACTAGAATGATTCCGTTTTCTTTTTGTTTGTTTGTTTGTTTTTTTGAGATGGAGTCACGCTCTGTCCCCCAGGCTGGAGTGCAGTGGTGCGATCTCAGCTCACTGCAAACTCCGCCTCCCGGGTTCACGCCATTCTCCTGCCTCAGCCTCCCGAGTTGCTGGGACTACAGGCGCCTGCCACCATGCCCGGCTAATTTTTTGTATTTTTTTAGTAGAGATAGGGTTTTACCGTGTTAGCCAGGACGGTCTCGATCTCCTGACCTTGTGCTCCGCCCGTCTCGGCCTCCCAAAGTGCTGGGATTACAGGCGTGAGCCACCACACCCAGGTTTTTCTTTCTTTTTTTTCTGAGATGGAGTGTCACACTGTCGCCCAGGCTGGAGTGCAGTGGCATGATCTTGGCTCACTGCAACCTCCGCCTCCAGGGTTTAAGTGATTCTTCTGCCTCAGCCTCCCGAGTAGCTGGGGTTACAGGCGTGCACTGCCATGCACAACTAATTTTTTTGTATTTTTAGTAGAAATGGGTTTTTACCATCTTGGCCAGGCTGGTCTTGAACTCCTGACCTCAAGTGATCCACCCGCCTCAGCCTCTCAAAGTGCTGGAATTACAGGCGTGAGCCACCGCGCCCAGCCTGATTCAGTTTTAAATGGAGATTTCATGTTGGCTTGTTGAGCTTTGATTAGTTAGGAGTTACTATAACCATGATGTGTTAATGTCACTTTCAGGTGTTGTGTTGGCCGGCAGAAAACCTAGCAGTTTAAAGTACTCTTGGGGGTTTAGATTCTATTTGCCATCAGTGGATCAGAGTACAAACAATTGGCCTTTATTTCAGTCAGTTTAAAATATAACTCCTTCACACTTTGATCTGAAATGCACTGTAGGTTGGCGTACAGGAGTGGCACAGCTATCCGTTTCTCCAGCTATTTGATTACTCGGATCGTGTAGACATGCCCGAGTACATGATGGCACTTCTAGTTGCAATGTTCCACTCAGGCTGTAGAGGGATTGCCAAGAAACAAATCCGATTTCCAGGATCTTGTGACTTAAACAAGCGAGGCAGATGGCTCTTGTGCTCCATAAAAATGTGTGTTTTCATTTGGCTCATTACTGTAGAAGCTTCCCTCTTGTTTTTTTTTTTAAGTTGTCTGAGTCATAGCTTGAGGACCCATGCCAACTTTGTTTGAAAGTGAAGACACCATGAATTTTAAGTATCCAGACAAAAGATTTTTTGTTCTACGCTGAAGTTGATTTTGTTTGGTAGAGTGTAAGGCTTTGCTGGCCACTTTTATAGCTAACCTGTACCTTTTCCCTTTCTTCTTCTCCTGAAGGTTGCTTCAGTTATTAACATCAACCCCAATACAACTCACTCCACAGGCAGCTGCCGTTCTCACACTGCTCTACTTAGACTCAATAGCAGCACCATTAAGTATCTAGACTTTGTCTTTGCTGTGGTGAGTAACAGATTTTTTAAAGTTAGGTTCATTCTCTTAGAAACACATCTGAAAGTCTAAATAGTTGCATGGGGGGAGGGGGGTATTTAGCTTTATTTTCCAGTTCTACAGTACTCAATTATAAAGTGTAGTCCATTCATCCCTGTTCATCCCTCAGAGTCTGTGCAATGGTCTGTGGACTGGACTCTTGCATTAATGTTCACCAAGAGTGGCCATTTTACCATTAGAGAGACTCTAGGGTAGAAGCAAGAATTAACTCACATCAAAAAAAAGAAAAAAACGAAACCCACAATTGTCTAATCTATCCATACATAAGTAATTTCCATGATAATTTTTTCTCTGTTATTGGTTAGGTAGTGCTCATGTTTTTCTGTGATACTATTTGAAGCCATTTGGAGGCTATATTATTTGTGATAGTGTCAGTAATAAAAATAGGTAACATCTATTGAGTACTTACTATGTACAAAGCTCTGTGTTAAGTGTGTATATGAATTCATTAAATCAGGACAATTTATAATGGCAGCATTCAGGTTTTTGTTGTTGATCAAGAGCTGAAACCTAAACAGAAGGTTTTGGGTTAAGCATACCTGTTCTACTTCTTGCTAGCATAAATTAATCATCGGGGATCTTTATTTCCACCTTCTCAGAAGCAACTATTATTCCCATAATTTCTGTGAAGGGATGTATGTGTGAACATGTTGTGGCAAATGAGACTGGTGGAATAGAAGATAGCTGTAAGTGAGGGAAAATGTTGAACCACCAACTATTCTCAAACTAAAAATATTGTATAATTAGATAAAAACCAGTTCTGTTTTTAAATCAGATTACTGTGTTTGGGGATGGGGAAATAATCTCAACATCTGATATATAAAAAGTAGGTATGTTGTTATTTCATATGTGATCTTGGTATTTTGAGTCTAAAGCACATTTTTCTCTTTAGAATATATGCCGAGTAATTGAGGATTACATTAGGCACTTGTATTTTGGAAAGGTTTACAAAAATGTTCCTTTTTCCAGCATTCAAATAATTCCTCTGTTAAAGTACCATGTGACCAGTGAATTACTATTGAAAATGTCTAATTGAATTTGTCCTCTCCAGTATGGTAAAAGCAAGCCTCAGGCACATTCTCTTTTAAAGTTACCTAATAGGGGTTATGGTCAATAAGAACAAGGAAAGTAGTATTTTGGGTTTATTCCCTTTCAAGTGATTGAGTTTGATCTTTCTAGCTGTGGTAGACTCCTAAAAGGAACATGATTTCTCTTGACTCTTATACGGCAATGTTTAGTATTTAAGAATTACAATATTTAATTTACCCAGCAGGCTATCTTAAAACGTAATCCAAAATAGTGACATTTTAATCATGCTACAGGCACTCTGAAAAATCAAGAGACACCTGCAATGTCCCCAGAGTTCAGTGGGGCCCATTTTTGCCTTCAACCCTGTCATGATAGATGCTCCTTAGGAGAATTTATAGAATTCGAGTGCGTTATGTGCAGGCTGCTATGGTGGGTTATGGAGAAGAAAGCCAGTATTCTTAAAGTGCCCACAGTTTAGTGGTAATGGGAGAAATCTGCAAATAATTACCATTTTTGTGAAAGGCCTACATGCCATGCCAAGGCTTTTGAACTCGATTCTGTAGGCAGTATAGTACTGTGGAAGGTGTATATGAAATGGGATGAGTGCCAGACCAGAGAATAGTACAAAGTGCTGCAGGAGAATGGAGGAGGGAGAGGTTAATTCCGGCTGGAGGAGAGTCAGGAAGGTTTAATGGCAGAGATGGCATTTGAGCTGGGCCTTCAAGGATGGGTCTGATTTGTATTGGTAGGGAGATAAGGAGAGTAAGTGGGAAAGTGCAGGTTATCCCTGGATAAAGGGCATAATCAAGACCAGCTGGGAGAATGAGGAGTGTTATATGTTTAGTGAAAATGTGGAAAAGTCATTGGGACAAATTGTGGAGTCTTGAATGCAAAGCCAAGATGTAGCCTAAGTCGAGGAGGGATGTGATGAAGGTGTGAAGTCCTCCATTATGCTTCTTCCTGAAATTTCTCTGAAGTCTGTCTCCTAGCTTTTACTCCCCATTGCCTTTGCTCTGGGTCCAGTCCACATTACCTCTTGCCTGGACCATTCAAACAGCTCCTGCCTGATTGCTCCTCTTCCTCACCTTCTCCATTGTTCTACATCAACTTAACCTTCCTAAAGCACATCTCTCCATCAGTGTTTCTCTCTTTCTTTTCTTTCTTTCTTTCTTTTCTTTTTTCTTTTCTTTTCTTTCCTTCCTTCCTTCCTTCCTTCTTTCTTCTTTTCCTTCTTTTCTTTTCTTTCTTTGACAGAGTCTCGCTTTGTCGCCCAGGCTGGAGTGCAGTAGCGAGACCTCAGCTCACTACAACCTCCGCCTCCCAGATTCAAGCGATTCTCCTGCCTCAGCTGCCCAAATAGCTGGAACTACAGGCATGTGCCACCACGCCTGGCTAATTTTTTGTATTTTTAATAGAGACGGGATTTCACCGTGTTAGCCAGGATGGTCTCGATCTCCTGACCTCATGGTCTGCCTGCCTCACAATGTTTCTCTTTTGCCAACAAGGTAACATCTAAAGTCCATGGCTGGGTAGTTCAAGCCTTCTTTTCTCCCATGCAATGCAGCCTGCATTTTCAGCCTTCACTCCCTCTTTATGAACCTTATGTTTCCTTTAGTTCCTTCAGGGTGCTTCCCTCATCCTGTCCTCTGTGCACTTCTTGTGAGGTAGGAGAACATAGTAATAATAATTACATAGACTCCGCAGCCATACTCCCAAAATGGGGATGATAACAGCACCTATTGCATAGGAGTGTTGTACTTACTCAGCGAAGCATCATATGTAAAGTTTTAAGAACAGTGCTGGGCACTTAGTAAGTGCTCAAATGCTAGCATAAAAATTTGAGATTATGCTTATTTTCTAACTACCGTTATTTATACTCTTGCTCTCTCAAATACCCCTTTTCCCACTTGTTTCCTAAGAGAATCCTGCCCGGTTCAAAATGCCCCATCCCTAAGCTGGCATTACTTTTTCTCCTCCCTTATTTGGAAGTGATTTCTCTCCTATTTTCATGACTTCTCACTTTCTTTTTTGTAATATGGTTGTTTATGTGTTTATCTTACCTTCCCTGGCAGATTGCAAACAGGGTGAAGGCAGGATTGAAGTGTGGTTCATTTTGGTAGCTCCTGGAGTACTTGCACTCTGAAATTATTAGAATGACTGGCTGATCAGATGAGTACTTCAGAAAGATAATAGCAGTGAAAAGGAAAGATTAGGACTGGAGGGGCTGAAAGGCAGGGAGCCCACTTAAGAGGCTGCTGTGATCCAGGCTAGAGGTGGTGAGGGCTCAGCAAGTGACAGGAGGAATAAAATTGAGGCCATAAATCTTCAAGTGTCTGAGATCCACATGACTACACCTGTGCTCCAAAAGTTGGAAACAAAATACAGAGGAAAGGGATTTCTGTCAGATTATGAGTTCTCTTTTACTTAGTTGCAGTTTATTCTACCGCATGATTTCTTCTTCTGTGTAATAGTGTTAGATTGCTTTTCTTCTGTGGGTATTAACCGTATCTGTTATCTGTAGACAGTTGTGAAATGTTAATTAACTGGAAGCTCTTTTTCAAACAGAAAAATGAAAACCGATTTTATCTGAAGGAAGTGAACATCAGCATGTATTTGGTTAATGGCTCCGGTAAGCAAAGCACTGGCCTGGGGAAAAAGACTGTGGATTACCCTGAAGGATTAGAAATTACAATGGTCTTATTACCAAATAGTGCCTTATTTAATGAAACAGAAGATGCTATGTAAAAAGTGTACCTTGATCATACCTTAAAATCAGTAACTTAGAACTATGATGTTCTGTCTTTTTCTGTATCCCATTTTTTCAAAGTAGAGTAGATAATAATTAAGGATATGACTGATTTTTAGACTATAGAAACATCTATAGAAAGATAAGGGAACCTAGTTATGGTAAGAATTGCTTTTTGTGGGTTGATCTTGTCCCCCAGGCCTTCACTGAAAAACCCTGAGGACTGTTCCTTTTTTTTTTTTTTTTTTTTTTTGAGACAGGGTCTCGCTCTATGCCCAGGCCAGATTGCAGGGGTGTGACCACAGCTCAATCCCAGGTTCAAGCCAACTACCCACCTCAGCCTCCTAGGTAGCTGGGACTACAGGTGTGCACCATCATGCCCAGCTAATTTTTTTTTGTATTTTTTGTAGAGACAGGGTTTCACCATGTTGCCCAGGCTGGTCTTGATCTCCTGGGCTCACGTGATCTGCCCACCTTGGCTTCCCAAAGTGCTGGAATTACAGGCGTGAGCCACTGTGCCTGGCCAACTTTCCCATTTTTGATGTTGATAGGATAAGAAGTTACTAACCTGTTTCTTTTCTTTGAAGTTTTCAGCATTGCAAATAACAATCTCAGCTACTGGGATGCCCCCCTGGGAAGTTCTTATATGTGCAACAAAGAGCAGACTGTTTCAGTGTCTGGAGCATTTCAGATAAATACCTTTGATCTAAGGGTTCAGCCTTTCAATGTGACACAAGGAAAGTATTCTACAGGTAAGAATCAAGCAAACTTCATTAATAATTTATGTTCTTATGTTGACAGGTGGCTTTTCCTTTGAATCATAGACATTTAAACGTTGAAATAGAGGAATATGAATTCATAGCCTTGACCAAATTGTGCAACTCTATATTTGGCTCATCATTTTGCTCAACCGAGATGTTTTTGTGATCTTAAAATCATTTGCAAAAAAAGTTCTTAAAGCTAAAACTGATAGAAGCTTTAAGTGAGCTTTATTTGAGGTATGGGTTTTAGTTTGTAGGGAAGATGGCACTTGGGAGCAGCAGCTTTGAGCATCTTGCATCTGCTTCCTGAGGCCGTCTTCTCACTGGAAACATTTTCATACCTGAATGAAAGCAGTTTGGTCTGATTTTGTTAAGACAAAAGATAAAGAGCGGTAGCAAAGCCTCAAATATCATGAACTATGTTTTTACCAGCCAAAACGATCTGGAGAGTTTTCAAAGCATGTGCCAGTGTGAATGACGCTTTTTGAAGATCACTCAGGGATAATGGTGGTATTTATTAGATTTTTAATGAAACCTTTTGAAGGGCTCATTATAATGTGTTCATACGAATATGAAAGACATATTTGGCATTACAAGATTAAAATTTGCATGAAGAAAAAAAGCACATAAAATTCCTTAATTGACTTGTCCTTTTAAGCCTATTACCTAAAATTGGGGGTTTGTGGATCACAACTCTGTTGAGCAGAGCTAGCTATTCCAGGCATCCACATCCTTTTCAACCATTAATTCTATGGTTTGGAAGGAAATGTGGAAGCTGTGTTTAAAAGCGAATATACTGTGAGCCATTCGACTACTTTTGCAGTGGTGTTGAATACCTAGTCTGACTTGGTTAGGCCACAATAAATTGGGCTCTCCACCCTACCATTCTTGCGATTAAAGACGTTAGTTACACTTTAAAAATATTTTCAAGAATTCATTTTCCCTTTTGTCTGTTTTGCTTATGTACTTCAATTATTTTGATCCTTTAGTAGCTTTATTTTTGGACTTTTTATCTGGCTCCCCTTCATTATTCCCCTAATTTTAAGTCCAGATTTGTGTTTACAGTTTAAAATCGTTTGCAGTATTAGTATCATCACTTCAAGACTGTTTATCTAGTCACCTGTAATAGAGATGAGCTGTGCTCTTTCTCTTACTTTGAAACTTTGGTTTTTATGTACATAGAATTAAAAATATCACCCAAAGAGATATACAGCATTTAATACTGATATTGAATGTATAATCTATTTGTGGAACTAGGTTCTTGGCTGTGGGTACCTATAAATACAACACATAGGTAATATTTGACTGTATGGGGAAAGAAATAGAATTGCAATAAGGCAGAAGAGTGTTGATTGGATTTTACTGGATCAGACCACTTTCTAGAAGTAGAAAAAAATAGCCCCCTTAGGCTGCCAACCCTGACCAGATAAGAAATGCAGTAAGCACGCTCAAATTAGTAAGAGGTCCCAGTTTTCTTGACTTTGCAGCCACTAAAATTGTATGTACTAAGTCACGATCTGCAAACTTTAAAGTTCCAAACAGTGAGTGTTTTAGGCTTTGGTGCCATATGGTCTCTGTCACAACTATTTGACCCTGCTATTGTAGCACGAAAACAGCAACACATAAACAGATGACTGTGGCTGGGTTCCAATAAAACCTTATTTATGGACACTGGAATTTGAATTTTATATGCTCTCATGTGTCACAAAATATTTTTTTCAACCATTTAAAAATGTAAAGGCCATTTTTAGCTCTTGGACCAGATCTGGCCCATGGGCTACAGCTTGCTGACCCCTGACCCTAAAGACAGAGCCAGCCTGGCTATTCTCATCACATGATACCTTCCTGATCCTGTTTCCACTTTCCCAAAAGACATTCACTCTACCACTGAGAGGCTAATCTGGCTATGTAAAAGTGGGCTAGATTAGCTCCCTTTATTTCTGATAAAGTAATATGCCTATTTTGGAAAGGACTTGGAATATAAACAAACATATATGTGTGTATGTATATGTATATGCACACATATATATCACATATAAAATATATATCATATATATAATGTGTGCATTATATATCATATATAATGTGCATATATTATATATATGCACACATATACAATGTGCATATAATATATGCACATTACAATATGAGCTGTGTTTATAGATGTAAATGAATATACATGTATTCATATATATGAATATCTGCATATATACACATAAACAAATGAAAGGACAAAGAAAGTCTTAGAATTTTAATTCTAGAACAGTTCTCCATTTTCTATAGCTTTATCATAAAAATATACCTGTCTTAGTTACTTGAAGTTGATCTTGTAAGAACATTTCTGACTTTTAAATCAACATCTTTGACTTCGAGACATTCTTTTGTGATTATACTCATTATTTATTACACACTTTTTCTCACCTACAGCCCAAGAGTGTTCGCTGGATGATGACACCATTCTAATCCCAATTATAGTTGGTGCTGGTCTTTCAGGCTTGATTATCGTTATAGTGATTGCTTACGTAATTGGCAGAAGAAAAAGTTATGCTGGATATCAGACTCTGTAACACTAATCAATACGTGATCTCTGTTACAAAAGAAAAAAGCAAGTACAAGTTCCAACATGCAATACTGGTCAACTTAAGGTATATTTAGTTGCAGTCCAGCTCTTTAGAATGGGTGGTATGGGGGATTTCAAACTTAAACAAAAAACTATCAACTACAAATTAGTTGCCTGACTTTGGTTTTTCCAACCAAGGAATTTAAAACTGTTATTTTTACAGCAAAAGATGTGCAAAATCACTGGATTATAAGTTCTATTTTACTGTCTTGAATTAGTATTTCAGTGTTTTCATTTTAGACATTCAGACTAAAAATACACCGTTTAGAAAAAACAATTTTTGAAAAAGAGATTTTTTTTCCCTGCAGGTAGTTGAGTTGGAACAACATGTTCTACCGTGGATTTGTACTTGCTCCTTTTGCTCTTTTTGTGTGTGTGTGTGTGTGTGTGTGTGTGTGTGTGTGTGTGATTTTTGTTTGCAGGTTAACTTAGCTACTTTGGCATTGCTGCATATTTGACCTTTGAGAGATATAATAGTAGATTTGAACAGGGGCTGGTATTATTATGTTCTTAGCAATAAATGCTTTTCTAATGCCTTTTGAATACATTTGTATTTATGTGGCTGTAATGACAAAAGATACAAAAGCTTTTTAAAATTTAGAGTAGGTATTAATCTTATTGTTTAATCTTTTTTTTAAAAAAACTGGATATTTCAATCTTTTAAATTGCAATATATAAGACTATTCCAACTGGGCATTTCAATCCATTTTTTAGGTGCTTTAGAGATAATTGCTTGCCAGTGCCAATTGAGGGCATTAGTACTTTGTGCTCATAAATTGGCCTCTGTATGCAGTACTAAAATTAATGCAGATTTCTCTTTAGCCTTCCAACATTTCTTGTTGATAGTGATGTATTTTATTATTTTCTTTTTCTTAAGAAATGCCAGTGTGTCCTAGAACCTAGATAACGAAGTGCACTTACACTTATAAAATAACTTGCATCTAGGCTGGGCGTGGCGGCTCACGCCTGTAATCCCAGCACTTTGGGAGGCCGAAGTGGGTGGATCACTTGAGGCCAGGAGTTTGAGACCAGCCTGGCCAACATGGTGAAACCCCATCTCTATCAGAAATACAAAAAATTAGCTGGGCGTGGTGGTGGGCGCCTGTAATCCCAGTTACTCGGGAGGCTGAGGCAGGAGAATCACTTGAACCCGGGAGGCAGAGGTTGCGGTGAGCCAAGAGCGCACCATTGCACTCCAGCCTGGGCGACAAAAACGAAACTCCATCTCAAAACAAAACAAAACAAAACAAACAAACAAACAAAACTTGCATCTAACCAAAAAGTCTTGGTTTTATCTTAATCCATTAAAAAGTTGTTCTTTGTTTCCAGCTTGCATTGATTGCTACAACATCACTAATTTGGCTTTCACATTTAAATGGTTCTGTGCTAATCAAAACTTTCGTTGTTATTATTCATTATGGTAGAATCATTTTTAATTCACGTGCTTTGTGTTCAGTTTTGTGGTCTGAGAGATGTACCAATTGTCAAATTACCGTGTACCACCTAATGTTTATAGGAGAAAGCAAAATACATCAGCTTGGTAGTTAACACATCAAATATTTCTTGCTGCTTCTAGGAGAACTTTTTTGGTGTGTGTTGGAATGGCTGAGCAAATATTAAAATTGTTAATATGCAGCCATATATGGAAGGTTCCTGTGGGGTTGTTTTTTCGTGTTTTTTTTTTTTTTGTGGTGGGATTATGTGCCTCCCATTCACTAGAAAATGAGAAAATTGTCTGGGTTCCAAAATATTGACATTGAATGGATCAATACACACACACAGACATATATATATATATGCACACATATATAGGCAGTTGCATGCTAGCATGGGTATTTTTATAACAATATAACTGAGTTATATTGGAATTATAAATATTTTCCGTCACTTAAATTTGTTCTTTGTTTAGCCTGAAAACCTTTATGGCTCAAGATCAGATTCCTGACTAACCCCTCTCTTAGAGCTACAGCGAGCTGCATTACCAGCTTAAAACACTTCTTAGGGATTAAATATAGATGTAATTTTTCAAAATCGTTTTTAATTTAAACTGTGTTTTAGTGTAAAATTGTTAACCTTGTAAGATGGATAATGTGTATAAGAATGTAGGCCTTAACTATTTCACATGAGTCAAAACAAAGCAGCTTTAAAAAAATAATTGGAAGCACAAGTGCATGGCACTGACTGAATGCTGTTAATATTTCTAAAAGTTTCTACATTCAGATTATATGCCTGATTCATAGTAAAATACCTCTAATAAACACTGTTTTATAGAAAACCTGACTTCAGTGAATATTTTTGTATTTTACATGGGCCAGTTTATATACTGCTATTTACACTATTATTTCCTATAGCTACATGTTCTTTGTACCTTTTGTAGTTTTATTTGTATTACTAGATTCATACCTTGATGGTAACGCTCTATCTGGTTTTGGGTGTTTTTCATGTTTTAGCATTTGTATAAAGAAACTGGTCCATGTAAATACTTTCCATGTTTTTTCTTCAAATGTTTAAACCACTAGTTGATGTATGGTATCTTTAGATATTTGCCTGTCTGTTTGCTCAAAATTGCTTCTAAAACAATAAAGATTCTTTTATTTCTTAAGGCAATTTGCTTACCTTTTTTCCCGTTGGTTAAAGTCAAGATTTTGTATACTACATAATGGCAATTTCTTTCAAATGGAAAAACTTTAGAAATGTTTAGAAGTAGAACTGAATTATTTGCAAAATGTTCTGATGTTCTGTCTGTATATTACCATCTGGAAGAATAGTCCCATACATAGGCCTCGATTGATGCTAGGCAGGCTACAGAATAAGATCAACCTGGGAAGCGTTTTATAAAAATAGATTCCAGGCTGCATCCTTAGAGGATTTAACGTAGTAGGTCTAATGAGGAGACAGAGAGAGAGAGAGACAGAGAGAGAGAGAGAGAGTGTGTGTGTGTGTGTGTGTGTGTGTGTGTGTGTGTGTGTGTAAGCTCCCCTGCTGAACCTGATGCATAGTCAGTTAGGGAACCAGTGATCTAGAATATTTATTTCATAATAAAAGCTGCGGAGTATCTCTTTGTACACTTTTCTCAATTCCTAAGTTGAGGTTGATATTCAATATCTCTACATAGTAGCTTTACATTGCAGCCATACATATTGAGCTATTGATCTGAACCAACGTAGGATTGTGTGCAGTCTCTCTCTTACTTAGATCACTCTAAAATACTTGAGCCTTCCAGTTTCCATATACGGATAGTTACCTAGTCACCTTACTATATCACATAAGAAAACTTAGCAATGTAGCTGGTAACTTTTCTCTGAATTACCCAGTTAAGCCATGTGAATGCCAGTTAGTCATCACGGCTGCAAACTCTGCAGTTAACTACCATTGTCTTTGGCCAAGTTGTTTAACTTCTAGTGTCTCAATTTCTTCATCCAGTGGGTGGGGGCTTTAAAATCCTGCTACTCATTTCTTTGAGTGATAATTTGCATTTCAGAGGAATGCATCATAGTATTTCATACATCTTAGTATTTTAGAAGGAATCTGATAAGCTACTTGTTACGTATCAAGAACATACTATAAGTTCAGTGTAAAATGTACCACTTAAGTTTCCTGCAGTTTTTCAGGAGGAATTCTTATAAGACTTGGACATTTTTAAGATGATAGTATTTCATCTGTTTATTTAGGTAGATAATGTTAAATTGTCTTGGGCTCATCTTCCACCCATCTCCTTTTCTTTTACCCTGGTAGCTAACTTTCTGCGTTAATAATCACCATTTCTTGTATTTGAAACTGGTATAGATATTCATGAATGATATTGAGTAGCTTCACGAATCTTTTCAGATGCATGTGATTTACTTAACACAGTTTGATTATAGATATAAAATGTATATAACAAAATATCACCTAAGAATGTGCTTCTTAATGTGGATCCTTCCAAAAAGAAGTTTTGACTCGTTTGTTTGTTTGTTTTGTTTTGTTTGAGATGGAGTCTCGCTCTGTTGCCCAGGCTTGGGTGTGTATAGTGGTGTGATCTCAGCTCACTGCAACCTCCGCCTCCCAGGTTCAAGCAATTCTTATGCCTCAGCCTCCCAAGTAGCTGGGATTACAGACGAGTGCCACCACACCTGGCTACCTTTTTATTTTTTTAGTAGAGATGGGGTTTTGCCATGTTGGCCAGGCTGGTCTCGAATTCCTGACCTCAAGTGATCTGCCTACCTCGACCTCCTGAACTGCTGTTATTATAGGCATGAAACGCTGTGCCTGGCCTCAACTGGTTTTTAAGAGAAGTTTTATTAGTTTTTGTTGTAAATGTATACCTCAGCTTTCCAGTTCTTGTGTTGAAAATTGTGTTTGAAAAATGTCTGAACTGGCAGAAAATTGAAGATTAACAGCATTTTTAATCTACATGAAACTTCTTACTGAAATTTTAGTGGCCATGGAACTTTTTAATCTTTAAAAATCTTTATTGCTTCTGTGGCTATTAAATTCTTCTGCAAATACACTTCTCTTTTCCCCAGAAGCATTTTCAATACAGCGTTAAGTATACATTAGGCAAGTAGATCAGATCAAAATGACTTATAGGATGAGATTTTCTTTTCTTCAGAATGTGATCCCATTAAAGTTACTGTTTTACCAACATTTTTTCCATTAACTAAATAATT
The DNA here is from genome assembly GCF_000001405.40 of Homo sapiens. Lineage (NCBI taxonomy): Eukaryota > Metazoa > Chordata > Mammalia > Primates > Hominidae > Homo > Homo sapiens. Next base: position 120,434,451 of record NC_000023.11, on the reverse strand, counting down.
TTTAAAGGTTGAATTCATACAATCAATAGTTATTATAAATTAATATTTCACATACTAATTGAGAGCATTTTAAGTAAATGACAGTATCTAGAAAGATCTTTGTATTAGCGGAATTGCCTTTTTGAGCTACTCTGAGAATATTTGTCTTACATGAAAGCCTTATTGGCAGTATTTATGAAAGTCGTTTCAGTACTAGGTCAAATACCCAATTTGGGAAAGAGAGAACTATGAGTCTGTTGCCAGAATAAGAAATTAATCTACTAATGAATTTTTAAAAAACCAAGTTATATTAAACCCACGGCATAATACTTTATGGTACATGTCACCTAATAGTTTATGGGCTGGGTGGTAATTTGGGAAATTGTAGGGGAGGTGCTAACTGGGGATTCTTAACACCATCTATTCACAGGTCACATCTGGCAGCCTCAGCTCTCTGGATTCTTAACAGAACCAAGAAGCAAGTAAAACAAATAATTGAACTGGCAGCCCAAGTCAATGTCAGAAAAGTTTATAAACTCCAGGGTTGCATTTTGTTCCTAGTTATTGCCCCAGAGGCTAGTGGGGGCGGCGGGGAAAGCTTGGCACATTTCTTGAATGCAAGCACAATCAGAATTGCCATGCAGCCTATTTGTCCTATCTTTGATACAATTCTAATAAGCTTAGTTATCTGATTTATCAGTCCCTGGTAGACTGCAAGCTAGGCAGAGAACTAGGGCAACAAGACACAGGAAATGGGAAATAGAAATAGCAGTTAACTTCTTTCCTGCAAGTGTATCCATCTGTAGCATTCCTTCCTCCTCTCCAGTCTCAGAGTAGGTTTTCTTTTCCTGGTTAAACTGAGGCAAACAGTTATGTCATCAAGGCCCATTTATATCTCTTTTCCCATTACTAAGTGACCCCAGATTGTTATGTATTGAGTTCTTAATGTCTTACGCTTTTGGAATTCAATCTCTTAACTTGTAGGAGAACTTGTACCATTCAGCATCTTCTGTCAATTGCTAATGGCTGTTTCCCTCATCCTATTTAAGTTCTTCTAACCTTAAGCTATCCTTTCTTGTCCCTATGTCCCCCTTCTAATTACCTCCCTTTTGTCCTGCCTTAATCATTCTAAACTTCTCAAAATGAGTATTGTATTTGTTACCCTGCCCAAGTTCTTGATGTCCTAACCAATCACTTCCCATTCCCTCTTAAACCTGCAGCAATTTTACTCATATCTCCCACCCTTCATATTGCTAGAGGCAATGGACATGTTTCAAAGCTTTCTACTATTATTTGCTGTCTTTCCACCTTAATTGAAACGTTCCATCCTTAGCTTCTCTGGCGCCATTTTCTATCTGCCCTTTTACATCTTTTTCCTACTCCATTGTCTATCCCACAGGTATTGGTGTTCCCAAGGGTTTTTGTCTCTGATCCTCTTTTTATTCTACTTCCCCTTACTGAGAAATGTTCTTGCCCATGTTTTAACTACCACTTAGGTTCATATAGCCACTTGGTTAGGACATAGTGATTTTTTTTTTTTTTTTGAGATGGGTTCTCGATATGCTGCCCAGGCTGGTCTTGAACTCCTGGGCTCAAACAGTTCTCCCATCTCAGCTTCCCAAGTAGCTAGGACTACAGGCGTAAGCTACCATGCTCAACTAAGGACACAGATATCTTAAACTCACATATCTAAAACTGAGCATCTCTCTCTTCCACGTATCCTTTTTACCACCTGTTCCATATAACTACAAAAAACTGAAATGCATATATTCTTCCTCTTTTATAGAATGGCACCAGCATCTACATAATCAGTCAAGTGTGGAATTGGAAACCATTCTATTATCTCCTCCTCGTACACCCCCTACATCCGTTTGGTCAATTTTGCCTTCTAATTTGATCTCCAGTCTGTGCCTTCTGCTTTTCTTCTGCACTTCATTAATCCAGCTCAGGACAATATTATTGGTTACCTGGACTCTAGTGATAAAGATATGTCCTACCTTACTACCTCCATCTGCCATAACTTCTGAAATGAAATCCTGCTTAATATCCTGCTGCTGAATTTTTTTTTCATCAGGATAAGGCCAGACTACCTAAGAGCATATAGTACCTTTGTGACCTGGGTCCCTGCACACTTTTTCTGCCTTCTATCCAGCCAAAAATACCTTTTGATCCATTGTTCTAGCTCTGCCAACCTGCTTGCGTTTCCCTTGAAGTGCTATGTCTTTTTACTCTCCATATTTTTGTCTGTGCTATTTCTTATACCTGGAATGCCCTTCCCCCATTACTTGCATCATTAATTCCTATTCATTCTTAAAATCTCAGCTCAAGTGTCACCTTTTCAAAGTGTGTCTTATGTAATAAGGCTGAACTTGAGTGTGCCTCTGAAATTTTTCCATGGCACTTTGTGTTGCCTACTCCTACCACAACACATTTTGAAATTATAACCACTGATTTTTCTTGTCTGACTCTAACACTAGACTGAGCATCTTGAGGCAAACAGTTATGTCATCAGGGCCCACTTATATCTCTTATATCTCTTTTCCCATTAGTAAATGATCCCAGATTGTAATGTATTGAGTTCTTATGTCTGCTTTGTATAGTTGTTCATTCAGTGAGTTAATACTTAACAGCAATATTTGAAGCATTGTGCTTCTTCGACATCATAACAGTTTGCCTCTGAAAGCTCACGGCCTGATCATCAAGGCAAGGCTAATTAGATTTGTTCATTATGTTCTGTTTAAGAAATCTGGGAACTATGTGACCATGTTATACATTTTTCATCCAAAATGACTGCATTTTTACTTGGTACTTAAAAGTGTATTATTTGGTTATTTGGAAAATCACTTTTGTGGAACATCTCATTTGCTGATAATGAAATGCCAATGACTTGTTACCTTGGTATAAAAAACCAAAATATGCGTGTTAGGAAGTGCTGTCATTTTACTCAAAATACACAGATTTGAAAGTTTGTCACTGTTTCTGTTCTCAATTGTCCTTTCTCCACATCTAGCTCAAGACTGCAGTGCAGATGACGACAACTTCCTTGTGCCCATAGCGGTGGGAGCTGCCTTGGCAGGAGTACTTATTCTAGTGTTGCTGGCTTATTTTATTGGTCTCAAGCACCATCATGCTGGATATGAGCAATTTTAGAATCTGCAACCTGATTGATTATATAAAAATACATGCAAATAACAAGATTTTCTTACCTCTCAGTTGTTGAAACACTTTGCTTCTTAAAATTGATATGTTGAAACTTTAATTCTTTTATCAATCCCAGCATTTTGAGATCAGTCTTTATTAATAAAACCTGTTCTCTTTAATCAGCTTAAAATCCAAAGTGTCATATTTACTGGTCCTGGAGACAAACTTGTTCAAAAGAACATCAACGTGCAATGTTTTAAGGTCTATCTTAAGAAGCCCTGGCCAAATTTTGATCCTAACCTTGAAGTATGCCTTGAACTTATTAACATGGCCATTATAAGAATAAAATATGTAGTTGTGTCTTAATGGAATTAATAAATGTCATTTCACTACTGGTGTTCTGTTTCAATGTATAAGGACTATAGTGATTTAAACTCATCAATGTGCCTTTGCATAAAGTTCATTAAATAAATATTGATGTGGTATAAATGCCCATCAGATATGCTTAAACTTGGTTTTCAGTTGAATGAAGTAGAGAATGTCCTCAGGACCATCAGCATTTTAAAGGTTATGTGACTTTTGCTGATTTCTCTGAGTTCAAGTTAAGCATGAAGTTAGTACCTCAAGCCTGTGATTTTTCCCTAGGGATGATACAGACCCAAGAGGCTACAACAGAACTTAAACTGGCTTCGTAATTAGAGTTTTTAAGATAATTGTTTGTTTTTCAGCAATATAGACTGAAAAGATCCAAGCATATTTAGCCACTTGCTTTTTTGTTTCTTGTTTTGTTCTTCTTTGGATGCCTGATTAGTATTGAAAGATAGAAATATTCTATGAACTAATTAGGACAGATTGTGTTGTGTTTCTCTACCTCATCTTGTTGATCTCTGGAGCATTAAAATCTATTTAGTGTTGTCATCAGTGTGGTACTTATGAAATGTAAGCTAACAGCAATCTCAGAAGGGAGGCAGTGAAGCATAGCAACTAGGCTCTTGTTTCTTCAAGATGGCCCCTGTGGGGCAGTGCATAGATGGGGGTGTAAAGAGAAGCTGTTGGCATTAAAATGAGCTAGATAATCAGCCCTTGTTGAAGCATATTCCATGGTATAAGAGTAGCACAGACATGAAACATAGATAAAGAAGGAAGGCTTAATAGACTAGAAGACTTCCACATTGAAGTATTATTAACCCATTGTATGTATATAGGGGCATGATCAGAGTCTCTATAACTTCCTGATTAACAATACAGTGTATCTTGTTACCCAGCTGTCAGTCTTTGAGAGCTTTCAGTAAAATATAGTAAATTCTTTCAGCATAGGCTAATGTGTGGTTACTGAGATGAGTGTTGTGTACTCAGAACCGTAGCAACATTTTTATGAATGGTAAAAGTACAAGAGGAGGAAAAGTTAAAATTAGAAGAAAAGTACAAGTTATTGCTTAATCATAAATCACACCAGATAACACATTTTGTTAATTTCATTAGCTATTACTGGAAAGGACCTTAACGATTATTTACAGAAAGGGGAGTGAAATTCATTGAGGTTCCATATCAAGTGGGCAACAAAACTATTACTAGCATTTTGATAAAAATTGCCCCTAATGAAATCTAGTCACTCAACAGTAAAACAACAGCTGGTTTACACTTGAAATTATGAGATCAGAATTGGGCACTTTGGGCTTCCGTACTATGTTTTGCTTAAGTTTTTTTTTTAATACTAATATGGGCTTTTTCAGTAGTAATATACCAAAACACTTCTATTTTAATCTCTGTTTGCTACTTCAAAACCTAATCCTCCTCAGATGGGATCATGAGCATAAGAGGAAAAGAGAAGAGAATGAATACTTGTTGACCTCTTGATGTGTATCAGATGCTTTAGAAATGTAATTGTATTTAATCCTCAAATACCTTATAGGTATTATTATCCCCTTCTTACAGATGAGGAAAGTGAGGCCCAGTTTAAATAACTTGCCCAAGGTCCTTTGGCTAGTACTGGAAGGAGTCAAGATTTAAACACAGTTCTGTCTGAATCCAGAACTCAAAATCTACATTGCACATGTTGCTTTCCTGGTGGTTCGGTGGAATGGACTGCAACGCATTAGATACTGCTGTTATTCTTCCAGGCCACCGCTCAGCTAAAAATAATTGTGTGTGTGTGTATATATATATATATGTACACACACACACATATATATACACACACACATATATATACACATATACATATATATACACATATATATACACACACATATATATGTATATATATACTACATTCTTGATCCTAAGTCTTTTTTAACTTAAATTTTATTACTTATACAGAATTCTTATTTATACTTTAATTATAGGTGTGACGAAGAGAAAGAGAGTAGGGAAATACACAGGCAGTGGTTTTAAGTGTAGATGATGGCTCCTTAACCCAGTGTCATTAGATAATCAAACCTAAAGTCTTCCCATATTAGGCAAGCGCAATTCTCTATTTTGGACCCTTCCCATTCTTCCCTTACCTTCTGCTTTTCGTACTGAGGAATTTCGTGTGATTTTAGATAAAGTGATAATGAGATATTGAGCAAATAAGAAAATAGAGGTAATGCTATAAAAAACTAAGCTATGTACACTTTCAAAATGCATGTTTCTTGCATGCTTTTTACTACTTAATTGCATTCTTTGCTAATTTCCTTTCCTTGCTGTCTGTTCTTTTCTAACAGCTGAAGAATGTTCTGCTGACTCTGACCTCAACTTTCTTATTCCTGTTGCAGTGGGTGTGGCCTTGGGCTTCCTTATAATTGTTGTCTTTATCTCTTATATGATTGGAAGAAGGAAAAGTCGTACTGGTTATCAGTCTGTGTAATCAGTTAAATCTAGTGTTTGTTTGTTTTTTTCAATTAGAAGTTACGTTTCCATTGGCTAAAAGCCAGGACATGCTGTGCAATAGATTGTTTAAGATATGCAGACTAACTTCAGTGAGTTCCTAGCTAACTTGGGCATGAGTACACTTATTTAAGACAAAATATATTAGGACCAATTTTTTTCTGTTTTTTTTCTTCCTTTGTTAAAGTATAATTAAAAGAAAAATTGTGGCTTAGAATTTTTTAAGTAAATAATGATTTTAAGCCCCTGGATCCAATTATGAAAGCATTTTTGCTGATGTGTAATTTTATATGTTACAGTTACTTATATTTTACTACTTTGATGTTATTTGCAAAATCAAAGGTGTTAAAGAATTTAACTTGCTTCAGGAAATAAATTCAAGAACATAGTGGATTCATTTTCATTGGTGGCAGACACGAAATTTGGTTCATGATAAGACTTCCTTTCCCCACCTCCTGATCAGCATTATTTAAATCTGTATTTTTCTGTTAGTTAAGAAAGAAATGGCTTCATGATATTGTATTTAATAGCAAAAGTTTGGCTGTCTTCTTCATTACTGTTAATAGCTACTATATTTTAACAAGGAGATTTCTTTTTTTGTTGTTGTTGTTCTAGAGTTTGGAATATACTGATTATCTCAGACTTGACATTTATACTGAAGGATGAAGTAAGACCTCCAGCTTTTTTTAAAAAAGGTGTTGATTTGGAACACCTGTATGGGTTATGGTTTATTAAGGTTATGGTTTAGAAAGTTTTTTTCCCTCAGAGCCTTAACTTGTTAAGAAGGTTCATTTATCCTGCACTGAAAACAAAAACTCTATATACTTTGTTTGTGTGCCTCCTGCACTCTCCCATTCCCTATGTGAATATGCTCTAGTTGATATTTTTAATATATTGATTTCTTTTTTCTCACAGCAACAAGTGCTTACTCTAGAGGTTAGTGGGCCCTGATATGTCATCAGTCAGATGCCTGCCTAGCCAAAGCTGGACTAAGATTATTCTGTACATTTGTTGATCTTGATATAGACTTATATCCCTGTAGGGACTGCTAATGGCTCCGGCTTCTGGAGTAAGGTACTGGAGACCACTCATCCCTGTGTCTGCTTGATTGGTTCAGCTGTTGAATTGCCCTTTTATTTGGAAGCAGTGTTGAAGTTGTCTAGGGTTCAAATGGCTGCTTTGTACACCTGTCATTAGTATAAGGCAGATGTTTATTTTATCAAGCTATTTTATCTCTACATTTAACTAAAAACAAAAGTTCCCAAAGATCTGCCTTCACTTCAGAAATTTTTTTTGGATTAAAAAAATTAAGCCTGAACCTTAAATAAAGTGAGTTGGTTATTCATTCCAAGGATTAAGTCCCAATCTACCTCTCAGCACAATGCAGAAGCTCACCACTGTATTGCTGCCATTAACTCATGCCAGAACCCTTTGCCAATAACTGGAATTACAAATTTTTGTTAAAGAAAATTTATCAAGATCTTTCTTTACTGCCTTCTCTATATGTACATCTCAAAAACATGTACATCTCAAAAACTGGAGTAGAAAGTTAGATTGCTCAACTACAACTCCTCTAGAACTCTATAGCTCTGACATACAGATTCACACTCTCCTCTATTTGCTAAGTATGTAAAGAATGTTTTCTTTTAAAATGTTCTCTTTTGAGAACAACTGCTTATTTGTTATAAAAGCATTTGGTTAAAATGATGTCATCATAAAAAACAGTGGCTTTGTTTCAATACATATTTTTGAGATGATTATCTAGAAGCCAGATTAATAAAATCAGCTTGTGACCTTGCTAAGCATATAAACTGGAAATTCAGATACATTCAAAATTATGGGTTCATTTAAAAGTGTTCTACCTTTTGGGTATGAGACTAATATCACTAATTCCTCAATAGTTATCATGGCTCTATCTTAATTAATTAGAAAATATGTGTGTTTAATTCTTTGAGAATTAAAATAGAGAATATTAACAGAGGGTTAAAAACTGCTTCAACTCCAATAAGATAAAGGAAGCTCAAAATCTATGAGCTGAGTGTTCAATTAGCTTTGCCTACTGAGTTCAATTTTATGTCAATACAACAGTGGATCAGACAGTACGACTTTGAACTGGTGAATGTAAACAATTGTTTTTCACCTAAGCTGCTTTGGAAGAACTGATGCTTGCTGCTAACTAAAGTTTTGGATGTATCGATTTAGAGAACCAATTAATACCTGCAAAATAAAGCATACTGTGGTACTTCTGTTTGATCTAGTATGTGTGATTTTAGATTGATGGATTAAAAATTAATAAAGATCATACATTCCATACCACTATGGATAACCTCATTTTTATTCCATATGCTCAGCCTTAAGAGCTTAGACTTAATTGTATAATCTAAGTTTCTTGAATTCTAGTCTCTTGGATTGTCAACAGGAATCATAGGATCTCATAGATCTGCAACTTAACCAAGTCCCGTCATTAGGAAGGCACTAGTACAGAACCTTTAGTACAGACACCTCAAATAGGGGGACCTACTTAGTCATGGAAATTACAAGAAAACATCAAAAACAAAATATGGAAATCTAACAAATGTAAGAACATCATAACAAACGTACTTTCCGCGTATGTCTGTCTGCATTGATGAACTATACTAATTGTTGAAGTTCATTTCATTCTGAGTGAGATATACCTCAGGGATATGGTGGGGCAAGGGGAGGAGCTATCCATTTTGTGAATTTCCTTTAAATTCCTTACAATCTAGTCTAATGCTTAATTTTTATATAATTGGATAAAACAACAACACATACATAAACATACTCCTTTTTACATGAGAGGTATTTTTGGTGGGAGAAGGAATTAGACATTGGCTCCCTCCATAGTTCCAGAATAATAGGGTTTCATTTTCTGAAAGACGTTTAATAGCTTGTAATTAAGTCAAAAAATGGCCTTCATAACTGCCACCTCATGAGGCCTCTGAAAGAAGCACTTTAAGTTGACTGATAATTAGGAAGAGTGGTTCGATATATGTTGCTGTGAGGGTTACAGTGTATCTAAAAAGTCAACTTGGAGGGTCATCTTTTTAACTTCAATGTGTATACTTTTTGAATGCCAGAACTGCCTTTAGAATTCTGATGAAATGTTTTTCCTTTCCTTTGTTTTTACTGTCTGCATGTATTTTGATAGCAGTGTAAGTTTGGGTCCCTTTAATTTCAAGAGGTATGCATAATGAACAGGAGAAATCTTGCCATACAATGCATCTTTAGTAGGAAAAATCCATAATTTTATTGAGCAGTTACAGTGCTGTGCACTTTAAACACCTTATTTCATTTAATACACCAACTCTCTGAGGTTGGGGGTATCATTTCCAGTTTACATATGGGATAACTGAGGCTTGAGTTGGTTACTTAACCAAAGTCACACAGGATTAAGTGGCAAAATGGACATTTGAACCCAGTTCTGTTTGCCCGCCAAAGACCATGCAGTTAACCACTATACATCTGCCTTTTGCAGAAGCAATAGATTTTTTTAAAGCACATGCCTTACATTAAATGGTTACAGAAATCTGACTTCTGTACTCTTCTATCTTGTATGTAGTTGCCTTATAAATATTCTTCAATATTCTTAAAATAACTTGAGTTTTATCCAGCCCACTTGTGGGGCAGATGGATGTTGTGGCAGCATGCCTTTTGGAAGATCAAAACCAAGGCCAGTTTGCACTGTACCTCATCAGTAATATTAAGCCCGAATGTCACTTTTTTCAGGGTAGCCTCATCTAGTTATTCTGATCACATATCATTGTCATTCTGCTCTCAAACTCTTCTGTACCATGAATCATTTTGACTGTGCATTAGTGTGTTTAAGAAACTAAATGGAACTGTCTCTCTTCTCACTTTCCTTAATACCATTCATACCCCTTCCCTTCATCCCTCAGCTTTAAGCGCATTGTAACCATGACACTCAACTATCTTTGCCAGGTGGTTCTGAACCTTATTAATACACAGTTCCTATTCCCAAATCTAAGGCCTTTTGGGAAGGGTTTCAAGAATTTTTTTTTTTTTTTTTTTTTGAGACAGAGTCTCACTGTTGCACAGGCTGGAGTGCAGGGGCGCGATCTTGGCTCACTGCAACCTCTGCCTCCCAGGTTCAAGCTACTCTTCATACCTCAGCCTCCCGAGTAGCTCCCAAGTAGCTGGGATAGCCACCACGCCTGGCTAATTTTTGTATTTTTAGTAGAGACGGGGTTTCACTGTGTTGGCCAGGCTGGCCTCGAACTCCTGACCTCAGGTGATCCACCTGCCTTGGCCTCCCAAAGTGCTGGGATTACAGATGTGAGCCACTGTGTGCATGGCCGATTTCAAGAAATCTTTACCTGCAAAGTTTCCAGCCATAATCTGCGAAAGCCCCATGCCCTTCCCTCCTTATCTACTACTTTCCTGTATTCACTTCAGCCATACTGACCCTTTTGCTACGCCTGGCTAATTTTTGTCTGTTTTTGTATCTTTAGTAGACACAAGGTTTCACCATGTTGGCCAGGCTGGTCTCGAACTCCTGACCTCAAGTGATCTGCCTGCCTCAGCCTCCCAAAGTGCTGGGATTATAGGCGTGAGCAACCACACCCGGCCAATGTTAGCTTTTTATTTATATTAATCTGGACTTCTTTCTAAAGATGACAGATGTCAGCTGTTCAGATAATATCATAGAAAGAGGAAGTGGAGAGAGAGAGTAAGGTGAGATAAAACCTTAAGGAACAGAAATCTACTCAGACTGGGTTAAAAAGAAAAAAAGAGTCCGGGCGCAGTGGCTCACTCCTGTAATCCCAGCACTTTGGCAGGCTGAGGCGGGCAGATCACAAGGTCAGGAGATCAAGACCATCCTGGCTAACAGGGTGAAACCCCGTCTCTACTAAAAATACAAAAAATTAGCCACGTGTGGTGGTGGGCGCCTGTAGTCCCAGCTACCTGGGAGGCTGGGGCAGGAGAATGGCGTGAACCCGGGAGGCAGAGCTTGCAGTGAGCTGAGATCTTGCCACTGCACTCCAGGCTGGGCGACAGAGCGAGATCCGCCTCAAAAAAAAAAAAAAGAAAAGAAAAGAAAAAAAGAATGAATTGTGAAGCTATGGGGTAAGTCTCACAGAATCCAATTGCAAGAAGCACATCTTGGACTCAAAGGAATACAGAATTAGATTATAAAGCTTCAACTGAGAGAATACATGGGTGATGACTACAAGGAAAGTTTAGGGAAAAATGAATAATGAATAATAACGTGCACTGCATTTGCTAAAATGTATTAGAAAGCTAGAATCAGGTGTTAGGTGGGTATAAGAATAGAGCAACAGTTCAAAGGACAAGACACAGTATACACACAAATATATACAGCAGTATGTACGTGTATGTGTATATACATTATGTATATACAGTATGCGTGTGTGTGTGTATATATATATATATATATATTTGGTATTTGATAAGGATGTTGTTTTCAGATGAGTGGGGAAAGAATGGAACGTTTAAAAATGATGCTGAGGGCCAGGCATGGTGGCTCATGCTTGTAATCCCAGCACTTTGGGAGGCCAAGGCAGGTGGATCACTTTAGGCCAGGAGTTTGAGACCAGCCTGGGCAAAATAGCAAGACCCTATCTCCACAAAAAATAAAAAATAAAAAAAAATTAGCTGGCCGTGGTGGCACATGCGTGTATTCCCAGCAACCCAGGAGGCTGAGGTGGCAGGATTGTTTGAGCCCAGGAGTTTGAGGTTGCAGTGAGCCATGATTATGCCACCGCACTCTAGCCTGGGCAACAGAGGGAGACCTTGTCTCAAAAAAATAAATTAGAAAAAATATGATGCTGAGATACTAAGATACTAGGTTAGTTATTTGGGAGAAAATACACTTAGTCGCCTACCTCACAATACCAAAATAAATTCAAGGATAATTAGAGTTAAGTTTTTAAAAAAAAACTATAAAAGATATAGAATCAAATATAATGGCTGTTTATTTTATCTCAAAATAAAGACCTTCCTAAGAATAGAAGAAAAAGAAGAAATGGCAGTGGAAAAAAAGATTTCCATATAAAAACATTTAATATATCTGACCACTAAAATGCTACCAGACACAAATTTACAGGTAAACTACAAACAAAGGAAAGTATTTGCAATCTTAAATATAACAAAGAGTTAAGGTGATATTTTTACTATCAAATAAATACAAACAAGATGAATATTCCCTGAATAAGCTGGAATAAGGACATGAATAGCAAAGTCATGCCAGAAGGATTGCAAATAGATAAGCAACTTGAAAAAAATGTTCCATCTCCCTAGTAAACAAAGAAACGCAGGTTGAGTATCCCATTGAAATGCTTGGGACCAGAAGTGTTTTGGATTTTAGATTTTTTTTTTTTAGATTTTGGAATATTTGCCTTATATTTGCCAGTTGAACATCCCTAATCTGAAAAATCTGAACTGCTCCAACGAGCATTTCCTTTGAGCATCATGGCGGCACTCAAAAAGTTTTGGGTTTTGGAGCGTTTCGGGTTTTGGATTTTTGGATTACAGATGTTCAGCCTGTATAAATTAAAACAAGATATCTTTCAAACTGGCTAAGATATTTTTAGTGATAATATTCACTCTTGGCCATGATACGGAAGACTGCACACTAACGATGTTGGGAGTGAAAATAAAAATTTGGAAACAATCTAAGTACCCAGTAAGATAGAACTAGGTAAGTATATTGTGAAATGTTGACATGACAAAATGTTACAAAGCCATTTAATATCACGACATCAAAAATTAAGAATATGAGACTGTGCTTGTGTCTTACTGTTAAGAGAAAAATGAACGTCGGAAAGAAATATGTGCCATTCTGTTTTGGTAAGTAAATTTCTCTACCCCTATCTCTCTATCTCTCTATATATCTACATCTAACTACTCGTCTACCACCCAAAAAGTGTTTCTCCCTATCCTTATACCTTACCACAGGCTTGGTACAGAGTCCACCACAGGAGGCTCCAGATTGGAGCCATTACTTCTACAGTTGAGGCCACAACAGAATGTGTACTGTGTCCTGTCTTGATATATATGTACGTATATCTGTAAATAGGTGAGTATATATAAAGTAAATACATCAAAGTATAAACAGCAGTCACCTCCAGGTTTTGGGATTATGGATGGTGTGAATTGTTTTTCATAGTTCTTTTTTGATAAATGCAGTCTATTTTGATAATCAGAAGGGTCTCAGGAAAATGATTTCCCAAGAGAGTGGATTTAAATCTCCTTGATTCTTTCCTGTGTGTCTTGGTTTCTAGAGTTGGCGCTCGAAAAGGAATTAGCAGAAGGAGAGGATTGGGGACATGGCTCCTAGGGGTGTTGGCCTGGTTCTTTCTTGCATTCTGCATGTAAGTGAGAGCTGGCCCCGTGAGAGGACAAAGCCTCCGCTTCTACCAGATATCAGGGCACTCTCCTCATTTGAAACATGTTTTTATCAAGAAAAATTCCTTTATTTTACATTGTTCATTAGTCCAGTCACTTAGCCTTGATCACGCGCAGCTCTCACGCCCCCACAGGAATACAGAAGCATACGTATCCATCAATCTATTGTTCTCTTCTGTGATGCCTGACAGGTGCTTCTCCCCATCCCTGCATATTATCTGCAGAGGTTTCCACAGTAAGGGTCTGAGTTGGAGCCACTACTCGCAGCTGAATGAGAGTGGAAGTTTTGATGGCAAGAGCCTTGGTGGGGGTGGGGATAGGGGACATGCCAACCATCACATGCTGTCCATCTCCTGCATCTCTGTCTCTGCAGGTTTTGCCAGGCCAACACCCCTAGGAGCCATGTCCCCAACCCTCCCCTGCCATTTCCTTTCCTAGCACCAATACTATCCATAGCAACGAAGCCTGACACTTTTGGCATGTCAACCCACTTCCCTTTCTACCATACTGTCTCTATGACTCAAATTTCCTCCATTAGTGTCAATTTTATGGGTCAAGGTATTGGCATACCCTATTAACTGCTATTAATTGGTAAGGGTAAAAGGTTAAGGCACTGTGTTATAGTATAAAAAGCATGGAGTTTAGTGCCAGGCAAATTGGAGTTTGAACCCAGGCTTTACCAACTCCCAATTGAATGACTTTGGGTAGGTGACTGAGTTGCTCCGTCTGTAAAATAGAGTAGAATATTCTCCTTGAAGAACTGTTAAAGGGCGGGGGTAGCTATTATACCTATAACTTTACAGAGATGTGATGGTTACCAACAGGATAATGGCCATAAAGTCTCACATAGAAGGCACTCAATTGTATGAGTAGGCAATTGAGAGGCATCCCTTATACTCATTACCCCAGCATCACAAACAGAATCCCGAGAGTAGGGGAAGGCAACCAACACTTTTTGGGGCCTGAAGAAATTCAGAAACTTATTCAAGGTTGCACAGCTAGTGAATAGCAGAGCAGGTATTTGAACCCAGTTCTCTCTGGTGCCAAAGCTCAGGCTCTTCCCACAAACACCTCACTTACTGCCTTTAGCTACATGTCCCCATCCCCGAATGAAGGGAGAATTGACAGCCAATTTTAGTGATTCTGGACAAAGATTCAGGCAGGTTACTGTGAAAAAAGCCCTGATATGTTGGGTAATCACACTGAGCTATATAAAAAGCTATGCACAGACCTTCAGACATTCCAGTGGACATCAGAGTATATTGTGAAGCCCTAAATGAACCAACTATAATGAGAACTAGGGTTATTTGTTCACATTACACTATGGATGAAAACAAAAGTTCTCAAACTTCAGTGTGCATCAGAAACACCTGCTGGGCCCCACTTCCGGAACTTCTGGGGTCAGGAAGTCTGGGTGGGGCCTGATAATTTGCATTTGTAACAAGATCCTGATGCTTCTGGTCCAGAAACCACACATTGAGAACCACATTAAAATGTACTATAACACTTCCAAGTCTCTGTGTCCTATCTTCCAAAAATTCCAAGGAGCTATCAGCACACGAGTATCACAAAACCTTAGCTGCCAATCCAGAAACCCTAGCTTTGGGTTTGATGTCTCTGATGGACCCTTTCCCCTCCAGCACTCCAAAGTAAGTAACCAAGGCTCTCCTGATAATCGTGACTGTCAGGGAAGTGAGAATGCTGGTGGGGCAGGGCCACTTTTGTTCTCTGTCCCCATTCTTGTGCCCATACCAAGCAGGTAGCCAGCCTCCACTTCCCTTCACCTCAGGGAACATTTGTCTTGTGAGCAGACAGGCTACAGCCTGGCTGTTTTCCAGAATCCTAAACACCTTGATAGGATTATGCATAGGAGAGAGGGGACAGTGACTTGGCAGGCAGAAATGCACAAGGGAAGTTTCTGCACATGGGACATCAGGGGACCTCAGGGAGACAGGACTCAGGGAAATGGCTTAGTGGTACACAGGAGGCTGGATCCCAGACATCAGAGCGCCAAGCCTAGGTAGAAGAAGCATCTTCCTCACCTGACCTCTCATGCCCCACCATCCCTGGAGCAGCCTGCCCTGGAGCAGTCCCATCTTCAAGAAACCATGTGGACAGTGAGGGTAGCAGGAACAATCACGATGTACTGAAGACCCCACAGAGGTGCCCCTAATCCTTGGGTAACTGGTCGGAAGAGGAAGGGCCCTCCAGTAATGAATGAGATTGAACTTCAGTGGGATGGAGGGAAGATACAGATTTAAGCTGCCACCTCTGAGCAAACCGCCCTGACATACACACTACACAGAAGACACAGCAGTCAAGGGCACACTCTTTAGTACTAGTTAGGATCAGAAAACCCTTGACAAAGGTTGATCGTGGTGAGCTGGGCGGGATCTCGTGGGGTAACCCGAGGACACCTTTAGCTCAGATTGAGGTAGATCTAACTAACCACCCCTGGCTCCCTTCTTGCCTTGCAGCAGCTGCCTTGGGGAGCAGAGAGCCTGTAGTGAACACACCAAGAGGGAGAGGAGGGGCCCAGAGGCATTCCCAAGAGTGCTCGCCCCAGTCCAGTTCTATTTTTAACCCACTTATTCCTCCCAAGAGATGCACCATCCAGAGCTTGGTGCCCCTGAGGTCTGTCCTTGGAATCCATTTTGTTCTTCATCCACTGTTGACTGGAAAGGGACTTGGGATGGGGGCAGCCCAAGGCTGAGGGCTAGAGTGTGTAACCAACACCCCCTGCCCTCAAGCACTGTCTTTCTTCAAGACAGCCCAGTGGTCTTTCAGTCAGGCTTGTGGGCAACCAAGAAAATGCCTGTCCCGGCGCGGTGGCTCACGCCTGTAATCCCAGCACTTTGGGAGGCCGATGCGGGCAGATCATGAGGTCAGGAGATCGAGACCATCCTGGCTAACACAGTGAAACCCCATCTCTCAACTAAAAACACACAAAAAAATAGCCAGGCGTGGTGGTGGGCACCTGAATTCCCAGCTACTTGGGAGGCTGAGACAGGAGAATGGCGTGAATTCAGGAGGCGGAGCTTGCAGTGAGCCGAGATCTTGCCACTGCACTCCAGCCTGGGCGACAGAGCGAGACTCCATCTCAAAAAAAAAAAAAAAAGAAAAGAAAAAGAAAAGAAAACAAAATGCCTGTCCCTCTCAAGGGAGGAAATCAGTAGGCAATCAGAAAAGCCCTGCCTGCACTTTCCTAATATTTGCCACTGCCCATTCACTTCCATTGGGACTAATGTGATGAGCAGTTCAGTCACTCAAGGCCTTTCATGAAAGTCTCTTTGACACTTCTCCGAGAATTACAAGAATAGATCTTGATGTTATTTCAATTGGGTTTATCCAAAGGGCACACTATGTGCAAGGGTACAGAGACACCCTTGATCTACACTGTATTTCAAATTAGGATTTCTTGGCTGGGCGCGGTGGCTCACGCCTGTAATCCCAGCACTTTGGGAGGCCGAGGCAGGTGGATCACCTGAGGTCAGGAGTTCGAGACCAGCATGGCCAACATGGTGAAGCCCTGTCTCTACTAAAAATACGAAAAATTAGCCAGGCATTGTGGCAGGCGCCTGTAATCCCAGCTACTCAGGAGGCTGAGGCAGGAGAATCGATTGAACCCAGGAGGCAGAGGTTGCAGTGAGCTGAAATTGCTCCATTGCACTCCAGCCTGGGCAACAAGAGCGAAACTCCGTCTCAAAACAAACAAACAAACAAAAACAAAAACAAAAAACAAAAAACCAATTAGGCTCTCTTATCTAACCAAACTCACCCAGTTGGATTATAATGTGTGCACCAGATGACAACATATAATTATAGTTTCTAACACACACTAGGCCATCAATGACTATTTGGTCAATAAATTAGTAAATGAAATTAAACAAACTTGCTATAATCTCTAAAATTTAATGCTATTTTCCCAACTCCCTTTGAACTCAGCTATATCAATCCATTTTCTCCAACAGGATTAAATTCTAACGAAATCTGCTCTCCCTTGTTCCAAAATACATGCAGAACATCTCTTTCCTGATTCTGTTGCATTATTTTCAGCAGCAGCCAGTTGAGGTCTCACTGAGGTGAAGGATGATGAGAGCCAGAAGGGTATTTTGTGAGGTTTCACATGCTGAGAGCCAGATCATCTTCAGCTTCATGCAAGATTCCTGGAGCTTAGAGACACAAAAAACAGGCCCTCACCTATGAATGTTATAAGAATAAATCAAACAAATATGAACACTGCTATAGTTTACAATATGACAATAGCAATCTCAAGGAAAAAGCAGTGTTCTAGAAGATGATGTGTCTTATGTTGTAAAAGCATGGCTATTCCCAGCCAAAAGCCTAGTGTTGAGGAGAGAGGAGGTTAAGGAGAATGGAGAGGGAGAAAAATAGAACGCTCCATAACATCAGCTTCAGGGTGTCGACTAATTAGTAGCAGCCACCCAGAGTCCACCACTTGTAAACTTAAATGCAATTGGGCAAATTTTCCTTTTAAAGATGGACATATTCAATAGAATCTCATCTTTCTTGAAAACAATACTTGGCCAGGAGCAGTGGCTCACGCCTGTAATCCCAGCACTTTGGGAGGCCAAGGCGGGCAGATCACTTGAGCCCAGGACTTCAAGACCAGACTGGGCAACATGGCAAAACCCTGTCTCTAATTTAAAAAGAAAATGCAAAAACTAGCCAGGCATGGTGGTGTGTGCCTGTGGTCCCACCTACCCAGGAGGCTGAGGTGGGAGGATTACCTGAGCCAAAGAGATTGAGACTGTAGTTGGCCATGATCACACCACTGCACTCCAGCCTGGGTGACAGAGTGAGACCCTGTCTCAATAAATAAATAAATAGTAATATGTGCTATCAAGATAATAGAAGTTGATACGAGAGATAGGGATTCTACAGGGAATTGAGATTCTCCCCTGTATATAAGGCATGTAGGGAACGTCTCTTTGAGATGACATTTGAGCTGAGATCTAGAACTCCAATAGCAAAAGTCTTGTGTAGAAAAAGCTTCAAATATCCAAGGAATAGAAAAGATCTCAGCCAGGCACGGCTGGGATTAGGCCTGTAATCCCAGCACTTTAGGAGGCCGAGGCAGGCGGATCATTTGAGCTCAGGAGTTCAAGGTCAGCCTGGGCAACATGGAGAAAAGCCATCTCTACTAAAAATACAAAAAATTAGCTGGGCGTGGTGGCGCACACCTGTGGTCTCAGCTGCTTGGGAGCCTGGGGTGGGAGGAGGATGACTTGAGCCCAGGGAGGTGGGGTTGCAGTGAGCTGAGATCACGCCACTGCACTCCAGCCTGGGTGACAGAGCAGGATGCTGTTTCAAAAAAAAATAAAAAGAAGAGGAGGAAGAAGAAGAAAGAAAGGAAGGGAGGAAGGGGGGAAGAAAGGAAGGAAGGAAGGAAGGAGAGAGAGAGAAAGAAAGAAAAAGAAAGAAAGAAATAAAAAGAAAGAAAGAAAAAGAAAGAAAGAAAGAAGAAAAAGAAAGAAAGAAAGAAAAAGAAAGAAAGAAAAGATCTTAGTGTGACTAGAGCATGATAAGTTTGGAAGAGAGTGGAATGAGATGATGTTGAGAACATACATAAACAAAGATATTATGTTGCATGGCCTCAGAAGCAATAGTAAGAAGATTGAATTTTATTCTAGGTGTGAGTAGGTGACATTGTAGTGTTTTGTTTTGTTTTGTTTTGTTTTTTGTTTTTTGTTTTTTAGTGATAGCGTCATCAGATCTGAAACGTTTTACTCTGAATGTGGCATGGAATAGAGATTATATGGAGATTAAGAATGTAAATAGGGATAATAGTGTGGAAGCTGTTGCAGCTGACAAAGCAAGTAATGATCAAGATTTGGTTTAGTCTAAAGTGGTGTTATTGGAGATGAACACCAACTCCAGTAATATGTGGAATGGTGTTCATCTGGGGAGAGGCTGAGAATATATTTTGAAAGTAAACTTGACAGGCATTATAGATTGTTTGGCTAAGGGGGTGTAAAGATTGAGAAAAAGAAAGGAGATAAGGGTGACCTATAGTTTTTAAGTTTGAGCCAAGTGGGTGAATGGTGGTACCATTTCTGAGATGGAGAAGATTGGGAAAAGAAAAGAAAAAGCAAGAGTACTGTTTATATATTTTTAAATTTTTTAGTTTTAAATTTATTTTTA
The DNA here is from genome assembly GCF_000001405.40 of Homo sapiens. Lineage (NCBI taxonomy): Eukaryota > Metazoa > Chordata > Mammalia > Primates > Hominidae > Homo > Homo sapiens. The sequence goes on along the minus strand of NC_000023.11, from coordinate 120,414,891 downwards.
TTTCTATTTTTATTTTTTTAAGACAGGGTCTCACTATTCTGCCCAGGCTGGTCTCAAAGTCCTCGGCTTAAGCAGTCCTCCCACCTCGGCCTTCCAAAGTGCTGATATTATAGGCATTAGCCACCATGTCCAGCCCAAGAGTACTGTTTCAGAGATGTGGTTTGTGATGTCTCTTAGCAACCAGGGTGGGGATATGAAGTAGGCCTTCTGGGAGTTAAAGGTCTGGAACAAAGGGAAGAAATTGTGTTGGAAATACAAATTTGGAAATCTACTGATGGTATTTAACAACCGTGGACCTGAATGAGACCCCCAAGGGAGAAGAGAGTCATATAGAGATGAGTAGAAAACAGTGGACTGAATCCTGGGGCACTCCAAATGTTAGAATCATAGTTACAGTCAGTCATTGAAAGTACAAAGATGATTCCACGTTAATTTGGATTTAACCTTTAAAATCAGATAATTATGGTGGTGTATGTTATTTCAGCCACTGAAAAATATGAAAAACTCCCCAGATAATTTTGTGTAGCTATAATCACACCCAATGAGAAAAGTATATTATCAAAAAGAATGCTATTGGCCCATCTTATTTATAAGTATAGCTGCAAAGAGATGGCACTGACATTTCTATGTTATTTTTGTTTAATATCCAAGAGCAATTCCTTGTGAGATTCTTGCATTATACATAAAGTAGTATAACTTTTGAAGGTATATTATGATAAGTAAAAGATGTACATTATAAGTTAAAGATGTATATTCCACAGCATAGAAAAAGAGGGACAACTCCCAGGTTCATTTTGTGAAGCCAACACAATTTTAACAGCCAAGCAGAAAAATAGTGTATAAAATAATACAGTACAAAATATACTGACACATCTGCAAAAATTCTACATAAAATATCTGTAAAGTTACTGTATCAACCTTCCTGTGGCAGATATTGTTGGTTAATAACCAACAACAAAGCCCACTCTTTTGCTAACACAACCTACACATTGCTCAGTGAGTGGCAAGCCCTGGGTAGCACCTCATGATTGGTTTCAGGCAATGTTATTCTTTGTCAGTGACTGCTTTAGGGGTAGACATGTAACGCTGTGATGGTCAATAAGATACATCAGGAAATTTTCTGGGTGGGTTTCAGGGAAAGATTTTCCTTTGCGATTAGATAGAGGACCAATAAAGTGAAATCCATTCACCATGCGTCCCAATCCTTTATGTTTGTGATGCAAGTATATAAGGGCATGTTGTTTGGAGCTGCAGGAGTTACCTTGAGACCATGAGAAGAGACATAACAGACATATGTTGTGACCATCATGCAGAAACAGGGTGAACCCTCACCCAAATTTGGTTCAGAGGTCAAGACTGATGGTACCACACATGCACTAAGAGGGTACAAAAATGTTTATTACTTACATAATGCAGCTTTCTGGAGAGAGCAGACAAGCCTCACAAGTTGATTCAAAAATTGCTTGAGAGAGCAAAGAAAGGAGACTGGCTTAGAATTTTAATTATGGTTAGGGATGGGGCTCGGGTAAGGGTTTCTGTGTGTGGGCAGGGGCTTGTATGGTTTGAAACACCTGCTGGCACTAAAGGAGAGAGCACTAAGGCTTTCTTATCAACTTGCCTAGATGTGAGGCATAAGGGGAGAGTGAAGGGTGAGGCTTAAAAGCTGTTAGCAGTCAAACATCAGAAAATGGAGTCAGGCTCTTCATTGTAATTTACCCCTGATGTTTGAATGATGACAAAAATATAACATGCTTCATTTAATTGAATTTGAACTTGTTTAAATAAGCCATTTGGGACTCTATAAAGCCTGAAGCCTGTAACCTATAAGGAAGGTGAAAATTTCATTGAATGCCTTGTTTCAGAGCCCAGTGTTGTGTATTCTGAGAAGTGAAATAAGTGCCTTGGTAACTATCAGTAATGTCTGGAACTACAAAGAGCGTAAGGATTGTCCTGATGAAGTTTTGTATTGCTTCAGTATATGTACAGGTATGTGCTACGCTGATTTATATTTCGGATATCTATGAGGCAGTAGATTACCACAGTTCCTTACCTCAAAGAGGTAAAGAGGGTACAGCCTATGGCTCAAAGAGGGACTCCTTGGACAAGAAATTATTATTGCTGCCATTGGCTAGACCAAATAGTGAGACCATTGACAATGGCCCAAAAGTGTGTAAAATGGTGCAGATGGGGCTGATTTTTGCTCATAGAAAACAGCACTAAGATGCCTGACTGAAGTTTGCCAATTATATTGGCCTTGACTCTCATCTTTTATCAGGGATGTCCTGGTAAAGGGATGAAAAACAGTAGCTCCAGTGAATACCAATCACATGTAATGGTAACAATGTCATCTGTAAAGTATACAAACTCCCATTGTCATTCATTTAGTTGATCCTAGAGGGCGCCTCAGGTGGCCAAGAGGTCTTGTAGAAGGGTGACATCCTCTACCACCATGACATCTGGTAAGGAACTGAGTACAAGGGAGGCCACGCCCTCCTGAAGGTGGGATATGCCACGGGGTTTAGGTTTGGTTCCATCCGGGAGTAAGGAGTACTTGGTGGCCATTGCAAGCTTCCAGGGTGCTGCTTCCATGACTCAATACATAGTGGGTATCTAGGTATGGAGGGCCATAGGCTCAAGGCATGTGGGACCTCTATTTCTGGAAAGTCCAGTATGCAGCTAGCAATTGCTGCTCAAATGGCCTACAACACAGGGCTGAGGAGGGCAGTTTTTTTGGCCCATAGGCAACGTATGGACAGCATGGGTGGTCCAGAGACTCCAGGAGGCACGAAAGGAGGTTACTAACACCTATACCATGAAAAGAATCTGATGGAGGGGCATTAACAGGAGGGGCTGTTGTATTGCAATTTGGACAGAATCTAGAACCTTTTGTTGGAGGAGTGCCCGTTCAAGGTGGGCTGATTTGCAAATAACCACATAGATGGGCTTAAGTAAAATTTGTAAGGGAGGAATATGTTGCCTTCTGAACCCAAAAGACCTAAAAGATGTTAGGTTTGTGGCTTATTTTAACACTGCAGGGCCTGAGAGGGTCTACAGCTATTTCTTGACAGTGCCAGGTACAGGGTAGCCCTTGGTTTGCCAAATAATTTTCAGGAATTTACAGATCTGTTGGAGCCTTGTATTGTGTAAGTCAATGGCCCGTCCATTCTTTTGGGCTCCTTTATGAGTAACTTTATGTCCTTAGTGTGTGAAATGAATATCATCAGAAGAGGATATCATGAATATAATGGCATAACTGTGCCCATGAAAAATTTGGAAGCAGATAAAATTGTATCTGCAAAGATTGTGTGTAATGACAAGGCTGTTGAAGTACCCCATGGATATATTGTGTCCCTTAGGACGTGATCGCAAACTGGAGCCGAGAGGGTGTTAAAATAGCATTGAACAGAATATATTAGCCATATCTATTATAGCAAAATATTTATCAGTTTCTGATTAGATGTAGTCAGTAACTTAAATAATTTTGGATATAGGCCCTTAATGGATGAGGCCACAGCACTGAGGTTGCACTAATCTACTGTGAGACATCATTCATTTTTTCCAAGTTTAACAGCAGGCTATTGAAGCCCAGTAATTTAAGAAAAAAAAAAAAGAAAGAAAAAGAAAAAAAAGAAAGAACAGGCTAAATTGGATTGTGATAAGCAGGAGCAGTGGTATTAACAACTCCTTTTCTAAATAAGCCTTGTATAATGTGTTTCAATCCTTGAAGACCCTATTTTATTTTACATTGGACCTTATTAAATATTTTAGTGGTGGTGGGGAGAGATGGAAAAGTCCACGTGGTCCCATTTTAAATCCAATTTGTAAGTGCCAAAAACTTAGTTTTAATTTATTACCCACTGGGTCAGAGCGTCCATGTCCACTATGGGATTTTTAGGGCAATGGCTACTATAATCATGGGGAATTTAAGCAAGGCAATTTTTTTGATAGTTAAAGTGGGGCATAACTCTTTGTCCTCTATTTTTATGTTCAGTAACTCCCTGAACATTATAGGGGGTGTGTTGTTCAAATTTAGAAGGATCCCCAGGTATTACTGTAATTTGAACCCAAGTATTGATTGAGGCCATGAAGGTTTGCCAATTGGTGTGTTTTAGCAGATATTAAAGTTAATCCATAAGCTATGTTGTAGAGGTGCAAAAGAAATTCAGTGCACATTTATCTTTCTGTTTCATAAATTCTTTAAGTAAATTTTGAATTTCCAGTGGGGTGAAATTGTAGACTTCCATTTCAGTATTATGATCCCTCCCTTGTATCCAGATTCCTTCCTTCCTTCGTTCCATCTTCCTGCCTGTCTTTCTGTCTTTTCTTTGTGTGTGTATGTGTATGTGTGTGTGTGTGTGTGTGTGTGTGTGTGTGTGTGTGTGTGATTACTGAATATGCTTTGGGGAGGTTCTCCCAGCAAAGACACTGGCAGCATTTTGCCTCTGACCTAAAGATCTGTGGAATGTTGAACTTGAGAGAGATTATCTGAAATTGGAATGGAACTTATGTTTAAAAGGGAAGCAGAGCCTAAGTTTGGAAAATTTGCAGCCTGATGATGTGATAGAAAAGAAAAACCCATTTTCTGGGGAGAAATTCAAGGTGACTGCAGAAATTTGCATACGTAAAGAGGAGCCAAATGTTAACCACCAAGAAAATGGGAAAAATGTCTCCAGGGCATGACAGAGATCTTTATGGCAACCCCTCCTATCACAGGCCTGGAGGCCTAGGAGGGAAAAATTGCTTTGTGGGCCAGGTTCAGGCACCCCCTTGTCTGTGCACCCTCAGGACATGGTGCCCTGTATCCCAGCCACTTCAGCTCCAGTGGTGGCTAAAAGGGGCCTAGGTACAGCTTAGGCTGTTGTTTTGGAGGGTGCAAGTCCCTATCCTTGATGGCTTCCACTTCGTGTTGGGCCTACAGGTATACAGAAGTCAAGAATTGAGGTTTGGGAACCTCCACCTAGATTTCAGAGGATCTATGGAAATGCCTGGATGTACAAGCAGAAGTTGGCTGCAGGGGTGGAGCCCTCATGGAGAACCTCTGTTAGGGCAACAGAGAAGGAAAATATGGGGTTGGAGCCCCCACACAGAGTCCCCACTGGGGCACTGCCTAGTGGAGCTGTGAGAAGAGGGCCACCATCCTCCAGATTCCAGAATGGTAGATCCACTGATAGCTTGCACACTGTGCCTGGAGAAGCCACAGACACTCAACACCAGCCTATGAAAGCAGCTGGGAGTGAGGCTGTACCCTGCAAAGCTATAGGGGCAGAGCTGCTCAAGACCATGGGAGCCCACCTCTTGCATCAGCATGCCCCGGATGTGAGACATGGAGTCAAAGGGATCATTTTGGAGCTTTAAGATTTAATGACTTCCCCACTGGATTTTGGACTTGCATGGGGCCTGTACCTCCTTTGTTTTGGCCAATGTCTCCCATTTGGAATGGAAGCATTTATCCAATGCCTGTACCTCCACTGTATCTTTGAAGTAACTAACTTGCTTTTGTTTTTATAGGCTCCTAGGTGGAAGGGATTTGCCTTGTCTCAGATGAGACTTTGGACTTGGACTTTTCAGTTAATGGTGAAATGAGTTAAGACTTTGGGGGACTGTTGGGAAGGCATGATTGGTTTTGAAATGTGAGGACATGAGATTTAGCAGGGGCCAGGGGTGGAATGTTATGGTTAGGTTTTGTGTCCCACCCAAATCTCATCTTGAATTGTAATCCCCATAATCCCCATGTATTGAGGGAGAGACTTGGAGGGAGGTGATTGGATCATGGGGGCAGTGTCCTTCATGCTGTTCTCATGATAGTGAGTGAGTTATCATGAGATCTGATGGTTTTATAAGTATCTGACAGTTTCTCTATCACACATTCACTCTCTCTCAACTGCTGCCATGTAAGACATGCCTCTTCCTCTTCTGCCATGATTGCAAGTTTCCTGAGGCCTCCCTAGCCATGTGGAACTGTGAGTCAATTAAACCTCTTTTCTTTAAAAATTACCCAGTCTTGGGCAGTTCTTTATAGCAGTGTGAGAACAGACTAATACAGGTGTGTAGACTCAATGATTAAAATCTTCAAATGGTAACTGCTCTTCAAATACCGACAGCTCTTCCTCCACACCGACAACCTCCCAATGGGCCTGTATATTGCACAAGGTATAATCTTTCCCATGAGCACTCTATAGAATAGTGGCCAATGCTTGGTTGAAACCCATAATAAAACAGTCTTAGGATAAGACTCTTTCCCCTAAGCCTAGCATCAGTCACAGTTGATGCTGGAATCAAGACAGATGATTTATTCTAAGACACACAGACAGGTCTGGGCCAAGACACACAAGCCAGAGTAACTTTAAGGAGGGCCCCAGTCCCATGCTCCTGTTTCTAAATGTCAGTTGATTATTCAAACTTCTGACTTAGGTCAGTTACATCTATAATAGAGGTTCAGTAGGACTTAGCAAATCCAGCACAAAGCAGCACAACTCACAGTGCAAGCTAGCCAGCAGGCAGTACCTTGAAGTGCATGCTTACCACCAGGCAGTGGAGTCAATTAGCAAATCAAAGCAAGAGAAGGCTACCTGGTAGTGGTGGTCATTGTCTCAACCTCCTGCTAACAGTACCAACTATTGACAGAAACCAGATGGATCGCCATCCAAAATTTGGTTTTAATGTCAAGACTAATGATGCCATCAACACATCAAGAGGACATAAAAGGTTTATTACTTACATAATGAGACTTTCTGGGGCAACCAGAGCAGGCATCACAGGATTATCTGTAAGTGGCTTGATAAAGCAAGGAAAGGAGACTGGACTGAGATTTTTATGGTGGTGAGGGAGGAGGCTGAAGTGAATGTTCCTGTGCATGGGATGGGGCCTGCATAGTTTGAATCTATGGCCAGTAAAAAAGGAGAGAGACCCAAGGCTTTCTTATCACCTTGCCAAGATGTGAGGCACGAGAAGAAGAAGGGGAAATGAGCTTTAAAAGCTATCAGAATTTAAGCTTTGAAAAATGGAATCAGACTCTTGATTACAACATGCTTCTGATGACAGTATGGAAAAGTGATAGAACTAGGGTCCTTGATCATGTTATTCAACCTCTAAAATGACCTTGGAACCACCTGCTTCAGACTTCTAGGGCTGCTTAATAATTCAATGTCTTTATGGTTGAGGATACTTTTAGCTAGACTCTGTTACTTGCAGTCAAAAGAACTCTGGATGATACAATGTTGAAGATATAATCAATTACTACCATGTTGAATATATTCAGGGAATACAAAGACAATATAATAAATTCATCAATGTAATTCATAACAAAAATAAATTAAAGGAGAATATCATAGGGTCATATTAATAACATACTTAAAGTGTTTTCATAAAATCCAGTAACTATCCTTAATAAAAACACAAGGTAAAGAGAAGCAGAAAGCACCTACCTAAAAACTCCTTACTAAAACTAACAACAAATATCAATCTAAAGAGTGAAACAATAATGTTTTTAAGATGATCAGAAATTACAGAAGAATGCTATTACAATTATTTCACATATTCTGTGAGTTTCCAATAAATGCAATAAAGGAAGAGAATGATATAGCATAATAACTACTGAAAAAGATACAACTTTTTCTGGTGTGAGTGTATGTCCAGAAAATGCAAGAGACATTAATAAATACCAATACAGTTAATACAAGTGTCAAGATTGCTGGAAACAGGGTAAACATAAAAAAAATTCTCCTATAGTAGGAATAAGTGGGGATGGATAGAAATGGGGGAAATATTTTATTCACCAAAATGGCTTAAATTATAAAATACATTATGTAGTAGGTTTGTAATAGGCAAACTTCTTTAGGTTCAGCTACATTTCTCAGAATTTTCTTTCCTTTAAGTTTGTAATTAGGATGTGTCACAAGAGAGATTATTGTGGGAGAACTGGAGGACGGAAGTGATGCAGTAGCCATTTTGGAGCTCGAATACATTACCTCTTTTCTGCTGGCTCACCACACTGGCACAAGACATTAGCTGGGTTTGGAACTCCTCCACTTTCCTCTGGATCCTCCTTTAGCTTCTCCAATTCCTGGGCCAGGTGTGTGAGTTTGGCTCTGTGACAAAGTGTCTTGGTTTTACAGGATACTCATACCGTTAACGTCAGAGGAAACAAGAACTGATACGGGTTTTAGTCCATCCTTGAGGGTGCCAGCTTGTGCTTGTGGATTCCACCTCACAGTAGTTCTGCTACTCTGATTGAAGCCTGACTGACACATTTGGAAATAAAATTTCACAGAAAAAGGAAGCAGATTTCCACTACTGGCCATGTTGGTATAATATAGACTGAATTTTACTCTCCCACTAGAAAAAAACCTTTGAAAGTGGACAAAAGATACAAAATGGTGGTTTTCCAGTCACTGAGCATTAAGTAACGAAGGACAGTGATCCCTGAAAAATGGGAAAGAAATGAGGTGAGACCCATGTTTACTCAGCATACTGTCTGGAGAGAGTTTCCAGGCCATGGCACAAGGAAGAGGAACTCAGGTGGAGTCTGGAAAACTCCGTGAGTTAAAGAGGAAGGGGGGAGAATCTGGGAGACCAAGGTGGCTAGGGATTGTTAGACAGAATACCAGAAAGGGGAAATATAGATAGAGAGGACTCCAGAAACCTGCAGAGGGTCATTTTGAGTAGTAATGGTCCCCTGAAGAACCGATGGACTCATGGCTCAAGAATGTCAAATAAAAAAAAAAGAAGAACTGATGGACACATGTGAGGAAACTACCTAAGGCTAAGGAATTAACCACACAAAAGAATTGGTACACACAGAGCTGGAAATAGTGCCTGTTCCCTTTAGCCAGGCTAGTAAAACCTCATAATTCATGGAACATTGGGTAGAGTACTAAAAAGGCTCTTGCGTTAATAGTGACGAATAGTTGGATTCAGAGTGAACAGTGCTCTTGATCTCTCTAAAACACCATAAAAGCAAGATCCTAAAGGATCAAACTGTTTCTGTGTATCTAACTGTGTCTGAGAACAAAGCTCAAGAATATTTATAAGAATACAAACGCAACAAATATCTCAAAGTTAAAATTCAACAACATTGAGCATTCAATTAAAAATTACCAAGCTTGCAAAGAAACAGAAAAACATGACCCATCATGAGGCAAAATATCCATCAATCAAAACCAACGCCAAAGTGACACAGATGTTGGAATTAGCAGAAAAGGACATTAAAACAGTTATATCTATATTCCGTATGTTCAAAAAGTTAAGACAGATAATGTATGAAGGCAAAAATAAAGTTTCTAGAGATGAGATAAAATATACTAGATGGGATTAACTGCAAATTGGACATTGCAGAAAAAAATAGTAAACTTGAAAATTTAGCATTAGAAACTCTCCAAAATGGGATATCCAGAAGAAAAAACATCTAAAGAAATGAGCAAAGCATCGGTCAACTGTGAGAAAACTATTTGTTTTCTCAAAAAGCAAATATATATTCCCAAAAGGGGAGTACAGAAAATATTTGAAGAACGAATAGATAAAAATTTTTCCAAATTTTATGAAAACTATAAACGCACAGATCCAAGAAGCTCAATAAATCTCAAACACACAAAAAACTGAATACTACACCAGGGCATATCATGATTAAATTACTCACATGAGTGCCAGAGACAATCTTAAAGCAACCAGAATAAAAAGTATGTTACATAAAAGGATGACAATAGATTTAATATCAGAAATAATGTGAGATGACAGGAGAGCAAATTTTTAAATTATTTAAAGAAAAATAATTTTTAACCTAGAATTTTATACCCAGTGAAAATATCAAGAAAGAAGGTGAAATAAAAACTTATTCAGACATATAAAAACTGAATGCATTATTAGCAGATCCATACTGCAAAAAATGTTAAAGAAATTCCTGCAGGCAGAAGAGAAATGATAGGTGGAAATACAGACTTACATAAAGGAACAAAGAGCACTGGAAATGTTTATGACAAGAATATATATGTATGTATATACATATGTATATATATATCTTCCTTTTAAATAAAGGTTTTCCTATTATTTAAATCTTTAAAAAATATAATTGACTGCTAAAACAATAATAACAATATAGCATAGAGTTGATAATATACGTAAAAGTAAAATGCATGACAATAATAGCTCAAAGGCTAGGAGAGGAGAAACAGAAATTTACTGCTGTTGTAAGGTTCTCATATGCTATAAAATGGTGCAATATCACATTAAGGTAGACTGTGACAACTTAAAAATGTGTACTATAAACTCTAAAGTGACCCTAAAACAACAAAACAAGAGCTAATGCTAATTAACCAACAAAGGCTAAAAAATTTAAATCATAAACAACATGGAATTAATCCAAAATAAGGCAAAAAAAGAAAGAAAGTGAAACAAAGAATAGATGAGATAAACAGAAAACACATAGTAAGATGATAGATTTAAACTAACTAACCATATGAATAACCACATTTAGTATCAATGGTTTTCCCCCAGTTAAGTAAGAGATTATCAGAGAGTAGATTTATGTATGTATTTGTTTATTTTGAGGCAGGGTCTCACGCTCTCACTCAGGCTAGAGTGCAATGGTGCGATCTCATATCACTACAACTTCTGTCTCCTGGGCTCAAGCAATCCTCCCATCTCAGCCTCCTGAGTAGCTGGAACTACAGGTGCATACCACCATGCCTGGCTAATTTTTTAATTTTTTGTAGAGATGAGGGCTCACCATGTTGCCCAGGTTAGTCTGGAACTCCTGGGCTCAAGTGATCTGCCCTCCTCAGCCTCCCAAAGTGCTGGGATTACAGATGGGACCCACCTCACCTGGCCCAGAGAGTACATTTAAAAGCAAGACCTAACTATATGTAGCCTCCAAGAAACACAATTTAAACATAAAGACACAAATAATTTAAAGGTAAAAGGATGGATTTGGCAATGATTTCTTGGATATGAGACCAAAAGAACAGACAATAAAAGAAAAAATAGATAAACTGGGCTATATCAAAATTAAGAACTTCTGTGCACAAACAAACATCATCAGCAGAATGAAAAGACAAAATATTTTTCTATTCAGAATAGAATGAAGCCAGAGATTATATAGTACAAGGAAAATATTGTAAGTTAGAGATTGTCAGGATAAAAAAAAAAGCAAGACCCCTGGTTCTTTCAAGAAATCAGTGAAATTGGTAAATACCTAGCTAAACCCGTTAGGAAAAGAAGAGAAAAGACACAAATTACCAATATAAGGAATGAGAGAAAAGACATCACTACAGATTCGTCCGGGAATTATTAGGATTATAGGGGGATATTATGAACAACTTTATGTCACTAAAAATGATAGTACAGAGCGGGGGTCCCCAGCCTCCAGGCCACAGACTGATACCAGTCCATGGCCTGTTAGGAACCGGACCGCACAGCAGGAGGTGAGTGGTGGGCAAACAAGCATTACCGTCTGAACTCCACCTTCTGTCAGGTCAGTGGTGACATTAGATTCTCATAGGAGTGCGAACCCTGTTGTGAACTGCGCATGTGAGGGATCTAGGTTGCATGCTCCTTATGACAATATAATGCCTGATGATCCGAGGTGGAACGGTTTCATCCTAAAACCATGCCCCTGACCTCATTCCGTGGAAAAATTGTCTCCCACAAAACCGGTCCCTGGTGCCAAAAAGGTTAGGGGCTGCTGATGTAGAGACATACTAAAATAAACTATTTTCTCTAAATGTTTGTCTGCTATGACTTGAATATATGTGTCTCCCCCAAATTCATAGGTTGTTACCTAAGACCCAGTGTAATAGTATTCAGAGGGGGCCTTTCGGAGGTGATTAAGTCATGAGGGGTCTACCCTTAAAACAGGGCTTGAGGGAACTAGCTAGGTGCTTTTGCCCTTCTGCCTCCTGCCATGTGAGGATGCAGCAAGAAGGCCCTCTCCAAACACCAAATGCTGGCACCTTGATCTTGGACTTCCTATCCCTAGCTGTAAGAAATAAATTTCTATTGTTTATAAATTACCCAGTCTGTGGTCTTTTTTAATACCAGCACAAATAGACTAAGACAGTATCTGAACATCATGGTTTGTGTTGCAGTTTGGGTTCCCCAGAAATAGATCCTGAAATGGAGTCTAGGGTACAAAAAGAGGATGAAGAAGGACTGAGCCAATGGAGAAGCCGAAATATGATGTAGGCCAAATGAAACCTTGGCATGCGCAGCAAAGAGCTCTAGAATGAATATTGCTAATCAGAATGGTCCCATGTCAAGCTCACTCAGTTACTAATGGTAGGCTGCCCCAGGAAGAGTGTAACTTGAGCAAAGAGATTCTGCAGCTGAGTCACACCCTGAAGAAGCTGACAGCTATATCCAGTCTGCTGACTGCTCTCTCCAGAGCTGAGCAGTAAGTTCTTCCTAAAGAGGGATCTGGGTACTGTGTCTCTGTTTCTACAACAATACACCACTTTTGCCACTTGGATACATTTCTCTCTATAAAGCTGGGGAGCAGCTTCTAACAGGACTGGAGCTGGCCTTTCCTCCTGAGGGAAAACTCAGAAGAGGGAGGTTAGTGTTACAAACTAAAACCAATACTATAGCAGTTGGTATCGGGTTCACAATCGATTATTACAATCTTCCTCCTTGACTATCCATTCTAAGTTCTTCTCACCCTCAATGTACAGCCTCCACTGCCTCAGTGGCTTAGCTAGTGGTATGACCCTTCCTCCTTGAGGGGCCTGATTCTTCATCATCATGTCCTTCTCAGTTCAGAATTACCATACCTGTTCATATATAGTATTTCCCCTTTCATAACTGGGAAAGGTAGTACCTAGAAATATTCAAGTGGATCATCTGGGTTCTACACACATTTCTGTAGGGAAATAGTTCAACCATGGCACTCTGGCAACGTTGAATGTATTCACATGGGCAACATAGGCAATGTTCAATCTGTCTGACCTAAGTCTTGACAGAACATTCTATGATACCTCCAGGAACATGGCAAGAAAATAGTCTTGTAAGGAGCTATTACAAGGTTATTTCTCATCAGCTTCTCTATCTTGTGGGAGGATGCCATGAATCAGGTTCTCATCTACCTCCCTGGTCCAATGAGGTGTGGCACTATCCACCTTTGTCTCCTTAGTATAAAACTGCAGGCTACAACACTGATTAGCTGCAGTTTAGTATTGGTTCTTCAATGACAGAGTGACCTACAAGTCATGTCACCTGTCAGTTGACTCTTATGGTTCAGTGTTGTCCTGTGGGATTAAGGATGTGGGGAGCTGACATTGTGTTGATTTTGCTTATGCTGTCTATGTAAGTAATAAACTATGTGTATTCATTTGGGCTTGTTACCTAACCAGCCAAATCTGGTAGCAAGAGTAGCAGCCAACCAGCAGCTGCTTCTGCTCAGACACTGCTGGACAGTTCCTCCCTGTTCCCACTGTATAACAGTAGCCCTACCTCCTCCTGATAATCAGGTTTGATTGACCAAGTTAAGATGGTGACTTTTCTTGCCTGCTGGTCCAAATGCCTATGTGGCAGCCACAAGTTGTACTTCAATATGAATCTTGTCTTCTCCATTGGCTGTAGCAGTGGTTCTCAACTTGGGGCAATTTGGCCCCCTGGGAACATTTGGTAGTGTTTGGAGATACTTTCATCACAGTTGGGGAAAATGTACTACTGGCTTCTAGTGGGTAGAAGCGAGGGATGCTGTCATATATTTCATAATGCACAGGACAGCTCCCACTACAAAGAATTATCCAGCCCAAAATGACAAAAGTGACAAAATTGAGATACTTTGAGTTAGAGTGAGCTCTCTTCAGGGCCGGGACCTCTAACCCTGGAAAGTTCTGAATTGCAGGTATGGCAAAAGCAAAGTCCCTGAATGTGTCATTAGAAGTGATGGTAAGTGTGGGTACTCTTGCTTCCACTCCTTTGTTTCTGAACTCATGTATCATTTTTTTTAATATTATAGAGATGGGTGTCTCACTACGTTGCCCAACATGGTCTTGAACTCCTGGCCTCAAATAATCCTCTTGCCTTGGCCTCCTAAAATGCTGGGATTATAGCCATGAGCCACTACACCCAGTCTGAACCCATGTATTCTTACTGAAGACATACACCATATAAAATTATTTGATTCAATGAATATACTGCATTCTGGAGAATAGGACCCTATCCTCACAGAATATTGATTTTGAGTTGGCGCTTCAGCTGTTGTTCAGCAGGAAATTCCACTACTCTGTCAAAATATCAGTTTTCTGGGTGGTATCATACAGTAGAGAACTAGTAGATCTCATCTTCACAGGTCCACTTCTGTATTGTTTTTGCTGAAAATGAATCCCCTGGTCTAATGTGATGTTATATGATATCACACAGCAATTGATGAAATACTCTGTAAGATTTCAGATACCAGTGTTGACTGGGACCCTGTGGTTAAGAAAGGTAAACCCATACCAGGAATATGTGTTCACTGCTGTGAAAACAAACTGCTGGTACATCCAGGATAGAAGTGATCCACTGTAGTCAGCTTGTTACCAAATGGTCAGTTGGACACCTGAAGTGGTGGTGCCATACCAGAGGCTACATGGTGGCAGGTTGCAGATTAGAGGTGGCAGTAGTTAGACCAGTCTTGTTAAGTATGAGTTCATGCTGTTGTTCTCCTGTTTAGTCTCCACATCTGCCACTAAGGCCACCTTGTCCATGTCCAGCATGCCAGCATTGAAGTGGCTGGCTGATGTTAGCTGACCAAGTCATTTTGTATACTTGGTTTTTCAGTGCTTCTTCCATGGTAGACACTCTCCAGTGAGCATTAACATGTGACACAAAGGTCTTCACACTTTGTAACCACTGTCATATGTTGATAGACATTCAAGACTCTGTCTGCAATCTTCTGTTTATGCTCAGAAGCCAATACCTCAAAATAGGGGATGTTGACATGATGAACAAAAGAAGCCTCAAGGTGTCTCTGACTTCTCCCAATCATCTCTCCCAAAGAAGTTGAAGTTCCTTTATCTAAGATCCAGACCCACCAAAAGGAACAATTGTTTTTTCTTCCCCTCCCTTGGGTGGGGGAGGGGAAATGTGAGACCAATAATGTAACCATTCCCAAACAGACCCTTTTACAAGATAATGTACAAATTAGTCTCTTTTCCCTGATCCATTCATTCTCCCTAGTAAGCCCCTCAACAAAATTCTACTTCTCCCCTGTCCCACAATCTGTTTTGCCAGGATGGTATATAAGCTTCTGCACCACACTGGGGGTGGGTAACCACTCCATGATTTTTTTTCTGTGTACATGTTGTGTACGTGTTAAATAAATTCGTATGCCTTTTCTCCAATTAATCTGACTTTTGTGAGTTTATTTTTTAGGTGACACTTCAGAGGGCCAAGACCCTTGGCCCCTACACTTCCAATATTTTCCTTTCATTTAGATCCTTTCAGTGATGTTGTGTACTATTGTCCACAAATCTGTACATTGTCTAACCTTTATAAATGTATTTTACGTGCTTGATAAACTAGAGGAGAGATTGAACATTATAAGTAAAGACATGGAAGATATAAAACAAATCCAAATCAAACTTGTAGAAATGAAAGCTACAATATCTGAGATGAAATATGTACTGTATTAGATGAATGACAGATTAACAATTGCAGAGAAAAAGGTTGGTGAACTTGAAGACACAGCAATAGAAAATATTCAAAATGAAACACAGAAAAAGACTAAAAATAATCCGAGTATCAGTGAGTTGTGAGAGAATTTTAAGCGACCCAATATATGTGTATTTGGAGCCCCTGAAGGAGAGGATGGTGTTGGAGTGGTGGCAGAAAAAAAAAAGTCAAGAAATAATGGCTGAGTTTTTTTTTTCAAACTTAATGAAAACCAAAAGCCTACAGATCCAAGGAGATCAATAAATTCCTAGCACAAGGAACATAAAAATTATGCCAAGTACATCATATCAAGTTGCTTAGAAATAGTGATAAAGAGAAACTCTTAGAAGCAGCAAGGAGGAAAAAAAGTATGTTATATACAAAGGCACAAGGGTAAGATTGACATCAGATTTCTTGAAGGAATCAACTAGAAGAGAGTGAAACAACATCTTTAAAGAAGTGAAAGAAAACACTCTCAATCTAGAATTCTATACTCCTCAAAATATTGTTCAAAAACAAAGACAAAGTAAACTTTACAGGCACATAAAAGCTGAAAGAAACCACCATCAGCAGTTCTGCACCACAAAAAGGACATTCTTCAGACAGAATGAAAATGACACTAGTTGAAAATCTGGATCTACACAAAAGAATAAGTAAAACTGGAAATGGTAACTATGTGATTAGATACATAAGAATTTTGCCTTATAATTTAAATCTCTTTAAAAGATAATTGTTTAAACAAAACTATTAACAATATGTTGTGCGGCTTATAACATATGCATATGTGAAATGTATGATAACATTAGCAGGAAGTTCTCGAGGAGAGACATAGAAGTACTCTATTGTAAGGCTTGTATACAATACGTGAAATAGTATAAATAGCTTGAAGGTAGATTGTGATGTTAAAGACATAAACTATAAACCAGTGGTTGTCAATCAGGGGTGATTTTGACTCCTAGGGAACATTCAGCAATGTCTGAAGACAGTTTTGGTTTCCAAAACTGAAGAGATTATGTGATATTGTGAAATATATGTTTGGTCTTCATCCCAGTTTCCTAGCATACAACTCCTAAAATCCTTGGGATCTTCAAAATGGTGTGTCTTTTTGTATGTTTTATTTTCGTTAAAAATTTTTTCTCACAACCATTCTCCGTAACACTTGTATGCTAATGAGTAGGCTAATGGCTGGTAGCCCCTAGGATGGAAACACTAAGGTAGAATTAAAGGGTTGGGACTTTCAGCCCCACTCCGAGCCTCTAGGGAGGGAAGAGTGCTGAAGGTTGATCACAAATTGCCAGTGATGTCATCAATCATGCCTACTTAATGAAGCTTCCCTAAAAACCCAAAAGGACTGGGTTCAGAGAGCTTCTGGATAGCCGAACACATAGAGGTCCCTGGAAAGAGGCATGCCTGGAGAGGAAGTGGAAGCTCTGTGCCCTTCCCACACTCCTTGCCCTACGTATCTCTTCATCTATATCCTTTAAAATATCTTTTGTAATAGAGCAGTACACGTAAGTAAAGTGTTTCCCTGAGTTCTGTGAACTGCTCAAGAAAATTAATAGAACCCAAGGAGGGGGTTGTGGTAACTTTGATTTATAGCCAGTTGGTCAGAATCACAGATAAAATAATCTGGGTCTTGCGATCAGCATTGTAAGTGGGGCTTAGTCTTGTAGGACTGATTCTTCAACCTGTGTGATCTGATGCTATCGACAGGTAGATACTGTCAGAATTGAATTAATTAGAGGAGGCCCAACTGGTGATGTCTGTTGCAGAATTGATTGCTTGTTTGCTGGTGGGGAGAAATCCCCATATATCTGATAGCAGAAGTGTGCTGTGAACATACAGGAGAAATTGAGTTTGTTTCTTCTTTTTTTCTTTTCTTTTTATTTTTTAGAGAAAGTGTCTTGCTCTGTCACCTAGGTTGGAGTGCAGTGGTGTGATCATAACTCACTGTGACCTCAAATTCCTGGGCTCAAACGATCCTCCCTCCTCAGCCTCCCAAGTAGCTAGGACTACAGGCATGCACCACCTTGCCCAGCTAATTTTAAAATTTTTTGTAGAGACAGAATCTCACTATGTTGCTCGGGCTGGTTGAACTCCTGACCTCAAGTGATCCTCCCAACTCGGACTCCCAAAACGTTGTGATTACACGTGTGAGCCACCATGCCTGGTTGAGTTTGGTTTTTGTTTTACATGGCATACTAGTGACAGCTATTGGATAGAGGCCAGGGATGCTGTTAACTATTCTAAAATGTACAGGAAAGCCAAAACAAAAAATTATGTGGCCCCAAATGCCAATAATTCTGAGATTGAGAAAACCTACTATAAATCCTAAAGCACATTGAGATAGAACTTTTCTTGCAGAAATTGATAAGCAGATCCAAAAATTCACATGGAAATTCAAGGGATGCAGAAAAGCCATCTGTTGAACAAGTGGTTGTTAAAATAATCTTAAAGATTATTTCCTGATTGCAAAACTTACTGCAAAGCTACAGTAATTAAGTGTGGTAACTCAAAATGGCTGTAGATCTAAATGTAAGAACTAAAGCTACAAAACACTTAGAAGAAAACATAAGAGTAAATCTTTTGTGACCTTGAATTAGTAAATGATTTCTTAGGTATGACACCAAAAGCACAAGCAACAAAAGAAAAAAAGATAAATTAGACTTAATCAAAATGTAAAACTTTTGTGCTTCAAAGGATACTATCAAGAAATTTAAAAGACAACCCACAAAACAGTAGAAAAATTTTGCAAATCTTTTATTTGATAAGGGTCCAAAATATATAAATAATTCTAACAAATTAATAATAAAAAGACAAATAATCCAATTTTTAAATGAGCAGAGGATTTAAATAATTTCCCCAAAGAAGATATACAAATGGCCAATGTGCACATGAAAAACTGCTCAATATCATTATTCATTAGGTACATGGAAATCCAATCACAATGAAATGTCACTCCACACCCAGTGGGATGACTATAATTAAAAAAATTGGACAATAACAACAGCTGGCAAGTATGTGGAGAAATTGGAACCCTCATACATTGCTAGTGGAAATGTAAAATGATGCAGGTACTTTGGAACACAGTTTGACAGTTCCTCAAAAAGTTAAAACATAAAGCTGCCGTATGAGAAATTTCTCCTTCTTCCTTCCCACATTTTGTTCTGTCTTAGTCTATTTGTGCTGCAAATAGAATACCACAGATTACCACAGACTGGGTAATTTATTTAAAAAAATACAAATTTAGAGGCCAGGCGCAGTGGCTCCCGCCTGTAATTGCAGCACTTTGGGAGGCCGAAGCGGGCAGATCACCTGGGGTCGAGAGTTCGAGACCACCCTGACCAACATGGAGAAATCCCATCTCTACTAAAAATATAAAATTAGCCGGGCGTGGCAGTGCATGCCTGAAATCCCAGCTACTCAGGAGGCTGAGGCAGGAGAATCGCTTGAACCCGGGAGACAGAGGTTGTGATGAGCTGAGATCATACCATTGCACTCCAGCCTGGGCAACGAGAGTGAAACTCTGTCTCAAAAATAAATAAATAAATAAATAAAATAGAAATTTATTTCTCACAGTTCTGGAGGCTGAGAAATTCAAGATCAAGGCATTGGCATTTGGTCTGATGAGGATTTTCTTGCTGTGTCCTTACATGGCAGAAGGCATGAGAACAAGCTAACCAAATGCTGTGAAGCATCTTTTATGAAGGCCTTAACCCCATTAACAAGGGTGCAGCCCTCATGGCGTAATCACCTTTTAAAGCCCATCTCCATATATATGTATAGTCATCCCCGTTAGCAGTCTCTAATTTGGCCTTTTGTGTCTGGTTCTTTTCACTTACCATAATGTTTTGAGGTTCATCTATACTATAGTATGAATCAGTATTATCTTCCTTTTATGGCTGAATAATACACCATAATTTATCTATCTGTCAGTCGGTGGACATTTCAGTTGTTTCTACTTTTGGTTATTATGAATATTGCTGCTATGAACATTTGTGTACATGCTTTTGTGTGGACATATATTATCAATTACCTTCAATGTATATCTAGGAGTGAAATGGCTGGGTCCTATGGTAACTCTATATTTAACCTTTTGAAGAACTGCCAAACAATTATTTCAAAATGGCTTCACCATTTAAAATTTCCTCCAGTAGTACATTAGGGTTCTAATAACCCACGTTATTGTTCACTTTTAAAAATTACAGCCATCATAGAGGGTGTGAAATGTATCTTTTTTCCAGCTTTACTGAAGCATTACTGACAAAAATTGTATATATTTAGGGTGTACAATTTGATGTTTTGATATACATATATACATTGTGAAATGATTAACACAATTAAGGTAATTAACATATCTATCACCTCACATATTACCTTTGTGTGTGCGTGGTGAGAACATTTGAGATCTACTCTCAGCAAATTTCAAGTATACAATGTATTATTACTAACTATAGTCACCATGCTTTACATTTGGTCTCCAGTGTTCACTCATGTTACAACTGAAGGTTTGTACCCTTTGACCAATATCTGTCCTTTCCCCTCATGCCCTAAACCCTGATAACCACCCTTCTATTCTCTGTAACTATGAGTTCAACTTTTGTTTTCAGATTCTACATATAACTGAGGTCATGCAATATTTGACTTTTTGTGTCTGGTTTAGTTTGCTTAGCATAATGTCCTCAAGGTTCATCTGCATTGTTGCCAATGGCAGGATTTCCCTCTTTTTAAAGGGTGAATAACATTCTATTTTATATATATACATACATATATATGTATATATATATGTATATATATACGTATATATATGTATATATATAGGTATATATGTGTGTATTTATATATGTGTGTATATATATGTGTACATATATGTGTGTGTGTGTATCTATCTATCTATCTATCTATCTATATATATATATATATATATACTGTGTATTCATTCATTTGCCAATGAACACTTAGATTGTTTTTCTATCTTGGCTACTTTGAATAATGCTGCAATGAATATGAAAGTGCAGACATGTCTTTGAGATAGTGATTTTATTTCTTTTGGATATATACCCAGAAGTGGGTTGCTAGACCCTGTGGTAGTTCTATTTTTAATTTTTTGAGGAATCTCTGTACTGTTTTTCATAACGTTTGTACCAATTTACACTCCCTCCCAACAGTGTACAGCAGTGAAAGCGTTTCCTTTTCTCCACATCTTTACCAACATTTGTTATTTTTTGACTTTTTTAATAGAAAAAAAATCTAAAATGCTTATAAAACCACAACAGAATCCACATAACTAAAACAATTTTGAGCAGTAAGAACAAAGCTGCAGGCATCATATATCCTGATTGCAAACTATAGTACCAAACTATAGTAATCAAAATATGGTACTGGCATAAAAGCAGACACACAGACCAATGGAACAGAAGAGAGAGCCCAGAAATAAACCCACACATGTATGGTCATCTAATCAACAAGGTGCCAAAAATATATAATGGAGAAACAATAGTCTCTTTAATAAATGGTGTTGGGAAAACTGGATATGCATATTCAAAAAAATAAAATTGGATTCTTATTTTACACCATTCACAAAAATCAGTTCAAAATGGATCAAAGACATAAACATAAGACCTTATTGTGGTTTTGATTGGCATTTCTCTAAAAAGTAATGATGTTGAGCATCTTTTCATGTGTTTATTGACCATTTGCATATCTTCTCTGAAGAAATATCTATTTGGATTCTTTATACATCTTTAGTTGAGTTATTTGCCTTTTTATTGTTTAAGTGTAAGAGTTCTTTACATATTCTGGATACTAGATCCTTAACAGATATATAATTTGCAAATATTTTCTCTTATTCTGTGGGTTGTATTTTCATTTTCTTGATAGTGTCCTTTAAAGCACAAAGACTTTAATTTTAATAAAGTCCAATTTATCTATTTTTTGTCACTTCTGCTCTTGGTGTTATATTTAAGAAACCATTGTTTAATCGAAGGGCATGAGGGTTTATGTTTTCTTCTAAGAGTTTTATCATTTTTAAATTTTATTTTTATTTTTATAGGGACAAGGTCTCACTCTGTTTCCCAGGCTGGAGTGCAGTCATACAATCTTAGCTCACTGTAACTTTGAACTCCTGGGCTCAAATGATCCTCCTAACTTGGCCTCCCAAAGCACTGGGATTACAGGCATGAGCCAGTACACCCGCTGTCTGTAGTAAAATTTTAAATTGTAAGTCTTTCAGCTTTGTTCTTCCTTTAAAATACTGTTTTGGCTATTCTGTGTCCCTTCTATTTCCATAAGAATTTTTGGATCACCTTGTCAATTTCTGGGAAAAAAAAAGTTAGTTGGAATTTTGAAAGAATTGTATTGAATTTGTAGATCAATTTGGTGAGCACTGTCATTTTAACAATATTAACCTAATCCATGAGCACAATGTCTTTCCCTTTATTTAGTTCTTTAATTTATTTCAATAACAGTAGATTTCAGAGTATAAGTCTTAGACTTCTTTTGTTAATATTTTCCTATTTTATTCTTTTTATACTATTTTATTTATTTGTTTACTTCATAGAGACAAGATCTCACTGTTTTCCTATTTCTTTTTATGTTATTCTTTTATGATATAGAGATGGGTCTTGCTATGTTGCCCAGGCTGGCCTTGACCTCCTGGCCTCAAGCAATTCTCCTGTCTTGGCCTCCCAAAGTGTTAGGATTACAGGCATGAGCCACTGTGCCTAGCCACAAGCTGGATTTCTAATGCAGAATTTAATTACAGAATTTTCTTTGGCAAAGGCAAAGCACAGTAAGTCAAGGAGGCTTCTTTCTCTTTCTCTCTCTCTTCCTACTCCTTCTTTCTTTTGAGCAAATGTGAAAAAAATGCTAGGGTGGTATAAAAAACTGTTTTTTGGAGACCTTCATGTTAAAATTTTGAAAATATTTTAATCTAAAAGTTCAGGTATAATCATAAGTAGTTGTAGAATTTGATAGGACACTGTTTGACAAAATGTAGTGAACACCTATTCTATCTGCCACTTCATATTCATTCACTCCTCTTTGGTCACATCACCTCAATTTTCCTCAGGGGATTACCTTTCCCTGACAGTCAATCCAGGCAGTTTCAGTCGTGTTGATATCACTCTAAGCTCCAGGGGTGGGCATGTGACCGAAGCCTGGCCAATCACAGATGTTTCTTCCAGTGGCCACAGAGATTGGTTCAGGGATTGGCACAGGATCAAATTCAAGCCAGTGAGAGACTCAGAATTTTTATTTTTTTGTAAAGTATTATTCTATTGATACTATTTTACATATTTATGGGGTACATGTAAGTGTTACATGTGTAGAGTGTATTATTATCAACTTGGAGTATCCATCCTCTTGAGTATTTACATTTCTATGTATTGGGAACATTTCATATCCTCTCTTCTGGCTACTGTGAAATATGCAATACATTATTGCTAACTATAGTCACCCTACTCTGCTATCAAATATTAGAAACTTTCTTCTATTTAACGGTACACTCCTTAACCAACCTCTCTTCTTTCCTCCTCTCCCACCCACACACCCTTCCCAGCTTCTGGTATCTATCATTCTAATCTCTATCTCCATGAGATCAAGTTTTTTAGCTCCCACGTGAGGGAGAAAATCCAATACTTGCCTTTTTGTGCCTGGCTTATTTCACTTAACATAATGGCCTCCAGTTCCATCCATGTTGCTGCAAATGACATGATTTCATATTTTATGGCTGAATAGTATTCCATTGTGTGTGTGTGTGTGTGTGTGTGTGTGTGTGTGTGTGACATTTTCTTGATCCATTCATTCTTTGATAAACATTTAGTTTGATTCCATATCTTTGCTATTATGAATAGTGCTAGGATATACATGGGAGTGCAGGTATCCCTTTGATATAACAATTTCTTTTCCTTCGGATGAATACCCAGTAATGGCATTGTTGGATCATATCGTAGGATTATTTTTAGTTTTTTATTTTTTTAAAGAAATCCCTATACTGTTTCTACAGTAGTTGTATTAATTTACATCCCACCAACTGTGTATAAGAGTTCCCTTTTTGAAGATGGCCAAATAGGAACAGCTCCAGTCTACAGCTCCTAGCATGAGCAAGGCAGAAGATGGGTGATTTCTGCATTTCCAACTGAGGTACTGGGTTCATCTCACTGGGGCTTGTCGAACAGTGGGTGCAGGACAGTGGGTGCAACGCACTGAGCATGAGCCAAAGCAGGGAGAGGCATTGCCTCACCCAGGAAGCACAAAGGGTCAGGGAATTCCCTTTCCTAGCCAAGCAAAGCTGTGACAGATGGCGCCTGGACAATAGGGCCACTCCCACCCTAATACTGTGCTTTTCCAATGGCCTTAGCAAAGGGCACACCAGGAGATTATATCCCACGCGTGGCTCAGAGGGTCCCACGCCCATGGAGCCTCGCTCATTGCTAGCACAGCAGTCTGAGATTGAGCTGCAAGGCGGCAGCGAGGCGGGGGAGGGGTGCCCACCATTGCCGAGGCTTGAGTAGGTAAACAAAGCGGCCAGGAAGCTCAAACTGGGTGGAGCCCACCACAGCTCAAGGAGGCCTGCCTGCCTCTGTAGACTCCACCTCTGGGGGCAGGGCATAGCCAAACAAAAGGCAGCAGAAACCTCTGCAGACTTAAACGTCCCTGTCTAACAGCTTTGAAGAGAGTAGTGGTTCTCCCAGCATGGGGTTTGAGATCTGAGAACAGACAGACTGCCTCCTCAAGTGGGTTCCTGACCCCCAAGTAGCCTAATTGGGAGGGACTCCCCAGTAGGGGCACACTGACACCTCACAAGGCTGGGTACCCCTCTGAGATGAAACTTCAGGAGGAATGATCAGGCAGCAACATTTGATGTTCAGCAATATTCACTGTTCTGCAACCTCCGCTGCTGATACCAAGGCAAACAGGGTCTGGAGTGGTCCTCCAGCAAACTGCAAAAGACCTGCAGCTGAGGGTCCTGACTGTTAGAAGGAAAACCAACAAACAGAAAGGACATCCACACCAAAACCCCATCTGTACGTCACCATCATCAAAGACCAAAGGTAGATAAAACCATGAAGATGGGGAAAAAACAGAGCAGAAAAACTGAAAATTCTAAAAATCAGAGCACCTCTCCTCCTCCACAGGAATGCAGCTCCTCACCAGCAATGGAACAAAGCTGGATGGAGAATGACTTTGATGAGTTGAGAGAAGAAGGCTTCAGAAGATCAAACTTCTCCAAGCTAAAGGAGGCAGTTCGAACCCATGGCAAAGAAGTTAAAAACCTTGAAAAAAGATTAGACAAATGGCTAACTAGAATAATCAATGAAAAGAAGTCCTTAAAGGACCTGATGCAGCTGAAAACCATGGCACAAGAACTACGTGACAAATGCACAAGCTTCAGTAGCTGATTCGATCAACTGAAAGAAAGGGTATCAGTGATTAAAGATCAAATGAATGAAATGAAGTGAGAAGAGAAATTTAGAGAAAAAAGAATAAAAAGAAATGAACAAAGCCTCCAAGAAATATGGGACTATGTGAAAAGACCAAATCTACACCTGATTGGTGTACCTGAAAGTGACGGGGAGAATGGAACCAAGTTGGAAAACACTCTGCAGGATATTATCCAGGAGAACTTCCCCAACCTAGCAAGGCAGGCCAACATTCACATTCAGTAAATACAGAGAATGCCACAAAGATACTCCTCAAGAAGAGCAACTCCAAGACACATAATTGTCAGATTCACCAAAGTTGAAATGAAGGAAAAAATGTTAAGGGCAGCCAGAGAGAAAGGTCGGGTTACCCACAAAGGGAAGCCCATCAGACTAACAGCTGATCTCTTGGCAGAAACTCTACAAGCCAGAAGAGAGTGGGGGCCAATATTCAACATTCTTAAAGAAAAGAATTTTCAACCCAGAATTTCATATCCAGCCAAACTAAGCTTCATAAGTGAAGGAGAAATAAAATCCTTTACAGACAAGCAAATGCTGAGAGATTTTGTCACCACCAGGCCTGCCCTAAAAGAGCTCCTGAAGGTAGCACTAAACATGGAAAGGAACAACCGGTACCAGCCACTGCAAAAACATGCCAAATTGTAAAGACCATGGATGCTAGGAAGAAACTGCATCAACTAACGAGCAAAATAACCAGCTAACATCATAATGACAGGATCAAATTCACATATAACAATATTAACCTTAAATGTAAATGGGCTAAATGCTCCAATTAAAAGACACAGACTGGCAAATCGGATAAAGAGTCAAGTAACCCATCAGTGTGCTGTATTCAGGAAACCCATCTCACGTGCAGAGACACACATAGGCTCAAAATAAAGGGATGGAGGAAGATCTACCAAGCAAATGGAAAACAAAAAAAGAAAAGCAGGGGTTGCAATCCTAGTCTCTGATAAAACAGACTTTAAACCAACAAAGATCAAAAGAGACAAAGAAGGCCATTACATAATGGTAAAGGGATCAATTCAACAAGAAGAGCTAACTATCCTAAATATATATGCACCCAATACAGGAGCACCCAGATTCATAAAGCAAGTCCTCAGAGACCTGCAAAGAGACTTAGACTCCCACACAATAATAATGGGAGACTTTAACACCCCACTGTCAACATGAGACAGATCAACGAGACAGAAAGTTAACAGGGATATCCAAGAATTGAACTCAGCTCTGCACCAAGTGGACCTAATAGACATCTACAGAACTCTCCACCCCAAATCAACAGAATATACATTCTTCTCAGCACCACACCACACTTATTCCAAAATTGACCACATAGTTGGAAGTAAAGCACTCCTCAGCAAATGTAAAAGAACAGAAATTATAACAAACTGTCTCTCAGACCACAATGCAATCAAACTAGAACTCAGGATTAAGAAACTCACTCAAAACCACACAACTACATGGAAACTGAACAACCTGCTCCTGAATGACTACTGGGTACATAATGAAATGAAGGCAGAAATAAAGATGTTCTTTGAAACCAATGAGAACAAAGACACAACATACCAGAATCTCTGGGACACATTCAAAGCAGTGTGTAAAGGGAAATTTATAGCACTAAATGCCCACAAGAGAAAGCAGGAAAGATTTAAAATTGACACCCCAACATCACAATTAAAAGAACTAGAGAAGCAAGAGCAAACACATTCAAAAGCTAGCAGAAGGCAAGAAATAACTAAGATCAGAGCAGAACTGAAGGAGATAGAGACACAAAAAACCCTTCAAAAATCAATGAATCCAGGAGCTGGTTTTTTGATAAGATCAACACAATTGATAGACCATTAGCAAGACTAATAAAGAAGAAAAAAGAGAAGAATCAAATAGACGCAATAAAAAATGATATAGGGGATATCATCACCGATCCCACAGAAATACAAACTACCATCAGAGAATACTATAAACAACTCTATGCAAATAAACTAGAAAATCTAGAAGAAATGGATAAATTCCTTGACACATACACCCTCCCAAGACTAAAACAGGAAGAAGTTGAATCTATGAATAGACCAATAACAGGCTCTGAAATTGAGGCAATAATTAATAGCTTACCAACCAAAAAAAGTCCAGGGCCAGATGGATTCAAGGCCGAAATCTACCAGAGGTACAAGGAGGAGCTGGTATCATTCCTTCTGAAACTATTTCAATCCATAGAAAAAGAGAGAATCCTCCCTAACTCATTTGATGAGGCCAGCATCATCCTGATACCAAAGCCTGGCAGAGACACAACAAAAATAGAGAATTTTAGACCAATATCTCTGATGAACATCGATGCAAAAATCCTCAATAAAATACTGGCAAACCAAATCCAGCAGCACATCAAAAAGCTTATCCACCATGATCAAGTGGGCTTCATCCCTGGGATGCAAGGCTGGTTCAACATACGCAAATCAATAAATGTAATCCACCATATAAACAGAACCAAAGACAAAAACCATATGATTATCTCAATAGATGCAGAAAAGGCCTTTGACAAAATTCAACAACCCTTCATGCTAAAAACTCTCAATAAATTAGGTATTGTTGGGAAGTATCTCAAAATAATAAGAGCTATTTATGACAAACCCACAGCCAATATCATACTGAATGGGCAAAAACTGGAAGCATTCCCTTTGAAAACTGGCACAAGACAGGGATGCCCTCTCTCACCACTCCTATTCAACATAGTGTTGGAAGTTCTGGCCAGGGCAATCAGGCAGGAGAGAGAAATAAAGGGTATTCAATTAGGAAATGAGGAAGTCAAATTGTCCCTGTTTGCAGATGACATGATTGCATATCTATAAAACCCCATCGTCTCAGCCCAAAATCTCCTTAAGCTGATAAGCAACTTCAGCAAAGTCTCAGGATACAAAATCAATGTGCAAAAATCACAGGCATTCTTATACACCAATAACAGACAAACAGAGAGCCAAATCATGAGTGAACTCCCATTCACAATTGCTTCAAAGAGAATAAAATACCTAGGAATCCAACTTACAAGGGATGTGAAGGAACTCTTCAAGGAGAACTGCAAACCACTGCTCAACAAAATAAAAGAGGATACAAACAAATGGAAGAACATTCCATGCTCATGGATAGGAAGAATCGATATCATGAAAATGGCCATACTGCCCAAGGTAATTTATAGATTCAATGCCATCCCCATCAAGCTTCCAATGAGTTTCTTCACAGAATTGGAAAAAAATACTTTAAAGTTCATATGGAGCCAAAAAAGAGCCCGCATTGCCAAGTCAATCCTAAGCCCAAAGAACAAAGCTGGAGGCATCACGCTACCTGACTTCAAACTATACTACAAGGCTACAGTAACCAAAACAGCATAGTACTGGTACCAAAACAGACATATAGACCAATGGAACAGAACAGAACCCTCAGAAATAATACCACACGTCTACAACTATCTGATCTTTGACAAACCTGACAAAAGCAAGAAATGGGGAAACAATTCCCTATTTAACAAATGGTGCTGGGAAAACTGGCTTGCCATATGTAGAAAGCTGAAACTGGATCCCTTCCTTACACCTTATACAAAAATTCATTCAAGATGGATTAAAGACTTACATCCTAGACCTAAAACCATAAAAACACTAGAAGAAAACCTAGGCAATACCATTCAGGACATAGGCATGGGCAAGGACTTCATGTCTAAAACACCATAAGCGATGGCAACCAAAGCCAAAATTGACAAATGGGATCTAATTAAACTCAAGAGCTTCTGCACAGCAAAAGAAACTACCGTCAGAGTGAACAGGCAACCTACAGAATGGGAGAAAATTTTTGCAATCTACTCATCTGAGAAAGGGCTAATATCCAGAATCTACAAAGAACTCAAACAAATTTACAAGAAAAAAACAAACAACCCCATCAACAAGTGGGCAAAGGATATGAACAAACCCTTCTCAAAAGAAGACATTTATGCACTCAACAGACACATGAAAAAATGCTCATCATCACTGGCCATCAGAGAAATGCAAATCAAAACCACAATTAAATACTATCTTACACCAGTTAGAATGGCGATCATTAAAAAGTCAGGAAACAGCAGGTGCTGGAGAGGATGTGGAGAAATAGGAACACTTTTACACTGTTGGTGGGACTGTAAACTAGTTCAACCATTGTGGAAGACAGTGTGGCGATTCCTCAGGGATCTAGAACTAGAAATACCATTTGACCCAGCCATCCCATTACTGGGTATATACCCAAAGGATTATAAATCATGCTGCTATAAAGACACATGCACACGTATGTTTATTGTGGCACTATTCACAATAGCAAAGACTTGGAACCAACCCAAATGTCCATCAATGATAGACTGGATTAAGAAAATGTGGCACATATACACCATGGAAAACTATGCAGCCATAAAAAAGGATGAGTTCATGTCTTTGGAGGGACATGGATGAAGCTGGAAACCATCATTCTCAGGAAACTATCGCAAGGACAAAAAAACCAAACACCGCATGTTCTCACTCATAGGTGGGAATTGAACAATGAGAACACTTGGACACAGGAAGAATCTTTTGTTTTTTATTTGAATATTCAGGAAAGAGAAGCTTTCTTTTCAAATGGGCATTAGCCTTTGAGGATGTAGGCCTGGCAAGGCAGGCAGCCACCTTGCCAATCTTGATTTGTGGTAGAAAGCAGAATACAGACGTGGAGAGAGACCGGTTCCTAATCGCATCTTTGAGTTCCTGGACCTGGCTATGCCTGAATGCAAACTACAACTGGACTTTTCAGTTTTTTGATTTGGTAAATTCCCCTTTATCCTTAAGTCAATTTGAATTTTTTTGTTCATTTGTTTGTCACATGCAAGCAAAAGAGTTCTAAATGATATCCCAAAGGGCACCAGATTAGGAAAGTATGAATGAGAAAATTTGAAAAGGGAATGAATACTAAAGAATAGAGAAAAAAATTCTATAATGGAAAAGCCTAATGCCTTTGACCCCACAGCCGCAAAGCAAAGTGTGTATGAAAATAAAATTGCCGCAGTCCCTAGGGTTGGTTCAGTAGATGATTCCAACACTATGCCAGGCTCCAAGGAGTCTGCTCACAGAACCTCCACTCAGTAACTGTGCTAGATATCGCCAGTTTGCCCCTCCAGATGCACTCTCCACCTTTCTCCACCCTGCTTTCTTTTTTTAGGAGTCTGACCTGTATGGGCTGCATCAATCTTTTTGTTTGTTCGTTTTTGTTTTTTTTGTTGTTGTTCCCCCACCCCCGCCGCCAGCTTTTGGTTGGGTTTGGCCAATGAGAAAAATTAAGTTGCAATATTTATTCTCCCTAAAAGATCACCTTGGGCTAGCTTAGTCCTTCAACAAAGTCACCACTCCTCTCAAGGCAGCCAGTTGTACACAACTCATTCCTTCTGAGTTCTAGTAACCATTTCCTGCTCCTATACCTTATGGTCAAGAGATGGTAAGAGTTCAGCTCTTACTAGGCTGGGTTACTGTGTTATTGGTGGTTCCCTATATCTATGCTTCTGTAAGTAATCCCTTTGTAAATAAATCTTCTTCCAATTATCCTTTTTTTGTCAAGTGTGCTATCTATTTCTTGTTGAGTTATGGTCATATAGGGGTCTGCAAGGAAGTACATTTTGCGGAGTGAGTTGTCAGACTGAAAGCTTACTATATTCTGCTTAAAACTTTTGGATCCCGCTGTCAACCCTTCTTCCCTTCTAGATTGCAACTGAAGAACTTTGTGAAGTAGTGTTTCCATTTATTTTTCCTTGCCCTTTGCCTCCATACATCGTATCCACTCTCCTTCCTCCCAACATATGCATATAAATACCCAAACCTCCATTTTCTGCCTGGAGAAAAGCACAGTGTAAATCATACTTCTGTATGGTTTGGTTAAATTACTTTATTATGTATGAATATTTTAAGAGGGAGGCAGTAAAGAAAATGACTCTAATGAAGAATTTAGACAGGGAGAAATATGTTGGGATCAGGGATCTGTTGCCTAGCAGACTTTAGGCTGAGGCAGCTTCCAAGGAAAGAAGGAAAGATTCCGAGGAAAGATTCCTGCTACAGCCTAGCCTCTGAGTTGAATAAAGGATTGGAAATATTTATGTCTTTAATTGCAATTGCCATTACATATTTGCTCTGGGAAACAGTTTGTGGCTAGATGTCCTTAAAGCCATTTAGCCAGACTTTCATCAAACATTTTCAAAGTTTCTCTTCTAATTTTGGTTCTGTCCCTCAGCCTGAAAGTTTCTCTTAGTGTTCCTCTCCTACACAAACAAACATAACAGTTTATACCAGGACTCAACCTTGATAAAGAAAGGCTGCTCTCACAAAGCAGTCTAACGAGAAACCAGAGCACAGAGACTACAAAGGAAAAAATGCCCAGAAATGAAACAACTTTTAGTTTTATCCTCCTGTGACTAAACCCTAAGAGTCAAAAAGAGGGGAGAGAGAAGAAAAACAATATTTAACTAACAGGTTGTCAATTGTCAAGTTTTCCACCCACATGGCTGCCCAATATTCCAGTGGGAAAATCAGTGATATGGTCTAGAAAGAGAAAATCATACATTTCTTTTTTATTTCAATTTATTGTTGTTGACAACTCCTCAAGACAATATAAATGTTTTTTTACATGTTGATCCCCAGAAAATAGGTGCCTAAAAAAAGTTACTTTAGGATAATGATTTCAGGGGAGTAGAAGGTGAAAAATCATAACCCAAAGTCCAGTATGGACAAAACCATGAAGACATTTGGAAGTAGTATTTCTCATTGACAAGCAAGTAAAACCAAGTGCATTGCAACAGATGGCATACAAATCAAATCCTGATGCAGCACGGTATGGGGAACTATTTAAATTAATCTACTAGAAGTCTATTGAACAGTTAGAACATAACTTTAATGAATATATTATCATATCCAGTTCTGTATAGTAAACCTACATTTTTCATGTCCTAGCTGACAACCCAAACTATCTTAGTACCCTTCAATATTGCTTTGCAATTGTGGACACAATGGATTCCATTGAAAGATAAATATTATTTGACAAATGATTCATAATTCCTTGTCTAATAGTCAATGCATTTAACAGGATAATGTATTATGTATAAAGTATAGCACCAGTAGTTGAATTCCTGTGAAATGTTAACTATTTTAACTCAAAATTTACATACGTTTCAAAATGTTTGGGATATCATTCATTGATTTTTAAGAAGATGGTACTTTCTGGTAAGCAGCAGCTCAGAGTAGAAAGAGCACTGGACCTGGAGTCAGATGCAATGCAAGTTGTTTTTTCTAAACACTCTCTAATATCCTTTCCAGATCTAACATTCTATTATCTTTTACTACTGAATCTTGAGAGTTTGATTGAGGTAATTTTCAAGTGGTTTAAAAGTTATTGTCTTTTTCATTTTGTTCCTTTTCTTTTTAAAGGTTAGTTTTGAAAATTGAATTTGTTAAGAAAATGGGTTGAGAGGAGGCAGTTTCATTGTATGTTTGTTTGTTTTTGTATTTTCCATTAACCTACTATAGAAGATCCTATATCTTCTAGAACTTGTTAGTAGTGGTTGGCCTCCCTTTACTGTGTCAATAAGACTTTGAAGGTGTCTGGGAAGGAGATTCCAAAGAGGAACAGCAATTCTTTCTGCCACAAGAGAAAAAACACTGTTAGGGACTAGATTGGTATAGTATGTTTACATGACTGGCTTCAGTTCCCAAGATTAAATAGCTTAAAATTTCTTAAGCGAGTTCCCTTAACCCAATGTTGCTTTTGTTCTCATCTTTCCTTCTCACCAACCCTACATGTGTTTACATCTCCACATCAATGTCTGACCAATAGAAAATCATGTCTAAAATGTTCAAAATTGATCTCTCCAAACCTGCTTCTCTCTTATATTCCCAGTCTTGATCAACAATGTCACCATCTTACCGGTTCTAGCCAAGCTCAAACCTTTGGAGTCATTCTCCAAACTCCTCCTTCCTTATTCCCCATTCCACAGTCTTGTCCTTCTCCAATCACCCTTCACATAGTGGTTGCCAAGTGCCCTTTCTAAATTGCAAGCCGGGTGCGGTGGCTCACGCCTGTAATCCCAGCACTGTGGGAGGCTGAGGCAGGCGGATCACTTGAGGTCAGGAGTTCGAGACCAGCCTGGCCAACATGGTGAAACCCTGTCTCCGCCAAAAATACAAAAGTTAGCTGGGCATGGTGGTGTGTGCCTGTAATCCCAGCTACTCAGGAGGCTGAGGCTGGAGAATCACTTGAATCCGGGAGGTGGAGGTTGCAGTGAGCCGAGATCACACCACTGCACTCCAGCCTGGGTGACAACAGCGAAACTCCATCT
This sequence comes from Homo sapiens, assembly GCF_000001405.40. Classification (NCBI taxonomy): domain Eukaryota; kingdom Metazoa; phylum Chordata; class Mammalia; order Primates; family Hominidae; genus Homo; species Homo sapiens. The sequence continues at coordinate 120,381,468 of NC_000023.11, read as the reverse complement.
CAAAAATAAACAAATAAATAATAAAGTAAAATAAAATAAAACACAAATGTGATCACAGAGCCTCCCTGATTAAAATGCTTTAATTACTCATTTTCACCTATTGGATAAAACTCAAAGTCCTCTTTCCATCCCTGAATACCTCTCTAGCTGGATCTCTTGCCATCCCTGCCATTCCTCTGAGCCCTTTTCATTCCAGTTACATAAACTGCTCACAGTTACCCAGACACACCATGGTCTCTTCATGACTGTGGCTTTGCATGTGAAATTTCCTCTGCTACTTTCTTAGCTCAAGATATTTTTCCTCATATTCCCATAGCTTTCCACATACTAGTTTTTTAACTCTCATTAAACTATATCGTATAACTTCTCCACTTGCTTGTCTTCACTACCAGACAGTCAGTTCCCTGTTTTGGGAGAAAGGAAACATTGTAGAGGAGATTCAGACTTTGGATCCTCCTAGGTGGCATTTAAACTTGCTTCGGACCCTGAGACACTATACTATTCGCTGATGCTTGCTTTTTTTTTCTCCTTGTGCCAGCCTTCCCCCTGGTGGAGGTGTTAAGAAGCAGTTGAGTGATCAGGTGACCAAAGATAAGACAAAGTGACCTGGCTGATCCACATCCTGGATAAGAATCTGCCTCATGTCATTTTTAAAGTAAATGCTAAACTGGCTAATGGGCCTTGGCTTTTGCCTGGCCTGGCAAGGAACGTTCTGTCTTGTCATGTATTCATTGACAGATTATGATTTCAATTTCCAGAGCTGTAGCTGCTGGTCTATGTAACCACCCCTGATGGTCTCAAAAAACATCATGCTACTGTCAAACAAATAGCCCAAGAAGAATTAGCTGGTGGGAATCTTCTTCCATGTTGTCTCCTCTGCCTGAAGCTGAGAAAAACCTGTTTGCAGGAATGTTTGCCTTTAGACGATTACACCAGAGAGCAAGGAATCAAACACCAATCATATCCATATGCTAAGTGTTCTCCCCAGTTGCAGTGAGCCCCACCTCTTTAAAAAGTCACAAGGACGGTCTTCATCTCTATCCCAGAACAATATCCTGTTAGCACTGCTTTTTTCCCAGTTGAAAATAACCTAGTCTTTGAATAAGCACTTAGTTGTCTGTGGGAGGCAGAAGTTTCTTAGGCACCAGGATATAGAGGTCTTTAGGTATAGCGGTCTTGGTTGTCTAGGTTGGACCGAGTGGTGATTCCCAGGGAAGGACCTTGCCAGGCAGGTTTTTTTTTTCTTCAGAGACAGGATCTCACTCTGTCACCCAGGCTGGAATGCAGTGCAGCTCACTGCAGCCTTGACCTCCTGGGCTCAAGTGATCCTCCTGCCTTAATCTCCTGAATAGGTGGGACTACAGATGCATGCCACCACACCCGGCTTAGGCAGATTTTTTTTAAACATGTGTTAGGTTATTAGCCTGGTTGGGAGGAATCTGACCTCTAAAACCAACAGAATTTTAGAAAACATGATGAATTTATAATCATAATAGAAATTCTCCTTGATGGCTATTGCGTGGCTATTGTAAATTTTATCAGATACTATGTTTACGCTACAGGGAGATTACCAGCAGCAAGAACAGGCTTTAGTTTTAAGTGGAGGGAAAGGAAATTAATATACTCTGTTTGTCATCAGGAGACACTACCTTTAAAAAATCGAACAGCTCCCACAATGTCATTTTATACACATGTCATAGGCAAGGAAAGATGATCGGCTGTCTTAGATGTCCATCTGGCTGTGTCCTAATTGAAGAAAAAGAATTCAGGTGCTACCAGAGATACCATGAGATAAAACAGAAACAGAACTGGTAAGAATGGCCCCCTGAAGTTCTTAAGTTTCTATGTTCAGGGTAAAGATTACCCTGCCCACAAAACGATCATTGATGACATCATTTATGACGCCTTTGCCCTTCAGTTGGCACTGCACAGGCACTGCTTGGTTCTTCACCACGTCTGTAAAGTGCATTGCCACCAAGGGGGATGTGTAGTTAACCTGCAGGTAGAAGAAAAATGAATTCTAAGTGTGGGGAGGTGGTAGGAGGGAAGTGATCAGATAATCACTGCAGGATGACAACCCTCACAAAGAGAACTGAGTAAATCCCATGATGCCAATTTGCAAATGGCCAAAGCAACAGACATACTCTCCTTGCAGTGGGAAAGTGTGGGAAAATCATACATTTCTCTAACAAGTCACTGTCAGATATCTGATTGTCCTCTGGGAAAAACCAATTCTGATTCAGCATGATATGATTTTTCTGGAAATCAGACCATGAATTAAACCAAAACTAGTGTCTATCGAGTCCCTGTGTTGGGGACTCACCCCAGCGCTTCAAATGGGAGAAACAGAAGCGTGATTATTAGGGCATGTTTAAGCACATTGGTAGTAATTTATCTGCTCCTGACCCTGCCACTAACTTAGCTGTATGGTCTTGGGCAAGTCACTTTCTGTCTCTGAACCCCAATTTTCCCATTCGTAAACTTAAAAGGTTAAATTAGGCCATATATGAGATTCTTTCAGATATGGAAAGGAGTGTGGTTGTGATAAGAATTGGTAAAGGGAGCTCCTGGTTATGGCCAGCAGCTATTTACCCCTCTACTATCTCCTGCTCCCTAATTCTCATAGATCCCAGCCAGCTCTTCTTTTGTCACTGAGCCCTTTCTGACAGCAATGACTAAAGGGAATACAGCTTACGTGAGTCAGTTTGCCGTAGTAAGGGTAGTAGCGGAGGTCAAAAGAAGCCGACTCTGGGTAGTAACTGATGGATCGGATGTCATTTTCATCACCTCTCTGTAAGCAAAAGCAGGTATATGTGGGGTGCTGGGTCACAGAGTGGGCTAGAGTCTGAGCTAAAGGGAGTTGTACCCAGGTGAAATCACTGTGTGAACCATAACCAACTGTTCCAGGAAGACCATGAAAGCAGAATGGAGCAGAGCTCAGCCGTGACCTGTCCCTAGATGAGCATTTTTAGGGAGTGACTGTGCCTTGTCTTTTCAGTTCAAAGAATATTGAGTAGAAGGCCTGAACTGAGGAGGACAAAGGTGCTCAGTATGGCTCTCTGTTGGCTTCTGGGGTACCCAGACAGAAGCAATCCAAAGGGCTTGCAGTACCTGATGCTGCTCTGGAAAGAGGACCTACAACTCCAGCCTTTCTCCAAAGAACCACACTGGGCCTGGCACCCAGTCTTGGACTTTGGAGCTGAGGAAGATATACGTTAGAACATATTTAGTAAATCCCACTCCACGATTTGCACACTGCAGGCTCGGTTCTATTGGAAGTCAGATCAAGTGCATAGGTACCTGATACACAGGCACACAGCCTACAGTTGGCTCACCTAGACTCATGTCTCTGACCATATTCTCTGTAGTGCTTAATTACAGTAGGTGGGGTCAGAGGGGTAAGCAACAAGAGCCTGGGTATGGAAATGATTAAAGTAAACAGATCTACACTCATCACATTATGTCAGGTAGGGGCTGCCCATTCTGTGATACATTCGGCTTGCCCTAAATAGCAGAGGTCTGGGGGCTAGTAAGGACAAATAGTGCATCACTACTAGCAAATTACTCACTAAGGTCATGTGATTACTTCTGTCAATATACTATAATTGTTCTTGGTACAAACTAAGCTCTCCTTAATTTATTCTAGTCATTACCTCATCCTGCTTGATTTTCACAAATGGGTGTGGATTTGACCAGTATTGTTTATTATAGAATGTATAGAGATTCTTAATATATTTTTTAAAAGGACATAAAATATGTAAGGAGGTAGCTAAAAATAATAATTAAAACATTAAAACAATTTTAGAAAGGACAGTTCTTAGCAAGGTTTGATGTAAGCTGAAAAACAAACAGCTTCCATTAGGGAACAATAAGTAGAACTCTGTCCAGTTAATATGCTAACTTAAGACTAAGTTGGTCTTTATGATTTACTTTTAATACATTCTTCTAAAAAGCAATGAAATTTATTTTTCATGAAGGCCTGAGGAATCAGTTCGGATAGTTTGTAGTGTCACCTCATGTTGTGAATATTTACACATATACATGAGAACAGAATGTGCTTCCTACCTTGTTCATTTGGCAAGTACTGCCTGACCTTTCAGAGCTCATCTTCACTTTTCACAGCACATGTAATACTTGATTGTCTTGATTTCAGAGACGGAGTCATACTCTTACCTCGACACTTCTAACACCTAGCAGAGGATCTGCTATATAATAAGTGATCAATAAATGCTTGCTAAATGTGGGATATTGGCTGAATAACTGCTGCCTTTTGCTGTTTTCTGATCTGTCACCATGAAGACTGAAGTTTTCAACTGTATTTCTCCTACTGAGAATGGGATTACCAGGCCTCACGCATTTGCAAGACAACTATCCAGGTCTGGGGGTGCAGTTGATGTCATAGAACAGGAGAAAGCTACTGCCTGTTTAAGAAGCAAACCCAAGATCTAAGGGCTTTTTCCTACAAGGGAGCTAATTGGTGCAGATGAGATAGAAGTTAATGGTCCCTCGAAGGACAGTTAATTAGCATATTAATCGAGTTCTGTTTATACTTCCCATGTAGTCATTTGTTATTGCAACACCCAGTACCACTGGTCATTGCTGCAAAATGTGAAATTCAGTTTTAAAATCTGGGAACTAATGACTCTAATGAAAGCTGTTTGTTTAGTTCAAAGAAACAAGTAATTAGAGCTAAAAGCAAAAGTGTAAACAGAATCTCAATTAATGACTTGGCACATTGTTGTTCCCTGCTGTGGCCCTTAGCTGAAGTTCAGTCTTTGGTTTTCAGAAGTATTAATCATGACAGACTGACTGACACACACACATACACACACATACACTATACACACAAACACACATGAATTGAATGCTTTCTGGAAAGAGGAAAACCTGAAGGAACTAAAGAGAGGTGTAGTTATGAAAAGATTAACCTTTTCCTTAGCCTACCATCCATGTGTAAGTCCTTGAAAGTGATGGACTACCTTTTTGCATGAAACAGATGTGCTAACAATGCTTACTCAAAAGGACTCTTTACCTGAACTTTGCAGGAAACCTTCACAGGATCTCCAAGCTCAGGACGAAAGCCTACAATCTATCAAAAGAAAACCAGTGTTTTATTTTTTTTTAACAAAACATATTTGACAGTAAAAAATTGGGCTTTTCTAACCTTCCTCCCAGTCATGCTTCCTCAGGCATATGCTTCATCTATTTCGCCTTCTCAGAAATGTTACAAAAAGCAAAAAATGAAAAACATCTTCAGAGCTAAGCAGCTCAGCTTACTCCGTGTTGTATTTATGCCTGGTATTTACACACAAGGGGAAACGTCAGCAAGTCAATGCTAAAGATGTAAAGAACTTTCTAATTTCAAGAGAGGTGTGACTGATAAGGCTCTGCCACACCTAAGTCATGACAGGATGGAAGAAAAATGCATTTTTATGATATAAGAACTGTCCCCCATGCCACCCTCATTTCAATCCCCTGTTCCAAACAGCTCAGTATTCCATTCTTTATTTAAAATACTTTTTTAAAAAATTAAAGATGAAGTCTCACTATGTTGCCCAAGTTAAACTTGAACTCCTAAGCTCAAGCAACCCTCCTTCCTCAGCCTCCCGAGTAGCTTGGATTATAACCTCGAGCCACTGCACTTGACTAGGACCCCATTCTTGACAAAGGCCATCAAGTGACAGGTTTGGGGGTGAGGGAGAAGAATGGCCATAGGAAGTGCTCGGTGGGCGGGGGGGAAGAAATTGATAGGTTTATCTGGTTATTTGTATTTATGATACTGTCAGAAAAATGGCCAAACCTGTGGTGTGTGAAGACAGAGACCAAGACAAATGGAGTGGCCAGAGCCCTCCTATCTAGTTCATTCGCTTATCACCACCAGATATGAAAAGCCAATATACCCGGTTCATCTTTAGAAGGATGCAGGGCTGTCCAGTAGAGTATCCAAAAGTTGGGTCCTCCAGACCAGAGCAGTTCTTTAGGAAGGAGCGCTTAAATTGGCAGGCCTTCTTGTCCTCATCCTCATTGCCATCTTGGATGAAGTACTGCCCCGGGGGACAATCTACATTCATTTCCTCTTGAAGACTGTCATTATAACCTAAAGCATGTGTGAGTGGCAACAGGTTATGTTAGACAGGTGCTACAGGGGAAGGCCGTGCGTTCAGTAGTCCTCCCTCCCAAGTTTCCTTTCTCCAGCTTGTTTGTACTCCTCTGAAAGCCCACTCAGTCTACCTGTGACCTGGCATCAGGTGCCCAACAGCCTTCATCGGCAGCCATCCCTCTAGGAAGTCTTCCTGACTAGTCACTTCAGCCCAGTTTGATTGCCTGTTCCTTTGCTTTTCATTCCCATGGAACTTCTGGATATCCATCTCTGGGTCCTATGTCAGTCACTTTATAAATTTTCTCTATTTTCCACCATTTCTTTTCAGACATGATAAACTGTAAACTTGGAAGGCTGTCCCTTCTACTTCTGAGAGAGAAATAGGCACATAGTTGGTAGATTTTGGAAGAGGGACTGAAACATTCAAGGTATGGTATATAAGGGTATATATAAGGGTATATATATATACCAGGATATATAAGGATATACCCTTATATATACCCTTATATATAATATATATATACCCTTATATATAATATATATATACCCTTATATATAATATAATATATATAAGGGTATATAATATATATATATTATATATATATAATATATATATATACACCCTTATATATAATATAATATATATATTATATATAAGGGTATATATATATATTATATATAAGGGTATATAATATATATATTATATATTATATTATATATATATAATATAATATTATATTATATATAAGGGTATATATATATTATATATAAGGGTATATATATATTATATATAAGGGTATATATATATTATATATAAGGGTATATATATATTATATATAAGGGTATATGGTATATATAAGGGTATATCCTTATATATCCTGGTATATATAAGGGTATATCCTGGTATATATAAGGGTATATATATGGTATATCCTGGGTTAAATCTCCTTAACTTCACTTAGGAAACAAGGTGAACCCATTGGGCAGTTACAAATCTGGGGGCTCTTTTGGGATTGCCCTTATGGCTACCTGCTCGTGGTTCAGTAGCACCCCACCTCCCGACCTGGCAATGGATCCAGAGGCCAGCCCAAGCAGCCACCTAGTTCTCTTGGGCTGGAGGCCGACTCTGGTACTGTCTCCACTGGCGGGGCACTGCAGACCCAATGTACATGGATTTGATTGCAATAGAGAAATAGTCCTGGGGAGATTGATTTGAGTAATAATAAAAATCCAGTCTCCCGCACAGCTGGCTGGGTGTGGATTACTCTGTCTCTATTGCAATACCCCTGTCTTGATAAATCAGCTCTGTCTAGATGGTGGGCAAGGTGAACCCGCTGGGCAGTTACAATGTCTCCCTTTGAAGTCAGTGAGAGGCACCTGATTGTAAGAGTGAGAAGTATGAGTTGTGAGACAGAAGGAAAGTGGAAGAAGAGGAAGAGGAGGAGAAGGAGGTGGAGCAGGAGGAGGAGGCGGGGGAGGGAATAAGCCAGCTCTTCATCCTTTACAGAGGGAAGTTAGCACTGCAAAACAGAAGCATAAGTTAAAAGATAGAAACCAATGACAACCACAGGGTCTCTACGGGGATGGTGAGGGCATGAGATCTTGTCAACTGAGGCCTGAGACATTCAGGATAAATGTCCTTTTACATTGGATGGAATGTAACATGTGTCCAAGGATACATATATCAGGGAGAAAGCTTAAAAGGGCTATTTGTGAGGTAACCCTTTGGGCTACCAAATTTCATACATAAAACTGGGCTTTAGAAATTACTGCATTATTTCCAATTTGATTCTAAATGATGGAGCCCAGTTAGTCCTGTTAGACTCAGTCCCTATGTATTAATGTTCAAAGTAGCTCAGTATTTCAGAGGAGATTTTGCACCTGTGATCTACCAGAGGTAAAACTCAAAATGTGCTGCTGAATCCTCATCTAATAATATCAAACCCACAGGTTGTGACTTGGGTTTGATATTATTAATCGGCAACTGCGAATTTTAAATCTATTCCAAATATGGCTATGCCTTTATTTTTTCTTTGACAAAGCTACATTTAATTCAAGGCTTTGTTTTAATTTTTTTAGAGCAAGAACTATGCTCAAATAACTTTCTAAATAGAGGCTGCGATCATGTGCTCATTGTTTCTCTTGAGGTAGTTCCATTAAAAATAATGTGACATGGACATGACCCTTATTGCAAAATCCCAGTCCTCATGGGAGTGAAAGTGATACTCTGTGATGTCTATTTCAGAGATGTGCTTCTTTTTAGCAGGACACATTATCTACTCTTAGGAACTAAAAACTAGTGCTTTTCCTAGCATTTCCTGCTTCCATCATCATCAGGTCAGAATTGGTATTTCTCTGTCTACTAGCTTCTTGGAGGGATTTTCTTAGCAGGGAATCCGGCAATATATTTGCAATCGCTTGCAAGCATTCTGAAACAAAAGAAGATACTGTGCTGGCCATGATGCCCAAAACATTTCTGTAGCTAAAAATAGAACTACATGGACTCAGAAAGAACCCAGTCCCGTCTCCCCTCGTTTCACTGGTAAGGAATCTGAAGCTCAGACTTACCCAAAATAACACTGAGCCTTACTGATATAAAGCTGAATTTCTAACTCTTGGTCATGTGACAGCAGCGTAGAATTATGAAAAGCAGCATGTCTCAAACTTTAAATTTCCTACAAATCACCTGTGGATTTTTTAAAAATGCAGATTTTGATTCAGCAGGTCTAGAATGTGGTCTGAGATTTTGCCTTTCTAACAAACTCCCAGGAGATGCCCATGTTGTTGGTCCCTTTATAACACTTATAGCAGCGAGAGTGTAAAGAACAAGAAATGTGGATTCAAACACTGGTTCTGCTGCCAGAGTCTTTGATCAAGCTACTCCCCCTTTCTGAGTCTCAGTTTTCTCATTTATAAAATGAGCGTGATCAACTTTATTATGCAGAGTTAAAGTTAAATGACCAAATTTATGTATTTAAATAACACCTCCTAGCACATGATAAGAGATTGTTCTCCTCCTAATTCAGTGCACTTGTTATAATAGTAGCCGCCTCTAGAATGGATCAACCCCACTTCAACCAGGCCAGGACAACCAAGCCAGAATGACTGGCATTTTTTTCCCCACAAAGATTAGGTGCAGAAATGCAAACCCCACTGGAGCTCCTCTTTGATAGCTGCATAAAGAACCTGTGTGCTCTGTTAACCTTAACCAAGCTGCTACCTCAGATTTTACCTTGTGGAAGCGTCTCCCACAAAGCCATTCATTTGCCCCTGAAAACTTATCTGATGACACTATAGAGATAGGCACCTCGAAAATACTTGGGATCAGAATGTTGGAGCGACTGCCACCCAGAGATTCTTCCTCTAACTCCTTTCTGGAATGCTGTTAAATAATGACACTTGGCTGGGCGCGGTGGCTCATGCCTGTCATCCCAGCACTTTGGGAGGCCAAGGCACGTGGATCACAAGGTCAGGAGATCAAGACCATCCTGGCTAACACGGTGAAACCCCATCTTTACTAAGAATACAAAAAATTAGCAGGGCGTGGTGGCACGCACATGTAGTCCCAGCTACTCAGGAGGCTGAGGCAGGATAATCGCTTGAACTTGGGAGGCAGAGGTTGCAGAGAGCAGAGATCAAACCACTGCACTCCAGCCTGGGCGACAGAGTGAGACTCCATCTCAAATAAAATAAAGACGCTTGCCCTCTCCCTTCAAGTTAACCCATCTCCAAGAAATGACTTCTTTTACCTTGAGAAAGTTTAGAAGATAGGAATCTTTCAGCTCTGGAGAACATTCTTCTTTTCCCACCACTATCTCCCCCAAGAATTATCTTCTATAAATGATCATTATTGAGCCATCTGGATATGTTCAGGGCTTAAATGGGTACTGTAACGTGTTCAAGAAAAAAAATTTCTCTGCCACAAAGAGCTTATCTTGCTGGAAAATTGGCTTGTATGTTTTCAAGACAACATACAATCACACACTAGAGCAATTCTGATTGTAGCTACAGGTGCTAAGGGGGATGCAAAGTAAGGACAGACCATGATGAGTTGGGGTTAGTAAGACTGGGATTCCTGGGCCAGGTGAATTTTGAATTTTGGATTCCCACCCATCACCTTTCAAAAGAGCTTTCCACTATTCAGACGAACTTACTTACCCTGGAGAAAGCCATTTAGGCTAATCACATAATGCTGCCAAGTGTCGGGTTCAGAAACGTTGAAGTTGAAGTTAAGGCTATGGGCGAAGGGTCTGATCATAACTCCTGGCAATGAAAACAGGTCTTGGATATATTAACCCATTCTTGGGATAATTTTTTTGTATTGATTCCCATGAAACCATTTCCCCCCAGGCAATCAAAATGAAAAGAACCATAATTTGCCAAGTACCATTTTACTTTTCCTCCTAATAATTGAATCTCTAAGTCATTACCAGGAAGAGCCAAAGTTAATTGAGGCTGAACATGCTGTGCAAGCATATTTCTGTCCAGCAAGTTCTGACAACACAGGGCATCTGGGCACACTCACCAGGAGGCTTTACCCGCTCCGTGAAGGTTGGTATATAGGGACTGATGGTCAGAAATAGTGTGTACATGCAGAGGGTGATCACAGCAGCCAAGGAGGCATAGAAGAAGAAGTAAATGAGTAAGATCAGGCCTGCAGAGCAATCACAGATGAGAGTGGTCAGTGCTTGCCAACAAGCTCTTCCTCCCTGCTTGGACTCATGAACCAGAACAAACCCAACCACGAAATAGCTCTTTAAAAAATTCCTCAGATTCAGTATGTCCTTGCTTATTCAGATTTCACCAATTTGGAGTCAGTGAGGATTGTGTCAGGGGTCTAATTGCAGTTTACCTTTACAGCATCTCCGATGGAAGGGCTTGCTCAGCAAATGATGGCCATGAACAAGAATACAGGGGAGTGGAGTTAAAAGTATTGCAGAGGGAAAATTGCTTGAGAGTCCTCTGGGCAACAGTTGATGTCCTAAGTACAAATCATTCTTTGCTATTCATTAAAGTGGGTGCCCTGAAGAGTCCTAGCAGCTTGGTTCCAATAATTATAGGTATTTGAAGTGATGAAAACAGCATTTCTTTCCACATAGTCTATAATTCAAACTTTTGATGAATTTCCACTGGACTTGCCTCCAATCAAGGCAAAGTGAGGTTTTGGCCTGCTTATTTCAAATTGTATTCATCTTTAGCAAAGATGAATAAAATGGCTCTGCTTTTCAAAAAGAACACTAACACAGGGTGGGGAAGGGAAAAGGAGGAGACAGTACCTAATCACTGACACTTGCCCGTGAACTTTGGCAAGTTACAGAACTTCCTTGCACCTCCAATTCCTCACAGGTAAGATGGGGATAAAAATAGCACTTACCTCGGATTCTTATCTATATCCCTAACAATATCTGAAATTCAGTCTTTCCTTAACGTCCTATCCTGACTACACCACTTCCAAGCTGATTAATCTTGGACATGCTGTTCACCTCTCTGGGCCTCAATTTCCTCGTCTGTACAATAGTGGTACTTACTTCTTAGCATTGACTAATGCATATAAGCAGCATAGCACAGAGCCTGGCAAATACTAATTGCACCATAAATGGCAGTCATCATCAGTTATTATTAACATTATTATTAGTGCTGTAGGACCGTTGTGTGAATTTTCCCTCTTTGGGCTGTATTAGGACTAGGTTTGTCCCAGGATTAGGCAACACTGAGTGAAGTGAATGAGTATGAGATTGCTGATGAGAAACTCTTTTCAAGCCCTCCTTGGGGCTCTCTCAGGCAACAATGTTTGGCTCTGCTCACAGAAATGACATGATGTTGGACCTACAGATTTGAACTGAATTATGAACCAGAAACTGGAACAAACCACTTAACTTTGCTGTACCCCAAACTGAATCCAAATGTTAATTTTTAAATTGAACCATGAACCAAATAAAATTAACCAAAAAAGGTGTTGTGGAAGGGAGAAAAAAAACCCATAGTAATCCGACTGGAAATGGAACTGACCCTTTTTATTTTATTAGATGAACTAAAGCAGAACTGGAACATGAACACATTGATTCAGTTGGAGTCCCTGGAGAATAAACGACAGCACCTGTGTGCCTGTGATACTTGGCTGTTGCCCACTGGCTATCTAATGGCATTTGCCCTGTGTTTCTGCCTCCATTCCTTTACCCCATCCCTGTCCTAGGAATGGATCAACAGCTAGAGCCATCCATGGAGATCAAAAGACTCAGTTTCATGGATGAAGGGAAAGCAATGGAACATAGGTACATTCCTTTGGAGATATCTTCCTTTTTTCCCAGGATGTGTGACCAGGAAGCTGTAGATGGGAGAATGACACTAGCAGTAAGTCCCCTTAGCCTCACCCAGGAGTGGGCGCCCTAGAGTTTATGATAGGTGATCACAGACTGAGATAGCTAGCTCAGCCACCCCCAGGTAAAACCAAGCACAGTCCCCATTTGAACCCATTGATCCCTCTGACACTTTCTGCCCTGGATGTCCAAGTATTACTTGGGTCTTTCCTCTAGGTACTCTAGAGTTCTTTCCTCAATGCCCCACCCGGGCTTGAATAGACCACTAAGTAACCGTGCTCCCAACTCTTCATTTCTCCCACTAAAACACCGTGTCAAGTCCTGAGGCCCTACACATCAGGGCCTTGTTCATTGTTAGAGTTCATGAAATGGGGCAGTGTTCTGGCAAAAGAATGAACTTTGGTGTTCATCCAACCAGGATTTGTAATCCCAGCACTGCCACTTAGTAACTATATGACTATAGGCAAGTTACTTACCCTCTCTAAGCCTCAGTTTCTGCATCTGTAAAATGGGGATAATAATATTACTACCTCATATGATTCTTGTTGGTATCCAATAAAATAACATAGAGTTTCCAAGAATAGGGGTTGCGTAGATACCAAAGGAAAGGCCCAGATTATATTCATAGGCCTGGTAAATATATTGGGCAGGTTGATGTCCAGGTTGGGACAGCATTAGTAAGTGCACAAGCGGGCACCTTGTTCTCAGGAAAGAAGACAGCAAGGCGTGTGCTTTATGGCTGAAGCATTAACATTACCATTCACCCTTTGCCCAGGGTAGCCCAGTGGATGAATTCCTGGGCTCTACTTAGATCTGCTACTCAGAGGTCTGGCTACGGCCTATCATGCTGTGTCCCTATTGCCATATCTTCTCTGGGCACTTGAACCTTCCTCCCTCATCCCCACTTATTGGCCTATGGATTGCCTTCCACAGAAGCAATTTGGATCAGCTCATCTGGTGAAGATCTAATGGCTGGTTGTTTAGGCTCCCCCTCCCAGATTCACACTTGCATTTCACAAGGCTTGTTTTTCCAGTCCTCTTTAGGCAAGGGAGAAACAGCTGTGCACCCTTGGAGCCCCAAGTGAGTGTCCAGTATTTGTCTGCAACTTCCAGAATGTCGGAATGTTCCTTAAATGGTACATTTGTTCCAGTTGAGAGTTTGTGGGATGGTCAGGGGTGGGGCTGGGAATTGGGGAGGGGTGAAGGGAGATCCCACGTGCTATTCCTAATTCCAGGAAACAGAGCTTAGTGTGTCACCTTGACTGAGCTGAATTAGCAACATTAACTTTGAGGGAGAGAATTCTTAGCCAACGGGGCCTTTAGAAGACATGGCCATCAATTTCAGCAACCTAGACCCTTGGCACTAGGGGACTGTTATTTCATCCTTGGCATCCTCTATTTTTTTTCTTCTGTGGATTGACTGATTTCCAAACCAGCAGCTGCTCTTTTTCTGGGCTGTGCAGAGACTGTGGCAAGTGTGAATTTTACCACTGGCTAAATCTCCTGAGGAGAAGGCTCAGCATTAATAGTTTAAGGGTGGGTAAGACTGTAGGAGGTGAGTGCTGGTGAAGTTGTGGAGTAAAAATAATGGCAGCATGTGATGCAAAGAGGAAATGCTAAGGAATATAATTCTGCCACTGATCAAACATCTCTATCATAGCAGAAGAAGACACCCACAAGCTGGGGCCAGGGACACGCCTCCTGGCTCTCCTTCTCTGACATTACCAGGTGATGGGGCCTCATAAAAACACTTGGTCATGTTAGCAGGGATTTGAGTCTCATTTCTTACAAGAAGTCTTCTGCATAGTTCTTTAAACTTTACAGTTTTAACATCTAATTGGGGCCTCACTCTGATCCTGTAAGAGAAGCAAGTCAGGGATTGTTTTCCTCATTTGGCATGTGAGGAAACTGAGGCTCAGAGAGGGGAAATGATGAGTCCACGGTCACGTGGATAGAAAGTGACAGGACTGGGACTTAAAAAAATCATGTGCTTTTTCAACTCATTCTCACTGTCTCTCTGCATTGCAACTGATGTTGAGCCCAGTGGGTTTTGGTTACACAATCAAGTTTGTTCATCCATTTGGAGTTTGTTCTGATGGAATCTGTCCACAGTCTAGGCATTTCCCTAGGCATTGATGCCTTTACATGAAGTGCAAAGAGAAGTTTGCAGACAAGCCCATCCAGCGTATGGTAAAGGAGCCCTGAACACCACACCAAAAGCAAAGGACACCAGACTTTGGCATTGGGACTATTGGGACTTACTCCAACTCTGACCTGTTCGGGCCAGAAACATCCTTCTCTCTGGATCCCACAGGTATTCACTCATGATCTGCAATTTCTGCCACCAGGCATTGCCTGTTGGCTGACCTTGACCCTCTTCCTCCTCCTTTTCCTCCTCTTCCTCCTCTTCTTTCTCCTCCTCTTCTTCCTCCTCCTCCGATTTGGGCACCACCGTCACCCGAGCCTCTTCTTCTGCTTCCTCCTCTTCATCTGCTAAGTAGTTCTGGTTCGCTTCATCCGGATCATCCTGGAACAGTGACAAAACACAATACCCTTTTTGAAAAAAAATGTACAATGGTGCATCCCACCAGCCAAAAATAAATCGAAATGACTCAATATTTGGAGATGCTTCAAATTTCCACTTTCCCATAAACATACATGTTGTTACAAGAGGTGGATTTTCTTTCTCCCTAGTTCTTTTGGAGGAAATATCCTTTCTATGACCCATTTTGACTCAGTATTCTTTCCATAGAGGTGCAAGTTTTATTCTCAGCTTCAGGCATTTGGGCTCTTCTCCAAGGACTGCTCATATCACTACTCTGTTCTGGGGCCTTGACCTCCCACTTAACCTTGTCCTATCAGAGTAGAGGTGAGCTCACACAGGAAGAGGATGGAATAGTCTTAGACATTGTGTCTGTGATAGCAAACTTTCAGTCCAAGCCAGCTTTATCCTAACACCCTGTACACATTCAGCTGCTCAACTTCACCATTTCAAGTTGTGTCTAAAAATAGCCTGGGACGGACATCAGGAGGAGAGGCCAACTGCTGTACCCCTCCTCAAAACTTAGCCTTCCTTCCCAACAGAAACAATAGATGGGCAGTTATTAGCTGCTTCTCTGATTATTGCCCTAGTTTGAATCTCTTCCTACCTTAAATTGGTTGGAAAGACCATCTGAGAGCTGGAACCCCGGGCTTCCTTAGTCTCCCCCTATGCTTAGGCAAAAAGCTGGGCACGTAATACATACTCAGCACATATTTGTTGATTGACTGATTGCAGCCATTACTTGAGATTTGAAACTGTAATCTTCTCTGAGTGGTTCTAAGAAAATTAAACTGAAAAAGAGAGAGGGAGAGAGAAACCTAGACTTCACCAAGTGGTGTTTCAAATGCCTCCCAGCCACAGGCCAGAGAGTTGTATCTTTGCTCTTTGGGGGTTTGCCAAGGCTTATTGCAGCAGCAGAAAATGAGGCTGCCCTCCCTTCTCTGCTGTCCAAGTCTGAAGAGTTGCGGGGCTGTGCACCTGTTGGGTTGGATGTGTCAAACACTAGAGACCAGGGGCTCTGTGCTGCCCCCTCCCGGCCTGATTCCTCAAAGGCCATTTAGAGGGCACCCTGCTAAAAATGCTGCCTTTGTTGGGGGGAGGAGGGCTCAGCAAATTGGATTGTTCAGAATCAGTACAAGTGATACAGAATGACAAGGCTCAGCTCTCAGCATTCAGTCTGCACAGCACTATCTAGCTCTTGATTATAAGCCCTCTTGAATTGCTCTCTAATTTGTTCCAATGTACAGCTCTATATAAAATATCACATCAGAACCGACAGAGACCTTCAAGATTTACTTATCCATCTGAGGCCCAGAGATGGGACAGGATCTAGCCAAAACCATGCAGTAAATTCATGATAGAGTTGACGGTCTCGGAACCTATGTCTCTTGATACCCTGGACAATGATGTTTCTCCTCTATCACATTGAGCACAAGTGCCTAGAGGTAGCTTAGTAGATTAATGAAGCACAGTGCCTTAGGTTCTGTGTTCCTAAACGATTTTAGGGCTCAAGCCTGTAATCCCGACACTTTGGGAGGCCAAGAAAGGAGGATCACTTGAACCCAGGAGTTTGATGACAGCCTGAGCAACATAGTGAGACCCTGTCTCTACAAAATTAAAAAAAAATTAACCAGGCATGGTGGCATGCACCTGTAGTCCTAGCTACTCAGGAGGCTGAGGCAGGAGGATCACTTGAGCCTGGGAGGTCAAGGCTGCAGTGAGCTGTGATCATGCCACTGTACTCCAGCCTGGGTGACAGAGTGAGACATTGTCTCAAAAAAACACAAAAAAAGATTTTAGGTGCTTATTATAATCAAGGATGGCTGACTGACATAGGCTCACAGTGTAAGGCTTAGGAAAATAAACTTCATCACTCAATGATGAATGGATTAATACCTGTTCTTAAATATCTTTCACTTGTGTGTGAACCTATGCACACATTTAAACTCCCAAACTACATTTTGAGCACCCAGAGGGAGATTCCATATTTTCTAGCCTCTCGATGGCCCTCCACAGTGTAAAGCTGACAGTTAAGTACCCAGTGGGTCCTAACCAAATATCAGTGATACCTGCCTGACTTAAAATTCCTGATGCAGGACTCTGCGGGAATGCTCTCACAGAGCTTGTCACCCTGACTGAGCTGTCATGTATATCACAGTGGGTAGCAATCATGGCCCCCAGAGAATCTACTGCACCTGAGAATCTCAGTGAATTTGAAGTATAACATTTCATTGAGGAGAAATATATATTCCCTTTATATTTCCTGAACAATTTTCTTTTCTCTCCATGTTACCTATGCCTGCCTTTAACCTTCCACAGAGGAGGCAGCTGGCCTAGGCCTCAGACTGATCTTATTTGTAGATATTGGCTCTCATGATAATCCCATTACAGATGGCTTGTCATTAAAGCTTTACCCTCCTGAGAAGAATTAATCTTCTCACGGCTAATTTGCCCCTACAGCTCTCACACCCGAGAGGCTGTGAGAGGTTCCTGAGCTTTACTTTAGGAACCTCGAATCTTTTCTCCTCTCCTCTGTTTCCAGGTAAAGGAAATGGTCACACTGTGCAAGAGAGGCCTTCCCCAAAAGATCCTCATTAATTAAATCCTGTGTAAAATGTATCTTTGTGAAACTATTTAACAAAATCCAATAGAAAATCCTTTGGTAATGAGAATGCTTATCCCTAAGATTCTGTCTTGTCACTTTCCTAAAGTGGCACTACCCTCATGTGATAGTGTGTGTGAGTGTGCTGGGATATGGTAGTGGGTGTGTGATGGGGTCATCAGGTTTCCCTGAAAGGGAAGAGTCTGAAGAACAGAGGGTAGCTCCATTTTGAGTAATCTAAATATATAAACATATAAACAAATATATAAACAAACAGTATGACCCAAAGGATAAATTTTAAATTTGTGCTCTGCAAAGAAGACAGCAAGGCATGTGTTTATACACCATAAACATTTGAATGGCTGGTTAATTTTAAAAGAGAAATTAGCACAGGATTGCATTAATTTATTTTTAAATTTGGTCAAGTATTATAAAGAGCAAGATCCCCTGATGCATTTAAAATCCAAGCCACTTAACAAATAACTGAAATTATACACAACATTTTAACAAGATTACATAGAAAAGAAGGCAAGTAAGAAATAGTTTTATACCCCTGCAGATTGTAACTGTTTTGAGAGCTGGAAGAAACTTTGGGGGAAGTTAAACGGTTCTTCAAATTGTGGCTAAAAAGCTAAGAGAAGCCCTCTGTAGATTGATAGGAGGTTAGAATAATGTGTGTTTTCTTCTGCGGGCTGTTGACAGTCTTCACTTAACTCCCTGGTTACATAAGTGGCCATACCCAAAGAAAAATGGCTTAGGCTTTGTTTCCTCCTGGGGCTGAGATCACAATCCTCTCTGGGGAACATTTCAAAATCCTCTCCCCAAAAAGCACTGCGTGTGGCATACATTAATGACTTATAGCAAAATAAATGCAAATAAACTTTTGGATCAAATAATTTGTAATACACCCTGGAAATAAATGATGAGACAAAAGAATGTATGTGTGTCTACATGTTGGGCAGTGTGGGGTGGCAGTCAGGATGGCAATGGGTAGTGGCAGATCGGGGGTTTGGAAGATGCATTCTGCAAATACAATGGAAAGAGTACAAGATTAGCAGTGAGGATATTGCATTTTCACTTTGGCTCCTCCACTAACTTGCAAGTCACTCCTGTACTCTGAGCCACAGCAGCCTCCTTTAGGTAATGAGGGGTTCTGGAGAGATAATGTCTAGGATTCCTCCCTGCTCCTATTGGGGATTCTATGATTTTAGCTATAGTTTGGAATTTCTACTTTAGAAAGAGAGCAGCTGGACTCTAAGAAGCTACCACCCAAGAGACAGCTGGGTAGGCAGTGCCTTTCATTTCCTCTTCCTCCTTCCTTCCCTCTTGGCTAAATTTCTTGCTATTAGAATTAAACTTTTATACTCCAAAAGGTCTGTGAAAATTCTATACTCCCAGGAAAAGATTTTAGAAGCCACTTATTCTCTGTTATCTTCTCCTTCCCTTATCTTTGTTTCACAGGAAGAGGGGCTTCCTCCTTTTATCCAGCAGTTTAGGGTGCCCGGGGGTGCTGGGAGTCACTGCTCCTTTTTGAAACCCTGGGCTCCCCTAAACTTCGCTGTTTCTGCCCGTCTCAAAGAGAGGCAGCCGTAAACCAAGGTCTACACAGCCCCCAACCCACCCCATTAAAATAAAAGGGGAGGGGGCAGCAAAATATTCTGCTCTCTGGCACTCACGAGTCTGTAGCGATAACTGTAAGGAAAGGATGGAGCCCTTCTGGACCGGAGTTGCCTTCTCATGGCTGTTCAGTGGGCAAAGACGCAGCAGAGGCAGGCAATCGGGTGAGAGTTCTGGAGCTTCTGCTGGTACAGGAGACACTGGTTGCTGGGGACACTTGGCGCCTGGTAAAAGTGAACCCTCCTGGCATGAGCCCTTCCCCAGAATAATCTAACATGTCCCTCTGTCATTGGTTGGCTCCTTCCCTGAATCAAGGGAAAGCCCTTATGGAAAAGCAAGCTCATCATTACAAGGAGGGGGAGATATTCTGGGTCACGAGGATGAGCAACTCACCCTCCCGCCCCCTTTATATGTCTTTCCACCCCTTGTCTTTCTCCAGCGCTTGAGATATGATGGCCCCAATGGAAATCTTAAGTCATGTTCTTCTCAATTGAGAGTTGGATATCAGTGCATGCAGGGGGTGGGTGTGGGTGGGAGTTGGGGGTGAGGGGAGATGGCCAAGAATAACTTGCTTTTTTCATAAGGCTGATCTCATGCAAAAGGATCTAGGATGTCAGGAAAGATTCCCTTTGCTCTCTCCCCCCACCCCCACACACACTGTAAGCCACCTACAATATTTCTTATTTGTGTCAATCCATGAGCTTCTTAAAATGTGGATTATTCTTTCTGATTTTAGAAGCCAGGCTCCTACTTCATTCCTCCCTGCCCCAAAGAGGGTCTTGGACATAAGGAAGCCTTTTTCTAGCCCACATGTCAGAGTGGCCCCATCAGTCACTGCCCCTCATACACACACCCCTCCAAATCCTGGCCAAATTTCTGTAGTGGTTGAGATCTATATTTATCCCTTAGCATCAGGGCAGGGAACAAGCCAGAACTTTGCAGTGTCAGTTTCCCAGACATATGTAACTCCTGAAACCAACATGGGATCCAATGAAAGGAAAAATTAGAAGAAACAGTTAAGAATATTGTATAGCATTTTTGGTCTGTTTGGGGTCCACCCTACTGGAGCCTGGGTGGCTAAAAGGCCTGGATGGAGTTTGTGATCCTTCCTTCACAAATCAAACCCCATTATACTCAAGTGGCTGAGAATGTTGCAGATACTGACATTCTGGGCACATTCATTACTGAGAAAAACAGCACAATAGCTTAGAAAGATTTAATCATAACTCCAATTCAAGGCTATTCTGATGAAAATGGCTTCAATTGCAGTTAATTTTAAATAAGAATTCCTTTCACTGTAATGTTACTAATCAGACCTCTTCTTTAACAGTGTCTCTTCCCATATGCTTCTTTGAAGGGAAAAAGGCCACTTACAAAAAAGAGAAACTTATTCTTCTCTTTGAATTTTATTAAAAGCAAAATATATTCTAGGGGATAATCTGGTCTCTGGTCTCAGTAGATGTTGATCTCTATCTTCTACACCTTCTCCAAGCCAGTCTTTTGTGTGATTCCTTACATTAAGTATGAGAATCCCCAGGCCCTTGGAAGCCTTAAAACCAAACAATGGCTAGGCTAACTGGTCTAAGGCTGAAAAGAGAGTACACTCACTTTAAAACATTTCAAAAACTGAGAGTAGGGGGACAAAAGGGAGTTAGGAGTGACATGACCTTAGGTAACAAAATACTCCATTCTCTAGAATCTTCCATTCCTAAGCATTCTGGGTAATTGGAGGTTTGATGTATACTTAAGACATTTGCCATGTATTTCAGCTATAGCCCAGGCTGTGTTCTGGAATGTCAGCTGTTGGGTGGGGTAAAATAACCAAATCCCATAGGATGTTGAAGACAGAAATCTGTATGAATTTACACTCAAAACACTAGTTAGAAGGGAAATGATTCCTGCCAAATTTGAAAAAAAAAAAAAAAAGCAATATGCCTAACAGTGCAGCAGAATGGAGCCACAAGTGGCTAATGCGGATGCAAATGAAGCAGTGGCTACAAAGGGACAAGGGGAGGGAGAAAGGAGAGACTTTGAATATAACAGCAGATTCGGGGGCACATTATTAAAGTCTAGAAAACTACATGCTCATTTCTTGGGCACAGGTATTAGCAAATGCTTCTATAAGCCCCTTGTCCTGAGTGCCTGCTGTGGTGAAACCACAGAGTTGGCTGACAATGGCAACTAACTGGGAACAGAAACAATCTTATGGGCTGGGTCCCCCTGTTCCCAAAGGAAGGAAGATATGGTAGCACCCTTCAGATAATCTTTGCCTTTACCACGAGATGGGCTAGTTTATGACATCTGTTCTTGTGGGCCATTTCCACAGTTGTGTAAGTTGTGGGGTGGCCACAATGTGTCCCAGAGCCGTCAAAGAGCAGTTGTGTACTTTCCATACCAAGGGACTGGTTAGGTCTTCAGGGACTCTGGGAGGTAATGTGCAGTGGAGCTTAAGAGTTGTTTGCCATTGGAGTCACCCAAGTAATGTTGAATACTCTCTAGAACCCCAGTCCCTTCCAAGATTAGTGACCTGTGGACTCTGAGGTCACTGGGTAAGGAAGCTCCAGGCCAAGCTAGGGCCTGAGGTTGCCCATGTATGCTGCTCAGCACAGAATGTCATTTTTGAAGTGCATGGAGGAGGGAGAATTCACTTAGGGCTACAATAATCAGGGAAGGCTTCCCGGAAAAGGTGGGGTTTGGGCTGGATCTTGAAGGGCAGGACTTCAAGTCGGAACAGTTACTGCCTGACTTTGATGATGCCAGTCTGGTCCCCAGTGCCCAAAATTCCCCCTCCCGAACAGCTAGCCTCTGAGTAGTGGCCAGCAGGCATAGCCAGTAGGCTCACTGGCTAAGGCCAGAGGGTTTCCTTGACCTGAAAGGTCCAGATAATGGCCCCAGATCCCTACTTCACTAGGTTCCAGGAAGAACCCTTAGCGCATCACATTCCTGAGCAGAGTTTCCATCTGTCAAGTACAGTTGTACAGTGACAGACGCTTTCATTTCAAAGGACAGAGGGCCATGGGTTTGTGACTGTATAAGCCTAGACCCCTAGGGGAAAAATGAAAGCTTGGGAAATTGTGAGGTCATTGTGGAGATTCAAGCCTATTTCTAGTGGCTAAAAGGCAGTAATGAGTATAATGCAGACCAGAGACATTGGTTCAAACAAACAACTAATTGGAATTAAGAGAAGTGTGCAGAGGCCCCTAATGAATGGATATGCTAATTGGTCTTCTTTGCTAGCCCCTTGGGCTTTGGCTGTGACATAGACTAGCCTATTAGATGCCTGCTCTGTAATAGCTGCTGAAGGCTGGGGCCCTTTATTGCCATGGTAACATTGATGTCTAGAGTCTAGCTGAGCCCTGGATCTCTTAATTTACTACTCAGGCGGCTACAATTCTTTGGGTTTTATTATTCTTCGTGCCCCGGGTGCCAGAGTGGCAGTGAATCATGCTTATTCATCCTCTGCACCGCCCACGGTGTCTTTGAATAAGTCAGGGTGTCTCTTACTGTGTGTGATGAGCAGATTATTAAGTTAGAGCCTATTTCTGCCTTAGCTAGACTGGTGCCTCTCAGAAACCCAATGTACCTCTCCAACCACTTACTTACCTGCTGCCTAAAATGGTTTTGGCAAGCAGAGTGATGGCACTGCAGTGGGCCGGCAGAGCCCCAGCCTCCCAGAAACCTTTGCTTGCTTGGTGGTCAGGGAGGAGCAGCACAGTATAGGTGGGGCAGCACCAATTGGGAGAAAGAAGCTTGGAAACACATGCCATCAAAATGGAGCAGTTGGAGGGAGAGAAGAGTCATTGCAGAGGGTCCTGGCTGGGAACTGTGTTGCTAGAAGTTTTAGTCCCTGCAGGGGAAGGGGGTCGGGCCTGTGTGGAAAAAGACATCCTGTGTTCTGAGTGACTCCAAAAAAGGAAGTAGCCCCCAAGGTTAGAAGGTACAGGGGAGATGAATTTCACTTTATTTTATAAGACCTTTGTTACAAAAGCTGGTCACTGAGACTGGTTGCCTCTGAAAGTTAGTAAACAACTTACCACTGGAGCTGCCCCCACTTTGGCATCTCATTATAGAGATGCTCTAAGCATCCACTGCCAGGGTGTGAGAAGTAGAACCCTGCTAGATGACCTCTTAGGACTCTTTCAACCTTGCAGTCTTGTGTGTCTATATATGACGTTGTTTAATTTATCAGGACATATGCTAAACTTGAATGATGCTTTATAAGTATATGTGCTTGATTCAACAGCACATATGCTAAAATTGGAATGATATTCTATTAGTGTGTGTCTGTGTCTGTCTCCAGCCATAAATGAAATTTTGCAACAGGTGCAGAGATGTTTTCCCAACACCTCTGTCCCTAACAAATGGATAACCTGAAACTAAAGATAAATTGTACAATAAATCCCAAAGTTACAAATGGCTCCTAAAAGTAGGAGTCTTAGGGTTGTTGGACTTTGTGGTTTGTTTTGATTTTTTTTCAGTTCACTGCAGCATTTGCAGCATTTCACTGGGCATTCTCAGGGGACAATTGGCAGACTACAGAGAAAACTGAGCTACACAGACTTGAAGCACATTTACAAGGCTTTTTTTCTGTTTTTTTGGGAGTGGAGGGTGTAGGGTTGGGGTCACAGGTCTTCTTGAACTAACTAGATTCAAAGAAGTAGAGATTTTTTGCTGTGACAAGCTAGACAGAGAGCTGTAAACCTAAGGACAATCAATCAAGTGTGCTAAGCACAGAAGGGGCTGTTAGGCAACATTGGTTTTTCCACCAAACTCTGTGAACCTGCTTATTATGAAGCAGCAGCATTTCCCCACACAGAGGACAGTGATATTAATCCAATCCGAACCCACTCTGGATTCAGCAAGCACCAGTCAGAAATCACAGTGGCTCTCAGCTGCCTCTTAAATCAAAGTCAGATTCACAAGCAAGAGCTTAAGGTCTCTCCATCAACAGCCTTGTTCTGTTACTCACTTGCTGTAAGACTACAGGAATGACAATTGATTTCTCTGTTGCACCATGTTCCCTCCTCGAAAGAAAATAAAGTTCCATGTCCCTGCTTCCTCACTCTCAGGAATGCCATGGGCTTGGAACTCTTCAAAAGAAAATGGTGAGAGGCTCTGAAGTTAGGTAGAATTATTGCTTATTAGAGAGTATAGCATAGTGTCTAAAAGCATGGGCTTTTAATTGGAACTGGGTTTAAATCCAGTTCCGACTCTTTTTTTTTTTTTTTTTTTTTTTGAGATGTAGTCTCGCTCTGTCGCCCAGGATGGAGTGCAGTGGCGCGATCTTGGCTCACTGCAAGCTCCACCTCCTGGGTTCACGCCATTCTCCTGCCTCAGCCTCCCGAGTAGCTGGGACTACAGGCGCCCGCCACTACGCCCAGCTAATTTTTTGTGTTTTTAGTAGAGACGGGGTTTCACCGTGTTAGCCAGTATGGTCTCCATCTCCTGACCTCGTGATCCGCCCGCCTCAGGCCTCCCAAAGTGCTGGGATTACAGGCGTGAGCCACTGCGCCCAGCCCCAGTTCCCACTCTTCATAGCTGTGTGACCTTGGGGAAGTTATTTCAACTCTCTGACCCTCAATTTTCCCATCCATAAAATCACTAGATTGGTGTAAGAATCAAATGATTTAATTTATATAAAGTACTTGGCCTAGTTCACTCAATAAAGGTAATTGTTATTATTGTCAGTATTATTATCATGTGTCTTACGTGGATGTTGTTAGTAAAGTGTCTCCCAGAACACATGACTTCTCAGGGTTCTTCTTTGTCAAGACAGCAATTAAATCGATGGATTCTAAAACCATTGGTGAAAATTTCTGGGGGAGCAAGATATTCATGCAGTGTCAAAGTATTACTCCACAGATTATTTATTAATTTCAAAGAAAAAGCGCACCTTTACAATGAAGAATTCTAGCAGACATCACTTTAGCTTAGTGATCAAATTTAGCATCACTAATAGCAGGGCAGTAGGCAATGACATATAGCCCTGCTGATATGATGCAATGGGATGTCAACAACGTTGCTTCGGTAGTATTCTTGCCAAAAATGTTTAATCTGAATGTAACCATGAGGAAACAATCAGACAAAGCCAGGTTGTATACAAGACAACTGACCTGGACTCTTCAAAAATAACAGTATAACAGTATCATTGAGAAGAAAAGCCAAAGGTACTGTTCCAGAATCTAGATTAAAGGAAACTAAAAAGAAAAAAAAAAAACAATCAAATGAAATGCATTATTTTTAATTGAATCCTGTCAACACAAACTGCTAGGATGTTTTGGAAGCAATTAAAGCTTGAGAAATTTTAATATGTGCTTGATATTGGATACTATTATTAAAATGTTAAATTTCTTGGATGTGATAATGGCATTATGATTATGCAAGACAATGAAAGAATGCTCTTATTCTTAAGATATACATGCTGAAGTATTTAGTTGTGAAGTAGCATAGTAGCAATTTAATTTCAAATGCTGTAGCTGGATACATACATATGTGTATTATATATATGTTTGTGAGAGAGAGCATTGCGCAAATGTAAAATATTAACAATTTCTAGGTGAAGGGTATGCTGGCTTTCATCACATTTTACTTTCAATTTTTAACATTTTTCCAAATAAAAATTTGAGAGCAAAATGTAAATCCTTCCCTCCAGCCCCATTCCAGATGTGCCTTTTCATATCCCCAACAGGTCTCTGCACCTTAGTTCTTATACCTCCAATGTCCCCCATCCTGTAGCAACAGAAGCCATTTGGAGTTAAGGACACAAGAAATAATGGAAAGCTTCAGGAAGGCACTCACATTTGAGTTTGGCCTCCAGGGATGGGGCAGGATTTCACCAAGCAGAGGTGGGAGAGAAAGGACTTTTCAGAAAGAAGCAATAACTTAAGTGAAGCTTGAAGAATATAGAGCAGAGGGGCCGGGCGCAGTGGCTCACTCCTGTAATCCCAGCACTTTGGGAGGCCAAGGCGGGCAGATCATGAGGTCAGGAAATCAAGACCACACTGGCTAGCACGGTGAAACCCTGTCTCTACAAAAATACAAAAAATTAGCCAGGTGTGGTCACGGGCGCCTGTAGTCCCAGCTACTCGGGAGGCTGAGGCAAGAGAATGGCATGAACCTGGGAGGCAGAGCTTGCAGTGAACCGAGATCGCACCACTGTACTTGAGCATGGGCGACAGAGCGAGACTCCGTCAAAAAAAAAAATATATATATATACATATATACATACATACATATATATATATATATATATATAGAGAGAGAGAGAGAGAGAGAGAGAGAGAGAGAGAGAGAGAGAGAGTAGAGGTTCTCAACCTTATTGTGCATAGAGTTATGTGAGGAGCTTGGTAACTGTGCAGGTTTCCTGAGCCCAGCTCCAAAATCCTCATTCTCCAGGTCTAAAACAGGGCCCAGAAATTTGAAGGTTTAACAAGCACCAAGATGGATCTGATGCAGAGGTTCAAGGATTTTGATTTGGGAAACACCGGCATGAACAGTTGCCTACTGCACAAACACAGTAAACTGGCCCTATGTCTCTCTCTCCCTTTTTCAGCAGATTATCTCAAAGGTGAGTTGTTACAAGGCTTACCTAAACCTTCAGAGGAAAGTCCTCTGTACTAGACCCGTCAGTCATGATGTCTGCCATGTTCAACACTCTACTCATTGCCCCATGTTCAGGAAGGCAAACCCAGCTAGTTGTGACATGAGAGTGACGTTGACTATACCAGGGATGAACTCCACAATGTGATAGGTAAAGTAGCGTGGCACAAAGAGCTCTTTGCCCAATAGGATTGATAGTAACATGCTAAGAGAATCAGACTAACACCCTGTGAACCTGTTCCTATGGACTATGGAGAGAATTTTCCAGTCAGTGGCAAGAGGAGACTAGAAAAAACTTATACAGGCAACAAGGACATTATACAAGAAGAAGGGAGCAAGATGCTGTTGATTAGAACTGCTTGGAATCTAGTGGTTTTCTAGGCCATATGTATCTTTGTAATCTTTCTTTTCTTGAGGTATACTAATGGACCTCTGTTATCTATGATAAAAGAATTAAATTTATGCACCCTTTCTGAGGTTCCCAGTTCTTAGAAAACTCCTAATGCTAATGCCCACACTACAAAAAACTATCTCTAGGGTATGTTGCTGTCCACCTGAGGAGCTGGCAGTCCAGAAATAGGCCAATTGTTTCATTATCTCTCCAAGCAGACACACAAATCAAGAAAAGAAACCCTGAGCCCACTTTCTCAAGACCCTTCCTACTTTATAGATGCCTGCATCCCAAATGCCTCCCTTTCCTATCTCTAGTCTTCCTTGCTTGGTTCAGGCTGGTGGACAATTCAAGTTGTGTAGTCCTTTTCTGAACCATTTTCTTTCCACCACCTCTGGCTCCAGCCCATGAAGAGCCCAGGTTATTATATCTATGCCCAGAAGTGAAGAAGTTAAACAATCATCTTCTGTTTAGATAAGAGCAACAGCTGCTGGAAGGGTTCAAGGAGGGGATAGTAGAAGGCTGTGAGGAGGTCCCCAATCCCCATCTTTTTGCAGTACACCAGCCCCTAAGACACCCAAATAACTATCCTGCTTTTGTGGAAGGAAGAATGGCGTGGCATGGCGTGGCATTAACTTTGCCCTGCTCTCTGTCCCCTGATATCCTGTCTTCTGGGCAGCATGACCAGAATCTGTAAAAACAAAGGAATCCTTATCCTGATGTTCCTACTCCTCTACCTCCTTGAAACCAGGGCACTATCCTCTGAACTCATTAAGTATCCAGAATAGGGAAACAAATTCTAGCCCCAGAGCTGCTATAAATACACAGTGTGATGTTGGACTACTTAGTCACTTAATTTCTTGATACTTCAGTTTTCTCATAGGACTGTAGTGAGGAAGATCCCTGGTGAAAGTGCTGGACAAATCATCAGGCCTTCTGGTAGAGCAGTCCTCTGGGGACATGATAAATGGGAATGGCCTTACTCCTCTATGGCCTCCTGTTTCTCCTCTCCCCAACTCCATGCTGACAGCTGTTTCTCTAGCTTTAGTGAAAAGAGCGATTGATTATCTAATATCACAACATTGTTGAAGAGAAAAATAATTTGTAGACAATGAGAACAAAAGATCTATATGAGGAAAAGGGATACTTAGGACTCCCAAGATTAGAAATCTCTACTGAAACTCCTTATACAATTAAGTTTCAGGTTAGAAATATTTGGAAAATGCGATCTTGGGATCCCACCATTCTACACTGCATGAACTACCACCCAGATGACCCAACAAGGATATAGGAGGACTAGTGTTAACTTTTGATGAAGAGTTTGGCAAGTATCCCCCAAAGAGCTAAAACTAGCTGGCTATTTATGAAGTGTATAAGGTGTTCCAGTTGTATCCTCTGGGAATTCCTGTCCATCAATAGAAATCTGTCTCACAAGGTCCTGACCATTGCAAGAACCATAGCCCTGGGAAAATAGAATGACTAACAAAGTGGGATGATATTAAGGACTTCTATTAATTTATGTAACAGAAGAAAGTAAATCAGATATTTTAAACCTCTTCTCTTTTCTGCTTAGTGGGATACCTAAATCATCCAACTTGAAAAGTAAGAGCAGCTCCAGTGACACATAGGTATGGGGGAAACACAGGAAGGAATGATATCATGTAACGTAGCAACTACCCCTGAGCACAGTGCAGGAAGCAACACCATTCTGAGAAAAGAGTGTAGGTTCTGGAGTCAAATAGAGATGGGTGCAATTTCCAGTTCTGATACATTTCACCTGTGTTAACTGTCAAGCCTTGTGAAGGTTCTGAGATTTTTATCTTGCAAGCTAACCTACCACATTTCCATGGATGCTGACAGAAGACATGAGACTCCTGGGTCAGAGATAAGGGACTTTGTTTCTTACAGCAATAGTATTAGCCAGAGTACAAGTATTTTCTTGTGTCACTATCTCTTTCTCCTTCGTCTCATAAGAGCTACTTGAAGAGGGCCAGGTGACACCTGCACATGCTGTAGATTGCATTACTGAAAAGCAATACTGAATTTAATAAATCTGAATCTTTTACGATGGGCAGTAAGTGTTCCTGTCTTCTGCTCCAGAAGGAGATACGCTATCTTCCAAAGCTGTTCACTATACACATATCCTTGAAAAGGTAGTCTGGAACAATGTCAGTCACTGTCTGTACTCACAAGAAGTACAGAAACGTGAGACCCATGGGAAATCGTCTCACAATAATGATTATGAGAAAGTTACCTAACCTCTTTGAGTCTCTATCTTTTCATCTGAAAAATATGTATCATAATAGTACCTACCTCTGGAGTCATAAAGATTAAATGAGTTCATACCTGTCAAAGCACTAGACACTTAGAAGATGCTCAACATTAAATGTTTAGTTTCATTTCTCCCACTCCCACTTTCTCACCACTATGACTAGAAGGGCCTACTATTCTATCCTTCCTTTTCTGTTCTTGTAGTCGTCCCCTGGTTCCCAATGAAGACCTCAGTTTATTTCCCATCACCTTTACTCATACATTTACTAGTTTCCATCTGCATCCTGTCAGGATTGTAGTCCAACTTAATTAATTAATTAAGCAAATAGTTATTGAACACTTATGATGTGTCAGCTACTATGCAAGGTTCTAGGAATACAGTAGAGAATTTATTAAAAAATAAATCACATAGAATTATTGGTCACCAGGAAAGCATAACATATCCCGCATTTTACTCATTTGATCTCTGCTGCCCCACTGAGAATTAGACACTGTCCACATAGGGTTACATCTCTTACCGCTTTTCCTTAATGGAGCCAAACTTCACTCCTGGGCCCTAGCTAGGTGAAAGGTCAATCAAAACTTGTGGACCAGCAAGGATGTCAAACACTGTCCAAGGAGTGGAGTCCTATTACTTTCCAAGACAGGCAACAACACTAGTGATAGAAAGGAGGGTCGGGGAAATAAGGTTTCTGGAATCCGCTGAAGACTGGAAAGAACTGATCTCAGTTAACATTAGCAGAGTCATTCTTTAGGAGAAAACACAGTTGCCAAAGTGGTGTTTGAAAGCAAATCTGTTGACCTTCACTCCTAAGGAACCTATACAGTGTCTTCATTTTTTCATAATTAATTAGTTACACAAGCCTTTTTTCTCTTCTTCAAAGGTTAGTCTCCCCTCTAGCATATAAAGGATTATTACGCACTCCAAACTAGTCAGATATTTCACTGGATTGCTACCACTCTTCCTCCTACATGAATATTTTTTCTCTCCAAAAGGATTATAAGAACCTTGAAGACAAGACCTGTACTTTACACTTCTCTTATAACTGACTTCCACTCCTTCCATTACTAGCATAGCCTGCATCTGTTCAGTGACACAAACAATCTGTTCTTAAAAAATAACTAGCTAAAAAAAGGAATGATACTGTGGAATGGCATGGTGTTTACAAGCAGATTCATGGTGATTTTATTTATAAAAATTCCCAGACTTCTTTGGTCAGTCACCCTTATGGTATCAACAGAAACATTTTTTCCCAAGTAATTTGTAAGCCCAAACATATTGGTTTCCTTAGTTTCACAGATAGAAGGTCAGGTGTTAATTTGAACCAATCACATGCTAGCACAGTACTGCTAGGAATAGAAGCAACGAAACATTATCCCTATCTCTCACTTTAATCATTAGCTTGTCCTCTTTCTTAGTCTAATCCCTTTGATCAGGAGTCAGGAACCTTTCCAAGCATGCCAAAGCTTCTGCCACTGTTCCTCTATGAGGCAAGGGATAGAGGGTGATTAACTTCTGGGGAGGGCGTAGGGGGGAAGGTTGTTACCGCTCAGTTGTTGTAACTGGGGATCAAGAGGAGAAATAAACATTTTGGTGAGAGTGGGATTGGAAGGAACTTTCTTTTTTTTTAAATTATACTTTAAGTTTTAGGGTACATGTGCACAACGTGCAGGTTTGTTACATATGTATACATGTGCCATGTTGGTGTGCTGCACCCATTAACTCGTCATTTAACATTTGGTATATCTCCTAATGCTATCCCTCCCCACTCCCCCCACCCCACAACAGGCCCCGGTGTGTGATGTTCCCCTTCCTGTGTCCATGTGTTCTCATTGTTCAATTCCCACTTATGAGTGAGAGCATGTGGTGTTTGGTTTTTTGTCCTTGCAATAGTTTGCTGAGAATGATGGTTTCCAGCTTCATCCATGTCCCTACAAAGGACATGAGCTCATCCTTTTTTATGGCTGCATAGTATTCCATGGTGTATATGTGCCACATTTTCTTAATCCAGTCTATCATTGTTGGACATTTGGGTTGGTTCCAAGTCTTTGCTATTGTGAATAGTGCCACAATAAACATACGTGTGCATGTGTCTTTATAGCAGCATGATTTATAGTCCTTTGGGTATATACCCAGTAATGGGATGGCTGGGTCAAATGGTATTTCTAGTTCTAGATCCCTGAGGAATCACCACACTGACTTCCACAATGGTTGAACCAGTTTACAGTCCCACCAACAGTGTAAAAATGTTCCTATTTCTCCACATCCTCTCCAGCACCTGTTGTTTCCTGACTTTTTAATGATTTCCATTCTAACTAGTGTGAGATAGTATCTCATTATGGTTTTGATTTGCATTTCTCTGATGGCTAGTGATGATGAGCATTTTTTCATGTGTCTTTTGGCTGCATAAATGTCTTCTTTTGAGAAGTGTCCATTCATATCCTTTGCCCACTTTTTGATGGGGTTGTTTGTCTTTTTCTTGTAAACTTGTTTGAGTTCATTGTAGATTCTGGGTATTAGCCCTTTGTCAGATGAGAAAATTGCAAAAATTTTCTCCCATTTTGTAGGTTTCCTGTTCACTCTGATGGTAGTTTCTTTTGCTGTGCAGAGGCTCTTTAGTTTAATTAGATCCCATTTGTCAATTTTGGCTTTGGTTGTCATTGCTTTTGGTGTTTTAGACATGAAGTCCTTGCCCATGCCTATGTCCTGAGTGGTATTGCCTAGGTTTTCTTCTAGGGTTTTTAAGGTTTTAGGTCTAACATTTAAGTCTTTAATCCATCTTGAATTAATTTTTGTATAAGGCGTAAGGAAGGGATCCAGTTTCAGCTTTCTATATATGGCTAGCCAGTTTTCCCAGCACCATTTATTAAATAGTGACTTGTTTCCCCATTGCTTGTTTTTGTCAGGTTTGTCAAAGATCAGATGGTTGTAGATATATGGCATTATTTCTGAGGACTCTGTTCTGTTCCATTGGTCTATATGTCTGTTTTGGTACCAGTACCATGCTGTTTTGGTTACTGTAGCCTTGTAGCATAGTTTGAAGTCAGGTAGCGTGATGCCTCCAGCTTTGTTCTTTGGGCTTAGGATTGACTTGGCAATGTGGGCTCTTTTTTGGCTCCATATGAACTTTAAAGTAGTTTTTTCCAATTCTGTGAAGAAAGTCATTGGTAGCTTGATGGGGATGGCATTGAATCTATAAATTACCTTGGGCAGTATGGCCATTTTCACGATATTGATTCTTCCTATCCATGAGCATGGAATGTTCTTCCATTTGTTTGTATCCTCTTTTATTTCATTGAGCAGTGATTTGTAGTTCTCCTTGAAGAGGTCCTTCACATCCCTTGTAAGTTGGATTCCTAGGTATTTTATTCTCTTTGAAGCAATTCTGAATGGGAGTTCACTCATGATTTGGCTCTCTGTTTGTCTGTTATTGTTGTATAAGAATGCCTGTGATTTTTGCACATTGATTTTGTATCCTGAGACTTTGCTGAAGTTGCTTATCAGTTTAAGGAGATTTTGGGCTGAGACGATGGGGTTTTCTAGATATATAATCATGTCATCTGCAAAGAGGGACAATTTGACTTCCTCTTTTCCTAATTGAATACCCTTTATTTCCTTCTCCTGCCTGATTGCCCTGGCCAGAACTTCCAACACTATGTTGCATAGGAGTGGTGAGAGAGGGCATCCCTGTCTTGTGCCAGTTTTCAAAGGGAATGCTTCCAGTTTTTGCCCATTCAGTGTGATATTGGCTGTGGGTTTGTCATAGACAGCTCTTATTATTTTGAGATACGTCCCATCAATACCTAATTTATTGAGAGTTTTTAGCATGAAGGGTTGTTGAATTTTGTCAAAGGCCTTTTCTGCATCTATTGAGATAATCATATGGTTTTTGTCTTTGGTTCTGTTTGTATGCTGGATTACATTTATTGATTTGTGCATGTTGAACCAGCCTTGCATCCCAGGGATGAAGCCCACTTGATCTTGGTGGATAAGCTTTTTGATGTGCTGCTGGATTTGGTTTGCCAGTATTTTATTGAGGATTTTTGCATAGATGTTCATCAGGGATATTGGTGTAAAATTCTCTATTTTTGTTGTGTCTCTGCCAGGCTTTGGTATCAGGATGATGCTGGCCTCATCAACTGAGTTAGGGAGGATTCCCTCTTTTTCTATTGATTGGAATAGTTTCAGAAGGAATGGTACCAGCTCCTCCTTGTACCTCTGGTAGATTTCGGCCATGAATCCATCTGGTCCTGGACTTTTTTTGGTTGGTAAGCTATTAATTATTGCCTCAATTTCAGAGTCTGTTGTTGGTCTATTCAGAGATTCAACTTCTTCCTGGTTTAGTCTTGGGAGGGTGTATGTGTCAAGGAATTTATCCATTTCTTCTAGATTTTCTAGTTCATTTGCGTAGAGGTGTTTATAGTATTCTCTGATGGTAGTTTGTATTTCTGAGGGATCGGTGGTGATATCCCCTTTATCATATTTTATTGCGTCTATTTGATTCTTCTCTCTTTTCTTCTTTATTAGTCTTGCTAGCGGTCTATCAATTTTGTTGATCTTTTCAAAAAACCAGCTCCTGGATTCATTGATTTTTTGAAGGGTTTTTTGTGTCTCTATCTCCTTCAGTTCTGCTCTGATCTTAGTTATTTCTTGCCTTCTGCTAGCTTTTGAATGTGTTTGCTCTTGCTTCTCTAGTTCTTTTAATTGTGCTGTTAGGGTGTCGATTTTAGATCTTTCCTGCTTTCTCTTGTGGACATTTAGTGCTATAAATTTCCCTTTACACACTGCTTTGAATGTGTCCCAGAGATTCTGGTATGTTGTGTCTTTGTTCTCATTGGTTTCAAAGAACATCTTTATTTCTGCCTTCATTTCATTATGTACCCAGTAGTCACTCAGGAGCAGGTTGTTCAGTTTCCATGTAGTTGTGTGGTTTTGAGTGAGTTTCTTAATCCTGAGTTCTAGTTTGATTGCATTGTGGTCTGAGAGACAGTTTGTTATAATTTCTGTTCTTTTACATTTGCTGAGGAGTGCTTTACTTCCAACTATGTGGTCAATTTTGGAATAAGTGTGGTGTGGTGCTGAGAAGAATGTATATTCTGTTGATTTGGGGTGGAGAGTTCTGTAGATGTCTATTAGGTCCACTTGGTGCAGAGCTGAGTTCAATTCCTGGATATCCCTGTTAACTTTCTGTCTCGTTGATCTGTCTCATGTTGACAGTGGGGTGTTAAAGTCTCCCATTATTATTGTGTGGGAGTCTAAGTCTCTTTGTAGGTCTCTGAGGACTTGCTTTATGAATCTGGGTGCTCCTGTATTGGGTGCATATATATTTAGGATAGTTAGCTCTTCTTGTTGAATTGATCCCTTTACCATTATGTAATGGCCTTCTTTGTCTCTTTTGATCTTTGTTGGTTTAAAGTCTGTTTTATCAAAGACTAGGATTGCAACCCCTGCTTTTCTTTTTTTGTTTTCCATTTGCTTGGTAGATCTTCCTCCATCCCTTTATTTTGAGCCTATGTGTGTCTCTGCACGTGAGATGGGTTTCCTGAATACAGCACACTGATGGGTTACTTGACTCTTTATCCGATTTGCCAGTCTGTGTCTTTTAATTGGAGCATTTAGCCCATTTACATTTAAGGTTAATATTGTTATATGTGAATTTGATCCTGTCATTATGATGTTAGCTGGTTATTTTGCTCGTTAGTTGATGCAGTTTCTTCCTAGCATCCATGGTCTTTACAATTTGGCATGTTTTTGCAGTGGCTGGTACCGGTTGTTCCTTTCCATGTTTAGTGCTACCTTCAGGAGCTCTTTTAGGGCAGGCCTGGTGGTGACAAAATCTCTCAGCATTTGCTTGTCTGTAAAGGATTTTATTTCTCCTTCACTTATGAAGCTTAGTTTGGCTGGATATGAAATTCTGGGTTGAAAATTCTTTTCTTTAAGAATGTTGAATATTAGCCCCCACTCTCTTCTGGCTTGTAGAGTTTCTGCCAAGAGATCAGCTGTTAGTCTGATGGGCTTCCCTTTGTGGGTAACCCGACCTTTCTCTCTGGCTGCCCTTAACATTTTTTCCTTCATTTCAACTTTGGTGAATCTGACAATTTTGTGTCTTGGAGTTGTTCTTCTCAAGGAGTATCTTTGTGGAGTTCTCTGTATTTCCTGAATTTGAATGTTGGCCTGCTTTGCTAGGTTGGGGAAGTTCTCCTGATAATATCCTGCAGAGTGTTTTCCAACTTGGTTCCATTCTCCCCGTCACTTTCAGGTACTCCAATCAGATGTAGATTTGGTCTTTTCACATAGTCCCATATTTCTTGGAGGCTTTGTTGGTTTCTTTTTATTATTTTTTTCTCTAAACTTCTCTTCTCGCTTCATTTCATTCATTTGATCTTCCATCACTGATACCCTTTCTTCCAGTTGATTGAATCGGCTACTGAGGCTTGTTCATTCGTCACGTAGTTCTCATGCCTTGGTTTTCACCTCCATCAGGTCGTTGAAGGACTTCTTTGCATTGGTTATTCTAGTTAGCCGTTCGTCTAATTTTTTTTCAAGGTTTTTAACTTCTTTGCCATGGGTTCGAACTTCCTCCTTTAGCTTGGAGTAGTTTGATCGTCTGAAGCCTTCTTCTCTCAACTTGTGAAAGTCATTCTCCATCCAGCTTTGTTCTGTTGCTGGTGAGGAGCTGCGTTCCTTTGGAGGAGGAGAGGTGCTCTGATTTTTAGAATTTCCAGTTTTTCTGCTCTGTTTTTTCCCCATCTTCGTGGTTTTATCTACCTTTGGTCTTTGATGATGGTGACGTACAGATGGGGTTTTGGTGTGGATGTCCTTTCTGTTTGTTGGTTTTCCTTCTAACAGTCAGGACCCTCAGCTGCAGGTCTGTTGGAGTTTGCTGGATATCCACTCCAGACCCTGTTTGCCTGGGTATCAGCAGCAGAGGCTGCAGAACAGGGGATATTGCTGAGCAGCAAATGTTGCTGCCTAATTTTTCCTCTGGAAGTTGTATCTCAGAGGAGTACCTGACCTTGTGAGATGTCAGTCTGCCTCTACTGGGGGATGCCTCCTAATTAGGCTACTCGGGGGTCAGGAACCCACTTGAGGAGGCAGTCTGTCTGTTCTCAGATCTCCAGCTGCGTGCTGGGAGAACCACTACTCTCTTCAAAGCTGTCAGACAGGGACTTAAGTCAGACCACAGACTTAAGTCTGCAGAGGATTCTGCTGCCTTTTTTTGGCTATGTCCTGCCCCCAGAGGTGGAATCTACAGAGGCAAGCAGGCCTCCTTGAGCTGTGGTGGGCTCCACCCAGTTCGAGCTTCCTGGCCGCTTTGTTTACCTACTCAAGCCTTGGCAATGGTGGGCGCCCCTCCCCCAGCCTTGCTGCCGCCTTGCAGTTTGATCTCAGACTGCTGTGCTAGCAATGAGCGAGGCTCCGTGGGAGTAGGACCCTCCGAGCCAGGCGCGAGATATAATCTCCTGGTGTGCCATTTGCTAAGACCATTGGAAAAGCGCAGTATTAGGGCGGGAGTGACCCGATTTTCCAGGTGCCATCTGTCACCCCTTTCTTTGACTAGGAAAGGGAATTCCCTGACCTGTTGTGCTTCCCGGGTGAGGGGATGCCTCATCCTGCTTTGGCTGATGCTTGGTGCGCTGCACCCACTGTCCTGCACCCACTTTCTGACACTCCCCAGTGAGATGAATGCAGTACCTCAGTTGGAAATGGAGAAATCACCCATCTTCTGTGTCACTCACGCTGGGAGCTGTAGACTGGAGCTGTTCCTATTCAGCCATCTTCGCTCCACTCCCAGAAGGAACTTTCAATGTGGCAGCAAGGAGAACCTCACAAGTAGGGAAGAAGAAAAGGCTATAACAACTGCAAAAATTAACCCAGGCATTGAATTTGGCTGTTCACTTACCAGGACTCAATTTAGGGTACCTTGGGAAGTCAATAATTCTTAACTTGTTTCTAGAGAAGAAGAGTGGTGTAATGGGAAAAGCATAGAATTTGGACTTTGAAGTGCTCAATATACTTAAGTCTAAAGTTAACATATTGATGCACCCACTAAAAAATGAGCACTATAACAATAATTACTTCCAGACATTTTTCCCTTTTTAAAATTATGAAATATACATACAACAATTTTAATAGAGTTTTTAGAGCAGGTTTGACTCACAGCAAAACTGAGAGAAAGATGCACAGATACACCATATAATCCCTACCCCCACGTATGCATTGCTTTCTTATTATCAATATTCCCAACCAGAGTGGTACATTTGTTACAACTGATGAACCTAAATTGAGACATACATGTGGCCAACAAGCATATGAAAAAAAGCTCAATATCACTGATCATTAGAGAAATGCAAATCAAAACCACAGTGAGATACCATCTCACACCAATCAGAATAGCTACTATTAAAAAGTCAAAAAAATCACATGCTGGCAAGGTTATGGAGAAAAGGGAACACTTACACACTATTGGTGGGAGTGTAAATTGGTTCAACCATTGTGGAAAGCAGTGTTGAGTTCCTCAAAGAGCTAAAAACAGAACTACCACTCAACCCAGTAATCCAATTACTGGGTATATACCCAGAGGAATATAAATCAGTCTACCATAAAGACACATGCATATGAATGTTCACTGCAGCACTATTCACAATAGCAAAGACACTGAACCAACCTAAATGCCCATCAATGTCAAACTACATAAAGGAAACGTGGTACATATACACCGTGAAATACTATGCAGCCAAAAAAAAGAACAAGATCATGTGTTTTGCAGGAACATGGATGGCGCCGGAGGCCATTATCCTTAGCAAACTAATGCAGTCACAGAAAAGCAAATACCACATGTTCTCACTTGTAAGAGAGAACTAATTGATGAGAACACATGGACACATAGAAGGGAACAATAGACAATGGGGCCTGTCAGAGGGTGGAGAGTGGGAGGAGGGAGAGGAGCAGAAAAAGTAACTATTGAGTATTAGTTTTAGTACCTGGGTGACTAAATAATCTGTACAACAAAGCCCCATGACACGAGTTTACCTATATAACAAATCTGCACATGTACCCCTGCACCTAAAATAAAAGTTAAAAAGAAAGAAACATTATCACCCAAATATCACCCATAGTTTACATTAGGGTTTACTCCTGGTGTTGCACATTCTAAGGGTTTTGACGAATGCGTAAAGACATTAATGACGTGCATTGACTATTGTACTAGCATACAGAATAGTTTCACTGCCTTAAAAGTCTTCTGCACTTTATTGATTACTTCCTCCCTCCTAACCCCTAGCAACCACTGGACTTTTTATGATCTCTATAGTTTTACTTTTTCCAGAATGTTATACAGCTGAAATCATACAGTACGTAGCCATCCAAATTGGCTTCTCTCACTTAGTAATACACATTTAAAATTCCTCCATGTCTTTTCATGGTTTGATAGTTCATTTATTTTTAGTACTGATTATATACAGATTTGATGCATAAAATATTACCGTACAGCCTAATGAAAACTTATAAAGATAACGTCACAGGATAACCACTGCCTAAGTCAAGAAATAAAAGACTGACAGCATTCAAGAAGCAACATATCCCATGTAGACTTCTAAAAGAAAACTAGTTGGGACTCTAAAATTTCAATAACATGAAAAGAAAAGTTAGGAGGTCTGTTTTAAGTTAAAAAAATATAAAAGGACAAGCAACAAAATGCAGTGTGTGAATCTTGTTTGGTTGCTGGCTTCCCACCCTACCCACCTAAAAAATTATAAAAGATTCTTGGAGAAACTTGAACATGGACTATTCATTAAATAATACTATAGAACTGTGTTAATTTACTCAAGAATGATAATGTATTGTGGTTACATAAGAAGATGTCCTTAATTTGGGAGATGCATGCAGAAGTTCATAGGGATGAAGTTTCCTAATGTCTGCAACATGTTTTGATATGGTTCAGGAAAAATATATGTATGGGAGTTCCATTTCTGGCATAAGAATGTGAGATCTGTGGACTGGTTCTCCCATGAAATGAAAAATTAGGAAAAAAATCCCCAAACCATTAAAAGTCTCTGGAAATGAGTATGAAGACATACAGTGAATGAAGGAACATCTAATCAAGAAAGTCTATTAAAACTCGGTGAGAACATTGAGAGTTTGGTACTTGAACCAAGACTCATCCTCTCCCTTCTTTCCCAGCTCTGTGAGAAGAAATTCCACTCCAGATTGGTACAGCCAAGGACACAGGGCTCCATCTTCCCCCAGCTCCAAGCTGGAAGATTATCTTCTCTGGAGGGGCAGGATGTGAGTGTTTTTCATCCTTCCCTCAACTACCTGTTGCTGAGGCTAAGATCCAGTGAATGTAGTCAAGAAGTGTGGGTTTCCTTCTTCCAACCATCCTCCACTTGGTGGGATGGAGGCTTTACCTTGGGCATGGCACTGCTAAGAATACTGGGGCCCTGATCATCCTTGCCCTGGCTTGTAAGATAGTGGTTTCATACTGGTAGAGGCAAGCCTAGGAGACATAACGCTACTGCCCCCCGACCCACCCACTTCACGGAGCATTAAGTTCCTAGAGTGGGAGTGTCACTCAGAAAAAAGTGTGCTGTTTTACCCACCCCCAGCTCCAGGGCCATGGCTCAGAAATTTTGTCTTGTGGGAGAAGCAGGCCATAAACAGAAAGCTCTGAATGTCTTCCCAAATGAACTGACTTCATTTGCAACAGAGTGCAGAGAAGTTCCAGTTGAAAGGTGTTCTCAGAAACAGTGGAGAGTGTGGTGAAAGGCAGGAGAATGGGAGATTCATTCATCACAAGCTAAACTGTAAGCTGGCTAGTTTGCTGGAGAGAACCTGGGAAAGAGACAGCTAGAAGAAGACTTTCAAGGGTCAGAACAAACCTCAAATACTTGCCTCAGGAAATGTCCTTTCAAGGGAGTCTGAATGTTTGTTTGTTTGTTTAATTTTTTATTTCCATAGGTTTTTGGGGGACAGGTGGTATTTGGTTACATGATAGTGGTGATTTGTGAGATTTTGGTGCACCCATCACCCTAGCAGTATACACTGAACCCAATTTGTAGTCTTTTATCCTTCACCCCCTTCCCACCTTTTTCCCCCTGAGTACAAGGGATTCTGAATTTAATTGGATTAGTCTGTTGAGCAATTTATGCTCCCAGAGCATTGTTGAAAACAATAGGGCAATCAGTTGAAAATTCGTGGAGTTTAACAGCTAGGTTTGGTTAGGGATAAAGAGACTAAGAGAGCCCTGTGAAAACCATTGTTATCACCGGGTAAGGTGGGAATACCCAAGGCTGCATCACTAAGAAGCAATATCACAGCCTTCACATTGTGATGGTAAATAGGAAATAGACTTCACTGAAATAATCCAGACAGCCATTAAACAACAAAACAAAACAAAATGAAAACAAGCAAATACAAATAACAAGCCTTTAAGCAGGGATCAGTACCCAGAGTTGCTATAATATATTATCTAAAATATTCCATTTCCAACAAACATTATGAGACATGCAAAGAAACAGGAAAGTATAATTTATACATGAGGGGAGAAAGGCAGGCAACAGAAACTGTTTGTGACAGTGTTATGGACTGAATGTTTGTGTCCATCCAAAATTCATATGTTGAAGCCCTAACCCCACTGTGATGGTATTTGAAAGTGGAGCTGTCTTAGTCCATTTTCTGTTGCTGTAACTGAATACTACAGACTGAGAAATTTATAAAGAATAAAAGTTTATTTAACTTATGGTCCTAGAGGCTGGGAAGTCCAATATTTAGTAGCTGCCATCTGATGAGGACCCTCTTGCTGCATCGTAACACAGTAAAAGATATCACATATTGAGAGAGCAAGAGCAGCTCAAGTCTCTTCTTATAAAGCCACCAATTCCATCATGGGGGCCCCACCCTTGTGACCTTCTCTAATCCTAATTACCTCCTAAATGTCCCACAGCCAAATGACATCAACATATCAATTTGGGGATTAAGTTTCCAACACATAAAATGTGGGGGACTTGCCAGGCATAGTGGTTCATGTCTGTAATCCCAGCAAGTCGGGAGGCCAAGGCAGGAGGATTGCTTTGACCCAGGAGTTTGAGACCAACCTGGGCAACATAGCAAGACCCCATCATTAAAAACATAAAAAATAAAAAGAAAAGAAAACTGGGGGGACACACTCAAAACATAGCAAGGTCTTTGGGAGGTAACTGGGTTTAGATGAGGGCATGAGGTTAGGGCTCCCATGATGGGATTAGTGTCGTTATAAGAAGAAGAGACTGAAGCTTGCACACATGCTCTCTCCCCCCAGTGATGATACAGCAAGAAGGCAGCCATCTGCAAGCCAGAGAGAGGGCTCTGACCAGAACCCAACTATGCTTGCACCTTAAGTTTTTAATTCCAGCTTCTATACGTGCGAGAAAATACACTTCTGTTGTTTAGGCTACCCAGTCTACGGTATTTGTTATAGCAGCTGAACCAACTAAGACAGACAGTGACCACATGATAGATTTAACAAATACTTCTAAATAGCCATTATGAACATATTCAAAGAATGAAAGGAAATCATGATT
Organism: Homo sapiens; assembly: GCF_000001405.40. Classification (NCBI taxonomy): domain Eukaryota; kingdom Metazoa; phylum Chordata; class Mammalia; order Primates; family Hominidae; genus Homo; species Homo sapiens. The sequence goes on along the minus strand of NC_000023.11, from coordinate 120,339,468 downwards.
AAAGAAGAAAAGGCATGATGACAGTATCACATCAAATACAAAATATCAATAAAGGGATATAAATTATGAGAAAGAGCCAAATCTAACTTCTGGAGTTGAAAAGCAAAATAACTGAATTAAAAATGTCTCTAGAGAGACTCAGCAGTAGATTTGAACTGGCAAAAGAAAGAATTGGTCAACTTGAAGATAGACCAACAGAGTTTATCCAATCCAAAGAACAAGAAAAAAAGATCAATAAAAAAATGAAATGACCCTCAGGGAAATTTAGGACACCATTAAGGACACTGGTATACATGCAATGGGAGTACCAGAAGGACATAAGAGAGAGAAAACAGTAGAAAAATTATTTGAAGAAATGATGGCTGAAAATTTCACAAATTTATTGCAAAACACCTACACATCTAGGAAGCTCAATAATTTCTAAGCAGAATAAAAAAAGATATACAAAAACAGATACATCATAGTAAAACTGCTGAAAGTCAAAGACGAGGAGAACATCTGGAAATTGGCAAGTGAAAAATGATTCATCACCTACAAGGGAACCTGAATGAGATAGCTGACTTCTCATTAGACACAATGGAGAACATTTTCATTTGTATATTGGCCATTTGGATTTTTCACTTTTGTAAAGTAACTGTTTATGGTTTTCACCCATTTTTAAATTTTGTATCATTTTCCAGCAATTCTGTATATGTTCCAGGTCCTAGAACTTTATTTGAGACATATTTATAGCTCTATCTATCTATCTATTGGAAATCATGATTAAAGAAGAATAGGCATGATGACAATAGACAGATATAGATGCTACCTTATAGCTCACTTTTTAATTCTCTTAATGGTGTCTTTTGATGAACTGGACTATTTAATTTTAATGTGGTCAGTTATGAATTCTTTCCTTTATGGTTAATGGTTTTGTGTACTGCTGAAAAGGTTCTTCACTAGCCCATGGTTGTGAATATAATCACTTATATTTTAAAAGCATAATTTTGCCTTTCGGATTTAGATTTATAACTACTTGTAACTGATTTGAGGGTATTAATTGAAGTAAGGTTCATATATACTCTTACTACCCAATTCTGCTTCCTTCTTGTTTATCTTTTAGAGATGATACTCACACACTCCCAATAAACTTCTTGTATTTCTAACTCCATTTAGCATCTGTTTACTGGAGGTCTTAAAACTACACACCTTATTCTATTTTTCTGCGTTGCTACCTCTGTCATAAAAGAAGTCTCCATATATATTAATCTGCTTCAGGGCTCTCTTTTCTGTACTATTTGTCTGTTTGTTTACCTCTGCCAATATTATATTGTCTCATTTACTATAGCTTTATAATATGTCTGATATTTGGTAAAGCGAATTCTCTCACTGTTTTGCTTCATCAAAAGTGTCTACAATATCTCTAATCCATTCCAATGTTTTAAACTATTCTGACATCTTCCACATTTTTATCTCTGTACCAGAATGCCCACTGCCAAGCTTTAGATTTTTAAACACAGCTAGTATCTCTACCTGGATATCTTACAGATATCTCAAATGCCAAAAGTTCAAAATTGAATTAGAGTGATGTCAAAAGCAATAGTGTAGTAAGGAAGAAAAATTTTTCCAAAGAAACTATGAGAATGGTGGCAAAAATGGCCAGAATCAACTTTTATTTTTATTTTTATTTTTAATTTTTTTTAGATGGAGTCTCACTCTGTCACCCAGGCTGGAGTGCAGTGGCACAATCATGGCTCACAGCAACCTCTGCCACCCAGGTTCAAGCCATTCTCCTGCTTCAGCCTCCCAAGTAGCTGGGATTATAGGCACCCACCACCACACCCAGCTAATTTTTGTATTTTTTGTACAGATGGGGTTTCACCATGTTGGCCAGGCTGATCTCAAACTCCTGACCTCAGGTGATCTGCCCACCTCAGCCTCCCAAAGTGCTGGGATTACAGGTGTGAGCCACTGCACCTGGCCCAGAATCAACTTTTTAGACTCTGGAAATTAACCAAAGTTTTGTAGGAAGCAGGAAGTGTTTGTTGAAGAAAAACAACTAAATTATGCAAAAACAACAAGCTCTACAATGTTTTAACTTGTTCTATGCCCATCCCCTTCTCTCCAGCTCTGCAGTAGCCTTGAAAACATATCACACAATAATGTGGAAAATCAGGAGCTTGTAAGTCACTAGAGGAGGAAGAATGGAGTTAGAGCTCCTTCAAAGCTCTATACTCATGTAATTGTCATTACTTGACCCATATGATAGTTCCCTGGAAGACTCTACTCACAAAGTTTGTCTTTATTTTACCTGACTCAGAGCTTGTTCAGTGTGAAAAGCCTTTCATTGAAGATATTTGTTGAAAACAATAAGTGGCAATTGTTTAACATCATGGCTGCCTGCTGTTGAAGTGGATAACAGTTAGGGCAAACATTGTAGACTGACCAAAAAGCTTAAAATAAAAAATGGGGAAATTAAAACTCCACAGGGGCTTTGACAAGCTCTGACAAATTCTCAAGAACCTAGGAGGGAATACATATGCATAGGATTTCCCATTCCCAGGGCTGTGAACATGTTCAGAAAAGACCTGAGAATGTCCAAAGCTGTCATTCCTGACTGACTTTGAGGCCCCACATGAGGAGGAGATGAAAGCCACGACAAAGTTTCAAATCAACTGGCCAAGTGCCAAATGCCTCCAAATAAACACAGAGCCCTTAATAAAGAGTGGAAGCCTTATTGGTTTTAGGCACTTCAGGAGATATCTGTCTCATCATTAGCTGACCACCAAGCTAATCAAGCAGAGACATCAGTGATCACACATGACAAAAATATAAACTTTACAGATCACTTCAGTAAAATTATTAAACAGCAACAGTAATAAAAACAAATGGCAACAAAAACATGCCCTGGAATTAAGAGAGAATCTTATTTCCAGAATTGCCACATTGCATTATTTAAAATATTCAGTTTTCAAAAAAAATTGAGAAATACAAAGAAAAATAAGAAAGTATGGACCATAATGGTGTGGGTGTGTCAGGGGAAGGTGGCAGTAGGAAAAGGCAGTCGATAAGAATTGTCCCTGAGAAAGCCCAGACATCACAATTACTACACAAAAAACTTTATGTGAGATGATTTAAATATGCTCAAATAAAGGAATCCAAATCTACAGAACTAAAGGAAAGTATAATAATGATGTCTCAACAAATAGGGATTATCAATGAAGAAATAGAAATTATAAAAATAATGAAAAGGAAAGTGTGGAGTCAAAAAGTACAAAAACACAAATGAAAAAGTCACTAGAGGAATGTGACAGCAGAATTGAGCCAATCAAAGAAAGAATTAGTGAATTTAAAGATACGTTAATTGAGAGTATTGAATCTGAAGGGCAAAAAGAAAAAATAAAGAAAAATGCATAGAGACTCATAGAGCTGTTGAACATGACCAAGCATACCAACATAGACATGATAGGAGACCCAGAAAGAGAGGAGAGAGAGAATAGCAGAAAACGTATATTTGAAGAAATAATGACAGAAAGCTTTCTGAATTTCACTAAAAACAAGAATCTACACATTCAAAAAACAAAAAGAACTCCAAGTAGTATAAACTTAAAAAGATCCACATCTAGCCAGGCACGGTGACTCATGCCTGTAATCCCAGCACTTTGGGAGGCCAAGGTGGGCGGATCACGAGATCAGGAGATCAAGATCATCCTGGCTAACATGGTGAAACACCATCTCTACTAAAAAATACAAAAAATTAGCCGGGTGTGGTGGCAGGCACCTGTAGTCCCAGCTACTCGGGAGGCTGAGGCAGGAGAAGGGTGTGAACCCAGGAGGCAGAGCTTGCAATGAGCTGAGATCACACCTTTGCACTCCAGCCTGGGTGACAGAGCAAGACTGTCCAAAAAAAAAAAAAAAGTCCACATATAGACACGTTATAATCAAACTGTCAAATGACAATCTTGAAAGCAGCAAGAGAGAAGTGACTCATTAGATAGAAGGGTTACTCAACAAGATTAACAGCTAATTTCTCATCAGAAACCATGGACACCAGAAGGCAGTAAGATGACATACTAAAAGTGCTGAAATAAAAGTATTGTCAACTAAGAATTCTACAGCCAGCAAATCAACTCTTTAAAAATGAAAAAGAAATTAAGACATTCTCAGATAAACAAAAACTGAGAGTGTTGCTGGCAGACGTGCCTACAAGAAATCCTAAAGTGGGGGTTTTCTGGCCACAGTGAAAAAGCAGGCGATAGCAACTCGAATCTACATGAAAAAGCAAATAAACCAGTAAATTTAACTACATAGTAAATATAAAAGACAATATCAGTGTATTTTTTCTTTGTTACTCTTTGTTTTGATAATCACTTCTTTACCCCATTGGTGAAGGATGGATCTCCAACCTAGGGTTATGGAGATGGCTGAAGACACCTGACACTGAACAAATGAGATCAACAGCAGTTTTTTAGTCACATATACCCACGACCCAGGGGAGGAAGACACATGCCATGCAAGACCACAAGGCGCTTGTGTTTGGGACCAGAGTGAACAAGCAGGGTCTGTGGGAGGCAGACTTTGTAATATCAAGAGGATAAGGTGATCCTTGGTTCCCACAGAAGAATGTGATTGGCTCATTTGAATAATGACATGGGCTGGCAGGGACTGAGGCCTGCTACTCAGTGATAAATAACAACTGTGTCTGATCCCTGTGATAAGGAGAGCTTTTTGGCTAGGGGACCTTATCAGTAGGAGCAGAATGGGGAAGGGAACTTGTGGTTAGGCTATTTGAGACCTTCCTGATTTTTCTAGATGTCAAGGCAGCACTTACTATTAATTTTAGGATTTATATCACAACTGACCCCTTGATGTTTTGACATCAGTTTAAACTTGTTGATCACTGCAACTTTGGGGGGAATAGAAGCAGAACATTCCTAGGAAGCAAAGTAGGCACTTGACCAGAAGAAAGATGGGTACATGGTGAGGTGGTCATCAAAAATACATTAACATTAGAGGTATCCCCATTTATGGCCAATAAAGGCATTTGAGGGACCTGTGTGACATTGGTACAGGGAAGGCATGTCCCCAGGGGGCATGAATTTAGACTAATCAATGTCTGTGGCAACAGTGACACCCAGTGGGGTGTCCATTTGTCACTTTGCAAATTAAATTAGAGTTCTCTGAAGAACCCATTATGCTTCCAATTAAACCAGCTGCCTGAGACCTATAGGGGTGGTAGAAGTTCCATTGAATGCTTTCTTCAATAGCTCGGCATTGTGTATTCTGAGAAGCGAAATGAGGGCCTTTGCCAATATCAGAAATGTCTGGAACTCCAAAGGGGATAAGAAGTATCCTGGTAAGGCCATGTATCGTGGCCTTAGTATATGTAGAGATGTGTGTGACCTTGATTTACAGATTGGGTATCTATGAGGCAAGAGATTCCCAGAGTTCTTTACCCCAAAGGAGGCAACTTTTAGGCAGTGGACCAAGAGTTTGCAAAAATGTCCAGATGGAACTATTTTTTGGCCAGGGCATTCAATGTTAAGATGACTGCCTGAAGTGTGGCTAATTGTGCTGACTCTTGGGTCCCATTCTTTTCAGGGACATTCTGGTTAAGGGATGGAAAAGCAGGAACATTCTGCTGAACTCCATCATGTATGATGGCAAGATATCATCCATAAAGTGTATGAATTTCTATTGCTGATCACTCAGTTGATCCTAAGGAGGTTCTTCAGGTAGCCAAGGGCCTGGGAGAGGGCTGACTTCCTCCAGTATTATGGCATCCAACAAGACTGAGAATAAGGGAGGCCAGTCCCTCCTGTAAGATTTACTAGAGTGACCAGGTTTGGCTCTGCTCTGTAGCAAAGAGGCCTCAGTAGCTGTGCTGTGCTTGTGAGGTTCTGCTTCCATAACACAAGACATAATGAGCAGCTGGGTATAGAAGATTACAGGTACAGGGGCTGCAAGAGCCTAGATTTTCAGGATAGCCCAGTATGTGGCCAGCAATTGCTGCCCTAATGGTATATAGTGCAGGTCTGAGAAGGGCAGTGCAGTTTCTTGCACCAGAAGCCTATGGACTGCTTATGTTCGTCATAGGTGGTCCAGAGACCCGAGAAGGCATGAGAGGAGGTTGCTAAAGCTTCTATGGTGAATGAGTCTCTGAGGACACTAACAGGAGTGCCTGTTGATTTGAATTTGGACAGATTCTAGGCTTTTTGTTGGAGAAGGATCCATTCAAGGTGGGCTGATTTGCAAATAACAACATCAGTGAAATTAATTAAATTTGAAACTGAGGAATATGTTGCTTCCAGAACCCCAAAAGTACTAAAAGATGGACATACTAACACTGGGTGCTAAAAGGATCGATAGTTTTTTCTTAACAATGTCAGGAATACAGTAGCTTTCAGTTTACCAAATAATGTTCCGGAATTTAATAGAGGTGGCGGGGCTTTACACTATGTGTGGAGCAATGTTCTTCCCCCTTTTTGTGAGCTCCTTTGTATTTGTAAGTCCTTAATAAATGTGTCAGATGAATCTCCTTGGAGGAGGATGTCATCAATGTAATGTCATACCTGGTCATACGTGTGCCCCTACAGAAAGGTGAGTGCAATTGGGATCTTGCCTGCAAAGATTATGTGCCAGGCAAGGCCTGGCAAACATGTATTGTGTCCTTTAGGTGGTGGAGACAAATGCAATTGAGAGGCTATGAAAAAGACACTAAACAGAACATATCCAAATCTAAAATAGGACAATATTTACCAATTGCTCATTGGATGAGTCAGTAATTCCAATAATATTGAGTATTGGGTATGGGGGCCTCAGTGGATGAGACCATAGCATTGAGGTTGTAGCTACCCAGTGTGACGCCCCATTCATTCTTTTCAGGTTTAAGATCAGGACAATTGAGATGTTAAATAGAGGAGCAGTGGGAGTAATCACTCCTTCACTAATTAGGTCTTAAATAATAAGTTTTAACCCTTGAAGCTCTGTTTTAAGTTACATTGGGCCATAGTAATTATTTTAACTGGGGGGATCCATGGCATCTCATTTAGTTTAGCCAGTTTTTAAGTGTGAAAGACATAATTTAACTTTATTTTTCGTGGGTCAGAGTAACCTTGCCCACCACAGGATACTTTAGGATAATGGGTACTACGACCATAAGGAATTTAGACAAAATATTAATTCTGATGGTTAAGGTGAGGCATATTTATTTGTCCTCTATTTTATATTTGGCAACTCCCTTAAGATTTTAGGGGGTATCTTGTTTAAATATAATGGGTCCCCATGTATAACTGTAATTTGAGCCTCAGTATTGATTAAGTCCATGAAAGCCTGCCAATTAGTGCATTTCGGCAAATGATTTTTTATTGTTCTTTTCTTTTTTCTTTTTTGTTCCTTTTTTCTTGTTCTTTCAGCAAATGTTGATGTTAATTCAGAACCTATTTTGTAGAGGCACAAAAGCCAATCAGAGCCTTTTTTCTTTTTGTTGTGAAAATAATTTTGTCAATAATATCTAATTATGTCAAATTGTGGACCTCTGTTTCAATTTAATTTTTTTCCTGCAAGCTTGAAATTTGAGCTCTTTATTGCAATGGAGGCATAAGCAGGAGAGTGGCGTAGCAGAAGAGCACTGTGCCCACAATTCTGCTACAGACCCGCCCTTTCTCCCACACAGGCTTCCTTTTTGTCCACACTATTTCTGCTGTAAAAATCCCCTCATACTAGGCCAGGAGCAGTGGCTGATGCCTGTAATCCCAGTGCTTGGGGAGGCTGCAAAGGGAGGATCACTTGAGGCCAGGAGATCGAGACCAGCCTGGATAACACAAAATGACCCCCATCTCTTAAAAAAAAAAAAAAAAAAACAGGTGTGGTGGAGTGTGCCTGTAGTCCTAGCCACTCAGGAGGCTAAGACGGGAGGGTTGCTCGAGCCTGGGAGTATAAGGTTACAGTGAGCTATGACTGCACCACTATACTCCAGCCTGGATGACAGTGGGAGACCTTGTCTCTAAAAGAAACAAACAAACAAACAAACACAAGATTCCTTTGTAATAATTTAGATTTATAGTCACATAAAGTTGTTGCTTTCAGTTTCTGTCTGCACAATCACCATGATGCAGCCCTTCTTGATGGTTATGGGAACAGGTTTGGGTTCCTGGGGCCCGACTCATAGGTGGTGGCCTCCTCTTCAAGAGAATGCCAATCAGTCTTTCCAGGGTTGAGTTCCACATCCAGTAAGATAATTTTGTCTGTGGCCTGGATGGAATCTATCAAGTCCTGCTGTCACAAGATTAGCCCTTTGGCGTGCTGGTAAGCAACAGTGCTAAACAAATCCCAGGTACATTGGCTAGGGGTTATGCATTGGGAGAGCAATTGAGTACAAAATGCTCCTTCTCATTTTTAAATAATCAGTGTGTGGCCATGGGCCACCATGGATGTGCACCTCAATACCTTTGGAGGTCAGGAGAGCACATACAACAGCAGCAATGGAAGCAGTATCACAGGAGAGAAGCAACTCTTGCCTGAACAACAATGACTATTATGCAACCAAAATGCCATGCTTAATTCTCCGCAGGGTGGTGGTCTTCTTCTTTTCCACATACTCTACAAAAGGCCATCTTGGGAGTACACAATCACGAACGGTTTCATGGCTGTCCCAAGCAGCCAGTGATGGTAACTAGGCTATACACAGTGATCAGAGAGCTCCAGCTCTGCCTTTGGTAAGGTGGGACTCAGGTGTCAGCTGATTAGGATGCTGTGTTGTCACTTCCACAGGCAGAAGCCTCAGAGATTATCTGCCCAACACAGGCCAAACCCAGTGGCACATCATGCCACAGTATAGTCAATAAACAGAAGTTCTTGTCTTGAGGATTATAGCATTTCGAGTGGGAAGAGATGGCGACATCTGGCAAAGAAAACACAGTTCCATGCAAGCCAAAGCACAAGTCCACTAGTAATCAGCAATTCTGTTCCAGGCAGTATTTGCCATATCATGAAACTAGTTAACTAGCCGTGAGCAGTTAATTAAAGCTGACCAGGTGTCCTTGGTTATTGTTGGTACATCCCATTCACGACACCAATTGTTTTGATCACTTCCCCTCCACCCCATTGGTGAGGGAGGGATTCCACCGTAAGGTTATAAGTATAGCTGAAAACACAACACCCAACACTGGACAGATGAGATTGACAGCAATTTATTAGTCACATATAGTTATAGCCTGGGGGAGAAGGATACCACATAACACACAGGGCCACAAGAGGTTTGCAATCTGGAACAGTGAACAACCAGGTGCTGTGGGAGGCAGGCTCTATAGTAGCAAGAGGGTGGGTAGCCTTTGCTTCCTGAGGGAGGATGTGATTGGCTTGTTTAAACAATTCTATGGGCTGGCAGGGAACTAAAGCCCACTACTCTTAAAGAAAAAAATTATTAAATTACACTGGTTGAAGATGGTAAAGAAGATTTTATTCAGGAGCATTGTGATAGGTGTAGGGACCACTGTAATGTGATCTTATGGTGTGAGAGAGAGATTGGGCTTAACTCCCAATACAGCATAAGAAAATGAGAATTTATAGCCAGGGGGCAGGGTAGGGGTCAGTGGATGGCAAATTACCAAGAGGAAGCAGCAGGGGTAAACGAGAATTCTTTTTTTTTTTTTTTTTTAAATAGAGGCAAGGTCTTGCTATGTTGCCCAGGCTGGTCTCAAACTCCTGGGCTCAAGCGATCTTCCCACCTCAGCCTCCTAAAGTGCTGAGATTACAGGCGTGAGCCACTGCACCAGGCCAGGGAGAATTCTGATTAAACCAACCTAGCAGAATGCTTCCTGAAGGCAGGCCAGGGTGATGATGGAGGATGAAGATGAAGAGCCTGATTAGATATGGAGGGATCAGATATCAAGGGTGAGAGGTTCTGGTTAAACTGACTTCATGGATTCTTGTTAAAATTGGACAATGCAGAGATACACATGGAAGTCTAAAAGTTAGGCCTGGTTGAAAAAGAGTTCAGAGGAGCCTGAGACTGAGTAGAGTTTTGTCAATGAGAAAATCTTTGTTAATATTCAGGGATGAGCATGAACTGTGCCTGGTCTGCATGATAAGGAGGATTGCTTGGCTAGAAGACCTTATCTGTGGAAACAGAGTGGGAAGGAGAATTTGCAGTTAGGCCAATTTTACCATGTCAAGGCAGCACATAATATTAATTTTAGGCCTCATAACACATTCCTTTTTATCTTTTTTGATTTAAGAGACAACTGTGGCCAGGCACAGTGGCTCATGCCTGTAATCCCAGCACTTTGGGAGGCCAAGGCGGGCAGATCACCTAAAGTCAGGAGTTCGAGACCAGCCTGGCCAACATGGTGAAACCCTATCTTTACTAAAAATACAGAAATTATCTGGGTGTGGTGGCACATACCTGTAGTCCCAGCTACTAGGGAGGCTGAGGCAGGAGGATCGCTTGAACCTGAGGGGTGGAGGTTGCAGTGAGCCGAGATCATGCCACTGCACTCCAGCCTGGGTGACAGAGCAAGACCCTGTCTCAAAGATAATAATAATAATAAATAAAAATAAAAACAAAGACAACTGCATAAAGGAATCATGACAAATATGTGTTGATACACATACAATGTATAAAGATGGGTTTTGTATGACAATAACAATACATAGGAATAGGGATGGAATGGAGCTATATTGGAACAACATTCTTGTACAATATTGAAATTAAGTTAGTATTCATTTCAACTAGTTTTTCTAACTTAATATGTTAATTGCAATCCCCAGGGAAGTGATCAAGAAAATGGCAAAAGAAACAACAAAGTAATTAAAATGGTAGGTTAGAAACTGTCCATTTAATACAAAATAAGGCAGTAATGAAGGAACTGATAAACAAAAAAGACATGCCACATACAGAACAAATTGAAAAATGCCAGACACAAATCCTACCTTTTGTTAGTTATATTAAATTTAAATAGATTAAGCCTACAATAAAAAAGCAGAGATTGAAAGAATGAATTAAAAATGATCCAATTATGTGCTATGTATAAGGGACATGACTTAGATTCAAAGACACAATTAATTTGAAAGTAAAAAGATGGAAAAAAGACATATCTTACAAACAGTAACTGATATGGTTTGACTGTGTTTCCACCCAAATCTCATCTTGAATTGTAGTTCCCATAATCCCCACATGTTGTGGGAGGGAACTAGTGGGAGGTAATTGAATCATGGAGGCGGTTACCCCCATGCTGTTCTTGTGATAGTGAGTGAGTTCTCACGAGATCTGATGGTTTTATAAGGGAATTTTCCCCCTTTGCTCAGCACTTCTCTCTCCTGCCACCCTGTGAAGAGTTGCCTTCCACCATGATTGAAAGTTTCCTGAGACCTCCCCAGGCATGTGGAACTGTGAGTAAATTAAACCTCTTTTCCTTATAAATTACCCTGTCTTGGGTATTCTTTCATAGCAGTGTGAGAATGGACTAATGCAGTAACCAAAAGAGAGTTGGAGAAAATATGCTAATACCAGACAAAATAGACTTTAAGACAAGAATTGTTACTAGAGACAAAGGAGAGCATTTTATAATGACAAAATTGTCAATAATTCAGGAAGATATAACAATTATAAACATATACACATCTAAAAACAGACTCCTGATATATATGAAGCAAAAACTGAAAGAACCGCAGGAAGAAATAGACAATTCAGCAATAACGATTAAAGACTTCTATACCTAACTTTATCTAGTGGATAGAACAATTAGACCAGGGGTATCCAATCTTTTGGCTTCCCTGGTCCACATTGGAAAAAGAAGAGTTGTCTTGGGCCACACATAAAATACACTAACACTAACAATAGCTGATGAGCTAAAAAAAATTGCAAAATGTTTTGCAATTCCCATAATATTTTAAGAAGTTTACGAATTTGTGTTGGGCTGCATTCAAAGCCTTCCTTGGCTGCATGCAGCCCACAGACAGTAGATCAACAAGGCAATAGAAGACTTGACCAACAATATAAACCAATTAGACTTAACAGACATCTTTAGAACACTCCACCCCACAACAGCAAAACACATTATTCTCAAGTGCTCATGGAATATTTTTCAAATTAGACCATGTGCTAAGCCATAAATTGTGTCTCAATATATTTAAGAAGGTTGAAAGCATCCAAAGTATGTTTTTTGACCACTATGGAATAAAATTAGAAGTCAATTACAGAAGGAAATTTGGGATATTCACAAACGTGCAAATTAAAAGACAAACTCCTAAAAAAATGGGTCAAGGAAGAAATCACAAGGAAAATTAGACAATATTTTGAGATGAATGAAAACAAAAAACACAACATACAAAACTGATGGAATGGAGCTAAAGCATTGCTTATGGGGAAATTTATAGCTATTAATGCCTACATTGAAAAAGAAGAATGATCTCAAATCAATTACCCAAGCTTCTACCTTAAGAAACTAGAAAAAAGAGCAAATTAAATCCAAAGCAAACAGAAAGAAGGAAATAAAAATATTACAAAGGAAAAAATGAAATAGAGGATAAAAATAAGAAAATCAATAAAACTGAAGCTGATATTTTGGAAAGATCAACAAAATTAACAAAACTTTAGCTAGGCTGACCCAGAAATAAAGAGAAAACACTTGAATTAATATAATCAGGAATAGCAGAGGAGGCATTACTACTGACATCACAGAAATTTGAAAAAATATATGAGAATACTATGAACAATTGTATGCCAACAAATTAGATAACCTAGATGAAACACACAAATTTCTAGAAAGACAAAAGTTGCCAAAACTGACTCAAGGAGAAATAGAAAGTCTGAATAGAACTATACAAATAAAGTGACTGAATCAGTAATCAAGTATTCCCACCAAAAACAAAAAGTCCAAGATCAGATAGCTCCACTGGTGAATTCTACCAAGCATTTAAAGAATAAAAGAAGAGTTAATGCCAAGCCTTGTCAAATGCTTTCAAAAAATACAAGAGAAGGGAATACTTCCCAATTCATTCTGTGAGGCCAGTATTACTCTGATACCAAAACCAGAAAAGCCATCAAAACAAAACTACAGACCAATATCCATTCCTTTAAAATCTATTCACTAAATTCCTCAATAAAATACTAGCAAATAAATTCAACAATGTATCAAAAGGATTATACTTCATCACCAATTGGAATTTATTACAGGAAATGCAAGGTTAGTTCAGTATATAAAAATCAACCATTGTAATACAACATACTAATAGAAGAAAGGAAAAAATAGCATGATTATCTCAACAGATGCAGAATAAGCATCTGATAAAACCCAACATCCTTTCATAATAAAAACACTCAACAAACTAAAAAGAGAAGGGTACCTCCTTAACTTGATAAAGGGCATCTACAAAAAATCCACAGCTAGCATCATACTTAATGGTAAAAGACTAAAAACTTTCTCCCCAATATCAGGAACAAGACAAGGATGTCCACTCTCACTGCTTCTATTTAAGATTGTACTGGAGGTCCTAGCCAGTGTAACTAGGCAAGAAAAATAAGTAAAAGGCATCCAGATTGAAAAGGAAGAAGGAAAACTCTCTGCAAGTGACCTTGTATGCAGAAAATCCTTTAGAAATCACAAAAAAACTATTAAAGCTAATAAATCAACAGTTCAACAAAGTCCCATGATAAAAGACAGACAAAAATCAACTGTATTCCTATATACTTGCAATGAACAGTCTGAAAAATGAAAGTAATAAAATAATTGCATTTATAATAGAACTAAAAAAGAGTAGGCTGGGCACAGTGGATCATGCCTGTAATGCCAGCACTTTGGGAGACTGAGGCAGGCAGATCACCTGAGGTCAGGAGTTCAAGACCAGCCTGGCCAATATGGCAAAACCCCATCTCTACAAAAAAATACAAAAATTAGCCGAGCGTGGTTGTGCGCACCTGTAATCCCAGCTACTCAGGAGGCTGAGACAGGAGAATCGCTTGAACCCAGGAGGTGGAGGTTGCAGAGAGCCGAGCTCGCGCCACTGCACTCCAGCCTGGGCAACAGAGTGAAACTGTCTCAAAAAAAAAAAAAAAAAAAAGTAAAGTATTTAGGAATAAATTTAACGAAAGAATTGCAATACTTGTACACTTGTCAGTGTACCAGATAACATTATTGAAAGAAAATACAGACCTAACTAAATGGAACATTATCCCATTATCATGTATTGGAAGACTTAATATTGTTAAGGTGGCAATACTCTCTAAACTGATATACAGACCCAAGGCAATTCCTATTAAAATCCCAGCTACCTTTTTTTTTTTTTGGCAGAAATTGACAAAAATGGAAATGTAAGGGACCAGAATCTTTTTTTTTTTTTTTTTAGACAGAGTCTCTCTCTGTCACCCAGGCTGGAGTGCGGTGATGTGATCTCGGCTCACTGCAACCTCTGCCTCCCAGGCTCAGGCAATCCTCTCACCTCAGCCTCCTGAGTAGCTGGGACTACAGGCTCCTGACACCACGTCTGGCTAATTTTTTTTTTTTTTTTTTTGTATTTTTGGTAGAGACAGGGTTTCACCGTGTTGTCCAGGCTGGTCTCGAACTCCTGAGCTCAAGCAATCTGCCTGTCTCGGCCTCTCAAAGTGCTGGAACTACAGGCATGAGCCACCGCACCCGGTCGGAAGCAATCCTGAAAAAGAACAAAGGCAGAGGCCTCACACTTAACCAATTTCAAAGCTTACTACAAAGTAACAGTAATCAAGAGTGCATGGTACCTGCATAAGGATAGACATATAGATCAATAGAATGTAACTGAGAATCCAGAAATAAGAGTCACTTTTATGGTTAACTGATTTTTTTTTTTTTTGAGATGGAGTCTCTCTCTGTTGCCCAGGCTGGAGTGCAGAGGCATGATTTCGGCTCACTGCAAGCTCCGCCTCCCGGGTTCACGCCATTCTCCTGCCTCAGCCTCCCGAGTTGCTGGGACTACAGGTGCCGGCCACCACACTCAGCTAATTTTTTGTATTTTTAGTAGAGATGGGGTTTCACTGTGTTAGCCAGGATGGTCTTGATCTCCTTACCTCGTGATCCGCCCTCCTTGGCCTACCAAAGTGCTGGGATTACAGGCGTGAGCCACCAGGCCCGGCCGGTTAACTGATTTTTGACAAGTGTGCCAAGATCATTCAATTGAGAGAAAAAAGAGTGTTTTCAACAAATGGTGCTGAAACAACTGAATATGCACATCAAAAGAATGAAGTTGGACCCCCTACTTCATACCACATACATACATTAACAAAAGATGGATCAAAGACGTAAGCACAAGTTACATCTAGAAAACTTTTAGAAGAAAACGTAAGCACAAATCTTTGTGGTTTTTGGATTAAACAATGGATTTTTAAACATGACACCAAAAGCACGAGTGACAAAAGAAAAAAATAGATAATTGAACTTTATCAGATTTTAAAACTTCCATTCTTAAAAGGACACCACCAAGAAAGTAAAAACTGACAACCCACAGAATGGGAGAAAATTTTTGGAAATCATATATCTGATGAGAGACTTGTATCTAGAATATATTAAAAACAGTTACAACTTAATAACAAAAGGACAAGTAACCCAATTAAAAGATGGTTAAAGGGTCTGAATATACAGTTCTCCAAAGATACACAATGACCAATAAGCAAATGAAGGGATGCTCAATATCATTAGTCACTAGGTGTATTAGTTAGGGTTCTCCAGAGAAACAGAACCAACAGGACACATATATATGTGTGTGTGTGTGTGTGTGTGTGTGTGTGTGTGTGTGTGTGTGTGAGAATAATGCTGCTATGAACATTCATTTATAAGTTTTTGTGTGGACATATGTTTTCAATTCCCTTGGACGTATACCTAAGAGTGGAATATCTATGAAATATCTTAACTCCATAATCAACATTATGAGGAACTGCCAGTTTTACAAAGTGGCTCTAACCATTTTACATTCCACCCAGCAATGTACAAGGGGTCTAATTTCTGCACATCTTCTCCAGCATTTGTTATTATTTGTCTTTATAACATTCATCCTAGTGATGACCTTATGCAGAGGCATGGAGAGGGTGCTGCTGTTTGTTGCGTTTCCTAACTATACAATCATGAGTGTATCTCATGGTTTTGATTTGCATTTCCCTAGCATGATGGTGAATTTTTATCTGTCAACTCGAATGGGCTAAGGGATGCCCAGATAGCTGGTAAAACTTTTGGGTGTGTCTGTGAAAGAGTGTTTCTGGAAGAGATTAGCATTTTAATCAGTAACCTGAGTAAAGAAGATCTCCCTCACCCATGTAGGGTGCATCATTCAATCTGCTGAGGGCCCACATAGAACAAATAGCTGGAGGAAGGGTGAATTCACTCTCTGTTTGATCAGGGACACTCATTGTCTCCTGCACTCAACATCAGTGTCTCTGGTCTCTGGCTTTCAGATTCTTACTGAATTGTACCACTAGCTTTTCTGGTTCTCCACTGGGTCTCCAGCTTGCAGATGGCAAATCATGAAACTTCTTAGCCTCCATAATCATATGAGCCAATTCCTATTATAAATTAATCTCTGATTTATTACATATGTACATTATATATGTTTATAACATATTATATATATGTATACGTATGAGAGAGAGTTTCTTATCAGATATATAGATATATGGTTTTAAAAAATTTTCTCCCATCCTGTGGGTTGTCAGTTTTTACTTTCTTGATGGTGTCCTTTGCCCAGAGGTGGTACCACAGGCAAAGCCTAGGAATCTTGAAGCACTCTCAACTGCCCACAGAGCAGTAGACTACTCTATCCTTTCTTTGAATTTAGAAAGGGTTGTTATGGCCGTATCAGCTTGGGTTCTTTTGGTCCTGAAAGCTACTCTTTCCACTGTAAACTGTGGCCTTAATAGTTCCAAGCACTGCCCCCATCCTGAGTCAGATCCCTGTGGTGATCCTAGGGTACACTCTGGAGGGATTTAGTGGAAGTTTTTCAAACTAGGGAAACAAATACCTGCAAGAAATTGTAACTAGCTCATCCAAATTTTCTCTACTACTGGGAAACATCTTATACCACAGATCCTGTGAGGAAAGCTCAGCATACTCAGCTTGGATGAAATGCACCCAATGTCATTTGAGTGGTAAGACATGGTAGTCACATAGGTCTCCACTGTATTTCCTAGATGTTAGGGAGTATAATACTGACTACAGAATTTTTGCAAGGCAGTGTAATAACCTCTGTGCTTCTGATGGGAAAAATAGTCCAAGAAGTGTTAATTAGATCAGGAGACTCCAGTCATTTTATGGGGAGAGGTCATTTTTCATTTCATTTAAGTCTTGAGAACACCCATGGAGGTAGAGGAGAAATGTATGCATGCACTTGTGCATGTGTGAGTGTGTTGGGAGGAAGCTGTCAGTGAAGGCCTTGAAGCCAGGGTGAGAGTGATGGATCTGAAGGGACTCAGGGAATAGATAATGATAGGAGGGGGCTAAAGGAGCTGACGAAGAAGATCCTGGGGGTGGGAGGGAGGCTGACAGTAAAGGTCCTTGAAGTGGGGAGGAACTGACAATCTGACAGTGATGACCTTACACAAAGCCATGGAGTGGGTGCTGCTATTTGTTGTATTTCCTTACTAGTTGATCCAGTATCCTAGTTTGGGCCCCCTGGGCTGGACTAATAATGTACGTGCCCCACTACAATGCCAACATATCAAACAAGCCACCATTAGAACAGGATCATTTTCCTCCAGGCAGCTGCTTGCTGCAATCATTCTGCTGATTAAATTTCATTCTGGAAAATACTGCACAGACATTAATCAGGTGTCACAGCCACTCCATCCTATAGAGCCAAAGCCTCTCTGGCCTTTAAAAATACACCAAACAGTTGCTAGAACACATCTCCCTAGGAAGGACAGATCCTCAGGCCAGCCCACAGAAATCCATGCTGTCCTCGTCCCCCTCCACCCAACCTTTTTCTCCCCGAAGAGAGCAAACAGTACCAGAAACCATTCTGATATTTTTACCTGGAGGACTCTGGTCAGCCTTCTGTCTTGGTGATACCATCAGCCCCCTACATATGTGGATTTGAAGGTTTGAAAGAGTTTTCCCATCTCAAAATAGCTTCCCCACTGGCCTGTTCGCACTGCCTGACATTTTCACTGTAATAAGCACTTCTCTCAGTGAAAACATTGTAGTCTTCAGAAATCCCTTGTTTAAACAAAATAAAATAAAACTGGTTTACCTGGAAGAAAGAATTCATAAGTAATAATGGCATTTTACAATCTCAGAGCACTTTTCCTTGCTCTCAATGTACTTTCCAACATGTTATTTCATTTTATTTTACATCCATTATATGAGGAAAATATTACTATAATCCCCATTTTACAGATGTCAAAATGGAGCCTCAAAGAGATTAATTGACTTGGTCAGAAACATAGGGCTAGAAAATGGTCTTCTGATGCCACGCCTTAAGTGCTTTCTGTCATGCTAACACAAATGAATGCTGTCAACTGAGACTTCGAAAAAGAGATGTGTTTTGATGGGGGGTGGTGCAGGCAATGGCTAAGGAGGTCATGTCTAAGTAGGATGTCAAAGAAAAGGCCTGCAAACAGCCAGAGGACATGTTGGAGACAATAAACACCTGGGTGAGAGGAGGCAGACAGGATGGGAGAGGGGCCGAAAGCAGCCTGGTCTCCTTCACCAATTCAGATGTTAGTGTAAGTGGTCCCATTTTCCTTTCCCCCAAGCAGGTAGGTGGCAAATAAAGTGCCTTATCTCTAGTTGTGCTTTCCTGCCAGAAGTGGTGAAAAGATGCTGGATGTAATCAGAGGAGGGACAATCACATATTTGTGTTGGGCTGAGTTGGGCTACCCTTGGTGACATGTACCAGCTGCCTCTGACTGCCCACTCTCTTCAGGCGGTGCGCATTCAAGTCTAGGGCATAAGGACTAAGATAGAACATTATAACACTGTATCAATAATGTAAGACAGTGCCCTGTCCTTAAAGCAAAATGTAATTTAAAATGCAGTGTGTAGTAGACTGCAACTTAATTGGAAGGGATGCCTCGGACCATTTGGGACACTACAGAACATTTGGCATAGCCATTAAAAACTGTTCTCCAGAGCCCAGGAAACTAATTGCAAATGGTTAGGTAATGCACAGCTGATAGAAAGAAGATTTTCCTTTAAATTGATTCCATGGTATATGTACAGGGATGTTTATAGCAACATTGCTTGTAACTATAAAAAACTGGTAATAAACTAAATGTCCACCCATGGGGGTTCTTCAAGTAAGTTAAAACATTCGCACAATGGAATGTTAGGCAGCAGCTTAAAAAACATGAGGCAAACCTATATATACTGACACGGAAAATGTATTTATGAAATAGTATTGGATTTCTTAAAAAGTAAGTTGCAGAATAATATTTACAGTTTGCTTCCATTTTTCTTCACTATGTGTGTAATTGTATGTGTGTATGCATATCCTTATATATACATAGGAAAAGTGGAAAATCTTGGGAAAATATACATCAGAATAGAGGTTACCTCTGAAGAATGACATTGGGGAAGGAAAGAATTTCACTTTTTATTTTATACAATTTTGTATTGTTTGAAATCTGTGTGCATATTTTACTTTTGTAATGTTGAGTGTTTGTTAAAGGACAATAGCCTTTATTGGACAGCCCCTTTCTCGTTATAGTGGGATTCCAGGTTCCTGAGCAGATTTGAGCAGTGGGCATGGATTTAGGTGCATTTCACCTTCAATAGAACTTCTTACAGGTCCAATTGAACTGTATTTCTTATAAACAGTAACACACTAAAATATAGCCTTACCAAAGGAATCCTCTCTAATAAGCACAGCTGCTGATTTTTATTCCTCTCTCTATTCTGTTTTACCTCCAAATTTCCTCCTCTCCTCCCACCTAGGCAGAGTTTCTTCTATCTTCCTAGACAGATCAGTTACCCAGAAAGCTGCTCCTTCCAGGCAATCCACAGAGTAGACAGCCCCCTACCGGTGTAATTTTAGGGGCATCGACAAAGCCAGACCAGAAAAAGTACTTGCCCACCTGCCAGCACCAACAAGCCTCAATCATACAATGAAAAAGAAGTACAAATTCCCTTGAGAGAGGTGACTTGTTGCCTGAAACTAGCATTCAGGCAAGAAAGACTGACAGAAGAGCTGTGTGTGTGTGTGTGTGTGTGTGTGTGTGTGTGTGTGTGTGTGTGTGTGTTTGTGTGTCTGTGTGTGTGTGAGAGAGAGAGAGAGAGAGAGAGAGAGACCGACCAAACCAAAGTAGGTGGGTCCTGGGCAGCCCTAGGCTCACACTGCAGGACAGACACAGTGCAATTTATTAAACATTCGCCTGTTTAATTCATTTGTAAAATAGAATTTGAAGTAGTTTGTGCTTTTTAATAATACATGCTCATTGAATGTATTTGAAAGATATAGAAAAGTATAAAAAAGAAAGCAATCTCCTGTAATTTCACTACTCAGAGATAACTACAGTGGATATTTGAGTTTCTTTCTAGTCATTTTTCTCTGTATATATGTACAATTTTAAACAAAATGGGATCAAACTATACATGCAGTGCTTAGCCTACTTTTGCACTCATTATTGTATATATTTCTGTGTTCTTAAATATTTGAAATACAATTTTAATAGCTATATAACATATGGAATCATTTGGTTGTGGTATCATCTAGCTAATCGTTCTCCTAATTTTTGTCATTTCAGGGTTTTTTTTAACTTACGAATAACATTGCCACGGACATTGTTGCACGTAAATCTTAGTCCAGATTTCTCTTTCCTTAGGACTGATTCCCAGAAGTGGGATTACTGGGTCACAGAGTGTAAACATTTTTAAAGGCTCTGTGGAGCAGTTTGAACTGGTAGCAAATTTATTGATTCCTAAGAACCACTGAACACAGAAATCCTCTTCAGTGCAAGCCTGAACCAAGCAGCTGGACACATGCACCCCCGCTTTCAACAATGTCACATCTAATTAGGTGTTTAATGAATGTTTTTTGATGGGGATAAGGGAGAAGGATATACTGAGCTCTGTCATTAATTAAAGGAAGGAAACAGCTTAACTGAATCCCATTCTACTATCCCTACCAACTGTTATCTCTGGCAGGTAAATCATAGCATCTAAACAGTGAGGTTCCCCAAAAGATCCCCAACCCAGTTCCTGTGGGCTTAAAGCTACTCATCTCCTCTCCCTTTCCCCCGATTTAAAAGTAATACATATGGTGAATTTTTCTGTGTAGATGTTTTCCTTCAGTAGTAAATAGTTTGCAGTATAAAATGTTAATTATGCTTCTCATAGACTGATCTCACTCTAACCTTAACATTTGTGGTTATTAACCTCTGTTACATTTATTCTGAAATTCAAAAAAAGTTACCTAGCCTTCTTAAACATCACCATGTCCCTAGTGTATTCATTGATTCATGCATTATGGTTCTCTGTTGCTGTTTTATGCCTTCAAATTAGGAAGATGTGAAATTCTGTGGAAAACAAAGACTAACCTTAAAAATAAACTATCTCCTTTCTGTAGTAGGAAATGGACTGTTTTCAGAACTAACTTTCCTATCAAAAATTCAGTAGAAGTATGTATACCTGAATCATTTTTGTTTTTGTTAATGCTTCCAAACAATGTACTTTGAAATCAGAATCATTTCTTTATATTCATTTTTATGTAATTCTCCTGATGCTCTTCCTTACACAATAGTGATCAGAAAGGAGATGTAGTTTCCTTTCCCTGCCCATTATAGCTAAGTGGGTATCATAATGTAAGTTGGAGGGAATTTTATTATGCAAGAAGGAACTACCATTGGGTTTGATTGATTGAAGATGGACTTTGATGTGGTGTATCTGAAAGCTATTAAATGCAACTTACAAGCCTTAATAAAAATATTTATTATTTCATTATTTAGCAAGTTTACTTTTAAAATACTTTTTAGAGTATTTAACTCTCAAAATAAACAAACAAAGGTAAAACTATGCATGGAGAAAAAATGTGGAATAATGCATTCAAACCCGTAAAGCATTTTTATCTGTGGAGAGTAGAATTGTGGAGCAGGAGTAATTTGCTGCATCAAGCACCTCTGCAGTTTTGGGAACTTTTACCGTGTTGTGTCTTATTTAGTAGGTAGAATAAAGCAATAGATAAAAATAAGTAAAACATGTTCAACAAGTATTGAAATGCCAACTATGTACCAGACGTAATTAAGTGATCATCATCGAAACTGTAAAGGCTAAATATAAGAAAGACTTTGAGTATTTGCACCAGAGAACAATAATGAATATGACAATGAAAACACCTGAGCAGTTGGAATTTTCTAAGGTATAGTCATGCATCGCTTATTGACAGGAACACCTTCTGAGGAATGCGTCGTTAGGTGATTTCGTCCTTGTGCAAACATCATAGAGTGTACTCACACAAATCTAGATAGTATATCCTACTGCATAGCTAGGCTATTAGGCAAAACCTAGATAGTATATCCTACTACACAGCTAGGCTATAAGGCATATGCTATCTCACCTAGACTACAAATGTGTACAGCATGTGACTGTACTGAATACTGTTGTAATACAATGGTCAGTATTTGTGTATCTAAACATAGTTAAACATAGAAAAGGTACAGTACAAATGCAGTATAAAGGATAAAAAATGGTACACCTGTATAGAGCACTTACCATGAATGGAGCCTGCAGAACTGGAAGTTCCTCTGGGTGAGTCACTGAGTGACTCAATACAATCATGGTAGTATTGTGTCCTATTATGAAGGAATGTGAAAGCCTAGGACATTACTGTACACTACTATACACTTTATAAACACTGTACACTTAGGCTGCACTACATTTATTTTAAAAGATTATTCTTTCTTCAATAAATTAACCTTAGCTTACTGTAACTTGTACATTATAAACTTTTTTTTAACTTTTGACCCTTGTAATAACACTCTTAAACACACACCGTACAGCTGTACAAAATATTTTCTTTCTTTACATCCTTATTCCACATGCTTTTTCTATTCTAACTTTTTTCTTTACTTTTCTAAATTTTTTGTTAAGAACAAAGACAAAACACACACACATTAGCCTATGCCTACACAGGGTCAGGATCATCAATATCACTGTCTTCTACCTCCACGTCTTGTTCCACTGGAAGGTCTTCAGGAGCAATAACACACATGGAGCTGTCATCTTTTATGACAACAATGCCTTCTTCTGCAATACCTCCCAAAGGACCTACATGAGGCTGTTTTACAGTTAACTTTTAAAAAATATTTAAGTAGAAGGAGTACACTCTATAATAATGATAAAGTGTATAGTATAGGAAATACATAAACCAGTAACATAGTCATTTATTATCATTATCAAGTATTATGGATTGTACCTAATTGTATATGCTACACTTTCACGTGATTGTCAGCACAGTGAGCTTATTTACACCAGCATCACCACAAACTCGTGAGTAACACATTGCACTATGATGTCACTAGGTGATAGGAGTTTTTCAGCTCCATTATAATGTTATGGGAACACCTTCATATCTGCATTCCATTGTTGACCAAAACATCATTATGTGGCACATGACTGTACTTGTGGGCTGTGACAGTGTTGTCTGCCCTGGCACTGCCCTCGCCCTCTGCCTCCTAGATCTGTGGTTCCCACTGGATGCCTTGTGCCCAACTGAACTTCAGCTTCTTGACTGGCCCTTCCCGTAGCTGACTGCAATTAGGTGTGTCTTCAGTGTTAAACATCTCCTTTTCAAGGTAAAATCAAGAGGTCATGGGAACCCAGACACTTTCAGATGCTGATGGTGGGTATGTACTTTGCTACAAATATTTGGGAGGGCAATTTGGCAATACATTTTCAAAGCCTTAAAAATATTCTGACTTGATAAAAATCAGAATAGTGGTTACCTCTGGGAGGGTTATTGACTGGGGAGGGGGCTCAAGAGAGCCATCTGGGATGTTAGGTTCAATATCTTAATCTGGGTGGTGGTTTACAAGTGTGTGTGTGTGTGTGTGTGTGTGTGTGTGTGTGTGTTAAAATACATTGGTCTGTACATTTTATTACATGTGTGTTGATAAAAAAAGTTTAATTAAAAGTATGTGTTTGGAACGTTTGAACCAATAATTCCATGATAGTATTGTATCCTACGGTGAAAAAGATGCAAAGGTTTAGTTCATTGCATTATTTACAATGTTAAAAAACTGGCAATCTCTAAAATATTCAATAACAGTGAAATGGTAAATAAATTATGTTCCATTCATTTTAAATCATATTATCAAAGGTTTTTTCTTTACTGATATTGGAAAACATTTATTATATAGCGTTTGGTAACTAACACAGGTTACAAAATAGAAATAAATCAATAACAAAGTAAAGACAAGTACCAACACTGTTCCCTGGTGCTATGGTTATTTTCCTGGTACCCAAAGAAAAAGACCAGCTGGCAATGAGAATCAGGCAACACCCTTAACTATGGTTTTCCTCAATCAAGATTCACATGTTTGTGGTGCAGGCACTGAGTACTAGGCATTGACCTAAGGTAGTCTGGTGGGCACACCCCAACCTCAGTTAGGAATGTTTGGACTCTTTGAGGCTCTCCATTATTCTGAAGCTTCTCTCTGTCCTTGATCAACCAAAGTCTGGAAAACGAGAGTTGGATGGTGATAACCAGAGCGTAGAGATACTAGCTGGGATGTCTATAAGTATGTGCACTTGTGAATACCTGTATGGCCACCATTTTAAATATGCATGTATGCATGTATGTGTGTGTAAACATGTAGACATTTCTCTAGCCCACATTCCCAGAATTGGAATCAGGAAGGTATACTATGTAATTTAAATAGTCAAATTGGTCAGCAAAATAAGGAGATAATTGAATGCTATGGCTCTTCCCAGGGAGAATGTGTTAGACACAGAGCACCATCTGGCATTTTTCTACTGGTCTGAAGGCTTCTGGGGAGGGCGCTCATCACTGGTTTGAAGAAGATGGAGAGAAGTAGGCTGCAGCCCCATTGGTAAACATTTCCTGATGCTATAAAGCAGTTTGCAACCTAGGGCAACACTGTATGCTTGATTAAGCTTGCTATGAAAAGGATTTATTTTAAGGCATTTTAATAATTTCTTTTTTTTATCAAAAGCTAACCAAGCAGTTTTATAGTAGCCTTCACTTGCATGAAAGACCTGTTTCTTCATCTAGATGGCTTGCCTATTGGTAAGTTTTATTATAAACCTATTTATGTATAAACTCCACATGTGTTTTGACATGAAGAAAATCAGAATGGAGCCCAGGAAACATTGCCTCTTGCTTTTTAATCATCCTGTTCAATTTGAGTTAAAATAAACTTTTTT
Organism: Homo sapiens; assembly: GCF_000001405.40. Classification (NCBI taxonomy): domain Eukaryota; kingdom Metazoa; phylum Chordata; class Mammalia; order Primates; family Hominidae; genus Homo; species Homo sapiens. The sequence continues at coordinate 120,314,152 of NC_000023.11, read as the reverse complement.
TTGGAGGAAAAGAGGTGTATGTACTGGGCTTAGTTAAAATGTAGGGGGTTTTCCCCCCAGTTCCCATTCTAGTCCCTCCCCTTTTCCCGATCCTCTCTCCAGACAAATACACCATCTCTGGGGAGAAGACTGCTACTACTCTCCAAGCTGCTGCAGCTGCTGCTATTGTCACTGCTACTGGTCTCAAAGTCATTTTTAACTTGACTGAGTGCGTGCTGTGCTCCAAGTCCCACAAGGCACCCCAAGAGACAGCACAAAAGAAACATACCATATGCAGTTCTTTTAAATAGCCAGCTCCTCTAGTACTTTATAAAATAATGTTCAATTTCAAGCAGGATTCAGGAATACAGATGTTGAGAAAGCAAACCTCACTCCCATTAAAGGTACCTCACTAGTTTGTGTCTTTGGGATTATAAAGGTCAAATTACATATGCCCTCTGCATCATTTGGTGGGTAGTGTGTTTCTCTCTGAATTGAAAAGCCCTCAATCTGTCCATCAAAACCAGCATGGTAACAAGTTTCTATTTGGCTTCTTTAGGGATCTCTTGCTGTGTGATTGCTATAGGGGAGCCAAGAATCTCTAAAGAAGGTGTCATATAGTCTTTAGAGCCTGTATAAAAACCTCTTTTCTTTCAGGCTACTTTCACAGAAACGAAATATGTTAATTAGCAAGCACTCCTGAGAAATCAGTGCTGGTTGCAGGAGTCCTCCACATTAAGTATGAGATATTTAGAATGAGAGGAGAAAGAGATAAGTAAACAGGACTCAAAGACAATCATTGCAGAAGTATAAATACAGGATTTCTCTCTGCCTTTGTGGAGCTTATAGAGACCCTGACACAAGCTAAGCAGGCTTAAGACACACACATCTACAATAGTAGGCATCTTGTCTCTATCTAGGACATATATCACAGATTTCTAAACCACATGTATAGTGTAGGGTTGCTAATAATACCTGACACAGCATTCAACGTGGCCCCTGGGGTGCCCAAGTTCTTTACAAAGGGCTTCCTTTTTAATCTTCAAGAAACATATTTTCTTCCTTCAGAAGATGGGAAAGGGCAAGGGCCTTCAGTCCCATTTCCTGGATAAGAAAAACAAAGCTTTACAGTAGATTAGCAAGGCAGATCTGGAAAGAGCCAAGTACTCTTCTTCATCCCATTGACTCTTAGAATAGTTTTATACTTGATTTGGTTTGGGTTTTTCGGGGAACATGGAGAAAGGATTGCAGCAACCATCAGAAGGAGGTGGTTGGAAGGAGACCTGGCAAGCAGAGCCTGGGAGCTCCTCAATGGGACAGTATGGGCACCTCCAAATAGGTATATTCTCTTAGCTATGTTAGGCTTCCAGGGCTGTTCCCAGAGGGAGGTGGAGTCCACTGTTACCCGCTTCCTCACCCTCCACCTCCCCTGGCCACCAGATAGATGTCTTGGGGGCACTCCAAGGAGGCCTCATCCTGATCTGCAGTTGTTTTGAGAACATTCAAACCACCTTTTGGTCCAACCACAAGGTGCTTCAAGCCCAATATCCTAATGGGGTCCAAAAGGATAGGTTCGAGAAGGATTTGGCTGTCTTCCAAGATCAATGACATTCCCACCTCATCCCCAGTTTCCCTTAGTAATCCACAGTGGATCTGTCAGCCATGACTTTACTTTCACTCTTTCCAAAGCTACTTGCATTTTCATCTTGCTGCATCTTTTGGAGCTAATGAATTCCTTAGGTTTTCCATTTGCTATAGAGAATAATAGTTCTTTTCAGTCGCCATAGCAAGAACACTCACCTTGGAGTCCAACAGATCTAGGTTCTAGCTCTCACTTCTGCCACTTACTAGCTGAGTGGGCACAGGATATTTTCTTCCCTTCTCTGAGATTCAGTTTCCTCCTCTGCATAATGGGGTTATTGATAACTCCTCTTCCTCCCTTGCATGGCTGCTATGATGATAAAATGAGATCCTTGTTATAAAAGCACTTGAACAGTACAAACTGGGGTTCTGGTGCAGAGTTATACTTTAGCTGAATTTTCTAGCTAAAGATTGGGGGCTGTTGGTTCTAGAATTCTCAGGTCTGGTGAATAAGGCTGTGCTCCTTCTCTCCGTCTCTGCATAATTTTATACACTCTGGTCACATCACTTCCCAGCCTTCATCGTTCTAGACTAAAGAGTCTGCGTTTGTTTAATCTATCTTCATATGTCAGCCACCACCCTCCCCCCGCCCCACACACACCATCCCTTTGATTATAGAGTGGCCCTTCTCTGGATCATCTCCAGCTCCATTATGTCATTCTGGAAGCACTAAGACCAGACCTGCTCAAGTGTGTGTGTGTGTGTGTGTGTGTGTGTGTGTGTTCCTCAGCTCTGAACCTCTGACTCTGACCCCCTCCCCAGTTATAAATCCTAGAACAGGATAATTACCCAAGACCCTGTCCAACTATAGAGAAGGTTGGTTGGCTTCATACTGAAGCCTCCCCCTCTTTCTCTGCGCAGCCCTGGCCCCAAGGGGCTAAAACTGCTCCCTGTCTGGCTTGGAAGGCTGGGAGGTGGATAACTAGGATGGGGAGACTGAGGGGGAGGGAGGAGGGGGGGGGTCTTGCGCAAGCGCACGCGGCTGCACGGACCGCCAATGCTGCTGCCTCCCAGAGCAGAGGGAGGCAGAAGAGGAGGGAGGGAGAAGAGTGGAAGGGAGGGGGAGGCGGCACTTGGGCTGCAGCTCGCAACCAGAGGCAGTGTCTCTCAGCTCTCGGAAGGACCGAGAGAGGCAACCGCGGAGTAGGATGCTCTGCGGGGCGCCCAGAGCCGGGGGCGCTTGAAGCAGCTTCGGGGACTGGGGCAACCGGGCAGTTTTCACCATGCATCAGTCCCTGACTCAGCAGCGGTCCAGCGACATGTCCCTGCCCGATTCCATGGGTAAGTCTAGCGGCCCTTCCTTCGGGCGGCGGCAGCAGGGGTTGAGTGCCCTGGCCTCTGGACTGTGAACGCCCCAGCTGCCCCAAAAGCCGGAGAGCGGGAAACGGGGCATGGATGGGGTGGTCTTCGCGCCCCAGCGTCTGGGTGGTGGACCAGAGTCCCAGGGGAGCGGCCTGGCTGCAGCGGGAGCGACGTGCGGAGATCGGAGCGCCAAGCTTGCGTCGGAGTATCTCTGCCCCGGAGTGCGGGTGTGTGCCTGTTTGTGTGCGTGTGTCTACAGACTTGCAGTCGGTGGTAAATCCCAGCAATCTGAGGATCAAAACACTTCCCTGCAACCTGCGCCTTCGCTTTCCATTCGACACTCCCTCTTTGCAAAGTCCTGGTCACTTCTAAGAGCTCACGACTAACGACAATTAGAAGCAGGGTCCTCGCCCCCTCCCAACTCTCTTGAAGCTGCCCTGAAATTTAGAGATGCAGTTGGGTGGGGGCCTGACTTGCACCTCGCTGATTGGGGGGGGGGGGCGGGTTGCGCAACTCTGGGGGATGGGCGGGGGTGAGAAGAAAGGGGGGGATGAGGGGAGGGGAATTCCTGAGGAATCACTCAAGACAGCCCAGCCCTGCCCTCTGCAGCGGCGGGATCAACATTCTTTGAATTTGATTGTTACTCTGCTCCAAATGCACGGAATGTGCATGAGTGTGAAAAGGGAGTCAGGGGCAGGAGTGAGAGCGCGAGAAAGAAACATCCAGCGCGAGCCCGCGCATCTTCTGAAGTCGCGCTTTTCCTCGCAGGGCGGAATGGAGGGGGAGGGGCACCCTTCGACTCCTTTCCTTATAGAAACTGGGGGACAGCTACCTTCGGGCACCAACTTGGCTGCCCCTCGAAGCTGCTTTTTGGTAGTTACAAAAAAAAACAAACCCAGTCCCCCTCAGCTGTTAGGCACCTTCCCAAGCCCTGTGATTTCACTGGGCGGAGAAATTAATTTGGAGCCCTGGAGAGCGGGAGGGGATTGTAAAATCATGATCCCACCTAATCTTTTAAAATTCGCCTCGGATACACTTCAATCAAATCGAATTCTCTCTTTCCAACATACTTTACATTCTGCAAAATCCCTCTGTCCCGCAGTTCCTGCCATCAGTCTGCTCAGGTCTTCTCCGATGAATTTGCGGGAACATCTCGAGTGGAGGGGGCAGGGAGAAGATCGAACCCCCTATATAATCTCCCTACTGCCCGCAGAAGACTCAGTGTCAACAAAACTCGTTCACCGGAGGGGCCCCAGAAAGTGTTATCTCCTGGATGGTGGAAAGATCCGTATCCTCAATGGTTTTGCATATTCAGTATAAGAATTTGCTTTTTCATTTTTAAGGGCGTAGTTATTTACAACGGGGTACAAATGAGGCCAAGGACTTGGTCCGAATCCCGAGCCCAGCAGTACCAGACTCCCCCTTACTCCCAGCTCGCGCGCGCGCACTCTTTCTCCAACACACACACCACGCGCACACACATACAGAGGGAGAGGGAGAGAGAGAGAGCGCGAGAGCGAGAGAGAGCGACAGCGAGAGCGAGAGAGAGAGAGACAGAGAGGTGGGAATGCACTGCTTACCTTGGCCAGCTGTGGCGCCAACAACGCAGCCCTGGCTCCCCGACGCCAAGCTGTTGCGCTTCGCGAGGGAGGGCAGAGTGGAAGAGTGCTGGGGTTCCGCAGCGTCCATTCCCGCTGCGGACGACAACCACCTAACCACCTGCAAATCAAGCCACAGCGCCCCGGGCCCGTCTGCCTTCGGGGAGTGGGCTGGTTGGTGGCCCAGGGCTTAAAGAGTCGCTACTTGGCGCACTGCTCTGTGGGTTGGGGAACAAGATGAAGAGCTTTCTTTCTTGGGCTCCCAGGGGCCCTCAGCGATCTTGTGTTTCTCGAAAGGTCTGCGCAACAAACAGCTGAGTGGGCTTCGCCCAGCCCAGTCTCCACACTGCGGGAAAGGAATCATAAATCCCAGATAGAAGCGGAGCCGGCGCCACGCATTCCACTTTTTGAAGTCCGCAGACCGACGGCACTGGCAAATTCCTGAGTCCAGTGCTAACGCTGGGTTTCCACAGTTTGGACAGGGGAGTCTCCCCGGAGTTCCCTGGCCCTGGTCCCGCACAGTCCGGGCCTGAATCAGCGTCTAGGCTACTTAGGAGCTACTCCCACTTAGCTCTGGCAACACCACCTTCCCTTGCGTGGGGGGAAGAGGACAGTGGGTAGGTAGGTTAGTGTTTCAGCCTCCAAGGGCAGCATTTCTGAGGGGACTCCCTTTATTGTCAAGACACAACCGCAACCAAAACAATAAAATTTAAAACACGCAGACACACTGCACCAAGGTGCCTGCACTCTACGCTTGCTGGCTGCCTGGGAATAGAGCAGTGCGTCCAAGGCTCAGAGTGGAGCAGGCGCTTTGCAATTAAGAAGATGGTAATTTGACTCCAGTGTCCCCCCATCCCCTCCCAGCAACCCCCTTCTCCCTTTTGGCAACACCGCCCCCAGGCGCAAAGGCACCTCTACTACAGTAGGGCATTCCTTCCTCCCAAATAACACATTTGTAATTCGCGGGCGGCCTCGGATGTTCTCCATTCAGAGAACTGTCTAAAGTGGGGAGGGATGGATTTCAGCGCCTTTAAGGAAATGTTTGGGAGATTGGCAGGGTCTTGAGGCCCTTGTGTGGGCAGCCACTTGTTTCTAGGGATACTCAAGGCTGGGATATCCGGGGACCCACCCTGTGTGGCAAAGCTGACTCAGGTAAGCAAATCCTAATCGGTTCAAAAGATCAACCCAGAGAACTAGCCAGGCATCAACAACACCGTGTACAGGACAGGATACTGGGTTCCCAACTTTTCTGTGCCCAATAAAGATTATACACCTTATCTACTCTCTTGGGAGAGGATAATCAAGAACGTGTGCAAGGTAAAACAAAGTAACAGAGACAGCATCCTACCTTCTAGCAACTCACATCTTGGTTCCCTCAGATACACAATCCTGGGACTGGCAGATATCATATGGGTTGTGGACCAGACCCACGGTTACAATTGTAATGGTACCAGTTACAATTAATATACTTATTGAGTAAGGTACCTGGGAATTTAGGGACATGAATAAGTGATTAATTTTGATCAAGAAAAACTTTTTGGAGGAGGGGAATTTTGAGCATGTTTCAAAGGAAGGGAGGCACCCAGGTTCAAAGACCGCAATGCAGATGGGGGCTCTGACCAGGGGGAATACCCGGATGAGAGAAAAGCTGGTTGTTTTTGGAAGGGTGGAGATAGCAAATAATTGGGTGCTTCTAGAGCTAAGCATCCTGGTCATCAGGAATCTGGGGTGGAGGTGGGGCACTGCAGAGAGGGAGGGCTGCAGTAGTTCTGCAGGGAGGCTGCTGAGGAGGGGCAGGCAAGGCCAATGAAAAGATTTCAGACTCTCTCACTGCTGTTGGTTGCAGAGGTGGTTGTTGTTTAAGCAGAAATATACTGGGTGCCAAGGAGACAGAGTAGTGAGAGATATTGTAGTTTTCACACTAGTTAGCCAGAAGGCTTTTAATTTGAGGGAACCCTCAGGTGTACCCTACATTAAAAAATCAATTCTATGAGACTAGCCCATATTTATTCACACAATTCCTCCCACATCCTTCTTGATTAAAAGGGAAACAATTCTGAGATGTTGCCTCTTGTTTATTCAACAAGTACCGATTGTTTATTAGGTATCAAACACTAGGTATAAATCGTAATAGGCATGATTTTCATATACCTGCTGCTTTATTTAAGTACCTCCTGGTGCCTGAGTTTTTTTACGTGTCACTTTACTAAACAAAATCAGAATAAGATGGTCCTGTGTTTACAGAAACATCTAAGGCAAGCCCCAAATTGTACCAGAATAAGAACACGGCTGTACTTCTCCCTTCTAAAATAAAACAACCACCAGGAAAATGTCCTAAGCAGACACAATAAACTGCCTTTTAGGAGCCTGGGCCACACCTTCAGAAAATGGGTATATCTTGCTCTAAGTAGATGTGAATTTTATTGAGTCGAATTGACACTAAAGATAAATTGAGGGGTGATTCTTCATTTTCAAAACGAGTCACCCTGGGAGGGGGTTTTCTTAAAACAGTCAATTCCCCAAGTGCAACTAGAAATAATTTCATGTTACACAATTATGGTCCTTATAAAATAAGTGGTGACAGGGAAGGACGCTCGTGAGGGGACAGAGATTAGATATTCGACCTGGTGATCAGAGAGTTTTCTTAGGAATTTTATCCAAAGCAAATCCTATCTGGAGTCAAGGCCCCTGTGGGGCTGTGGGATATTTGCCTGGGTTGCTCAAGTGACTGAATTTTCAATTCAGGTTCTAAAGCAGGAAAAAAGATTTTCAAATGACACTATGTGGTTTGCTGAGTCACTTTTCTGACCTGGCTCTTCCTGCGCTTTTAAAAGTTAGAGTGATATTTGCAAAGAAGACCCAAGAGCTGTGAATAAGATTAAAGGCCAGCTGGTGGGGAAGGAGCAGGCAAATGAAACAAACAAACAAACAAACCAAAATTAAAAAGACCATGCATGCACACACACTTCTCCAATTTAGTCTGTCAGGTTACATGTTTTCTGGGTAAGGTGTTGAGACACTTCCATATCACAAAGATATCCGTGGTGTATCCAAATGTTCTCTCACTCTCTTTTGCCAGTTTGGGGCAGGGGAGGGCTAGAGATTGTGTGAGTGACAAAAGAGAAGGGAAGACAAGAATGGGAGGCAATGTTGGTAAGTTTATGTTAGAGCCCCTCTGTAGAACCAACTCACAGATTCACTGAGAAGTATCTATCATCAAATAAACTTAGGCACCCTGGTTTAGAGACTAATTTAGGGTCCCTCAAAATCAAGAGGAAGGATAACTAAACTTCAGGTAACCAGAAGAAATAAATCCTGGCCTTCCCCCAACCCTCTACTATTCCTTTCCCAGTACCATGCAGTCCAGAGCTCCCGGCTTTGCTCCTGTGTTTACCATTAGTCAGCTCCCATTTGCATCCCTAATAGCCCTGTCATGAAAGGGCCCCGATGTTACAGGTGTCTCTAGTGGGCCTTTATGTTTTTGTCCCATGGAGGCTGGACTCAGGTCTCTTTAAAGATGAGTCTCATTTGCCAACTCTTCTTACCTCTTCCCCAGGGTGAGACATGGTGCTTTAGCATTGTAGATGCCTATAAACGTTCAAACCACTTCTACATTTCAACGAAAAATAGTCTTAGATTAGTCCCATATTAGAAATGACCCTGATGAGTCACATCCCTCATTTTCGAAGCTGACGTCAGGGGAGACCGCCTGCCCCTCCCACCTCCCTTGGAGACTTCAGCAGGGACAGTACTGGGGAAGACAGGATGGATGGTGGGGTTAAGCCCGGGTGATACTCCCAGTGCTTTTCTTCCATACAGGAGGGGATATCTGCAGTGGACTGCAAGGCCAGCCACAACCCCTCCCGTCTCACCACCACCTTGCCTCCTGGGTCTCGCTTCGTTTCCTTGACCTCGTCCCCCTTCCTCCATCCCCTCTCCCCTCCCTCTATCCCCTCTCCCCTCCCTCCCCATGGAGCAGTCTGCATGGCTTCTCTCAACAACTGCTTCCTGAGGCTGCAGTGAGGTCTCCCAGAATGACAGGGTCTTATGGACAGACTCAAGTGATCTCTTTAGGGCCATAAATGACAGTCAAGCCACGTGGGTGGGCGACTCCATCAGGGCTCCTCACTGCTTCATCCTCCTCATGCTCCAAACCTCCACTAGAGAGCTAGACTCTTCTCATTTGCTTATTTTTTTTTTTTTGAGAACTCCTAGGTAGTAACTCTCCCCTGGTTATTTCCTGTTGAAGGCCCTCTCCCTATGCCTGAGAAATCCCTGCAGAGTGTGAGACAGTGCTCGGTTCCTTTAAAAAAAAATAAATTAAAAAGTGAGCCTAGATACCATTTTTCTGTCTGACTTAATAATCCTGTTTTCAAAAAAATATTGGTTTGCACTATCATGTCTGATAAGCCCTGAGTGGGAGAATGGGTTTCTCATCATTTATGTTTATGTCACCCTCACATAAGCCTAAATGTGTATAAGTTATAATCCTCCCCACCTAACTCCCCCGATACATATCTTTGTGGACTAATGGCCTCCAAACACTCACTTTATTACACACATTTGTTATGTGACAAATCTTGCCAATACACCATTTTAAAGTTTATACATGAGGTGGCAAATGTCAGAAATAAATGAAAAAAAAATCCCAGTAACTTGGCTTGGCTGTGATATTTACACTGAAAATGAAATTTCATATCTCTAGCTTATGAAAAAAATCTTTTTAGTTGGATATTGGCTTTAAAATGTTTTCATTTAATACCCCCTCCCCCACACACACACTTCCCATTTATCATATGCCTTCTAATTTGGTCTAAAAAACCACTCTACTAAGTAGTTGTGACACATCTCTTACAGAGTGCCAGGAGCACAAAAATTCGTTTTGTTTTTACGTAACTGGTGAAATTTCTTCTGTTGTTTATTTTCAAATTGGAAATACATATTTTATTATAAAAGTGGCACCTGATGACTACAAAAAATAATGCTCTATCCCTTCCCCACAACCCCCCACCCGTCACCACCAAAGATAACTTCAGTTACCGGTAGGAATAGGAAAGGAAAACCTTCTTAGTGTTTTTTTCTTTAAGTCAATCCTTTCCCCAGCTGAAATGAGCAATTTTAATTTCTCTCTGTGCTTTCAGGAGCATTCAATCGGAGGAAACGAAACTCCATCTATGTCACCGTGACTTTGCTTATTGTGTCCGTGTTAATTCTCACAGTGGGCCTTGCTGCAACCACCAGGACCCAGAATGTGACTGTAGGAGGTTATTACCCCGGAGTTATTGTAAGTATAGAAGGCACAGGTAGGTCGCAGTAGCTTGCTGTCTACAGAAATTCTGGCTCTGCTCTGATAGTTTTCAATTCTGTTTGAGTGTCTAGTGTTTGCTCAGATTTCCTCCTTTGTATCTCTGTATATTTATGTGGAGAGGCAACTCTGGGCCCGCTAAGAAGAGCACTGGACTGAGAATCAGAAGAATCCAGCACCATCCCTATCTAACAGTGTGATCCTGAGCAAGTCATCTCACTCTTTAATACCTCAGGTTTCTGGTTTAGGAGATGTTACCAGCAGTGTTAACCTTAGGCTAAGGTCCTTTCTCTCCGGGCATCTGCATTCCCATATATAATAGAGGTCATCTGATCTCACCTGAAATCTGAGGATCCTGGCAGCTTGACACTCTGACCAACAGCACTGATCTCCAAAGTGATCCTGCACTCCTATCAGAAAAAGCTGTGGAAGATATGTTCCTAAAATATGTATATTTATTCACTTATAAATTATATATATACATGTTCATAAAACTTATATAAAAATGAACATTCAAAAATTAGATAAAAATAAGTATACAATAACTTTTAATATCTTCATGTGAACACAAACTAAAATGTCACCAGATAATATGCACTTAGTGTGAAGCTTGTCATTAAAGACAGTGGCTTTAAATCCTTATTTCAAATGGCCCACTAGATAATTGTGAATATTTTTGGCTGCCTTCTTATCCCATATGATTAGACTGTCATTGGAGTCATGTTTTTAAATGTCAATATCACAATTTGGCTGCCAAAAATCTACCCTGGGAGTTAGAAGTATTAAACTCTGCCATTTTCTTGTTGCTTACGTTTGCTTACATTATTAGGGTCATCTTCAACTTCTGGTTTCTCAAGAGGAATCTTTTCAAGCCTCTTATCCATTTTGTTGAGACTAGTTTCGTTAAAATTGGATAATACAATCCAGGCACACATAAAATGCCCCACCATCAACCGTTTGTTGCTTGGAACTTGCCCTCCTCCAGAAGGATAGTTCACCTGATCACCTGACATTCACACGGACAGAGGGTGCCAGTGACAGTCTGTTTATTAAATATTAGTAATGTTTGGTTTCTTATTATTTTAGATAAACAATAAATAGGAAACAGCCGTATTCCAGTGGATTGTTTTATCTACCCTAGGGTGCATGCAGTTCCCTTTGGAGACTGCTAAACTAGTTGCATTAGAAAAACCAAAACCTAATTTGAGTCTACGTACACTGCTGTTGAACCCAAAAACCTAACTCTAGAGGTGAGATCATATTTTAAACACCAATTAAATGGCTCCTCAATTGTTAGAGAGCAGAAGGACCTTTAGGACAATTCAGTTAAGAAATATTTTAGTACAGCAAAGAGGTCAGATGTATTTTTTGTTGTTGTTTTGTTTCATTTCTCTTTGAAATGAAATGAGAGAGAGAGAGAGAGGTGGGGATTGGAGAGAGAAGCAAAGCGAGAGGGGAGATTAAAGATGATGCCTTGGACAAGCCAGAGCTATAAGTGACCAAGCCTGGAGCCTGTTGCCTAGGTCACTGATTTCATTCCACAGTCAGCCTCCTCAATAGCTCTTGAGAAGCTGGGACCTAAAGTGGGCTGCAGGCTATGCCTTCCTGGAGCTGAAGGCTGCTGGGGGAAGTGCCTCCACAGCTCCAGGGCAGGCAGGGCTCCTCCCAGCTGAGGGCAGGTGACCCACAGACACTGTTTGGTGCCCTGTGTTAAACATGTGATGTGAGAACTCACCCAGTGCACTTCCTGTGGTGAGGCAAGAAAACCAGTCGTCAGCAGAATTGGGTTTTATTTTTAAACACAAGCAAAGCCGGTGGGGGGTCGGGGGGTGGGTGTGCAGGGAGGAACAGAGGGGGTAAGATAGCATTTCGGTGGCTTGGAAAAGCAATTTATAGGGTCTGCTTGACTTTGTGTATTTCAGGTAGCTGCATTAGTAAAATATTTCTGACTGATGAGCAAATGCTGAAGCCAAGATTTAGAGTCTCTGTGGGTGAGGGGAAGGTATTTTCCATGTTATTTAAGAGTATGAACTCCTATTCATAAACAGTGGCTGTGAACCTTCTCTGTGGAATATCTTACTGTGGGTGGCTAGGTTGGAATACGTTAACAAAGGAAGGAGGGTGCCTGATTGCTGTTATTCAAGTACCTGATGTTCAGCTAGCACTAGAAGTTGAAGCAGTGGGGGCGTGTGTTTGCGTGTGAGTGGTTCACTAAGAGCTAATATGGAAGTGTTAATAGGAAAGCCATCCCTAACGGACACTGTGCCCCCATGATTTAACCTTTAAAAATGTGCTCTCATAGTTCCTGGAGATTGCTTCTTTAAAATGCATTTTAATTACATAAAATAAAGGGGAAAAGACAGCAGATTGAATAGCAGAAAAATCCATTTGAGTTTATAGGTCAGATCACGTTGTAACAAATACAATTACGACTCATACCTCAGAAACAGTAAACGCCTGAGAATCCAGATTTGTCTGGGAATGGGGTACTTTCATTAACTGAATAGCTTGGTTATTAGGGAGTTACTATAGAAACTCCAAACCAGTGGTTTCCCCACTCTGATGTGAATAAGAATGACCTTGTGAACCTGCAAAAAATGCAGATCTCTACTCCCTAGCCCAAGAGATTCTGATTCAGTTGGTCTGCATGGGCCCTGGCAATCTGAATTTTCTTTTCATAAACTAACCTTTGATTGAAAAAGTAATAAATGTTGAATCCACCTGAGGGGAAAGAATCCGTGGGGGGTGGGGGGAGTCTAATTCAGGTGGACTAGCAACCACCTGGAGAATTAACACACAGTAAAATATGCTTAGCAATAAAACCAGAAGGATCATAATGTGTCATCTGGAGATTCTGCACTGTCAAAGTGGTCACTTTAAATATAAATTACTAATGTATAGAACTGTGAAAAAGTTTCAGCTTATTTAGAACTCTGCTGTTTTAGACTCTGATTAAATGTGTTAACAATCCATGAGAATTTAAATTTTCAAAACAGACAAATTAGGGAGAAGTTATTAGATTAAAAGAAGACTTACCATACAAATCATTTAAATATTGTGATCTCAGGTACTTAAAATATAACTCAATTTGCATAATTCTAAGTCACGTGAAGCTTTTTGGGAGCATCTTTATTTTGCCAAATGAGATATCTTTGTACAGTGAGGTGCATTATCATGGCATGTTAGCTACTCTACCTGAGCTAGCATGTGGTATCATCGTTCTAAGAGACATACGCACACATGCCTCTGTAAAGATGTGCTAGTCTGTACAGTCTGAACTGTAAAGTTTTAAAAAAACTAAAACCAGGCTGGGCACGGTGGCACATGCTTGTAATCACAGCACTTAGGGAGGCTGAGGTGGGAGGATAGCTTGAGGCCAGGAGTTCAAGTCCAGCCTGGGCAACGTGGTGAGACGCCATCTCTACAAAAAGTATATATATAAAAAATTAGCCAAGTATGGTGGTGCACGCCTCTGGTCCCAGCTACTCGACAGGATGAGGTAAGAGGATCTCTTGAGCTCAGGAGGTTAAGGCTGCAGTGAACCATGATCACTCACCCCACTGGGCTCCAGCCTGGGCCACAAAGCAAGACTGTCTCAAATAAATAAATAAATAAAATTTAAAAACTAAAAACGGCCAGGTGCGGTGGCTCACACTTGTAATCCCAGCATTTTGAGAGGCTGAAGCAGGCGGATCACTTGAGCCCAGGAGTTTGAGACCAGCCTAGACAACATGACAAAGCCCCATCTCTACAAAAAAAAAAAAAAAAAAAAATTAGCCTGGCCCTGTGGCATGAGCCTGTAGTCCCAGTTACGTGGGAGGCTAAGGTGGAAGGATCGCTTGAGCCTAGGAGATGGAAGTTGCAGTGAGCTGAGATCGCGCCACTTCACTCCAGCCTGGGTGACAGATCGAGGTCCTGTCTCAAAAAAACAAAACAAAACAAAACAGAAACAAAAACCGAACACCAACAAACAAAGACAAACTGGATTAAGAATTTTACTGTCCTCAAATATTCAAGGCATTTTATTTCAGGAGGGTTCAGATGAGCTTTCTACTCTGAAGGCCTAAAAACCCAAGAGCTTCATTTGTTGCCTGAAGCTGAAAGAGACAGGGGAGGGTGATTGCTGCTTCCCGGTACACCTCCTCTTACCTTAGATGCAGGAAAAAGAGGCCTCTAAATGTGTTTCCCAAGCAACCCACAAGATGGAGTTGGTCCCCTGGATAGTGAGACAAGCCTTTCATTCTTGCACCCTCTCCTCAGCTGCTATATTGATACTATTAGGGCGCATACTAGCCTGAGTCTTCTTTCAGGAAAGAGAGCAAGAATTTCTGCCCCCTTTCCCAGGGAGTGGGTAGGAGAGTCAGTTAATTGAAAATCATTTCAGAGTTACTGTGGGATATTAGGAGATGGGGACAACAGGGATCATTCAAAACAATCAAGATCCCAGAAACCTTCTTTAGGTCAGTGTGGCCTCAGATTCACATGTAAAGACTCCTTGGAAAAGTCCAAAGAAATTTTGATTAACATGAATGCTCAGAAAACATAAGGAGCTCTGGATAGTGGGATTTTGTAGTAAATAGTGAATTAGGCAGAAAGATTTTCAACAGGAGGTGAAAAAGTTTCTACCTCTTGTTTGAAAATGTTTCTAAAATCTAAGTTCATTCTAAAATATAAGTCCCTCACTTACTAAGTACATTTTTAAAATGGCACCTGGGCTGGGTACAGTGGCTCATGCCTGTAATCCCATCACTTTGGGAGGCCGAGGCAGGAAGATCATTTGAGGCCAGGCATTCGAGACCAGTCTGGGCAACAAAGTGAGACCCCCATCTCTATAAGAAATTTTAAAATTAGCCAGGTGTGGTGGTGCACACCTGTAGTCCCAGCTACTTAGGAGGCTGAGGCAAGGGGGTTCCTTGAGCCCAGGAGGTCGAGGCCGGCTGCAATGAGCTAGGATCTCACCACTGCTCTCCAGCCTGGGCAACATAGCAAAACTTTGTCTCTATAAAAAAATTAAGAATTAGCTAGGTACAGTGGCTCAGGCCTGTAGTCCCAGCTACTCAGGAAGCTTAGGCAGGAGGATTGCCTGAGCCCAGGAGTTCGAGGCTAGAGTGAGCCTTGTTTGCACCACTGAATTCCAGACTGGGTGACAGAGTGAGATCCTGTCTCTAAATAAATAAATACATTTGAATCTTGATTTGCTGGATAAGACTTTTATAATACCACAAGGTTCTCACCTTCATTGGCTCCCTGTTGCTTCCTTGGCATGTCATTCAGAGCTCTCCATAGATGCCCTCAGCCTAGTCTCTCATTACTTCTCTTTTGCAAAAATTGCCAATTCACAGTCCTCTGAACACGACTTGGGCTTTTCTGCCTTGGGGCCGTCATAACATTTTTTCCTCATGCCTAGAATATCCTCCCTGATCTCTCTCTCTCTCTCTCTCTCTCTCTCTAGGTGCTCTGTTCTATCCCAACTTAAAAACACAGCAGAAACATGTCTCAAATACTGAGGTCCACAGTGGTGTCTACATCTTTGAACTCCCTACTGTAGATTCCTCCTATTCATGGTTGCTGGAAAACACTTGTGTCCTGCTTTGTGGCATCTGTTGGGCTATATTCTCATTTAGCTTTGTTTATATAGGCCCTCAATCCCTTCTCTGAACCCTTGGGTCAGATGGGATTCAGAATTTAGACTTCTTATTTTAGAAAAATTATACAATACATATACCACATATTATCTAACAACCAAGTAGAGCCTTGAGAAGCATCCCATAATCAAGCACCTCATGTTTCTATAATAAAACATGGATTTTTAAACTAAGTGAGATAAAGATGATAATATAACCTCACATCAGTTCAAGATCAGGTTTTGCCACCAAGTTAGTTACATTCAAGAAAAAAAAACACTTTTTTATTTTAAGAACTTTGTGGATTTCAGGATTATGGAAAGGGATTGTGGACTGGTTTACCTAATTGTAGTATGAGCTCCTTTAGCCTGAGTGGTCTTGATCATACCCCATCCCACCTCCTGGCCTCCAAATTACAGATCGAACACACTGCCAGCCAGAGTAGATGTCCAATTAATATTTACCTAATGACTAATTTTTTTAGCCTTTGTCCTAGATGTCTGGGACAGTGAATGGGAACAGGCATAGGTGACAAGAGTCCAGCCTCAAAAAAGCCCTTGAATCTGACTTTGATATCTAATCATCTGTCTTTTTTTTTTTTCCACAAGTGGAGGACAGCCAAAACAAAGCAAACTAGTTATTTGTTCAGGTAATGGGGAATCAAGATGGAGGTCCAAAGGTCTGAACATTACATGATTCCATGAAGCTCTTGAGGGGAGACCACAGAGCTTACCTTTCTGAGGTCTCAGGGGAGCAAGCAATTGTTTAGAAGCAGCTGTCCATTTTAAGGAAACTGTTGGTTTTCCCTTCTTTATTTTCAACCCCTCAGCTCTTCCGCAAATAAGACTTCTCACTCCATCCTTGCAGAGAACTTCTTCTCTAGGGGGCAACAATGAAGTCCTTGTTGCTTGGAGGTCACAATTCTACTAGCACTGGTCACAAATGCAGCGAGGTGTGGCTAAAAGAACTCAAGCTGTTATTCAGGGGACCCGAGAGCTAGTCCCAGACCTACCATTAACTTGCTATAAGAGGGCATACATCTTTACAATTATCTATGCCTTCATTTTCCTGTCTATCAAATGGGAATGATATGAATTCCACCAAACTCCATAGTATTCCTGTGACCAAAGTAGGGGGCAAGTGCTTCTTTAACTTAAAATGCTTTTGAAATGGAAGATTGTTTTAGCAACACTGGTGAGTTCATTAACCTGTCATCCAGGTAAGTGAATTCTTCCAGCCATGACTCAATACGTATTAGTTCCCTGCCTGCTGAGCTCTAATCCATCTTTTGAGCGCATACAAAAATGTCTCCTCCTCTATGAAACCTTAGCACTACCATTTATTTAGCAGCCTACCTTATGCAAATCACACTACATACTTCATCTCATATAATCCTCAAAGCAACCCTGTATGGCAGGCTCTATTATGATTCCCATTTTATAGATGATGAAACCAAAGCACAGAGTGGTTAAGGAATTGGGCCAAGGGCACAGAGTTTATAAGTAGCAGAGCCAGGAATATATTATATTATATATAATATATATATTATAATATAATATAATATATATAATATTATATATTATAATATAATATAATATATATAATATTATATATATTATAATATAATATAATATATATAATATTATATATATTATATTATATATTATATATTATATATATATAATATATATAATATTATATATTATATATAATATATATATAATATATATAATATTATATATTATATATAATATATATATAATATTATATATATAATATTATATATAATATATATATAATATTATATATATCATATATAATATATATGATATATAATATATTATATATTATATATGATATATATTATATATCATATATATTATATATGATATATATTATATATCATATATATTATATATGATATATAATATATTTAATATATATAATATATAATATAATATAATATAATATATTTAATATATATTAAATTTATTTACCTAAATATATTTAATATATATATTAAATATAATATATATTATATTATAATATATATTATATTATAATATAATATATATATATTATATTCCTGGCTGCGTGAATTATTCCCTGCTCCTATAGCACTTTGTTTTTACCTGGTCTGTGGTCCTTAACCCAGTCTGTCTCTCCCTTACTAGACCGTGAGCTCTTGGAGGACAGTAGCCATGTCTTCTTATTCATCTGACATAAAGCTAGTAGTGAACGTCAGAAAACTGAATGCATTGGAGTGGAATAGAATAGAATAGAATAGAATAGAATAGAATAGAATAGAATAGAATAGAATAGAGGAGAAGGGGAGATAACTGGATGAAGTAACTGGCTGGCCTGGGATTTCCAGTTCTGGAGTGCCTTGTCTTTCCAGACAATTCCACAAGACTTCCACCCACCTCTTCTGGTCACTGCCATCAGAGAGTTATTTGCCATGAGAGAATATGAGGAATAGAGAGTGTCTTTGCTTCCTGTCTTAGGACAAAGACTGCTATCACGATTCAGGAGACATTCTGCGAATACCTTTGGAAGCTGATGAATTGTTAAGTAAAAGGACTTATTTTTCCCGTAAGAAGCTGCCTCCAAATTTCTCTCAACTCAACAAGTGGCCCAGAGTGCCAAAAGGAGAGACTATTCATGGATTTTCTCCTAAAAAATAGAAGCCGTGGAACATCAGAGGGGGAGACAAGATGGAACAAGGAAATTCTCTTAGCACAAAATAGAGCACATAATTATAAGATTTTCCAGCTCAAGTCAGGTTAGAGTGGCTCAAAAGTTAAATGGCTGTAAAAATAATAATAATCACTAGAAAAAAGTAATATTTACTGAGTACTTACTGTGTACCAGGTGCTGTGCAAAGTTCTTTGAATGTATTATCCTGGTTAATTCTCACAAAAGCCCTATAAGGTAGTCACTACTGTGGTTCCTATTTTTACAATATAAGAAAATTGAGGTTTAGAGAGCTTAACCAGTTTGTTCAAGGTTACACAGACATAGAAGAGCTGGGGTTGGAAGCCAGGCTAGTGTGATAACTAAGTTTTAATCAGTATATTTTATGGCAACATATTTTAATTATATCTGAAATAAGACCAGGTGGGAGACAGGCATTGCTTGACTGTTGAATGAGGATGTTCTCAGTAGAGTCTTGGATATTACCCTCATGCACTGCAGCATCTGTTTCCCAAGAGACATTGCTGTCTGAGTGGCCCTGCACAAGGAGTCCTGGAGATTTACATTCATTCCTTCCATTCATTCTCTCATTCTTGGGGTCTGAGACAGCCACCCAGTCCCCCTACACTGCCCTACCAAGCTCCTGCCCAGCCCTTGGGTCTCTTAGATTCCCAAACCTAGGTGCAAGGCTTGGGGGTCTCAAATTGAAATAGATGTCCCTGTGAGCCAAAGTAAGGCTGCAGATGGAAACCCAGACCATTAGTGAGGCTAAAGAGAAAAGTAACTTCATCACTGAACTTGTGTTAAGATTTATTGGTCCGTTCTCACCACTTTTTACTTCTTCCACTTTCATCCCCATCAACAGCTATCAGTTAGTGATCATTTTCATCTAAGACTGGCAGACTCAGTCTTCTAATGGCAGAGCTGAGAGGGCAGTGAGATCTGTTATACCAAGCCATAATCTCAGCCACTTAGACAGGAAAATTGTTTTTAGGGTTTTACACTGCCATTTCTGTTCACCCTTTAATGAATGCTTTCTGTCCATAAATGAAGCAGGGATGGAAGAAGGGGTGAATAAGTGCTAACATAAATTGCAGTGGGTCAACCACAAATACAGGCTTTCAAAAAAAAAGATTTTTAAAAAAATTTTTTAGTGTGGGTTAAGGTGCTTCCTGATTTCTAAAGTACTTCCTGAGTTGGATTGGTATGCCAGATGCATCAAAATTGCTTTTGCAAACCTTTATTTTGTGATCTATACATCAAAGTGGAAGGTCTTTTTCAAAAAAAAGATAAAAATAAAAATATAATGTGTGCTTTTCATCATTATATGTCTCTTACTGACTCACCAGTCACATGCTAGGTAATAGATATTGCAATTGAAATAGGCAGGCTCTGAAAGCTATGGTTGACCTTTACTTTTAGTTTTTGGGCACATAAGTTTCTTCTTAGGTATGATTCATAGCTACAAGGGAAAACTGGCAAATGGTGGGAAAAATACTTTTATTGTACATGCTGTATTTGTGTAAGTAACAGCTGCATGTGGCTTTAGCACCAATACCTTTTTTTTTTTTTTTTTGAGACGGAGTCTCGCTCTGTCGCCCAGGCTGGAGTGCAGTGGCAGGATCTCGGCTCACTGCAAGCTCCGCCTCCCGGGTTCACGCCATTCTCCTGCCTCAGCCTCCCAAGTAGCTGGGACTACAGGCGCCCGCCACTACGCCCGGCTAATTTTTTGTATTTTTAGTAGAGACGGGGTTTCACCGTTTTAGCCGGGATGGTCTCGATCTCCTGACCTCGTGATCCGCCCGCCTCGGCCTCCCAAAGTGCTGGGATTACAGGCGTGAGCCACCGCGCCCGGCCCAGTTTTTTCTTTTATCCTGAATCATATGAAGGGGCTGGAATGATTGTGTGGTCAGCCTGACTGTCATCCCACATACTATGTATGCCATATTGCTTTGCAGCTCGGCTTTGGATCGTTCCTTGGAATCATTGGATCAAACCTTATTGAGAACAAAAGGCAGATGGTAAGTTTTCATCCCTTATAGAGTCAAGTTCTTCCTCTAAAAAAGCACAACATTTATGTGGATAAGTAACACATTTCTTAAGTTTGTGTGATTTGGTCATAAAAGGAACTGCTACTTTGCCGTTTCTCCTAAACCTCTAGGGAATGTGTTTTACTGTGACCCTGTGATATGGGATTGGTTCTCATCTTGCTTGATGCTCCCTCACTGGCCTAGCTAGATTCCTTATGCCAAAGGGATAGAATATTCTGGATCTTGCCCTTTGCTTTCCTCCTTACTCCCAAAGGAGTGCTCCAACCTATCCAATCAGGCTATGGTCCTCACCTAGAATGCTTTTGCTTACATTTCTGTTACTACAGCCCTGGATTATTGGTGGCCGTCACATCTTTCTCTCTGATACATAATCTTTTGGGCAAGTTTTCACAGAGAGTTCCTGCCTTTTAGGAGATTACAATATAGCAGACTTTGATTTAATGAGCAAGTGTACTTGTGGCACACACAAAAAAAGATAAAATAAAATTATAAAGCCATCCTAAAGTATCTCCATTACCCATAGTTCAAAGCTAAGCATGTTGTAAGATTGAAAGGAAGGACAAGCATATAACAGAAGGTGAAGCTTCTATGTCTTAACAGGGGCCCACAAGGGCAAGCTGTTATACTTTCCTGGTTCAATCTGAAAAGGCTCCCTCAAGGGTAAAGGTAGAAGATATAGACTGAATTGCAAGCATATTGCAGTTTTATAGAGTTGTAAATCAAGATGCCTGGTGAGTGGTCAGATGGTGATTGGGCTCCCCCTGTACAGTCTCTGTGGCACTGAAACTTTGACAATGGGGTCTATTTCACAGCAAGTTTAATCAGATAACGTAATAGCTCCAAGGACAGAGAACTCTAACCATATGTTTTCCCCCAGCGATATGGGGAATCACCCTCAAGGGAGTTCTAATAGTTTTTTTCTTCCATTTCACCTGGGCTGCCTCCTTGCCAGTTGTGTTTGCACTTTAGGCTTAAATTATTCAAAATAATGGGGGAATTTTAATTGTAGAGCTGATCATAGCATAGCTAATAATGTCAATTTCATGACATTGTTCATACATTATTTACCAATTCTCTGTAACACTATAAAGTGAGAATTATGGGGAGAGGTTTCTGAACAACTCCCAAAGGAGATAAGTATTTCCTCCTAGCCTGTTGAGGTGGGAGAACCCTAGGGTGGCCTTGATTTTTTTTTTTTCGAGATGGAGTCTTGCTCTGTCGCCCAGGCTGGAGTGGAGTGGCACCATCTCGGCTCACTGCAACCTCTGTCTCCCGGGTTCAAGCCACTCTCCTGCCTCAGCCTCCCGAGTAGCTGGGATTACAGGTGCATATCACCATGCCTGGCTAATTTTTTGTATTTTTAGTAGAGATGAGGTTTTACCATGTTGGCCAGGCTGGTCTTGAGCTCCTGACCTCAAGTGATCCACCCGCCCCAGCCTCCCAAAGTACTGGGATTACAGGCGTGATCCACTGCGCCCTGGGTGGCCTTGATTTTGATTTTCTCCTTCTCCCTGGAGAGCAGCTTGATGCCATGTGATCTCCCCCTCTTTTCTTCCAAAAACCTCAGGGAAAAAAAGTGCTGATTCCATCTAGTTCTGAGGGTCAACACAGGCAGGCGGTCAGCTCAGGTAGCATCTATCTCTGCCCCTGGAAAAGCCTTGAAATTCCTATTTTCCCCCACATTTGGTTGTAGTAGCATCTTTGTAATAGTAGACAAATTATTAGGAAAATTTCTGTTATCTAACACAATTAGAGAATAGGGTAGCCTGGTTCTAGCAAACATTTGTCTTACTTGAAAGTTTTTATATGTACCATACTGGCTGTGCATAGTGGCTCACACTTGTAATTCCAGCACTTTGGGAGGCTGAGGCAGGAGGATTGCTGTTCTCAGGAGTTTGAGACCACTCTAGGCAACATAGGAGACCTGTCTCTAAAAAAATTTAAAAATTTTAAAAATATGTATCATACAACGTTGATTCAGAGACTTCAATCCTTTGTAAAATGTCCTTGACATGTAAGTCTTAAGTTGAATGTCCTGTTTCTTCAGTGTTGCAGAAGGTCATGTAAAGTTTTGCAGGACCCCGGAATCATCATTGCCTTCATCAGTGCCCACTATAGCATCAAGTAGCAGTGTGAGGGGGTAAAAAGAACACTGGATTAGGAGTTGGTGAGCACCAGGCTTTTCCACAGACTAGATGGAGACCCTGGGCACACCATTTCCCCTCACTGTGCCTCCATTTCTACATAAATAAAATAGAGGATTGAACTACCTAATGTCAAAAGTCCAACATTATTTCTGAGTCCAAGGATGGAAGGGCCGTGCAGTCAAATTCCTTCATGGACAGCATGCTAGATACCAGCAAGCCTCCTCTTCATTTGGTGCTCACAGAGTGAATTTCTTAGCTTTCCCTGAAAATGTAAAAATTGCTTCAGTTGCCCATTCTCTGCCTCCCCTGCCTACCTCCCTTCCACTCATCCTGCATGACCAAAAAGAGCATTCCCATGGGGTGGTAGGCTAGAGTTCTGCTTTGGCTGGAAGTCTCTTGGGGATTGCCTGGTCCCCAGAGGCAGCAAGTGCGAAAGGCTAACAGACGCTTTTGTTTTATTCCCCCCTACAGCTGGTGGCTTCTATCGTGTTTATCAGCTTTGGTGTGATTGCGGCTTTTTGTTGTGCCATAGTTGACGGGGTCTTTGCTGCCAGACACATTGTGAGTATTTTTTCGTCCTGAGTTAAAGTAAATAGGCAATACAACAAGGCCCCACTGAATGTGTGCTCGATGTTCAGTCCTTTGCTTAGTGTCATGAGGGTTACATGAGAGGGAGAAGACACAGTCCCTTTTCTCAAGGAGTTGGCAGTCAAGGTGAAGACACCAATGGACACGCGGACATCTAGAGAATGAGGTCTAAGCTGGGGGAACAAACTCCAAGTGCCATAGTGGCTTATCTTGGATTCCAGAGGTCAGAGAAGGCATTCAGTGGTGGTAGGGCTGGAGCTAGGCCTTTGACACGTGGGTAAGATTTGAGAAGGCAAAGGATCAGGGGAATTGCTTAGAACTAGTATTGGGGGCAACGGGGTAGAGAGAGAGCACCAAGAAGCCACATGACTTATGGTCAATGCCGTCACCCAAATAGTCTATGAAATGGCATCTGAAGAAACAATTCCTGGGCAAGGAGAAAAACAAGGAATGCCAGAGAAAGGCCCTTTGCCTGATTTTCTTTCAGGACCAGGAATATAAATGTAGGCCCCTCTACCAGATCCATCCCTTCTGATTTTAGCTGAGATCAGCCATCTTTTTCATCATCTTTTTCTTCTTATAAAGCAAATGACACATCAGTAACTTTAAACATCCATAATTCTACCACCCTAACTTGACAATTTTTATTGTTTTTGCATATTAGCTGCTGAGTATATACCTATTTTTGTAGCATAGTTGCAGTCAATCATAGTATGCATACTATTTTGTATTCAACAGAAGCCATCTTAATAACAATAATTCCTTGTTTTGTGTAGTGCATTTAGCTTTTCAATGTGACTTCACATCTATTACCTCATTTGAAACCCACAGTAATCCTGTGATATATATAGGGCAGGCATTATTATCCCCATTTGACAAACAGTATTCACTCTGAGGCAGTCTCCATGGCAACATAGGCCTAGTGGCTAAGAAGCCTGCAGTAGATTTTGATGGCAGCATGAGCTAAAATGGCTTCCTTTTTTCCCCTCTTCCCCTCATTCCTAATGTTGTTTAATAGCTTTATTGAGATATAATTCACATCCCATACAATTCACCCATTTAATGTGTATAATTCAATGATTTTTAATATATTTAGTATGTATCAGTTATTTATGTGCAACCATCACCACAGTCAATTTTAGATTTTCATCATCTTGAAAAGAAATCCCATACCCTTTAGCTTTCACCTCCACATTCCCACATTCTCCCCAGACCCAAGCAACCACTAATATACTTTCTTTGTGTAAGGTATCCCTATTCTAGACATTTCATATTAATAGAATAATATAATATATATATTCTCTTGTGATTGGTTTCTTTCAGTTAGTATAATGTTTTCAAGATTCGTTCATGTTGTATCAAGTACTTCATTCCGTTTTATGGACTAATAACATTCCGTTGTATGGGTATACCACATTTTCTTTGTCCGTTCACTAGTTGGTGTACATTTGAGTTGTTTCCACTTTTTGGTTATTATGAATAATTCTACTGTAAACATTTATGTACAAATTTATGCATGGATATATGTTTTCATTTTCATTTTCATTTTCTTTCTACCTAAGAGTATAACTGCTGGATCATATAGTAAGTATGTTTATTTGTTTGAGGAACTGCCAGAGTATTTTCCAAAGTGGCTGCACTATTTTACATTCCCACCAGAGTGTTTGATGGGTTTGATTTTGCTACATACTCATCAACTCTCATTATTATCTGACTTTTTGATTCCAGCCATCCTAGTGGGTATGAAGCAGTATCTCATTATGGTTTTGATTTGCATTTTCCTGACATTCCAATGTTTTTGATCATTGGCTCCAGTCAAAGGCAATGGGCAAAAATTCAAATTATATTTACTGGAAGTTTCCTCTAATGACCACTACTTGCCTCTGAGTCCAGGCCCTCTGTACCTCCTGCTGCTGGTGACCTGCAGTACAGCATTTGACTCAAGTATTTGGGGGTACGACTGGATGAATATTTAAGAAAATCTTTCTGCTTATACTATACCTGCCCTAAGACATTGGCTAGTCCTCATTGACACCCAGAGAGCTTTGAGGAAGGAGGCTTTATTAATCTATGATGGTATCTGTTGGCCAACTTAAA
Organism: Homo sapiens; assembly: GCF_000001405.40. Lineage (NCBI taxonomy): Eukaryota > Metazoa > Chordata > Mammalia > Primates > Hominidae > Homo > Homo sapiens. The sequence continues at coordinate 120,289,126 of NC_000023.11, read as the reverse complement.
TGAAAGGCACATTTGGACCCTAGCACAGCTTGGATGGGTGAGAGCCAGCTGTCCTATTGTTGAGGCCCTTTAACATCATCTTTCCCTGTTCCTTTGACTTGGGTGAATCTGAACTTCCTCTCAAGACCTACCACCTTCTCACTCACCCTTCTCTATGTGTCTTGTGCCATTTCTCTTTTGTCTCATATTTCTTTCCTTTCCCCTCTCCCTAGTATAGCCATTAACTAGCTTGGAAAATCACTTTACCTTCTTGTACCATAGTTTTCTTTTCTTCTAAATGGATATAGTAGTAACCTACCTTTCAGGGTTAGCATGAACGTGAAATTAAATAATGGGAATGGATATGCCCTAAGAGGGCCTGGCATAGAGCAGACACTCAACATAAAACAATTTCCTTTTCTACCCCTTCATGCCATAGTTGGTAGCCCTTCAGATTACAGAGGTTGCCAAGCCCTGGCTGAGTGACCTTTTCTTGCCTCCCAATTGCCTTGTTCTTGTTACTCTTCTGGGCCTCAATGAAGAGTATCAGCCAGAGGCAGCAAATGGGCAACTATCACACGTCTGTCTTCATGTAGGGCACTTGGTGCCTGAATGCTTTTTGCAAAACCAGGAGGTGAGAAGGGCTGTGACCAGCACATTAAGCCTCCTCTTCAGCAGGATAATTATGATAATTATTCTGCCACTACCCAAACACCAAACATGGACAATAAGCCCTTCCAGGTGTGAGCATGAACACCCTCATTCCTTTCCAGCTAGACTCCAAGCTAAGCTAACAGGGCAAGGTACTTTCAGAACATTGAGCAGGCAGGAGTTTCATGTAGAAGTAGCTAGCTGATGGAAAGTCCTAGAACCTTAATGGGGAGGCCGGCTAAAAGGCAGGAGGCATTTGAGTGCCAAGTACAAAAGACGCTAAATCACATGTGTGGGGAAAAGCAGCCACTGAGATGATCGTAAATGGTGAAAGAAGTGGGGGCAGAAGGGAAGGAGACAATACATAAATTCCCTCTGCCTGGGTACTTCTGCCAAACCCCAAGGTCAATTTGCATAAGTTGTTTGTCCTGTCCTAAGGTGCCTTTGGAAGAAGCCCCCTACCACTCAGGGGAGGTTTAGCATCAGTCCGGAAAGTGAACAGCAGCTCCTGCCTGCAAGCTTCCAGGCAGCCCTGGCTTGTGTCTATTGGTTCTACCCCAACCCCCATGCATGAGAGCTCTCTCTCATCAGGAAGCTGGCCAAGCCAGCAGAGTAAATCGACTGTCCTTGAGCCCCATGTTAGTTTTCTGAGACTTGAACAGTGTTTTTGGAGTTCACTGATTTTATCTAATCTATGCAGTTGGGTGAAAATGGCTCACAGTTCAATTGAGTTAAAATCTACAGCAGCCTCAGGAGCTGCCCCTCCTCCTGAGGCTTGCTTCCTGAGCTCTTCCTTCTGAAAATGATGCGGAAATGACAGCAAGAGGTACAAGTCAGCCAACCATAGTCCTGTCCCCAGGTGATAATGAAACCTCATTGTTGGACTTGAGCTCTCTCTGCTTGAAAGTGTCATTTCATAATAACCTGGAGTTTTGCATCTTGTTCCCTGAGGACTGTTTACAAGAAGACAAAGGCCAGAAGTAAAAGAAAACCAGAGAGGAAATTTCAAGAAGCCCATTTCTCAATCAGTTTCATAATTTCTCATTAACCAAGTAGTCTAATAGAAAGTAATTTTTAAAGTATTTTTGTCTAATCTTCACTCAGTCTCCCTAGACAGGTGACTTTCAGAAATTAACCCAATCTACTGCCTGCCTGCTTCTGTGTGTGTGTGTGTGTGTGTGTGTGTGTATTCAAACCTTTTATTACCAAGTACAACACTTGCTGTTTTATTTTCCAAAGTCAAAACCCCTTTGTTTTGGTGTTTCCCTTTTCAGGATCTGAAACCACTCTACGCTAACCGGTGCCATTATGTTCCCAAGACATCACAGAAGGAAGCTGAGGAGGTGAGCCAGAATGAGGCTGCATGTCTTTACCTCCTGGGAAAGTCCCCTGTTCTGCCTGAAACACCCTTTCTTTTACTCCTTTTCATGGGCCTAAGTTTTATTTCTAGGTATGTATAGCTGATTTGTTCAGTGGGTCAGAGCACATTGCTAATGAGGCCATGGTCATAGGTTGGAGCCTCATGAGGCCTAATCAGTTTTACTTTGTTCTGTGGCCACAGGCTGACCCTCTGACCCCAGCCGGGAGCCTCCCCATATGTGGCTTTGATCCTCAGGGGGACAAATGAGAGTACAGAGGCCACAGGACATGACCCTCCCCCATCTCTGTGGATGATGGTTCAGTTGCCTGAACTCAGTGCTCAGTTGGAATAAAAGTGGAAGCCCCACCAGGGCACTAGGCCTGAACTACGGAGGCAGAGCCTGAGTTCCACACATAGGATGGGTCTGGAAGCCAAATGAGGGTAACTGAGAAGCCAGATCCACCTTTATGCTCTGGGGAGGCTGGGACTGTCAGCCTGGCCCCTCTCATAACACCTCCAAGAGGCCAGCCTAATAATGCTTGAGCATGCACAGATGAGTCTCTCTTCTGCCCCAAACAGCTCTCCTTATGTTCCATGTTGCCTCAAGCAGAGCTAGATGCAATGCGTAGTGAGGCAAAGTATGACTCCAGGTCATTTTTGGAGAGCTTTCATTTCAGTATACAATAATCCCTTCCCAACCCAGGGATTTCTCCATATGAAACTGTACCTAGGCTTCCAGGAATCTTGACAATTTTGTACTCTATTAACCTCACATTGAAAGTCAATCATTCCCAAATAGTTAGAAAAATGGTAAACTTTCAGTTGGGAAGAGAAAAGGAAGGCAATTGGATGTAAAATGGCCACTGCATTGCACAGCTTCAGGGGAAGCCATTTTACATAAAATACAATGTGAATGGGTGCCCTTGGAGTAAGGCAAAGCAGTCCTGCTCCAAAGGCACCATGGCAAATACTTTGATTATGTCTCTGCCATCCACTTGACTCCTTTTTCTTTTAACAACCATAAATTTACTATTTCTCTCACTGTTCTCAGGTTAGATAGGAGGAATAGAAATGCATATATGATAACAGCTTATCTGAAAGGCAGTAAGCATTTGGATGAAGGACCCAATATAGAAAAAAATGCCCATTTGCTATGAATATTCTCTATAACAAAGCAAGACAAATTTAGCAGCACTTCATTGCATCTGGATGGGGGAGAGAGCTGGACAATTTCTTGCTAACAAGAGATGGTAAATGAAATTCTTTTCCGTTTTTAAAACCTTTTTGCTAACTCAAAATGTGTAAAATGTCATTGCTGTTCTCTAGATTTTGTTGTGATAGCTTTCTTGCGTTAATTTGGTGACTGTAAAAATATTAATAATGACTTCCATAGGTTCACTTGTAACCCTGGTCCCCCTAACCCTATTTTTCCTACATAAGGTCATAAGTTCCTCAACCAAAAATTCTCCTTCCACGAGGGTTATGAGGAACCTTACCCAGGCAGCTAGAGAGGTACTATTGTACTTCAGAGTGCATGCGCCGGCTCCTCTGTCTTCCTTCCCACCTTATCTTCTTTCCTCCTGTACCCTGATTTTGCCTGCCCTCATATTCTCATTTCCTTCAGTCCATTTGTTCTTCCGTCTGTCCTTCCATCTGTCCTTCCTTCTCTCCATCTCCACCATTCAGGGATGGGGCACTGAGGGCTGTGGCAGAGGCTGGACATGAGCCCAGCTACACAGTGACTTGCCTCATGCACAAGTTCGGCCAGCTCCCCATCCAGCCCCATCCTTCCCACACATTGGGTGTTCATTTCAAAGCCATCCTTACTGTCTCCATCAGTCACTAACTCGCATTTCCAATCCCAGAGGGTCCTGCTTCCTATCCAATGCCAGCTCATCTCCTCACTGTTATATACCGTCAGGTTAACTGCCCTCACCTCAGCCGTGAATTCTGCACACCTCGCATCCGGGGCAACACCTGCTTCTGCTGTGACCTCTACAACTGTGGCAAGTAAGTGTTGAGGCCCAGACACAGGAATAATGGTCTGACCACAACGGACACTAGAAGGGCTGAGGTTAAGGAAGGGTGCATTGTGGGAATTAGGGAAGTGGAAGACATTGATCTGTTAACAGATTTTGGCTAACAGACATTACTTGCCTTCTCTGTGCCAGGCATCATGCTAGGTACTTTCACATACTTGATCTCATTTAATTCTTACTTATGATGTATGCAGAGTAATCCTCATTTTATAGATGAGGAGAGTGAAGTTCAAAGGAAACAGACAACTAGCCCAAGGTTACACAGAACTTGAAAATAATATGTATAGGATTCAAACTCAGCTCTGTCTATATCCAAGTTTAACAATGTTCAATAAATAGTTACTGAGTACCTTCTCGGTGCCTGGCTCTGTTCTAGACACTGAAGGTTCAGCAGCCAACAAAACAGAAGTCCTTTCCCCTGTGGAGCTTATATTCTAGTAGGGGAGACAGTCAACAAATACAGAAATATATAATATAATGCCAGGTGGTGATCAGAGCTCTGAAGAAAAATGAAGCAGGAGAGGTAGATAGTGATGAGGGGTGTGTGTGTGTGTGTGTGTGCGTGCACGTGCACATGCACGCACACTGTATGTTAGATAGAGTAGCCAGGGAAGGCCTCTTTGAGCAGGTGACATTTGTGCAGACCTGAAAGTAGTTGGGGGTGGGTGGGCAACCCAGGTAGATACCTGGAGAAAGAGTGCTTCAAGCAGAGGGAATAGCAAGTGCAAAGGTTCTGAGGCAGGAGCAGTTTTGGTGCTGGTTCTGCTACAGCCACTCTGGCTCTGTGCACTCCAAATTGCTAAAACATCCTTTATTCTTTCTTTCAAAATATATTTGGGCGCTAGGAATACAGAGATTGCCACTGAAGAGCTCGTAGACTAGTAAAGAGGATGGACATGTGAACAATCGATTGCAATATAATGTGATAAGTGCAGTGGGGATCAGTGGATGTGGTGGGGATTCTGGAGGCCCAATGAATGAAAGTCAGAGTTTGCCGGGAGGGAAAAGTGTCAAAGAGTAGGTGATATGGGAGCTGAGACTTACAGAATAAGTAGGGAATCAGGAGACAAACCAAAAGAAGACAGAGGTGGGAAGGATATTCCTGGTAGTTGTGAAGAGGTAGTGGGTGGAGGTAGTTACAGAAGGTGTGGTAGGAGGTAAGACAGAGGTGTAGCCAGAGATCAGATGATAGAGAGCTCATTGGCCATAGGAATGACTTCAGACTTGACCCTGTAGGCAACTGGGGGCCATTGAAGGGTACAGCATGGAAGATGGAATTGAGTGGTTGAGGAATGGAGGCAGCTAGGAGGCCATTGCAAGAGCGCAGGCCATAGAGAATGGAGCCTAGATCAAGTTGGAGACAATGCAAAGCGGGGAATCATTTTAAGAGCAATTTAGAAGGTAGAATCAATAGGGATGTGTGAGTAGGTGATGTGCACAGTGAGTGAACACCTCTCCATGCAGGGTATGTCGACCAATGTTCGTCATGCACGTATTTCCTTCAGAATCTTAGTGAAGGCGAACTGAGGGCCACGGGAGGGAGGGAGTAAGGGGAGGAACCTGCAGAGTGGGGCTGGATGGAGCTAGATTCAGAGGCAGCAAGTGGATGCAGCCCCCTCATCACTCACATTCCCTACTGTCGGTATTTTGGGGTCAGTTACTCTGGTTTAAGGATTAAGACTTGCCAGACTAGAGTCAGGGAGGAGAAGGCAGAGACCATACACCAGCTCTTTACCTTCTTTGCTTGTGCCAGTCTTGTTTCATTGAAAGGTTTGGCAGTGGAGGAAGAGAAATTTACAGATTCAAATGAGGTTTAGGGATTATCTGGGGAGTTCAATTATTTATGTTGTAATAATAACCATCACTTGTAAAGGACTTCCCTCCTTAGCAGCAATGATGGAGAGCTGGCTATAACTGTACTTCCTCAGCCCATCCTTACAAAAATGATCAAAGAAATGTAACACGGGTCCTAGGGGAATTGGGGTTATTTTACTATCTTTCCTCTTGCCTCCCCTCATCCTTCCTTCCCCGATCTGTCTTTCCCTTTGTTTTTATCTCCTCCCTCTTCTCTCCCTCCTCCTGCCATCCTTCTCCATTTTCCTTGGTGCTCTCCTCTCCTTTCCCATTTCATGGCCTCCTAGGGTGGTGCTGGGAGCTGGCCAGAACTGGGCCTGAGATCTCAAGGAGAGAGGAGGCCCACTGAGAGGGTTGATAAGTGATTCCTTGCAGACACACCTTTCTCTCTGTGACAGTGTGTTTCTGAAAAAGGTTTGAATACACAAAACCCTACTTTAAATTCCATTTAGCTGAGTCCTCAGGTGAATTGTTTTTGAAAGTGGAGGCTCAAGTCCATTCTATGTTCCTGTCAATCTGAACTTCATAAAAATTGACTTCCTTACTTTCTTAAAGCAAGTTATACCAGAAGAGTCTTCAAGGAATTTTATGAGGAGCTGTGCTAAACTATGCACTCCCCAAGGGCAGGGAGCATGACTTAATCTTATCTATACTTCCCTGGCCCCAGCACAGGGCTGGGCATGAGTAAAGAGCCGATGAAAAGGGAGTGATATTTGTTGAAAAGGAACAAAAAGAAGAACTCCCTTTTCACTGGGGAAAATAAAATATTGGACTAGGCAACTGAGAGGGGTCATGGGAACAGTCCTACTAAAGATCTTCAAGCCTAGAAATGTCTTTCACCTACCTAGTGCCTGGAAGCCAGCCCCGGACATCTCTCAAAGCCCTTTCCCAAGTCTGTAGTGCTAAGATTCCAAGGGCAAAGCCACTAGAAAAGGACTTCCTTAGCTTTTCCTGAGGAAACAGTCCCACCAGGCCATAAACCCAGGCTGAGACTGAAGAGGCGAGGGTCCCACAATAGAGGAAAATGTTTTTTCTTGACCTGGGGCTTTTTCCACCCAGAGCCAAAGAGACCTAAACTCAAGGCCTAAATATAGCTAGCAATAAGCATTCTGAGGCTTGGAGACTTTAATTTTGCCAAATGTGTATTTGTTTTCCTCACACGAAGCCTATTTTTAATCAATTGCCAGCTCCTCCGGTCCATTTCCTGGAAAGGAGGCCAAGAAAAAAAAAGTGGGAACAAAAACATCAGGCAGTCATTTGTACAGTGCTACAGAAACAGAGTCTCTACTGTCCCCTCGAACCCACAGGCCTTCTTTGACGTCAGGGGTGTTGAGGTTTTAATACCAAACATAGATTATTCTATTTAGCCTCATGCAGGAAGGTGGCTTTCTCTAGGACACAGCTCCTCAGCAGTTGCCTTTCAGAGTACTTCAGGCTTTCACCTACTCACTCATCTTTGGAAAGGTCAAGTCAATATCACTGGTTTTCAGCCCGTAACCTAAAGGAAATGAAGTGATTTGTGAACAGCATCAGCTGGTAATAAAATGAAAGAAGATAGCCTACTTCCATTCACTCTTTTCTTCGACAAACTTTTCTTGAGCTCCTACTATGTGCTAGGGGCTGTTCTAAAAGAATGGGCATCAATAAGACACAGCTTTGCCCTTAAGGAACTCAATTTGCCAGGGAGATTGAAGGGAAGGGGACTTAAACGTATATGCAGAATGCATGCAGCAGGAGAGAGACACATAGAGGCTGGCCATTGCCACTGCCTGTCCACCAAGAATTGGTGAGTGCTCCAGGCCCTTATGGAAGAGCAGAAGGATGCCCTCCTGCCTTATCTAAGATCTTCTGCTGCCTACTTTGTTAAGTAGGAGACTGAAACACAGAGAACTTATCCGTTTCTCTAGGTCCACCCAGAACGTTGAGAGCAAGGGGGTAAAAGCCCACATTGGGTAATCAATCTCATGATCAATACAGTGATTAGTCTTTGCACTCAGTTACTCATTCACCGAGTATTTATTGACGACCTTTAATGTTTCTACCACTGTGCTAGGCAGTGAGAGAGACACAAAGGAATGTTAAGAGACGACCCTCGCCCTCAAGAGGTTGCGATTTTGACAGAAACATCATGTCGGCCTTGGCCTTGATTGTAACATTAGCACCAGCACAGTATTTAGCACTGATACGCTACCAACACATATTAGATTAAATAAATAACTGAATTATTGATATATACAAAGTGCCAAACTAAGAGGAATAGACTATGGGAGTCCAAGGAAAAAGCTAATGAATGGGTAGTGGCGTCTTTGAAGAAGGCACTATTGAAGCTTTGAGCAGTGAGAGAGATTAGGATAGGCAGAGAACAGAAAGCAATACCTTCAATGCAGGGGGAGAAATCTGAGCAAAGGTTTGGAATTAGTACCCAGCATAGCCAGTGTGGGGCTTCTGTGGACTCCAGCCTGGCTGGAGTGTATACTCCATTTTGAGGCTGGACTTTGGCAGACTGAGGAATTTGAACACTCCCCTGAAGGTACTGGGGAGCCACAGAAGGGTTTTGATTAAGTGAATGACATATTTTTAAAAGTGTTTTAGGAAGAGTAATCAGGCAGCAGTGGGGTCTGGCAGGACAGCCTTACAGTGATGGAGGCATGAGGATGGGAGCAGTGGGAATGCAAAAGGTGCAATTTCAGAGGAAGCTCTGCCCAGAGACTGAACCAAATGGAATCCTGAATCTCAAGCAGAAAAAAACCACATTAATTTGCTAAACCCGAACCATATCTAAGAATTAGCTTTCTTTTCCTTCATGGTTCAGTGAAAAAAAAAAATTAAATGGCTGCTGGAACCACTCAAACTGAAACCAAGTATATATTATCTAAAATTATTGAATATTTTAAAACAAACTACTATCCTATTCCCATATTGCGGTTTGTGCCTACAAAGTCTTAATACTGGCCAGGGACAGTGGCTCATGGCTGTAATCCCAGGACTTTGGGAGCCTGAAATGGGAGGATAGATTGAGCCTAGGAGTTCGAGGCCAGCCTGGGCAACATGTCAGAACCGCATCTCTACAAAATTTAGCTGGGCATGGCAGTGTGAGCCTGCAGTCCCAGTTACTTGGGAGGCTGAGGTTGGAGGATCACTTGAGTCAAGGAGGTTGAGGCTGCAGTGAGCCATGACCATACCACTGCACTCCAGCCTGGGTGACAGAGCAAGACCCCATCAAAAAAAAAAAAAAAAAAAAAAAAGAAAGAAAAGGAAAGAAAAGAAGGAAGGAAAAAAAAAGAAAAAGAAAAAACCCAACCAACCAAACAAACAAAAAACAAAATAAAGTGTTAATACCTTTAAGAACAGGGTTCAAAGGTTTGAATTGTGTTGCCAGAGGCTGGCTCTTAGAAGGAACAAAATGTAGCTACATATTTTAGTGGAGGCTTTTATTATATGTTGGAGTACTGCTTTCATGCCTGTTGGCATTACATCCCCCGGGCTCAGAGAAGTTAAGTAAAGTAAGTAACCTAAGAGTAAGAAAGTAAGTTGCTAGAGTCAGCATCTGGTGACAGAGCATAGATGACAGAGCCAGGATTCGAACACAGTCTGACTTCAGAGTCAGCTATGGCATACTGCCTGCCTATATATACTACTAGTCCACCCTTGGTGTTTTAGGAGGCAGGCAAACATAATTTGGGGGATGTCAGAAGTTGACTCCCAAGCTACAAAGGTGCTCCTGCAGTTCCACACTCACCCATACACACAGGTCTGTCCTTTTCAGAGAATAGTCCTTGTACAGCTGTCCGTTTTTGGGGGCAGTAAATAATCTGTGCATCCTCCCTGCCCTGTCCCCAGGGCCTAGTACAATGCCAGCTAATAGGAGACAATGTATGCTTATGCATGGGCTCTTGAGATATGCTCCTGAAAATACTGAAATCCAATTCAAACTCTGATTAATTGAAACTCCCTTAAAATTCCACTATGGGCCAAGTGTGGTGGCTCACACCTGGAATCCCAGCACTTTGGGAGGCTGATGTGGGAGTATCTCTTGATGCCAGGAGTTCAAGACCAGCCTGGCCAATATAGTAAGACTCTGTCTCTACAAAAAATATTTTTTTAAAAAATTCCACTACGGAAGCTTACTATTAAAAACAGTGGGTCTCAAACATTGATGAACTTGTTAACACAGATTCTTGACCCCATCACCAGAGATTCTACCAGATTCAGTAGGACTGGGGCTGGGCCTAGGAATCTGCATGTTTAACCATCTCTCTTTCTCAAAGATACATGCACAGATACACGCAGAGACACCCACAGGCACACACAAATAATGCACTGATACAAACAGGCAGGCACACATAGACACAAACACAGATGATTCTGATGCAGTCTGCCCTGTAACCACACTGACTTCACCTCCTTAGAGAAACACTGACTTTAAAGAATCTGAAGATAAATTCATCTGTAAAGTTTAAGTCTTTTCATATGTGAATAGTCCCTCTCTGATTCATTTTGGAGATCAGCCTTTGATTGTTTTTCTGTTTTCTTTTTTGCATTCTTATAGCAGGGGAGTCACATGTAATAATCATCCTAATGCCAGGGCGTTTCGTTGTGACTTTAAGTGTTTTAGATTCGTGATGAACTCCAGTGGCCAAGTTGTAAACTAGTTTGTGACATCCAGGAGGACAGGAACTTTCATTTAATTAATTCCACAGGTATTTATGTAGCACCAACTGTGTGTCAAGCACAGCAGTGAGCAAAATGAACCAGTTCCTGCCCTCATGGAGCTCACGTTCAAGTTGGGGAGGCAGACAATAACGTAGTAGACACATCAGTAAGTTATTTTCATATGGGAATGAATGCTACAGAGAAATTAGAAAAGGGTGATGTATTGCTTAGCTCGGGCTGCCATAACACGATACCATAGACCAGGTGGCTTAAACAATAGAAATGTACTTATTTCTCTCATTTCTGGAGGCTGGAAGTCTAAGATCAGGGTGCCAACATGGTCGAGCTCTGGTGAGGGCTCTCTACCTGGCTTGTGCCACTTCCCCTCTGTGCTCACAGTGACCTTTCCTTTCACATTCAAGTAGGGAGGGAGAGAACGAAAGTCGGGGTCGGGGGTGGGTGGGGGAGGGGCGTGGAGTAGGGAAGTCAGGGGAGAAGGAGGGAAAAAGAGGAGGAGGAGGAGGAGAGCGAGATCTTCCTTTTCTTATAAAGCCACCAATCCTATCCGATTAGGACCCCACCCTTGTGGCCTCATTTAACTTTAATTATCTTCTAAAAGCCCTATCTAAAAATACAGTCACATTGGGGGATAGGGCTTTAACACATGAATTTGGAGGGACAAAATTCATTCCATAGCGGATAATGTGATAGAGAGCGACAGGGCTGGGAAGGGGTGTCTTTGGACAGAGTGGTCAAGAAAGGCCTCCCCACGGAGGCGACTTTCAGGTTTTGTGTAGCAACTCAGCTTTAGTTGTTTACCAGGACATTGGTTTTTATTTGTTTGTTTTTTTGTTTGTTTTGTTTTGAGAGGGCACACACTGAAGTCTTTGAAGCCTGAATTCAGGTCCCAGTTCTACCACTTACGACTTGGGCAAGTTCTTTAACTTCTCTGTGCTTCACTTTCTTCATCTGTAAAATGTGCATGGTGATAGTCCCTATTTGATAGGATACTGTGAGGATTTGCAGAACTTTCTGCAATGATGGAAATGTTCTGTAACCTGCTCTGTCCAGTATAGTAAACACTAGCCACATGTGACTATTGAGCACTTGAAATGTGGCTGGTGAGACTTACCAACTGAATTTTTCTTTTTACTTAATTTTACTTAATTTAAATTTAAATAGCCACATGTGGCTAGTAGCTACCACATTAAACAGCACAGATGCAATGAATTCACACATGTGAAATGCTTAGCACTGTGCCTGGTACATAGCAAGTGTCAATAAGTGCTATCTAGGATTAGTGTTAGTGGTGGTTACAAGTATTTTTCTGGCAGGTAGGAGTTTTTTTTCGGGGAGTGGGGATAAACAATCACACTTTGATTTATTATAGTACATGGCTATGATGTCTCTTACTGTAGCTCCCCACCTGCCCACCTGTCTTTTCACTGAGCTGTATGGTAGCCCAATCCCAGAGTTGGGGAGGGGGCTGGGGAGGACAGCCTGCTCCCTGGGGACTGACTGGAGCATGCTCCTCCCTGTCCAGCCGGGTGGAGATCACTGGTGGGTACTACGAATACATCGATGTCAGCAGTTGCCAAGATATCATCCACCTCTACCACCTGCTCTGGTCTGCCACCATCCTCAACATTGTTGGCCTGTTCCTGGGCATCATCACTGCCGCTGTCCTTGGAGGCTTTAAGGACATGGTAAGGAAAGAATTGACTTTGCATTTCACAGTGGCCCCTGTTGGACATAGGGGGAAGGCTAGGCAGTTGGGGGAAATGCAGACACATATTTTGAAGGGAAGAATCAGAAGCAATTGCTTCAAGGATGTAGCTGCCTTCAAATGTCTCAAGTTGAAGGAGCCAGGTAATGTCATCAGTCTGCAAATATTTCTTGTTATACACAAATTACCTGTGTTCTGGAGGCACCTTCTAGGGGTGGGGGGTGAAAGGAGGAAGGGGTGTTCTCAGTTCCCCCATTCGCACTGGTTATGTAAACATAGTCTTTTATAGCCCCACCCCACACTTTTAGTAAAATTTTTTGGGAATAGTTTTCCCCTAACAAACTTTGGGAGAGATGGAAGGAAAGGTTATTCTAGCTATAGGTAGGATTAATGCTAGTCTTCCCCTCCCCAGGTATTTCATAGTGAAGTTTCTTCAGAAAGAGCATCTGGGCTCTTTTCTGTTTGCATTCGCAGAGCCAGCTCTAGGCTAAGTTGCTTGCCAGGTCTTGCCTTCAACTTGGACCTCAACCTCAGCCTCCCCACTTTCCATTCTTCCCTTCCAAATCTTTTCTATTTGTGTGTGTGTGTCTGCAAAGGCACAGCAGGACTCAGCATTCAGTAGGTACTCCATATAGTAGGCTTCTTTTTTTCCTTTCCTTCTAAGGCATTTCTAAGCATTTATTTGTTTATTTGATAAATCTAGATCTCTAATTATGGAGATAATAGCTTTGAGTTATGGTTATCAACCTGGCTTCATATAAGAATCACCTGCCCAGCATGGTGGCTCATGCTTGTAATCTCAGCCCTTTGGGAGGCCAAGACAGGAGGATTGACTAAGCCCAGGGGTTTGAGACTAGGCTGAGCAACAGCCCCTGTCTCTATTAAGAAAAAACAACTTTTTTTAATTAGCTGGGTGTAGTGGCACATATCTGTAGTCCCAGCTACTTGGGAGGCTGAAGTGGGAGGATCACTTGAGCCCAGGAGGTTGAGGTTGCAGTAAGCCATGATTGCACCACTGCACTCCAGCCTGGGTGACAGAGTAAGACCCTGTCTCTAAAAAAAAAAAAAAAAAAAAAAAAATGCTTGGGCTCCTTCTCTAAAGATTCTGATTTAATTGGTCTAAACTGAAGCCCAGGCATCAGGTTTTGTTTTTTGGTTTTTTGGTTTTTTTTTTTTAAGCTCCCAGGTAATTCTGATCTGCAGCCATGATTGAATACCACTGCTTTAAATGAACATCCCACATCTGTTTATGGAATTATTTTGTGCCTAAGAGGGACTTTCCTTTGACCCCAGAAATTAGCTCCTAGGCCCTTGGCTGTTTCTGTCAGATTTTGGGGTCCCTGAAGAACAGAACCTGAAAGGCAGTTTGTAATTTGATCCTGGACGGTCAAAAGGATGAATGTTGGAAAGTGAAAGGTGGGGTAGGACAAGGGAAAAGAAAGAAACTCTGTCGTTTTGGATTGCAAGTCTCCAGCAGTACTGGGCTGACTGGAACTATTAAGTGTTCCTGCTAGTGACTCTAAGTCAAGAGAAATCCTTTCCTGCCCATCTGCACTCTCTCTTTCTTCTTTCTCTCCCTCTCTCATCCGCACATTTCTCTTCCCAGCTTCCCTCCCCAGACTCTGGAATGCCCAAGCACTAACAAGTAGGGGAAGCATCAACAAAGGTGGAGCCCCAGGAGGGAAAAGGATTTCCTGTAAATTTGGCCTTGAGGAAGCTTTTAGGTTAGAGAGCTGCAAAAAAAGCTGTTTCTGGGTTGGGGCTTCTTTGGAGAAAAGAATGCCCTTTGTTCTTGGAGAATTTCCCCAGGGGGCAGATGAAAGTACAGGTATTGTGTGGAATCTCAGCAGCTTTGGCTGGAAGAGAAGCTCCCAGGTTTGGCGAGTTGAGGAGATGGGACCTCAGGATGAGTGTTAAGAGTTCTCTAAATTGTCCCTAGAGCTTTCAGGCTTGGATGGCAGAGATACCTTGATGCACAAATGGAGTAGGTGGTAGCTACTTGGTAGGCTCTGTGGGGTGCCTGTAAGGCTTCCCCCTCTCCAATTTTACCCTACTGTGGGCGCTGAAACTGCCACCATGTTTTATTCCTTACTTTAAGATAAGCATTGTCCTTTTTCTCCTTGTCCACTTTCAAGATGCGTGTATTAAACAAAGGAATAGGCTAGTAGGCCACAGAGGTGTTTATACTTTGAGTTACTAGTCTCTCAGTGTGAAGGATTTGATAAGACCCTTTTCCATGGTGATGGAAAGAATTGGATTTTGAAGGCAAAGGGCATCTGAGGAAGACAGGGAGAGTGGCTAGATGGACACTTTCAAGAAATTTCTGGAAGTTGGAAAGAAGGGAGGAATAGGAAGATGATATGCTAAGGAACACAACCCTGCCAAGCTTTTAGCCTTAGCTTTAGTCCCGTTTTCCCTCACTGTCCCCCTTTAAAAAAAATTGAGGTGGAAGTCACAAACATAAAATTGATCACTTCAAAGTGTACAATTCAGTGGCATTTAGTACACTCACAATGTTGTGCAATCATCATTTCTGTCTAGTTCTAGAACTTTTTCATTACCTGAAACCTGTACCCATTAAACAATCACTCCTTGTTGCCCCTTCCCTGAGGCCCCAGCAACCCCTAATCTGCTGTCTGTCCCTATGGATTTACCTATTACAGGTATTTTCTATAAATGGAATCATGCAATATTCGAACTTCTGGGTCTGGCTCCTTTCACTTATCATATTTTTTTTGTTTTTAAAATTCATCTACCTTGTAGCATATATCAGTGCTTCATTTCTTTTTATGGCTGAATAATATTCCATTGTATGGATAGACCACGTTTTGTTTAGTTTTTTATCCATTGATATACATTTGGGTTGTTTTCATGTTTTAGCTACTGAGAATAGTGCCTTCATGAACAATCACTTACAAGTACTTGTTTGATTACCTGCTTCCAATTCTTTTTCCACCTATGGGTGGAATTGCTGGGTCATTTGGTAATTCTATGTTTAACTTTTTGAGGAGCTGCCAAACTGTTTTCCACAGCAGCTGTGTCATTTTACGTTCCTACCTGCAGTGTGTGAGGGTTCCAATTTCTCCACATCCTCACCAACACTTTCTCAAAAAAAATTATAAACATTCTAGTGGGCACAAAGTGGTATCTTGTTGTGGTTTTGATTTGTACTTCCCTGCTGACCAGTGATGTTGGGCATCTTTTTATATGTTTGTGTGCAATTTGTATGTATATCTTCTTTGGAGAAATATCTATCAAGTTTTTGCAGATTTTTTTATTTTCCAAACAATATTCAAGATTGTTAAACAAAATTTTAAAGTATTATAAAATGTTTAATTTTCATTAGCTTTAAGGTTTATGTTACCCCCAAATTTTGTATATAACTGAAGTTTCAAATCTACTAACACTCACTGAATTGATACCACTCTGGATTCTAAGGCATCAGTTTCTTCTTACCAATTTTTCTTTGCTTCTTCTAACATTTCTTGTGTTTCATCTTGAGAATGGCTAATGAAAACATCACCAATTTGATAAGGTATCATTAAGCAGTCATCATCTGCAAGCATGATGTCATTGCAAACAACTTCTAAATTGTGGAGTTGTTTCCTTTTAACTTCTGTTTCTTCCTTCAGCTCTGTGATTCTACTCATATTCCTTGCAAATTTGTTTACCTAATGTTGATCTTCAAAAGTAGCGTTGAAATTTTCTGCAGCCTGTAAACAACAGCACTAGTAGCACCTACCTGTGGACTTGTGAGGGCTGATGTGATAACCCAGGTAAAGTGCATGTATTAGTCCATTCTCACACTGCTATAAAGAACTGCCCGGCCGGGTGCAGTGGCTCACACCTGTAATCCCAGCCCTTTAGGAGGCCGAGGTGGGCAGATCACGAGGTCAGGAGTTTGAAACTAGCCTGGCCAACATGGTGAAACGCTGTCTCTACTAAAAATACAAAAATTAGCCGGGCATGGTGGTGCATGCCTGTAATCCCAGCTACTCGGGAGGCTGAGGCAGGAGAATCACTTGAACCTGGGAGGTGGAGGTTGCAGTGAGCCGAGATCGTGCCATTGCACTCCAGCCTGGGCAATAGAGTGAGACTGCGTCTCAAAAAAAAAAAAAAAAAAATAGCCCAAGACTGGGTAATTTATAAAGAAGAGAGGTTTAATTGACTCAGCTCTGCATGACTGAGAAGGCCTCAGGAAACTTACAATCATGGCAGAAGGAGAAGCAGGCACATCTTACATGGCAACAGGTGAGAGTGCATGTGAAGGAAGCAAAGGGGGAAGAGCCCCTTATAAAAGCATCAGATCTCGTGAGAACTCATTCACTATCATCAGAACAGCAGCATGGAGGAACCACCCCCACGATTCAATCACCTCCCACCAGGTCTCTCCCTCAACACCTGGGGATTACAGGGATTACAGTTCAAGAGGAGACTTGGGTGGGGACACAAATCCAAACCGTATCAGTGCATCAAGTGCGTAAAAGCCAACCTCAGTCAATGGGACCTTCAGTTTCCCATACCCTAAGGACAAGGCCTGGGCTGCAGGGTCCTCATGCTCCCCAGAGGCACCCTCAGTACTGAGAGAGGTGCCCAGAGCCCTCCATGGATTCCGGCCTGGGGACCCCCTGCCTCAACAAGCCAGGTGACTAAGCAAATGCTCAGGGCCCTAGGTGCAGACAGGGCTCCCCACAGAGCAGCTGTAAGGGCTGGGGGCCTCAGTCTTGGGCCCCACACTGAGCTTCAGAGCTGGGCACCCCCAGCATCCCACACCCTCCACTCCCCTGCTATAGCTGAGACCTGGCCACTGACCAAGAATCCTGCCCATTTTTAAATCTGTTTTGTTGTTGTTGAGTTGTAAGAGTTCTTTATAAATAGCGGATACTAGAGCATTATCAAATATGTGATTTGCAAGTACTTCCTCCCATGCTGTGAGTTGTCTTTTCACTTTCTTGATAATGGCCTTTGAAGCACAAAAGTTTTTAATTTTGATGAAGTGTCATTTATCTATCTTTTCTTTTGTTGCTTGTGCTTTTAGTGTTATATCTAAGAATCTATTGCCAAGCTCAAGGTCATGATTTCCACATTTTTGCCTAAGAATTTTATAGTTTTAGCTGTTACATTTAGGGCTTTGAAACATTTTGATTTAATTTTTATATCTAGTATAAGTTAGGGGCTCAGTTTCATTCTTTTTCATGTGGATATCCAGTTTTCCCAGCACATCTGTTGAAGACACTGCTCTTTCCCTACTTTATGATCCTAGCAACCTTGTCAAAAATCAATTAACTGCAGATATATAGATTTGTTTCTGCGTTCTTAATTTCACTGTTATCTTTGATCTCCTGAGGAAAAAATGGGTTTGCTGATGGTCTGTCTTGATAGCGGCAATAATGGCCCCTAACCCTCTGCAAAGTGCTTTTGCACAGTTAATCTTCACTATTACTACTTTGTGAGGTAGGTATTACTGTCTCTGTTTAACAGGTGAGGAAACAGGCCAAGAGGGGTCAAGTGACTTGCCCAGAGCTGAGTAGCAGAACTGGGACTGGAGCCCAGATTTGCCAAATGCCAGAGCCTTTGCTCTTTCTATTTCATCCCAGCTGCCCCTGACTAACATTTGGGTAGCCCTTTCTGGTTCTATGAGTGTTTTAACATATATTACCTCCTTTGTTTAGTTGATTTAATTAAAAAATTAAAAGCAAGTTGTTTCCACCTGTTGGGAGCTTCTTTGACAGTACGGAAGGAGAGCAAGGGAAGTACCGAGCATTATCAAATGTGAATCCCGGGAACTCTATCAAGGACCAGGGCAGAAAAAAAATGAAAGCAAAGATCTGGGGAGAAGATCTTTGATTCATGAGATTAGAGAACCAGTGGGGGCACAGATAAGGATACCAAGGAGGAATCATTGCCTAGATCACTCTATTAAAATAAGACCATGGTGTAAAAAGTCCAGGAACATCATTCAGGTGAGCCTAAGTACAATCCTTGGCCTACATCCAAGTGTGGTTGGTGACTTGTGATGTGCCTCTCCCTGAGTAGAGTCCCCGGGGTCTGCAGGGAGGCCCGGGGGTGCTGGCTGATGAAAGCCGTTTGCAGAGAGTGAGGACAGGAGCCGAGGGCTGTGAGCTGGCAGTCTTCAATGGAATCAGCTAGGAACCACCATTTCCAAAGTTGTGGGATCCTGAAAGGAACCCTGACAAGAGGTGCTTGGTGAAAAAGATCTTAAAGAAATGTTTGAAGAAGTGCTTGTTGACCAAAGATATGAGGATTTGAGATGAATTTTTAAAAAGTGAATATATCTTTCCATTTTCTCCTAATTGGTATCGCTGGTTTAGAGTAAACTGGAGAGGGAAAAAAAGTAGCATTCTTTCCAAAGTCCACAATCATTGTCTCAGAATAGACTCAGTTTTGTCCAGGCAAGATTGCTTTCACCATTTGCTGTGCTACCTAGTAACCTTTTGTGTTACTGGAGCTCGGAATGCTACTGATCAATAATGGGGGGGCAGGGCGGGCGTCTCACAACGTAAGCCCCAGAATTCTAACAGAAATACACATACACACACACACACACAAACACACACTCCTATACGTGCACACAAATAGAAACAGGGCCCAAATTTATTGTAAAATCAGATTTATTGATTTAAAATATAACCAGACCACTATTTTGGCCCATCTCTTTTGCCCCATCCCTGACTAAGTCTTCACTCCATTCCCCATTTCCTCTTCTTCCTTCTCTTGCTGGCTTGTCCATTTTCTCTATATCCTCTACCCCTGACTGTCTTCTCTTCAGAGACTTTCCTATACCCATTTAATCTTACTCTCATGTTTCTTCTGTGCTGCCTTCTCTAAATAGTCAACTTCCTTTCAAATATTGTCTAGACCCTTGGCCTTGCTGAACACACAAAAACTTTTATATAGTTTACATTGTATGATTGTTTCTCCACAGTTAGGCTTAATTTATTTAGATAGAAGAGCTGGTTTCATTTTGCGAGAGCTGGAGGGTGTGTTTTTAATTGACAGTATGCCAAGGGAACATGATTTCTGGTACTTCCCCAGAGACAGAATTTCTTTAAAGAATTCTGGGGGAGAGGTAAGGGCATTTCTGAGTAAATGTAAAGCAAGCCAGCCCTTGGAATGGTCAAGATCTCAGCCCTCTTTCACACATTAAAGAGGCTGACAAACATTTATCTGGCTGTCTGTGAGCTGTATTATGACTGAGGTTTGTAGCTCTTCAAACCTCCTAGAGATGTAAACAGTAACCCACTCCAAGGAAGAGAGCAACAGAACTGTGTTGAAACTTGCTGGAAGGGAGTTTCCCCCTGCCAACACCCTAACATGGTTGCCTTTGTGACTGCCAAAGCCTGCCTACACATTTTCATCACTTGAGAGGAAGCTTCTGCTTCTCTGTTAATGTGCTGTAGCTATGTTCCAAAAGGAAGACACATTGATTTTTCAGACAGCTCTCAATTATACACATGAATGGGGGAGGTATCAATGACATAGAAGATGGAAAAATCATTTACCCCACACCTTGATCCATGTGGCACAAAGCACAGTCCTACTTGGGAACTAATGAGTAGTGGTAACTTCCTTTAGCAGTGCTTTGGCTCTGATGAGAGCAGGGCCTCCATTCTGGACAAGGTTAGCTTTAACCCTTGAAGGGCTACACACACCACCATGTTGTGAAAAGGATATAAAATTATGTCTGCATCGTTTTATTTGCAAAAAAAAAAAAGGTGGGGGGATCAATATATTTTTCTTGGTCTTTCATGGCTTCTGTGCACTGCTAGGATTTTGCCTCTACTCTACAGGGCTGATGAGAAATCAATACCCTTCATGTCTTCAGGAGACCCCCTTAGCAAGGTTGGGATCTCTAAGAATCCTTACAACTTTTACAAATTCTTTGTGATTGAACACACTCTGTCACAGCAAGAACACTAGCTGGTTCGGCCTTCTCTATTTGATGTTTTGCATTTTGAGTCTTATTTTTTCTTTTTAATTCTTGTTTTTAAAAATCACACAAATGATTTCAACTTTTCTATAGGTTTAAATTTTTCAAGTTAAAAAGTTTGGGGAAAATGACACAATACAAATTAGTTGTAAACATTTTGACATATATAGTAGAAAGTTAAGAATCCCTATATACCTCCTAATTCTACTCTGCTCCCCAGAGATAAACCACAGTTAATAGTTTGCTATGCATCCTTCCAGGTTAATTTCTTTGCATTTACAAACATACATACATGTATAATTTTGGGGGTCTTTTTTTAAAACATAAATTGGGATCATGTTATATTAATGTAACATAATGGCTTTTAAAACATAAAAATATATCCTGGACAACCTTCTCTAAATAGGTCCACATCATTGTTTATCAATAGCTGCATGGTATTCCATAGTATAGATGTACTAAGTTTATTTAACCATTCTCCTAGTGATGACTGTTTATGTTGTTTCTAATTTGTGTTTTTCTACAGAACCCAACTCTCCCAGCACTGAACTGTTCTGTTGAAAATACCCATCCAACAGTTTCTTACTATGCTCATCCCCAAGTGGCATCCTACAATACCTACTACCATAGCCCTCCTCACCTGCCACCATATTCTGCTTATGACTTTCAGGTATGTTTTGGGAGAAAAAAGAACTCTGTATTACCCTTGTTCTCACTCATGCTCTCTTGTTCTCTCCCTAAATTCAATTATGGAACCTTTCCATTGTCTGCATATGTATGAGGTAGCCATGCATCTCCCTAATGGCCAGCAGCCTGTGGTTGCCAGCTTAAGGACTATGTAGGCAGGCAACGATGGCAGAGATGGGCGGGTGGAAGCTGCGCAAGAGAAGAAACAGAGAGATGGAAGAAAAAGGGAGAGAGGGAGGTAGGATCAAGGTATCCCAAATTGCCTTAAACTACACCAAGGAGAAGATAAGCTAGTTGGGAAATGGCAGCTCATTAGTACACTACCATGGACCCCTGTGCAACAGTGGCTTTTTCCATTCCCCTGATATGGGGAGAGGCCTAATCCTGCTCCTTAACACAAGGGCATTCTGAGCCACACAAGGGTTTGAATCAAACCTGTAATGAGGAAGAAGTCCCATTCTTTTTCTCCAGGCCTCCTAACTAGGACTACACAGAGCAATACACAGAGTATTTTTATAACACCCCTCCCCCTTTTGCCCTGTTATCACGTAAGTCAGAAATAGTGTTAACAAATTTGCACTTTCCCCTTTTCCTTTTGAACTGTGACTACTAGTAGAAAACCAGACCCAAAAAAGGCACTTACTTAAAAGGAATTCATTGCATGCAGAACACTGAACTAGACACTTTGGGCAAACAAGTGAAATGGTCCTTTAGGTATGTATAACGATTATAAACCCTTGACCATAGAAGAGCAAGGTTACACTAAAATCTAGTTAATTCAAACTTTAGAGACCAAAGGAAATACCTTTTAAGGAAGGGAAACTCATAATAAATTTGCTTCTATTGATCAAGAGACCATGAATGTTCCATGGGGACATAAAAGTACAACTATCTGGGGGTACTTCCAACTAACCAGCCAGTTTGGCAATACAAAGCCCTTGGGCAACCTAATTTCAACTTCAGTTTGGCAAAATAACTGAAACTTAAAAATCTGATTAAGTTGAATAAAGTGTTGTTGTGGTTGGTTTAGATACCGTTCAGAGAGGTCTGTGGCTCCATAATGCAATAATAATACATATAGTGTGCACATGTACTTGTTCACTTTTATAAAATATAGTACTAGTTCAAAAAGGTATCCATTAACCCATTGATGCCAGAGGTTGCAAATTTTTTTGTGAAAAATCAGACCTTGGCGATGACCTTGAGCAGGAGGATATAAATAACTCCCACAAGCTTAGCGTTCCAATAATGGGACACTAGGCATAAATGGGTTAAAGCTTAGAAAATATAATGATAAAATTCGTTCTAAAGCCTACTGTGTACACAGGTAGACAACTCAGGTAACTTGTTACCCAAATAGGTGGTATAGACTGGAAAACAAAAATATGTTCAAGAAGGGCATAGATAATTTCAATAGTGACCGAGGCAACAAGGAATTCTTCAAGAGAATGCAGGGATGTTGAAGCTAAAACAAGGAAGGTCATCATTCTCTTGGGGTCCCTATAATAAAAAGTCATCCTTAAATAGAGGAGCCACACATGGGTCTAGCCCAAGAGGCCTCCTCTACTTTTATATCAAAGTAAATTACATTGATTTCAGGAATTTGCACTTTATAATGAACCCTTTAAGTAGGGACAATAATACATCTGGTGATGGTTACCACAAATTATAAGATAGGAAACCTCTCTTTTGGGTATGGAGCCATCATTCCTCATTCAAATCCTACCCCAGAAATGAAAGCAAGATTGAGAATGCCAACGGTGACTTGGATTGTTGGTTTCAGTTCAATCAATGTTTACTCTGTGTTCCATGTGCCACGCATTGAGCCAGGAGCTGTGGAAATAGAAATTAAATGAGACAGTCCCTGCGTTAGTCTAGGGACTTGGGGGTGGGGGGTCAGGGGACAGTAGTGGGGACAAAAAAGTAAAGAAAACATTACCCAGAATGCTATGGAAACAGCATACCTAACCCAGAAAAGGGATCCAGATTTAGCTACCTAGTCCAAACCTATACTATGGGCTTGTAGCAGAGACTTTGGGGATTGTTAGAAGCCTCTCCTTTTTTTTTTTTTTTGAGACAGAGTCTTGCCCTGTCGCTCAGGCTGGAGTGCAATGGCACAATCTTGGCTCACTGCAACCTCCACCTCCTGGGGTCAAGCGATTCTCCTGCCTCAGCCTCCCGAGTAGCTGGGATTACAGGTGCGTGCCACCATGCCCGGCTATTTTTTTTTTTTTTTTTGTATCTTTTGTAGAGACAGGGTTTCACCATGTTGGCCAGGCTGGTCTCAAACTCCTGACCTCGTGATTCACCCGCCTCGGCCTCCCAAAGTGCTGGGATTACAGGCATGAGCCACCGTGCCTGGCCCACCCTTACTTTTTAATAACAGCTACTATTCACTGAGTACTTACTATGTACTAAGCATTGTGCTAAGTGCTTTACATATATCATCATTCAATCATTTACCTCTTTAAGAGAAGTACTCTTGCAATTGCCATTTTTAAGATAAGATGACTGAATCATGGAGAGATTAAGTGACTTCACCAAAGTCACAGAGGTGGTAAGTGAAAGAGTAAGGATTTATATCTAGGGCTGACTGATTCCAGAGATTGGGTTGGGGGATTTTTGAAGTTGTGAATCTAAGCGGAGCACAGCTCTTTCCCCAGTTAATTTTGGGATATTTATACTTTCTACTGGATATTTATACTTTCTACTGGACTCATGGTCCTCAGAAAGGGTCTCTTTACTCTTGATCCCCACTGAAAAAGGATTCCCTTCCTTCATGCATTCCTCAGAGGGGAATTCAGGGGCTGCTTGGACACTTTTTATATGTCTCCCACTTCTTTCCCTAGGCTCAAGATGTCTTTAGTATTTCCTGTTTGAAGACTTTATAATTGTATAGCCTAAGTCTTGAGGGGGTAAGATTTTAAGTGATTTCTCTCTAGAACTTAAATGGTTTCATTTTAGTATTTTAGTTTAGCTTTCTTTTGCTCACCAAGTTTCATTCCCTTATAGTTTCATAGGCGAAAATACCATTCTTTACACAAGAAAGTCAGCCAGGCGCGGTGGCTCACGCCTGTAATCCCAGCATTTTGGGAGGCCAAGGCGGGCGATCACCTGAGGTCGGGAGTTCGAGACCAGCCTGACCAACACGGAGAAACCCCATCTCTACTAAAAATACAAAATTAGCTAGGCATGGTGGTGCATGCCTGTAATCACAGCTACTCAGGAGGCTGAGGCAGGAGAATCACTTGAACCCAGGAGGTGGAGGTTGTGGTGAGCCGAGATCACGCCATTGCACTCCAGCCTGGGCAACAAGAGAGAAGCGCTGTATAAAAAAAAAAAAAAAAGGAAAGTCAAGAGGGCAGGAAACGTCTGCTTATATTCCCAGATAAATAAAAAGGAGTCAGCAAATGCACTCCAGATCTGACAATAAAACCACCTGAAGCACAGACCCACCCCCAAAAGGCCAGAGCTCCCTCATGCTCTTCTGATTGTAAAATGACCTAAGTTACAGCCAGAAAATGGACCTTTCTAGACTTTCTTCTGAATGACTTCCCATTTTGGTTATTTCCAAGTAGGACTATTTCTGTGACTTTGGGTTTGGTGATTTCAACTTCCTTTTGACCCTGAGGCTAATAGGAGGATGAGGAAAAAAGACTTATAATGTTTTGTTTTAACCCCTCAAAGTCATACCCTTATTGGGTAGCTGTCCAGTGAGGAAGCTTGGGAAACACTTCTTGTGGTCAGACATGAGCAAGGATTTGGGTCTGATCAGCTGGCCCTGAGGAAGTTTTGAGTGCTGAGCTTAGAGAAACTGGATTCTTTCAAACACTGGGCTCCAGGGTGTCCTTGCTTCTCAGGAACTCCTCATACTCCAAAGCAGGAAGGATATAAGCTGAGACTACCTTTGCCTCCTCGCTCATCTGTCCAACACTCATTTCTCTTGTCCTTTGCACTATTTCCCCACCACCCCTTCAGCTTTAGCCAAGTAGTCCAAAATCTGTAGGGTACAAAGCATCAGTTTTCACTTCTGCTGGGAAATTAAACCCAGCTATTTATAAACCCCTCAAGGTTCCCAGCAATATTTCCCAGTCTGGCATACTGGGCCAGTACCCCTACTTTACTCTAACCATGGAATGGTCCCTTTCCTATCCATTTGGTGACCAGCCAAGTTTAAGCTTAAAACGAAAGTCTCAACCTATGCAATTCAAAAGTGCCTCTATTTTTCCTCTTTATTTAATCACGAGGGTACACTAGGTTTCACCCTAGCCACTAAAAGTTACTCATTATAAATTGGGCCCATTTATTAAAAGGATTGCTTTGATCCTAGGAGGGTACAGTTTATGGCACAGGTTGCTGAGAGCCTTAGAAGGCTGTTGTTGCTATCACTCAACTTTTTCTTCCCCCCGCCACCCGCCCGCCACCCCGCTGTCAAGTCTTTCCTTTCGTCCCCTCCTTTCCCTTGTTCCTGACTCATCCTTTTTTTTTTCCTCTTTCTTTTACCCACTCTTCTCTCCATCTCCCTAGCCTTTGCTTCCAGGGGCAGAACAGAGAGGGAATGCACAATACCGACAGATGCTGGGATTTTACCCTTGGGACACAGTGTCTTTAACTAGTAATTATCACCAGCCAGTTCCTGGGCTCTTTGTGAAGTCACTGTCCCACAAGGCTCCTGGAGAGAAGCATGCCCTGACGGAAATGCGCATTGATCTTGAAGGGTGTGGGTCAGCCATCAGGCAGGCAGGAGGCAGGCTAAGGTGGAAGAGGAAAGCCATCTGTGTCCCTGAAAGGGTGGTGCTCCTCTTCAAGCACCATCAGCCTGTTGGCCACCCCAGCCTCTAAGAAGCCGCTCAGGAAGCTGGAGCTGACTAGGCCCAGCAGTAGGCTATTTAGATGCTCTTCGTGCTTGGTGGTGCACAAGGATTCAAAGTTCTGTTCTCCTGAGCTGCCCACAGCATTATTAAAGTCACACTCTCAGGCAGGAACCAGAATACACCAGGCCAACTCCCTGGCTGCGACAAAGCCAGATCTTTCCCAAGGTGCCTGCCTGTTGCTAGGAAACTATGCACTGGTACTATGGGCCTTTTCCCCCGCTAAACCCCAAGGGTGTGTGGACTGCAGCCAGTTAGCTCCCTAGCTCTGCCAGGAACCCTTCAGCTTTATCCTTAAGACTCCCAGCATCCTCAAAGGGAAGTGAGAATCATGACCCCCTCCCCCCATACTTCTCAAACACAAAACTAAGAAGTGAAAACCCAAGGGCCGTTGTACCACCCCCTTTTATTATCAAAGTGTACAACTGCCACCCACAGCAGCTGCTGCCCACAGAAGCCTTTTAATGCCTCTCAGGACAGAACTGCCTTTAGCTTCACTTCAGGAAACTTGCCTCTCCCTTCTGTGGCTGGGAACACCTAAAACTGGCCTGCTGCCTCTCATGTCATCTCTGTAGTGGGATTTAGAGAGGCAGTGAGTGCCATATGCCCAGGCACAGAGATTCTTTGCCCTGGTGGGTCTTTGTTCCCCTCTCTGGTTAAGAGGAGAGAGTTCTTAGTTGAGGAAAGCAACAGAACAGGAGGGAGGGAGAGGAGGAGGAAGGGAGAGTTTGAAGGGTGCAAGATGGAAAATCAGGAAATCACTATACCGATGTTTTTAACAAAGGGTATCTTCTTGGAGGGAGGAGGAAAATTGAGTTTTTAAGAAGGAATCTAGATTGTCTTGAGTCCACTGCCTCAGGTTGTTTTGCCTTTAAGGGCTCTCCAGGTTCTACGACCCTGCCATTTCTTTGGAGTGAAATAATGGATGGGATTTGGGAGGCAGGGGATGATGGCAGCTAGCATCTCTTCTCAGTCTTAACATTATGTGGTAAGGAAGATTTTTCTGTGTCTCAAGCAAGGCTTAGAAATCTGGACATAGGTTTTATTTATTTATTTATTTATTTTCGAGACGGAGTCTCACTCTGTCACCCAAGCTGGAGTGCAGTGGCGTGATCTGAGCTCACTGGAACCTCTGCCTCCCAGGTTCAAGCGATTCTCGTGACTCAGCCTCCTGAGTAGCCGGGATTACGGGCACCCACCACCACTCCCAGCTAATTTTTGTATTTTTAGTAGAGATGGGGTTTCGCCATGTTGGCCAGGCTGGTCTCAAACTCCTGACCTCAGGTGCTCCACCCACCTCAGCCTCCTACAGTGCTGGGATTACAGGCGTTAGCCACCGCGCCCGGCCTAGATTTTATTTTTTAAAAGCATGCCAAGTTCATCTACTATGCTCCTGAAGTTGTATTCACTCATTCAAGATTTATTGAGCACCTATTACTTGGCAAGTACTGTTCTGAGCTCTGGAGGATACAGCAACAAACACAACAGGCCACCTCTCCTTCAGCAGGGAAATCACTAGAGTCAAGGATATACGTGGGCCAGGGAGAGAAAGGGGCAAATGACTCCTGCCAATTCACTGCATATTTTAAAAAATTCATTTCCATTCCTTTCCCAAAGTAAGACAACACAAAGTAAAACTGAATACTCAGTGTCTCTGCAACCTGACATATTGCTCCTCATTCTCACCTCCATGCCTTTGTTACTCTTTGCTCTCCAACCTACTCTGCACTTGGGGATGAGGGGGCAGCAGTTAAGGTGGAGTAGAAAATGTTGGACTTGGAGTCAGAAGACTCCAGATCCGAGCAAGCTATTTCACCTCTCTGACCTTAGTTTCTTGTCTATGAGAGGGGCTCCTGACCACTGTACTACCTCTCTGTGATATACTCTTTTAGCAAAGACTTTCCCAGGGATCACTGGCTTAATATCATTAAATGTTCTCAAAGCCAAAAATTACCTTTTGAAGACTAGTTGGGACATTGTTGCCATAGCTTAAGGGAGAGGTATTGGAGGCTTGAGTTATAAATGTAAAAAAGGTAGTGATGGATTCAAGAGACAACACAGAAGTAGAAGCAACAGGATTTGGCAATTGATTGGATGTGGGCTGCAAGGGGTTGCAGAGGAGGATTCCCTATTTCTGCAGGTGGCTTGTAGCCTGAGTGACTGAGAGAACCACCTGTTCCAGGCTCATTAACTCTGTGAGGTTTGGGAGCTCTCTGTTCTTCCAAATAGAAAAAAAGCTTTGGCCCATATTCATTTTTAAATAGTAATGACTGTTCAGGGAATTGCAAACTCACTGCCTAAACTAACGTTTTCTTTTTATCACACAGCATTCCGGTGTCTTTCCATCCTCCCCTCCCTCTGGACTTTCTGATGAGCCCCAGTCTGCCTCTCCCTCACCCAGCTACATGTGGTCCTCAAGTGCACCGCCCCGTTACTCTCCACCCTACTATCCACCTTTTGAAAAGCCACCACCTTACAGTCCCTAAAGAGGAATGCCTGCTGGCTATTGAGATTATTGTGGCTTTTGTATTTCTGCTTCAGTGGAAGTGTGTAGGGTACAAAATTTAAAGTGTGACTCTTATGCATAAAGTTTTACAATGGCCTGCCAGGCTAGGGAAAGATAGGGACGAAGCTTATTCATTATTAGTGCAGAGCAGGGGTGGTCAGGCTGAACGCAGCACAGAAGGGCAGCTCACATTCTCTAAGCAAGACTGGGGAGCCAGCCCAGCAAGAAGCTTGTTTGGACTTGCATTACCCTATGCTCCACCTCTGTATTCAGCAGAAGTGTGGTTGCCATCTTTTTCACTTTATGTAAAGGAGTGTTGCCCTCGGGCCCTTGGCAGATTGCCACCCCAGCACCTAGGTTGAAGCACCTGGTTTATAGGCCCTATCTTTCCCTACCCCTAAAGTCAGTCCCTAAGGACAATTTCCCAGCTGATGGGGCTACACAGTAGTTCCAATACAGAGAGTTCTGGCTAAGATTTTGTTTGCTTGTGTCTGGATGTTGAAAAAGACTGCCCGTATCTCTTACTCCTTCCTTCTCTGTGAGTATTGTAAAAATGGCTGTTGTGATCACTCAGCTCAGCTTTTGTTATTGGTACCTCCTAAAGGGAAAAGTGCAATATTCTTGCATCTTCAGTAGTGGGGAACAGGATGTATTGTTCCGGAAACACTGAAATACACAGCAACATGTGAGATGTTTTAAGTAGATCACTTAGGAGACAGTGGTTCTACTACATGTTGCATTATTACAAAATACATTTGCTACAGGAGATATAAATCTTATGGTTGTAATTCAGAGTTTAAAAATGTTATAAATTAGGTTCTTGGGTCGTGATATGAATTGTTACTAATCTTTGTGACTATTTAATCTTCAAATATTGTGCTTAACCCCAGCAATCCGCACGTATCCTGCACCCCACCCCAAAAGAGTCATCTGTATTTTAATGCCACTGGTCTTATCGGTCCTTTTGTCTGTTGAGACCAGTCATGACAGCATTCAAGATTATGAAAGTGTTACAATGCCGCTTCAAGTCTGCAAAACCTCAAACGTAGCCAACTTGACAAATATTTAAGTGTTACGGCAGATTTAAAATCCATCTGGCACACCGTGGTAGGTATTTGTACAGTTCTTTTAATTACACATAGCTTTAAACCATCAACCTGATGAGTTTAAAGCTTTTGCACCCATGCCTTCACTTCAGAATGAACACCTTCATTGTGATCTTATGTTAACCTGAGAATTGATTTAAAGGAAGATTGATAATCCTATACTTTATAACGTAAAAATACAGGGGCTACAGGAGGGTACCTAATTAGACAGTTCTCCAAACACAGAACACACACTGGAAAATTTTCCGGCCAATTTTGCTACCTCCCAACTTGATGGATTAGAGGTAGCGCAAATGCTGGTGCTCCCATCTACCTTGTAGACACTTAGCCATCAAGAATCAAGGCACAAGAAGTGCACTCTCTCATTAACAGTAAATGTTTGCAAGATATTCAGTTTAACTTTCAGCATCATGAATGTTCTTATCCAGATTTTGAATCCGAAAAACTATAATCCTTTTATGTTATACAAAATTACTATGATTTTTTACAGTTCTGAGCATATTAAAATTCTACTGGATTTCAAAAAGAGACTAATACCCAACTGACTAACTAAACAAATATCAACTTGTAATACTCAATGAATTTTTTTGCCATTTACATTTGACCGTTGGCTTTAGTGAATGTCCATATTTAATTTTTTAAGGCACCATTACACAGTTTATCCTACATTTATCACATTTCTTAAAGTGTTAAGATTCTATGGCTCATTTCTATGTATTTTTCTTACTTTACAAAATAACCTGAAACAGTATAGATTTTGTAACACTTAATTTGAGCAGCTTTTTTATTACATTGAATTATACAAAGTGCATGTTACCTTAGAAAAATTAATATTTGCTGCTTTACTCTTTTGCAAAACATTTGCTGTAATGAATGGATTTGTATTTCCAATATGTATCTTGACTGCATTTTGTAATATTTACTGCTTTATTCCTAATTCTGCTTTAAAGTACTGAACTGGGCATGAAACATTAAAATATTAATCCAGAAACTGTATAAACTGGATGTTGCTTAAAATCTGTATCACTGCCATGTTGAAAACTCAGACTGCTTTTGTGATGTTTCAAATGAATAAAACTATCCTCCCCTCGTTATCCACTTGTGTCAAGGTAGCTATAAAAGTACAGCAAACGCTCTAAAGCAACTGACAGCAGCTGACTCACTTTTGACTATTAGGGTTCAAGATAAAAGGGGACATTTTTAACCAACATATAAAACCTAGTGGGAAATTTTGCCGTGCTGTCATCAGAAATACAGCCCCAGTCTCCTGCTATAAAAATTGAAAAACAATATAAAAACCCATATAATTTCTGAAAGACAATCTTGTAAAACACGCACTCAAACATCAGAATTAAATCATTTTATTTTTGCCACAAGAAGCTCTAAGAACTAATATCAGGCCATGGTTAATGAAAAGTAGAACTTAAAGTCATGACAGGGAAGATTGTACAAGTGTGAACATTACAGTACTCGGAGGAATGAACAAGGTTTCATATAGTTGACCAGCCAGAAAGCCAGTGCTGTTAAGTTAGCATTTAATTCTTTAGAATATGCATGCCTTGACAATACAAAATACCTTGATCAGTGTTTACCATTTTTTTATCTTTTTGGTACAATGGGGGAAAAATGCGGCATTATTTCTTCATAGTGGTTGTGTGTGGGGGATCGTTACCACCAAAATCATAATAATCATTTAAAGTATATTTTAAAGTTAGTCTCGCAAGATTGTTATGGCATTTTTAAATTTCTGTAGTTTAAGCATTTTCATTTTGTCATATCTTTTAACAAATTACTATTTCAAGTAGTTCCTATCCAGAATATTTACAGGTAATTTAGCATAGGAGCAAATTTGAAGCTAACTTCAAACAAGAAAAGGAAGTTCAATAGCCAGAGAGCTAAGTATAAGATAAAAAAACAATATGGTAATTTTAAACAGCATCTTGCTACAGATTTCCAATCCAATAAATACCAGGAATGAAGGACTTTTGCCCCAAAGAAGTATTTCACATGAATTCTGAACTTTGGATATGGAAACTTATAGAAAAACTGAAGACCCTGAGACACATGCAAGTAAGAGTCTTCTGGCAAAAATACAATTTAATTTTCCAGTTTCTCTCCTCCCAAAAACTCCAGAAGATACCTTTAGTAGGCACAGAGTTTAAATGTCATATTCAGAATTTACAGAGCACAGCAGCAGCAGCAAATAATTACATACCTATTATTCAGAATGGATAGTTTTCCATTATAGAATTAGTTCCTGGTTTGTCATAATAGACTTGTAGAATCTGCCAAGTTTTATTATGACAAACTAATTGACCTAGCAGTTGAGTCTGAAAGATCTGGAAGCTCTGCCGGCATCCGTATCATTCACATCGGTAGAAGTAATTATGTCTAACTGGTGAAATAGCATTAATGAAACTCAAAACAAATTTTCACTGAGTACATTTCAGAGTGCACACTATAGTCAAAGAGTAATGTTATTAATATCTACACAAAAAAGAAACATATGGTGATTCCAGAGATCACAGAGTCTTAAGTTATCAGGTAATTTCAAATTTCCCAGGGGTTAGTTTACAAATGGTTTGAAGGTCTAGACTTACAGAACAGAAAACAGATAAATGCACATCACTCTACCTCTTGGCAAGCAAAGGATTTTTTTTCTTGTATTATTGCATGAACTGATGCCTGATACCCTCAGCTACCAACTTAAGAAACACTGAAACCACTACCTTCAAATCCAGCTTACCATCAGAAGAACGATGTATACATGAGAAATTATGATTAAAGCTTTAAGTTCAAAGTCAAGAAATAGACTATATTTTAAAATACATGGTCAGGAGAAAGAAAATATCTATGTTGGACTAAGAAATACTTAAGCAAGGTTACAAATGACTAATAACTATGCACAACAATCTTTTCCAGTATCAATTTTTTCCTTTGCAAAAAAAAAAAAAATCATTTACAGACGTTCAACAATTCTGTTATAAATGCTAGGCTATATGTATGTTCCAACCTGTTTTCTTTTAGTACTAGCACAGTTTAGTACTAGCACTTCAGTAAGTGTTAACTTTATTTTCTAAGTGTTTAAATATGTGTCATTTTTAAAAGTGGTATTTATTGTTGTCAAGAAAAATGGGAACTGACAAGCCTATATAACATTCCTTATGTAGTTTCTGATTACTATAATATTGCAGCAATTTGCAGATGGAATAAAACTTATTTTAGAAGGGGTAAAAACCTAACAAATCTTGCCGAAAGGAAAATACTAGATCACTGATTCAACTATTTCAAATAAAGACTTCCTAGTGGAGATTCTACGCAATATGAACATTTAAAAATATATGCCAGTAGCCTCCCACCCAAAATATGTAAAGTCTCACCCATGGAATCTATCATTTACAAGGATTTATACATAAAGATACATTTGGTGGCTTTCAGATTCAAAATTTGAAAATTTTCATGTTCATGGGAATATTTTTAACCTTAAGAAGCCAAAAGGAAATCTTCATTCCATTCTCTACTATGTGGTAGCCAGAGAATTAAAAATCCATGCAACAGAACTTTTCATCTCCTCCTATCTGCCATTACAGAGATTGTTTTCATTAGTTTTTTGCCCCCAGAGACCACACTGCGAAGGTATAAAGTGGTCTAGCCACCAAAGTCTTTTACAGACTATGGCAATGAAAGCCAGGATTAATTCTAATTAGCTAAATCTAATTTGTTCTTCAGATGAGAGACTTGTCTGCATGGCTATTTTCATAGAGGGAGGGTAGCAGGAGGTTGCTGTTCGCTTGGACTAGCAGATTACACAACCCAAGTACTGACTTATTCTGACATTTTCCAGAACAACTCTAAAACTTATTTACTCTTTATGCCATATACAAGACAAAACACACATTTATTGTCTCAATGTTAAGAAAATTGAGAATTCAGCAGTAAAGTGCTAACATGGAAGGGGAAAGCTGTAAGATGTACTAGGGTATGCTAATAACTCCAGTTATTTTCAAAGAACATTCAGACTGCTTCAAATTCTATTCAGGAAACTATCTCTCCAAGCTTTTAATTTTTGCCTCTTTTAAATGAGCTGAAAACTAACTATATAAACAGATACTTGGGGAGGGGGTCTCACCTCTACTCAAAACTTTCAGGAAAATTTGCTTCTAAAAATTATCAACAAAAATCCCACTACACTTCCTTCAGATAATGTGGCAGATCAAATTAACTTGTTCGCACCTTAATTTGTTTTACAGATCTTCTGAAACCCCTGCCCCATCATCCAAAACAAAACTTTCTAGTATTTCAAAGGAGTTTAGTAAGACTCTGGTATTATAAATTCAAACTCAGTACTGCCATCTGTTACATTTTGTTTAAAAATTGAATCATTTTCCTGCTGAATAAAAATATCTTCCCAGGTCATTGGCTTGTTCTGAGTAGATGTAGTGGTCCCTACTGGAGGTTCTTTTCCAGTGTCAACCTTATACCCAATACCATCATCCTTCATTGCAGGAATAGTGCTTGATCTATCGGAAAGATATGCATATTGTCTGATTTGTAAAGACCTGCATGGATGTAAACGATAAAGCTTTGAGTCCCCAGAAGGATCTTGACTATGAACTGACTTTATATGTGAAGACATAAACTGATAGTTGATGAAAGATTTGCCACAGGCCAAACACTGATACCTTCGCTCCCCTGTGTGATGAATTTCATGCTTTGTGCGATATTCTGCAAGAGGAAATACCTTCTCACAGTAACGGCACGGATACTTCTTCTCCCAAGAATGAATGTTAAAATGTCTCCGCAAGCTTGTCAGACAGACATATGACCTTTTGCATACAATACAGATATAATAGACCCTTCCATCTACTATTAACTCATAGTGATCATCATGTTTTACTTTCATACGTTTGTTTGCCATCTCGCTGCCAGACGTTTTTGGTATTTCATTCTCAAGTCTGGCCTCCCCTTCATCAGGGTCATCTTTGACAGGGATCACTATATCATAAGTATCTTCACCGATATTTGCATAAACCTTGCAACCAGTCGATAAGCCTTCAATTTCAGTAGCTGTATCTAAAGTAATGATCTTCTGACCCTCCATTAGATGTTTTGATCCTACGCCTGGATCATTAGTATTTCTAGTAATTATATCTGAAATTTTTAAGGAATTGGAAAGTGGTTCTTGAAGAAGTGTAGGAATCTGCATCTTCTGTATTAATGATCCATCAAAACTGGTATTTTGGGAGGTATCAGCCTGTGGGACCAAAGATGTATTACTGACGGCCGAGTCAGGACTGGAGCTAATAGTGTCATCATCATCATCTATTATTTCCTCCTCCTCCTCTTCATTGGCCTTGTTTCCTGTTAAAATAGCACTGTTTGGTGTCTGCTGATTCTGCACAAGTAAATTGATTGAAGAGGGCATATGATTTGGAAGTGAAGAACTGACATTTGGTGGTGTAGAAAGTGGTGTCTGATTTAACAAAATAATATTGGGAGTCAGATGTGTTGGAGCTGAAGATACCAACAATTTTTCACTTCCTTGTGTTTGGCTCAAAGTTGCCTGATTCACAGGAGTAGGAAGTTTCTGAGTAGGTGTGATATTTGTTAAAGGGGGCGAGTTATTGCTAGCACTAGGTGCAACATCTGAAATAGCAACAGGGCCTGGGTTAGATTGGACCTGTGCCACTGTGTTATTACTCGGCAAAGTCTCCTTTGTGGGCAGAATCTCGGAGCAAAAAATGACATCATCATCATCATCATCAGAATCGGTAACAATGATCTTTTTCATTTCATAATCTTCGGCAGATAATGAAAAAGACTCTGTTATAATAGGCATTATAGTAGCCCCATTATCTTGGGCTTCATCTTTTGATTTCTGTATTACAAGGTTCTTGTCACCAGAATCAGGAGGTAAAGGCTCAGTATTACCATCCTGCGCTGTACCTGAGATGCTTTTAACCTGTGACAATGGGACACCAAGCTCTGCTATAAATTTCACTCCTAATAACTGCCCTGATTTAATTAACTCATCAAGCAAATCTGATCTAACACGAACAATTTTAGAACTATAGATATAATTGAGAATTTCTGCAAAGATCTCTGCTCTTATAAAGCTCAGTTCAACAACTTGCCCAGCAACAGAGAAGAGCTGATGGAAGTAGGTACTAGAAGCTGAAAGAATATTCTTGTGAGCCCGGAATTTTCGGTCTTCCACAATAACGGTAACATCACAGAAGAGTCCATGGCCACGTTGCTCATTCAAGGAGTTCAGCAGACTGCCAGAGTACTGAATGTCTGTAGCAGAAATCAGTTTTCTACTCTCCATGCCTTTAAGAGAAAGAGAGGAGGGGATGGGAGAGGATTAGAGAGAAAAAACAAAAGTACTTATTTAGAATTTAAGCAGTAGCATCATTAAATAGTTTATTCAAGTTTTAACCAAAGTTCAGCATAATTTTTTGGCTTTTACAGAAATTGTTCATACAGGTTGGCTTTTGGAACAAGTGTCCAATTTCATGGCTTGCTCCTGAGTTGAGCAAGTTTTACATTGTTACAGAGATTTGAACAGTAATCTCCATAGTCACCTTTTTTTGAATATTAGATACATGCACCTCCACTAAGTGATTTTTAAAGATTAGAATTAATTTTCTTAGTCCCAATTTTGGGTTTTCTCTCCAAGAAGAGGTAAGAGTTGACTTTTAACTGTCAAAATTAAGGAAAATCATCATGAACACACAGAAGTTATTTCGCCTGTAAATGATTGAAATGTCAGAAAAGCTCAGCGCGTGCAATACTGTGTCTGAAATACATACTCTTAATTTTAACTAATCTTTAAGAATATATGCAGAATCTACACCCTGGAGCCAATGACATTTATAAACACTGACAATTATTACCTCCCAACGTCCCATTATTTTTCTGTTATTTAAATTGGGGTGCCTCATCTTGATAAACTATTAAACATCTTTCTTACCCTTTCCTCTTTCTTCATCCCCTTGTCCCTTCCCCTCATCTCTCCATCTTTACAATTTCCAGAGGTGGAATGTTAAACAGTGCCAAGTGAAGTCAACAGACACTATCATGAAAAAATATGACAAAGGAAAAGGAAAGTTTACCATTTCTAAATGCCCACTTCCAAGAAAACACGAAACATTTTATTTTTGTTGGTAAAGAATCATATGCATTGGTATGAGAATTTTTTCCACACCAAATGAGTTAGTGAAAATGAAAACATTAACTTATTGGAATAGACTACTCTAGAAAAAGGGGATGATGTCAGTAGAATGCATTGTTGTGTAGCACTAGCAAAACATCATTTTTTGCACTTTGCAGAAGATATTTCCAGTAACAAAGAGGCCAGAGTTTAAAAAAACCCATATATTAAAAATATATAATATCCATACATATTATATATGGATATATTTTAATATATGGATATTATATATTAACAATTAGTTGACAAGTACTTTTAGTGAAGAAATATTTTTATTAATATTCTCTCCCTTTGAAGTTACCAAAAGGGTGTCGATGTCACAATGCTTAAGTTATATACAGGTGGAGGGCAGTTCTGTCTCAAATACCTTCTAAATTTTTCAAAATGATACCTTAAGAACAAACAGCAGGCAAAAAGTCTAAAAATCAAGATTTAAAACATTATTAGAAGGTGTTGCATGTTAACAGTACCAAGGAATTCCAGGTTACCATAAAGGCATTCATCATCAGAAAGGGTGACCTTTGGACAGTTTGCCAAAAACCAGGGCTTCCGAAATACGGGCATTTCGACAGAAGTCGATATTAAGTGGAAAGACAGGTTTTCTGAAAACGGCACGCAATTTTTGTCATTTGCTCCCGGGTTCTTCCAATATGGGAATGCGTCAAATGTACGTGTCCAGGTGACACTGGGACTCGGTTTCGTTTCGTTTATGTGTCCCCCTCCTCCCACTCAGGGTGGCCCCAGAGACAGCACAAGTCGGTCTGAACCCACTCCGAAGATATGCGATTCGACTGTGGAAAAGCCATTCCACATCACTGTGAAACCCTTGACCGAGGGCCAGTTCGGAGGAGCTGGTGACGGTGGAAAGAGATAAAAGCCATCCGCGAGGGAGTGAAACAAACCGACACGCGGCTCCCTGCGGCAGCTGAACCTCATCTCCCTTCCTCCACCTCCCTCTTCCCCATATGGACCCTGCCAGCTGCAACCGAGGTTTTTAACCCCAATTCACGTGCAAAGCAAGCTTCTTGCAAATACAGACGGAGGTACAAACAGCAGAGTGAGGGCGGGAGGAATATGGGGTACCAGGGAAAGTAGAAGGTGGCGAACGGCAGGGTGGGGTGTTGGGGGGGGGATGAAGCGAAGCAGGCGGCATTGTTGTGCCCCGGGAAGGGGACGGAAGGGGAGGATGGGCCTGGCAGAAAAGCTCTAAATCAAAGTAGGGGCTAGGGGAGTAAAAGAGGCACAAAAAAGCAGCGAGAGGGGCGAGGGAAAAGCCAAGTGGGTCTCTGTGATGGATTCCCCAAGCCCCGGGGCCTACCCAGGGCACCGGCAGCCCCTCGGCCCCTAACGGCGAAGGGGACCGCGCCGCGGCCCTCGCGGCTCGTCCCCTCCTTCGCTCCCCGGCCCACACAAAGAAAGAGCCGGAGGAGCTGAGCCTCCGACTCTGCCGCTTCCTGGTTCAAGTGAGGCGAATGCAAACGCAGGCGCGGCCCAGGGACGGAGAAGGCAAGCGCGCTCCTTCGCCCCCTCCCTGATTGGGGCCGGGTCCTCACCTGCTTCCCGGCGCCGCCGCTTCTCCTCCTCCGGACGCGCGGAAGGCTGGGAGTCCCCCAACAAGAAGAAGCCGCACTCCCCAGCGATTCTGCCCCTTCTTTAAACGTCGCTCCAGTCTGGGTCGACGTCGACGCGGCCGCCGCCTCCTGCCGCCAACGCTGCTACAGCTGCCCCACGCCGCCGACAGAGGGCACAGCGCGGGGGCGAAGCGCTGAAGCCAAAGGCGCCCTCCTCTTCCGAGCGCAGGCCGGGGTGGTCCGGAAGGGCCCGAGCTTGAGGCGGCTCCACTTCGGCGCCGTGCTCTGCCTTCGGTTCTTTCCGCAAGGGGGCGGAGGAAGACTGGGAAGCTCTTGTGTGTTCGGCTCTTTCCGGAGGGCTAACGGGTGGGAAAAAAGGAAAGGGAAAGATCGGGTAAGACAGTCGCAAGCAATTGGATGGAAGGGAAGCGAGTCGTTTTCATCGAAATTCAATGTGAACTTCTAGGGCATACAAACTTTTAGAGACTATACAGGTTTCATTTATTTTGCAAGTTTGAATCTGCTCTATTAGACTGTTTGCTAGATGATAAACCATCTTGAAATATAATCAAAATACATACAATCAAATAGAAATTCACAACTTCTTATGGTAATTCAAGTTCTGGGATAACAAGAGAGCAACTACATTACAGTAACTACTTTTAAGAAAGAAATTTAGTGTTTGGACAACTATCTTCTTAATTGAATACTAAATGGTGCAGTACTATGTTAATTCCCTCATTCCAACTAGCATTTACTGACCCCCTGCTTGATCTGTAGCAAAAACCCTATGTTAGGCTCTCGGGAATACAAAAATGAATAACCCAAAGGTCTCTACCTCTTTAGGGAGCTCAGTAGGTAGGTACACAAACATGGACAAAAATATTTGTACAAGGTGTAGAAGCAGAGAGAAGAGAATAGCAAATTGAATGCTGTCATTTGACCTGTATCTTGAAAGATTAATAATATTAACACTTGCATTTTTAATTTTTTATTGTTACTATTTTAATTTTTTATTATTACTATTTCCATAACATTTCATCTTCAGAGGGCTTTAGTGTCTGACACATAGTATGTGTTCAGTGATTGTTTAATGACCGAAAAAATACATTGTGAGTTACATAATTTTTTAAAATCCTCTGGTAATACCCTTCCAACTGAGTACCATAATAAATGAAGCAACAGGATGGGTGTTTGGAGAGCAAAATGTTTCCCTTTTAGGCTGGTTATTGATCGTATTCAACTAAGGAACCAAATAGTAACTTTTTTTCTGCCATAATTAAGGCCATTCACTACCTTCATTATCTTTTTAAAAAGATATATATAGGATAATACTGCATTCATTTCCAAAATCTTAAATTTGTACCTATTAATACCTTGCAGTGGAATTCCTGTGCTTCTTTCCTAAAAAATCTTGCTGAAAATGTCCATCAGGATATTAGACTGAAAACAGATGTAACTATATCTAATTTTCTCTGACAGGAAATCAGACATGGATGTCATCATCTCATCTACCTATCCCTAATCTATTCTTCATCCTCCTCAATAAAGTAAAGCCACATGGTATAATAAAACATCAAAGTGGTATAATATAGCTGTATTTCACATGGAAATATGCAATTCCTTAAGCTCTTCTCCAAGATTTTGTATTGTGGGAAAACAAACTATGTGGGAATTATTGCATTATTGATTTTTGATTAGGACTTAGCATTATGAAAAGTTTCATTGTTTACTATAAAGATATTTCATGGCAAATAGAAGTATGCTGTTGTAAAATAAACTAAGGCAGATTAGTATTTTTCCTGGCAACTGAGTACTTAATAACCATTTTTCTGAGTTATCCTCCCCAAAACTTAGTAGTAAAAAAAAAAATCTTAGTAATTAGAACAAAGTATATCTTGAAAGTTTAGGATCTATTTATCTTTCAGTGGCTTAATTGATGAAAACTAAAATGAGACATATCTTTGAAATACAGATCACAGTGGCAATAGATGCCACTCTAGATATCATGTTTGTTGGTCAGCTCTCAGTAAACTGGAAGGCACAATGCAATTTATTTTGTACCAGCATTTACATCACTGAGGCTGGCAACAGAATTGCCATGCCATTGTCACTTTCCTGAAAGTATTTTAAAAGTTTGGAGTACCAACTAACATATGATGAAACCTGTTCATTCAAAGCACAGTAAACCTTCTCTTCCCTTCTTGCTGTATCTCTCACCCCCTAACCAAGCAAAAACTAAACAAGTTTAAAAGCTACCTATAATGAAAGGGGGTCCAATGGTCAGGAAAGGAATTTTATTTGTAGGAAAGCAGAACAGACCAAGAAGCCTGAGTGGCCTTAATAATTGTCTTTGGGACAGGATCACTGGAAAGTTTAATTAATTTTCTGTTTCTCAACTAGTCATTTCACTTTTACTTTTGTTTTTAATCTGGAGGGCTTAACCCTACTTCAAACAACCCAGTAGTTTGAACTCTATTTCAAACAACAACAACTCACTTTGGGAGGCCGAGGTGGGAGGATCACCTGAGGTCAGAGAACAACCTATATCAAATGGATTTGGAGGTATCAATTGTTTCACATTCTAGAAAGGTTTTATTGGCTGAAAATGGGATGAGTTAGGTTTTATAGCCGTATTGTCAGCGTTTGCTTGCCTTTTGACCTTGATTGTGAATTCCATGAGGGCGGTAACTGTCCTCTCCTGTGTTAAAATGCCAACAATCTTGTGGGTGCTTAATATATATTAATTGATGACAAAAGATAAAGTGACACTCGTTCAGTCTTAGAGCACTTCCTATATGTTATGCTTATGGTTACAGATTTGGTAAGGTCACTCCATGGGATCTGCAGAAACCCTAGTAAGGTAGAGTGGAAGAAACAAAGTCTTAAGCAGAAGATGTGAGTGGGTTGGAATTCTGATACTGCCACTTCCTAGCTCTTTGATCTTATGCCTGATTCTTCATCTGTAAAATAGGGATAATAATACCTTCCCACAGAGTCACTTTGAGGATTAAATGAATCAACTATGCATAGTGTCAAACTGCTCACGGTTTCCAGAATATGCCATGCAATTTACTGCCTTCAAGTCTGAGCCTGGAGCCCTGAGCTTGGAATAGTCATTCCCTTCATAGCCACACCTCGCTTAACCTGTTGTCTGGTTAGTTCCTGGCAAGTGCCTGGTTTTCCATAAAAACCCAACTCAAGTACTAACTTATTTGTGAAGCATCCCTTGGCCCAACAAATTGTAGATAGAGATGGTTGCTTAATGCTGAACGAATGAGTGTCTGGAACCCAGTAAGTGCCAAATATATGTTGCTTTCTCACCACTATCCCCTTTTCTGCTTAATCCCAACAAATCTCTCTTTAAGTGACCTGTCTAATACTGCCTATTGCCCTTTTTTCTTAAAACTTTCCAAAGTCAATTGGATAGGGATATATAACTCTCCTACTGGAAAAGGAGTCGTCGATAATTGCTAACAATAATACAATCTACCAAAAAAAGCAACAGACAGCTTATTCCAAACTTGAACAAAATTGAGGGAATATACTACCTATGAGTCATTTGTGAAAATTACTTGGCAATATATGAAGTCAAATCAAATAAGAAATGAGTCCAAATAAAGAATTAAGAATGGAGATTTTGCAGTAAGCCAATCTATTTAAGTGGAAGACTAAGTCCAAACAACAGATTGATTATGACTATGTGACAATGAAACTTATAAAGCCCGACACTGTAAACTTCATTCATTTTTTCAATACATATTAAACATATATCATTTAGTATTTACTCTGTGCCAGGCAGTGTTGTAGGCAGTGTTGTAGGCACTGTGGATATAATTATCATCAAGTTGAGATATTGGTCTTCATGGAACTTACATTATAATGGAAGAGACATACAATCAACATTTGTATATATATAATATAAATATATAATACAAAAACAGAAAGTAGTAAGTGCTATGAAGAAAAATAGAGCAAAGGGATAGAGAATGATGAGGGTGTTATTGTAAATTGTGTGGTCAAGCACAGCCTCTCTGAAAAGATGATGTATGGCCAAAGAATGGAATGAACTAAGGGAAAGGGCCATATAAATATCTGGGGAAGAACATTTTAGGCAGTGGAATGTGTCATTGCCCTTCAACCAAAGACTACCAGAA
The DNA here is from genome assembly GCF_000001405.40 of Homo sapiens. Lineage (NCBI taxonomy): Eukaryota > Metazoa > Chordata > Mammalia > Primates > Hominidae > Homo > Homo sapiens. The sequence goes on along the minus strand of NC_000023.11, from coordinate 120,246,802 downwards.
ACATACCCATAGTTGACAGATTGAGTTTATTACTCTTACTCCAGGGAGGGACAACACACACTATAGGTAACTATGATGTGTTTCAATAAGAAGTTGTTAGAATGAACCTATTATAGGATTTGGACAATTTGGGGGAAGGTCTAGGAATCAGGAGTTCCGTCTCAGATACATCAGAAAGCAGGGGCAATTGTATGATTGCACATTTCAATAAATCTTATTTATAGGGAGGGCAGACTAGAGGGAGGATAAAGCTGTACATTAACTGGCAAAGTAGCAGTGACCTATCTTGGCCAAGAAGGGGTGTTTGGTGTTTTCTGGGTGTCACAGTGAGCTTGTTTTTGTCTGTGCTTAGACAAGCTTATGAAGTGGTCTTGTTTTGTCTCACTTGATCAGGCTCCCAGTGATCTTGTCTTGGGTTGGTGTTCTGTGAGTTTATGTTCAACAAGAGAAGAACATGCCTAATTGTGAGTGCGAGGTCAGTTTGTGGATATCAGGGGCTGCTCCCACTTCCCTTTCTCAAACAGCAAGCGAAAAGCCTTAGAATATAAGGAACAAGGCCGGGCACGGTGGCTCATGCCTGTAATCCCAGCACTTTGGGAGGCCGAGGTGGGAGGATCACTTGAGGTCAGGAATTCGAGACCAGCCTGGCCAACGTGACCAAACCCCGTCTCTACTAAAAATACACAAATTAGCCGAGTGTGGTGGCGGGCACCTATAATCCCAGCTACTTGGGAGGCTGAGGCAGGAGAATCACTTGAACCCAGGAGGTGGAGGTTGCAGTGAGCTGAGATCGCGCCATTGCATTCCAGCCTGGGTGACAGAGTGAGACTCCATCTCAAAACAAAACAAAACAAGCAAACAAAAAAAGAATATAAGAAACAAATTTTAGAAGTAGTAGGAGAGGAAGAAGTACAACCGTGGCTATCACCTCATCTTTAATAGAAAGTAGTCACTTTCTACTGTATTATTGTATGGAACATACTTATACTAAAACATTATTCTTTATTTGAAATTCAAAGATAAGTGGCCTACTGTATATTTCTTTTTGCTATTAATAAATCTGACAACACTGAAATAAACACTTTCAGTTGTGTACGAAATACTTTGAATACTTTGTCCCTTTTCTTCCCATCTCAGATTTTTCTTTTAATTCAAATAGACTCCGAAAAAATATGTGAATCTGTTTGAGCCAGTCCTATTTATTATATATGTACATATATACACACATAACCAAATGTACATATTTTATACACACACACACGACACAGAGTGCGCCCAATATTATAGAACATGTAATACACACATTCACGGAAAGCACCCGTACACGAACAGAATTGTCTATGTTGTTGATATGGCCATTCTGTGAAATGTCTCCAGTGGACTCTCGTCCTGCCCTTCAGTTATTTCAAGTAGAAGCCTAAGGAAGACCTAGTCTCTGTGCGGATTTAGACCCTGGCGAGCCTCAATGCGGAACCAAAGGATGAGCGAAATCGGTTGCAGTAGCGGTTTATTTACACCAAGACACACACCTCTTCACCTTGGCCGGAGGCCACACAGACCTGGGGAAATGTTTTGCCAACGTACTCGCAATAGTTCCCATGGTTTCCTTTGCTCCCAGCGGTTGCGCGGGCTGGGTTTTTGGAGCAAAGGCAACGGATACTGCTGAGGCTCCTGAGAATGTCCCGTTTTCGAGGCTGCAGTAGCTCCGGTGTCCGGTTCTGCAGTGCCGAGAGGGAGGCCTCGGGCTCCGGGCGGGGGAATGTGTTGCAGTTTGTCCAAGAGCCCCAAGCCCAGCAAAGCCGCCCGTTCCCCGCTGGGGCGCAACTCTCACTGGAACTCTTGTTCTCTGACTGGGGAATGGAATGGGCTCAGCCAAGGCTCCCGAAACCAGCCCTGCCGCTCCCAGTTGTGGTCGCATTCTCAAGAGCGGCTGACTGCGCCGTGGACCATCACTTTCGCTTCTGCCTGCTCTTGCGCCTATTGCGGCAACTACTCACGCTCCTACGGGACGAGGAGAGGGAGGTGAATCCGTGGCAGAGGTGAGTGAGATCATGGCTGCACCTTCGCTCTAAGGAGCCCACTTGCCTTCAGCGAGTCCGCTTCATCTTTCAGCCCGCTTCTGACCATTTGCATTTCGCTCCTTCTACCTTCACCGCGCCCATTTTCATCCTTTTCTGCAATCTATCCACGACAGCTCCTTGTTCGCCCCTCTCCTCTCTCACATTCTCACTCATCCTTGGGCCCCTTTGTAGGGTGCCCCGGTCTCCCTCCACCCTCTTTCGCCTCTGATCTCGGAGCAGACACGGCTAAGGGTCACAGACCTACGTATAGCATTTATTTGTTTTGTGTTATCGTTCGTGAACATATTTTTATTCTCCACTAGACTGAGCTCGTGGAAAGGAGGACCCCTATTTTATTCATTACAGAATTTGCAGTGCCTGGCACTTAATAGGGGCTCAATCTACTGAAAGTGTTGTGTGTTGAGTGAATGATCGGTTTGAGATCCTAACAGGCTAACTAAGTGGAAATTCCTTGTAGGGAGTTGGAAAGGGTTGAGATTAAGGGTTTAAATTGGAAAGGAGAAATACCTTCCTCTGAGACAAGATAACTGGATGAATGTAGGCAAAGTGATGTGCTAAACTGCAGATGTGGCTACCTTCAGGAAGGTCTTAAGTGGTCTCAATCTTGACCTTGAAGAATGAGAGGAGAGTGAGATGAGTTTTCCTCTAATGAGAGTGAATATTGGAGTGGGAAGTAGATGGTTTGAGAAGGAAAATAATTATAATTATTGCTGTGTAAGTACTCATATCAAATGTTTATTGAATGTGTCAGGTACTATACTGAGTGCCTTACATGCACTACGGTTAAAAAATGAGAAATTTTAAAACATTACAGGTATTGAGGGGTAGGTTGAAATTCCAACAGGTGGGAGATGTCTTGATGAGTCTTTTTCTTCCACTAGTGGGATGTAATAAAGCATAGTGATGAGAAGGACAGCCTCTGGATTGAGACTTTCTGAGTTTGAAGCCTTGCTTTGCTACTTAATACCTATGTGACCTTGGTAACCTCTCCAAGCTTCATTATTTTTTCACCTGTAAAAGGGGGATACAAATAGTACTGACGTTTTTAGGGTTATTGTAATGATGTAGTGCCTTGAACGTAATAAGCATTTCACAGGTGTTGGTTATTAGAGTTTCATGCCTGGGAGCAGAGGAAGTAAAAACAGTCCTGAGTTAGGTTACAGATACACATTTTTTGCCCATGTGGGAGAGGTGAGTGAAACTACTGCACCTGTCCTCTGAGGAGCGCTCCTGCCTTTGGGATGGAAAGGTCCTCCCAGTTTGTGTCAATCAAAAAACTTCTTATTTTAGAATCCTAACCAAAACATATAAGAACAACTTGGGTAAAATTTGCATTTGTGCACATAGAAGATAAATAATTTATCTTAAGGCACAGATAAAACCAGGTAGCAGCAGGGAGTGTTATAATTGTCTGCTATTCACCATGTTGATGAGGGAAGGATTCCCACCCTTTGTGTTATGGAGTAGCTGAACACAGGACAGATGAGATCAACAGCAGTTTATTAATCACATATGTTCACAGCTGGAATGGGAGAGAACACAGCGTGCCACGAAGGGCCACACCGAGGTTGCTGTTGGTAAGACAGTGAATAATCAGGGGCTGTGGGAGGTAGACTTTGTGGTATCAAGAAATTGAGGTAATACCTGCTTTCCCTTGGAAGGATATGATTGGCTTGTTTGAATAATTCCACAAGCTGACAATGTACTAAAATCTGCTACCCAGAGATAAGCTGGAACTGCGTCTGGTCTCTTTGAGAAGGAGGGTCATTTGGCTAGGGGACCTTATTTGCAGGAGCAGAATGGAGAGGAGAATTCGCAGTAAGGCCATTGGGAGCCCTCCTGGTTTCCCCAATTGTCAAGGTAGTACACAATATTGGGCCTTAATTTTGTGCCTCACACCACAAAGACTGTGTGTCTTTATAGTCTGGCAGGCATCCTTGGTCCCTATACTCATATTCCAAGAACTGTTAGACGTATGTTTACTTTTTGATTACCTGCTCTTGAAATGGGAAACCCTCTGAGACTAACTCTGTATACTTATAATACCTTTTCCCTGAATAAAGAAGTAAAAAATATTTATTCAAACAATGAAATCAAACATTTATTTTATAAGGATTTTTATAGACGTAAGCAGCTAAACTTTGAGGAAATTGAACCTCTCTTAGTTTATTTTTTTCAGCTTATGAGTAACAGCAAAAATTAAAACAATAAATGACAAACATTATAATACAATAAAAAATTAGTGTCCTCCAAAGAACAGATAGGTAAGGTACTCTTTTTTAAAAAGGAACTAAAGGGAGTCTAACATACCTAAGAATTAAAACATGTTGCTAGTGCATTTTAGCATGCTAATTGTTTTCTTTAAATTGTATTCATGGGGTGCTAATTTCCTATTAATAGAGGAGTTCAGTGTTAAAACAGATAATACATTTATATTTTGATTTTTTTCTTCAACCCAGGAGCAGATTGCATTCCAGACAATAGTATTACACAGCGATTTTTAAAAAATGCAGATGCCAGTGTAGTTCGGTTTAGTTAATTTTCCTGTATCCAATACTATGTGAAATATTAGTACTTTTTTTTTTTTGCTTATTTCTTTTCTCTTTGGTGTTGCTCATAAGTTTCTTCTTCCCTCTCCTCTATTTCTGTGTTTAGGTTGAGTTGAGGCAATGTGTTTCACAGGTAAACCTGTAATTTGTGACAAGGTGATAAAACATTATTATCTGAAGTGTATTCTTATAGATACCCTTGGTAAATGCTTAAAGGACCTGAACTCATAGAATTAGAGTCAGAAGGAACCCTAAAAATAATTTTCTAGGCAATACCTAAATTATTGCAGATGTGATCTTCAAAGGGAAAGATTATATAATATAGAAAGTCCCTTTCTAAAGTATTGTAGAACTTTATTTATTGATTTATTTGCTTTCTTTCTCTTTCTTTCTGATGCGGGGTCTCACTCTGTCACCCAGGCTAGAGTGCAGTGGCACGATCATGGCTCACTGCAGCCTTGACCTTCCCAGCTCAAGTGATCCTCCTGCCCCAGCCTCTCGAGTAGCTGGGAATACAGGTGCACACCACTACACCCAGCTAATTTTTAAATTTTTTGTGCAGAAGGGTCTCACTATGTTGCCCAGGCTGGTCTTGAATTCCTGGGCTCAAGCTGTTCTTGTGCTTTGGCCTCCCAAAGTGCTGAGATTATAAGTATGAGCCACCACGCCAAGCCTACTGTAGAACTTTAATAATACTTATTTTAAGAATTCTCTGCAACAAAACAAATACACACACACACACACACACACACACACACACACACACACAATTTTTTACCGTGACATAGCCTCAGGTCCTGAGAACATGTGTCCCCCAAATCTCTTTAGATTGTAGCTTCTTAGGATCTTCTTGCTCTGAGGAGACAGAACAGTTGCTGCTCTACCATTTGTTTTTTACATGCTTAGAATAAAATTATGATATCTTCTTCAGACTTTTTATATACAGTTTCTTTCATCTTTCCTTCTGATTCTGTTTTCTCTATTTTTAGCCTGTGATTTCTTCTGAAAATATAAATCCTCCATGCTGCTTTCAGTTTGAGTAGTGCTTTGTAATCTGTAAAGCATTGTGCAAATGTAAGTTATTTTATTATTATGAAGGTGGCAGACCCTTGAACTGTATTTATTTATTTTTTATTTTATTTTATTTTTAGGCAGTCTTGCTCTGTCACCCAGGCTGGAGTGCAATGGCATGATCATGGCTCACTGCAGCCTTGACATCCCAGGCTCAAGTGATCCTCCCATCTCAGCCTCCTGAGTAACTGGGACTACAAGAAAGCACCACCATACCTGGCTAATGTTTTAAATTTTTTGTATAGATGGGGTCTTGCTATTTTGCCTAGGCTGGTCTTGAACTCTGGGGCTCAAGTGATCCTCCCACCTTGGCTTCCCAAAGTGCCGGGATTACAGACATGAACTGTATTCTTATGAAAGAAGTCCAATGCTTGTTTTTAATGGTTCTTGGACAATTGTCATTGTTGCTGAAAAGTTTTAAGTCTGTGTTTTTATACTCTATGGTCCATATTTCATCACTTTTCTAATTCTTATAACCATTTTCTTTAAATTCAGCTCTGCTGAACATATTGAAGTAAAGAATGAAGAGCCAAAGAAATGCACTACTTCAGTTTCTACATCAGAAAGTATTTTTAAGATACAGACCTTTCTTGAGAAGTTAGAAAAAGTTTATAAATAGTTAAACATTAGACTTTACTTTTATTCAAATTGCCTATCATCTATTCCTTTTCAGTATTTCAAATGCAATAAAATTGATAATCAGAAATACTTTTTTAGAAGTTACTTTTTTATTTATATTTTTACAGAAAAATAGTAGTCTAGTCATTCAAGTGAAAGGTCCAAGAAAGGAAGAAAGAAAAATTTATCAAAAAGAAAACACAAGAAGTATTCTGAAGATAGCGACAGTGACTCTGATTCTGAAACAGACTCCAGTGGTAAGAAAGCCAACAGCATTCTGCAAGCCTTGCTTCAAAACTAGTTTTATTTCTTAAAACTTATTTTAGAAGAAGGTTCCTGAAAACACTAATAATACTGAAGAGTTTTTGAACGCTTGCTAACCTTGTGCCAGGCATTCCCCATAAGTGCTTTATATTCATTATTACCATCTAATCCATAAATAACTGTTGGGTACATCTTATAGATGAGGAAATGGAGACAGAGCAGATTATAAGTACTGTCCCCAAGGTCATACAGTTGGGATTCAAACCTAAGCAATCTGACTCCAGATTGGTTGTGCATAGTTGTACAAAGCACATGGCACCAGACCAAGTCAGGGGATTGGGCTGTACCAAAGTAAGCCTTACAGGGCTGCATCAGCCCAGTGGAAGGGCTCATTTGTGTAATTCTCGTGCCCAGTGGGCACTGCTGTACAGTTTTCAAAAAGGCACTCCCTTTAGACTGGCTGCCAATTTATGGAAGGCACCCCATCTGGGGTAGTGCATCACAAAAAGCCACCTTTTTTACGCCCTCTCCTGTCTAATGATTGACCAGAGGGTGCTTTCTCTTGGTTGGCATATTCCACAAAGGCTCTGCTTCCTCTGATATTGCCCCAGTTTCCTGGTCCCCAATGTCACTTTACTTCCTTGCCACTGGAAAACCAAACTTTCTTAAAGCACACATCTAAGCATGTCAGTGCCATACTCAAAATCCTTCAGTAGTTCTCCATAGCCCTCAGGGTAAAGTTCAGACCCTGACTGATCCTTCTCTAATCACATATACCCTGTCACTTTTTGTTGCACCATACTCTGTGGCCTGAAAACTTTTTTTCTTTCTTCCTTTCTTTCTTTCCTTCTTTCTTTCTTCTCTTCTCTTCTCTTTCTTTTCTTTTCTTTCGTGCCTGCCTGCCTGCCTGCCTTCTTCTTTCTTTCTTTTTCCTTTTCTTTCTTTTTTTTTTCAGGGCCTCCCTCTGTCACCCAGGCTGAAGGGCAGTGGCTCGATCTCTGCTCACTGCAACCTCCACCTCCAGGGTTCCAGTGATTCTCCTGCCTCAGCCTTCCGAGTAGCTGTGACCACAGGCATGCGCAACCATGCCCAGCTATTAAAAAAAAAAAAAATTGTAGAGATGAGGTCATGCTGTGTTGCCTAGGCTAGAACTGCTTTCTGTCTCCTCAGTATTCCATGTTCTTTCTCTTGACTCTATTGCTTGGTAGAGAGGCCCTCTGCCTACAATACCAGTCTCTTCTTCCAACAAGCTTGGCTTACTCATTGCAACAATGGATTTTGTAATCAAATAACTACTCTCAGAGCCACCTTTCTTGGTCAACCATTCCTCAACCCCCCTCCTCAAATCAGTTCTGATTTTGAGACTCCTCTGTGTGTCCAGAGCACCTCAAGCTTCCTTATGTCACTCTGGATTGTATCAATCTCTTTACCTATTTGTCTCCTCCATTAGACTGAGCTCCTAGAAAGCATTCTCCTTCCCCACTCCAACACACACATAGTTTTCTTTCCCTTTTTATCATGGAAATCTTCAAATGTTCAGAAAAGTAAAGGGAATAGTATAATTAATACTATATACCTTAGTACTCAGGTTTAACATTTGTTAGCATTTTGACATGTTTGCTTCAAATATGGATTTTTCACTAAGGTATTCAAAGTAAATTACAAATGTCATCACATTTCACTACAAAATATTTCTGTGTATCTCTTTAAAATGATATTTTCCTACTTAACCATAATACCATTAACTTATGAAAAAATTAACATTAATTTCTTATATCATATAATACCTAATGTGACTTTAATAATATATATATCCCCAGTGCCTAGCACAGTTCTTGACAAATAGTAATAAATGTTTGAATGAATAAATTTCTCTGTAACAACAAATGAGAAACAGCAAAAGCATATTTATTTACTCAAAAGTATTGAGGTTTTAGAGGTAACTTTTTAAAAATTATAATGTGTTTTAATTTGCAGATGAAGACACAAAAATGAGAGCAAAGACAGCTAAGAAAAAGGAAAAGAAATGCAGATGGCCAGATTTTTTCCTTTAATTTTTATTATGGAAAAGGTCAAATGTGTATAAACATACATAGAATGGTATAATGATCCCTCAGGCACGTAGCACCCAGCTTGAACAATTAACAACTTGTGGGAAATTGCCATTGCCCCCTAATTAATTTGAAACCAATCCCAGGTATAATGTCATTTATAAACAATTCAGCATGTTTCTCTAAAAGACTGTTTTCTTTATTAGTCTGTTTTCACACACCATAAAGACATACTTGAGACTGAGTAATTTATAAAGAAAAGAGGTATTGATTCATAGTTCTGTATGGCTTGGGAGGCCTCAGGAAATTTACAATCATGGCGGAAGCCAAAGGGGAAGCAAGGCACATCTGACATGGGAGCAGAAGAGAGAGTGAGAAGGGGGAAGCACCAGACACTTTACAGATAACCAGTTCTCATGAAAACTCACTCAGTATCATGACAACAGCATGGGGGAAACCCATCCATCCAATTACCTCCCACCAGACCCCTCCCTCCACATGTGGGGATTATAATACAAGATGAGATTTGGGTGGGGACAGAGCCAAACCATATCAGATACACGTTCTTTTTCTAAAAACATAACTACAATACCATTATCATGCCTAAAAAAATTAACAATAACTCCTCAACTCTCATCACACTCCATTTTTAAATTTTTGTTGTTTTCTAGCCTAGCAGTTTCACATGAGGAAGACAGCATAAAGAAAGCCAAGGTCTGACTGCTTCTTTTTGATGATCAATTAATCTAGAATATTAATCAGGGAACTACCTCCTCCCTCTTGCTTCTAGCAGCACTAAACAAAAGGTTCCCTTTTTGTGTTTTTATCATCAGGAACCAGGGTCCTTTCAAGGAGGTTGAATGAGACAAAATACATTTGAATGCATGATTGTCAGCTTCTGAGCTGGGGAATATGCAACAATATGCCTTCTGGGCTGGGGATGGGTGAGCAAAGGGAGAACTGCCTCATTCTGGCTTTGGTAGAGTCTCCTCTTGTGTTTCATTTGATGCAGAGGAACTTTGGGCCAGAATGATTCCTATTTCCCTATGTCCTCCACAGAAAGGGAGGATAGTGAACAGAATTTGCAATATACTAGATAGATGTTTGGCTGCCACCTTCCCATAAAGCCCTATGAGTAGCTTCTTCGGAAGATTCCTTTAGACTACAGGGTTGTGTCTAAGCTCTTCAGCATAAATGGAGATGGGCCCTGTCTTGAAACACACTGTTCTTTTACTAGGGACTTTCCCCACCCCCATTTTGCATATGTATGTATGTGAGCCGTACAGGGCGTATTGGTGATTGAGGAATGTCAGCTCATAAAATGAGGCTTCCTTGTAATTCTGTTTAAATGACTTTTCCTTTGAAATTCTTATCCATACCTTATTTGGCACACAAAACAGATATACAGTTGACCCTTGAACAACACAGGTTAGAGCTGCATATGTCCACTTATATGTGGATTTTTTTTCAATAAATAGAATTGGCCCCCCATATCCACAGGTTTCACACCTGCAACCAAATGCAGATCAAAAATACAGTATTCGTGGGATGCAAAACCTGCAGATAGGTAAGGCCAACTTTTTGTATACTTGGATTCTGCAGGTTCAAGTGTGGGGCTTGAGTATGCATGGATTTTGGTATCTGCAGGGGTCCTGGGAACCAATGTTTACAAGGAATTCACAACTTTTTTTAAATAAAAAATGTGCCTTATAAAAAATGGTGCACTGACTTTTTTGTTTATTTAGTTCATTTAACAGACATTTGGTGAACTGCACTTGAGGATGTGCCATGCAGAATTTGAATCTGGCAGAAAAACATTTTGGAAAAATTTGTAAAAAACAGACCTAAGAAAATGGAGACTACAAATGAATGCTGATGACAGGGGCCTATACCAGGCCAAACAAAGTCAGGGCAAAGCAAGGCATAGACAGAGGAGGCAAGGACAGCATGGGAAGCCTGGATATTCTAGGCTGCAGTGGCACTACAAGAACCCAACTCCAACTGGGCTCCAGAACAAGGATGGCATTATAGAGCCCATCCAAGATTATGATGACAGATCGATGGCAATGGGTGACATATATCTAAAATCTAAAGCCTTCTGATATCTTCTCTACTTGATCTTCCTAATCTTAAACCAAACCTTCAGGGGGAGAAGGAGAATTGGTTCAGTATATTTAATAGTTCATATCTTAATAGAAAAATATAACATGCAAATCTATGTGCTATTGAAATTTTAAACCACAGTGGGAGAGACTATTATGTTATTACTAAAATATCTTAGGAAAGTTAACACTGCAAGCCTTCCCTTCAGCTCACCCTTAGTGAGCGTGGACTATTTGCCAAGCTCTGGACTAGGCCTCTGGCTTTGTTTTGTAAACCAAAAAGTATCTGAGACAGGTCTCAATCAATTTAGAAAATTTATCTTGCCAAGGTTAAGTATGCACCTGTGACGCAGCCTCAGGAGGTCCTCACGACATGTGCCCAAGGTGGTTGGGGCACAGCTTGGTTTTATACCTTTTAGGGAGACATGAGACCGATCAATATATGTAAGATACACATTGGTTTGGTCCGAAAAGGCGGGACAACTCGAAGTGGGGAGGGGGCCTCCAGGTCATAGGTAGAGACAAATGGTTGCATTCTTTTGAGTTTCTGATTAGTCTTTCACTGAATACACGATTTACAGGAATATTCACTTATCCCTTAGTCTGGCTTAGTCAAACAATAGGGCAAAGAAAGCAATCAGATAGGCATTTGTCTCACGTGAGGAGAGGGATGACTTTAAATTCTGTCTGTTCACAAGGAATTTCCTTGTGAGCAAATTGTGAGGGAGGTATATAGCTTTGTAAAAAATCTTTGTAGTTATCTTATTTAGGAATAGAACAGGAGGCAGGTTTGTCCTGCCCAGCTTGACTTTTCCCAGCTTGACTTTTCCCTTTGGCTTAGTGATTTTGGGGTCGCGAGATTTTTTTTTTTTTTTTTTTTTTACATTTCCCCCCTTTTAAAAATCCTTCAGAGAAAGCATTTTAGAAGAAAATGAGTCCTTTGGTCTTAGGTTTGTCTGATCTCTCATGGCTAGGATGCTTTATTCCTACATGATTAGGTCCCATGTTATTAGGAAAGCTCATGTTTAGCAGGTTGTGAAGTTTCATGTCCTATGAAGAGAAAACGGGGAGGAAGGGAGAAAGGCAACAACAAACAAGAACAATCCTGGAAAATCTATATAGGCCATATTACTCTGAAGTCCATGCATGAGTAGGCAGTTATGAAAGTGGTTGATGTATGTAAATAGGTTGCTGTTATTTTCTTCTGAAGTTGTCTAGCTTCAGTTTGCAGGGCTTGAAGAAAGCACAGCTTAATTTTTAGTGATTTTAAATGAGGAAAAATGGGGAAGAAGGGAAAGGAAAGAAGGACAATTTGAAAACATTATTTTGGAGACTTGTAGCCAGGAAAAAATTAGAATTCAGTCTAAACTATAGAAAATAATAAAAATTGAAAAACACTAGGCAAACTAGAATCTAACAGGTATGCTATAGTTTATTTGGAAACATATTTTTTTCTCTCTCCAGTCCCGTTTTCACTAAAGACAAATCATAGGACAAATTCATTGGCAAAATAAGTTTTAGTCTTATGGCTGCAGTATTTGCATAAAGTCAGCAAAAATAATTATTTGCCATATAGTCTTCTCTTTTTTTAAAATTGGCTTTGCTGGAACTTTATTCTATAAGGAATCTCAGATTCAACTTTAATGCCTTAAGCCCAGCCTGTGCCTGCAAATACTTGTATTAATTGGGTGAATTCCTCACCTCAAGGTCCCCAGAAAACTTGGGTCTCCTGGGCCTGTCAGAAAGTGGCATTCTTTACTTACCACGTGTTAGGAGACTGTACAGGGACTGTGTAGATAAGGTATGAGGATAGCTTTTACAAGGGGCTTTTTTTGGCCCTGTAAGTCAACTTTGATTTCTTAAAGGAGACTATATCTGAAAGTATGTTATTCCTGTCAATACCTTGGTAAAATAACCAGTTTTTTCCATTTGTATCCTGTTACAAAAGAAAACAGATTCTTATTGCACTTATGCAACTAACTATGTTGCTATAAGTTAAGTATACATGCAACTAGTTTCCAAATTTTGGAGAGATCAGGTAGAGAGAAATATGCACTAAATTTTGTTTATAGGAGTATACTTAAGTGTTAAAAGCTGTAAATAGCTCAAAAGAAAAGTTTTCTTGGCTCTGAAAAACAAAGGATGAGCAACATTTTGAGCAAAAGTCATAATTATTTCAGTCTTCTATTAGTTCAGTCTATGTAGTTAACTCCTGTTCTGCTTGATAATCATAAACATTTCAGCTCTCCATGGGAGCCTTGGAGGTTTTTCCTCTATTCTAGTGTCACAATGTCCAAAGTTATCAAAAGTGTGCATTCAAGAGCACCTGTCAGAGTCCTATGCTGATTATAAAACCACCTTTTGAAAAGGATGAAAGTGGCCAGGCGCGGTGGCTCACGTCTGTAATCCCAGCACTTTGGGAGGCCGAGGCAGGTGGATCACAAGGTCAGGAAATCAAGACCATCCTGGCTAACATGGTGAAACCCTGTCTCTACTAAAAATACAAAAAAAAAAAAAATTAGCCGGGCGTGGTGGTGGGCGCCTGTAGTCCCAGCTACTCAGGAGGCTGAGGCAGGAGAATGGCGTGAACCCGGGAGGTGGAGCTTGCAGTGAGCCGAGATCGTGCCACTGCACTCCAGCCTGGGCAACAGAGTGAGACTCCCTCTCAAAAAAAAAAAAAAAGATGAAAGTAAAATAACTGTGGATGAAAAAATCTTAGAACAGTCATAGTTAAAGAGACAATTGACAAGGAAATTTGGTTACTTCTATGGCATACAACAATTTAACATAATAATCACAATTACCACCGATAACATGCTATAAGACACATCAGAATCACAGGAATTTCATATAATTCTGGAACACATACTAATAACACATTTATATAAATCCAAAGAAAGTTAAACACTTTCATATTTAACAATACTTCTGTATGGTTTTATTATATCAAATAAGCCAAAGATGTCTCTTTTGGACTTCAGGAGACTAATATCAAAAAATTAATGAGGTCTGAAGTTAAAATTTGATTTTGAAAAGTTTGTCAAACATAAAGAGTTTAAAACACATGATATCACAAAATAGGATCACAGGTCATTGTAAAATAAGTCATTCATTTAGCCAAAGTAATAACTCGATTTTTTAAAAAAGTTAAAAACTTTTATTCTTTGAGACAGGAGACTTAATTTCCAAAACAATAAGTCCTAATAAAGATGGCATGAGGCCCAATTAAATTTGTTTTTCAAAATTTTATAAACCTATAAAATTTTAATCATCTTGACTATAAGATATAATTTTCCTAAGTCTTTTTTATAACCTTTATAACCTTTTATTAAGGAGTGGGTGAATGCTTCAAGAAAACCTTGTTAATCTAACACAGGGACCCATATGCTGGTCTTACATCAGTGTGCCTTTGACATTAATGGTCAAAATCGGCCCTTATAATCTCACACATCCACCTCTCTCATGATAGTCCCTGGGCCTTGAGGAGTTGAATAGCTTTAATTTCTGGCCTGTGTCTCATGCATGCAGTTTATTTTGATTGACATCTTCTACCAGCTCCGAAGATGAGGCTTTAACGGCTGTTAGTGTTTAAGATTTAGCAGGACTTGGTCCTTTTTAGACCCTTTTTAGACCCAGGAGTCAAAGCCCCGTAACTTAATAGCACAAGGACTTTAAAAGCACATACAGAAAGTTTCATGGATGTAATACCCTCAATTAAATTTTTTTTAATCTCAGTATTATTTCCAAGCAAACCAATACTTAGTAATGACAGGAATTATTTTGATAAAGCATAAAATCTGTTTATTAGGCCAGTTACCCAAAGGCAAAAGAAAAGATCTGCAGTATGACTGCTGTTCCCTATGGGGAGTCCATTTAGATAACCTGCAACTCAAAACTAATGAAAAGGGTACTTGAATTAGTTAGACATAGAAAGAGTGTTTCCTGGGTCATAAATGCAAATTTTCTGGTTCATAGAACAATTTAGAGCCAAGAGCACAGAATATTATGTTGGAAGGAAACGTTTTCTTTAGACCTTTACAATAAAACATTTTTAGCATCAGGCTACAAAAATTAGAACCTGAAGGGAAAAAAAAACTTACAGGAGCTGAAAATGAGTTGAATGATAGAGTTATTATTTCAGGCCTTTTAAAAGGGGAGAGAAAGCTGAAAACAGTGAGACACAAAGTTGAACTTTGTATTAAAGAATTAAAATGTCTTGTAATTTTAAGAGTAAAGCAATACCTTAAGAAAATTTCATTGTTCAAACCAATTCTTTAGTATATGTCTTTTTTTAATATCAAAACCCAATCTCTAGAAAGACCATTATAAATCATTTCCCTTTAATTATAGCCAATTAGATCATATAAAAGTTTTTTTCCATAAATCTTATGACTTATACATACCATTCATGACACGCTTGGACTTTCTGGTTTGTCCTGAACATCTCTCTTTCTTAAACAACCAGTCATTTTATTCTAGGAGAAAAAAATTTACCATATATGATTCTTTTTTTTTTTTTTTTTTTTTTTTTTTTTTTTTTTTTTGAGACAGAGTCTTGTCTGTTGCCCAGGCTGGTGTGCAGTGGCGCCATCATGGCTCATTGCAGCCTCCACCTCCCAGGCTCAGGCGATCCAATCCTCCTGCCTCAGCCTACCCAAGTAGCTGGGACTGCAGGCATGCACCACCATGCCTGCCTAATTTTTGTATTTTTTTGTGGAGATGGGATTTCGCACTTTTGCCTAGGCTGGTCTTGAACTCCTGGGCTCAAGCAATCCACCCACCTCAGCCTCCCAAAGTGCTGGGATTACAGGCATGAGCTACTGTACCTGGCCTAATATTCTTATATAAAATTATTTTTCTTTAAGCTTTTTTTTAACCAAAAATACCTCTTTATTTCTATAGCTTTCCTTACATCTCTCTTATTTCCTAGTTTCTTTTACCTTGTTTTACACATAACCTTTAAATAAGCTTTTAGTTAGACAAAAGTAGTTCACATTTAAATAAGAGCACACTTCCTTTTTTTAGAAAGAATGTTTTCCTACTATATTATATATATTTTTTATTGGAAAATACCCATTTAATGAAATATCTATTTAGTTTAATATAACTTTAGATTCTAAATTATGACAAATTTGTCTATAAATATCCCATTATATTTACCTAATTTAATTGTTTACCTAGATTATTTATGAAAACTGTGATAGTCATCATTTAAAATTATTTCCCTGTGAAGCGTTTTATAGCCTGTGAATTTCAGGTGTTTACCTAAGTAAGAACCTTAAGATTAAATATATGGTTATCTTACTAAATAATCCAAAATTTAGCTGTTTACATTAAAACAGTATTAACATCTTATTTATCAAGAATTACACAAGCAAATATCATTCTGTTTTGGGCTGGGTTTATAGTTTAACCATTATGCCAAATTTTGACACCTTATAATATTTGGCAGGGATAAGTATGAAATCTCTTGATTCATAAATGCAAACAAAAATGTATGCTGACAATTCTTAAGACATTTCTAATATTATTTTACCAATAATTGTAAAGCTAGCTTATTAAATATTTTAAGTCACATGAACTTGAAAAGCATTTGGGCTTATTTAATTTATGAGTACTACTTAACTTTAAGCCAATTTGGTACCTTGTGACCAAAAACACATAATAAAATGCATGCATGTACACATAAACACACATATGCACACTCATACAAAGATCCTATAGCTTTTAATTCAGAACTCTGGCCATGAGATAGTAATACAAACTCACCAGTTTGCAAACAATAACAAAAAGAAATGGTTGGATGCAAACAGTGAATTTTATTTCAGTAGAAAAGTAACAGCAGACTTAAAGCAGGTAGAAAAGAAAGCTCCCACTCATCACCCAGGGGTGCCTTTCAGCTGGGAGGAGCAAAATGCCCTTTCATTTCGGAGCTGAGGAAACTCAGTCTCTCATTTGTCTATGAAAACAGTTCAGTTCCTCATGCAAATGTGCAGACAAGCCAATTGAGATTAATTTCAGGAGGAAAGGCAACAAAGAAGACCCTTTAGAATGAACCTCTGAACTAGAATTATGATCCTAAACAATTTCCTAGGAGGAAAAATACTCAGCTGAGACCACTTCCTGTAAACTGTCCTCACCCACTCTTAACTTTGTAGCTCTCATTTGCCATTACACATGCCAAAGTCAAATCCTCTTACAGTACGAGGTAATCTCTAGTACTGCCAAAAACCAAAGAGGTCAGGTAAGGCAATACAGGAGAGCAGAGCTTTAGACCTACAAAGAATCTGCCCATGACTCTTGAAACTCCACAAAGAAAACAGAACACTCCAAAGAGGCATGAATAGTGCCTTCATTTTGAGTTCTTTGAGGGGTTTGACTCATTAGAAGCCTTCTCTAGATTTTTTTCTTGGTCAGCAATGGCAAAGGGGAAGGAGGAATAGGGTGAAAGAAAAGACAGGAAGCAGACACAGAAACTAAACATATGTTTTTGTTTTGTTTTCAGCTGCAAGGAATTTTAGCCAATTCAGAGGCCTTTTTCCCCATGATTTGGAATTCTCATTCAGATTTGACCAAATTGGGTAGAGTTGGTCAAATCCGATGGGAGAACGACTGAAACAATAACAAAAAACCCCAACAATATGATCGCTGAGTGTTCTAATGGTAAGGAGAAATTAAGACCAGCTGGTTGTCAATTTTAACCTTTAGTTATTAAGGAGAATTTCCAAGACACACAAAAAAAAACCCAATTCAGTTATTTACCTAGAAATGGGTCTCAGACTGAAGACTGCTCTCTACCATCCTAGAAGCGGGAAGAAACTCAAACTTGCCTTCCTTGTTGGAAGCAAGCTCAAACTCCAGAAAGGAGTTACCTGCCTTCCATCGTCATGGAAGCAGGAAAACTTGCCTGCCTTGTTGGAAGCAAGTAAAACTCCAGAAAAGGAGTTGTACAGCAAAATATACTTTAGATCTCAACCAAATTTTGGGAGATCAGGGATTCTCTGAAGGGAGGGGAGCTCCCAGGCCTCAGGAAATTGTCCTGTTGGTTTGAGCTATAAAGATACCTGAAGCTGGTACCAAGCACCAACAGGAGATTTGCCAAAGGTCAGGGCCACCTCCACTGAGTCCCTCTGTGGTCACCAATTTGTAAACCAAAAAGTATCTGAGATGAGTCTCAATCAATTTAGAAAATTTATTTTGCCAAGTGTCAGGTCCAGGGTCAGGTTCCAGCCTATGCTGAGGTCAGAAGGGAGTGGGTGGATGGGTGGCAGATAGCTGAAAGAACACTCAGGGCAGGGGAGGGGGTGGGTTGTAGGCAGGTGAAAGATGGTTTTATTCAGCAGCTCTCTTACACTGTCTGTCTCTGTCTTGGCTAACTGCTGTACCTGCTCCCACGCGCAGCCACACGGCCAGCTCTCCCTTCAGGGTCAGCAGCTTAACTCTTTCCCTCTGGGTGCAAGCAAGCCAAACTGTGTCCTGGCTTCCCGCTGTCCATCTGCAAGACAGACAGCTCTGGCTCTCTCTTTCTCTGGGCACACCTGTACAGCATTAACAGGGTAGTTGTACCTTTTACAGACAATAGTGGCTCTGAGCTGAGTGATGAGCCTTCCCATGTTATGGCTACATGTCTGTGATTATATAACACGTGGATTTATGTGCCTGTACACCAAACTTGTTGAGTCATGCAGGATGTTTACCTCAGCCTATGTCTGCCTGGCTTCAGTGCAGCCATGTTCCTTCCACCAAGGTTAAGGATGCGCCTGTGACACAGCCTCGGTATGTCCTGACAACATGTGGTCAAAGTGGTTGGGATACAGCTTGGTTTTATACGTTTTAGGGAGATATGAGACATCGATTAATATATGTAAGATATACATTGGTTTGGTCCAGAAAGGTGGGACAACTCGAAGCAGGGAGGGGGCATCCAGGTCATAGGTAAATAAGAGACAAATGGTTGCATTCTTTTGAGTTTCTGATTAGCCTTTCACTGAATACACAATTTACGGGAATAGTCACTTATGCCTTAGTCTGGCTTAGTGAAACAATAGGGCAAAGGAAGCAATCAGATATGCATTTGTTGCACAGCAGCAGAGGGATGACTTTGAGTTCTGTCTGTCCTTTGTCCATGAGGATTTTCCTTATGGGCAAATTGTGACAGGGGTATGTAGCTTTTAAACAAATCTTTGTAACTATCTTATTTAGGAATAGAATGAGAGGCAGGTTTGTCCGATACAGTTTCCAGCTTGATTTTTCCCTTTGGCTTAGTGATTTGGGGGTTCCGAGATTTATTTTCCTTTCAAAGTTTCTACCCGCTTTTAATACTCTTTCATTTTCGTCCAAGTCTTGGATGCAAACCTAGCTAATGAATTGCACTGTGTCCTTTCTGTTAATGCTATGCTTGGTAACAGAATAAAGAAATATTAGTGTCCTGACAACTGACTATCAGCTGTCAGCTGTTCTGTCCCTCTTTACTACAAATAGTGTCACCCTGGTCATGGGGGAAGCTGAGCATCATAAAAACTGAACCTTTTTAAAGTCATATTGAGGGAAATAGTCCTATGATATTATAAGAAATATATTAGGTCTTTGTCCCTGGTTCCCGTCACAGAGCTCCTAAAACCCTTGAAATTTCCTGAGAAATAGTATTATCTTCTTATTTATAATGTGTCCCTTTGGATTACATCTGAGTTTATGCTAATGATATAACTCAGAGTGTGACTCCCAGGTAGCCCAGGATAGGGCCAGTCACCTGAAAAAACAGGTAATAGAGGATTAGAGGATTGGCAAGTTGGAACTTTCAGCCTCACCCACCAACATCCAGGAAAGGCGGGAAAACAGGGCTAAGGGATGAGTTCTATAAAAACTCTTTTTAATAAATTTTTTTTCTAGGCATAGTGGCTCATGCCTGTAATTCCAGCACTTTGGGAGGCTAAGGTAGAAGTATTGCTTGAGGGCAGGATTTCAAGTTCAGCCTGGTCAACCTAGCAAGACCCCATCTCTACAAAAAAAATTTTTTTTAATTATCCATGCATGATGGTGCATACCCGTAGTCCTAGCTACTCAGGAGGCTGAGGTGGGAGGATTGCTTGACCCCAGGAGTTCACAGCTGCAGTGAACTATGATCAGGTCACTGCACTGAAGCCTGGGTCACAGAGTGATACCCTGTCTCTAAAAATATTAATAATAAAACATAAAAATGAAGTATTTTTCATTGACATGATTTTGTACACATTTATGGGGTATAATGTGGTGTGTGTGTGTGTGTGTGTGTGTGTGTGTGTGTGTGTGTGTGTGTTTGGGAGATAGGGTCTCCACTCTGTTGCCCTCACTGGAGTATAGTCGCTTGATTATAACTCACAGCAGCCTTGGACTCCTGAGCTCAAGGGATTCTCCTGCCCCAGCCTTCTAAGTAGTTAGGACTACAGGTACACACCACCATGCCCAACTAATTTTTAAAATTTTTTTGTAGAGATGGGGTATCACTATGATGCCTAGGCTTGTCTCAAACTCCTGGCCTCAAGCGATCCTCCTGCCTTGGTCTCACAAAGTGTCAGGACTACAGGTATGAGCCACTGCACGCAGCCTAATGTGATTTTGTTTTGATACATGTATACATTGTGTAATGATCAAATGATCAGAGTAATTAGCATATCCAACACCTCAAACATGTATTATTTCTTTGTGATAGGAACATATAAATCCTCTCTTCTAGCTATTTTGAGATCTACAACACCTTGTTGTTTACTATAGTCACCCTACTGTGCCATAGAACACCAGAACTATAAAAACTCTTGAACAATGAGATTTGATGAGCTTCCAGATTGCTGAACACACAGAGGTGCCTGGAAGGTTATACACCTAGAGAGAGTATAGAAGCTCTGCACCCTCCTCCTGATAGCTTGCCCTATGCATCTTTTCCATTTTGCTGTTATTCTGTATCCTTTATAATAAACTAGTAAATGTAAGTAAGTGTTTCTGAGTCTTGTGAGCCACTCTAACAAATTAATTGAACCTGAGGAGGGGGTTGTAGGACCCTGCAATTTATACCCAGGGAGTCAGAAGTATAAGTGACAATCTAGTGCTTGTGACTGGCATCTGAAATGGGGGCCACAATCTCATGGGACTGAGCCGTTAACCCATAGGATCTGACACTATCTCCAGGTAGATAGTGTCAGAATTGAATTAAATCATAAGACACCCAGTTGGTGTTCACTGGAGAATCTGATGTCAAAAGTGTTTTGTGCTGAGTATTGTATTAACTGTGAGAAAGTAGAGGGAAAAAACCGTTTCTTTTTTTTTTTTTCTTGACACAGGATCTTGCTCTGTCGTCCAGGCTGCAGTGCAGTGGTACAGTCATGGCTCACTGCAGCCTTGATCTCCTACCTCAGCCTCCAGGGTAGCTGGAACTACAGGTGCACACCACCACACACAGCTAATTTTTAATTTTTTTTAGAGACAGGGTGTCACTATGCTGCCCAAACGTCTTGAACTCCTGGACTCAAGAGAGCCTCTTGCCTCAGCCTCCCAAAGTGCTGGGATTAGAGACATAAACCACCACAGCCAGCCATTTTTTTTTTTGAGACAGCTGGTTGGCTAGTTACCTAGCTGGCTATCTATCTCTACCTAATCTATTTATTACTCACTTATCTATCTATCATTCTATCAATTTGTCTATGTATTTACTTACCTATCTGTCTATTTATTTATTTAGAGATGGGAGTCACTATGTTGCTCAGGCTGGTGTCAAACTCCTGGTCTCAAGCAATTCTTTCACCTCAGCCTCCTAAGTGTCTGGGATCACAGGCTCCAGTCACTATGCCTGGCTACGTTGGATTTTTAGACAGAAGGTTTGCTTCAAGTATGATTAAGGAGTAATTCATTCTCTGTAACCTCTTGAGAGTTAAAAAGATTTTATGGCAATGGAGGCCTGATAATGGGGCCAAAGGTATTTGTGGCTTGTCTTACTGGGACACAAGAGTTGCTGAAGCCCTGGATACTGACTTGATATTTTAGCCTTTACTGCTAAGGAAAGGTGCTAAGGAAAGGTTAGCCTAACTAGGTTCAGATTCATTAGAACTCAAGATTTCTGCCCAGCCAGTAGTTTGGAGAAGAGGTATACCATTGTCAATCCTGCATACTCCAATCCAACCCCACCCTCCCAACCTTCTTGGGTTCAGGACACTGTCAGCTAACCCTGTTCTAGCTTACAGGTTCAGGATTCTGGACAGAGGCTGATGTTGCCAAGTGGTGGTGCACCCGAGGCCCTGCTAGCCCCAGTCCAAAACTAGGAGATCTCATTCCCATTGGAACAGGAATTAAAAGAAATTAAAGAGTATGTAAGCAGAAATTCAGTTGTACGTAAGAAAACCCAATTCCCTCTGAGAAAGAGAAAGAGCTAGAGTCCTTTAAAAACTAACTGCCTATTTTTCTGTGGCTAGTGAGCCTTATCTCTCCTCCCTTCCCAGGCATTGTGAAGACTCTGATTCCCTAGCTGTGCAGCTGCAAGGTCACTAGACAGATAAACTCAATTCACAAAACATGTTTTTCCTTAAAAAGTAAGAAATGAAGTAATGCATGTCTCAATTGAATAACTGCCTTTGTTTCTCGCTTCCCCCTGCACAGATCTCCCCCGACCCCATGAAATGCTTAAAAGGTAACTTAACTCTTTGTTCGGGGCTCAGTCCTTTGGATGTTAATCCAACTGGGCTGGTGCACCTAAATAATTAATAAATATCCCCCTGAACCCCATCAGTCTCTCTGATTCCTTAAAATTCCTGCTATACCATCACCAATTTCTAAGGCAGGAAAGTAGAACTGATGGCAGCGGCTGCTGCAATCATGCTGGCTGCAGCAGGGAGGCATGGCTGGGGCTGCACATTCCATGGAGCTGGTGGGAGCCCCACCCCTTCCAGGTTGGGGAGGGAGCTTCCCGGGTGCCACTGCAGTCGCCTAAACTGCAGCTATAGACCTGGGCCTCCAGCTCCATGGATCAGGCAGGAGCCCCGACCCTACTGGGCTGCAGATCTGAGCCTCCCTGTGCTCTTCGAGGGAGCCAGGAGCAGGCAGGATCCCTGTCCTCCTGAGTGCAACTATAACTGCCCAATCCGTGGCTGCAGACCCAGGCCTCTGGCTCCACAGAGCGGGCAGGAGCCAGGGACAAGTGGGAGCCCCACCCCTTCCAAGTTGGTGGGGCAGGAGCTCCTCAGGTGCATCTGTAGCTACCCTCCCAGGTGCAGGACACGGGCATCTCTGCAGCCTGCATCCTTGGGGGCCAGGAAGCCCCACCACCACAGGCTCAGGTGTGTCTGCTCCCACTGCCTGTTCTCTTTTCCCTCAGGCACCTGCTCTGATCTCATCTCAGAGAGGAGTTGGGGCCGAGCCGGAGGTGCTGTCACAGCCCGGAGGATGTGTGTAGGCTCAGGGCAGTGCTGACATGCCAGTGCCCTGCTGCCTTGGCCCCCTCCAGAATTTGAGTGCCCACGAACATGAGAGAGGAAGCTAAGGGGGGCTGAGGGCAGCTCAGCACTGGCCTGCAAGTGCCCCTCGGTGCAAGCAGCCTGGGCGCCATGGACTGCTGTGGGAGGCAGACAGGCTCCTGGGTGGAAGAGGGCAGGTCCTCAGTAAGACCCCACCTTCAGGCCAGGCGGCCAGTCCTGACGACTGGAGTGAGGACCTGTGGTGCCTTTTCTGGGCCCACCCATGGCTGCCCATGGAACAATCAGCACACACTTCCTCCCCTCTGAGGTCCCTAGAAGTTCTGGGCTCAGCCAGAGCAGGGCAGAGGATGGAGAGATGGGATTACCTGCTTACAGAGAGGAGCTACTCACTGTGGTTCTCCTCTGAGCTGTTCTAACACTTAATAAAGCTCCTCTTCCTCCTTGTCCACCCTTCACTTGTTCGCATACCTCATTCTTCCTGGATGCAGGACAAGAACTCAGGCGCCTCTTTGTCTTGTTCACTCTTCACTTGTCGCATACCTCATTCTTCCTGGACACAGGACAAGAACTAGGGCAAAGATGTCACCAGCCACAGAGGTTTCTGGCCAGAAAATTGACACTCCAAAGATCCCATAACAGAACTAGTCATTTTAATGCAAGGTCAACATCAATGTGGGTGTGGGGGGTCACAGAAAAGGCTTTTTCTTAAATGCCTGGCAGCTACTAAAAAACAGAACAAAACAACCATGTCAGGTGGGCTTTACGTCTACTCAGCATCCTAGTTAATGGAGTTAACATTGTATTTAATCCTTTTGGAAGTTCCCAATCTGCAAATTGTGACACTACAGGCCTTTTCTCCCTGTCTGACTCCTCACTTTCACTCTCCTATTTTAGGATTTAGGATCCTTTCTCTGCATGAATATAGTCTAAAGAAGGCTAGTGTAATAGAGCTCATTTTGGGCATGTTCAAATCTATTATCAAATCTCCCTAAATAGCCGATCCCCAAAGTAGGCTGTTTTATGGGCCAATATTAGTTCCCTATTCCCAGTACTGATTACATAAAACAGTTCTATTATATTTGCAAATAAGAGAAAGGGAGAAAACATCTACCAAGAGTTTCTTGGGGGAAGGTCATGCCTTAGAATTTGGAAATAGATGAGAACATTTTCTTTCTCTTTTTTCTTGTGGCTCCTTTTCCTTTTCAGAATTCTATTAAGAGACCACTATGAAAACCAGAAAAGCAGCTCATCAAACCTTGTCTTTCGTTTCCTCTGAGCTTTCCATGCCTCCTGAGATAGTGGAGGTTTCTTTCATCCTCCCAACCTGACTGTGGGAGTCAGCCAAGACTGACTGTGAGCCCTACCTATGGTGTTAGGATGACAGCACTCAGGGGCTGCTTGTTTTGGACAACCCACCATCAGATCTGCACATGTTTCCATTACTGCATGCACACACACACTCTCTCTCTCTCTCTCTGCAGCAAAACTAACAATAAACTCATCTTGATGTTTTTTCCCTGGCAATAGTTCTTTGACACAACTTTAGGTTTTCCACGGTCTCAGGTAGTCACCTTTTGATCTCATGACCTACAAATAAGTCTTCACTACTGGAGAAAATGGAAGAGTATTTCAAATTAACAGAGGTTTGAATCAACCCTGAATTGACAGCCACCCTACCACCACTAAACAAATTCTGCAAAACCCACCTCTTCATAATTGTACCACCAAAAGGGAAGAAAACAATTCCTTTGATATTAGAAATTCCTCAAGAGAGTGTTCATTTGTGCATTTGATAGTTTCATAATGTTGAGTTTGTGTGGCAGCTGCAAGGCATACTTTGTGTATAATTCTCTAATATTTGCATCGTCTTTCTGTCTGGAATTTTATTTGTTTTTGTGGTTTTTTGCCATATATATATATTACTTTAAGTTCTGGGATACATGTGCATGGAATTTTATTTGTAACTGTTCTTTGTTTTTTTTAGACAAATCTAAAGATGCCACTCCCTATGTTGCTTTACCAAAGGCTTAAGAACAACAGCAGAAGGACTTGGCCTTCATCTCCCTGCTTCAGTCTCATTATAACTAAATGTACATTAGTGTGTTTTGGGGGTGAATTACTTCCTCACACCACTGCCTAAATATTTACAAAATCACTCATTTTAGCTCAGAGGTTATGCTTGGTTTTAAATACTTCAAATAGTTAAGTACAATTGAACCCTATTTATTTATTTATTTATTTTTGAGAGGGAGTCTTGCTCTGTCGCCCAGGCTGGAGTGCAGTGTCGCGATCTCCGCTCACTGCAAGCTCTGCCTCCCAGGTTCACGCCATTCTCCTGCCTCAGAACTCCCGAGTAGCTGGGACTATAGGTGCTTGTCACCACGCCCAGCTAATTATTTTGTATTTTTAGTAGAGACAGGGTTTCACCGTGTTAGCCAGGATGGTCTCTATCTCCTGACCTCGTGATCCGCCTGCTCGGCCTCCCAAAGTGCTGGGATTACAGGCATGAGCCACCGCTCCTGGCCCTATTTATTTATTTATTTAGAGACGGAGTCTTGCTCTGTCGCCCATGCTGGAGTGCAGTGGCGTGATCTCAGCTCACTATAACCTCTGACTCCCATGTTCAAGCAATTCTCCTGCCTTAGCCTCCCAAGTAGCTGGGATTACAGGTGCATGCCACCATGCCCAGCTAATTTTTGTATAATCCAGCTCCTCAGTGCATTAATTTGAATACTTCCAGCTCAGACTGAGTCCCAACATGAAGATACACAGAAGACAGTAGTATTCTCCCTTAAGAAGGGCTAACAGCCTCTGTATTTACTTTTCTCATTTCCACTCCTTAAAGCCCCCAAAGTTCAAAACTTATTTTCTAATCATGGAAGAGGCAATAAAAACACCACTGCCCTCCAGGTTCCCATCCAGGAGCTCCTGCATCACTGTGGGTACTGCTGCTACCTCATCCTCCCACTCCTCCCTGCTTCTCCTCTTCTTTCGCCTCTCAGAACTATCTTCCTGAAATGAATTCTTTTTTTTTTTTTTTTGAGACAGGGTCTCATTCTGTCACCTTGGCTGGAGTGCAGTGGCACGATCTCAGCTCACTGCAGCCTTCACTTCCTGGGCTAGAGCAATTCTTGTGCCTAAGCCTCCTGAATAGCTGGGACTACAGATGTGCACCACCATGCCCAGCTAATTTTTATATTTTTAGTAGAGACGTGGTTTTGCCTTGTTGGCCAGGCTGGTCTTGAATCTTGACCTCAAGTGATCCACCTGCC
This sequence comes from Homo sapiens, assembly GCF_000001405.40. Taxonomy (NCBI): domain Eukaryota; kingdom Metazoa; phylum Chordata; class Mammalia; order Primates; family Hominidae; genus Homo; species Homo sapiens. Next base: position 120,220,357 of record NC_000023.11, on the reverse strand, counting down.
TCGGCCTCCCAAAGTGCTAGGATTACAGGCGTGAGCCACCACACCTGGCCAAAATTGAATTCTTGTTCCCCACTGAAGTGTCAAATAAATAAGAGCCAGGCTAGGTTGAAGGCACTGTAGTTCTTTAAGAAGTGTTTTACAGGTACCCTGTGATGTGTTAATATTCTGAATATTAATAGCTCTTAACCATGGGTCCTATGCTTGACACTGTACATGAGTTTTTATCTGTACAACAACCACAATTGTCATCATCCCCATTTTAAAAGAAATTAAACCAGAGTGGAATAACTACCTCATGCATAAACAAGCCACGTCCCGCCTTGATGAATGAAGTGATTCTACTCACTGGACTTAACAGGGTATGGCCCCTCTTCTCCTGACAAGTTGGAATAGAAAAGGGCAAGTAGACAGAGGCTGGACCTGTTATATCAGGAAACCCTCTTTGAGGGTGTAAGGACATTTGATCAAACTGTCTCTTAGGTCCCTTTATCCTGGAGGACATTTATCATTTTTGTCATTAACAGTGCCTGGCACAGTAATTAAGAGCTTGATTCATGTGAGCTATTGCTATTATATGCATTGTTACTCCCATGTTATTGATAAAAACTATTTCTAACTCAAGAGACTCTTATCCAAGTCATCAGCTAGGAGTGAAAACTGAAACTGGATAGGGAGTATGGTTAGGCATTCAATATAGTACATAACTCAAACAGAAAAGGTCTGAGCCAAGCCCCTGGGCCAGGAGCATCCAGATATATCCAGAAGATGGGGGAGTGCTGAGGGAGATCCACAGACTGTGTGTGTGATGAAAGGGACATTGGAGTATAGTAGGACATACAGTTGAAAGGGAAGAAATCAAAATGTGGCTATGCTGTACAAAACTGGCAGATATGTATTCTATATGCCACTGGGAACCAGGAGATATTTTGAACAAAGAATTTACATAAGCCAATTCATGTTTTGGGAAGGAAACACAAGCTTTAGGGGGTAGAAAAAGAGGTGGAAGCTAAAGTTAGGAGTCTGATTAGAGGGAAAAGTATTGAATAACTCAAGTTTTTAATTAATATATAATGGTTGTACATATATTTCTGGGGGTACATATATTTTGATACATGTATACAATGTATAATGATCAAATAAGGGTCATTGGGGTATCCATCACCTCAAATATTTATTATTTACTTGTGTTGAAAACATTCCAAATCTTCTCTTGTAGCTATTTTGAGATATACAATAAATTATTGTTAACTATAGTCACTCTACTGTGCTATCAAACACTAGAACTTTTTGCTTCTAACTGTAGTTTTGTACCCATTAACCAACTTCTCTTCATCCTCCCTCCCTCTACCCTTCACAGCCTCTGGTAATCACTATTTTATTCTATACCTCCATGAGGTCCTTTTTTTGTTTGTTTGTTCGTTTTCATATATGAGTGAGAACATGCAATATTTGTCTTTCTGTGCCTGGTTTATTTCACATAACACAATGCCCTTCAGTTCTATCCATGTTTCTGCAAATGAAAGTATTTATTTCATTTTTATGGCTGAATAATATTTCACTGTGGTATATATACCACATTTTCTTTATTCATTTCTTGCTGGACACTTAGGTTGAATCCATATCTTGGCTATTATGCATAGTGCTGCAATAAATATGAGAGTACAGATATCTCTTCAATATATTGATTTCCTTTCTTGTGAATATATACACAACAGTGGGATTGTTGGATCATATGGTAGTTTTTTTGTTTTTTTGAGGAAACTTCATACTATTTTCATTAATGGCTGTACTAATTTAAATTTCCATCTGCAGTGTATGAGAGTTCTCCTTTCTCTGCGTCCTTACCAGCAATTGTTATTTTTGTCTTATAATAGCCATTTTTATCAGTTTTCTCAGGTTGAATATAATAGCCATTTAAATTGGGGTGAGATGATATCTCATTGTGGTTTTGATTTGCATTTCCCTGATTAGTGATGTTGAGCATTTTTCATATATCTGTTGGCTACTTGTATGTCTTCTTTTAAGAAATATATATTCATTGTTAACGGCAAATCTAAAAGAAAAAGAAATGTCTATTTAGATCACTTGCCCATTTTTAATCAGATTATTATTTTTTGCTGTTGAGTTATTTGAGTTCCTTTTCTATTTTGCATATTCACCCTTTATTTAATATATGGTTTGAAAATATTTTCTCTCATTCCATAGGTTGTCTCTTCACTCTATTGATTGTTTCCCTTGCTGTGCAGAAGCTTTTTACCTGGATGTAATGCCATTTGTCTATTTTTGCTTTTGTTGCCTGTGCTTTAGAGGTCTTACACAAAATATCTCTGCCAAGACCAATGTCTTGAAGCATTTCCTCAGCATTTTCTTCCAGTAGTTTTATAGTTTCAGGTCTTACATTTAAGTCTTTATTTAAGAGATAGGGGGTCTCATCATGTTGCCCAGGCTGGACTTGAACTTCTGGGCTCAAGCAATCAGTCCTTCTGCCTCAGCCTCTCAAGTAGTGGGACTACAGGCACACACCACCATGCCTGGCTTTCTTTAATCCATTTTGATTTGATTTTTGTATATAGTGAGAGTCAGGGGTCTAGTTTTATTCTTCTGCATATGGTTATCCAGTTTCCCCAGCATCATTTATTGAAGAAACTGTTCTTTCCCAATATATGTTCTTGGCATCTTTGTCAAAAATGAGTTGGCTGTAAATGTGTGGATTTATTTCTGTGTTCTTTATTCTGTTCCATTGGTCTATGTGCCTGCGTTTATGCCAGTACTATGCTGTTTGGGGTTACTATGGCTTTATAGCATATTTTGAAGTCAGGTAGTATGATGCCTCCAGCTTTGTTCTTTTTTTCTCAGGATTGCTGTGGCTATTTGGGGTCTTTTGTGGTTTCATATGAATTTTAGGATTGTTTTTTCTATTTCCATCAAGAATGTTGTTGGCACTTTGATAGGGATTGCAATCTGTAGATCATTTTGTATCATATTGTATGGGTAGCAAGGGAAACAATCAATAGAGTGAAGAGACCACTGTAGATCACTTTGGATAGTATGGATATTTTAACAGTATTAATTCTTCCAATCCATAAGCATGAGATATCTATTTTTTTGTATCCTCTTCAATTTATTTCATCAGTGTTTCATAGTTTTCTTTGTAAGAGATCTTTCACTTCTGTGGTTAAATTTATTCCTAGGTATTTTTTTGTAGCAATTATAAATGGGATTGCTTTTTTGATTTATTTTTCCAATTGTTTGCTGTTAGCATATACAAATGCTACTGATTTTTGTATGTTGATTATGTATCTTGCAACTTTACTGAATTTGATTATCAGTTCTAATAATTTTTTGGTAGAGTCTTTAGGTTTTTCTAGATATAAGATCATGTCATCAATGAACAAGGATAATTTAATTTCATTCTTTCCAAATTGGATGCCCTTTAGGTCTTTCTCTTGCCCAATTACTTTGGCTAGGACTTTCAGGACTATGTTTAATAAAAATAGTAAAATTGGTCATCCTTATCTTCTTTCATTTCTTAGAGGAAAGACTGCCAATTTTTCCCCAGAAAGACTACCAATTTTTCCCCATTCAGCATGATGTTAGCTGTGGGTTTGTCATATATGGCCTTTATGGTTTTGAGATATGTTCCTTCTATACCCAGTTTGTTGAGTTTTTGTCATGAAAAGATACTGAATTTTACTGAATGCTTTTTTCAGCATCTATTGAAATCATCATGGACAAAAATGTCCTTAGTTTTGTTAATGTGATATAACACATTTATTGATTTGTGTATGGTGAACCATTTTACATCCTTGTGGCAAATCCCACTTGATCATGGTGAATGATCTTTTTAATGTGATGTTGAACTTGGTTTGCTAGTATTTTATTGGGAATTTTTACATCTATGTTCATCAGGAATATTGGCCTGTAGTTTTGTTGTTGTTGTTGTTGTTATTGTTGTTGTATCTTTTGTCTTGTTTTCCTGTCAGGGTAATGCTGGCCACATACAATGAACTTGGAAGTATTCCCTACTGTTCAATTTTTTGGGGAATAATTTGAATAGAGTTTATATTCTTAAAATGTTTGGTAGAATTCATTGTGGAAGCCATCTGCTCCTGGGCTTTTCTTTGATCAGAGACTTTTTATTACTGCTTTGATCTCATTACTTGTTACTGATCTGTTTAGGCTTTCTATTTCTTATAGTTTGTATGTGTCCAAGAATTTAACCATTTCTTATAGGTTTTCCAGTTTGTTGGTATATAGTTGGTCATAATGGTCTCTCATGATCCTTTATATTTCTGTGATATTTCTGTGGTATTAGTTTTAATGTCTCCTTTTCATTTCAGATTTTATTTCTTTGGGTCTTCTCTCTTTTTTCTTGGTCTACCTAAAGATTTGTCAGTTTTGCTTGTTTATCTCTTTGGAAAACTACTTGTTTCATTGATCTTTTGTATTTTTTTATAATCTCGATTTCATTTATGTCTGTGCTGATCTTTATTATTTTCTTTTTCTCTTTTCTTTTCTTTTTCTTTCTGACAGAATCTTGCTCTGCTCCCCAGGCTGGAGTGCAGTGGTGCGATCATGGCTCACTGCAGCCTCAACCACCTGGGCTTAAACATTCCTCCTGCCTCAGCTGCCTAAGTAGCTGGGACTATAGGCACATGCCATCATTCCTGGCTAATTTTCAAACTTTTTTTGTAGACACAGTCTCACTTTGTTGCCCAGGTGGGTGTCGGGCAATCATCCTGCCTCAGTCTCCCAAAGTGCTGTGATTACAGGTGTCACCACACCCAGCCTTGTTACATTCTTTCTACTAATTTAGGGTTTGATTTGTTCTTGCTTTTCTAGTTCCTGGAGGTGCATCATTGGGTTATTTATTTGAAGTCTTTCTACTTTTTAAAAAAATTTTATTTTTAATTCTTGTGGGTATATAGTAGGTATATATATTTATGGGTACATGAGATGTGTGGATACAGGCATGCAATGTATAATAATCACATCATGGAGAATGGGGTATCCACCCCCTCAAGTGATCATTCTTTGTATTACAAACAATCCAATTATACTATTTTAGTTATTTTAAAATGTACAATTAAATTATTATTGACTATAGACACCCTGTTGTGCTATCAAATAGTAGGTGTCATTCATTCTAACTATTTTTTGGTACCCATTAATCATCCCCAACTCCCCTACCTATCCCCCACTACCCTTCCCAGCCTCTGGTAATCAACCTTCTACTATGTCCATGAGTTCAACTGTTTTGATCTTTAGATCCCACAAATAAGTAAGAAAATACGATGTTTGTCTTTCTGTGCCTAGTGCCCCCCAAAGCACTAGGATTACAGGTGTGGGCCTCTATGCGTAGCCTAAATGACTTTATTATTGCACATTCGTATCCTTTTCTTTCAGATTGAAGAACTCTCTCTAGCATTTTCTTGCAAGACAGGTCTGGTGATGATGAATTCATTCACCTTTTGTTTGTCTTAGAAAGTCTTTATCTCTCCTACATGTTTGAAGGATAGCTTTGTTGGGTATATTATTCTCAGTTTTTGCCTTGAGCACTTTGAATATGTCGTCTCACTCTCTTCTGTCCTGTATCGTTTCTGCTGAGAGTCTGTTGCCAGACAAATCAAAGTCCTTTGTGTGTTATTTGCTTTTATTTCTCTTGCTGCTTTTAGAATCTTGTCTTTGTCCTTGACCTCTGAGAGCTTAATACATATTTTGGTATAGTCCTATTTGGGTTTAATCTGTTTGGTAATCTTTGACTTTCCTGTATCTGGATATTTATATCTTTCTCTAGGTTTGGAAAGTTTTCTGTTATTTCTTTGAATAAGCTAATGACCCCCTTTTCTTTATCAATTTCCTCTTGAGGGTCAATGACTCAGATTTGCTCTTTTGAAGTTATTTTCTAGTTCTTGTAGATATTCTTCATTCCTTTTCCTTCTTTTTTCTTTTTTTCTTCTCTGACTGTGTATTTTCAAATAGACTATCTTTGAGCTCACTATTTCTTTCTTCTGCTTGATCAGTTCTGCTGTTGATACCTCTGTGATGAGTTGTTCAGTTCAGCCAATGTATTTCTCAGTTCCAGGTATCTGTTTGATTTTTTCTTATTTCCATTTCTTCATTAAATTTCTCTGATAAATTTCTAAGTTGCGTTTCTGTATTAACTTGGAGATTGCTGAGTATCTTCAAAACTGCTATTTTGAATTCTTGATCTGACTCCTGTGACTTTGCTATCTGAGAGCTCACATGTTGCTCTCTCACTGGGGTTGATCAGTGGTTCCTTGCTTTGTCCATTTGGGGAGGTCATTATTCACTGTTTGCTGTTATTTCTTATGTATGTAGATCTATGTCTTCGCATTAAAGAATTGGTTATTTTTTCAAGTCTTTCCTGTCTGAGTTGTTTTGTGTGTTTAGAGGTTCTGTGCGATTTGCCCGTTGATTCCCTTAGCCCTAGATTGCTGCCTTCTTTGAGCACTAGATGGCGCCCTAAACACAGGTTTTCTGTAGCTCTCCAAGTGCTGCCCATTACAGACAGGGGGAGATTCCAAAGGGGACTCCTCAGCTGTGTGGGGAGGCTGGCTACGGGTTCATGCCCAGAGGTTCCCTGCAGGGTGCCTCCTACAGTGTGGTGCTGCTAAACCACCTCTCTGATTTGGTGTCCCCTTTTTCTAGAGTGGAGAGCAGCCCCCCGAGTTTCTGGTGCTGGGCCATGCAGCTCCACCTCCAAGGTTTGTCTCCACCTGTCCTTAGGTGGAGGCACTTGTGATGCTTCCTGTGAGTTGAGGCAGGAACAGCTTTCTTGCATAGGAACCCAAGATGATGGGGAAGCTGGCTTTCCACCTTGATCTCACTTTTTCCAATGTAGAAACCATGAGTCTCGGAGGATTTTTCCATGTGGTGTCTAGTAGTTTGGGGGAGGGGCATTGTGGATAGAGAAGTCCATTTCTCTCACTTTCAGCTCATAGTTTTTTACTTCTCTGTGGCCTCAGGGATTGTCACAGCTTTGATTTTGAGTTCTGGGATATTGCTGGTGATAATTGTGGCACCGGATAGTTGTTTTTGGTTTTCAGTGGGCAGGGGGAGTGAATCCAGATTGCTTCTACTCCATCTTTGGTGACATCACTCCCCAACTCTGAAGTTTTGAGAACGAGTGACTGAAGAATTGTAATGCCATTATCCAAGTTAGGGGACATGGAACATGTCATGGTAAATAAATAGGTCAGTTTGTGCTTGTTGAATTTGAGAGTCATCTGCAACTAAATGGACTATAAGAATCATGACCTTGGCATTCAGGAGAGAAAGCTGAGATAAAAGCATAGATCTATAAATCATGAGTGTGAAGGGATGGTGGTTGAATCCTTTAGAGTGGAGGGGGTCATAAAGGTAGAGAGGGTAGAGTGAGAATTCAAGAGTGCCAAGAACTGGACTTTGAGCAACCAACTCCTACACCTTGACGATTGGGTAGAAGAGAAGTGAGCATACTAAGACAGGGAGCAGCAGTTGGAGAGATAGGAGAAAATTCCAAAGAGTGCTTGTCATAGAAACCAAGGGAAGAGAGAAATTCAGAAAAGAGAAAGTAGCTTTTCTGCAACAGGTTTGCTGCCAACACAGGTTGTCTTGAAAACCACCCCTAAAAACCAAAATGGGAAAGGAAAAACTCATATCAATATTGTCGTCATTGGACATGTAGATTCAGGCAAGTCCACTACTACTGGCCATCTGATCTACAAATGCAGTGGCATCAACAAAAGAACCACTGAAAAATTGAGAAGAAGGCTGCTGAGATAGGAAAGGGCTCCTTCAAGTATGCCTGAGTCTTGGATAAACTGAAAGCTGAATGGTATCACCACTGATATTTCCCTGTGGAAATTTGAGACCAGCAAGTACTACATGATTATCATTGATGCCCCAGGATACAGAGTCCTCATCAAAAACACTATTACAGGCCGAGCACAGTGGCTCACGCCTGTAATCCCAGCACTTTGGGAGGCCGAGGCGGGCGGATCACTTGAGGTCAAGAGTTCGAGACCAGCCTGGCCAACATGGTGAAACCCCATCTTTACTGAAAATACAAAAATTAGCTGGGCGTGGTGGCATGCGTCTGTAATCCCAGCTACTCGGGAGGTTGAGGCAGGAGAATCACCGGAACCCGGGAGGTGGAGGTTGCAGTGAGCCAAGATTGTACCACTGCACTCTGGCCTGGGGGACAGAGCATGACCCCGCCTCAAAAAAACAAAACAAACAAACAAAAAAAAAACGAGCACAGGCACATCTCAAGCTGACTGTGCTCTCTTGATCATTGCTCCTGGTGTTGGTGAATTTGAAGTTGGCATCTCCAAGAATGGGCAGACCCAGGAGCATGCCCTTCTGGCTTACACACTGGGTGTGAAACAACTACTTGTTGGTGTTAACAAAATGGATTCCACTTAGTCACCCTACCACCAGATGAGATACAAGGAAATCAGCACTTACATTAAGAAAATTGGCTACAACCCTGACACAGTAACATTTGTGCCAATTTCTGGTTGGCATGGTGACAACATGCTGGAGCCAAGTGGTAACATGCCTTGGTTCTAGGAATGGAAAGTCACCTATAAAGATAGCAATGCCAGTGGAACCACGCTGCTTGAGGCTCTGGACTTTATTCTACCATTAACTCATCCAACTTATGAGCCCTTGTGTCTGTGTCTCCAGGATGTCTACAAGATTGTTGGTATTGGTACTGTACCTGTGGGCCGAGCGGAGACTGGTGTTCTCAAACCTGGCATGGTGGTCAGCTTTGCTCCAGTCAATGTTAGAATTGAAGTAAAGTCTATTGAAATGCACCATGAAGCTTTGAGTGAATCTCTTCCTGGGGACAATGTGGGCCTCAATGTGAACAAGGTGTTTGCCCACTTAATAAAATCGGATATAAAGGAAAAGAAGGCTAAGTTGTTATAAACATCAGTTAGCATGCCTTACAGTTCTTGGTGGTTTAAGATCACCACTTTATATTTCAAAGCATCTGAATAAAGACAGCTTCACAGTTGCTCCCAAGTCTTCATATCTGAAAGAATCCTTTTACAAATCTGAAATGGAACAATTTGATATTTATTACAGAATCATCGTGGTCTTGCAAGAAATCAGTGATTTACATTTGTAACCATATTTCCAAAGAGAATGTCTTTTTTATGAAGTGGGGGGATGTAAGAGGTACATAGATTATTTACAGCTGTCTCTGTCAAGCATTTGCTCTTTATTTGTGTCCATTGCTGGATTCAACACTACATTGGCATATCCATACTTAGCTTTTGTTATTGCTGTTGTTCTGATTAAAAACATGCATTACATTCTTTCTAAGAAAAAAAAAAAGAACGCATCTGCCAAAGATGTTCATCATGGCAATGTTGCTGGTGACAGCAAAAATGACCCACCAATGGAAGCATCTGGCTTCACTGCTCAGGTGATTATCCTGAACCATCTAGGCCAAATCAGTGCTGGCTATGCCCCTGCACTAGATTGTCACACATCTCAAATTCCTTACAAGTGTTCTGAGCAGAAAGAAAAGGTGACCATTCTGGTAAGAAGCTAGAACATGGCCCTAAATTCTTGAAATCTGGTGGTGCTGCCATGACTGATATAGTTCCTAACAAGCCCATGTGTGTTGAGAGCTTCTCTGAATATTCTGACTATCCTGACTATTCTCTTCTGGGACATTTTGCGGGCAGATATACCTTTATACCAAGGATAGAACCAAGTATGAACTTATACAACAGGTTATATAGGTTATATAACAAGTGGAGGTGTGCACCTGCATGCCAAATTCGCTGAGACAGACAGTTGCCATGGGTTCAGAGGACAAGAAGGCGGCTAGAGCTGGCAAGGTCACCAAGTCTGTCCAGAAAGCTCAGAAAGCTAAATGAATATTATCCCTAATACATGCCACCCCAGTCTTTTTTGTTGTTGTTGTTGTTGTCTGGTGTTTTTGTTTTTTGTTTTTTGTTTTTTGTTTTGAGACAGGTTCTCACTCTGTTGCCCTGGCTGGAGTGTAGTGGCACAATCACTGCTCACTGCGACCTCTGCCTCCTGGGTTCAAGCAATCCTCCTGCCTTAGACTCCCAAGTAGCTGGAACTACAGACATGTGCCGCCATGCCTGGCTAGGTCTCATTATATTGCCCAGGCTGGTTTCAAACTCCTGGGCTCAAGTGATCTACCCACCTTAGCCTTCCAAAATGTTGGGAGTACAGGCATGAGCCACGGTGCCTGGCCTGAGTCTTAATCAGTGGTGGAAGGGTCTCAGAACTGTTTGTTTCAACTGGCCACTTAAGTTTAGTCGTAAAAGACTGGTTAATGATAACAATGCATTGTAAAACCTTTGGAAGGAAAGGAGAATGTTTTGTGAACTTTTTTTTTTTTGGCATCTGGTAGTTTTAAGTTATTTAATTTTTAAAATCAGCACTTTTTAGTGGAAACAACTTGACCAAAAATCTGTCACAGAAATTTGAGACCCATTGAAACCAAATTTAATGAGGGAAAAAAGAGAGTAGTCAACAGTGTTAAGAGTACAAAGAAATAAAGTGGACTAAGATCTGGATTTGATGTTTTATAAGTTTCTGATGAATTAAAATAGCATTTTAAAAGCAGGAGTCATATTCAAGGAACTGCAGAGAAAATGGGAGGAAGAAAAATACTTTTGCAATAAACTTAGGGTGCCATTTAAAGAAGTTTGACATCAAAAAGAAAGCGAGGGTAATAGATGGGTTACTTAAGTGTCATATACAAATCTCTTCCTTTTTTTTTCAAAATTGAATTTTTTTGTAATGTCTATAATCCTGTGTCTGATTTGCAAATTTGGATGTAAAATAAGAATCACTTGAACATAGTTGCAGAGTTTGATCAGAGAAGCAGAGTGAAAAGCAATAAGGGATGATTACAGGAATCAGACCATATGCAATTGTGGGAGCAGGGTGTCAGGTCCTGGGGTCCGGGTCCAACCCATGCTGAAGTCCGGAGGGAGTGGGTGGATGAGCAGAAAGAACATTCGGGGGGCTGTAGGCAGGTGAATATGGTTTTATTCAGCAGCAGCTTTTTTTTATTTTATTTTATTTATTTATTTTTTTTTTTTGAGACGGAGTCTCGGTCTGTCTCCCAGGCTGGAGTGCAGTAGCGCGATCTCGGCTCACTGCAAGCTCCGCCTCCCAGGTTCACACCATTCTCCTGCCTCAGCCTCCCGAGTAGCTGGGACTACAGGCGCATGCCACCTCGCCCAGCTAATTTTCTGTATTTTTAGTAGAGACGGGGTTTCACCTTGTTAGCCGGGATGGTCTCGATCTCCTGACCTCGTGATCCGCTGGCCTCGGCCTCCCAAAGTGCTGAGATTACAGGCGTGAGCCACTGCGCCCGGCCAGCAGCAGCTTTTATGAACAGCTTTCTCACACTGGCTCTCTCACACTGGCCACCCTGTCTTGGCTGCTTGAGCCAGCGGCTCCCACACACAGCTGTGCAGCCAGTTCTCCCTTGCCTTCAGGGTCAGCAGCTTAACTCTTTTTCTCTCTGGGCATGAGCAAGCCAAGCTGTGTCCTGGCTCCCTCTTGTCCATCTGCAAGACTGACAGTTTTGGCTCTCTCTCTTTCTCTGGGCACCAGCGCACCCACTACCATGTTAACCCATGTTGAGCCGAGCTGAGCCCCAACAGCCCTGTACAGCATTAGCAGGGCAAATATACCTTTATACCAAGTATAGAGCCAAGTGTGAACTTACACAAACAGGTTATATAACAAGCAGAGGTGTGCACCTGCATGCCAAACTCACTGAGTCATGCAGGCCTGGATATCCACCTCGGCTTATTCCTTGACCAAAGCACATCCATGTACCTTACACTCCACCCCCTAGGCTGAGGGAGACTTAGGTCTTGGGCACACAGGTTTGATACTCAAGTTTTGCACACAGGCCTGACATATAAACTTTGGGCACGCAGGCCTGATATATACACAGGCTTGACACATAAGCCTGACACACAAGCTTTGGGCATGCAGGCCCAATACATACACAAGCTTTTGGGCACTCTAGCCCGTTACATACATAAGCTTTGATAAACTGCCCAGCTATTGGCGCAGATTACCATAGGTTGTCACATCCTTGGTGATTACCATTCACACTGCCCTGAGTTTAGCTTATTAGCTGCTTTGCCCACACCTGGTTTCAAACCATATGGTGTTAGTACTAGGCTGGACCGCACCAGCAGTCCAGGCAGCAGTAGCACCCCAGCTAGACCTAGCTGTGTGCCATGCCCTATCAGGAATGAGGGGATGCCCTTCCTAATGATGAAGTCTCAGGGTTTAGGAGTGCCTCAGGCCCCATGGCCTTATCTTGCATTAGGACTACAGGTCCCAAGACCTCTTGCAACTTTGCTGCTAAGGGATTTGTACTTACTTAGCATACTTCACTGTTTCAAGTCGGTACCCCACTTCGCTAAAGTTGATGTCTGTGCTGCCTCTGTCCAGGGGGTCATTACCCATGAATGCACCCATCCCACTATTAATAACTGCTTCTCTATTAGTAAGCACTGGAGCTCAGCTCCCTTCCACAGTTGGGACTAACAGCCCACTGGTGCTTCCAAGTGCTCCATGCACTGCTATAGGCCCTAGCCAAAATTATCTGTGGTTACATGCACATTCAGTGTAAATGAGCACCCTGGTTTACTACCCAGAAAGGCTGTCTCAGCCTCATCACCCCAATCCCAGGCAAGAGGGACACTGCCACTTTTAAACCTGCAAGAGAATCAGAGGTTAACATAACATTATTAACAAAACCACAACATATGGTGGGGCTATACAGTAGCCCTGCAGCAACACTGTGAAAGTCCATTGTCGCTGTCCCATGAAGGCAAACTCTTCCTGGCTCTCTGGAGCATTGTCGATTGACAAGAATGCATTAGCCAAGTCCACCACACAGTGGCACTGCCAAGTTCCATTGTCAAGTGGTCTATTAAGTCTGTGATAGATGGCACAGCTGCCAAGCCATGCAAAACATCTACCCCAGAATGTCTTCAGGTATGGATGGAGAGACATACACAGCACATAAGCAGAGAGCCAAGCAGTCGATGCCAAGATGCAGAGATACAGGTTTCACTTTCACTGACCAGTCTTCATAGTTGTCAATAAATGCAGCTCTGCCTGGAAACTTATCCAGGTTCAGGGACCAGTGGATTGCGAAGTCCAAATGTGGCTCCCGTTGTCCAGTGCCCTCCAAGCTGGGCATCTCGGCCAGTTCTCTTATCAAACAGAAGAGGCTTTACACTTCCACCAACTGCAGCAGGTACTCTTTGAACTGGAATGCTCGAGCAGGACTGGGTTGCGCAGCAAGGTCCTTCTCCCAAATGGCTTGCACTAAGTCTGTGCATGACTGCCGACATTACTTGCTTAACTCCCTCAACTCAGCAGGGACACAGGCACCAAAGGAAGGGTGCTCCACCACAGCAGGGGGTCTCTGGGCCTACTCGTGGGGCCCAGTAGCTGCTCATGATCTATTTTGTGGTGGATCACTGGGCAAGCCTGCCATGGAGGTTCTTCCTCCTCACTGCACTGAGTTCCACAAGGACTGGGCATGAACTTCCCACAGCACAGTTACAAACGCTCATCTGACTCTGCCAGCAAAGGCATGCTTCTTCTCAGTGCTGTGCACTTCCAGGTGCTTCAGTGCCTTCTCCATACTCACAGGAGACCCACCCACTGCCTCCCATGTTTCCACTGGAGCCCATCTTCGCAGCACAGCTGCCACCGGGTATCACAGCCCATGCTGTGGCCACAAAGCCAACCTGGGAGCCCTCAGGGACTGGGGCCAACTCACCTCATCCCATTCTCATCACCAGTTGTCAGGTCCCGGGGTCCGGGTCCAGCCCATGCTGAAGTCCAGAGGGAGTTGGTGGATGAGCAGAAAGAACACTCGGGGCTGAAGGCAGGTGAATGTGGTTTTATTCAGCAGCAGCTTTTATTAACAGCTTTCTCACACTAGCTCTCTCACACTGTTTGCCCTGTCGCAGCTGCTTGAGCCAGTGGCTCCCACAAACAGCTGTGCATCTGGCTCTTCCTTGCCTTCAGGGTCAGCGGCTTAACTCTTTTTCTCTCTGGGCATGAGCAAGCCAAGCTGTGTGCTGGCTCCCTCCTGTCCATCTGCAAGACGGACAGCTTTGGCTCTCTCTCTTTCTTTCTCTGGGCACCAGCGTGCCCACCATGTTAAGCCATGTGGAGCTAACCAGAGTCCCAAGAGCCCCTGTAGAACGTTAGCAGGGCAGTTATACCTTTTACAGACAATAGTGGCTTAGAGCGAAGTATAAACTTACACAAACAGGTTATATAACAAGTGGAGGTGTGTGCCTGCATGCCAAACTCACTGAGTCATGCAGGCCTGGATATCCACCTTGGCCTATTCCTTGACCAAGGAACATCCATGTACCTTACACAGAGGAAGAAGTCTATAGAAGGCTATTGTCTCTGCACTTATAGCAGCCTGAGGTCACTGTAGATATTCAGGGCCCACAGTTGGGAAGAAGAGGTGTATGTGGTGTGGGGGAAAGCAAGGACAAACTGGAACCTGCAAGGATTAACTTGAATCCCTAGGACAAACTAAATCCCATGAAGACTTACTGGAACCTGCATCTGTCTCTTATTGCCTCCAACCTAAAGAAAGAGCTGGCATCCATAGTCGTGGAAGTGCACACAAACCTGACTTAGGACTTGGAGAAGTTGAAGAAGGAGATCTTGTCAGAGTTGGAGTTGCTGCAGGTCCTGTTGCTGCCCCACACCAACGAGGTGTGCCAGTTGATCAGTGCCAGTGTATGGCAGTGGTAATAGTGCCTGTCCTACCAAACTTCAGAATATAGTATCTATTGCTTCACTCCCACTTCCCAAGCCCTGCCCAAATTTTTCTCCTGGTCCACTCTAACTCAGAACCACATTGGGAAGGCAATTCCAGGAAACTATGTTTCTAGCTTAGCTAAGTTGGCAAAGCCACTTCAACAACCGTGAGACAAATACAGACTGGTAGAATGTGACTGGCCACTATTAGAGAAAAGGATAACACACAGTAGAGAAAAAAAAAAAGAATCCCAAACCAAAAAACGTATGGGTCATTCTGCACATCAGTTATAGACAAGGACTTCTCAGTGTTTGGTGCTCACATTCAACCAAAGCTGTGTCCAAGAAGGACTCATTTAACCAGTATCATCCACCCCAACAATCCTGAGTGTCTATGTCCACAATGTTCAGTAGAGCAGAAGAGGAAGAAACAGTAAGCATGGAGTTACTGGCAGCATTTTGGAATGCTTCTGGTCACCGTGAATTTTGGTCACTGACCCCTGACTTCCGAGATAAGCCATACAACACTGAACCTTCCACCCAGCTTTTCAAAGGGGGTGAGTGTTCCCTTATTTTTAAAGCAACTATTGGTGAAATAAAGGTGACACATAAATTAGATTCACTGTATAGGCTTTGGTAAAAGTCGTGATGTGTTTCCAAAGCTTCAGATAGAAATGAATCCCAGTGTGACAATGGATATCTTTTCAGTTTAAAAGCAAAGTCTCAGAGGTGAAAACTTCAGCTTCTGTGCTCTTTCCCACCCCTCTGAGGAATATGAAATAGCTGGGGGCCCATGGATAAAACAGAAAAGCAGTGGAGAATAGCTTGAAGGCACCGGGAGGCTGGATAGATGACTGTAAAGATATTCTGCTGATTTTATGGGGTAAGCCATGCTTTGAGCATTTTCCAAAGGGGAAAGAAAGGTGAGCAACTTTATCACAAAACAGTTGATTTTTTACTTACAAATGAGTATGGTTTGAATATTTGCCCCCTCCAAAACTCATGTTGAAATTTAATCTCCAATGTGGCGGTATTGAGAGGTGGGGTCTTGGGGCTTTTAAGAGGTGATGGGTCATAAAGGCTCTGCCCTCATGAATCGACTAATCCATCATGGATTAATGGGTCAATAGATTAATGGGTTATCATGGGAGTGGGACTGGTGGCTTCATAAGAAGAGGAAGAGAGACCCAAGCTAGGATGCTCAGCCCCCTCACCCTGTGATGCTCTGTGCTGTCTAGGAAGTTTGCAGAGAATCCCCACCAGCTAGAGGGTCCTCACCAGATGCAGTCCCTTGACCTTGGGCTTTTTAGCCTCCATAACCATATGAAATAAATTCCTTTTCTTTATAAATTATGCAGTTTTAGATATTCTATTATAGGCAACAGAAAACAGACTAAGACAAGAATGTTTGATGAAAAGCTATGCCTTTTAAATTTTGACTGGCATTAAGTTATATAGATAGAACATAGTAACTAGCTCAACAGACCACACATGATTTAAATTTATTACTTTTCTTCTCGATAGATTAAGTTAGAAAAAAGGAAATATTAATTTAGCTACTGAAGTTTTGCATCTAAAACCTTCTTTGTAAAATTCTGGCTAGTCTCTTTTAAAGAGTAACAGAAAATCATGGGCATTATTTTGAAGAGCCAGTTTTCTTCAGCATTGTGGTAATAATAATAACTAATATTATTTAGGATTTGCTACATGCTAGGTATTAACCAACTATTTTACATGTATTATTTCATTTAATCCTTTTAACACCTCTAGGCTATCAGTATGATTATTCCCACTTGAAGATGAAGAAACTAGAGTGCAGAAAAGTTGTGATTTGTGTAAAGACACACAGTAAGTTCTAGAGCCAGAGTTCAAACCTAGTCTACATCATTGCATCCCTACAAAATTCACACTGATCAGTAGGTAGAAATCACTTCAGCAAAAGATGTCTGAACAGGAATGGTTAGTGCAGCATCTTTTATAAGGGTTTAACATTCGAAAAAGCTTATCTATCTATCTATCAGTAAGGGACTGGTTAAACTGATGAAGTTAATCTATTCAGTGGACTAGTTTTGCATCTGTTAGGAGTTATATGACAGAGATGTACAGACAGTGTGATCCAATTTTAGTAAACACATTTACCAGTATTCATATACATTAAAAAGTCTGGAAAATTATACAGCAAAAATACTAACAATGATCATTGTGAAGTGGTAGGATTCTAGGTAATTTAAAATGTGTCCCAATTTTTCCTATAATAATCATGTAATAAAGAATAGAATAAAATCTTTAAAACTCACACCACTGTTCTTTCACTGAGAAACACTGCTTCTCTTTTGAGTTGCAGACTGGAAATCAGCCCTGACTGCATTCAAGTGCTCTGTGACTTTGGACAAGTCACTTACCCTCTCTGGGTCTCCTGTTTTATATAATAAGAACGCGATTTAATTTTGCAGGTTCCTTTGTGTTCTAACATCCTTTGACTTAATGAATCTGATTCTTAGTAAAGTTCTTTTAAAAAAAGAACAAATAATGTGTGGAGGTTTAAATGTTGATAAATGGTTTCTTCACACTTTATCTGTTTTCTTCAGCATGTGAAGTTATTATTTCCATTATTCCCTTCCCGTGAGTCCTTTAAGAAGGGAAAGTTGGCTTTTTGCTCTCTCTGGGGATGGCGGAGGGAGGTACCCTGCTGAGGGGAAGGGGGATGCCTGAGACCTGGACTTCCTCGGGAGTCTGCTGTGGAGTTGAAGGAAAACCAAGATTTCATTTTCAAGATGGAAAGTCCATCAGACTCAGCTGTGGTTTTACCTAGCACTCCTCAGACCTCTGTGAATCCATCATCTCCCTATACAAATAGTTCACGAACACAACCTATGAGTGCAACACTTAGAGAAAGATTAAGGAAAGCAAGATCTTCATTTAGTTCCTGTTATAATGTGGTGAAACTTCTTAAAGTAGAGAATGAAGAAAACGATCAGACCTTTTCAGAGAAACCAGCATCTTCCACAGAGGAAAACTGTTTGGAATTTCAAGAAAGTTTTAAACACATAGACAGTGAATTTGAAGAAAATATAAATTTGAAAAATACTTTGAAGAATCAATGTCTGTGAATCTCAGTCATTTGACTCTGGGTCATGCAGTGCTCTCCAAAATGAGTTTGTGAATGAGAATCTTTCTAAACAAAGATTAAACGATGAAAAAGCCAAATTGGTGAAGCAGGTTCAGGAGAAAGAAGACCTTCTTTGGAGGCTAAAACTCATCAAACTGTATGATCAAAGAATCTGTCTCCATTACAGTTGTTAATAAAGAAGTGGAGGAGCTGTAGCCAGCTGTTGCTTTATGAGTTGCAGTCAGCTGTGTCTGAAGAGAACAAGAAACTAAGCCTTACTCAATTGATAGACTACTATGGGTTAGAAGATAAATTGCTACACTATAACAGAAGTGAAGAAGAATTCATAGATGTTTAATTCCTGATTTTTGCTCCAGAATATCTTTGCGAATGACAACTTAATTAAAAGATACTTAATCATTTTAAAGGGAAGATAGAAACCATTAGGGCTCAGAGGAAGGTATCCCAATGAACATCAATTAAGGGCACTCTAATATATAAATTATAAACCAAGTTCTAGAAGGAAAATTAGTATTTTGGATAGATTTGCCAAAGAAAGCTTGACATTTAAATCATGTTTAAAAAGTCATTTGGGCAGTTCTGGAAACTAGTTTTAATACAATTGTTTCTTTGTGGCAAAAAGTTTTATTTTAAATGTTAAAAATTGTCCAATCTAGTGAATGTCTAAACCTAAAGTTTAAAAATTTCTGCCTCTCTCCTAAGTTTATGCACCTTGTTTACATCCATTTACCACATATTTCCATCTGCTAATCTAGCAGGTAATTAAACCCATATGTCCAAAACTTGGGGAAAAAAAAAGGAACGTTAATGTTAATGCATTTCACCAGAAATGTGTCAAATCACTCTGGGAAAATAAGTGCCTTTTCCCAGAAAGACACTTTGTGACCAATACATTAACAGACTTTTTTTTTTTTAAGCCATATGTTGAAGCAACACACGTCACAACCCAAGCAAAATAAGAAACAAAAGCAAACTATTCAAACACAATCCCCATTAGCCATCCTTACTCTAGATTCTTGGCTTTGTTCCTAGGGTCACCTTTTACCTATATATCTGATTAATGATAATAATAATGATAACTACTAGCCTTTGTTTTACAGATATCCATAGGGCCATTTAAAATATTCGAGGCATAGTGAACGATGCTGAGCAGAGGAGGGCAAGGAGAAAGAGTAGATTTTTTGTTTTTTAGAAAGTGGGTGGCTGGCTTGATTGGCTCACTACCTGTCTAGGAATTAACCCGGGCATGGAGGCTGTACTTACAGGAGCGCGCGTCCTTGCATGGCCTTTGCGGAGAGACTCTCAGGCGCCTTCTGCTGTCGAGTTGACCCTCATGCTGCCTCTGCCCAAGGGTTCTGGCTTCGCACCCGGCTCTCCTGACCAGCACCTTCCAAACTCGCTTTTCACAAATGGCCATTTCTCACCATTTGTGGGGTGATGTGATTCTAGGAGGTAATGTGGGGTAAAGTGGAGCTTGGAGAGGGGGGCTGGCGTGGGGCATGTGTGGAGCCTGAGAGGTAATATACAGATTAGGGAATTGTGAAGGGGAGTCTGTGGGGTAGGGGCGGAATGATGTGCAGTTTGCTGGGGTGAGGGGTGGGTGGCAATGTGCAGCCTGTGGGTTGCTGTGTCACCAAGACCTACTCTCCACTATATGAGCATAGTCCCGGCACGACCCAAACCTTGGTGTCTCCTGCACCCCACAGGCCTTAGCTCCAATCAGGGGAATGGCAGAAAGCTTTCGTGCAGTTTCCTAGTCACGTTTTTAACTTGCCTCCTTTCAATAAACTGAAAAAAATCTGCCCTCAGCGAAGAAACGCTGCATTTTCTGTTATCCTTACCAACCGGAATAGTCTTTCAGCAATATATATTTATTATGAAATCAGAAGCTATTTTTCAACAAATGTGAATATTGAATATGTACCCCCCAAAAAAACACACCCTGGGGGAAGATCTCCCTAGAATCAATGGTCTGGAATCTTTTCACCTGTCTCACACTCCATGCCCCCTTCCATTTTTCACCCCCTGGCAGTCTCTTGATTATGCATTCACCTTGGAACTATGATTCTGGGATCTTGCCCATTTATGTCTGCTTGCTAGCTGTGTGGCAGCAAGTGAATCACCAAACTACTCTGAACTAAAAACACCAACCTCATAGACTCTATTCATTTATTCACTCACTCAACGCACGTTAACTGAGCACCTACTCCTGTTGAACCCTAGGCTGGGTGCTGGTAATAACATCAGTGAACAAGGCAGATGCTTTCCTTACTCTCATGAAATTGGTCACCCAACTGGGGAGCCAGACAATAAACCAATACATACAAAACTGGTGGTATGCATGTCAATGTAAAGAACATGCTAAAACTAGAAAGAATACAAAGACTTCTAATTTAGGATGTAGGTCATGGAAGGCCACTCCAAAGAAGGGACATGAAAGCTGAACCTGAAGGATAAACAAGAATGAGCCAGGTGAAAGATAATGGGCAGTGATTCCAAGCTGGGAAGTTTTCATATATTCCCAAAGGGGCCATGTGACTAGATGGTGAGGAGTGAGGAGAAGAGAGGCTCCAGTAGTTTGAAGAGTTAAGCAGGAGATAGATTAGGCAAAGCTTTGAAGGCCATGCTAAGAATTTTAAATCACATCCTAGGGTATAGTGGAAAGCCACTGTATTATTTTTAATATGAAGATAACAGATGGGAGGGAATCAGGCGTGAGTGCGGGAGCCTAGTAAGGAGCTATTGCAGGTGTTTAGGGAAGAGCTGATGATAGCAGTTTGGTTATGGGTGGCAACAGTGGAAGTGGTAAGTAACCAGATTCAGAGCATATTTTGAAGGAAGGGCACACAGGATATGGTGACATAATATATGTGGGGCTGAGAAAGAAGAAGGTATCATGGATGGTGTCTTAGTCTGTTTGGGCTGCTACAACAAGATATCATAGACTGGCTGGCTTAAACAACACAAATTTATTTTCTCACAGTTCTAGAGGCTGGAAGTCTAAGGTCAGGATGACAGTGAGCTCAGGTTTTGGTGAGAGTCACCTTCCTTGCTTGCAGTTGGCTGCCTTCTCTCTGTGTACTCACTGGCTTTTCCTTTCACATTCCAGTAGACAGAAAGAGGGGGGAGGGAGAGAGGGAAGGGGAGAGAGAGAGAGAATCTTCCTCTTCCTCTTCTTCTTCTTTTTTTTTTTTTTTTTTTGAGATGGAGTCTTGCTCTGTCTCCCAGGCTGGAGTTCAGTGGCGTGATCTCGGCTTACTAATGCAACCTCTGCCTCCCAGGTTCAAGTGATTCTCCTACCTCAGCCTCCTGAGTAGCTGAGATTACAGGGGTGTGCCTCCATGCCCAGCTAGTTTTTGTATTTTTAGTAGAGACAGGGTTTCACCATGTTGGTTGGCCAGGCTGGTCTCGAACTCCTGACCTCAGGTGATCCACCCGCCTCAGCCTCCCAAAGTGCTGGGATTACAGGCATGAGCCACCACGCCTGGTCAATCTTCCTCTTCTTATGAGGTTATAAGGTAACCAATCCTATCGGATTAGGACCCTACCCTATGACCTCTTTTAACCTTAATGATTATCACCTAAAAGCCGAATCTACAAATGCAGTCACATTGGGGATTACAACTTCAACATAGGAATTTGAGGCAGGGCACAATTAAGTCCATTGCAGATGGCAACTAGGTCTCTGGCTGTGAGAGTGAGGATTCAGGGAGGAGTAGTTTTAAGAAATTGCTCTGTATTAGTTTTTTCTTGCACTGCTATAAAGAAATACCTGAGACTGGGTAATTTATAAAGAAAAGAGGTTTAATTGACTCAGGTACGCAGGCTGTAGAGGAAGCATGGCTTGGATGTTTCAGGAAACTTACAATTATGGTGGAAGGGGAAGCAGGTACATCTTCACACAGCCAGAGCAGGAGGAAGAGAGGAGAGGTGCTACACTTTCTTTTTTTTTTTTTTTTTTAGACGGAGTCTCACTCTGTCGTCCAGGCTGGAGTGCAGTGGCACCATCTTGGCTCACTGCAACCTCTGCCTCCCGGGTTCAAGCAATTCTCCTGCCTCAGCCTCCTGAGTAGCTGGGATTACAGGCGCACACCACCACGCCCGGCTAATTTTTGTATTTTTAGTAGAGACAGGGTTTCACCATGTTGGTCAGGCTGTTCTCGAACTTCTGACCTCATGATCCGCCCGCTTCGGCCTCCCAAAGTGCTGGGATTACAGGTGTGAGCCACCATGCCCAGCCGATGCTACACTTTTAAACAGCCAGATGTCATGATTACTCACTATCATTAGAACAAAACTAGAGGGGAAATCTGCCCCTATGATCTAATCGCCTCTCACCAGGCCCCATCGCCAACACTGGGGACTACAATTTGATATGCCTTTGCAATATCAATTGCTGCATACCAAGTTCTCTCTGTTTTGGGCCTCTGTAATAGTCACAATGTCAGGTACTGCTGGTGCCAAAGGTGGTATTACGCATTGAGCTGCCTAAAATCAGTGGTAAGTCTCCAAGAAACCAAGGTCTTGTGCACAGGCCAGATGGGGCTATTGAATGGAGAAACAGTCTCATGAAACATTTTGGCTTCCTTAAGCTCAGCAATGATGGCAATTATTCTTTTTCTCCCCTAGGCAGCTGACATTGTTTTTTGGGAAACAACAGTACTAGGTGTTGGTCATCAGATGGGTCCATGGTCTTCTATATTTCTCACTAAGATGGCCATAACTATTGCAATTCCTGTCAGGGCTTGGAGGCAAAGGCAAGTGGGGCTGCACATGGAAAACACATCACTGCCAATATTTCATTCAGTAGTGGGGGCCATGACAACGGAGGTTAGTAGGAGCCCAAAGTCAGAGAACACGATCTGTTTTCTCCTCATCTTGATGCAAGGGTTTGTGGGGATCACAGTCACCTGTGTACTGGTATCTAAAAGGCCTAAGAAGTGCAATTCCTCTCCACTGTTCAGTTGAACTCTAACCTTGGCATAGGGCCTCTGGGTCCCCTGAGTACAGAAGGATCTTGTTTATAACCCCTAAAATCTTTGGATTTTTGTTTGTAACCCCTAATCTTGTTTATATTTGAAAGCTGAGTGTCAGAGCAAAAGTTGCTCAGGATCTCTGATTTGTCTCCAAATCCACCAGGAGAGGTGGAAGGCCATCACTGTGCAGACTCTAGCGGGACCACTTATCAAATCCCCATGGCCTGGTACTTGGCCCTGAATTTTTTAGTGGGGAGCCCATCAATCTGCTTTCGTGGTTCCATTATTGAGTAATCAGACTCAGAGATCTCTTTGGGAAGGCCCTTGCCCAGACAGTCCAGAAGAGGGCACTCAAGTACTATTTTTATGCTCCCTTTTTGGAGGGGAGGGGTCAAATTTTGCTATTTTATCGGAAGCCATTTCTTCTGTGCCTGAGAATTTCTGAGTTAAGATCTGGATCACACTGCAGATTGATGGACTTGACCTCAGGAGGTGGCTTAATTGGGCTTGACAACAAGCAGGAGCAGCATGAACAAACCCGTAAATCTAAGTCTGGTTAATCTTCTCATCTACCGTTCCCACTCCCTCGTAGTAGACCCAAGAGACCACCAGGAGGGCTGCAGGACCTCCATAGTCTCTGCGAAGGTGGTTGAGACATGTTTTTCAGTGACTAGGTACTCATTATGTGTGGACCAAATCTGTCAGAGACCAAATAGTACCCAGCTGAGGAAAGAGATGGTCGTTGGTATACATACACTCTCATCTCCCCACCTTGCTCCTCCTCCTCAGAGAAAGTGGCCACTATCAAGGCACTATGGAGGAGGGGGTCTGTAGTGATGTACCCCTCAAGGAGCCACTTTCCTTTATGAAGTTTATTTAACAAGATTACCTTTTTCGTAATGGAAGCAAACTAGCCAAGTCTCTGTGGTTTCTTCCCCTAAGCAAGTCTTCCTTCTGGCTTGGCTGCTGGGCATTGACCCTATCTAGTGAGATCACTGGACAAAGTGATTCTAAAGAGCTCTACATTATTTTTATTAGAAGCATGAGTCTCAGTAACATGCTGCATGGCATGTTGTCCGTCAGCCCCAGGGAACTGCTTAGATCTAGGAATAGTTTTGGGGTACAGGTCAGTTTACAGGGTCTCCAACGACTTCTGGCCCCATCATCAGAGAACGGTGTCCAGGGAATTGTTTCTGTGGCTTCTTAGAGCCCCTCTGCTGGATCTCTTATTTGATCCACTAGGTTATCTCAGCCGAGGTGATGGGGATAAACAGGAGGACCGATGGTTACCTTGGAACCAAAAGCTTTTATAAACAATTTTCTATCATCCTCCAAGTATACCCTGTGACTTACAATAGCAATTCCTGAGACCTGCTGGCATGGCTGGTAAAGTGCCACGTGAGGTCTGCTAGCACTTCCCAGGACTCACTGGCAGAGTGCCCGGTCAGATCCTCTGACTCTGGCAAATAATCCATTAGCATCCTCCAGGAGTGCCCTGCAAGGTCTGCTTACACCCATCATTAGTGAATTGCCCCACGAGATTTTCAGGCTCTTTGCTCTTCAGAAACGACATTGTGCATAATCAACTACCCAGCTTGCCATTCCAATTTTTCAAGAGCTCAGCTGAGCTAGAGAGAGCTGAGCTGCTGGGTGTCAGAGTAGTCGATTAAGACGAGTCAAAATAAAAGTAACAGTCAGACTTTAATAACTGCCTTTGATAGTATAAGCAAGGGACTGAACCAGAAAAAGTACCGACTCCTCCATTATTCCATTTTTCCACATGGGGTGGCTCCAACAGGGGTCTGACCACAGATGCAGGGCATCATCATCTCACTGTTAAGGGAGCCCTGAACAAGAGGCTCCTGCCATTTTATGGACCCAGGGGCAGGAGGAGGTGACAGGGAAGGGCTAGGAGTAGAAAAGTACTGAGTACTGAGTCAGCTTGAAGAAAAAAATATTTTTAGGCATCCCCCACTCCCACCATGGCAACAAGAGGTCTTAGCTCAGGTGCTTGAGAAAGGCCTCTGCCAAAGGCTCCTGATAAGGCGGACTCCAAATGGAGGCATCTGGTCTAGGAATGCCGACATGTGTGAGAGCATGATCAGTTCGGGACGTCTGAGTCCTTGACTGCAACTCCATTCACAGACTGCAATGCACGGCTGTGCATCAGGTCTGATGTGGGGAGGGCACGTCCCCCCATGATCCCTGCCAGGTAAAGCTTTTGTAATTGCCTATGGCGAGGCCTGAAAGATCACCCATAGGTTTTTGGCCAAGAGTTGAATTCACTCTCTCCAGTGGTCCTAGCACTTCCTGTGAGAGGTCTTGCTGTCATTGTCTCTAAAAGCATGAAACAAAGGAAGTCAGATCTCTGCCCCTTTGGAATGCAGCTACTGTGGGGCTACGTGTTTCTAGTTTCCATTACAGAAATACTGAATCCACCCGTGCCCCTACCACACCCACACCGGGAACTCAGGAGAAGGGGAGGCAGGGCTGTGGTTTCTGGCCTGCTGTGGCACTAGAAGGTTCATAGCGGTGAGTCTGATCGGCTTTCTGGGTGTCAGAC
The DNA here is from genome assembly GCF_000001405.40 of Homo sapiens. Lineage (NCBI taxonomy): Eukaryota > Metazoa > Chordata > Mammalia > Primates > Hominidae > Homo > Homo sapiens. Next base: position 120,194,853 of record NC_000023.11, on the reverse strand, counting down.
CAGACGGAAGAACCAAAGCCAGTCACCATCATCAGTAGTATTCTAGCTCTGGAGCTTACGTGTTCACCAATGACAGTGTCTGCCCAAATCTTCCTTCTGGCTTGGCTGCTGGGCATTGACCCTACCTAGCGGAAGCTTAGGACACACCTATCCCTGGAATTCTGGGCAAATTCTCCCAGCTCAGGAGAGTGGTGGGCTGTTTTTGGTTCCTCTGCTTTTTAAATTCTATCTGTTATGGTTAGTATCAGGCCTCTGAGCCCAAGCTAAGCCATCGTAACCCCTGTGACCTGCACGTATACATCCAGATGGCCTGAAGCAAGTGAAGAATCACAAAAGAAGTGAAAATGGCCGGTTCCTGCCTTAACTGATGACATTCCACCATTGTGATTTGTTCCTGCCCCACCTTAACTGAGCAATTAACCTTGTGAAATTCCTTCACCTGGCTCCAAACCTCCCCCACTGAGCACCTTGTGGCCCCTGCCCCTGCCCATAAGAGAAAAACCCACTTTGATTGTAATTTTTCACTACCTACCCAAATCCTATAAAACAGCCCCACCCACCCCTATCTCCCTTCACTGACTCTCTTTTTGGACTCAGCCCGCCTGCACCCAGGTAAAATAAACAGCCCCGTTGCTCACACAAAGCCTGTTTGGTGGTCTCTTCACATGGACGTGCATGAAATTTAGTCCCTTAATCATCATCACTGTGGAAGGTAATGTTTATTAAACACCTACAGCATGGCAGGCCTTGTTCTGAGTGTTCTACTTGAATCTCTTCATTTCATCTTCTTTTCAGCCCTATGAACTAATTACTGTGAAAATTCCATTGTACAGATGAGGCTCAGAAAGCTAAAACAACCTGCCTAAAGTCACAAATCCAGTAAGTGGCAGATCTGTGACTTGAAACCCTCTGTCTGCATTGAGAGTCTCTGTTCCTCCTATTTAGCCACACTGACTCCCATACTTCTGAAACCGCCTTTGCAAAATTATGACTAAGACAGTGAAAGAGATTTAACTTAACCAACTCCATTTTGCTTCTAACCTCCAAGCTGTCCTTGTTCATTCCTGGGCGTAGGCCCAACTAACCTTGGAGAAAAACTTAGTTTATAGTTTGAACAAAGATGGTAATAGCCTTTCCCAAAGCAGACTTCCTTCTTGCCTGGGAACTAGATTGCCTTTGTAGGACCAACATTGGCCACAAGACTAGAAATTATAGTTTAGGAGTCATGCAGCTGGAGGCTACAAGATTCTAACCCTTCCTAAACTGCTCCTAAGATCAGTGGTTGAGATATTTTGTAAACCCTGCACTTGATGGATCAGCTGGCACCACCCAAATGGATAAACTGGCTCATCTGATCTTGTGGCCGCCACCCAGGAACTGACTCAGCACAAGAAGACAGCTTCGACTCGCTATGATTTCATCTCCGGCCAATCAGCACTCCTGGCTCACTGGCTTCCCCCCACCCACCAAGTTATCCTTAAAAACTCTGCTCCCTGAATGCTCGAGAAGACTGATTTAGGTAATAATAAAACTCCAGTCTCCCACACAGCCGGTTCTGCATGAATTACTCTTTCTCTATTGCAATTCCCCTGTCTTCATAAATCGGCTCTGCCTAGGCAGTGGGCAAGGTAAACCCCTTGGGCAGTTACACTTCCTCCTCCCACCCCAGTGCCCTGACCCCTCCATGCCATCTCAGCAGCATGATGTTTACATATGGGTCCTAGATTTGTGTAGTGTTTTCCAGGCAGCAAGCTTAGTATTTCTTCCTGGATACAGAGGACATTCAACGAAGCACTTCCCTTTCTGTATTGCAATTAAGACCAATTGTCTTAAGGTGGGAAACTACTCCACATACAAAGCATAGTGGTTAAAGGCAGGGGTTCTGATACTTGGAGATGTCAGGGACTAATAAAGTTAATAAAATTGGGTCCTGACATAGGTTATTATCTTTTTATTTCACTAATTAAGGACATTTAAAACAACACCATTTACACTACTATTAAAATAATAGTAGACTGAACATGGTTGCTCACACCTGTAATCCCAGCACTTTGGGAGGCCGAGGCAGGAGGATCACTTGAGGTCAGGAGTTTGAGACCAGCCTGGGCAGCATAGGAAGAACTAGTCTCCACACATAATAAAAAAGTTAGCTGGGTGTGGTGGTGTGTGCCTGTGGTCCCAGCTACTTGGGAGGCTAAGGCAGGAGGAGTACTTGAGCCTGGGAGGTTGAGGCTGCAGTGAGCTGTGATTGCACCACTGCACTCCAGCCTGGGTGACAGAGTGAGGCTGAAACGGCTTTTGCAAAAATTACAACACTGAGAAAATTATAGCAGTGAAAGAGATCTGATCATGCCAAAGTCCCATCTTGCCTTTGGCCTTCAAGCTGCCCCTAATTATTCCTGGGTTAGGCCAAGCTAACCTGGAGAGACATTTAGTTTATACTTTAAATGATAATAGCCCTTTCCCAAAATTCAACTGCCTTTGTAAAGCTAATGAGAGACCACCAGGCTAGGGGGATAGAGGAGCCTAAATTCTGCTAAGGTGTAGACATAAACGATTGCCAGCTATTGTTCTGGAGGTCACAAGATATGCTACTTCCCCAATTACTCCTCCAGATAACATTACTATTGTAGAACCTAAGACTGGCCTTTTGAGATATCTTTTCAGATTTGTTTGCCTGTCTGACACCAATGGCTTCACCTGGACCTGCCAGCCACTCCTGTGGCCCCACCCAGAAGATATTCAGTGGGCAGAAGGACCATTCCTGCACCCTTATGATTGCACCCCCAACCAATCAGCAGCAAGCACCCATTGCTTAGCCACCCTAACTCCCTCCCTAAAACTATCTTTGGAAAACCCTACCCCTAAATGCTCAAGAAGATTGATTTGAGTAACAATTCTATCTCCCATGTGGCGTGGCCAGCCTTGCATCAATTAAATTCTTTTATTTACTACCATGCCATGGTCTTCATTTGTGCAGCAGGCAGGAAGAACCCATCAGGTGGTTACAATCCTCTCTCAAAATATTTAATAACAGAAATAATATCTAAACCTTGTAAAGAAAGATTACAATGTGGCAGGTTCTGCTCTCAGTCTTTCAATGAAATATCTGATTCAATCCTCATAAAAATCCTGTTCAGTAAGCTTGTTATCCCCATTTTATAGGCAAGGAAATTGAAGAAAAAGAAACAATATGTAAATTGCTTCTGCCTCTGCTGATAACCATTATAGTTAGCATACTATAATATACTGTCTCTCTCTTTCATAAAAGACAAGAGTAACCTTTAGGCCCACAAGGGAGGCCCTGATCTCAGAATTTAGGAATAGCCAAGTAAAACACAGACACCTCTGAGTTTGAGCCTTGGGAAAATGAGCATTGTGTCTGTTTCCTGAAATTTAAGATGAAAACACTAATATCTGTTGTGAGGAGTAAATGACAACATATACCGAGTATTTACACAGTAACTGGCACATAAGAACCTCCGAATACATACCAGCTGTAAGGCTTATTGTCACTCTTCCTCCTTGCACAGCCCTATGAGTTCATCTCTTGCTGGGAAGGAGCTGAGTATGGATACTACAGACTGGTCCTGTTATTGAGGTCAGATAAATTTGATGTTCCTCCTTCCCTCACTCTCTCCCATTTCCTCCTCCTTGACCGAACTGAAACGGGCAGAAATATTTGGGCTTTACTTCCCATTGGTTGAAATTGTTGCTATAACAGCATTCATAAGCATTCTTTCTGGGAACCCTGGGTAAGAGCTGCTTAAAGACTTCTGAGGCTTCTTCAGCTACTGCTGCTGGTACTCCAAACAAGGATCTGATCATTCATGTATCAGAGTTTGTTAGGAATGGGGACTGTCTACAAAAAAAAGTACCTACAGTGGTTCTCCCCATTCATCACCAAGACCCCACACTTGACCATGCTCCCAGCTCTTTCTGCCCATTCTGCCTACCTAGCATCTCATTAGGAAGGTACAGATAAAAAAAGAGCTAGAAAAGGTCATTGGGAGGATCAAGAATGATTTGTCCCCACAGATATGTAAGGATAAAATCCTAGTATTTTCCTTCTCCCGTTGGAACACAGGGCTCCATGGAGAAAGTTCTAAAGAGGGTCTTCCCATGGACAAAGACTTCGCCTTAATTGCTTGGTGTTGGCGGTCATGATTTTGACTCCTGGTTAATTCATCAAGAGCCATTTTGCCAAAATCCAAGTCACAGAATGACCAAGTGAACAAGTGAGCCATTCTTGGAGCAATCAAGTTGCCAATGACTAGTTCATGCAAGCTTAAGAAATTAACTGATTTACAAAACACTTTGTTGTTTTTGCAGAGTTTACTACAATTTACTCTGAGTGAATGGGCATGGCATAAGGGCTATGGAGAGCCAGTTCTATAATGTTCTGTGCCTTCAGACATATCCTCTCCCATCGGTCGGTCTTTCCCCAGTCTGGAATGGGCAGTTTCAGGAGACTGTTTTCCCCCAGTAGATGACCCTCTCTCCCATCCCCAACCCACAGCTACAGCAACAGGAACTTAGCTGAAGCCATCCAGCTGACGCCCAAGACCATTCCAGTCAATGAACTAAGGACAAGCGTATGAGTGTCCCCCCACCCCCATCCCAACCCCATGCTCCAGACCTACCCTCATGGCCACTGAGTGGGACACTGGAAACTTTGCCTTCCTGAGAGAACGGGGCTCTCTCTGAGAGTGGAAACATCTCTGTTGTCTTGGCTCCCAGACTGCTGCCACCACAGTGCAACCACCCAAAGCAAAGGGAATCATGGAAGCTATTTCACGTATGCTGACAAAGCCCTGCCCCAGTCCTAGGGGACCTCCCACCAATGTGAAGAGGTGTGTGTGTGTGTAATACAATTGTGGGGGCTTTTTTCTTTTTTTTTTTTTATTGTACTTTAAGTTCTAGGGTACATGTGCACAACATGCAGGTTTGTTACATATGTATACATGTGCCATGTTGGTGTGCTGCACCCATTAACTCGTCATTTAATATTCGGTATATCTCCTAATGCTATCCCTCCCCCCTCCCCCCACCCCACAACAGGCCCCGGTGTGTGATGTTCCCCTTCCTGTGTCCATGTGTTCTCATTGTTCAATTCCCACCTATGAGTGAGAATATGCGGTGTTTGGTTTTTGGCCTTGTGATAGTTTGCTGAGAATGATGGTTTCCAGCTTTATCCATGTCCCTACAAAGGACGTGAACTCATCATTTTTTATGGCTGCATAGTATTCCATGGTGTATATGTGCCACGTTTTCTTAATCCAGTCTATCATTGTTGGACATTTGGGTTGGTTCCAAGTCTTTGCTATTGTGAATAGTGCCACAATAAACATACGTGTGCATGTATCTTTATAGCAGCATGACTTACAATCCTTTGTGTATACACCCAGTAATGGGATGGCTGGGTCAAATGGTATTTCTAGTTCTAGATCCCTGAGGAATCGCCACACTGTCTTCCACAATGGTTGAACTAGTTTACAGTCTCACCAACAGTGTAAAACTGTTCCTATTTCTCCACATCCTCTCCAGCACCTGTTGTTTCCTGACTTTTTAATGATCGCCATTCTAACTGGTGTGAGATGGTATCTCGTTGTGGTTTTAATTTGCATTTCTCTGATGGCCAGGGATGATGAGCATTTTTTCATGTGTCTTTTGGCTGCATAAATGTCTTCTTTCAAGAAGTGTCTGTTCATATCCTTTGCCCACTTTTTGATGGGTTGTTTTTTTCTTGTAAATTTGTTTGAGTTCATTGTAGATTCTGGATATTAGCCCTTTGTCAGATGAGTAGATTGCAAAAATTTTCTCCCATTCTGTAGGTTGCCTGTTCACTCTGATGGTAGTTTCTTTTGCTGTGCAGAAGCTCTTTAGTTTAATTAGATCCCATTTGTCAATTTTGGCTTTCGTTGCCATTGCTTTTGGTGTTTTAGACATGAAGTCCTTGACCATGCCTATGTCCTGAATGGTATTGCCTGGTTTTCTTCTAGGGTTTTTATGGTTTTAGGTCTAACATTTAAGTCTTTAATCCATCTTGAATTAATTTTTATATAAGGCGTAAGGAAGGGATCCAGTTTCAGCTTTCTACATATGGCAAGCCAGTTTTCCCAGCACCATTTATTAAATAGGGAATCCTTTCCCCATTTCTTGTTTTTGTCAGGTTTGTCAAAGATCAGATAGTTGTAGATAAGCGGCATTATTTCTGAGGACTCTGTTCTGTTCCATTGGTCTATATCTCTGTTTTGGTACCAGTACCATGCTGTTTTGATTACTGTAGCCTTGTAGTATAGTTTGAAGTCAGGTAGCATGATGCCTCCAGCTTTGTTCTTTTGGCTTAGGATTGACTTGGCAATGCAAGCTCTTTTTTGGTTCCATATGAACTTTAAAGTAGTTTTTTCCAATTCTGTGAAGAAAGTCATTAGTAGCTTGATGGGGATGGCATTGAATCTATAAATTACCTTGGGCAGTATGGCCATTTTCACGATATTGATTCTTCCTACCCATGAGCATGGAATGTTCTTCCATTTGTTTGTATCCTCTTTTATTTCATTGAGCAGTGGTTTGTAGTTCTGCTTGAAGAGGTCCTTCACATCCCTTGTAAGTTGGATTCCTAGGTATTTTATTCTCTTTGAAGCAATTCTGAATGGGAGTTCACTCATGATTTGGCTCTCTGTTTGTCTGTTATTAGTGTATAAGAATGCTTGTGATTTTTGCACATTGATTTTGTATCCTGAGACTTTGCTGAAGTTGCCTATCAGCTTAAGGAGATTTGGGGCTGAGACGATGGCGTTTTCTAAATATACAGTCATGTCATCTGCAAACAGGGACAATTTGACTTCCTCTTTTCCTAATTGAATACCCTTTATTTCCTTCTCCTGCCTGATTGCCCTGGCCAGAACTTCCAACACTATATTGAATAGGAGTGGTGAGAGAGGGCATCCCTGTCTTGTGCCAGTTTTCAAAGGGAATGCTTCCAGTTTTTGCCCATTCAGTATGATATTGGCTGTGGGTCTGTCATAGATAGCTCTTATTATTTTGAGATACATCCCATCAATACCTAATTTATTGAGAGTTTTTAGCATGAAGGGCTGTTGAATTTTGTCAAAGGCCTTTTCTGCATCTATTGAGATAATCATGTGGTTTTTGTCATTGGTTCTGTTTATATGCTGGATTACGTTTAGTGATTTGCGTAAGTTGAACCAGCCTTGCATCCCAGGGATGAAGCCCACTTGATCATGGTGGATAAGCTTTTTGATGTGCTGCTGGATTCGGTTTGCCAGTATTTTATTGAGGATTTTTGCATCGATGTTCATCAGGGATATTGGTCTAAAATTCTCTTTTTTTGTTGTGTCTCTGCCAGGCTTTGGTATCAGCATGATGCTGGCCTCATAAAATGAGTTAGGGAGGATTCCCTCTTTTTCTATTGATTGGAACAGTTTCAGAAGGAATGGTACCAGCTCCTCCTTGTCCCTCTGGTAGAATTCGGCCATGAATCCATCTGGTCCTGGACTTTTTTTGGTTGGTAAGCTATTAATTATTGCCTCAATTTCAGAGCCTGTTATTGGTCTATTCAGAGATTCAACTTCTTCCTGGTTTAGTCTTGGGAGGGTGTAGGTGTCGAGGAATTTATCCATTTCTTCTAGATTTTCCAGTTTATTTGCGTAGAGGTGTTTATAGTATTCGCTGATGGCAGTTTGTATTTCTGTGGGATCAGTGGTGATATCCCCTTTATCATTTTTTATTGCGTCTATTTGATTCTCCTCTCTTTTATTCTTTATTAGTCTTGCTAGCGGTCTATCAATTTTGTTGATCTTTTCAAAAAACCAGCTCCTGGATTCGTTGATTTTTTGAAGGGTTTTTTGTGTCTCTATTTCCTTCAGTTCTGCTCTGATCTTAGTTATTTCTTGCCTTCTGCTAGCTTTTGAATGTGTTTGCTCTTGCTTCTCAAGTCCTTTTAATTGTGATGTTAGGGTGTCAATTTTAGATCTTTCCTGCTTTCTCTTGTGGGCATTTAGTGCTATAAATTTCCCTCTACACACTGTTTTGAATGTGTCCCAGAGATTCTGGTATGTTTTGTCTTTGTTCTCGTTGGTTTCAAAGAACATCTTTATTTCTGCCTTCATTTCATTATGTACCCAGTAGTCATTCAGAAGCAGGTTGTTCAGTTTCCATGTAGTTGAGTGGTCTCGAGTGAGTTTCTTAATCCTGAGTTCTAGTTTGATTGCGCTGTGGTCCGAGAGACAGTTTGTTATAATTTCTGTTCTTTTACATTTGCTGAGGAGTGCTTTACTTCCAACTATGTGGTCAATTTTGGAATAGGTGTGGTGTGGTGCTGAAAAGAATGTATATTCTGTTGATTTGGGGTGGAGAGTTCTGTAGATGTCTATTAGGTCCGCTTGGTGCAGAGCTGAGTTCAATTCCTGGGTATCCTTGTTAACTTTCTGTCTCGTTGATCTGTCTAATGTTGACAGTGGGGTGTTAAAGTCTTGGAGTCTAAGTCTCTTTGTCGGTCTCTAAGGACTTGCTTTATGAATCTGGGTGCTCCCGTATTGGGTGCATATATATTTAGGATAGTTAGCTCTCTTGTTGAATTGATCCCTTTACCATTATGTAATGGCCTTCTTTGTCTCTTTTGATCTTTGTTGGTTTAAAGTCTGTTTTATCAGAGAATAGGGTTGCAACCCCTGCCTTTTTTTGTTTTCCATTTGCTTGGTAGATCTTCCTCCATCCCTTTATTTTGAGCCTATGTGTGTCTCTGCACGTGAGATGGGTTTCCTGAATACAGCACACTGATGGGTGTGCTCTTTATCCAATTTGCCAGTCTGTGTCTTTTAATTGGAGCATTTAGCCCATTTACATTTAAGGTTAATATTGTTATGTGTGAATTTGATCCTGTCATTATGATGTTAGCTGGTTATTTTGCTCATTAGTTGATGCAGTTTCTTCCTAGCCTCGATGGTCTTTACAATTTGGCATGTTTTTGCAGTGGCTGGTACTGGTTGTTCCTTTCCATGTTTAGTGCTTCCTTCAGGAGCTCTTTTAGGGCAGGCCTGGTGGTGACAAAATCTCTCAGCATTTTGCTTGTCTGTAAAGGATTTTATTTCTCCTTCACCTATGAAGCTTAGTTTGGCTGGATATGAAATTCTGGGTTGAAAATTCTTTTCTTTAAGAATGTTGAATATTGGCCCCCACTCTCTTCTGGCTTGTAGAGTTTCTGCCAAGAGATCAGCTGTTAGTCTGATGGGCTTCCCTTTGTGGGTAACCCGACCTTTCTCTCTGGCTGCCCTTAACATTTTTTCCTTCATTTCAACTTTGGTGAATCTGACAATTATGTGTCTTGGAGTTGCTCTTCTCGAGGAGTATCTTTGTGGCGTTCTCTGTATTTCCTGAATTTGAATGTTGGCCTGCCTTACTAGATTGGGGAAGTTCTCTTGGATAATATCCTGCAGAGTGTTTTCCAACTTGGTTCCATTCTCCCCGTCACTTTCAGGTACACCAATCAGGTGTAGATTTGGTCTTTTCACATAGTCCCATATTTCTTGGAGGCTTTGTTCATTTCTTTTTATTCTTTTTTCTCTAAACTTCTCTTCTCGCTTCATTTCATTCATTTGATCTTCCGTCACTGATACCCTTTCTTCCAGTTGATGGAATCAGCTACTGAGGCTTGTGCATTCATCATGTAGTTCTCGGGCTGTGGTTTTCAGCTCCATCAGGTCCTTTAAGGACTTCTCTGCATTGGTTATTCTAGTTAGCCATTCGTCTAATTTTTTTTCAAGGTTTTTAACTTCTTTGCCATGGGTTCGAACTTCCTCCTTTAGCTCAGAGTAGTTTGATTGTCTGAAGCCTTCTTCTCTCAAGTCGTCAAAGTCATTCTCCATCCAGCTTTGTTCCATTGCTGGTGAGGAGCTGCGTTCCTTTGGAGGAGGAGAGGCGCTCTGATTTTTAGAGTTTCCAGTTTTTCTGCTCTGTTTTTTCCCCATCTTTGTGGTTTTATCTACCTTTGGTCTTTGATGATGGTGACGTACAGATGGGGTTTTGGTGTGGATGTCCTTTCTGTTTGTTGGTTTTCCTTCTAACAGTCAGGACCCTCAGCTGCAGGTCTTTTGGAGTTTGCTGGATGTCCACTCCAGACCCTGTTTGCCTGGGTATCAGCAGCAGAGGCTCCAGAACAGCGGATATTGGTGAACAGAAAATGTTGCTGCCTGATAATTCCTCTGGAAGTTTCATCTCAGAGGAGTACCCGGCCGTGTGAGGTGTCAGTCTGCCCCTACTGGGGGGTGCCTCCCAGTTAGGCTACTCGGGGGTCAGGGACCCACTTGAGGAGGCAGTCTGTCCGTTCTCCGATCTCAAGCTGCATGCTGGGAGAACCACTACTCTCTTCAAAGCTGTCAGACAGCGACATTTAAGTCTGCAGAGGTTTCTGCTGCCTTCTGTTTGGCTATGCCCTGCCCCCAGAGGTGGAGTCTACAGAGGCAGGTGGGCCTCCTTGAGCTGCGGTGGGATCCACCCAGTTCGAGCTTCCCGGCCGCTTTGTTTACCTACTCGAGCCTCAGCAATGGCAGGCGCCCCTCCCCCAGCCTCGCTGCCGCCTTGCAGTTTGATCTCAGACTGCTGTGCTAGCAATGAGCGAGGCTCCGTGGGCGTAGGACCCTCCGAGTCAGGCGTGGGACATAATCTCCTGGTGTGCTGTTTGCTAAGACCATTGGAAAAGCGCAGTATTAGGGTGGGAGTGACCTGATTTTCCAGGTGCCATCTGTCACCCCTTTCTTTGACTAGGAAAGGGAATTCCCCGACCCCTTGCGCTTCCCGGGTGAGGCGACGATGCCTCACCCTGCTTCGGCTCATACTCGGTGCGCTGCACCCACTGTCCTGTACCCACTGTCTGACACTCTCCAGTGAGATGAAACCAGTACCTCAGTTGGGAATGCAGAAATCACCCATCTTCTGCGTCGCTCACGCTGGGAGCTGTAGACTGGAGCTGTTCCTATTCGGCCATCTTGGCTCCACCAGTTGTGGGTTTTGTTTTCTTCAGTGCCATCTTGACCCAATTTTGAGGCCCTGGCTAGAGGCTAGTCAGTTCCTCTTCTTGAGCAGCTGATTAAATCCACATCTCAACCATTTCCCTTATGGGGCTCTCACATTCCTGGCAACTATGTACCTGCCCTAATCACCACAGGGATAGGTACCAGACAACTAGGGACAGCCCTTTTGCCTAAGTTTCAAATTAACAAATCCACAGGGAGCCCATGAAACCTCCCTTGCCATACCTGGACTGCCTCCTACAGGTATAGCTCTATCCTGCGTTACAACTTCAGGTGTGGCTCTACCTGGCAGCCTTCTCTCATTTGGAGCTGTAAGTAACAAAGAGTTCTGCCTTTCATCTATCTGAATATATTTATGTGGTATCCTTCCATCCAAGGACCCTATGTTCCTGTCTAACATTTTATAATTATGAAACAATATGGGCATAAAGAGGACAATAAGGGAATCTAGTCCCCTGCTTGTTTCTGATTTTACATGAGGCTCTCCAAATTTAAGGTGGGTAGGGGACCATAAGTGGATATAAATACAATTGCCAACAGCCCACAAATGTGGCTCTGGGCACTATGTCAATGAGTTAGCCCTGCTTCACAAGGAACAGCTCCAGTTAAGTAAAAGATTGCTGTTTAATACCACCAAGTCACCCTTGAATTCTTTCCTGGGCAAAGCCAAGAACTCTCCCAGGCTAAGCCCCAGTCTGGGGGCTTGCCTGCCCCACGTCATCTGAACACATACTCCAAGTAATTTTCTAGGTTTAACAGAATTTCAATTAACACAGAAAGATAAGCAAGAAAACACACGGTCGACCTAAAAATAAGTATGGAATTCACTTAACTACATATTTATTAGAAAGACAAAACATTAATCTTTAAGACTGACGATGACTGAAAAATGAAATACTAGTCAATCAAAAAGAGATGTCTGAAGTAGCTGTTGGCATATATGACATTAACAGGTGCCAAATATATATGTAGAATGATGGAAGAAATATTGTTTTCCTTGTTTTGAAAAAAGAAGAATGGCTTCTGATTGCTTCTGAATGCGAGTACATGAAATTGCAGGAAATACTCCACAAAGTAGTTGTATATATACTGTTACATAAACCATATCAATATACTGAAACACTAAACAAAATATGCATATCTTGGAATGATGGGATTCAAACAAGCAGACCTATGGCTGTATTCAAGCTTTGATCATGTCTTACTTTTTAACACGTGAGACTTCCAAATCCCAGTGATACTGTGAGTTCACAAACTGCTTAGCATTCACCCGGGCAAAGGAAAATGGCTTTATCTTTTGAAAAAGATGTCTTAATCCACAGTTAACTTTTTTTTTTTTTTAAGAGAGAGGATCTCACTCTGTTGCCCATGCTGGAGTGCAGGAGCGCGATCATAGCTTATTACAGCCTCGAACTTCTGGGTTCAAGTGACACTATTAACGTTATTTTCTAAAACAACATTTTTTCAGTTTTCCTTTCTTATTATATTCATTGCATATATGTTGCCTTACTTCCTAACAGACAATAAATGGATGGGTTAATGATTATAAAGAAAAAAATGGCAGCACAGAAAAGGGAATCTAATGAGCAAATAGAAGAATGAAAGAAAAATATCTAGTACATACCCAGCAGTCTATTCTGTTTAATTTGTATCCAGAAATATTGTGTACTTATATATTAAAATGAATCCTTAATTCAGCATAATACCCAAGGGTTAGATTTAGTCTGGTTAATGGACTGTTTTAAAGAAATGAGATTGAACAAGAATCCCATGTCATTGTTTATTTCCTCATTTTCTTTTTATTTTAATTAACTAATTTAGAGATGGGGTCCTGCTCTGTTACCCAGGCTGGAGTGCAGCGGTCTGATCATAGCTCACTGCAGCTTTGAACTCCTGGGCTCAAGCAATCCTCCTATCTCAGCCTCCCAAAGAGCTGGGACTACATACAGGTGCATGCCACCACACCCAGCTATTTTTTTCCTAGAGATGGGGTCTCACTATGTTGCCCAGGCTGGTCTCAAACTCTTGGCCTCAAGCAATCCCCCCACCTCAGCCTCCCAAAGTGCTGGGATTACAGGCATGAGCCACTGTGCACAGCTTATTTCCTTATTTTCTGTTGAAAAAAAATGTGAGATTATGTATGTCTATTTTCCCCTCACATTTGAGTCTACTGAACAGAATGGGATGTTTGGTCAATGAATTCCATTATAGCCACTTGTCAGCTGTGATTTGGACAGATTATTTAATCTCTCTCTGTCTTTATTTCTTCATTTGTGAAATAGCAATAAGCTTAATTCACACACAGTACTTGTCACACATTAAGCCTTCCAAAAATTTTAGCTGTTACGATAATCATTGCCCTTTTAAAAATTACACATAAAGCACCACTGCTAGCTTCCGTGAAGGAAACAAGAAGAGTAGGAGACCCAGTCTGAAAATGCAAGTGCTTACCATGCAGGTAGGGAACATAAGAATTACACCCACAAAACAGTTATGTTTCAGTGAGAGGCCATAAGTCATGACTGTTGCCTCTTAATTAGCGATTGAGACTTCAGGTCTACAGGGGGTCTGGAAGGGGAGACAATTGGGCAGGTGAGGTTGAGAAACAGAAGGAAAAAGAAGAAGATGGGTGAAAGGAGGCAGAAAATGTGAGAGGAAAACAGACATGAATGATTTGGCTAGATGAGGAAAGGAGTATAGGAACAGCACAAGCAAAGATAGTCAGAAATGAGCATGGTATATTCCAGAGATTCACTGTGAGTTTGTAGTGTCTAATATGGTTTGGCTGTGTCCCCATCCAAAATCTTATCTTGAATTGTAATCCCCATAATCCCAATGTGTCAAGGGCAGGACCAGGTGGAGGTAACTGGATCACGGGGGTGGTTTCCCCCATTCCGTCCTCATGATTGTGAATGAGTCTCGCAAGATCTGATGGTTTTATAAACATCTGGCATTTCCCCTGCTTGCACTTCCTCCATCTTGCTGCCCTGTGAAGAAAGTGCCTGCTTCTCCTTTGCCTTCTGCCACGATTGTAAGTTTCCTGAGGCCTCCCCAGCCATGCAGAACAGTGAGTCAATTAAACCTCCTTCCTTTATAAATTACCCGGGCTTGGGCATTTCTTCATAGCAGTGTGAGAACAGACTAATACAGTGTCTAAGAGCCATCACTCCAAAGAGCAAACTTTATTGCCATGGCGTTAGCTGAAAAACACTTAGGCTATTAGATTGAATGTGTGCTGATCCCTGAGACTTTCTCTAAATAGTTATATAAAGCAACACATATGGAAAAAACAGCTAAGCAAAGAAAAAGATTCAGCAGAGGAAAAGTGGCTTTCTTGGTTATTTATCTTTTCCTGCAATAAGTATGCAATCATGATTAATTCAAGTTCCCTCCTAGTGTTATTCTATTTAACTGAGATATTGATGTACAATATTAGAATGCTACCAATTGTGAGAGGGAACAAGACAGTTTGGGCATGGTGCCTAAATATCAGGAGGGTGTTAAAAGAGTTATTCAGAGTATCATTTTTATTTTGCCTATGGATTGAGTCTTTCCTATGGTTCATAGGGGAAAGAATGGTGAGAAGGAGCAGAGTGAGATGAATGAAATTTGATCTCTGTCGTTGGCTGTGGTTGCTACTCTTGGACAGTAACTCGATGACCATGAAGAAGACTTCCTCATTTCATCACATCCTGCATGTTGACTAGGATCACAGCTGGCAGCTAGTCTCCTTCCTTCCAGTTCAGAATGAATGGACTAAACATTTACTTAGTGGAGAGTTATGCAAAATTTTGATACTATAGAATGTGTTCACCTAACGGGTTGAGCCAAGAAGAGGCTCCTAAATCTAAGTCTGTATGTTAAATAAATAGAAGAGACGATTTAGCATCTTACAATATTTCTGTCGGACTCACTTTTGGAGTTGACCTTTTTGATGTGGCGGGTAGGCCTGTGGAATTTCTGAGAAATCCTTGGAAATTCTTTGTGCTTAAAATGAATAGAATCATATTTTGTGCTCCTTGAGGTGCTGGGGTTGGGGACCTGGGCCAGGGAAAATCAGATTGTGAAACCTCCACTCAGTCTTTACTTTCCTTTCTTCCTTATAAATAATTTCAATCCCACTGAAACCCCTTAATGTGACCAGATGAGTTAAAGGGAGGATAGGGATCAGAGGTAAAGAGAAATTGGTCTTACTGCTTGGCCTCGTGATGAGGGCTGTGGAAGGAGATGTTAGGGACTGATTTATATAGGGACCAGAGTTCTATTTTTCCTTTTTTTTTTTATGGTAAAGCCCAGCTGGCCAGAGCTACCTCCTTGTGCCCCACTGGCTATCTTCCAGAGGCAGTACCTAGCTGCTAGCCGCTGTTTATCGTCAAGCTCCCCACACCTCAACAACAGCTCCAGGCTCAGCCATTGCCATGGATTTCTTTCCTCCTATGTCTCCACAGACTCTTTCACCTTTTGATTTTAAAACATCCTTTGTTTAATTTTTTTGTTTCTCTCGTTCAAAGGGAATGGACAGAGACTCTTCCTTGTTCTCTGCCTTCCCTCCATTATTTTGCCTAAACCAAGATTCTTCGGCTTGAAATAAAAAATCATAATCCAACTCTGCAGTTCTCATAGAGGCCCTAGTTTTGTCTGTGGCCTGTGCTTTAGAGGGGTCCAAATGTATCAATTATGATGCTCACACCTGAATGCTACCTCTGAAATCACCTTTGTCCCCTTGCTTGTGTAACACAACAGAACGTGCTTTTAGAAGGGGTCTTTTGTATTACTAGATTCTAAAATATTGACAGAACAATTTCCAACCTGTTAGCCTGCTTTCTTAAAAAAGTTAATTCAACACCAAGCACCAAGCTAGTTATTGTTCATGTGTTGTGCTTCCAGCTTCAGGCACAGATTTGCAAGAAGATTGGGAGAAATGAGAGTTGTGAGGAGGGTACAAGTTGTATCACTCCCTCAAGGGCCTGTAAGAATGGACACCAAGATACTGAATGCCTTTAGGGGAGGTTGTTTACTATTCCTAGAGGTAAAATGGCCCAGTGCCATGATTGGGGAAGGGACTTGAATCTTCAACCCTTTAAGTGAAATAGTTCTGGGCTAGATAATGTGGTAGGTGCTGAAGAGCTGAACTTGGGCTGGTGTGTGTTTCTCTTAATTGAATGATCTCTGGCCCAGGGGAGGGCATGGCCATTCAGCGGCTGGCCTCTTCTAAGCTGAGCTATGTGTGTTCTCTTACGTAGGCCACTCCATTGCTCTGGGCCTGCAGAAAGCCCTCTACAGTGCTGTATAAAGGATATAGTCAAAAGCAGGTCAGTATAACAGAGTTCATTTTAGTGGAATTCAAATGTACCATTGGCCAAATCTCTACATCAGGATAACCGTGTTTTGGGTCCATATTCCCAATACTGTTTTCATAAAATAGTTTTAGTATATTTGCAAAAGGGAGGAGAGCATCTGCTAAAAGTTTCTTGGGGAAATTCATGCTATAGTTTGGAAATAGATAAAAACATACTTTGTTTTCACTTTAAAAAAAATCTTCGGCTGGGTGCAGTAGCACACACCTGTAATCCCAGCACTTTGGGAGGCAGAGGCAAGAGGATCACTTGAGCCCAGGAGTTTGAGATCAACCTGGGCAACATGGCAAAATCCTATCTCTACAAAGAATACAGAAACTAGGTGAGTGTGGTGCTGCATGCCTGTAGTCCGAGCTACTCAGGAGGCTGAGGTGGAAGGATCACCTGAGCCTGTGAGGTCAAGGCTACAGTGAGCCAAGATTGTGCCACTGCACCCCAGCCTAAGAGATAGAGTGAGACCCTGTCTCAAAAAAAATATTTTGTTTGGTTCATTTTCCCTCCAGAACTCCATAGAGGACTGTATAAATTCACATAAGGAGAAAAAGCAACTCACCAAACCTTAAGATGGTTTCTCAAAATTCCCAGACCCTGGTATACACACATATTCTCCCATACCAGGACACTGAATGCCTTTGGAGGAGGTTGATTACTTTCTTTAGAGGTAAAAAGGCTCAGGCTTAAGACAGAGCCTTGAGCCTGCAGGCCTTTGAAGGAAAGCATTCTGGGCAGGATGGACTTGGTAAGTGCTGAGGAGCTGAATCTGATATAGTGAGCACTTCCTGTATCTGGGTGACTGGGGAGCTAAGGAAGGGCATGGCCACTTAGAAGCTGGCCTTCTCCAGGGTGCAGTCTATATGTTCTCTTTTGCAGACCACTCCCTTGCTGTGGGCCTGTGTTCCTTCATCTGTAAAGTGAAAAGAGTAGGCTCGATGTTCCCTAAATTCTCTCCATTGTTTACGCAACACATCCTCCAGGAAGGACTCCCTAGCCAACACAGGTGGGACTGGGGACGAAGTGTGGGCTTGTCCCTTCAGATATCCCACCCTCAACAGACAGATTGTACCATAAGAGCAGAAAACATGCCTGGGTCATCTTTGTGACCCCATCGTCTAGCCAGGAGCTGGGAACAGAGCAGGTATCTCCAACAGTCTGTGTAATATATACATGAGAAACTGTTCAGGCAAGTAATCTTGACAACCCCTCTAGCAAAGTTCTGCTGTTCTTTTCAAACCTCTCCATTCACGAAATCAAGTGGTGGCTAAGACATGGTCATCAGATAACACTGAGCTCAAATCCTGGCCCTTTCAGGATCTTTGGCAGGTCATCTATAGCAGATGTTGTCTGTGTCCTACTAGATCTCAGCCATATGTACTTGGCCCAATTTGCAACAGCTTGATGCTTCCTCTGGGGTCTGAAGCCCCTCTGCCTGAACAGGGAAGGCTGGGGAATAAATGCCCCCAGGAGCAGCCCTCAACCAATGATTATTGGGAGTTGGTGGATAAATGCCCAAGCTTCCTTGCCCCTTAGACAGAATAATTACGAAGTGATTGTTCTACACTGTGAGAAGGTGATAAGCAGTCTGTACTAGTCCGTTCTCATACTATAAAGAACTACCTGAGACTGGGTAATTTATAAAGAAAAAAAGGTTTAATTCACTCACAGTTCCACAGGCTTAACGGGAAGCATGACTGGGAGGCTTCAGGAAACTTACAATCATGGCAAAAGGTGAAGGGGAAGCAAGGCATATCTTTTCATGGTGACAGGAGAGCAAAAAATTAAGGGGGAAAGTGCCACACACTTTTAAGCCATCAGATATTATGAGAACTCACTCACTGTCATGAGAACAGCAATGGGGAAATCCTCCCCCATGATATAATCACCTCCCATCAGGCCCCTCCTCCAATTCGACATCAGATTTGGGTAGGGACACAAATCCAAACCATATCGCAGTCCCTGACAGCCAGCACTGGCCTGGTACGCACAACTAGGTCTTGATGTTTTCCTGTTGAACATAAACAGTCTCACAGAGCACTACTGCCAGACAAAATCACTCTGTGATCTTGACGAAGTGAGAAAAAAAATACCACTTCATAACCTTGTCTAGGCATAGAAAAAACAAGATCACTGTGCAAATGAAAAAAGTACCAAACACGGAGTTCAACTTCCAGCATGACAGCTTGAGGAACTCTGCTGATGCACTCCCAAGTGAAAGTGGTAAATATTATTTTTAAAACAACAACTTAAAGCCCCTGGAAATGGTCCTAAGGGAAAACAGCAAATGAAGAAACGTCTTTCTAAGAGAACCTACAAAAATTCAATAAGAAAAGCAAGTCTGTGGTATTTGAATCACTACAGCTTCTTCCTTTTCCCCTCCCAGATCAGTAAGGCAGAGATTCTACTTCAGACTGCTGCAGACAAGAGCATAGGGCTCCCTCTCCCCTCTGGCTCCCAGCCAGAGGACTTTCTTCCCAAGAGGAGCAGCACTTCAGCATCATTCATACTGACACCAGCTACTTGTTTCTGAGGCTAAGTATCAGGTGAGTACAGCTGAGTGATGGTGGCTCATTTAATCTGCCGACTCTGTCCCCCAGTTATTTAATGGAGGCTCTACCTTAGATGCAACACACTGAGGAAACCGCGGCTCAAGTTTTCCTTGCCTCGCTCATGAGGTGGTGGTTACATGCTGAAGAGGCAAGCCGAGAGCACCTTAGGCTGCTGCACCCCACTCTGCCAAGGCCTCAGCCCATAGAAAGGGGTTGCCATTCAGGCAGAAGCTTGCCACCGTCCCCACCTTGTCTCTAGAGCTCTTGCTCAAAGATTTTGCCTTGGAGGAGGAACAGGCTACAAAACAGGTAGCTCCTAATCTCTTCCCAAAGGGATTGACTTCATTTGCAACAGAGTGTAAAGTTCAAAGCTAAGAGTGCTCTCAAGAACAGTGGACGTTGTCATACAAGGCAGTTGAGATTTGTGGATCTAATGAAGATAAAGCATGGCCTGTAAGCTGGATAGTTTTCAGGAGAAAACCAGGAAATAAGATGGCTGGTAAGAGCACTCCTGGTATCAGAACAAATATCAGACGTGGACCTCAAAAACTATTCCTTCAAATAAACCACAATTTAATTGAATTAGTTTGTAGAACAATTTATGTCCTAGAGCATTGCTGAAAACAATAGAATGATCAGCAGGCAATTAGTGGAGTTTAATAGTTGGGCATGGTAAGGGAAAGATAGAGAGCCCTACTAACACCACTGCCATCCTAGAGTGACGGTGTACACACCCAAAGTCATGTCTTCCTGAAGAGCAACATCAGAGGCTTAAGACTATGAGGAGAAGGAATAAGCTTCATTAAAATAATCCAGCCAATCACTAAAAAAAATATACCAGCAAATAACAAGTCCCAGAGGCCAGGGTTGGGGGCAGTTGCTACAACATATTATCAAAAATTTTGTGGCCAAGCATAATGCTTCACACCTGTAATCCCAGCACTTTGAGAGGCCAAGGTGGAAGAATCACTTGAGCCCAGGAGATCAAGAACAGCCTGGGCAATACAGAGAGACCCCCCATCTCTACAAAAGTAATAAAAAAAATTAGCCAGGTGGAATGGTGCACGCTGATAGTCCCAGCTACTCAGGAGGATGAGGTGGAAGGATCACTTGAACCTAGGAGGTCGAGGCTGCAGTGAGCCATGATTGCACCACTGCACTCCAGCCTGGGTGACAGAGTGGGACCATGTCTCAGAAATGATTTCAATTTCCAGCAAAAAGTTTATGAGGCATGTGATATGGTTTGTCTATGTCTCCACCCAAAATCTCATCTTGAATTGTAATCCCCTTAATCCCCATAATCCCCATGTGTCAAGGATGGGACCAGGTGGAGGTAATTGGATCATGGGGGCGGTTTCCCCCATGCTGTCCTCGTGATAGTGAGTGAGTCCCACATGATCTGATGGTTTTATAAGCGTCTAGCATTTCTCCTGCTTGCACTTCTCCTTCCTGCTGCCTTGTGAAGAAGGTGCCTTGCTTCCCCTTCACCTTCTGCCATGATTGTATGTTTCCTGAGGCCTCCCCAGCCATGCTGAACTGTGAGTCAATTAAACCTCTTTCCTTTATAAATTACCCACTCTCGGCTATTTCCTTATAACAATGTGAGAACAGACAAATACAGACCTGCAAAGAAACAGGAAAGTATGCCCCATACAGCAGAAAAAAAGCAGACAACACCAACTGCCTGTGA
Source organism: Homo sapiens (assembly GCF_000001405.40). Classification (NCBI taxonomy): domain Eukaryota; kingdom Metazoa; phylum Chordata; class Mammalia; order Primates; family Hominidae; genus Homo; species Homo sapiens. The sequence continues at coordinate 120,174,209 of NC_000023.11, read as the reverse complement.
GAGCAACCACATGATGGATTTAACAGAGAAAGACTTCAAAATACCCATTATAAATATGTTTGCAGGCCAGGTGTGGTGGCTCATACCTGTAATCCCAGCACTTTGGAAAGCTGAAGCGGGAGGATTGCCTGAGGCCAGGAGTTTGAGACCAGCCTGGTCAGCATAGCAAGACCTCCATCTCTACAGAGAAAAAAAATAATATGTTTACTGAACTAAAAGAAAGCATGATTCAGAAAATAAAGGTATGATAACAATGTTGCATCCAGTAGAAAATATCATTAAAGAGATAGAAATTATTTTAAAAGAACCAAATGGAAATTCTGAATCTGAAAAGTACAATAACTGACATGAAAAAATCACTAGCAGGTTCAATAGCACATTTAAACTGGCAGAAGAAAGAATTAGCAGATTTGAAACAGGATTGATAGTGATTATGCAAGATGAAGACTAGAGAGAAGAAAGAGTGAAGAAAAATAAATAGAGCTTCAGACAAATGTAGGACACCATCAGCCACACAAACCTAAGTGGGATCTACTAGAAGAAAGGAAGAGATAGAGAGGAGATGAAAGGAAGAGATAGAGAGGAGCAGAAAAAATAGTCAAAGAAATAATGGCAGAAAATTTCCCAAATTTATTTTAAAAACAATAACCTACACACTCAGGAAGCTCAGTGAATTCTAAGAAGGATATATGTAAAGAATCCACAAACAGATTACATCATAGTAAAACCGGCTAAGATCAAGGAGAAAATCTTGAAAGTGGCAAGAGAAAAATGTCTCATCACTTACCCCAGTAAGATTGGTAGTTGACTTCTCAGCAGAAACAATGAAGGCCAGGAGGCAGTAAGATTAAATACTCAAAATGCTTAAAGAAAAAACTATCAACCAAGAATCCTACATCCAGCAAAGCTACCTTTCAGAAATGAAGGCAAAGACATTCCCAGTTAAATAAAAATGGGAGGATTTGTTGTTAGTAGATCCACCTCACAAGAAATAATGAAGTTCTTCAGGTTGAAAGCAAGTGCTTCAGATGTTAATTGCAACCTATGAGAACAAGCCAAGGCCCACTTTATCCACTGCCTCTTTCCCTTCCAGCCTCACAAGTGTCAGAAAGTCTCAGCCACAAGTCTGACATACCAGGATAAAAACCCCACTTTATCAATTACAGACTGAATATTTTTGGGAAGTAACAGCCACTCTGGGTATGACAGTTAATACTGAGTGTCAACTTGATTAGATAGAAGGATACAAAATATTGATCCTAGGTGTTCTCTGAGGGTGTTGCCAAAAGAGATTAACATTTGAGTCAGTGGGCTGCACAGGGCAAATCCACCCTTAATCTGGTGGGCACAATCTAATCAGCTGCCAGTGAATATGAAGCAGGCAGAAAAATGTGAAAAGGAGAGACTGGCCTAGCCTCCCAGCCTACCTCTTTCTCCCATGCTGGACACTTCCTGCCCTTGAACATCGGACTCCCAAGTTCTTCAGTTTTGAGACTCAGACCGGATCTCTTTGCTCCTCAAGCTTGCAGACAGCCTACTGTAGGACCTCGTGATCATGTAAGTTAATGCTTAATTAACTCCATATATATATACATGGAGGATATATATATATATATATGGAGGATATATATATATATATATGGAGGATATATATATATATGGAGGATATATATATGGAGGATATATATATATGGAGGATATATATATATGGAGGATATATATATATGGAGGATATATATATATGGAGGATATATATATATGGAGGATATATATATATGGAGGATATATATATATGGAGGATATATGGAGGATATATATATATGGAGGATATATATATATCCTATTAGTTCTGTATATATATATATATTCTGTATATATATATATAAGTTCTGTATATATATACATATATATATCCTACATATACATATATATATCCTACATATGCATATATATATCTATATCTCCTACATATATATCTATATATCTATATCTATATCCTATTTGTTCTGTCCCTCTAGGGAACCCTAATGCACTGGATCTCAAAGTTTCTATGGTGAGACCAAATGTTTAAAGATGTCTGATGTCCCCAAGACCAGGAGAACAAGGGAGTAAGGAAAGAGAGTGCTGGAACTTTATGACTTCAGGCAGTCACTGTCTCTCTCTGGGCCTCAACTTCCCCTTTGAAAAATGAGAATGTTTGCCCTCTCTAAGAATACCAGACCCAAAGTGCTCAGGAGCATTTCTCAAGATTATTGGAAGTGTCAAAATGAGAATCAGATCAAGTTAGGAAACATTTTAAAGTTTATTGTTATACAGTAAGAGAAAGTACAGCTCATGACCCAGGAGACTTCAAACAAAGTGGTAGAAAGCTCACCTTATGGCAGTCATAGCACACTTTATAAAGCATAAAGGAGAATATTTTGATTTTTTTTTGTGGTTGGCTGTTTTACGTTATCATTCTTTTTAAGGTAAACAGAGCTGTTTAAACTGATTTGCCTATAGCTGATTGGTTTAATTTCACTGAATCACGCTGACAAAGATGTAAAGGTTATGTTTGATATTTATGATTAGAGACAGTGTTTTGGGGAAATTGGGAAGAATTAAATTTTGGTTACCTGGTTATGAGTGGTTGGCCTTCGGGTACACCTAAAGTGTGGCTTCATTTTTATCTTTAACAGAAGATAACTGAGCTCTCATTATGTGCTAGGGCACTGTTTAAATTCTGAATCCTGCCCTCTGGTAGGAAGACAGAGATTAAACAAGAGAGCCAATAACCAAACAAAAAAGTAGAGAGACTGCGGGGTTAGGGATTTTAGCTCAGGTGCTTAGAGAGGGCATTTGAGCAGAATCATGAATGCAGTAAAGGAGGCAGCCATGCAAAAACCTGTAGGAAGAGCATTCCAGGCAGAGAGAACAGCCAGTGCAAAGGCCCCAAGGTGGGAAGGAGCTTGGTGTGTTCTCAAGACCCATGTGCTCAGGACCCAGGGGGCAGAGGAGGAAGCAGGGGGAAATGAGGCTAGGAAAGGAGGCAGACGAAGATGGCAGAATAGAAAGCTCCGCTGATCGTCCTCCTGCCACTCTGTGCAAGGACACCAAGTTAACAACTACCTACACAGAAAAAAACACCTTCTTAAAAACCAAAAATCAGGTGAGCACTTACAGTACCTGGTTTTAATTTCGTATCACTGAAAGAGGCACTGAAGAGATATAGAAAACAATCCTGAATCACCAATGCTACCCCTTCCCCACCCTGGCAGCCATGGCATGGTGTGGAGAGTGTTTCTGGGCACTGGGGAAGAGAGAACACAGTTCTTTTGCTTCACAATTCAATTGTGAAGCATTGCACTCAGCAATGTCCTGTTACAGCAGAAAGGAAAACCAGATCAAACTCAGTTGATGCCCACTCACAGAGGGAGCATTTAAACCAGCCCTAGCCAGAGGGGAATCACTGATCCCAGCAGTCTGAACTTGAGTACCTGCAAACCTCACCATGAAGGGCCAAAGTGCTGTCAGTCTCTAAGTAAACTTGAAAGGCAGCCTAGGCCATAAGGACTGCAACTTTTAGGTAAGTCCTAGGGATGAACTAGGCCCAGACACAGTGGATTGGGGGTGGCGGGGCGGGGAACACAACATGCTGAGACACTAGCTAGGACAGCCAAGGGAATGCTGGCATCACTTTTCCCCTAACCCCAGGATGCACAGCTTGTGGCTCTAAAAGAGAGCCCTTCCTTCTGCTTGAGGAGAGGAGAGGGAAGAGTTGGGAGGACTTTGTCTTGCATCTTGGATACCAACTCAGCCACAGCAAGATAGGGCTCCAGTCAGAGTCAACAGGCCCCTGTTCCAGCCCTAGTTCCCAAATGACATTTCTAGACAAACTGTGGGCCAGAAGGGAACCCACTGCCTTGAAGGAAAGGACCCCATCCTGCCAGCATTCATCACCCGCTAACTGAAGAGCCCTTGGGCCCTGAATAACCAACAGCAATGCACAGGCACTACATTGAGGGCCATCATGAGCCTCTGAGACTTGCTGGCTTCAGGTACCAACACCACCACGGGGCCTAGAGCACCAAGCAGGTTCTTGAGGTTCCAGATTCCAGGACTTGACAGCATTTCTGGACCTGCCCCAGGCCAGAGGGGAGCCCACTGCCCTGAAGGATGAGTCCCAGACCAGGCAGCATTCACCACAAGCTAACTTAAGAGACCTTGGGCCTTAACGGAACATTGATGGTAGTCTGTCAGTGCTCCTTGTGGCCAGGGGTGTCAGTGGCTGTGGAGTGAGGCTCCTTTGCCTTTGGAAAGGGGAGGGAAAAGCAGGAAGGACTAGGTCTTATGGTTTCAGTGCCAGCTCAGCTGCAATACAATAGAACACCAGGTAGACTTCGAAGGTTTTTGACTCTAGTCCCTGACTCCTGGATGATACTTCTAGACCCACCTGGGGCCTGGGGGAACTCACTGACCTGGAGGGAAGGACACAGGCCTGGCTGGCTTTGCCACCTGCTCATTGTAGAGCCCAGGGTCTTAAGCAAACAGAGAGACAGTAGCCAGGGAGTGGTTACAGCAGGCCTTGGGTGAGACCCAGTCCTGTGCTGGCTTCAGGTCTGACCCAGCACAGTCATAGTGGTGGTGACCACAGGGGTGTTAATACCTATGTCACTCCACCCCCAGCTTTAGTTGGCTCAGAACAGAGAGAGCGATTCTGTATGTTCGGGAGAAAATAAGAGAACAAGAGGCCAGGTGCGGTGGCTCAAGCCTGTAATCCCAGTACTTTGGGAGGTCGAGGCAGGTGAATCACAAGGTCAGGAGACCGAGACCATCCTGGCTAAACACAGTGAAACCCCATCTCTACTAAAAATACAAAAAATTAGCTGGGCGTGGTGGCATGCACCTGTAGTCCCAGCTACTCGGGAGGCTGAGGCAGTAGAATCGCTTGTACTTACAGTGGAACGTTCCAAATGAACAACAACACATTGAAATACATTTAAAAATGAGGGCTCTTGGTAAAATCCCTTTTGGCTAAGGACGGGTTTGGCACTATGGAATGTTAAGTGCTATTCTCTTTGGATTAATCGGTCTTACACTTTTTGCTGACGGCTATGGGTGACAGGATTAGGCATGTGCAGGACCGTGGGAGATGGGGAGCTTTTTCCTCCCCAGAAGGGGAATCCTGACAGCTGATGGAACTGCTGGAAAAGATCCCTTCACTACTGGCAAGTGGTCCCCTGAACTTTTCATTTTCAGTGTCACTGCAATGAATGAGTGGGTCCTTCTCTGGCCTCTGTGAGCTCTTCACCTTCCCCACCCTGCCACAGGCAATGCTTTTCTCTCTCTCCTTTCCCTTTCTTATCTTTTCTATTACTCAGGGTGACCATCTTGCCCAGGGACGTGTTGAAATTCCTAGTCAGAAGTTGGATTAAAGATGACGGGAGCCATCTAAGGACAAATTTAAGCCTTGCCAGTTTAATATTGGGTGCTAAGCAGAGTAGCTGATGTCTATGTTTCGTCACACATATTTTACTCTGGCCCAAACAGAAAAAGATAATTTTCCTTTGTGTTGTGGCTTGGCCCCCCAGGTCTATGGTGCAGCGAGGTGGGTCACTAGGGCCACTTAGGGCAACGGAACACAGAAGCCTGGCATGCTGGCAAACAGGTAACAATTTCTTACCAGTCAGACTCCTGGCCTCTCTCTCTCTCTCTCTGTGCAAACAGGTTGAATAAATGGTAAAAATCACTGTTACTCTCCTGTAAAGTTTAAATTAATCAGAAAAAGCACTTGTAAGGCTAGTCTTAAGCTGTACCAAATTTGGTATGCTTTGTGTGTCTTTCCATATTTTCTGTCATTAATGAGGGGTACCTTAGGATAGAATACAGGCTTAGGACACCTGTAAGCCCGCTGTTCAAGACAGCCAAGCAAACTGATCACTTATAAGCTTTGCTGCAGGTCCCTGGAAAAAACAAAAAACAAAACAAAAAAAAAACTGGATAAGGTTTCCCTCTTGTCTTGTATGTCCTTGGGAGCTTGACCTTGTAACCATGTGGCCATGCTTTCTCTTCACAATGGCAGCCTGGGTTCAGCGTTCAATTCCTGGCTTGGAAAATGAGTCCTTTAACTTCTGTCTATGGATTTATATGTATTATGTGTTTGATGTTTATATATAAAAGAGCTTTCACTAATTGGTTTAAAAATAATAAAAGCTTAAATAACATATTTTGTCAGAAAAGTAAAAAGTGTAATGCCTTTTAGTTCATGTGTCTTAAGTAATTTTTGGGAAATAAAGAGAGTTTTAAAAATTATTGGTAAAATGAAAATGTCAAATAAGGCAAACGTCGAGCTGTAACCAATCCAGCCATTCTCTATCTCACTTCTGATTTCTGTATGTAGTTTCCCTTTTTTGTCTATAACTCTCCCACCACATGGCTGCACTGGAGTCTCTGTGAATCTGCTGTCATTCTGGGGGCTGCCCGATTTGCAAATCGTCCATTGCTCAATTAAACTCCTTTAACTTTAATTTGGCTGAAGTTTTTCTTTTATCACATGAGAACAGGACTTATAATGAGAAAAAAAATAAGGTGGAATGATGGCATCCTAGGATTGCTGGCTTTAGAGTTGCTTTCAATCATATTCTATTGCTCCACGGTTTTGAATTTGCTTAAAGTTACCTTCTCAAGTACAGGTTGCAAATTGGAAGCTGCATCCTATATCTGGTCTGCAGATCTGTTTCGGATGACCAGTGTAATTTTAAATAAAACATATTTGAATTGATTGCTCAGATCTAAGGATCAGAAGGTTTCATGTAAACACTTATTTCTGGCCAATCTTTACAAACTGGAAAATCTGCCAGATCTGGACCCCAAAGTCCTGACCAGAAAAATTAGGCTGAAGCAGAGTAGTGGCCATTCCCTTTGGGGGAGACATAGCCTTTCCCAGTTTACCAGTCCCCACTCTGCTTGTTTTCTTCATTTATGTTACCTTCCCGGCCCTGTTAGCAGCTAGGTTTTCGACCCTTACTATTTTTTTAAAAATTATAGGAAATGTCCAAAATATATAAAACAAACATAAGATGAACACTCATATAGCCACCACCCACATTCAACAATTATTAATATCCAGTCTTGTTTCATCAGTAGCCTTGCTGATTTCTCCAACATCCCTGCACCCAACCTGGGATTATTTGGAAGCACATCGAGACATCACATAATTTCATCATTAACCATTTCAGGGCATGTTTAAATGATACACCCTTTTTATACAGACAGCCACAGTTATCACTACCATAGCGAAAACATGGAAAAGCCTTTACAAATATCCACTCTGCTCACTTTAAAAAATTCCTCTCCATATTATTCACTTCATTTGATTCCTTTTCTCTGTCAAGAAAGGACAAACAGTAATTGTTGATCTGGGAAAATGGGGTCGAGCATGCATATAAACATGAATGGTACTCCCCACACTCTAGAAAACAATGCGTGAAATGATTTTTTTCATAAGGCATTCATTCCTATTTTTTCTGATTTTTTGAAATATGCCTGATAAACTTTTACCACTAAACCTACTCCAAATACATGAGTCATGCTATTACTGTCATGATTCCATAGGTGAGATGATATGGTTGGGATATTTGTCTCTGCCCAAATCTCATGTTGAAATGTAATCCTTATTTTCCCCAATGTTGGAGGTGAGGCCTGTTGGGACGTGTTTGGGTCATGGGGGTGGAAACCTCATGGCTTGATGCTGTCCTTGCAATAGTGAGCGAGTTATCACAAGATCTGGTTGTTTAAAAGTGTGTGGCACCTCCCACACCCACTCTCTCGCTCCTGCTCTCACCATGTGAGATGCCTGCTCCCAGTCTGTCTTCCACCATGACTGTAAGCTTCCTGAGGTCCTCACCAGAAGCAGATGCCAGCATCACACTTCCTGTTAAGCCTGCAGAACTGTGAGCCAACTAAACCTCTTTTCTTTATAAATTACTCAGCCTCAGGCATTTCCTTATAGCAAAACAAGAATGGCCTAACACATGAGACAGCAGAGATATAGTAGGTTAAGCGACTCATTCAAGGTAACAAAGACAGCGTAGAGCTGCAGCAAGAACCCAGACCACCTTATTTTTAATCAGATCTCTTTCTGTTATACCACATAGGAAAGGTGGAACAACAGGTTATAATAATATGATGATAGGAGATAATATAGAATAATAGTAGAAAACATTTCTGTGTGCTTACTCTGGCTGGGCATTGTGGAAGGCCACTTACATATGTTATTTATCCCTCTCATCAATTCTGTGATATAATATTATCATCTTATAGAGAATAATAATGATACTACAGAGCTTAAGTAAAATGCCCAGGGGGAAACAGCTGGGAAGTGGTGCATCTGGGATTGGAAGCCAGATTGCCCTAACTGTGGCATCCCAGTGCACCACCGCTGAATTAAACTTGACAAAGCATGGGCTCTGGAGGCAGACAAATTTGGCTTCAGATCCTGTTCCTCTGATTAGCTTTGCACCATGGATAAGTTTCCTCTTCTTTCAATGAAGATGCTAGAACCTCACTATTAGGATTCATTTGAGCATCAAACAAAATCATCCAAGGACATTATTTTATTGCTTGTCACATAGTAAAGGCATACAAGACGTTAGCTGCTAATAAAAAGGGAATGAAAGTTTTAAAGGGTACTGTCTCCAGTAATGTTCTCCATCAGAAAAAATTGTAACTTGTTCTCCACCCAGCCCCTTGAACTAGTCCCATTGTATGCTACCTAAACAATGTGTTGTTCAAGGTCAGTAAATGACATCCTAACTATAATTCTACGAATTTGAATTTCTTAAGGTCCAAGAACTCTGCTTTGAAGTTCAGGATCTAGGTTACCAGAGCTAGACAACATCTTGACCTATAATTCTAACAGGTACTTATCAGATACATGAAAACAAATGCCAACTGAGTATAGGAGATCTCATTTTCTACATAAAGGAAACATATATGGCTAAAAATGTCTTTTGATGGTGTAAAAATTTTATGAATCTGATAACCACGGGGAGGGATAATGGAAGTATGATTTCAATCTCCCCTCCTCCCCTTTTACCTTTCTTTGCCTATTTCTGAGTATCTCTAGGCTACCAAATGTTTCAGTCTGAATGTAGAAAAAACAAAATAATGAGCAGGAATAGACCGACTGGCACAAAATGTACCAAATGGAAACAATTTCCAGACGGAATGTACACTGACATGCGCGACTTACTGTAAATAATTATACAAAGCACAATACAATGAGAACAAGAGCAAAAAAAAAAAAAAAAAAAAAAAAGGAAAATCTCAATCGGAGAAGAAAAAAGAATCCACTTGGCCAAGAGGCATGCATTAATGCATAGTGAATTCATGGACTTTCCTTATTCCCACCAAGGCTTGTGGCTTCAGGGGTATGAATAAACCTCCTTCTCCTTGCAAAACCCTCACACCAAATGCAATTGCGTGGCTGAAGCTTGACACCCACAATTGTGAAGAGAGAAGTGGGGAATGAAAAGCAGCAGACAGCCTGACAGAAAGTTCATGCTCACCCAAGAAAATGGAATTTTCCTTCAGGCTGAAAACATAATCATTATGAAACTGGCCATCAAATAATTTTCAGAGAAAATACTGTTGTAACCATCACTCCTTATCTGCAGGCATTGCAATCACTTCACAGGATGACCACAATGTTCATGATCACTTTTTAAAAACTTTTTGGTATATTTTTTCTTTTCTTTTGTTGTGGTAAACCATATAAAAATTTGCCATTTTAGCCATTAAATAAGTGTATAATTTCATGGCATTATTTACACTTACACTTTTACAAGAAAATTACTTTAAAGAAGTCTTCCATAGCAAGAAAAAACTTAATGAATTTTTAAGAGTGGGCATGGCTTCCTTCCCGATACCATTTTGGTTTTGCTGTTTTCCACCCTGGCAGTAACTTGAAACACACTATTCTCTCATTAGGGACTCACACCACCCCATCCTGCACATGTACCTGGTATCAATGGGGGCAGAGAGGAGATGAGTATGGGGTGTTGGGGGTGGGGGTGGAAGAGAATGTCTGGGTCGGTGTAAGCCTGCCATGGGCACATGGGAAAATTCTGTGACATGCACAGCCCCCAGATGGTGACTCAAGATTACTGCATGAGACGAGAGTCCGTGACATTCGGTTTGAATGGCATTTCTTAACAATTTTTATTGAGAACTTACTGACCCCATGTGACACACAAAACAAATGTACATACCCTTCACATATTTATAGAAACATTTTTACAAGTGCCCTAAAAATGGGTCAATGATGTACTTTTCTTTAAAACGTTTAATAGACATTTGATGAACTACTTTTGATGGGGTGCTATGCAAAATATGAATCTGGCTCAAAGACACTCTGGCAAAAAGTGGCACAGAGGCTATCCCTTAGACATTGGGGAATGTGAAAGAAGGCACGATAACAAAAGGGAATGGGCCAAATTCAGCCTGGCCAGCGGGTGGCATAGGTGGAAGAAGCATGAGTGGAAGGGGCAAGGACGGAGGAGGAAAGGGTGGCATGGGGAAACACAGGCTGCTGGAATGGCTGTGGTCCCAGAAGTAATCATCTCTCATCCCGCTGATGAACAAGGGTGCCGTTATGGCCTCAGCTGCGGTTACCATGACAGGCTGGCCCACTGCCATGAAGGGCAGCATGTTTCTTGCCATTAATGCCCTCTGATGTCTCCTCCATTTGGCTCTTCTATTCTCAAACCAAATCTTCAATCAGAGGAAAAAAGAAACAGGTTTAGTATACTGAGCATTTAATTTCATCATGGAAAAAAACACAACAAGCAACTCTCTATGTCCTTAACCTTTTCGGGTGTATCAAGACAAGCTACTTCCTTACTACTAAAATATCTTAGAAAGGTGACCACCACACCTTTCCCCTAGTGAGCTCCAAGTATGTGCTACGTACGCTCTGGCTTGGCTTATTTCTTTGTCTCTCTCCTTTTATCTGTAATATTACTTTTTCCACTCTTGGGTGCAGGTGTAGCTGATGAGTGGGACTCGATCCCTGCTGGTATTGCTATGTGTGGCATGTCTGCTTGCAGATACTTGACCATCAGCTACCCAGCTGCCCACCAACTCCTACTTACTAGGCCACTGTCACCCTGGTCGTGGGGGAAGCTGAGCTTGGAAAAAAAGGCGGGGGTGCCTTTTAAAGTCATACCAAGAAGATGAGGCCCCCGTTTTGAAAAGCCCATCTTCAGTGTAAAGTAAAAAATCGGTAAGAGTACATTGTATTTTAAAACAAGTTTTCTTTCCTTCAAGAAATTCTAAGGGGTCATTCATCTTCTGAAACTCCTTGAGAATTAAAAAGATGGTATATTGCAAGGCAAGTCTCGTTATAGGGGGCCCAGGGAGTTTGTGGATTGTCTTGCTGGGAAATGAGGGTATCTGAAGCCCTGGACACTCTTCACACTTCAGCTTGAAGCTTTGTGGAAGGAGGACACAAATGTTGTCCAAATTCACAAAAATTCTCAAAAAGCTTTGCCCAGTTGAGAGTTTGAGAGAAAGGAAGCATTGCTAATTCTGCACGCTCCAACTCATCCCTCCCTCCAAATCTTCCTGGGCTAAGGACAAGGTCAGCTCACTTTGTTCTCCCTATAGTCCTGGGATATGGGACAGAGACTTGGTTGCCCAGTTCCATGGGACGCCTTCAGCCATCTAGCCTCACTACTCGAGCAGAAGATCCCAATCTCATCAGCATTCCCAAAGCGGGAGTGTCCAAATAGGCAACTCTGAACACGTTCAGTAGTAATGTGGAGGAGGTATCAAAAAACACTACTCCCCAAACACCTGCCAATTGTTAAAAGACCAAAAAATAAAACCTGTCAATTAAACAACACTATCCCCCAAGCTTCTAGTTAATGACATTTCCATTGTATTTTGATCCTTCTGGAAGTTCCCAAACTGCAAATTTTATGGGACAAAGGGACTCTTCTCCCTGTTTGATGCCCCATTTCCTTCTCCCATCTTACTATTTGGAGTCCTTCTCCCTCATGAATACATAGTCTAAATTTTAAGCCTACCGTAATAGTGCTTGTTTAGAGACAATTCCAATGTACCTGTGGTCAAAGGTTCATAAACATAAGCAATGCCAAAAGTGGGCCAAATGTGCTATGGGACAACATTAGGTCCCTAGTCTCCGTATCGGTTTCATAAACCAGCCCTTACTATCTTTACAAAACAGAGGGGGGAAACATCTATTAAAAATTTTTGGAGATATTCATGCTGAAATGTTTGGCAATAGATGAGAACATCATGCCTTTTTCCTTATTTGCTGAGTGAGAGTGGTCCTTTTGCCTTCAGAACTGCATTGAGTGAATGCTATGTAAACCCAGGGAGGGGAAAGGCAATTCACCAAAACGTCAATATTTCATCTCCCCCAAATTGGCATTGCCTGCCTGAGAAAATGGAGGGCAACAGGATGCCAACACTCAGTGCCCCGTTTTGTCAGGCAGCTTTTCTGCATGCCACCATTGACAGAACCGCAGCATAGTTCCCTCACTGCACTCACACACATGAGCTCTGCAGAAAAGCTATTAAGGTCATCCCGATTTTTCTTTCTTTTCTTCCTTTTTTGCAAATACTCCTTTGGATCCACTGACCTACAAATTTATTATCACAGCCTGAGCAAATAAATAAAAAGGTATTTCAAATTACCACAGGTAAGAGTCTAGCCTGACCTGACAGCCATCCCCCACTATCAACACATTCCACAAAACACATCTCTTCCTGTTAGTACAACAAACTGGAAGAAACAAAAAATCTCTTAAATGCTAGAAATTGATCAAGAAAATATTCACTGATGCATTTGGTAGCTTCAAAAGTTGAATGGGGGCAGCTTCCCCAAGCCATGAGTGTGACTGTATACAATTCTTGCCTAACACTTCCATCCTTAGGTTGGTGGAAATTTATGAAAAATTGATCTTGTAGTTTGTTTTGGTTTCTAGATAAACTTGCAAAGGTTGCAAGCCTTTTCGCTATCTCTACCATAATGCAAAACCAACTATGTCAGCAATGTTTTCAGCCTGCCATATCAAAGTATTCCAGAAAATTAAAATTTAGAGCTGCCACTCTCTACAAGGCTTCACCAAATACTTAAAAACAATAGTAGGAGGGCCAGGCGCTTGAACTTTATGCTATCCCCCGCCATCAGTCTCAGCTTAAGGAAACATACGTTCTGGTTGGGAATTATTCCTTTACCCCAATGCCTAAACATTTATAAATTCTTAACCAAAGAGTTTATGCTTGGTTTTAAATATATTAAATAGTTTAGTTTAATGGAGCTCTTTGGAGCATTAGTTCGAATAATCCCCATGTCAGAAAACCCCAGGATGCCTCCACATGGAAGTGCTACCTAAAGGATACCAGTGCTAGGAATTCAATCTTATATATTATGCTATATTTAATTTATACTGTTATATATTATATATATTTGTAATTTGGAATACATATATTTATATATTTGTAATTTATTCAAGTGTATAATATATTTTATACACAAGGAATAAAGGAAACAGTTCAGTACTCATTTTTTTTTCCGTGGATTGTCATGTTCCCTCTGGTAATGGGAAATTTCCACAAGCTGAGCTTTCCTTACTGCATTTTCCAGCCACAAAGATCCCAAAGTTCAGACCTCATTGCCTATACATGAAAAAGGCCACAAAAACACCAAGATGGCAATGTCTGGGTCAAAGTGTGTCCAAGCCCTGAAGCGGGTTTTAGAATGGCTCCCCTGCCCGATTGCTTTTTCGGTTTACTGACCTGCACTGCGAGTTCAGTCACATTCATGCTTCTTGCCAGCCTCCTTCTATGGAAGAAACCACACGTGTTCAGCATTTGGAGTTGTGGGTGTCGTTTCATTCTTGTGTTTAATTTTTTTATTCTACCAACTCCCCACACCCAGTAGGCTGTTCTGTAACACCCAGCTGAGCCTCACATTAGGAACATTTCTCTCATGCCACAAATAAAGGAGATGCCAAAAAAAAAAAAATCAGGGCGGTGGCTCACGCCTGTAATGCCAGCACTTTGGGAGGCCGAGGCAGGAGGATCACTTGAGGTCAGGAGTTCGAGACCAGCCTGGCCAATATGGTGAAACCCCGTCTCTACTAAAAATTCAATAATTAGCCGGGCGTGGTGGCTGGCGCCTGTAATCCCAGCTACTTGGGACGCTGAGGTAGGATAATCTCTTGAACCTGGGAGGCAGAGGTTGCAGTGAGCCGAGATCGCACCATTGCACTCCAGCCTGGGTGTCCCAGCGAGACTCCTTCTCCAAAAAATAAAAAAATAACCCCCCCATAACAAAAAAAATCGTTAATCAATATAAATGACATTCTAACTTACTATTTGAAACTTAGAAAAATTAACACCAAAGGAAACCCAGACGAACGACGGACTTCTCAGAATTTTAAATAAGGTCAGAATGCGACCCTGCACTTGCTGTACAGAACCTTAATCTCCTCATCTTTATTTCTGCCTCGCCTGGGATAGGAGTTATTTATCATAACTGACCTCAGCCCAAAGTTGCCCAACTTGGTTCATTTAAATTCTGCATGATGCCTAATAGGCATAGCCCCACTACAGAACCCACTAGGTGCCAGGGGTCTGCGGGGAGGGGACGGCAGCAACACCAGGCCCCAGATGGGTTTTGGTTCAGGAGGGGAGAGGGTAGGAGAGGGACTGCGGGAAAGCCAAACGCCGCCTCCCTGCAAACCGCGCGCCAACCAGAGCAATGGGCTTACCGCAGGAACTCACTGGGGAACTGCTCGCGTTGGAAAATGCGCTCCAGCTCCTGCAGCTGCAATGGGGTGAAGGCGTGGACGTTGGGCTGCTGCGCGTTGCCAGGCTCCAGCCCCCCGACGGCGCCCTGTGGGCGCGAATACTGCTGCCCAGGTTCCTTCTCGCTCTGGTCGCTGTCCTCAACGTTGCCATCGCTGCCGCTGGTGCCCTCGAGGTCTCCTTCCCATAGGTGGCCAGGAACTCCGGCGCCGCCGCCATCTTTTTCTTCTCCGCCGCCATCTTTTTCTTCTCCGCCTTGGGCTCCTGCCGACTTTAACTTTTCTCCTGCTGCTGTGCCTTGCTCAGGCTCAGGCTGTGCATCCTCTTCCTCCTCTTTGACCTCTTCAGTAAGCGACAGCACCATAGCATTCATATCTGGAAAAGTAGAAACCCCAAGAGAAAGATCAAGGCATTGGTCCTGAGGGTGTTGGAAGGAGGTGGTGAGGGGCTACACTCTGAGAGCAGTGGTAGTGCAGGGGTATCATCCAGTCTACTCGCCTCTCCCAGAGAACCTTGGTTTCCTGAGTTCGCAAAAGCATGTGTCCCATCAAGGTACTGACCCTGTAGTTCTTTCTCGTCGTCGACTGCAGGGCTGAGCAAGCTGGTCATATACTGGCTACACTGGTCCGGAGGCTCCATACCCTGAGTGGTGTGGATGGAGCTGTGCACTTCTGCAGATTCTGAGCTGGGGCCACCACGCTCTCCTAGGCAGTGCTAGAACTGTGAGTCGCCGCCTGCAACGTTCTTCTGGTGTCTAGACTCAGCAACAGTGTATCCACTTAGAGACCTCCTCTCTTGCTTTTCTGCTTCCCGCTATTTGCTGTGGGTTGGGCCTGCTGAGGTGCGCATGCGTCAGGGGCTTGGCCTTGCCCGGATGAGGGAGAGCACGCGTTGGTGGTGTGGGGGGGGAGGGGTAAGTGGTGTAGTAGGGTGTGGGGGAGGGGGGAGTAGGGCGTGGGAGGGGGAGTAGGATGGGGTGCGTGCTTGCATGCGTTGTCCTGTAGACAGGCATGCGTGAGTGTGGAACTTGGGGGAAGCTGCTGTGCTGAATTGTGCAAGCCCATTTTATGGCGATAAGGGAGATTTTGCACTAGCCCCATGCTTCCTAGGTCTCCAGGAGCAGGAGCTTGGGCCTGGATTTGCAAAGCTTGTGGGCTGCGCAAATGCACTATGTAAAAATGCAGCACACTCCTTGAGAAAGTCCACTATTAATTCTTAGTAATGAATCCACATCAAAGTGCAAGGGTGGAAACATGCACAATGATGCTTAGAGCATCCGAGATTGCTTTTCTTTTCTTTCTTTCTTTCTTTTTTTTTTTTTTTTTTTTTTTTTGAGACAGTCTCGCTCTGTCTCTGGAATGCAGTGGCACTATCTGGGCTCACTACAACCTCCATCTTCTGGGTACCTAGATTCAGTAACAGTGTATCCACTTAGAGACCTCCTCTCTTGCCTTTCCTCTTCCCACTATTTGCTGTGGGTTGGGCCTGCTGAGGTGCGCATGCCTCAGGGGCTTGGCCTTGCCTTGGGCACGGGAGAGCACGTGTTGGAGTGGGGGCAGTAGGACGGGGTGGGGGGAGTAGGGCGGGGGAGGGAGTAGGGCGGGGGGGCGTAGGGTGGAGGGGGGGAGTAGGGCGGGGGGGCCGGGGAGTAGGATGGGGTGGGTGTTTGCATGTATTGTGCAGGTACTCAGGAGTGCCTCAGCCTCCCGAGTACCTGGAACTACAGGTGCGCACCAGCACACCTGGGTAATTATTGTATTTTTAGTAGAGACAGGGTTTCACCATGTTTGCTGGGCTGGTCTGGAACTGCTGGCCCCAAGTGATCCACCCACCTCGGCCTCCCAAAGTGCCGGGATTACAGGCGTGAGCCACCGTTCCCAGCTGCAGCCAAGATTTCTAAAATTGCAGGGCATCCTTCCTTTGCCTTTGGTTGTGACTGTGGATAGCGCAGCTTCTGCTATGTCTCTGGCTACAGACCCATTACAAATGCGCACTTACCTTCTGTGCTGAGCTGGTGCTGTGGACCTGCAGTGATTTCCCTTCTTTCCTGCTGCTGCATAGCCCTCTTTTCCTCTACTCCTGCCCTTTTCTACAGATATCTTTCTGAGCTCTTGTTTAGGAATAAATACATTTTATTTATTGTCAAATAATCACAGCCAGGACAGATTGAGTGCTCTAAGATTCTTCCTTTAAGAAGTGTTTTGTAGATACTTCAGGACTTGTTAATGTCCTGAATATAGAGAGTAGGTTTTAACCATAGAACCTATCCTCCATCGTTTGAGTGACTCATTCTATTTTTGCTTGCACAATGACCCTTTTCATCAACCTTATTTTATATAAGAAATTAAACTAGTTTGTGGGCCCCTACATGTACTGTGGGTTCCAGTCACCCCAACGACTGATCCTAATGGATGAGTGCACGCATCATACCTCATGTTCCCAGAGGATGGGTAAGAAAACAGCTGGAAAATATTTGACCAATTCACGTTCAAAGAGATGGGAAGGGATGACGATCTAACAGCCTCTTTCTGATTTTAACTAAGATGTCTCCTCGTCAGGCTGGCTCTTCCTGGAGCTAAACTGCTGGAATCTGAAATTTTGCTTTGCTTCCTGTTGCTAGCTGGCTAATCTCACTTGATCACTCTCCGTTTGTGTTAGTTTTGTCATCTGTAAAATGGGAATAACAATGATAACTATCTCATGGGGTTTTCGAATAGATGGAGATGATTAAACATGCTGCCTCACATTTCCTGCTTCTGTCAGTTTGTATGTGTTTATTTACAAGGGTCCTTGAAAGGAGAGAGATGATGGCTATTCTCTGGCAGTGGGCAACAGGGGTAAGATGTTTTATTGTGAAAATAATGGTTCTATAAGTCTTTTTGTACCTATATGTACTTCACTCAGTAAACCTTTGTTGGCTGCTGTGTTGACAGGGCCCTGTGGCAAGAAATGTGGGGATTGCCACAATGTCTGATCAATGCCTGACCATTGAGATGTAGGTTCTCATAGTGTAGTGGGATTGATAAGGAATCAGAGAGACTGATGGGGTTCAGGAGGATATTTATTATTTAGGTGCACCGGCCCAGTAAGATTAAGATCCAAAGAACTGAGCCCTGAACAAAGAGTTAAGTTACTTTTTAAGCATTTCGTGGGGCAGGGGGAAGCATATTGCAGAAGTGAGAAACAGAGACAGTTATTCAATTAATTGAGACATGCATTACATCATTTCTTAGTTTTCAAGGAAAAACATGTTTTATGACTTGAGTTTATCTGTCTAGTGAACTTGCAGCTGCACAGCTAGGGAAACAGGGTCTTCACAATGCCTGGGAAAGGAGGAGAGATAAGGCTCACTAGCCACAGAAAAACAGGCAGTTAATTTTTAAAGGACTCCAACTCTTTCTCTTTCTCAGGGGAATTGGGTTTTCTTACATACGACTGAGTTTCTGCTTACATATTCTTTAATTTCTTTTAATTCCTATTTCCATTCCCCCCTTTGGTGCTTTTTATAACAAAGGTGTTAATAGAAAGCACCACTACTTGCCACCTCTTCGCGGAGCTGAGCTGCTTCTACTGGCAGTGGCTGATATTTGGTTAATGCCATCAACTGTGCGGTAGTGTGTCGGGTTACTATTGCCTCTGTAGTTGACTGAATACTCCTAGTAAGCAGGGGTAAAAGGCAAGGGAGGATGAGGCAGTTGCCAAGAATAAGCAAGAACCTACCAATGAGGGTTTTGAATCCTCCAAAGGCTGAGAACCATCCTCCAAACAAGGAATCCAGGGACCACCCGGATCAAGTCTGAACTAGAACATGGGCCAACTCGCCCATTCTAGCAGTGATTTCCATAATAGCTTGGCCATTATCATCGATTTCTAGGCAACAGTTGGTTAAATTAAATTTTCTACATACTCCTCCTTCTGAGGCTAAGAGGTAATCCAAAGCTCATCTATTTTGATGTATAGCATTTCTTATTTGTGTTGCTTGTATTGCCAATAAACCTAGTGCCCTTGGTGTTTCATTGGTTATAATTTCAAGGACTACCTACAACCTTATGATGCAGTTGAGCATATAGATTGGGGTGCAATATCCCCATGAACCGTCTTGCACCCAGATAGCTGGCTTATAATATTTAATGATTCTTTCAGGAGACCATTCATTATCTTTTCAGTCTCCTATGTCCACATCTTTTTGACATTTGTGTCTATTTTTGTGATTATGCTTCTTCTAGTTCTTCTTTTATTTTCATCATAAACTGGATATCCTAAGAGTTCCTCTTGCTTTAGAGGAATTAGAAAGAAGGATGGCTTGATTGTTCCTAACACACATGCCCCTGTCCATTTAGCCGGCAGTTGCTGATGTACCCATGCTCCACAGATCCATTATAGGCCAGAGGATGCCTTCCAAGCATTTGGAGCCTCTAGCTGATTCCAAGTGTGGCTTAGAGTAGAGAATCAAGAGAAAGGGTTTGGACCTGGTAAGTAGGAGTCATTCTGGGCATTTCTCCGTAGAGTTTTGTTTTTAGTCTCATCATAATGCTGTTGCCCTAGGCAGGTTGTTTCTCCTGCTGCCTCTGTGAAAGCCTTTCCCCATCGGGTGATACAGTACTTTTTAATTACGGAGGTTTTTAACAACCAAACACTGGCTGAGGCTGTTGGTTCACTGGCAGGGTTAGGCAAAGTGAAGTTACCTTGTGGCATTAATTCCTTTGCCTCCCATGGCCACTGGTCACCCATATTAGTTCCTCCACATACATAGCATGAGGAAATTCCTAAGCTGCCAGTTATGTTTTCAGCTAGTTGAGCAAATATGTTTTTGGGTGATGGGGGAAGCTCAGGCACTGGCTGATCAAAATGCTTATAGAATGACTTATGGACCCAGAATTGGGGGATTGGACACATTTGAGTCCTTCTAGTCTTTTTGACAATCAGTAGTGGAACTCCAAGGCCTGCTTCTTGTCTATCAACTCATAATAGTGCTGCCTGCCCTGTAGACCAAAAAGGTAGCTCTGGCTTTAAGATAGTAAAATTTAAAGAATTGCATGTCCTTGTCTTACAATTTAGTTTGACTGACATACTACTTAGCAGAGCAGTCCATCCTGAATATAAGTGTTGGAGCTGTGTTAGCATAGACCACTGAATGTTACGGTCCGGGCATCCGATTTGTGGTTCTCCATACAGATGTTTAGGGCTGTTCCTGCTCAGCCTCTCTTGTGTTAAACCATTGCAGGCTGCTTCTGTTTTTTTTAAGATTATGAACATATGCGGCATGGCAGGCATCAAAGTACAAGGAACTACGCCTTTTATAGGAGGGAGGGGCTTCTTTGGTTCGAGCTATAAGCTCTCCTTCTTTTTCTCCCTCTGATTTAATATGTACCTCAAACCAGAATTCATAAGGTAAGAGTTTAGGGTCATAACCTACATGTAGCTGATTATTTCCTGGGTCACAGAATGAATAGGTGGTCTGGTTGTATGTGCAGATTCCTAACTTGGTTCCTGTACATTCATAGTAGGTATGGTACAGTAGAGTTTTAACTATGGTGTTTCTTACCCAGGTAGTGTGTACACAGTATGGGCATCTTTCTAGAGATTTCTCCTTTTTTAGTATAGGCAGAAATGGTAAGAACATTAGTGTATATAATAGAAACATGCTTACACTACACATGGGCATGGCAAACCTTCCTCTGGGCATAGACATTTGCAGCATTTGCAGTAATAACATAACATAATAACCAGTATTGACAGAATTATAGCTAGGCTTATAAATTGTATCCACATTTGCTTATCCGGAGATGGTCCTTTTAGCTTCGGCTGTGCATAGACTAGTCAGCTTCCGGGCTGTGACTAGAGCAGAGCTTGCAGGATTCTCAAGCTTCACCTGTGCGTAGACTGACCAGCCTCCGGTGTGGTCAGAGCAGGGCAGTTGTCCTTCTTACCGGTAGTTGGGTTTTGCCATAGGACTGTTCTGGTGGGGCAATCTGGGTCTTGTTGGCTAGTCCACTGGTCGTCATGGGGAGTCACTGCTGCCGCTGGTTTTAGCCAGCTATGGTGAATCCAAGGTGTGACACCTGCAACTTTAACAGCAGTGGGAGTAGACATGATCACAATATGGAGCCCATCCTATAAGGGCCCCAGGGTTGTTGGATTCCACCTTTTTTTTTTTTTTTTTTGAGATGGAGTCTCGCTCTGTTGCCCAGGCTGGAGTGCAGTGGCGCAATCTCGGCTCACTGCAAGCTGTGCCTCCCGGGTTCATGCCATTCTCCTGCCTCAGCCTCCCAAGTAGCTGGGACTACAGGTACCCACCACCATGCCTGGCTAATTTTTTGTTTTCGTATTTTTAGTAGAGACGGGGTTTCACCGTGTTAGCCAGGATGGTCTCATTCTCCTGATCTCGTGATCTCCCCGCCGCCGGCCTCCCAGAGTGCTGGGATTACAGGTGTGAGCCACCAGGCCCAGCCTGGATTCCACATTTTAACCCAGACAGAATCCCCGGTTTATGTGGATGCACTGGGTCTGTTAGACTTAAAGGTATCCTTTCACTTACCCAGCCTTGCACCTCCTGCATTGCCACTCCTAAAGCCTGCATCTGTCTTCTAAGGGTTAGCTCTCCTAACTCCTTTAACTACCCTCTAATTTGATTAATGATTGGGGGTGGCCTTCCAAATAATATTTCATAGGGTGAATACCCAATTTGTTCTGTAAGTGTACACCTGACCTGGAGGAGGACCATGGGCAAGACCTGATCCCATCGTAAGTGAGTTTCCTGGCAAAACATTTTTAGTAGCTGTTTGAGTGTCTGGTTCATCCATTCCGCCTTCCCTGAACTCTGTGGTCAGTAGGCTGTGTGCAGTTTCCATTTGATCTTTAAAAGCTGAGTCAGCTGTAGTACTACTTCTGCCACAAATGCAGGACCATTGTCTGATCCTAGGGTTAAAGGCAATCCAAACCTTGGTATGATGTCTTTTAGTAGCACCTTTGTCACCTCTCGTGCCTTTTCAGTCCTGGTGGGGAAGGCCTCAACCCACCCTGAGAAGGTGCAAAGAAACACTAGCATATACCGGTAACCTCCTGCTCAAGGCAACTCGGTAAAGTCTACAAGCAGGTTCTCACAAGGCACAGCTCCCATTTCCTGAATTCCTGGGGGTCGAATAGGTCCTTGTTTTGGCTTATTCCAGACACAGGATAGACATTATTCGCAAACAGCATGGGTGATGGCAGAGAGCCGTGGCACATAGAAGTGTTGACCTATCAAAGTCTCTAGTTTCCAGTGTGTGTTCTTTGATGGATCTGCTTCACAAACCTTGAGGCTATTGTCTCTGGGACGTCTAGTCTCCCATCAGAGAACAGCCACCATCCACCTTTAATATATTTCCCTGTTTCCAGAACAAAACAAGCTTTTTCACTCGAAGAGTAAGGGGGTACCTCCAGCAAAGGGGGCTCTATAAGGAGAGGCATTGCTAGAGTTCTTTCTTCAGGTGAAGCCTTGCTCATTGCTGCCTGCCGAGCCTCTTGGTCTGCCTTTCTGTTGCCCTGCACCTCATAGCTTTTCCTGATTTGGTGTCCTTTGCAATGAATGACAGCCACCTTCTCCGGAGCCCATACGGCTTCCAATAATTGCAAAATTTCCTCTTTATTTTTTATTTCTTTTCCTTCAGTAGTCAAAAGTCCTCTCTCTTTGTGTATTCCCCCATGGGCACGCAGGGTTGCAAAAGCATATTTTGAGTCAGTACATATGTTTACTTTCTTCCCCTTGGCCAATAACAGTGCTCTGGTT
The DNA here is from genome assembly GCF_000001405.40 of Homo sapiens. Taxonomy (NCBI): domain Eukaryota; kingdom Metazoa; phylum Chordata; class Mammalia; order Primates; family Hominidae; genus Homo; species Homo sapiens. The sequence goes on along the minus strand of NC_000023.11, from coordinate 120,151,621 downwards.
AATGCTATTAATTCAGCCTTCTTAGCGGAAGTCCCAGAAGGTAAGGCTTGAGCCTCAACCACTGAGTGTTGGGTCACTACTGCATATCCTGCATATCTCACCCCATCTGTTATGAAACTGCTACCATCAGTGAAGTATATAACATCTGGGCTCTCCAAGGGGGAATCTCTGAGGTCTTCCTGGCTCGAGAACACTTTGTCCACCATATTTATGCAACAGTGGGGAAGGTCCTGCCAGGAGTGAGGCAACCCAGCATCCTTCCAATCGGGTTCCTCCACAGGCAGCAGGGTAGCTGGGTTCAAGGTATTTACATTCTCTAGTGTTATCTGGGGATTTTCACATAGAAGCCCTTGATACTTTAGCATTCTAGAGTTGGACAGCCAACCATATCCTCTTTGCTCCATTAAGGTGACTACGGCGTGTGGCACTGAACTATTAACTTCTGACCTAGGGCTAGCTTGTTGGCATCTTCTATAAGGATTGCGGTAGCTGCCAATGCCCTGAGGCAGTGGGGCCAACCTAAAGCCACCAAGTCCAGTCTTTTGGATAAGTATGCTACCGGCCGATGCCAAGAGCCCAAGAACTGAGTTAAGACTCCAACTGCCATTCCTTGACATTCATCCACATACAAAAAAAGGGCTTTTTTACATTTGGCAACCCTAGTGCCGGGGCCTGGATGAGAGCTTCCTTTATATCCTTGAAGGCCTTTTCCTGTTTCTTTTGCCATAGGAGGGGCTCTCTTTCCTTTCCTTTTATAGCCTCATACAAGGGCCTTGCTGTAAGGGAGAAGTTTGGAATACAGATTCGGCAGAATCCTGCCACGCCTAGAAATTCCCTGGCCTTGTAACTGGGGTGGGCAGTGCACATACAGCCTCCTTGCGTGCACTTAAGCCTGCGCTGGCCTTGGGATACCATGAATCCTAGATATCCAACCTCCTGAAAACAGACTTTTGCCTTGTCCTTGGACACTTTATAACCAGCTTCACACAGCACGTGAAGAAGCCTCTCTGTTCCTTGGAGTCATTCCTCCCTCGTGGGGGCGGCAAATAGGAAATCATCAATGTGTTGTAATAGCACATAATTGTCACTAGGTGGCGCAAAAGCCTCAAGATCTGTAGCCAAGGCCTCCTCAAAAATGGTAGCATTCTTAAACCCTTACGGCAGCCTTGTCCAGGTATATTGCGATTGCCCCCTCTGACTTTGGGGAGCAAGCTTCAAACAAAAGAAGGCATCCTTTAAGTCCAGACATGTGAACCAAGTGGCATCAGCAGGAATCTGTCCCAACATTGTGTATGGGTTGGGTACTGTTGCATGGATAGCGACAGTGGCCTTGTTTACCACCCGGAGATCCTGCACTGGCCTGTATTCCCCATTTGATTTGTGCATGGGTAACAGAGGAGTATTCCATGAGGACTTGCATTTTACTATAATCCCATGTGTATAAAGCCGATTCAGATGCTTTTGTTATTCCATCAATTGCCTCCCTGGGTACTGGGTATTGACGGACTCATACCGGGGCAGCATGAGGGTTAAGCTCTGCTACCACTGGGGGTCTGTTTGCAGCAAGTCCAGGGTATTATCCTCGGCCCATACACCTGGTACCTTGAAAAGCATCCCCCATATATTGTGTAGGTCGGTTCTGGTGACCTTCTGGCACACGGTTCACACAGCCACCATTCCTCAGCCCTTGGGACAGTTGGAGTTCATACCATTGCCTTGGACTTTCCAAACTCCAGTGTCATATTCCCTTTAGGCGTAAAGAAAATTTCTGCCTGCAGTTTCTGGAGTAAGTCTCTCCCCAGCAAGGGCACTGGACAATTTGACATATACGGAAACTCATGCTGCACTTCTTGTCCCCCAATAACACATCTCCTGGATTTGCAAAAAGGTCTCTTTTTTTTGGCCCCAGTAGCCCCTACAATAGTAGCACAGTTCTTTGTGGGGAGGCTAATTGGGTGAGTTACCACAGAGAAATCAGTACCAGTATCGACCAAAAAAATCCATTAATTGACCCCCTATTTCCATAGAGACCATAGGCTCCCCGGGGCCTAAAAAGATGGAGCCTGGTCTGTCTCAGTCCTCAAAATTCTCGGCCCGCTCTAGACCGATCAGATCAGGATCTGCCTTTGAAGCACCACGACTAGCAACTGAATGCCACACTTGGCTGTTACATCATTGACCATCATCTCCATCCTTTTCCTTTTCGGGGCACTCATCTTTCCAGTGGCCCATTTGCCTGCACCTTGCACATTGGTTCCTGTCCAGCTGGGACTGGCTTTCATCTCCCGCCCTTGTCTGTCTCCTTCCTCGGCCTCTGCCTCGGCCACTCCCTCTAGCAAATCCAGGGTTACTTTCTGCTAGTGCAGCAGCTATAAATTGAGCTGTCTCTTTGTTTCTATTTCTGGTTTTTCTTTCTTGCTTTCTCTCTGCCTCTTCTTCCTGGCTTATGTATATTTTGTTTGTTATTTCCAGGAGTTCACTAATATTTTTCCCTGCAAAGTCTTCCAGCTTCTGAAGCTTTTGTCTTATGTCTCCCTGAGCTTGTCCGACAAACATCATATTTATCATATTTTGGTTTTCAGGAGCCTCTGGAATAATTGGCACGTACAGCCTATAGGCCTCACAAAGCCTTTCATTAAATGTACTTGGGCTTTTGTCAGGCTTTTGGCACACTTCTGATATTTTGCTTATATTCATTGTCTTCCTTACTCCTGCTTTTTTCTCATTCAGGAGTGCCTTTCTATATTGCTGCAGGCCTTCCATGTCCCTTGCCTCATTTGGATCCCAGTTAGGGTCCTCATTTGGGTATTGCTGAACTGGCGTGGGTTAGGGGTGGTCTCTGGGGCTTCCCCTTCTAACCAGCTGAGAGCTGCCTGATTAACTCTCCTATGCTCCTCTGTATTAAATAATGTTAGCAAAAGTTGTTGACAATCCGGCCAGGTTGGATTATGTGTCATAATAGTAGAATTCACCAAATCAATGAGAGCCTGAGGTTTTTCTATATAGGAGGGGGTGTGTTGTTTCCAATTTAAGAGATCAGTAGTGGAGAAAGGCTGATAAACATAAAGCCTAGGGCCGCCTTGTATCTGCCCCTGGTCATCATAAACTTGTGTCCTGGTCTCTCAAAGTGGCATCTGCAAAGCCTGTGGTCGGCCTGAGCAGAGGCACCCAGCTGCCTCACCCTGTCCATCTTCCTTGTTTTTTTATAATGGGGGCTTCTGGTCCTCTGTGGGGGGAGACTGAGCCTCACTTTCCTCTGAGCCCAACTCTCCGGACACTCCTGACTCTGCCTCCTGCCTTATTCTGGTCAAAGATGGGTAGACTGGCACATATGGGGGCGGACATTCCCTTTCCTTGGGTGGGGCCTGAAGAACTGGTTTCAGCTGAGGCTTCAGGGATTCCTTTTCCTGGGAGATGCTAGGGGCTTTAGGTTCCTCTGCTTCCTTTGGTTGGGCCACATGAGACACTAATGCCTTGCAATATCCCTCTAGGCAGGGCTGTAGCTACTTGAGGTGACTTCGTGCCACATTGAGCCAAGAGTCTATATAGGGAAACTGGTCTGGGTATCCTGGTTGTCCTCCAACTCCAGTGACCACCTTAAACACATGGCCAGTTAATTCCCTATTATACCTTCGGAGGGCCTCCCCACATTGAAAGCAGGCCAATCTATTTCACAGTTATGTCCTTAGCTTTTGAGCATCCAGTTTCATCCCATAATCACCTCTAAATCTTTTTTTAAAATTCTATATCATGCACTCCAAAGGAGTTGATTTCAATGCTTTCCCTCCCATTTCCTCCCTTGTGGTGCACTTTCCCTTTCACTTTCACCCTTGGGTCCACCAGACCAGGTCCTATTACGGGAGTTTTGGACACTGCTTAGCCAGGAATGTGCCTTCCCCTGTCACAGCCTGCTGTGGCTGTGAAGCTGGTTCGATCAGCCGTATGCAGCGTCCTAGGTCTGATTTCCCCCACACTTGCCTCGGAGCACACAGCCCACGCTGAGGGATCTGTGCCTCCCCACATCACTCCCCACATTGGCCTCTCCCGAGACCGTCTCTTTCTCACACTTTCACACACCTCCCCTGCACCAGGACTCCTCATCGGATGAAACAAGCCTCTCTCGTGTCCCAGGTGAGCCTAGTTAGGCTCCCACATTCACACACATACACAGACCACTCCTACCCCAGGACTCCTCATCGGACAAAATGAGCCTCTCTCATGTCCCAGGTAGGTTCACATGCACCCACACACTCCCAGTTGGGATGGCAAGCCACTCTTGCCACCCTGCCAGCAAGCTGTACCTTGCTGCACTTGCCACTCTATCGGCCCATTTTCTCCCTTTTCCCAGTTCCACTGTTAGTGGGGACACGAGGTTCATCCAAATTGGCAAGCCACTCCTGCCGCCCCCAGCCACTCTAGGTTGGATTACTGGTTGGTCCCTGGGAGGTGACCAAGCTCCCCTTCATCCTTATGGGATGGGCTTTCATGCCTTGGGCCCTTGCTCCTTACAGCGGTTCCTGAAGTGCTGGTATCTTCCTGCAGCCCCATCCCCGGTTCCATTGCACTGCTGGGCAGGCCACTGGGATGCGGGGAGAGCCTATCTCTGTCTGGGTGAAGCTCCCCTGTGATACACCTTGGATGCCGGGTCTCCCCCGGTCCTTGGGCTCTAGTCCCCACAGGCAAAGGAGACAGTAAATCTGTCGTCTCCAATCCCAGGCGAGTCCCCAGAAATGTTGCGGGATTTTTTAAGGAATCAGAGAGACAAATGGGGTTCAGGAAGATATTTATTATTTAGGTGCACCGGCCCAGTACTCAGCCCAAAGGACTGAGCCCAGAACAAAGAGTTAAGTTACCTTTTAAGCATTTTGTAGGGTGGGTGGAGATCTGTGCAGGGGGAAGCATATTACAGAAGCGAGAAACAAAGACAGTTATTTAATTAATTGAGAAATGCATTACAGCATTTCTTACTTTTCAAGGAAAAACATGTTTTACAACTTGAGTTTATCTGTCTAGTGACCTTGCAGCTGCACAGCTAGAGAAACAGGGTCTTCACAATGTCTGGGAAAGGAGGAGAGATAAGGCTCACTAGCCACAGAAAAACAGGCAGTTAATTTTTAAAGGACTCCAACTCTTTCTCTTTCTCAGGGGGAATTGGGTTTTCTTACATACAACTGAGTTTCTCCTTACACATTCTTTAATTTCTTTTAATTCCTATTCCAATACCATAAAAGCAATTAAGGACAGGTCTAGAGTTAGTTAAAGACAGGTGGAGGTGGTGATAGAGAGGACAGGGTTACATTGGTAAGGGTGACAGTTAGAAGGGGAAGTCCTTTTAGTGAAATAGATGAGAGGTTTTAGATCTGCACAAACCTTTTTCATGGAAGTCCAACTTTGCTCCTGGGTAGTTTAAAGGACGTAGTCCCATGTACCACAAGGTTGCCAGGCTATAGGAGCAGAAAATCAGCGTCTTGGCTGCAGGTGATCACAACGATGAGTGCTAGGGGTAACTGTGTCAATTAGAGGGCCGAGGCATAAATAATTGTGTGAAAAGGCTAGCTGTCATTGATCTTTTACATTTCCACAAGGTATGACAGAGCAAGCATAAAAGGCAATGGTCTGAGGTGACTCAGACTTAGTTACATTAATAACAAAGGAGCTAGTAACAGAATAAGGAAAGGAAAAGAAGCAATATAGAAGGTATATGAAAATTAAGCTTTCTTTAACTTTAACTTAGTAAGGCTTAATCCTAGTACAGTAACCCATGATTCTGACGAGGAAGATGTTTTCTTGACTTGAGTATGGTGGGTCCATCCTTTCTCAGCTGTGAGGATGGCAGTCTCAGTGGTTAACAGCATAAAATAGGGTCCTTCTCAGGCTGGCTCGAGTTTTTTTCTTTCTGTCTTTTGATGAGGATGTGGTTTCCAGGCTGCTGCTGGTGTACTGGAAATTCTAGGGCTGGTACCCGTGCTAAAAGACTTTTAGTTCTGAGGGAAGGGAAAGTGGAAGATAAAAAGTATATAATTTTTGCTGCATATTCTGGGGCTTGAGGTCCCATGGTGATGCCTCCCACTCCATTCCTGCTCAGCACCACTCACAGGATGCTGCAGCCCTGCCCCCTCTTAAGGTCTTGGCCTTCTAGTGGCCTTCATCTCCCCTGCACATTGTGGCCTTGGGGATGAGGAGCTTGTGACTTACCCAGCTGCCCTCGGACCTTAAGAAAGCTAAACACCATTTTATATTTGACAATGCTTTTTGTATGATTTTGTACCAGGTAAGTTAAATTTTACCTTTATATTAATGTGCTATTAATGTTAAACTTAATTTTAATAAAATCTTGTAGATATTATCCAATTTTAATGTCTGACTATAAGGTAAGATTTTTATAGACTCTTTTTAACATGTTAAATTTTTTGTTAAAGAGCAGGTTAGTGCTTTAAGAATAAACTATTGTGGTTTTATTTTAATGTTCAGTTCACAGCAAAACTGGATGATAAACCCTTTACCTTTAGCCAAAATGTTTACACACAGAATTTCCTTTACAATTAACATGTTAAAACTTGCTTAAACCTTTAAAACAAAAATTTTTAAACCTTTTAATGTAGGTAAAAATCCATATTCTTATGCCTCCTTATAATCCTTTTATTAAAAGTATATTTTATTTTTCTTACATACTTTGTACATAAACTGTTTTTTTAATAGTTTTACATTCAGGAGGCCTAATTACTTTTAAATTATACAATATTTCTTGCATAAATTCCCTTTATAACCTTTCTTACGACTTTCACAGACAATCTTCAACATGTCTTAACTTTCTGCCTTCCTTTTACACTATTTCTTTTCCTAGTTTCACCCTCTGTCTTTCTTTGATTTCTGTCTCTTACTTATTCTTTCCCTCTATTTCTCTCTCTCATTTGCACTCTCTTTTTTTCTCTCTCTCTCCGTCATCCCTTGTTCCTTTTTCCCTCCCAAGTTCTCCTGCTCCTGCCGGCCGGCAAGGCCGGGCAATGGCATGGGTCCCGCCCCCACACACACACTGCCGTCTGTTTCATCTGCTTTTTTTTTCTTTTCCCAATTTCCCTTTTTACTTTTTTCCTTTCTTCTTACACTCAGTTTCTTGGGCTGGGTGGGATTTGTGGGGCTGCAGTCCAGACCCCGGGCCATCACTGGCCCAGAGGCTTGGCAGATGCCTGCTGCAAGTTGCAATAATTATGCCCTTTCACCTCCTCTGCTCTCCTCCTGGCGCCGTTCCCCACCCTCTTTTTCACATAGAGCTGGGCTGGGGAGAGGGACTTAACCCTTGGTGCGCCTGTCTGGTGTCACGCTTGCTGTTTTTGCTCTTTCTCTCTGACTTCCTTTCCTGGTTTCTTTTTCCTCCCTGCTGGACTTCGCCTCTGCCAGCCACCTATGCTGCTGTTTTCCCCCCTCTCCTTCCCCTTCCCCTAGGGGAGCAACTGGTGGGAGTGGAGCTTAGCCTTTTTCTTTTCCTGAGAAGAGAGGAAAGGGGAGTTTTGAATATATATTTACTACCGGAGGTTTGTGTGAGATTCAACCCCCACAATGGGGATTTCTCACCTCTTTGAGGTTCAATCCCCCAATGGGGATTTCTCACCTCTTTTTGAGGTTCAACCCCTACAATGGGGATTTCTTACCTCTTTTTAAGGTTTAACCCCCCCAATGGGGATTTCTCACCTCTTTTTAACCACCCCAAGGAAATACTTTACCGGCTCTCCCAGTGTTTTTTTTTCGTCGATTTGGGCACAGAGTTTCCTGGTTCACGTGGATGTGAGGATCCTTTACTCCAGATCGCCAGCCAGTTTTTGTTTTTTTTTTCCTGCGTTGCTGAGAGTCTGGGTTTATTCATCACACCAGGTGGATCTTAATTCCATATCCCTGAGGCCACTGCAATGAGGCAGAGGAGTGTGCTCCCTCATGAGAAAGGACTGGAGACCGCCCCCAGAAGAGAACGTATCCATGTACGGATTTCCACCAAAATTGTTAGAAATGCTTGTTTCCCAGTGCCATAAAGAAATTTACTTGAACATAAATTTAATTTCCTCAGCAAGGGCATTTTTACTTTCTGCAGAAAGGGTACACTCGCCAGCTGTTCTGCCATGAGAGTACACTGAACAAGGGAGACAGGGTCATTTATAACCTGACATGTCCACCCTACTGCTATGTCCAGTCTCCATTGGCTGGAATGGAACCTCACATTCTGTATTAGTCCTGATTGGCTAGCAACTTAGAACTTTTTAAAAGAGGCAAAGGCAGAGGAGAACAAAGGAAGGAGGAAGTAATTTATGGAATGCTGAGAAAGGTAAAAACACCTTCAAATAAGGAAAAGGAACAGGCTATCCTAATGCTTGCTTGGACCAGTATAAGCATGCCAGGGCAAATATTTAGGCTAAATTGTGGAAGCTAAGAACATAAAGTACATTGATTTCTTTATTACAGCTCACAGATATTTAAGAATGTTAGCCCAGGTCTTTGAATAAATTTTGCTTCTAAGAGAAGTTACTATTTCTTCCTAATTAGATGGGGAGGAAAGTCTTTGAAGAGGAACCTCTACTTTACTTTTCACAATCATGAAATGAAATTAGAAACCAATAGCAGAAGGGAAACTGGGAAATTCACAAATATGCGGAAATAAATAATATGCTGTTAAACAACAAATGGATTGAAGAAGATATCACCAGGGAAACTAGAAAATACTTAGAGATGCATTAAAATGAAGACACAAACTCCCAAAACCTATGAAATGCAGCAAAAACAATGCTCAGAGGAAAATCTATACCTAAAAACACCTACATTAAAAAAGAAGAAATGTGCAAAATCAATAATCGAACTTACACATTTAGAAACTAGCAAAGGAGAGGAAACTAGACCAAAGCTAGCAGAAGGAAGGAAATAATAAAGAATGGAGACAAACAAAATAGAGAATAGGAAAGCAATATAAACTATCAGCAGATCCAAAATGTGGTTCTCTGAAAGATCAACAAAGTTGACAAACTTTTAGCCAGACTAACAAAAGAGGGAATATCAAAAACTAAAATAAGAAATGAAAGAGGGGATAATACTGGTAAAAAAAAAAAAAAAAAAAAAAAAAAACCAGACACATAGACCAATGGAAAAGAATAGAGAGCCCAGAAATAAAGCTGCACACCTATGGCCATTTGATCTCTTACAAACTTGACAAAAATAAGCAATGGGGAAAGGACTCCCTATTCAGTAAATGGTGCTGAGATAGCTAACTAGCTATATGCAGAAGAATGAAACTGGGCCCCTACATATCATATACAAAAATTATCTGAAGATGGGTTATCATATACAAACATTTTATCATATACAAAAATTAACTGAAGATGGGTTAAAGATTTAAATGTAAGATATCAAACTATAAGAACCCTAGAAAATCTAGGAAACACCATTCTGGACATCAGCCTCAAGAAAGAGTTTGTGAGTAAGTCCTCAAAAGCAATTGCAACAAAAACAAAAATTGACAATTGGGACCCAAGTAAACTAAAGCACTTTTGCATAGCAAAAGAAGCTATAAACAGAGTAAATAGACAACCCACAGAATGGGAGAAAATATTCACAAACTATGCATCCAACAAAGGCCTACTATCCAGAATCTATAAGGAAACAATTCAAGAAATAAAAAACAAGTAACTCCATTAAAAAGCAGGCAAAAAACACATGAACAGACACTTTTCAAAAGGAGACATACAAGTGGCCAACAAACATTTGAAAAAATGTTCAATATCACTAATCATCAGAGAAATGCAAATCAAAACCACAATGAGATACCATCTCACACCCATCAGAATAGCTATTATTAATAAATCAAAAAACAACAGATGCTGGTGAGGCTGCAGAAGAAAGGACACTTACACACTGTTGGTGGAAATGTCAATTAGTTCAGCCACTTTGGAGAGCAATTTGGAGAATTCTCAAAGAACTTAAAACAGAATTATCATTTGACCCAGCAATCCCATTACTGGCATACATCCAAAAGAAAATAAACTGTTCTACCAAAAAGACACATTCACTCATATATTCATCACAGCAATATTCACTGTAGTGAAGACATGGAATCAACCTAGGTGCCTATCAATGGTGGACTGGATAAAGAAAATGTGGCACACATACACCGTGGCATACCGTGCAGACATAAAAAGAATGAAATCATGTCCTTTGCAGCAACAAGGATGCAGCTGGAGGCCATTATCCTAAGTTAATTAACATAGGAACAGAACACCAAATACTGCATGTACTCACTTATAGTGGTAGCTAAACATTGGGTACTCATGGACATAAAGATGGCAATAATAGGCACTAGGGACTGATGGGGGGAGGTAGGGAAGGGGGCAAGGGTTGAAAAACTAACTGTTGGGTACTATGTTCACTAGTATCCCATCCGGATGACAGGACCATTCAGATCTCAAACCTCAACATCATGCAATATACTCATGTAACAAACCTGCACATGTATCCCCTGAATCAAAAATAAAAGCTGAAATTATTTTTTTAGAAAAAGAAGAGGGGATGTTACCACTGATTTGACAGAAATAAAAAGGATTATAAGAAAATACTATGAACATTGTATTTCAACAAATTAGATGCCCTAATACATTGAAAAACAATTCCTACAAACACACAAACTACCAAAACTGACTCAAGAATAAATAGAAAATCTGCAAAGACTTATAACAAGTATGATATTTGACAATAGTGCCAAACCATTCAAAGTGAAACCACTTCCTCTGGGGCAATACCTGTAGTTAGTTGTCTCGCGCCGATGATTAACAACATGGACACACACGTGGAGTGGGTTAAGGAGCAGAAAGTTTAACAGACAAAAAGGAAGAGAGATAGAATAAGCTTCCTCATGCTGAGAAAGCGGGTCACCTGAGAGAGGGTTTCTGGGTTAGGTGCAGAACGTGATCAATTTTGTACAAAGGCTTGAGGAGGCGGTGATTGATTTACATAGAGCCCAGGGGATTGGTTTGACCAGGTGCTCCATTTACACAGTCCATGAAAAGACTGGCCCTCCAACCCTAATCTTTTATTATGCAATTATGGCTTCTATCTGACTGTCACCATGACACCTGCACATGTGACTTTACCTGGCTAGTGCCATGACACCCGCACACGTGGCCACAAAGAAAAGGGAGCGAGAATCGCCATATTGAATGTACCTGGCTTCCAGGTACAGCTGATGGCATTTACATATGAAAGCTAGCTTGCATAGCTATGCTTGCAGCTTGAAGTTTCAGGCTGCTTTCTGTTAGAAAAGAAATGGTTTGGGGGCTGCTTTTTATTAATGGAAAATTCCACCAAGAACTCTTTACCCTTTCTAATTGCCTAAAATAATTTTTAATAACTGCTGTATTAAAAGGATATGTGTACCGAAACTAAGCCAAAACACAACTTTAATAGGCTTAAGATCTCTGTGTGTTTGCTCCTAGACAAAACAAATGGGGTACAGAACAAACAAAAACATGTTGATAGGAGAGAGAATGGATCATGGTCTTTCATAGAGCATTCTGTGCTTCTGGACTCAGAAAAGCTGTCAGACACCTGTTTATGGTTTATTACAGCTACAGAAAACACATTAAAAACAGCAAAGGAAAAAGGTATCACTTGAAGAGAGCAGATATTCACATTTCAAATTAAATACTTCAGGAAATCCAGTTTAAATAATTGAAAGCAAAACTCAAATGCCAAAAGTGGGTAAATATTTAGTCATATTTTCTTGTAAGTTTCTTTAGATTAATTGTTGATATTATTGTTGCTGCTGTTGAATATCCATTGTCTTCCTATCCTTAACACTACAGGAACACAAATACGTCATTGTAGATATATTAGCGTAAGCCATTCCCTACTCTTCTAACCAATTCTGAACTCTTAACCGTGTGATTTCAAATAAAAAATTTTCCCACGATATGCTCTGTAGTAAAGATATAAATAGGTTTGTAACAATGACATTTGGGGAAATTTATCAGGGCTTTACATGTATTTACATAATAGAAACAGGCAGAGAATGCTTAAGGACACTAATCCCATTTGTGAAGACTCTACCCTCATGACCTAATAACCTACCAAAGGCCCCACTTTCTAATACAATCACATTAGGGGTTAGGATTTCAACGTATGAATTTGGCGGGGACACAAACATTGAGTCTATAGCACTGTCATATACTAGTGTTCTGTAGCAGATTAGCAAATTTATGAACACACAGTTTCACAATTTCTAGAGGAATATGCTTCCTCATTGTATAATTTTTCATGTTCATTAACAGAACCAGATGTATTTAGCTTCACTATATCATATAAAAATAAAACACCAGGCCGGGCACGGTGGCTCATGCCTGTAATCCCAACACTTTGGGAGGCCAAGGCAGGTAGATCATGAGGTCAGGAGACTGAGACCATCCTGGCTAACACAGTGAAACCCCATCTCTACTAAAAATACAAAAAATTAGCCAGGCATGGTGGCACGCACCTGTAGTCCCAGCTACTCGGGAGGCTGAGGCAGGAGAATCGCATAAAACCGGGAGGTGGAGGTTGCAGTGAGCCGAGATCGCGCCACTGCACTCCAGCCTGGGCGACAGAGGGAGACTCCATCTAAATAAAATAAAATAAAAGAAAATAAAACACCAAAAGCATATAAACTTAAAACTTAGGTTCAGTAATTAGTGTTTAAGTGGTTTATCTTACTTAGAAAAGATCTAGGTTCTTATTTTAGGCAAACATAACATTAAACAAAGCTAGCCATCATTTGAAGTTATTTCCCTATTAACTATTTTTACAGGATGTCCATGTTTGACTGGCATCACAAAAGCAAAAACCTAAAAAGTTAAATGCATGAGTTTGTTGTTTTACTGCTGTGCTTGACACACATGACGTAATGGAATCGGACAATTCAGTTTTACCTGCATCTTTACTTGTACATTTGTTGTTAGTTTGGATTATATTTATTATTATTATTATTATCATTATTATTATTATTATTATTATTATTATTATTATTATTTCAGACACAGTCCCACTCTGTCCCCCAGGCTGGAGTGCAGTGGCACCTTCTCAGCTCACTGCAACCTCCGCCTCCTGGATTCAAGCAATTCTCATGCCTCAACCTCCTGAGTAGTTGGGATTATAGGCGTATGCCACCATGCCTGGCTATTTTTTATTTTATTTTATTTTTAGTAGAGATGGGTTTTCACCATGTTGGCCAGATGGTATCAAACTCCTGACCTCACGTAATCCACCCACCTTGGCCTCTTAAAGTGGTGGAATTACAGGTGTGAAACACCGCACCCAGCCATTAGCTTGAATTTATAATGTTTATAACCTTAAACATCTGCCAGACATAATATTAGTTTATTAAATGAGTAAACCCAAATAGAATAAAAATATATGCCCATATTATACTTGAAACTGACAACTCAGAAGACAGCTGTTTTTATTAAACCAAAAATATTAAACTAACTTTATTTACCAAAGATTTAACCAAGTCATGTGAACTTGAAAAGCATTTGGGTTTCTTTCTATATCACTGGGAGTTTTAGGAATATTCCATTGAGATAAGTGTTCATTTATCTTTAGGCCAATTTGAATAGAGCTCCTTTAAGAGATTTTATAAATTCATTAGTTAATACCATCCAGAGGTGGAAAAAAATCACATATACATAACATACATTCATACATAAACATAGACACAGGCATAAACGGAGATCTTGGTTTCATTCTAAACTTTTAGCCATGAATCATTAATACAAAACTCATTGATTCATATCTTCTTTATATTTTTATCCGAATTACATTTCTGACAAAAATGGGACAAGGTTACCTACTGAATAAAGGCTAAAGCCTTTTTTAAATCAATATTTGTAGAGAAGACTTTTAAGATTTTCTTTTACCCTGATATGTAATCTTATGAAGTCCGTGGATACTATTTTAGGCAAGAGACTAAGGAGACATCTAGCGGCTGTTTGATTATCTCCAAAACACATCTGAGTGGATAAAATATTCAGTCTATTTCTAATTATCCTTTTTCCTTTTGAGCTTCAGGTAGTTGCCTTTGGGGTCACTAAGTCCCTTGAGAGCCCCTAATGGGGTCAAGCAACCTAAAGGTAAAGAGACTGGGAAGTTGAGGGGTCAAAATGGAAAGGGAAGTCTGGCAGGAGTGGACAGAGGAATGGAAGAGGTAGGAGTTTGCCAGGGACATATTAAAGCATTCAAGGCAGCTGAAGAGAAGATTGAAGGTAGCAATGAAACCAAGTGCCCCATTTTCTTAAAAGGAATTATTTTTACCTTTTTTTCTTTTTCCCTCGCCTCTTACTTAGCTCTTTAGGAATACAATTAAAATCTTTACCTTCTTTTGAACAGGCACTCCCTGCACTGCAAGCTTATCTAACTATGTTTTTGCTTAGAAGTTCCAGGGACCAAATCTCAAAACAAACAAAGCACCCTCTGGAATTCTCCCCCACCGGGAGACTGCCTCAAAACAGCAATTAATTAACAACCCACTTCTGTCCACGAAGGCACTGACCAGACCATCAGACCACAGCATCACTTAAGGTAAGCATTGGAGCGAGTCACATAGATCCCACACCTAGTCACCCCTCTTGCATGCCATTCACTCCAAGTTCCCCTTTTTAAACCCTTGTTTTCTATCCCAAAGGTTAAAGTGGATCCCTTAAGGCAGGAGCCTCTTCTGCTTCTCCACTGCTAAGCTCTGGAATAAGTCAGTTTCTTTTCTTTTTCTTTCTCTTTCTTTCTTTCTTTCTCCCTTTCCTTTCTTTTTTTCTCTCTTTCCTTTCCTTTTTTCATTCTTTCTCTTTTCTTTTTTTTAAGATGGAGTCTCACTCTGTCACCCAGGCTGGAGGGCAGTGGTGCAATCTCAGCTCACAGCAACCTCCGCCTCCCAGGCTCAAGCAATTCTCCGGCCTCAGCCTCCCGAGTACCTGGGACTACAGGCGTGCACCACCACGCCTGGATAATTTTTTGTATTTTTAGCAGAGACAGGGTTTTGTCATGTTGGCCAGGCTGGTCTCGAACTCCTGGCCTCAAGTGACCTGCCTGCTTCAACCTCCTGAAGTGCTGGGAATACAGGCGTGAGCCACCATGCCAGGCCTAGAATAAATCACTTTCTTTTTACCACCCTCGTCCTTGCTATTTGATTTTGCAAGCGCTGAGCGGCCAAATCTGTGTTTGGTTAAACATTTGGTGGCCCATACAGGGAGCACTGTGCATTTCTGGCTGTCCGAGCCTACTAGCCCAGTTTACACTACTGGGCAGGGCACAGGGCCACCTGTGAACACCAACTGCTTGTTGGTAAGCAAGTTCTTACAACTGCTTGTTGTAAGAACATTAGGGTATTTCCCAGAAGCTGCCGAAATGCTTTCTTTTCAGGTAACCTCCCTTTCTCTTTCCTGCATGATGTCTGCTGCCTTCAATGCCTTGCTGGTATAAAGAATGTGACCTCTGAAGAAATTTGGCAACCTTTGAAACTGGGTGAGTGACTTGGAGTGGACTCGACTTTCCTCTGTGTCTTCTACAGTGTTGCTGGGGATCTGCTCTGTTTAGACTTGGCTGCCGGTGGCACCATTTTGGCGTTTAACACATTTGTATATGTGGCACCATTGGGGCTTTGGCACCATTTGGACTTAGCTGCCTGTGGAGCTGTTTGGAACTGAGGTAAGGCATTCAGGATTTTACCTAGCCCCTTAACCAGGGTTTTGTTCAGAAGTGCACCATTTGTTTGTAAGTGTGAGTGTTTGACCTTTGTGTGTGGATCCTGATTTCATCCTTTCCTTTTCACTTACGACTTCATCTTCCTGATTTATCTTGCAAAGCCACCTACATCGTTACTTCTCTCAGGCAAATGTATCTTTAGCTCCCTCCAGCTGGAAACAGTTCACTTCAACCAGTGACTTGCGGAGTGGGGAGGGATTCATCCTACATTGTGCAGGTCTAGGGTACTTGGGCTCTCCCTGACAGGAGGTAAATGAGAGTGGTGGGGGTACCAAACCCACACCATGCAGGGGCTGGAAGGGTCACAAACCTCCTTCTCTTTCCTTCTCTTTCTCTTTCTCTCCTTTAAAACCCAGCTCCTTCACAGAAGCCTGCCAGGAACTTCATATTTTAATTCTCTTTGGAATTACAGCTGGTTACATATTATGACGTATTTTTGTGCACATTTTTAAATGATGAGAAAATTACAGCAAGAAAAATTCAGAGCTCGAGTGGTAACCTGCAACTAGAAAGTTAAGCAGAGTGTTTTAAAGCTCTCCATCTTCCTCTAATTTCTATTCTGCCTGCTTGAAATCTATTACTAACCTTCGGGTGCTGAGATGAGACTCGTTATTTGTGGTCCAACTAGAATATAAACATTGGAAACTCATCTGAAACTGAAAAAAAAAAGATAGAAGAGGTTATATATATATATATATATATATATATATATTTTTCAAACTGCCACAGAGACTGCTTTACCCAAATTTTGGTTCACAGCTTTCATTGGATTATATATTGGGGGCAATCAAAATTTAGCCATATAAACAGCTTCCAATGTAATCAAAGAATAATGTGGATCCAGCTATCTTTCATAAAGTTGTGAGTTTGTATTGTTATCTGATGGCTAGAATTCTGAGGTAAAAGCTATTGGGACCTTTGTTTGTGTGCGTATACATGTTTAGATCTGTTCATGTGTATGTACATGTATTATATATTGTATCTAGCATGCTACCAAAAGGATTATAAGTAAATGAGTACAATCTGCCAAGATGGGCAGATTACTTGAGGCCAGGAGTTCAAGACCAGCCTAGCCAACATGACAAACACCCACCTCTACAAAAAATGCTTTTTAAGTTCACATGAATTTAGTAATCTTTGATAAATAAAACTGATCTTAAGATTATTGGTGAAATAAAAATAGAAATACCTTCAGAATTGTCAGCACACATTTTTGTCTGAGTTTATTGACCAAATGGTTTATATTTGTCACTGTCTATAAATAAAAGTATTAGGCTTTAACATAAATGTCATAAGCCTATAAACCCACCAAAAAAAAATCTTTGTGTGATTTTTTTAATAAATAAGACTAATATAATATTGTTAGTTTAATAAAAAATTAAATCTTCTAAATTATCAACAAAATGCCCATATGTTTAACTTTAAGGTTCTTACTTAAATAAACACCTAATGTGTACAGACTTTAAAAATGGTTAACAGGGAACTAACTCTAAATAATGATTACCTTTGTGTAATATCTCAGTTTTCATAAGTAATCTAGATAAACTGTCAAAAGTTTAAAATTTAAACATGTAAATAAAATAAATGCTTGCAGGCCAGGTGCAGTGGCTCACACCTGTAATCCCAGCACTTTGGGAGGCCAAGGTAGGCTGATCACTTGAGGCCAGGTGTTTGAGACCAGCCTGACCAACATGGTGAAACCCCATCTCTACTAAAAATACAAAAAAAATTAGCCAGGCATGGTGGTGCATGCCTGTAGTCCTAGCTACTTGGGAGGCTGAGGCAGGAGAATCACTGGAACCTGGAAGATGGAGGTTGCAGTGAGCTGAGATCACTCCACTGCACTCCAGCCTGGGTGACAGAGTAAGACTCCATCTCAAATAAATAAAAAATAAATGCTTGTAAATAGAGTTTTCATATATTTTAAAATCCTGAAATTTTTAAATTAAGTAATAATTGCTTGTTGGATGTCTGGGCCATTTCTAATTAAGAAAAAATTAAGTAAAGAAAAACGTGTTTCTAAAATCATGGAGGCCGGGCACAATGGCTTACACCTGTAATCCTAGCACTCTGGGAGGTCAAGATGGGCAGATTACTTGAGGCCAGGAGTTCAAGACCAGCCTAGCCAACATGACAAACACCCACCTCTACAGAAAATAAAAAATTAGCCGGGCATGGTAGTACATGACTGTAATCCCAACTACCTGGGAGGCTGAGGCACGAGAATTGCTTGAGCCTGGGAAATGGAGGTTGCAGTGAACCAAGATCACACCACTGCCCTCCAGCCTGGGCAATAGAGTGAATCCATGTCTCAAAAAATTAATTAATTAGTTAGTTAATTAATTAAAATAAAATTATGGAATGGTTTCCTCTATAAAATACTATTATCTGTTAAATTGTTCATAATTTCTTGCTTCCTAGGTTTTCACTAAAATTTACGGTCGCTAAGAATAAGAATTCTAGTTAATAAGTATTATATAAGTTATATTCCTAGTTTAAAAATAATTTTATATAATGTAGAGGGTTTTTTTAGTTATTTTTTTAAAAAAGAAAAAGGCAATAAATAGGAG
This sequence comes from Homo sapiens, assembly GCF_000001405.40. Taxonomy (NCBI): domain Eukaryota; kingdom Metazoa; phylum Chordata; class Mammalia; order Primates; family Hominidae; genus Homo; species Homo sapiens. The sequence continues at coordinate 120,133,295 of NC_000023.11, read as the reverse complement.
ACAGGTATGAAAAAGTTATGGATATAAAAATATATCTTTAATTTAAAAATGGTATAAAGAAAATAAAATAATTTTTATATGAAATAAGATCTTCATCCTAAAATAAAGTGACTGGTTATTTAGAAAAGAGAAAAATTTAGGACAAGTCAAATAGTCCAAGCATGTTATAGATAATCTATGTAAGTCATGATAAAGTTTGTGAAGAGGAATTTATGAAAGAAATTTTATATATAATTAAGTTGGGCTATAATTAAAAAGGAATTATTTATAATAGTCTTTCTAAAGATTGGTCACCTATGGTAAAACAAAGTTTTCTTAAGGTATTGATTTACTCTTAATAAAATTACAAAAGGTAGAAAAGGGAAAAGGACTCAGAATTTAAAAAAATAAAATTGCAAAAGATTATTAATTTTAATTCTATAGCCTATTTCTTTTAAAAACTTCTTGGAATCATATCTCAGAAGTTCAACTTTTGATGTATCTCACTACATTCAGCTTTTTTTCCCCTTGAGAGGGCCCAAGGTAACAACTCTCTCCTTTAGCTTTTTTATCAACTCCTATAACATTTTTCTTCCAGTTCTAACTGCTGTTGTGGCCTAATGCTAAAATGTTTGCTCTTAAAGGTCTAGAAAAGTAATGTTTTCCTCTAGGATAACTTGACTCTGCACTCTTGTCTTTCCTTAATATGTCCAAATTTTCAATGTAATCTGAAAATTTCTCATGCATTTAGTCAGAGTCATGTATTCCCTGGCTATACTCATTACCTTAAACACAGTCTTCCCGTGTACGATTAAAGTTAAGTACTTTTTTCATCTAGTTTGACTTTCAGATTATCTAAATGGGCTTTCTAATTTAAAAATACAGTCACACTAAAGAAGGGGTGGGGTTTTTTTGCCTTTTTGATAACTGGCTTAAGAAACAAGATTTTACATTTTATCAAGATAGTTCCTATGTTGTCTTAATAAAGTTTATTAAGTTTTTGATTAATTAAAAAACTGAGATTTAAAAGGATTTAAGTTTTTATATACATGTAACCTTCCACCTTGCCTTTAAAATCTCTTAGTTATCATCTTGGATACATTAGCAACTTTTGTTTTACAAGGACCTATGGTTCTGTTTTGATCAATTTTAAGCCTTTTAGCCTCTTTGACAGATGTCCTCAAAATCAAATCCTAAATTAAGTCTCAAACTTACTGCTGAGGTTTATCAAAGTTATAAAAATTTGATATATATATCAAATTGATATATATATCAAAGTTATATATATAACTATAAGGTTATAAAATCTTTTTACAGCTTCCAATCAGGTCATAAACTCCAGTATTACCACCTCCAACCCCTTAGAAGTCCTCATCAGGTGCTATTGATAGCGACAGGAGGCAGAGAAATTCTAGGCAGATGGGAGGGGTCCATGGTAAAACCCCACCTTTGAGCCAAAAAGCCTGAAACACACAGCCCAAAGTGAGAACTTCTATTCCTGTGTGCCCACTCTCTCCCAATTGGTTCTTCCTGAATAATGTATTTTTCCCAATCGAATATTGCCTTTTCCAAAACTACCTAGGCCCATTCTGCCTCCCATCCTGTGTCTATAAAGACCCCAGATTCAGCCGATAGAGAGGAGAAGCGGCTGGATGTCAGGGAGAGATGACTTGACTTCAGAGACAGTGGGTGGACATCGGAAAGAGGCAACTTGACTTTGGAAGAGAGAGGCAGAGAGGCAGCTTGATTTCAGGGTAGAACGACCTGCCCTTACTGTCGCCTTTCCAGCTCCCCTCTCCACTGAAAGCCACTTTCATCAGTCAATAAAATTCTCTACATTCACCATCTTTCAATTCATCTGCATGACCTCATTCCTCTTTGGCACTGGACAAGAATTTGGGACTCACCAAGTGCAGGTAGCCAAAAAGGTTGTCACACTGGCCCTTTACCCTCACTGGCAGAGGGAAGCTGCCCCATGTGATGAGGCAAAAGGCCCACTGAACTAATAACACACTGCTGTCTGAGGATGGTGGAGCTAAGACAGCATCATAACATGCCTTCTGGGGCCTTGGGGTTGGAGGCACCCCCACCTGGACAATGCCACAGGGCCTGCACAAAGTTTGCTCCTGCTGGCACCAAAGCAGCCAGCCAGTTCCTGCACTTGCTTATTCCGGCTCCTGCACTCATTCACTCACACATTCCCTCCTACGAGGGGTTGAGTGGGGTGGGCTGAGTAAATGGGGCACCCCTGTTGCAAATCCAATGAAGGGGTCAAGAAAATATCTTGCATCTCTATTAACTAATCTTTGTGTTGTTAAGTTATAGGGCTTTGACTCCTGGATACACATATCTCATCTAAAGAAGACACTGACTCCTGCCAGTATCTGACACCAGACTCAAGTTAACCAAAGTCTTCTCTTTAGACTCAGGCAAAGGCAACAATCAAAATAAACTGCTTTCATGAGACACAGGGAAAGGTCTGTCCTCAGAAACATTAAGATTCATTTAATAATTTTGCCTCTATCTGGAATAATATAATTTATTCTATGCCTTAATACTAAATGATTTAAATGTTTAGCTACCTATAAACTTACCCTTCTCAAAACTAGACAGGGCTTTTAACTTTTTTGTTTGTAACACTGCTAATTCTTTATCTTTGTTTTGCCTCCAGAGCGTAAAACTATTCAGTCGTTCCAAACCCAGGGACTATTGTGCAAGCGGTGGGCATATGAGATTATAAGGGCTAGTTTTGAGGTATAAAACCAATTCAGACCCTCCAAATTGAGGACGGGCACACAGATGCCTAAGCCACTAAACAAAATGCTTGTGTTTTATATACCTAATTGCTACAAGCCAAAATTAGAATAGCTCAATGCATAAAATGTATGCTCTTATGTTACTTGAAAGTGATTTTAAAGGTTAATGGGTGCCTGCTTACCTCCATTCCCATCGGGCCTAGAATGTTTAATTGCCTATAAATCTTTTGGCTCTAATCCCTTGGCCATAGGGGTCGTCCCTTGGCCATAGGGGTCCTACCAAGGGACATAATGGACACACACCACCCTGGCAACAACACGGGACAAAATTAAAGTTTAGCCATCAATGCTGCCTCTGGTATGTCTTAACCAAAAGCAGTGGGGAATATAAACTAAAAAAAATAAAATCCTAAACCCCAACCAACTAAATGGACTCCCTTCTTGCCCGAAGGGAATCCCAAAGAAACCTAAAAGAAAAAGTTTCAGGCCATGACAGACAGCAGGGCATCAGGCATGCCTCACTACACCATCCCCACCCTTTCTGGAATTTAGGCAAAACTGACAAGCATTAACATTAAAATGGAGATCATAAGACTGATAAGACAGATTCTTTGTAACAATAAGATACCAAACTATAAACAAGACCACTGACCATAGGCTAATTCTGGCTAGTTTACAAAAAGTACACATTTGCATGCCTTTATGTCCTAAAAAGACCTTTTGATGTCTAGGGCCTAATTATAATACATTATATGTTAAGTCCCCACACAAAAATAAACATGAGTCATATGTTACATACATATTTGTTCCATACACATGTGTCAAGACTGCCTTCATAAACATTTATGACCTCTCCTGTATGTCTTAACCAAAAGATGTGGGAAATATAAACTAAAAAAAAACTGTTAAATTTGTGTATTGAGTCCACCTGTCATCATATCCCCACAAGAACTCTGGACACAATTGATAGTGGGGACTGTGCATGATAATTAAGTAATTAAGACTGAATGCTAAATATTATCTCAGATAATTCAGAAAATGTCTTGTTAGCCCTGCAAGACATGAACCAACAAATCAAAACTATGTCTGACCCCACATTGTCGCTAGCTCAGTGGTTAGCAACCTGGTTCAGGTCAGGACCGTCCTGGTGGCAAAAGCTGCTTATAACTTTGGCCCTGGTTGCAGGGATAGGCATATTTCTTTGCTGTGGATTTTACTGCTGTTGCAACTTCTGTATGGAAATGCAAGACAGGCTTTCCCAAGAGACTTTCCTGGCCTCGCACCATAATGCTCCAGCAAACATTGTCTGTGAACCCCAGTACTTGTGAATATTTCCAACTCCAATGGATCAGTTCCATTCTGGTACCCTATAACTCCTCCCACTTTCAGCAGTAAGTAGCCAGAATAAAAACAATGCCCAAATCCCATGAAAATGGAATGGAATTTGACAGTGGGGAGTCGTAACCAAGTACCTCATTTTCTTAAAAAGAATTATTTTTACCTTTTTTTCTTTTTCCCTCACCTCTTACTTTACTCTTTAGGAATACAATTATAAACTTTACCTTCTTTCCAACAGACACTCCCTGTGAAGCAGGAGAATAGGGTCTGGAGGCAGGGAACCTAAAGCTGTTTCACACTAACTTCCTAGAACTAAATTGAAAGGAAAGCCCTAACTTTCCACACCTAAGTAACAAAAGGACCAGAGGCTACTCCCTTTGCAAACCCCCACCTTTCCTTTGCTGCAGATGGGAAATTGAAAGTACCTCTGATTGGCTGATTTTGGCAACCAATCAGACCTTTATATAGGAGTGTAACTTTATAACTTTAGTTCAGCTCAATCTGATTGATTGCCAGCCAGGTCACCGTTTGCATAGAAGTACAACTTTTTGACTTCACTTTAGCCTCTGATTGGTTGCTTTCTGCAACCACCAGATGTTTGCATAGGAATGTGACCTTTGTAAGTTCACTTCAGCCTCTGATTGGTTGCTTTCTGCAACCACCAGATGTTTGCATAGGAATGTGACCTTTGTAAGTTCACTTCAGCCTCTGATTGGTTGCTTTCCGCAACCATTCAGACTGATTGCAGGCCACCACTTCATTTACGTGAGGTAAGCACCAAGTGGCCAATGGGAAACCTCTAGGGGGTATTTGGACCCAAGAAGATTCTGTATCTGGGCCCTTGAGCCGCTGCTCAGGCCTGCTGCCACCCTGTGGAGTGTACTTTCGATTTCAGTAAATCTCTGCTTTTGTTGCTTCACTCTTTACTTGCTTTTTTTGTGCATTTTGTCCAATTCTTTGTTCAAAACGCCAAGAACCTGGACACCCTCCACCAGTAACACCTAGACTGAAAGCTTATCTAAATATATGTTTGCTTAGAAGTATCAGGGACCAAATCTCAAAACAAAACAGGCACTCTCTGGAATTCCCCACCAGGAGATTGTCTCAAGACAACAATTAATTCACAATCCAATTCTATCCATGATGGTGCAGACCAGACCATCAGATGGCATCACTCAATATAAGTCATCCAAGCGAGTCACGTAGACCCCGCACCTCCTTGCCCTTCACACCAACTTTCCCTTTTTAAGCCCTTGCTTTCTTCCCTGAAAGTTAAATCAGTTCCCTTAAGGCAGGAGCCTGTTCTGTTTCCCCACTGCTAAGCTCTGGAATAAAAGTCACTTTCTTTTTACCACCCTCGTCCTTGTTATTCAATTTTGCAAGCAATGAGCAGCTTAGCCTGCGTTTGGTTACAGTAAGAGGAGGAAGGAGGAGAGAAACCAGTGGGAAGAGAGAAGTCTTAGAGACACCAGTTTGGGGAGATGATAAGTTTCCCAAAAAGACCAGTGAAGTTCCAAATTATCCTCAGCAAAACCATGTCAACAAGAAGGAGTTGGACAGTGTAGGTGGAGCATATAGTCAGTAGGAATTCAAGAATGGTGTTTCAGTTGACTCAGAAGTTCCTGTGGGAAAAACAGGATCAAATAGAACAGAGAGGCCTCACAAAGTAACAAGGAAAAAATTTCCAGCCTGGGCAACATAGTGAGACTCTGTCTCTACAAAAAAAAAAAAAAAAAAAAAGATTAAAATTAGCCGGGCACAGTGGCGTGTGCCTGTACTCCCAGCTACTCAGGGGTGCTGAGGTGGGAGGATTGCTTGAGCCTGGGAGGTTGAGGCTGCAGTGAGCCATGATCACACCACTGCGCTCCAGCCTGGGCAACAAAGGAAGACCCTGTCTCAAAAAAAAAATTTTCCAGCCCAAAGAATCAATGAATAATTCCCACTCAAAATAGAAAGCCAGAAAGAAAAGCTTTCAGCCCAGGGAGCCAGAGAATAATCCCCACTCAAGACAGAGATCCAGGAAGGAAACCATCCAGCCTAGGAGATACCTTTCAAAACAAGCCTGGAACTCTAACCTGCTTCAGAGAGTATACTCAGAATCTTAAGAATCAAATCAATCCTTACCAGCTTTAACAGAAGTTTGCCTGGAACAATGGTTCAAAAGTCTGACTTAGCAGTGGATCCCAAATCAATCAGTCAGGAGTGAAGGAAAGGGCTTAAAAGGTGCACATTTGAGGTCCGCAGTGATAGGTCCAGGAGTCCAATGATGAATCTGATCCTATAAAAGTCACAGCATCATTACTGTTCAATTTTTTTAAATGACACTTGTTAAAGATGGTGAGAAAGACTGTGTTCAAGGGGGAAATATCAAGATAAGTATAGGAATCACTGCAATGGCATCTTGCAATGGGGGAGATAGATTGAGATCAGCTAAAATACAATGTGGGCAAGTGGGAATTTAGAGCCAAGGAACAAGGTGGGAGTCAATGGATGGAAATTAACTAAGAGGAAACATCAGGCATAATGGAAGATTTGGGCCAAACCGACCTAACATTATTTTTGCTGAAGGCACCAGGGCGATCAAACATCACCTGGGAGATGGTGGAGGATGAGGAACCAGATTAGATATTGAGAGTGCTTGGATATGGGGGATGACTAAATAGACTTAGCAGGACTTAGCAATTTCCTTGCTGAAATCGGACAATGCAGAGACAAACTCAGAAATCCAAAACTCCAGGCCTAGTTGAAAAAGAGCTCAAGGGAACCTGAGTAAAATTCGGTCAATAAGAGAATCTTTGTCAGCACTAGAATTCTGGGATGAATAAAACAGAGGTCCTTCCTTCCAGGAGCTCAGTGTAGTGGGGAATAAAAACATGCTCTCTAATCCCAGCTACTTGGGAGGCTGAGGTGAGAAGATCGCTTGAGGCCAGGAGTTCCAGACCAGCTTGGGCAAGGTAGCGAGACTTCATCACTAAAAAATACAATTTTTATTACATAATATATATATTATATACAATATATATTAATATATTAACATATATAATATATAACATATATATTATATATAATTTTCTTTAATGATAACACAAGACAAGGAAATTCCAGTGAGTATGAGGTGTTTGGCCATGTGTGCTCCAGCAGAAGGTGAAAGGGAGAAGAAGGAGACCAGGGCAACTTATGAAGGGACGTGATGAAGAGTAAGAATGTAAGGGAGTAGGTAGGATGCATAAGGGATCCATCAGCTAGATGGATTGAAAGGGTGAAAACACAAGGCAGGCAGAGAGGAAATGTGAATAGACAGAAGTAAGATGTCAGGGACTCTGCAGGCAGGTGAGCTCACTCACTTCTGCCACAGGCTCTCCTCCCTCTCCTTATTGAGGAGGCTAGGCCACAGCTTGTCATACCCATAGGGGTGTGGGTAGCTGCCATAATTGGCGGACCAGAAGACAGAAGCTAAGGGGATGCCATGTGGGGCAGAGGGCCACCCTAGAAAGCACGACCACTAGTGTGAGCGGTAGGACTGGTTTCAAGAGCCTTGGCAGAGGCCACCCAGCTGATGGCTGAGGCCATTCCAGTCCCTAGGCCATGGGCAAGAGTGAAAGTGAAAGCAGCAGTCCTGCAGGGAGTGGGCAGATTTGCTGGGCTTGGGGCTTTTCCAACAACTTTGACATTTCCTCCAGAGCCCAAGGACTCCCAGATACCTCACTGCTGCTGTGGGATAAGGGGATAAAGAAAAAAGCCAGTAGGGCAACTGGGTCCCTGTCTCCTTCCAGTTCCACATGACATTCAAGTCTAAGCTAAACAGGAGACCTTGTCCTTTCTCTGCCTCATTCCGAAACGACTGAAGGAAGTGTTACCAAAACACCAAGGCTACCGTCTAAGTCCTGCTGCTCACTGCACAGAAAGCCAATCACAGAGACAGTGAGTATTGCCAAGGAAAAAGGCTATAATCGGATGCTGCAGCTGAGATGGAAGCTCAGTCTCAAATCCATCCCCCGAACCCACTAAAACTACGGGTTTATATAGCAGGGAAGAAATTTAACAATGTATAAGAAAACAGGAACTAGGGAGGGGCAAGGAAGCAATCAAGATGAAAGAGGGGTCTAGCATCTCACTGTCTGGATGTAGTGATCTGGTGAGTTTCAGTTCTTTGATCCCTTTTTTTTGAGAGGCCTGAAGGTTGCTTCCTGAGGAAGGAACTCAGATAAAACAAATGTAAGGTTCAAACTTTAACACCAGAAGGGTCCATTTCTATTTTTATCAAAATGAACAGTCCTTGGCAGGGTTCCCCAACCCCTGGGCCACAGAGCAGTACTGGTCTGTTGCCTGTTAGTAAATGGGCTGCACAGCAGGAGGTGAGTGGTAGGTGAACGAGCACTACCGCCTGAGCTCTGCCTCCTGTTGGATCAGCGGTGGCGTTTTATTGTCATAGGAGCGCGAACCCTACTGTAAACTGCACATGCAAGGGATCTAGGTTGCGTGCTCCTTATGAGAATCTAACTAATGCCTGACGATCTGAGGTGGAACAGTTTCATCCCAAAACCATTGCCCCGCCCACCAAGTCCATGGAAAAATTGTCTTCCACGAAACCAGTCCCTGGTGCTGATAAGGCTGGGGACCACTGGTCTATAGAACTGTTGGGTCGGTTTCAGAAGGACCACAGGTCACAAGACGTATTTCACTGAGCAGCTGTTTCAACAATACAGTCAGTTCAGTTTGTGTTTCGTGTGTGTTTACATCAGGTATTATATAGAGCACACTGTCACATATATCTGTATATAGATAATATATATATGAGTGTATATAACATATGCATGTGTATAATTATAGGGATGGCTCAAATCAAAGTACCTAATGTTTTCCTTAATCTCCTAAATTAAAAGAAAAATATAAATGGGATGAATGGATGAGAAAAAAAGGACAAAGTATTTAAAGCATTTCCTATGAAAATGACATGTTTATATGAGAGTTGCAATAAAAATACGGAGTGCTGAGTCAAACTACTGATAAACAACAAATATTTTTAGATAACTGTGTCTCATGCAATATTTGGGACATACTTTATACAAAAATATTTGTTGCTTATTTGAAATTCAAATACAAGTGAGTGTCCTGCAGTTTACCTGACAATGCAGAAGGGGAACATCACACACTGGGGCCTGTTGTGGGGTGGGGGGAGGGGGGAGGGATAGCATTAGGAGGTATACCTAAGTTAAATGACGAGTTAATGGGTGCAGCACACCAACATGGCACACGTATACATATGTAACAAACCTGCACATTGTGCACATGTACCCTAAAACTTAAAGTATAATAAAAAAAAGATTATTTCCTATACTTCAAAATCAACAAGATTTGATTGCATTTAAATTTTTCTGTCCATTTGTTCTTCTATGTAATACTTTAAAAATAATTGGCATAAAAATTCAATCAATTCATAAAAGTCCAAAGCAAAAAAAAACAAATCTACTGACATCTCTTGAGGAAGAAATGATCAGGATTGACATTAATGAACCCTCTCACAGAGACCACTACACACACACACAAAAAGAAGGATGGGTGAATGGATGCAGAGAGAATTTAATAAGACTGAAATGATGCCATACATGCTTTTAAAAAATAAAAAGTATTAAATTTTAAATTTTACTTCAATATAAGAGAAGAAAAAGAAAAAAAGGGAGATTGAAAGAACTGCTGAACTTCAGGAAGTTCTACTTGATCACAAATTGATACTAGTTTTATAAAATTCCCTTTTTCTTCTCAAGGGTGCCCTGCCCTTCCAGCCTGGTGCCTTGCCCCTTGAGGCATAATATTTCTGAAAACTGTCCAAAGGACCTGCATATTGTTAAGAACAGCTGCAAAATGTACCAGAGAGAAAGATCAGGTGAGCTGGTGCCTAATTCATTACTGTGAGGTCTCCTCTCTTGGACACTTGTGAAGTCTTGGTCATCAGTGCTCTGAACCTTAAGATCAGAACCAAGTAAAGAGAATGAAAGATAAAGTTAGAGAAACTTCAGGTAGGGATGGAAGGCAGAGAGCAAAGCATATATGGGCACGGGACTTACAATAAGGAACAGCAGGACAGCACAATGGCATTCTTGGATTGTTGGCTTTAGAAACGCTGTCAATTATATTCTACTGCTCCAGAGAATGAAAATTGCTTAAAATTGGCTTCTCAGGCAGAGTTTACAAACTAGCAGCTCCAGCCTGAGTCTGTTCTGCAGACCTGATTTAGATGGCCAGCATACTTTTCAATAAAACATATTTCAGTTAGTTACCAACATTTAAAGAACTGAAGGTTTCATATCAACATTATAATTTGTGGCCAATCTTGAAAAACTGAAAAATCTGGCAGTCCTGGCCCAACATTGCCAGCCAGCAACACTAAGCTGGAGCTGAATACTGGCTGCCCCTTTGGAAGAGACATATTCTTTCCCAGTTTGCCACAGTCCCTACCCTGCTTGCTTCTCTCTTTTATGTTACCTGTCTGGCCTTGTCAACATTTGAATTTACAACTCTGATTATTACAATTTTTCTATTATGCAAACTGTCAGACATATACAAAAGCAGAGAGAATGGTAAAGATGAACCCTATTTGTACCCATTATCCAGTTTCAACAATTATCATAGACAACCTTGTTTCATGAATACCCTAACCAATTCTCAAACACACTTGGATCTCCCCCTGGATTTTTGTGATGCACATCTAGACGTCACATCATTTCATCAGTAAATATTTCAGTGTGTATCTCCAAAAGAACCAAATGTGTGACTCCTAACCAGGCTTATTCTGTTATGTCACATATTCCATGGGTTATACTGTGGTGAGAGGATATATTACAGAGTAATAGTAACAAATATTTCTGAGGTCTTACTCTGTGACTAGGTATTGTGCTAGGTACTTACATATATTGTCATTTATTCCTCTTCTCAATTCTATGGCATAGACAATGCTTTTATTCCCATCTTATCGATAATCTTCACATAGATGTCCTCCCTAATATATATACACATATGTATTTGTGTGTATATATATACACACATACATACAAACACATATACTGCATATTATTTATTTATATTTATATACAATATAACATATTTAGATACTTCATACTGATATTATTCACATACATATTTAATTGTATTAATATATAGGAACTAGAAAAGTAGTTTGGTTCTACTTTCTTTGGCCTTTTTTGAAATCGTGTATGCTCTGATAATGGGAAATTTCCCTAAGCTGAGGTTTTCTTATCCCATTTTCTATTCGCAAAAACTCACAGTTTGAACTTATTTCGCAAACCTGGAAAAGGCAACAAAAACACACCAACTTCAGAATATCTAGGGCAATGGTATCTACCTCTTGAAGCAGATTGTAGAATGGCTGCCCTGCCAAATAAGTTTTTTCAGGTATAGTGACCTGCACACTGGTTTCAGTCATGCTCATGCATCTTACAAGTCCCTTTCTGGTGAGAGAAAACCACAAAGATTCAGTATTTAGAGTTGTGGATGAAACAAAATTTATGTTGTTCATTTCAAGCTTGCTTTTAAATACTTACCTCCCAACACCTCTCCCCGAGTACACTATTTTGTAATATCCAGATTGAGGCTTTCTTTAGGAATGATTTTCCCCCATAGTGAATGTAAGGGGGCACAAAAAAACTCAGGATTCCAGAAAAATAACACTTTTTGCACTACTCTGAAAAATCAAAAATATTATGAGCAAATTATCAAATATTTACATAAAACCAGAATTTGCCCATCCACTTGCACGACCATGCCTTACTCTCCTCACCCTGATCATGGTTCTTGTTCCAATCAAATTCTATTTATACAAACCTAGTTATCAGGCCAAAGTTTCCCCACTTGATTCATTTAAATGTTGCTTGAAAATATTTACCTTGGTGTCCAGGAGGCATTGCCTCCACCCTGAAGCCCAAGGGCAAACAGGCCCCAGCAGCCTTGAAACCCCTAGGTAGCTTTTGGCTCAGAAAGGTTTGGAAGGGGCCTGGGGAAAGAGAATAAGCCCTGAGCCCAGCCCCTGCTCCGTGAAAAGTCGGTGCCGCCTAAGCATGCCACTTACCTAACACGTCCGGGTATGGAACGAGTTGAAAAATGTTCTTCAGCTCCTGTAGTTGCACCAGTGTGAAAGTGAAGAGCCAGAGGAGCTGCTGACTGTCCTCAGGCTTTCTGAGTTCGTGGCCACTGCCACTGACGAGTTTCTCTTTGTCCATGGGGCCAGGGCCTGCCGCACTACCACGGCATTCTGCTGGTGCTGCTGGTGCGGCTGCTCCTAGTTTACATCTGGACGGTATTTTGCCCTCCTCGTTTTCGCCTGATACAATCACTGAGATCACGGGAGGAATCGCATCTGGAAAGGCGGAAAGGCAAAGAGAAAGATCAGAACACTGGAGGCCTGAGTTTATGGGCTGGAGGAGGTTAGGGGCCGCAAACTGAAAGCTGCACAAAGATAATCGGCTGTCGCAGGAAAAGGTAGTTTGCCTGAGTTCACTGGAGCACCTGTCACCATCCAGGCACTGACCATTAAGTTCTTCCCGGTCCTCGATTCCCAGGGTGCGATAACGGTGCCATCTTGGCTTCTCCTGGGCTGAAGTTTCAGTCCCTGCTGTTGATGAAACGGTGCGCCTCCGCAGACTCTGGGCTGCGATCTGCGGTAATCCCCGGTCCGGACAAGAAGTGCAACGCTTCTTGAGAAAAGTCCAAGTACTCCAAAATTTTGGCCATGACTCCACCACCTCAGAATGCAAGTGTAGACCGCAGCCCAGTGCTTAGTGCATCCAAGAATGTTAATGTTTACACTGCATGGGCTCTGGCCGCGACAGTGGCACATTGCATCCTCTGCTGTGCTCCACCTCCGGGCTTCTGGTTACAAGTACTCTACACAAGCTTAAGTGTTCCCTGTGTTGGGCTCCTGCTATGGGCCTGGGCAAGTTTCCACCTTTTCCCTGCCTCCTCCTCCTTCCACCTTTTCTCCCTTTTTCTAGAAATAAAATCCCAATCTTATGCTCAGAAATAAATAAAACTTTATTGTCAAATAAAAGAGGCAGGCCAAATTGAGGACTATGGTTCTGCCTTCAAGATGTGTTTTGCAGACGCTCCAGGAGATGTTAATATCCTGAGCACTGGAAATAGCTTCCAATAATAGGCCCTATGCTTGGTAACATACTATGATATTGGTCTACCGTATTTTTTCCTTTGCAACTATCATTATCTTCAGCACCATTTTATGAAAGAAACTAAACCATTTTCATGGGCTGCTAAGGGTGTCATTGGGCTTAGTTACCTTACCTACTGTACCTAATGGATAAGTGCCCCTGCCTCATATTTCTGCAAGATGGCTAAGAAATCAGCTTAAAAAAAAGTGATTAAACAATTCACTTTTAAAAAGATGTCAAGGGATGGCAATCTCACAACCTCTCTCTGACTTCAACCAAAATCTGACTTTTGTTGGAGTCTGGCCCCCTCTCCTTCTCTTAACTAATCAGTTCATGATCAATTTTCAGCCTTGGATCAAATGCTGCATGAGAGACATGTAAGAGTTTTAATCATGGAGTGCAGTAGACTAGCTGGGACGTCTGTGACAGCTTGATTTCTTCCACATCTCAGATTTCCACAGTGTACCCCGGTGTTTTCTCACCTTCAGTCACTCATAGGCATCTTAGGTGAGTGTTGTTGCCCTATGTGGGCACCAGAAAAGCTAGTACTTACTTAAATGTTTTACTTTAAATATAATTTAATTTTTAATTTTTGATTCACTCTTGAAAACCTTAAGTACCTAATGGAACCCTCATCCTAAGCAAAAATAGCCACAAATCACGGCCTGATGTAACAGATTTATGTGAGCAGTGACCCTAGAACCAGACTAGGTATCTGAATCATGGCTTCACTCACTACTTGCTAGCTGGCTAATCTGGTGAGCAGTTTATTCTCATTTTGCCTTGGTTTAATAATTTTTTAAATGGAGATAACAATCATACCTAATTCATAGAGGTGTTTTGAGGATTAATTGAGGTGCTTAATTATACAATTTCACAAATGACCATGCAGCCTCACATTTCCTACTTGACTCACTTTCATATTTTTTTATTCACAAGGGAGAGAGAGTGATTGTTCTCCTCTGGCAGCATGTAATAAAGATAGAGCATCTTCTTGTGAAAACAATACACGTACCATGTTTCTATGTACCTATATGTGCTTCCATCAATAAGCCTATGTTGGTTGCTGCATGTATGAGCCCTGGGCCAGGAAATGTGCCAGGAGAGTGTGTCTTTCACTCAGCAGACAGATTTTCTTCCTTGGCCTAATATATCTTATTCCTAGATACCAGAGCAAATAATAATGTAATAAGCATTACCATGTATTAAGTACCTACTCTGGACCCAACCCAAGAACAAGCAGTATGAAGGTGATAAGCAGGGGCACCATGGTGTAATTCACATTTTCATCATCAGATCACTCTGGCTGCTGGGTGGAGAATGTTTATAGGAGAAAAAAGGTGAAAGCAGGGAGACAGGACACTAATGCAATATCCCAGGTTTAAGATGATAGAGATTATCTTAAGCATGTCAGAGAAAAAAAATTAAAGGTTTGGGAATGTGTTTCTGAGGCGGAGTCAACAGGATTTGCTGATAAATTGACTATTTGGAGTTGAAGAAAAAGAATAAAACAGTCTATATATAACCAAGTACCTCTTTTTTAAAGAATCAAATGAATTATTTTTTCCTTTTTCCTTTCCTCACACCTCCTACTTAGCTCTTTGGGAATGCAATTATAAACTTTACCTTCTCTCCACCAGACACTCCCTACACAGCAAGCTTATCTAACTACATGTTTACTTAGAAGTTACAGAGACCGAACCTTAAAGCAAACCAGGAACCTCCAGAACTCTCTCCTACCAGGAGGCAAATTGAGATTGCCTCAACTTACAACCTAGCTCTGCCCGTGACGGTGCCAGCCAGACCACCTGATAGATAAGACATCCGAAGCAAGTCACATAGACTCTGCACTTCATCGCCCTCTCCCCTGCATGCCATTCACGCCAAGCCCCACTTTCAAAGCTCCTGCCTTCTGCCCCAAAGGCTTTAGTGGCTTCCTCAAGGCAGCCTGTACTACTTCCCCTCAACTAGCTCTGGAATAAAGCCACTTTCTTTCTACCAGACGTCGTTCTTGTTCACTGGACTTTGCAACTGGTGAGCAGTCGGAGCTGTGTTCAGTTACATGTATGCCTTGCCTCATTGAACTCTCATGAAAACCCTATGATCGAGACACTGTTGTTATCTCCATTTTATAGGTGAGGAAGCTGAGAACCAGATAGATTCATCCAGTGTCCTAGGACACACAGTGAGTCATGCTTCGGATCTGTGCTCCTAGCTGATGCCTCCCATTACTGGTAGTCCTTTCCTGCTCCCCACAATGTACATTTATTCATTTCTTTTTCTATTTTCTTATTATCTTTCTATTTTTCTTCTTCTTCCTCTCTCTTCTCTCACTAGGGATAGAACGCAAGGATCTCACTTAGCCCAGTGGATGGCAGTCAATTAATGGAGCGAGTGGCTTAGTCCTTGTCATGCTGCCAAGTGCAAGGGCCTTTCCATGCTCAGAATCACCATGAAGACGAGAGCTATCTCTCTTGGTAGGCTACAGACTCAAAGGGTCTGCATATTTATATATGCTGCCAAAAAAACCTCAAATAACCAATAGATATAAATAGATACAGAAAGTTTTTAAAAGAACATTTAAAAATAAAATTTTTAAAAATATTTTTAAAAAACAAAATAAAGTATATAACATCACTTAAGAGCACACACACAATCTCTAGAAAAATTAAGGATTCATGAGTTGTCCACCCTCAAAAGACATCTCCATGCCCTTCCTCATGACAGACTCTCTTAGCGCTTTCCTTTCTTTCATTTTCATTTTATTTCTTATTTTATTATTTATTTTAAAGAAAAGGGGCCTCTGTCTGTTGCCCAGGCTGGAGTGCTGCCATGTGATTCTAGCTCACCACAGCCTCAAACTCCTGGGTTCAAGTGATCCTCCCATCTCAGCCTCCTGAGTAGCTGGGACTAGTGCAGGAGCCACTGCACCAGGCTCTTCAGGGTTTTTCTTCGTAATTGGGCTTATTGGGGTCAGTGGTAGGAAGGCTGTGTAGTTACAAGGCTCTGTGGAGCAGAAGTGGCCCCACATCCAGTAAGCTGCATATCCTTAAATCCCAAATCTCCATCCCAAGATTGGAGATTTTTGGCAGGTATGCCCTTACTGGTGCTCTTCCTATACCATCCCCGATTTTATTTATTTATTTATTTTTTGCTTGTCCTTATAGCACTCCATTTTGCCATGAGTACAGGTTTCTCTTGCATAGCCAAAGATATTCAGTCTCAGGCTAACAGATTCAGCCTCGTGTTTATTCTGTGTTGACTTTCTCAAAGGGTGCGTTAGATTTCTTGCAGAGCACATCTTACCACCCAGAATGCTCTGCATGCCCATCTCCAAGATCCCGATCCCAGCACTGAAGAGAGCATGGCAGCTCTGCTTTCAGTGCCTTTGCTGGAACTCTGAACAAGCAGCCCCCAGTCAATCATTTCTGCTTAATTAATAGCCCGCGCCCTGTGCATGCTGCCAAATATGGAGGGTCAGGCCATGAGATATTCTCCAAACTTTTACTCAAGGCGTCCTATGGTCACCGTGAGATCTCACCTCCCCTCTGAGCCCCCAAATCAGCTTTCCTCAGGGTAATAACTAGGCCCGAGTAGGGTGTAGTCAGCAAAGCTGCAAGCTGGGGCCCCATGTTGCATACATATATGCCTCCTATTGGCCCTTTTCTTCTCCACACTGCCCCTGTGTTTTGGCCACCCCACTCCACCCTCAACTGCCACCCCCACCCACGACCCATACCACACCCCTCACCCCCACCCACAACCCCTACCCCCACCACGCACCCTCCACCCACACCTCCCATCTCCACCCGCTACCCCCACCCCCACCATGTACCCCCACCGGCAACCCCCACCCCAACCCACAACCCCTACCCTCACCCGCAACCCCCACCCTCACTGTGCACCCCCCACCCTCCACCCACACCCCCATCCCCACCTGCACCCCACCCCACACTCACAACCCCCCACTCCCACCTGCAACACCCCCACTCCCCACCCGCACCCCCCAACTTCCCATCCCCCCACTCCTCTCCATTCCCTCTCTTGCTTGTGCGCATAAGCAAGTCCCACTCATTGCAACTGTAACCAATACCAAGCATGAGAACAGGAACTAGCTCCACCCTCTAACCCCCACTCCAGCTGCAGACGCCACGGAGTTTGTGCAGGGGCGCAGCGCTCCAGCCATGGCGCGTTCGCTCGTCCACGACACCGTGTTCTACTGCCTGAGTGTATACCAGGTAAAAATAAGCCCCACACCTCAGCTGGGGGCAGCATCAAGCGCAGAAGGCCATGTTGGCCAAGGAGCTCCAGGCCTCATGGGTAATATGAACCCTGAGGGCGGTGTGAACCACGAGAACGGCATGAACCGCGATGGCGGCATGATCCCCGAGGGCGGCGGTGGAAACCAGGAGCCTCGGCAGCAGCCGCAGCCCCCGCCGGAGGAGCCGGCCCAGGCGGCCATGGAGGGTCCGCAGCCCGAGAACATGCAGCCACGAACTCGGCGCACGAAGTTCACGCTGTTGCAGGTGGAGGAGCTGGAAAGTGTTTTCCGACACACTCAATACCCTGATGTGCCCACAAGGTAAGTGGCCTGCTCCAGGAGCCACGAGATCTCCAAGTTCGTTTCGAGGCATCTTTTTCTCTCCCTTGCCCCACCCAATCATGAGGAAAAAGCCACTGGGGGTCCTTGCCTGCCTTTGTGCTGGTGTGGAGGGGGATATTTACCTCCTGGGCATCAAGGTAAATGTTTTATTGCAATGTTTATGTGAATGAAACCTGGAAACTAGTCCGTGCCTCCCTTTTATAAAGATGTGGTAAAATACACGGAAATATGAAATTTACCGTCCAAACCACTTTTTAAGTATAGAGTTCAGTTGTGTTAAGTATGTTCACATTGTTGTGCAATAGATCTCTAGAATTCTTCTCATCTTGCCAAGCTAAGTCTCTATACCAGTTAAGCAACTCCCCTTTTCCCCCTTTCCCCAGCCCTTGGCAACCACCATTCTACTATTTTATGTCTCTATGATTTTGACTACTCTAGGTATCTCATGTAAGTAGAATCATACAGTATTTGCATTTTTGTCACTGACTTATTTCACTTAGCATAAGGTCTTCAAGGTTCATCCATATCGCAGCATATATTAGAATTTCCTTCCTTTTTAAGGCTAAATAATATTCCATTTTATAGATACAGGTGCACACCAACAGTACATGGGGGTTCCAGTTTCTCCACATCCTCACCAACACTTGTTATTTTCTGGGGTTTTTTACATAGCCATCCTAATGGGTGTGAGGTGATACTTCATTGTAGTTTCGATTTGCTTTTCCCTAATGATTAGTGATGTTGTGCATCCTTTCATGTGCTTAGTGGCCACTTGTATATCTTCTTTGGAGAAATATCTCTTTAAGTCCTTTACCCATTTTAAAATCTGAGTGGCTTTTTCTTTCTTTCTTTCTTTTTTTTTGGTTATTGGGTTGTAGGAGTTCTTTATACACTCTGGATATTAACCCCTTATCAGATGTGATTTGCAAATATTTCCTTCCATTCTATGAGTTGTCTTTTTACTCTGTTCATTGCATCTTTTGATATACAGAAGTTTTAAATTTTGATATAGTCCAAGTTATGTATTTTTTCTTTTATTACCTGTGATGATGGCCTGTTTTTGTTGTTGTTGTTGTTTTTGTTGAGTGGGGGATCTGTCACCCAAGCAATCCTCCCATCTCAGCCTCCTGAGTTGCTGGGATTATAGGAGTGAGCCACCACACCCAGCTGTGGTCTGTTTTTATAAATAAAATTTTATTGAAATTGGGGTAAGGAGAATGAGGTACTGTCATGCAACTACAGTGCTAGATCCTTCCTTTATTTAAAATTTTGATAATTTGTTCATCATAGTTTTTTTTTGTTTGTTTGGTTGGTTTTTTGTTTTTCTGGTTTTTTTGTTTTGTCTTGAGACAGAGTCTCTCTCTGTGGCCCAGGTTGGAGTGCAGCAGTGCGATTTCAGCTCTCTGCAACATTTGCTTCCTGGGTTCAAGCCATCCTCCCGTGTCAGCCCCCTGAGTAGCTGGGACTGCAGGCACAGGCCACCACACCTGGCTAATTTTTGTATTTTTTTTGTGTGTAGAGATAAGGTTTCGCCGTGTTGCCCAGGCTAGTCTCAAACTCCTGGGCTCAAGCAATTTGCCTGCCTCGGCCTCCCAAACTGCTGGGATTACAGGCCTGAGCCACAGTGCCTGGTCCTCATCACAGATTTTTGCATTAATTGTTATTTATTAAAATAGTGCATTAGGGCCAGGCACGGTGGCTCAGGCCTGTAATTCCAGCGCTTTTGGGAGGCCAAGGTGGGAAGGTTGCTTGAGTCCAGGAGTTCAAGAACAGCCTGGGCAACATGGCAAAACCCCGTCTCTAAATAAAACTTAAAAAATTAGCCATGTGGGTGTGGTGGTGTGTGCCTGTACTCCCAGCCACTTGGAAGGCTGAGGCAGGAGGATCGTTCGAGCCCAGGACATGCAGGCTGCAGTGAGCAGTGATCCTGCCACTGCACTCCAACATAGACGACAGTGAGACCCTGTCTCAAATAATAATAATAAAAATAATAATAATGCATTAAATTATTCATCTTGGCCGGGTGCGGTGGTTCATGCCCCAAATCCCAGCACTTTGGGAGGCTGAGACGGGCAGGAGTTCGAGACCAGCCTGGCCAACATGGCAAAACCCCATCTCTACTAAAAATACAAAAATCAACTGGGCATGGTGGTATGTGCCTGTAATCGCAGCTACTCGGGAGGCTGAGGCACGAGAATCGTCTGAACCCCGGAGGCGGAGGTTGCAGTGAGCTGAAATCACACCACTGCACTCCAGCCTAGGAGACAGAGTGAGACCTTGTCTCAATTTAAAAAAAAAAAGGTATTTCTCTTGATTACTGAGTTGTTAACGTCACCTTAAATTTCGTGATGAGGGTAAACCATTTCTAAAGCAACCATGGAGCTGGGAATTAGAGAAAAGTATATACTTGGGGGAGGTGTGAGGGGAGATTATAAATTGTAAAACAAGCATGAAGTAAATAGTACATACTATATATTTCATTTCATCCACAACTTTGAATACTAACCATGTGTGATCTTCTCTCCACAGAAGGGAACTTGCCGAAAACTTAGGTGTGACTGAAGACAAAGTGCGGGTCAGTACACTTGAAAAAGCAATTTGAGAGGACAGCCATTCTAAAACCTGCTTCAGGGCATTGAAGGCTTTGAAGGCTTTGTCCTGAACGTTCTAAAGTTGTTGTTTTTATTATTGTCTTTTTTATGTTGACAAATAAGTTTTGAAGTTTGGGTTCCTTGTCGGTAGAAAAGGAAGTAAGCTCCAGCTTATGGTTCTTTCCTCTTTCCCATTCCAATTAGGGAATATGATTTCCTAAAGGAAAAACAAAACAAAAACTGCTTCTCCTAATCTGTATACAAAATTAAACAAATACATACATATGAAACACATATATTATACATATATGTATTATATATAATACATATGTGTATTATATATAATACATATATGTGTATTATATATAACACATATATGTGTATTATATATTATACATATGTGTATTATATATAATATATGTGTATTATATATAATACATATATGTATATATATCATACATATATACATATATGTATGTATCCAATAAATAAAATTCAACTCCTTCTAACGCTGGTATCTTTTAGGAACAATTTCTGTGTAGAGTCATGGTGGGGTTCAGTCTTACCTTAGAAGTATTCAAGTTAATGCAGGGAGGAGCAGGGTTATAAGAGGGTTCAAGTGTACTAAATTATTTAAGGCCAGGCATAAACACTTAGCTAAATGAGTGAATTTATAAATATTGGGATGAGGGAGTAATTCACCCACAGAACACATTACATGACTAAATAATGTATACTTAGTTAAGCTGAGACTGATGGGAAGATAGCTTATATGTCCAAGCCCCTGGTCCTTCTTTGTTTGTTTTTAAGTTATTGGTAAAGCAGTATAGAGAGTGGCAGCCCTAAGTTTTAATTTTCTAAAATACTTTGATGTGTCAACCTGAAAATATTGCTAAAATAGTCACATTATTTTGAAATTGAGGAAGGTTTGTAAGGTTTGTATGCTTTGGAAAATTGTCTAAAGAATGAAGCAAACAAAATGAGTAATATTGAATTCATTTCAGTTGACCAAGAAGGGTGAAAAGGTTAGAGAGAAATATGGTCAAAATAGGCTTTGCACATACTATGCATGTACTATACAAATTCAACATTATGAAACTACTAAATGTTTAAGTGACTGTTCTCTTGAGGAATTTCTATCCATCTAAGGATTTATATTTCTTTTTGGTGGTACTTTTTTGAAGAGGTGGGTTTTCTGGAATTTGTTTGGAGAGGTGGCCCTCATTTTAGGGTAGATTCACACCCATGTTAATTTCAAATACTTTTCATTCCTTTAAGCAGTGTTAACTAATTAGTAGGTCATAGGATTCAAGTGATGACCACTTAAGACCAAAGAAAACCATACATAGTATCAAAGTGATGTTTTCCCAAAAAAGAAAAAACAAAAATCAGGATGACCTTATTATTAGCTTTTATGCAGAGTGCATGTGTGAGTGTAGTGAGGGAAATGCACTGCCGATCTGGTAGTGGGTTGTCCAAAAAAGCAAACTAACAAAGCGGGTTACTGAGTGCTGGCATCCTAATGGCAAAGGGTGGACTCACAATCACACCTGGTTCGGGTTGGAGAAGTTGAAAAGAGGTTGGGATCACTTTTCTCCAGCTGGTAAGGCAAACTCAGAGGAAAAGAAAAACAAGGCTTGGTGAGTTGTTTTTCTCCTCCCTGAGTCGACATAATGTTCTCTCCTTAGTGCTCTGAAAAGAATATGAGCCACAAGATACAAATAAGGGAAGAGACAGAATGCTCTCATGTATCTCCAAACTATACAGCATAAATTTCCCCCAAGAAAGTAATACATAGTTTCCCCATAGCTTTTGCAGATGTAATGCAACTGGTTTATGAAACCAGTATTGGGAATGCAGACCTAGTATCAGAACATACCAGTTAACCCACTGTACACTTTGGTTATGTTTATAGAGATTTGACCAGTGGTACACTTGAAAGCTCCCAAAATGAGCTCTTTTAGACTTTTAGAGACTGGCCTCATGCAGCAGAAATACTGCAAATCCTTAACTGGGAAAGTGAAAAAGACGTGTCAGGTAGAGAAAGAAGGCCCTTTGTGCAGCTTACAATTTGCAGTTTGAGAACTTTTGAAAGTAATAAATACAATATAAACTCCGTTAACTAGGTTGCTGAGAGGATAGTGACATCTAACTGACAGGCTTTTTTTGTCTGTTTGCTTTTTAATTGTTGGCAGATATTTAGGGAGGAGCCATATTTGTGACCCTTCCCCCACATTGATGTTAACCATCTTCCTAAAATGCTGGTTCCACCTTTCTGCCTTAGGAATAGGGGGTGGGATTCAGATCTCCTGGTTGAGTAGCAGGGCCTAGGGGGCCCTGCCTTACTGGGCTACAGCACCTCCAGTCCAGGATCCTGGAGCTGTAGGTAAAACAGAGTGAGCTGACCTTGTCCTGAGCCCAGGAAGGTTTGGAGAGTGCAGCAGATTGGAGAACGAAGATTTGGCATTGGTGACAATGGTATGCCTCTTTCCCCTAAACTATTGGGTGAGCAAAGATTTTTGAGAGTTTCAGTTAATTTGGGTCGAGCTGGTTTCAACTTTCCTTAATGCTACAGGCTAAAATATCAAGGCAGTGTCCAGGCCTCTCTTGCCAGAGGACGAATGATCCCTTAGACATCCTGGAAGGAAACCTGTCTAAAATTCCAGTGCGCTCTTTCCTATTATTTACTACATACTAAAGATGGATTTTTTAAACAATCCCCTGAAAATGATTTGAAATTAGGCCCACTTTTTACCATGCCGAACTTCTCCCACAAACAAGATGAAACTCTCCCTAGTGAGGAGGGAGCAGGAGGCAGCTGGATAGTTGATGGTCACTTGTCAGATGCACACCTTTTGTTACCCTGTTGCCAGGCATTGAATTAACAAACAGCAAGGACCTGGAACAACTCATAAGCCAGAACTGCATCCAATATCTGGAAGTAACCATTAAAGAATATTAAAATTGGGGCTGGGCACAGTGGCTCACGCTTGTAATCCCAACACTTTGGGACACCAAGGTGGGAAGATCACTTGAGGCCAGGAGCTCAAGTCCAGCCTGGGCAACATAGCGAGACCCTGTCTCTACAGAAAAATTAAAACAGCTGGGCATAGTGGCATGTACCTCTAGTACCAGCTACTTGGGAGGGTGAGGTGGGAGGATCTCTTGAGCCCAGAAGTTCAATGTCACAGTGAGCTATGATTGCACCACTGGATCCCAGCCCAGGCAAAACAGCAAGACCCTGTCTCAAAAAATAAATAAATAAATAAATAAATAAATAATAAATAAATAAATAAATAAAATGGAGAAGAGAGATACAAAGTAATAAGCTTATTCCAGGACTTGGCACAAAGCTGGTCCTCACTAAGGGTGAGCTGAAGGGCCACGGGCTATGTTGTTAACTTTCCTAAGGTATTTTAGCAATGAGGAAATAGCTTTTCCTGATGCAGTTTAAAATCTCAATAGCATATAAAGTTGCATCCTGTGTTTTTCTATTACGACATTAACTGTTCAATATACTAAACCAATCCCCTTTTCCCTCTGATTGTAGGTTTGGTTTAAGAATAAAAGGGCCAGATGTAGGCGACATCAGAGAGAATTAATGCTCGCCAATGAACTACGTGCTGACCCAGACGACTGTGTCTACATCGTCGTGGACTAGCCCTAGAATGCCATCCTTCTTCAGGAGCTAGTTTGGAGATGGGTTTTTCTGGTGCCACTGACACCTGGGCTGCCCATGCCGCTCAGGCTACCCTTATCTCCTCTGCACTTATGTTATCAATAAAGAGGCAAATTCTCAATATATTTGTTTTTGTGTGCCAATTGTGGTTAGTAGGGTATAGGTGCAAATTGTTTTTAAAAAGCCATTTAAGGCCAGGTGCAGTGGCTCACACCTGTAATCTTAACACTTTAGGAGGCTGAGGCGGGTGGATCAGGAGGTCAGGAGTTCAAGACCAGCCTAGCCAAGATGGTGAAACCCTGTCTCTATCAAAAATACAAAAAAATTAGCTGGATGTGGTGGCAGGCACCAGTAATCCCAGCTATGCGGGAGGCCTGAACCCAGGAGGCAGAGGTTGCAGTGAGCCAAGATCGCACCACTGCACTTCAGCCTGGGCAACAGAGTGAGACTCCATATCAAAAAAAAAAAAAAAGAAAGCCATTTAAACAAAATGACAAGGAGATCTTTCATGAAATGACATCCCTGGCTTGCCATCAACAATAGGCCCTGCACATCACAGAAGTTTACCAAGCGTCATTGTGAGTTTGCACTGACCCATACATCCTT
This sequence comes from Homo sapiens, assembly GCF_000001405.40. Taxonomy (NCBI): domain Eukaryota; kingdom Metazoa; phylum Chordata; class Mammalia; order Primates; family Hominidae; genus Homo; species Homo sapiens. Next base: position 120,108,567 of record NC_000023.11, on the reverse strand, counting down.
CTCCACTCCCCCTCCCTACCCCTGCCATTATGCCATCCTCACCACCTTGCCCCTTTAGGGACCACAAATATGTGCAAGAAGGGGTGAAGCAGATTCCTGGTGAGACAACAGTGTATTCCCAGATAAAGCTGAGTTCCAGTTATGCTGACTAGTTCAGTCCAAATTCTGGACTCTAAAGAGAAACTTCCTAGGTGGCTACTCATAGGATTTATGGGAAGGTGGCAGCTGAACGTTGATCCACTCCACTATGCTCCAAATTCTGTTCACTGCCCTCCCTTTTTGTGGGGGACACAGGGGAATAGGAGCTATTCTGCCCCAAAGATCCTGCTGCTTCAAAAGAAACACAAGCAAAAATTTCATTAAGCCCAAAAAGAGGCTCTTCTCCATTTTCTCCCCTCCCCCCGGCCCAGAAAGCATATTGTTATACCTTCCCTAGCTCAAAAGCAGATGAACAATCCTTTAAGTTTATTTTGTCATCTTCAACATCTTCGAGAGAATCCCACTTCCTGCTGATTACAAGGTGAAAGGGGACCTTTTCATTTAGTGCTGCTCAAAGAAGAGTAAGAAGATGGTACCCTGAGCAATGTTCCAGAATATCCACTCACTGGAACGAAGCTGTCAGACCTCTGCTTTGTTCATGCTATTGTAAACCAAAAATAAAATTCGAAGCCCCACAACTATCTGAATGGATCCCTCCTCTCAGCCAAGGGCATTCCAAAGTTAACCTGAAAAACTTATTCAGGTCATGACAGGAAGTAGGCGTCAGACATGCCTTATTATTCCCTACTCCCTTTTGGAATTCGTGTACAGCTGACCAGTCTTAACGTTAGAACAGAACTTAAGACTAACATACTCTGTGGCAATAAGACACCAATTTCCAGCCTAACTCTAGTATAGCATCACATGACAGATAGCAAGGCTTGAAAGAAATCAAAAGTATTTTACCCTATGTGTTTCTTTGTCATATTTTGAAACAGTCCTGCAAAGCTGTCTCTTGTGGGGGGAAATGTACATTCTCAAGAGAATCCCCTTTCTTGTGCAGGCCTTTTTCTTGATCCAGGAGAGAATCAACTCAAGTAAGAAACATTTACAATCTATTCTCTCTGAAGCCAGCTACCTGGAGGCTTCCTCTGCATAATGGGAACCTTGGTCTCCACAACCCCTTATCTTAACACAGACATTCTCTTGTATTGATTCTTGGTCTTTAGACAATAATGTAACTTTTCAACCAATTGCCAATCAGAAAATCTTTGAATCTACATATGACCTAGAAGCTCCCACTTCGAGTTTACCCACCTTTCTGGACAGAACCAATGTTGTACATCTTACATGTATTGATTGATGTCTTATGTCTTCTTAAAATGTGTAAAACCAAGCTGTAACCCAACCACCTGGGGCACACATTCTCAGGATCTCCTGAGAGTTTTCACAGGCCATTGGTCACTCATATTTGGCTCAGAATAAATCTTTTCAAATATTTTACAGAGTTTTACTCTTTTCATCAACACGATCTTCTTTGTGCAAAACTTCCAGGATAGAAAGAAAACAAAAACAAAAATAAATTAGGAAGATGAAGAGGCCCAGCCCATTTTTTAAAGCATAAAGTTCTTCTCAGTTTAACCTTTGTTTTTGAGTAACCTTTAGCAATATGAGTCTCCTTCAGTGGAGTTTTATGTTAAAACTGATTAATTGTGGGCCCCACAGTCATACTATAAAGTGATTGCAGTGACTATAGATAAGGTATCAGAGTTACCCCACAATTTCCTCTCATGGGTCTTAATCAAAGACCAGTTTAATAGTGCTCATATGTTCCCAGTGTAAAGGAAGGCTCTGTTTCCTTGGAAAAGCATGCCATGGTGCCTGCTAATTTTAATTCCTTACTTCTTCCTTTTTCCACTTGTGATTGTCAAATTTCAGCAAAGTAGTATGCATAATGTGTGGCTTCCACAGAGAGAGGGTTGTTATTGCTACACAGAAGCCCCAGGCCCTGTTGGGAGTGTGGAAAATCCAAGAAGAATGTACCTCACCACTCTCACAGGATGATTTTGAAACCAAAAATTATTTCCCAGTGTTAATCACTTTCCATCTAAAACAGTAAATTTCTCAATGCTTTAAGCAGCCTCAGAATTAATGGGTCTGTACAAATAAGCTCCAAGACACCATCAGACCCAGGACTGACACCTTCTCTGCACTGGCTACAGCTGAAACTGAAGGCCAGAGAGTGCTCAGCAGAAATCCTCAGTCAATCCTCACATCCAGTCTGACACACACTAGCAGAGAATATTCTTTTTTCATGTTCAGATTTCCTGGAAGAAGCAAAATAAAAGTGAATACATTTTCCAGAAGTGGGTAGCATCTTCAAGAGTCATATACACTGTTTTTTAACATGTCTCTACTTCCAGGTGCCAGAAATTAAGGCAGGATTCAGGCAGGACGGTGGTATGAGGCAGAAAAGATAAGCAAAACATTGTGGTACATGATAATTTACCTGCAGTCTAGGTTTTCAAAGAGAGAGATCCTTTAAAATTAATGCCACAAAGAACACTTCTCTTTCTTTTATTTTTTTAGTTAACTCTCATTTTAAGTTCAGGGGCACAAATGCAGGTTTGTTACATGGGTGAACTTGTGTCATGGGGGGTTGTTGTACAGATTATTTCATCACCCAGGTATTAAGCCTAGTACCCATTAGTTATTTTTCATTATCCTCTCCCTCCTCCTACCCTTCAGTAGGCCCTAGTGAGTGTGTTCCCCTCCATGTGTCCATGTGTTCTCATCATTTAGCTCCCATTTATAAGTGAGAACATGCAGTATTTAGTTTTCTGTTCCTGCATTAGTTTGCTCAGGATAATGTTCCTTTTTATGGCTGCATAGTACTCCATGGTGTATATGTACTACATTTTCTTTATCCAGACTATCATTGATGGGCATTTGGGTTGATTCCATGTCTTTGCTATTGTGAATAGTGCTGCAATGAAATACATGTGCATGTATCTTTATGATAAAATGATTTATACTCCTCTGGGTATATACCCAGTAATGGGATTGCTGGGTCAAATGTTATTTCTGGTTCTAGGTCTTAGAGGAATCACCACATTGTCTTTCACAATGGTTAAACTAATTTACATTCCCACTAACAGTGGAAAAGCATTCCTATTTCTCTGCAGCCTTGACAGCATCTGTTGTTTCTTGATTTTTTTAATAATTGCTCTTCTGACCAGTGTGAGATGGCATCTCACTGTGGTTTTGATTTGTATTTCTCTAACGATCAGTGATGTTGAGCTTTTTTTATATGTTCGTTGGCCACACAAATGTCTTCTTTTGAGAAGCGTCTGTTCATTTCATTTGCCCAATTTTTATTATACTTTAAGTTCTAGGATACATGTGCAGAACGTGCAGGTTTGTTACATAGGTACACACGTGCCATGGTGGTGTGCTGCACCCATCAACTCATCATCTACATTAGGTATTTCTCCTAAGGCTATCCCTCCCCTAGCTCTCCACCCCCGACAAGCCCTGGTGTGTGATGTTCCCTCCCTGTGTCCATGTGTTCTCAATGTTCAACTCCCATCTATAAGTGAGAACATACAGTGTTTGGTTTTCTGTTCCTGTGTTAGTTTGCTGAGAATGATGGTTTCCAGCTTCATCCATGTCCCTGCAAAGGACATGAACTCATTCTTTTTTATGGCTGCATAGTATTCCATACTGTACATGTGCCACATTTTCTTTATCCAGTCTATCATCGAGGGGCATTTGGGTTGGTTCCAAGTCTTTACTATTGTGAGTAGTGCTGAAATAAACACTGTGCATGTGTCTTTATAGTAGAATGATTTATAATCCTTTGGGTATATACCCAGTATTGGGATTGCTAGGTCAAATGGTATTTCTGGTTCTAGATCCTTAAGGAATCACCACACTGTCTTCCACTATGGTTGAACTAATTTACACTCCCACCAACAGTGTAAAAGCATTCCTATTTCTCCACATCCTCTCCAGCATCTGTTGTTTCCTGACTTTTTAATGATCGCCATTCTAACTGGCATGAGAAGTTATCTCATTGTGGCTTTGATTTGCATTTCTCTAATGGCAAGTGATGATGAGCTTTTTGTCATATGTTTGTTGGCTGCATAAATGTCTTCTTTTGAGAAGTGTCTGCTCATATCCTTCAACCACTTTTTGATGGGGTTGTTTTTTTTTTCTTGTAAATTTATTTAAGTTCCTTGTAGATTCTGGATATTAGCCCTTGGTCAGATGGGTAGATTGCAAAAATTTTCTCCCGTTCTGTAGGTTGCCTGTTCACTCTGATGATAGTTTCTTTTGCTGTGCAGAAGCTCTTTAGTTTAATTAGATCCCATTTGTCAATTTTGGCTTTTGTTGCCATTACTTTTGGTGTTTTAGACATGAAGTCTTTGCCCATGCCTATGTCCTGAATGGTATTTCCTAGGTTTTCTTCTAGGGTTTTTATGGTTTTCAGTCTTACATTTAAGTCTTTGATCCATCTTGAGTTAATTTTTGTATAAAGTGTAAGGAAGCAGTTTCAGTTTTCTGCATATGGCTAGCCAGTTTTCCCAACAAAATACCTAGGAATACAGCTAACAAGGGATGTGAAGGACCTCTTCAACGAGAACTACAAACCACTGTTCAAGGAAATAAGAGAAGACACAAACAAATGGAAAAAAAACATTCCATGCTCATGGATAGGAAGAATCAATATTGTGAAAATGGCCATACTGCCCAAAGTAAAGAGAAAAAGAGTCTGGTATTCTAGAGGGAGATTAAAAACAGATGCCAAATCAAACATAAAATTGTAAAAATCTATCATAGGATTGTATAAGGGGACCAATTTTATCAATATAGGTAGTTTTAAATTTAGTCTCTTACTATTTAACTGGATCTCTGAGGTCTGAGGCAGAGCCCACACTGAATTCTGAATCTCCAAAAGAGAAATTTTCATGAGCCTAGAACATGTGATGCTTTTATAATGCACTTTCTTTGTGAAGACATTTCTCTTAGTGTCTAAACTATACTCTTTCTGATTTTAAACACCCAAGAATAGCCACTGTTGTAATAACTACTTTAGTCAAAACAAAATCAGGTAACAATACAAAAGCAAGCTATTTAAGATTTGAGAAGAACTTGTCTGTTTATACTCTTAAGGTTCCATACGGAAAAACAGAGGTTTCTCCCCAAAATGGAGTCTGGCACCTTCTCTGTTTTCTTTAAGGAATCTCAGGCTGTTAAAAACCATTTTAGGTCCCTCATGCAGCAGAGAGGGGCAAAAGGAAGGAGAGACAGGAAGAAAAATGGAGAAAACAGAATTCAGTCAACTGAGAAAAACAAAACTTTTTCTACAAAAAAAATGAAGTTCTAGGAAAAAAAACCATAAAGGCCTTTTAAGTGGACACACACACACACATACACACACACACACACACACACACACACACACCCAAAATCTTCAATATTAGCTTTTTAATTAAGCAGATTCATAGCCATTGAGCTCTTCCAAAAAAAAAAATCCTTTTAAGCCGGGTGTGGTGCCTCACACCTGTAATCCCAGCACTGGGAGGCCAAGGTGGGTGGGTCACTTGAGGTCAGGAGTTTGAGACCAGCCTGGCCAACATGGTGAAACCCTGTCTCTACTAAAAATACAAAAATTAGCCTGGTGTGGTGGCACATGCCTGTAATCCCAGCTACTCAGGAGGCTAAGGCAGGAGAATTGCATGAACCCAGCAGGCAGGTTGCAGTAAGCCGAGAATGTGCCACTGTACTCCAGCCTGGGCAACAGAGCAAGACTCCATCTCAAAGAAAAATCCTTTTAAATCTCATTGCCATATTTTAACTGAGACAAATTGCTCATACTTCAACAGTAACATAAATATGAAACCTGAAAGGACTTGATTTAGGAACCAAACCCAGGGTGTTGTGGTGGGAAAAAAGGGCAGAACCATAGCTACTGAACTGCACCATGGGACAACAGCTGTTGCTCTTTCAGTTTGGCTTGGCTAGCAAAAAGTGGCCTTGTTATGTAAGTAAAACCCCTCAGTAGTTAAAATCTTTCCTCTTTTTCCCCTTTGCTGGTCATTTTTTCTTTTTCCTTTTTTTCCCCAGCTGTGGGAATTTAGCTAATTCAGTGGCATTGTTCCCCATAATTTGGAAATTTCCTTCAGATTTGACTAAGTCTGATAGAGTTTATCAAATCCAATGGAAAAAAGACCAAAAGAAGAACAAAAATAGAAACAAACAAAAATAGTTAAGCAAAACAAACAAAAAATTGCACAACTTATACAATTACTGAGCACTCTAAAGGTAAGTAGAAATTAAGAGCAGCTGGTTGTTAATTTTAACTTTAGTCATTAAGGAGAATTTCCAAGACAAAATCCCAATTCAGTTACTTACCTAGGAATGGAGCCCAGTCTGAAGATGGCTCTCTACCATCCTAGAAGCAGGAAACAACTTCAACTCACCTTCCCTGTTGGAAGTGAGCTCACACTCCAAAAAGGAGTTGCCTGCTCTCCATCAACATGAAGCAGGACAATTCACCTTCCTTGTGTAAAACTCCAGAAAAGGAGTTGTACAACAAAATAAACCTTAGATCTCAGCCAAATTTGAGGAGATCATGGATTCTCTGAAGGGGGAGCTCCCAGGACTTCACAAATTGTCCTATTGGTTTGAACAATAAAGATAGCTCAAACTGGTACCAAGCACCAATAGGAGATTTGTCAAAGGTTAGGGGAACCTCCACTCAGAAGCCATTCCTGGTTACCAACTTGTGAACCAAAAGTATCTGAGACAGGTTCCAATCAATTTAGAAAGTTTATTTTACCAAAGTTAAGGATGCACCCATGACACAGTCTCAGAAGGTCCTAATGACATGAAATGTAGCAGGACGATCCACAGACAAAACTCCTCAGGCACCAGGTTAAAGACGGAAGGAGCTTTATTTGGCCAGCAGTGTCGGCAGACTCATGTCTCAAAAACCGAACTCCCTGAGTGAGCAATTCCTGTCCCTTTTAAGGGCTTACAACTCTAAGGGGGTCCACATGAGAGGGTCGTGTTCGATTGAGCAAGCAGGGGATATGTGACTGGGGGCTGCATGCACCAGTAATCAGAACAGAACAGAACAGGACAGGGATTTTCACAATGTTTTTCCATACAATGTCTGGAATCTATAGACAACATAACCAATTAGGTCAGGGGTCGATCTTTAACTACCAGGCCTGGAATGCAGTGCTGGGCTGTCTGACTACTGATTTCACTTCTGTCTTTTAACTCCTACTTTTTCTTTGAGGCAGAAATTGGGCATATGACAATATGAGGGGTGGTCTCCTCCCTTATTCCCCCCTTTGAGAACCTCACTCATTAGTGGGAGTTCTCACTTTCATCCTCACTACCCATGTCTTCTTGCAAGACAGATCAATAGTGATTTATATAGTACACCTGTGCTGAAGCATTTTGGTGAACTAAGGTAGCGGTGAAGCTTTTTATTACTTGTAGGAGTACAGGTAGCAAACAAGGGAGTAGTAAGCAGGTTCTTATTGCTATTATAATTTTTATTATAAGAGTTTTAAATGCTCTTAGCCCTAGAAACCATTTTCCAAACATGGCTCCAGGATTAAGTCCATGCCATACTTGCATGGGCACATGTGCCAGTTTTGTCATATCTTTTTGTCTTCAACTACTTGCCCTTGATCATTTATGTGCAAACAGCAATTGGTTAGGTAAAATTTTCCACAGACTCCTCCTTCAGCTGCTAGCAAGTAGTCTAGGACTAGTCTATTTTGATAGATAGCATTTCTCATCTGGGTTTTTGCTGGGCTAAAACAGTTAAAGCTCTGCCAGTTTTATTAGTGATTACTTCTCAGACAGCTTATAACCGTATGATTCGGTTGATAGTATAAATGGGGGTTGGGTATCCCCATGAGCCATCTTGTGCCTAAGTGGTAGGCCCATAGTACTGTATGATTCTTTCAGGGGGCCACTTGTCATCTTTCCAGTCGCCTATAGCTATGCTTCTCTTTTCTTGGGAAGCATAGACTGGGAAGCCTAGAAGTTCGCCTGTTTTTATGGGCAGTAGGAAAAAGGATGGGTTATAGCACACATCAGGCTGGTCACTTCCTGGTCTACATACCTTGTATAGAATAGCATTATACAAACAAGTTCCTTTTAGAGTCCCAGTACACTTATAATAACCATAAAATAATAGGACTGTAGCAATCTTTTGTCCTACCTCAGTGACTTGATGTATATACTGGGAACAGTCCTCAGTCTGAGGAAGGTCAGTTGAAGTTCTTACTGTACAAGTCCAAATTTTAAGGGAAATGAGTCCTGCGATGAGTTTCCTCATGCTTTGACCATGCAAGGACCAGTCAGCTTCCAGGTGTGACTGGGGCAGGGCTTGTCATCTTCTTCAGAGTCACTTTGCAGGGGTTGGCGAAGCTGCTCCCATGCACGTACAGCTCCCAGTCTACTGATGTTTAAGGATGGTCTTGGAGGTTGGGCCTGCTAGAATAAACTGAGTCCAACACCTCTACACAGTTAAGTTTAACTGGGCTCTCTGATACCAGGAGCAAGGTGGCGGGGTTTAGGGTGTTGCAAACTTCAATGGTTATGTGGGGATTTTTCACAGAGCAAGCTTTGGTATCTAGTTAGTCTAGTATTTGTTAGCTAATGACGTCCTTTGGTATTTATTAAAGTCACCACAGCATGGGGGGCCTTTATGTTTAGGTTTTGCCCAAGAGTTAGCTTATCCACTTCTTGTGCTAGTAGGGCTGTTCCTGCCAAGGCCCTCAAACATGGGGGCCAACCCTTAGAAACCCCATCTAGTTATTTAGAGAGGTAGGCCACTGGCCTCAGCCAGGGCCCCACAGTCTGGGTTAAATCTCTAACTGCCATTCAGTGTAAAAGGTTTGGTCAGGTCAGGTAGCCCCAGGGCTGCAGCCAACATGAGGTTTTTCTTTTAACTCCTGAAAAGCTAGTTGCTGTTGGTTGTAATAGGTGTAGTTTATTTACTTTACATTTTTATTAACTGTCACCTACCAAAATATTGACTTAAATCCTGCAGCTATTTTATTTTGGGCTTTAAATTGATCTGGTATTTCCCGTGGGACTCCAATTGCATCTAAATAGACATGAGAGTCGAAAGACCCATAAGAGGCTTCTCTCGCTTTATGATGTCTTATTTTTCCTCCCTCTGGTTGATGAAATGCCAGGGTGAAAGGGATAGCCAATTGGACTAAAGCACAAATGCCACTCCAGTTATTCGGCAGAGTGCCCAGTAAAGGTCCACCACAATACCACACACATCCGCTCGGGGATGAACAAGGGCTGACTGATTGATAAGCTCTTGAAAATTCTTAAGCTCACTGCATCCCTTCAGGTCTCCAAGGAATGCTAAGTTTTCTCCCTGTTGTGAGAGACATGAAGTGAACTTAGTGTTGGGAGATGGAAGCTGGATGGCCCTCAGGGGCTGACTCGCAGGGTGCCAGACTTCAGGACATAGCGGAGAGAGCTTGGCACGACTTATTACTCCAGGCTGTAGAATCCTGAAAAAGAGCTATCATGCAGCCCACACCTGGTCAACTGGATGACTACCTTAGTGAAAAGGGGACAATCTGGGCCTCTGGCCTGCCATGTGCACAAGCATAACGATTGCTTTTGTTTAATGTGCGGAAAGAATATTTGATCCATTCCAACCAGGCATTTGCATCTTGGTATACTGCCTTAATTGCCAAAGTTTGTTTTAAGTCTTTAACTTCTATGATTCTTTAGTAAAATGAATGTATGGTTTTAGGAAATTACAAAAACTGGTTGGGGTAGTTCATTCTTGCTTTTTAGTGGTCCACAGAACTTTGGACCAACTACGGCATAAAAGCTCCACATCGGGGGGCAAGACTCCTGGTTGACACTGGGGTCTTTATTGAAATCTCCCTGGATTAGATGGTCCTAATTTACTAATGCCCAGTCTGAGGAGAGTCAGGAGGGACAGAGGTACTTTTTTGAAGTAGAGAGCTGTTTTTGGCTTAGCAAGTCCCTGCAGGGTATAACAAAGCAAGCATTAAATGCAATAGTTTGAGGCGAAATTGACTTGGTTATGTTAATAACTACATGGTCAGTAATAGAGCGAGGAAAGAAGAAAGTAATAGAATAGATGAAAGAATTAAATTTTTCTTAGCTTGAGTTTGGTAGGGTTTTCCCCTGGGACTATGGCCCATGACTCTGGAGGGGGTGGTGCTTTGACTCGGGTATGATGAGTCCATCCCTTTTCTGCTGTAAGAACAGCAGTCTTGGTGGTTAGCAGCACAAGGAAGGGTCCTTCCTAGGCTGGCTCGAGTTTCCCTTCTTTTTACCCTTTGATGAGAACATGATCCTCAGGCTAGTGCTGGTTTACCAGAAATTCTAGGGGTGGTACATGTGCTAAAAGACTTTTAGTTTTAAGGGAAAGGAAAGTGGAAGATAAACCAAGTATGCAATTTTTAAGAAATTGACCTTTTGTTTTAAATGTGGGATCATCAGCAGTCCTTGGTGCCTTTCTACTGAAAAATTTCCTTTAGCACCTACTTTTATTAGTTTTTAGACCAAAGAAAGCCAAACACCATTTTATATTTAATAATGCTTCCTGTATGATAATACAGGAATAATAATGCTTCTTGTCTTTCATGCATGGATGTGAATTGACAGTTCAATTGCATTTAAAATATGGCACAATGAGCCATTGGCTGTGCTGAGAGATCTGGGTTGTTGACCAAATTCTGAGGCTTCCTTGTTCTCAATCCCTCTCACAACCTGTTTCCCTAGGAACTTGGTGGTCAGCAGAGCACTTGAATTCTCCTTCCAAACCATGAGCTTATATTTTTGGCTGTTCCTTCTCTCTTTTGCAGACACACGTGCATGTAGGCATGCATGCACACACACAGGATCTTTAGCTAGAAAGCACCCTGGAATGGTCACATCACTCCATTTCACCCTGTGCTTTTTGGTCATCAGAATACCCCCACCCCCACAAGCTGCAACCACGTTTCTACCTGTTAGAAGACACAACTGTCAAGTTGTTCCCAGTGAGATAAAACAAGAAACAATCGTCTATTTATGAGAGCATTTTCCAATTTAAAATTCCAATTGACTAATCCAGGAGTTTGGGAAATTTTCCATATGCACAGTGGCCTAATATCAAACTCCTTCCTATAAAAATAGGAACAATTCATCATCATAAAGCTTGTCAAGCCAGTTGTTAGTGGGACCCACAAAGCCAGTTCCTCAGTTGGGTATCAAATCCGTACAAATCTGTATTAACTAAAAATAATAACTAGTTTATTCACGAGAAAAATTAATTTTAAAAGTACATAATTCAGGTCCTTCCAAAAACACATTAGTGATTAAAAGCTTTTTTTAGTGTTGAAATCTCTTAAAAAGTTATTGATATAATTGGGAAGGGCCTTCATGTAGAGTCGAATGAACACAGACCATAATACATTCCTGCACAACCCCTACTCCCTATTGGCTCCCCTCCGGAGTCCTGCATGGGTGCTCTAAGTGGCAGTCATGTGCTAGTCCATGCTGCAGGGTCACAGATTGGGAAGACCGGTAATGAATGGAAGCTGGATGTCCCTGAAGCTATAACATAGGCCAAGTGCAGTAGCTCACACCTGTAATCCCAGCACTTTGGGAGGCTGAGGTGTGCAGATCACCTGAGATCAGGAGTTGGAGACTAGCCTGGCCAACATGGTGAAACCCTGTCTCCACTAAATATATGCCTGTAATCCCAGCTACTGGGGAGTCTGAGGCACGAGAATCACTAGAACCCGGGAGGTAGAGGTTGCAGTGAGCCAAGATCACACCACTACACTCCAGCCTGGGTGACAGAGTGAGACTCCATCTTAAAAAAAAAAAAAAAAAAGGAAAAAAAAAAAAGCTGTAACAGAAAAACAACTTAATTATTGCAAAGAAGAGATCAGTATAGTGACATGTGACTCCAATCCCACTGCAGTGTCTAGGGTAGGCATGTGTTACCGTGTGCTCTTTCAGTTTAGCCATCTGTAGGCAGCTTGTGTTTATCAACTCAATTAGACCCCCTGCCTTATCGCAAGGGCAGAGGGCTTTCTGTATCGCAGGTTCTTGCCTTGGTGTACCAGAAAAATCAGATCACATGTGGGCTTGGAGGATGGGTGCAAGGTTTTTTATTGAGTGGTGGTAGCTCTCAGCGAGGTGGATGGAGAGGCCAGAAGGGGGATGGAGTGGGAAGGTGATTTTCCCCTGGAGTCAGGCCACCCAGCGGCCAGGCTCTCCTCTGACCACCACAGCCAAAGTCAGTGTTGTTCAGCTGGTCGGCCTGCTGGCATCTGCTGGTGTCTGCTGGTGTCTGCCGGTGTGCTCTTCCACCAGTGTGTTCCTCTCGAGGGCCAGCCACTTCTGTCTGCCCATGGCCACTTGTGTCTCTGCCAATATGGTCTCGGGGTTTTTATAGGCACAGGATGGGGGCGTGGTGGGCCAGGGTGGTCTTGGGAAATGCAACATTTGGGCATGAAAACAGAAATGCCTGTCCTCACTTTGGTCCATGGGCACAGGACCGGGGTGGAGCCCTTGCTAGGGACCCCGCCTTCTCCTCCCAGCATTTCCCTGCCTCCCTCCCCTGTCATTGGTGTGCTCTGGCCTCCCCTCACTTCCCATTCAAGAAACACAGGCTGCTCTCCGGAAATGGCAAGAACATCGTGCGCCATTTGGAGGTGGGAGAGTTGGGAATAGGAGAGGTGGGGTTGTTCTCTGAGGACCTAAAGTCCCACCAATCAGGAGTCTGGCAAATGAACCACAATTGCAAAATTGGCTTTTATGTGAAAGTATACATTCTGGTGCCACAAAAGTCGGGCAATTAAGATTTCCATTGAAAAGTTTCTTACTAGAAATTTCCCCAAATCACATAACTTCTCTGACTCAATTCAGCTCTTGGACCTAACTCAGTGAACGATTACTTTCAGTATCCAATAGTGTGGTCCAGTTTTTCCATTTAACACTATTTCAGAAATGCTTTTCAACATTTTATCATTTTCTTCATAGTTTTCATTTTAATGTCTGCATTCGTATCTTGTAATTTGCTTAAGGTTGTTTCCTGACACATAATGAGTGATCAACAGATATCAATTGAATGAATGCACATCTTTGTACATATGGCTACTTTTAAACTTTCTTTTGCTTCCTTTTTTGTTTTCTGTTTGTTTGAGACGGAGTCACCCTGTCACCCAGGCTGGAGTGCAGTGGCACAATCTAGGCTCACTGCAGCCACTGCCTCCCCGGTTCAAGCAATTCTCCTGTCTCGGCCTCCAAAGTAGCTGGGTTTACAGGTGTGTGCCACCATGCCTGGCTATTTTTTTTGTATTTTTTAGTAGAGATGGGGTTTCACCATGTTGGCCAGGCTGGTCTTGAACTTCTGACCTCAAGTGATCTGCTCATCTCGGCCTCCCAAAATGCTGAGATTACAGGTGTGAGCTACCATGCCTGGCCTTGTTTTGTTTTTGAGGCAGTGTTTCACTCTGTCACCCAGGCTGGAGTGCAGTGGCTCAATCATGGCTCACTGCAGCCTCGACCTCCTGGGCTCAAGTGATCCTCCCACCTCAGCCTGCTGTGTAGCTTGGGCTATAGGCATGTACCACCATGCCCAGCTAATTTTGCAAATTTTTTGTAGAGCCAGGGTTTTGCCATATTGCCCAGGCTGGTCTTGAACTCCTGGACTCAAGCAATCCTCCTGCCTCAGCTTCCCAAATTGCTGGGATTTCAGGCATGAGCCACCACACTCAGCCTAAATTAGCATTTTTGGGCTAACATGCCAGAACTGAAATACATAAGTGAAAGAGTTTGAACCTTTTCTTTTTTTCTTGTATATTGCCATGAGAAACAGTATCCAGTTTTGGTTAAAAACATGGTTTTTAGGCTAGGTGTGGTGACACGCGCCTGTAGTCCTAGCTACTCAGGAGGCTGAGGCAGGAGGATCCCTTGAGCCAAGGAGTTTGAGGCTGTAGTGAGCTAGAGTTGTGCCACTGTGCTCCAGCCTGGGCCACAGAGCAAGACTCTGCCTCTAAAAAATAATCAGCAAGGCACCGTGGCTTACACCTGTAATCTCAGAGATTTGGGAGGTGAGGTAGGAGGATCACTTCAGGCCAGGAATTTGAGAACATCCTGGGCAACATAGTGAGACATCATCTCTATTTAAAAAAAAAAAAAAGCTTCCAAATGGTTTTATGTAAAATAAAAAAAAGGAACATAGCGTTTTTAACTTCAACAAAGCTCTATTAGGCTAGTTTGGATATTTGTCCCCTGCAAATCTCATGTCAAAATTTAATCCCCAGTGTTGGAGGTGAGACTTGGCAGGAAATGTTTGGATCATGGGGTTGAGTCCCTCATGAATGGCATGGTGCTGACCTGGTATAATGAGTGAGTTCACACTCTATTATTTCCCCTGAGATCTGCTTGTTAAAAAAGCCTGAAACCTCCTCCCCTATCTTTTGTTCCTTCCTGTCACCATGTGATTGACATACACTTGCTCCCCTTCCTCCATGAGTGGAAGCTTCCTGAAGCCCTCACCAGAAGCAGATGCTGGTGTCATCCTTCTTGTACAGCCTACAGAACGATGAACCAAATAAACCTCTTTTCTTTATAAATTACCCAGCCTCAGGTGTTCCTTTACAGTAACACAAAAATGGACTAAAACACCATACTAACTGTGTGATGGGGGACCACTTACCCCTCCCTTCTGAGTCACAGTCATCTGATCTACAAAATGGGGTAAACAGTAGTTCCTCTGCACAGAGATGTGGGCACAAGAGGAAAGTGGGCACAATATTGGTTATTGTTATTATCATTGCCATTTGCAATACATGTTTTTCCCCACAGCCACAGGAACGTTGTATTTTATCATTTTCAGCTTGTCTTTATTTATTAATTAGGTATGAAATGACACTGTTATATTTATACTAACTAGGCCAGGCTTGGTGGCTCATGCCTGTAATCCCAGCACTTTAGGAGGCTGAGGCGGGCAGATCACCTGAGGCCAAGAGTTTGAGACCAGCCTGACCAACATGGTGAAACCCCATCTCTACTAAAAATACAAAAATTAGCTGGGCGTGGTGGTAGGTGCCTGTAGTCCCAGCTCCTCTGGAGGCTGAGGCACAAGAATTGCTTGAACCCAGGAGACAGAGGTTGCAGCAAGCCGAGATCACACCACTTCACTCCAGCCTGGGTGACAGAGTGAGATTCTGTCTCAAAAATATAATAAAATAAAATATAAATTTAATTTAAAAATATATTTATAGTTCCTTGTTGCATAGTGAAGTTAACACCTTTTTTAAGGCTCTTCTATGTGCTTTTTGTTCTGTGATTTGTTTTATTCTTCACTGAACGTTTGGACATTTGGTGGTATTCTTCCAATGTTTAATAACTTAAAAAATACATTTAAAATAACTAATGCTTACGTTTTTCACTACAAATATTTCCCCATTCTGTTGTTTTCCTCTTTTTCTTAGTTTTGTGGTCCATATTTTTCTTTCTGATTTTTTTATTGCTTCATAACTTTAAAAGTTATCCTTCTTCCAGAGTTGACATTATGCTTTATCAAATAATTGCACTGATGATTTTTAAATTCTATACTTCTACTTGATTTGATGTTACCTAAATTTAACTCCTTAAATCAGCTGAGATACATTGTGCTGCCTTAGTAGGAGATAGGTAGAAAGGTGAGGATAGGAATAACATCTACCTTACACCATTGCTGTGACAAGTGAAAGACGCAATGCATGCATGTCTAACACTGCGCCTGGCAGGTAAAGAGCAGGGACTCAGTAAGTGACGAAAGCTATTAATTTAATTCTTATTATCAGTATCTAAAGTTGGATATCTGTAGAAGGAACACTGAGAGGTTTGTCACATACCAATTATAGGAGTAACATAGAACTGTAAAAATTTTATAAATTAATTGAAAATGACAACTCTAAATTCATATGTACAACTGCACATGAAATACATATAATCATAGATATAACTAAACATACACAGCAATACATTTACTTCTTTTTGATACTGCGAGTGATGTCAAGGGAAAAGACATTCACATTTCAAAGTTTAGTTTTATAAAATTAAATATTTCAAGAATATCAGTTAAAATAAAACAAAAGCATAACTCAGAAGCTAAAAATGGTAAAACCTTTGGCCAGGTTTTCATTTAAGTTTCTTTAGATTTGTGAGTTTTGTTATTATTTTTAGAATTTATTTATTAAGTTGTTTTTTTATTTCCATAGGTATTTGGGGAACAGGTGGTATTTGGTTACATGAGTAAGTTGTTTAGTGGTGATCTGTGGGATTTTAGGACACCCATCAATCAAGCAGTATACACCGAACCCAATTTGTAGTCTTTTGTCCCCCACCCCACTCCCACCCTTTCCTCCGAGTCCCCAAACTCCAATGTATCATTCTTATGCCTTTGCATCCTCATAGCTTAGCTCCCACTTATGAGTAAGAACATACAATATTTGTTTTTTGTTATTGTTTAAACAGTGAGTTTCAAAAGTGTTTCACTTTATAAAAGTACACTCAGAAATATGAATATCTATTGCCTTCTTATTCCTCACACTACCTCAGGAAAGCAAATACGTCATTGCAAATATACTAATGTAAGTTATGCTCTACCCTTCTAACCAATGACATAATTCTTAATTCTGTGATTTGAAATAAAAAATTGTCTCAGCACATGCTCTCAAGAAAAGCCTTGCACAGGCCGGGCGCGGTGGCTCACGCCTGTAATCCCAGTACTTTGGGAGGCCGAGGTGGGCGGATCACGAGGTCAGGAGATCGCGACCATCCTGGCTAACACGGTGAAACCCAGTCTCTACTAAAAAAGAAAAATGCAAAAAAAATTAGCTGGGCCTGGTGGCAGGCGCCTGTAGTTCCAGCTACTTGGGAGGCTGAGGCAGGAGAATGGCGTGAACCCAGGAGGCGGAGCTTGCAGTGAGCGGAGATCAAGCCACTGCACTCCAGCCTGGGCGACTGAGCGAGACTGTGTCTCAAAAAAAAAAAACAAAACAAAACAAAAAAGAAAGAAAGAAAAGCCTTGCACAGGCTTTCGGGAAGTTGATCAGGGCTTTACATGTAATTACAGAATAGCAACTAAGCCAGGGAACCTTTTGTGGCCCCTTACAGCTGCACTCTGAAAATTCAAGTGAATAAAATTAGAGTTGAAGTTATGAATAACAAGTTTTAGCCCTGGAACAATGCCTACTGTAACATTCTAGCATTTCAATTATGATCCTACCTGAGGCTGCCAACTAGGCTGGATCTTCCATGGAAATATTTTCTGCACACTTCTTACAATCTCTCCAATTTCTGTGTCTAATCTTCGTGACACATGTTGCCAATATTATCAAAGGAGACCAATTTAGCTGACAAGTGTACAGATTTTAGGTTCCATCCAAACTTTAAGGGGGCATAGTCTTTCCTAATATGCCCTATGTTTAAGGACACTTGCTCTGAAGTCATACAACTCAATTTCTCCCATCTCTTCTCTGCCCTCCCTATTACACCATCCCTTAGTTATCTTCTTCCCTCATTCCCTCCTCCCCCTTGCCCATTCTCTTCATGCTTTCTCCTCTTCATGTCTACGTCTAGCAAGCTGATGGCTCCCAGCAATGAAGTGCAGGTGAAATTCTGACATTGTATTTTTCTCAAATAAGCCACTCAGCCAGTAGATAGCTTGTCAACACCTTTAAAGTACCTAGGTGTCTGGCACTATGGGGAAGAAAAGCTGAATGAACTAATGTTTCCATCCTCACAACCTAGTTGGAAAGATAAAGCATGTTCATGTGAAAAGATAACTAGAAAGGCCAAGCAGGGGACAGCAAAATACTTTCTAACTTAAAATATGATTCAAAGTTAGATTTAGTAAGTTCTAAGCAACTATAGCCGAAGTTAAATCCTTTCAAGATAAAGGGCACCACACTGACCTCAGAAATAAGAGTGTAACCAAGTACCCCCATTTTTCTAAGTGGTAGTTTAATTATTTTTTTCTGTTCTTTTCTCCTTTCTCCTTTCCCCCTGCTTCCTATTTAGCCCTTTTTGAAATGCAAAATAACCTCTCTCCTCCCAGTCACCAGACTTTCCCTACAGCGCAAGTTCATCCGTGTGCCCCAAGATGGAGCTCTCCTCTAGAGTTGATAGTTGAAGTGCAGATCAAAGCATGTCCCCACAGAAATCCCACCTCCAGAGGGTCACCTCAGGAGGGCATGCTTTCCATTTAGCCACTTTTACAACTTATTTCTGCCCAGAAAGGCACCAACTCAACTGTCTGGTAGATAAGAAACCAGGGTAGCAGGGAGACCCCCTGCCCTTGCTCACTTCTCTGGTCAACTTAGAAAAGATTTCACTTTTGCTACAAAGGTGAAGCATCACATTTAAAACAAGACACTTTATGCCCCTTCCCCTAGCTAGCTTCGGAAATAAATTCACTTTTCTTGTACAAGGCCTTGCTCTTGTTAATTGGACTCTAAGTCCAATTAACCTGCTTTTTGGTTACAAGAGGAGGTGGTTATAGCCCAGGATTTTACCAAGCTGAGGTCCATCCTCCAACATTGAAGTCCATAGACCCTGAGTACTGTGCTGGTCAGTCCCAGGTGGGCAGATCCTTGAGAGTCATGAAATCTTAAGACCTCTCAGAACAATCCAGCCTCACTTGAACAGGTGTGTTTGCCACACAGTGGACTGCCTCATTGAATAGTGCCTTGTGCAGAACTAAAATACTGTGGCAAAGCTGTTCCTCTAATGGCTGAATATCTGATGGTGATGTTGATGTTTTTCTCTTTTCCAGTCAGGTCCAAGGTCATATCTACGGTGGACCACTCTTACAGGCTTAGCCTGAAAACTCTATGATTACCCTATAGACCCACCGCAAACACCAAGGTCTGTAAGGTAAAAGAAAAGAGTGGGCTCCCTGGACCTTGACTGCTTTTTAGCCTCTAAAAACAAAATACATTAGCATGAGAAGGAAAATGTATATGCTAAACAAAACACTCCTCCATGTAACCATGTGGTAAGTGGCACAAAAGAAGATGCACATAATGTATCAATGAAACTCTTTTTTGTGTGTGTGTGTGATGGAGTCTCACTCTGTCGCCCAGCCTGGAGTGCAGTGGCGTGATCTCGGCTCACTGTAAACTCCACCTCCCAGGTTCACGCCATTCTCCTGCCTCAGCCTCCTGAGTAGCTGGGACTACAGGCACCTGCCACCACGCCCGGCTAATTTTTTGTACCATTAGTAGAGACGGGGTTTCACCGTGTTAGCCAGGATGGTCTCAATCTCCTGACCTCGTGATCCGCCCCCTCGGCCTCCCAAAGTGCTAGGACCACAGGCGTGAGCCACCGCGCCCGGCCCAATGAAACTCTTAAACACATGGGAAATCACATTGTTTTCTTGTATAAGTAATACTGGATGTTCTCATTGTTTTCCCTACCTTTTATCTACTGCCTTTGTGAATATAATTCTTTGGGATCATAGTAGAAATCACATACTTACTTTATTATATTATCTGAGCACTCTGTAGATCAAGTATAATAATTGATCTCTCTGTGTTTTCTGAAAGTAAAGATAGTATCTGCCAACATACAAAACAACTGATAAGATTATGCAAACATAGCTTTGGGTTTATTCTACACAGAACTTAACTTTTCTTTTGCCCTTTGTCAAAAGTACAATAAAATGTGAAAGTTATAACAAAGTTCTCAACCAGCTCAGTTCAGTTCAGTAATTCTCAACAGGACAGTCAGCTATAGGCCACAAATTTCTGTGCCTGTATCCCTTAGAAAGAAAAGGAAGAACACATTCCAAAAGAATATTCCAGTGTATGTATGGAACAGGAATTAAAAGAAATTAAAGAGTGTGCAAGCAGAAACTCAGTTGTATGTAAGAAAACCCAATTCCCCCTAAGAAAGAGAAAGAGCTGAAGTCCTTTAAAATTAACTGCCTGTTTTTCTGTGGCTAGTGAGCCTTATCTCTCCCACTTTCCCAGGCATTGTGAAGACCCTGTCTCCTTAGCTGTGCAGCTGCAAGGTCACTAGACAGAAAAACTCAAGTTGCAAAACATGTTTTTCCTTGAAAAGTAAAAAATGATATAATGCATGTCTCAATTGCCTTTGTTTCTCACTTCTGTAGTATACTTTCCTCTGCACAGATCTCCCCCGACCCACGAAATGCTTAAAAGGTAACTTAACTCTGTTCAGGGCTCAGTCCTTTGGATGTTAATCCGACTGGACCAGTGCACCTAAATAATTAATAAATATCCTCCTGAGCCCCATTGGTCTCTCTGATTCCTTAAAAATCTCGTAACATTTCTGGGAACTCGCCTGGGATTGGAGACAACAGATTTACTGTCTCATTTGCCTGGGGGACTAGAGCCCCAGGGCTGGGGAGACCCAGCATCCAAGGCACGCCACAGGGGAGCTTCACCCAGACAGAGACTGGCTCTCCCCACATCCCAGCAGACTGCCCGGCAATGCAACAGAACCAGGAACAGGGCTGCAGGACGATGCCAGCACTTCAGGAACTGTAGTAAGGAGCAAGTGCCTAAGGCAGGGAAGCCTGTCCCATAAGGATGATCACCTCCCAGGGAATGACCACTAATCCAACCCAGAGCAGCTGGGGGTGGCAGGAGAGGCTTGCTAATTTGGATGAACCTCGTGTCCCCATTAACAAAGTGAAAGTGGTTTACTGGATCTGGAGACAGGAACTGGGAGTGTGTGGGTGTGTGTGAACCCACCCAGGACATGAGAGAGGCTCGTTTCGTCTGATGAGGAGTCCTGGGCAGGGGAGGTGTGTGAAAGTGTATGAAAGAGATGGTCTTGGGAGAGGCCAATGCGGGGAGTAACGTGAGGAGGCACAGATCCCTTAGGGCAGGCTGTGTACTCCAAGGTGAGCGTGGAAGAAATCAGACCTAGGATGCCGCATACGGCCAATGGGACCAGTTTCACAGCCACAGCAGGCTGTGACAGGGGAAGGCACATTCCTGGCTAAGCAGTGTCTGAAACTCCCATAAAAGGACCTGGTCTGGTGGATCTGAGAGTGAAAGTGAGAGGGAAAGTGCACTGCAAGGGAGGAAATGGGAGGAAAAGTGTCGAAGCCAACTCCTTTGGAGTGCGTGATAAAGAATTTTAAAAAAGGATTTAGAGGTGATTATGGGATGAAACTGGATGCTCAAAAGTTAAGGACATACTGTGAAATAGATTGGCCTGCTTTCAATGTGGGGTGGCCCTCTGAAGGTACAATAGACAGAAAATTAATTGGCCGTGTGTTTAACGTGGTCACCGGAGTTGGAAGACAACCAGGATACCCAGACCAGTTTCCCTATATAGACTCTTGGCTCAGTGTAGCACAAACTCACCCCAAGTGTCTACAGCCCTGTCTAAAGAGATATTATAAGGCATTAGTGGCTCAGGCAGCCCAACCAAAGGAAGAAAGAAAAACCAGATATAGGAACAGAGATGGCTCAATTTATAGCTGCTGCACTAGCAGAAAGTAACCCTGAATTTGCTAGAGGGCGTGGCCAAGGCAGAGGTCGAGGAAGGGGGCAGACAAGACCAGGAGAGGAAAGCCAATCTTGGTTGGACAGGAACCAATGTGCAAAGTGCAGGAAAATGGGCCACTGGAAAGATGAGTGACCCAAAAAGGAAAAGGATGGAAATGATGGTCAATGGTCTAACACCCAAGTGCGTTATTCGGTTGCTAGTCATGGTGCATCAAGGGCAGATCCTGATCTGATTGGCTTAGCAGGGGCCAAGAATTTTGAGGACTGAGACAGACCAGGCTCCATCTTTTTAGGCCCCGGGGAGCCTATGGTCTCTATGGAAATAGGGGGTCAATTAATGGATTTTTTTGGTCGATACTGGTACTGATTTCTCTGTGGTAACTCACCCAATTAGCCTCCCCACAAAGAACTGTGCTACTATTGTAGGGGCTACTGGGGCCAAAAAAAAGAGACCTTTTTGCAAATCCAGGAGATGTGTTATTGGGGGACAAGAAGTGCAGCATGAGTTTCCGTATATGCCAAATTGTCCAGTGCCCTTGCTGGGGAGAGACTTACTCCAGAAACTGCAGGCAGAAATTTTCTTTACGCCTAAAGGGAATATGACACTGGAGTTTGGAAAGTCCAAGGCAATGGTATGAACTCCAACTGTCCCAAGGGCTGAGGAATGGTGGCTGTGTGAACCGTGTGCCAGAAGGTCACCAGAACCGACCTACACAATATATGGGGGATGCTTTTCAAGGTACCAGGTGTATGGGCCGAGGATAATACCCTGGACTTGCTGCAAACAGACCCCCAGTGGTAGCAGAGCTTAACCCTCATGCTGCCCCGGTATGAGTCCGTCAATACCCAGTACCCAGGGAGGCAATTGATGGAATAACAAAAGCATCTGAATCGGCTTTATACACATGGGATTATAGTAAAATGCAAGTCCTCATGGAATACTCCTCTGTTACCCATGCACAAATCAAATGGGGAATACAGGCCAGTGCAGGATCTCCGGGTGGTAAACAAGGCCACTGTCGCTATCCATGCAACAGTACCCAACCCATACACAATGTTGGGACAGATTCCTGCTGATGCCACTTGGTTCACATGTCTGGACTTAAAGGATGCCTTCTTTTGTTTGAAGCTTGCTCCCCAAAGTCAGAGGGGGCAATCGCAATATACCTGGACAAGGCTGCCGTAAGGGTTTAAGAATGCTACCATTTTTGAGGAGGCCTTGGCTACAGATCTTGAGGCTTTTGCGCCACCTAGTGACAATTATGTGCTATTACAACACATTGATGATTTCCTATTTGCCGCCCCCACGAGGGAGGAATGACTCCAAGGAACAGAGAGGCTTCTTCACGTGCTGTGTGAAGCTGGTTATAAAGTGTCCAAGGACAAGGCAAAAGTCTGTTTTCAGGAGGTTGGATATCTAGGATTCATGGTATCCCAAGGCCAGCGCAGGCTTAAGTGCACGCAAGGAGGCTGTATGTGCACTGCCCACCCCAGTTACAAGGCCAGGGAATTTCTAGGCGTGGCAGGATTCTGCCGAATCTGTATTCCAAACTTCTCCCTTACAGCAAGGCCCTTGTATGAGGCTATAAAAGGAAAGGAAAGAGAGCCCCTCCTATGGCAAAAGAAACAGGAAAAGGCCTTCAAGGATATAAAGGAAGCTCTCATCCAGGCCCCGGCACTAGGGTTGCCAAATGTAAAAAAGCCCTTTTTTTGTATGTGGATGAATGTCAAGGAATGGCAGTTGGAGTCTTAACTCAGTTCTTGGGCTCTTGGCATCGGCCGGTAGCATACTTATCCAAAAGACTGGACTTGGTGGCTTTAGGTTGGCCCCACTGCCTCAGGGCATTGGCAGCTACCGCAATCCTTATAGAAGATGCCAACAAGCTAGCCCTAGGTCAGAAGTTAATAGTTCAGTGCCACACGCCGTAGTCACCTTAATGGAGCAAAGAGGATATGGTTGGCTGTCCAACTCTAGAATGCTAAAGTATCAAGGGCTTCTATGTGAAAATCCCCAGATAACACTAGAGAATGTAAATACCTTGAACCCAGCTACCCTGCTGCCTGTGGAGGAACCCGATTGGAAGGATGCTGGGTTGCCTCACTCCTGGCAGGACCTTCCCCACTGTTGCATAAATATGGTGGACAAAGTGTTCTCGAGCCAGGAAGACCTCAGAGATTCCCCCTTGGAGAGCCCAGATGTTATATACTTCACTGATGGTAGCAGTTTCATAACAGATGGGGTGAGATATGCAGGATATGCAGTAGTGACCCAACACTCAGTGGTTGAGGCTCAAGCCTTACCTTCTGGGACTTCCGCTAAGAAGGCTGAATTAATAGCATTAACCAGAGCACTGTTATTGGCCAAGGGGAAGAAAGTAAACATATGTACTGACTCAAAATATGCTTTTGCAACCCTGCGTGCCCATGGGGGAATACACAAAGAGAGAGGACTTTTGACTACTGAAGGAAAAGAAATAAAAAATAAGGAGGAAATTTTGCAATTATTGGAAGCCGTATGGGCTCCGGAGAAGGTGGCTGTCATTCATTGCAAAGGACACCAAATCAGGAAAAGCTATGAGGTGCAGGGCAACAGAAAGGCAGACCAAGAGGCTCGGCAGGCAGCAATGAGCAAGGCTTCACCTGAAGAAAGAACTCTAGCAATGCCTCTCCTTATAGAGCCCCCTTTGCTGGAGGTACCCCCTTACTCTTCGAGTGAAAAAGCTTGTTTTGTTCTGGAAACAGGGAAATATATTAAAGGTGGATGGTGGCTGTTCTCTGATGGGAGACTAGACGTCCCAGAGACAATAGCCTCAAGGTTTGTGAAGCAGATCCATCAAAGAACACACACTGGAAACTAGAGACTTTGATAGGTCAACACTTCTATGTGCCACGGCTCTCTGCCATCACCCATGCTGTTTGCGAATAATGTCTATCCTGTGTCTGGAATAAGCCAAAACAAGGACCTATTCGACCCCCAGGAATTCAGGAAATGGGAGCTGTGCCTTGTGAGAACCTGCTTGTAGACTTTACCGAGTTGCCTTGAGCAGGAGGTTACCGGTATATGCTAGTGTTTCTTTGCACCTTCTCAGGGTGGGTTGAGGCCTTCCCCACCAGGACTGAAAAGGCACGAGAGGTGACAAAGGTGCTACTAAAAGACATCATACCAAGGTTTGGATTGCCTTTAACCCTAGGATCAGACAATGGTCCTGCATTTGTGGCAGAAGTAGTACTACAGCTGACTCAGCTTTTAAAGATCAAATGGAAACTGCACACAGCCTACTGACCACAGAGTTCAGGGAAGGCGGAATGGATGAACCAGACACTCAAACAGCTACTAAAAATGTTTTGCCAGGAAACTCACTTACGATGGGATCAGGTCTTGCCCATGGTCCTCCTCCAGGTCAGGTGTACACTTACAGAACAAATTGGGTATTCACCCTATGAAATATTATTTGGAAGGCCACCCCCAATCATTAATCAAATTAGAGGGTAGTTAAAGGAGTTAGGAGAGCTAA
This sequence comes from Homo sapiens, assembly GCF_000001405.40. NCBI lineage: Eukaryota > Metazoa > Chordata > Mammalia > Primates > Hominidae > Homo > Homo sapiens. The sequence goes on along the minus strand of NC_000023.11, from coordinate 120,083,507 downwards.
CCCTTAGAAGACAGATGCAGGCTTTAGGAGTGGCAATGCAGGAGGTGCAAGGCTGGGTAAGTGAAAGGATACCTTTAAGTCTAACAGACCCAGTGCATCCACATAAACCGGGGATTCTGTCTGGGTTAAAATGTGGAATCCAGGCTGGGCCTGGTGGCTCACACCTGTAATCCCAGCACTCTGGGAGGCCGGCGGGGGGGAGATCACGAGATCAGGAGAATGAGACCATCCTGGCTAACACGGTGAAACCCCGTCTCTACTAAAAATACGAAAACAAAAAATTAGCCAGGCATGGTGGTGGGTACCTGTAGTCCCAGCTACTTGGGAGGCTGAGGCAGGAGAATGGCATGAACCCGGGAGGCACAGCTTGCAGTGAGCCGAGATTGCGCCACTGCACTCCAGCCTGGGCAACAGAGCGAGACTCCATCTCAAAAAAAAAAAAAAAAAGGTGGAATCCAACAACCCTGGGGCCCTTATAGGATGGGCTCCATATTGTGATCATGTCTACTCCCACTGCTGTTAAAGTTGCAGGTGTCACACCTTGGATTCACCATAGCTGGCTAAAACCAGCGGCAGCAGTGACTCCCCATGACGACCAGTGGACTAGCCAACAAGACCCAGATTGCCCCACCAGAACAGTCCTATGGCAAAACCCAACTACCGGTAAGAAGGACAACTGCCCTGCTCTGACCACACCGGAGGCTGGTCAGTCTACGCACAGGTGAAGCTTGAGAATCCTGCAAGCTCTGCTCTAGTCACAGCCCGGAAGCTGACTAGTCTATGCACAGCCGAAGCTAAAAGGACCATCTCCGGATAAGCAAATGTGGATACAATTTATAAGCCTAGCTATAATTCTGTCAATACTGGTTATTATGTTATGTTATTACTGCAAATGCTGCAAATGTCTATGCCCAGAGGAAGGTTTGCCATGCCCATGTGTAGTGTAAGCATGTTTCTATTATATACACTAATGTTCTTACCATTTCTGCCTATACTAAAAAAGGAGAAATCTCTAGAAAGATGCCCATACTGTGTACACACTACCTGGGTAAGAAACACCATAGTTAAAACTCTACTGTACCATACCTACTATGAATGTACAGGAACCAAGTTAGGAATCTGCACATACAACCAGACCACCTATTCATTCTGTGACCCAGGAAATAATCAGCTACATGTAGGTTATGACCCTAAACTCTTACCTTATGAATTCTGGTTTGAGGTACATATTAAATCAGAGGGAGAAAAAGAAGGAGAGCTTATAGCTCGAACCAAAGAAGCCCCTCCCTCCTATAAAAGGCGTAGTTCCTTGTACTTTGATGCCTGCCATGCCGCATATGTTCATAATCTTAAAAAAAACAGAAGCAGCCTGCAATGGTTTAACACAAGAGAGGCTGAGCAGGAACAGCCCTAAACATCTGTATGGAGAACCACAAATCGGATGCCCGGACCGTAACATTCAGTGGTCTATGCTAACACAGCTCCAACACTTATATTCAGGATGGACTGCTCTGCTAAGTAGTATGTCAGTCAAACTAAATTGTAAGACAAGGACATGCAATTCTTTAAATTTTACTATCTTAAAGCCAGAGCTACCTTTTTGGTCTACAGGGCAGGCAGCACTATTATGAGTTGATAGACAAGAAGCAGGCCTTGGAGTTCCACTACTGATTGTCAAAAAGACTAGAAGGACTCAAATGTGTCCAATCCCCCAATTCTGGGTCCATAAGTCATTCTATAAGCATTTTGATCAGCCAGTGCCTGAGCTTCCCCCATCACCCAAAAACATATTTGCTCAACTAGCTGAAAACATAACTGGCAGCTTAGGAATTTCCTCATGCTATGTATGTGGAGGAACTAATATGGGTGACCAGTGGCCATGGGAGGCAAAGGAATTAATGCCACAAGGTAACTTCACTTTGCCTAACCCTGCCAGTGAACCAACAGCCTCAGCCAGTGTTTGGTTGTTAAAAACCTCCGTAATTAAAAAGTACTGTATCACCCGATGGGGAAAGGCTTTCACAGAGGCAGCAGGAGAAACAACCTGCCTAGGGCAACAGCATTATGATGAGACTAAAAACAAAACTCTACGGAGAAATGCCCAGAATGACTCCTACTTACCAGGTCCAAACCCTTTCTCTTGATTCTCTACTCTAAGCCACACTTGGAATCAGCTAGAGGCTCCAAATGCTTGGAAGGCATCCTCTGGCCTATAATGGATCTGTGGAGCATGGGTACATCAGCAACTGCCGGCTAAATGGACAGGGGCATGTGTGTTAGGAACAATCAAGCCATCCTTCTTTCTAATTCCTCTAAAGCAAGAGGAACTCTTAGGATATCCAGTTTATGATGAAAATAAAAGAAGAACTAGAAGAAGCATAATCACAAAAATAGACACAAATGTCAAAAAGATGTGGACATAGGAGACTGAAAAGATAATGAATGGTCTCCTGAAAGAATCATTAAATATTATAAGCCAGCTATCTGGGTGCAAGACGGTTCATGGGGATATTGCACCCCAATCTATATGCTCAACTGCATCATAAGGTTGTAGGTAGTCCTTGAAATTATAACCAATGAAACACCAAGGGCACTAGGTTTATTGGCAATACAAGCAACACAAATAAGAAATGCTATACATCAAAATAGATGAGCTTTGGATTACCTCTTAGCCTCAGAAGGAGGAGTATGTAGAAAATTTAATTTAACCAACTGTTGCCTAGAAATCGATGATAATGGCCAAGCTATTATGGAAATCACTGCTAGAATGGGCGAGTTGGCCCATGTTCTAGTTCAGACTTGATCCGGGTGGTCCCTGGATTCCTTGTTTGGAGGATGGTTCTCAGCCTTTGGAGGATTCAAAACCCTCATTGGTAGGTTCTTGCTTATTCTTGGCAACTGCCTCATCCTCCCTTGCCTTTTACCCCTGCTTACTAGGAGTATTCAGTCAACTACAGAGGCAATAGTAACCCGACACACTACCGCACAGTTGATGGCATTAACCAAATATCAGCCACTGCCAGTAGAAGCAGCTCAGCTCCGCGAAGAGGTGGCAAGTAGTGGTGCTTTCTATTAACACCTTTGTTATAAAAAGCACCAAAGGGGGGAATGGAAATAGGAATTAAAAGAAATTAAAGAATATGTAAGCAGAAACTCAGTCGTATGTAAGAAAACCCAATTCCCCTGAGAAAGAGAAAGAGTTGGAGTCCTTTAAAAATTAACTGCCTGTTTTTCTGTGGCTAGTGAGCCTTATCTCTCCTCCTTTCCCAGGCATTGTGAAGACCCTGTTTCCCTAGCTGTGCAGCTGCAAGTTCACTAGACAGATAAACTCAAGTCATAAAACATGTTTTTCCTTGAAAACTAAGAAATGATGTAATGCATGTCTCAATTAATTGAATAACTGTCTCTGTTTCTCACTTCTGCAATATGCTTCCCCCTGCCCCACGAAATGCTTAAAAAGTAACTTAACTCTTTGTTCAGGGCTCAGTTCTTTGGATCTTAATCTTACTGGGCCGGTGCACCTAAATAATAAATATCCTCCTGAACCCCATCAGTCTCTCTGATTCCTTATCAATCCCACTACACTATGAGAACCTACATCTCAATGGTCAGGCATTGATCAGACATTGTGGCAATCCCCACATTTCTTGCCACAGGGCCCTGTCAACACAGCAGCCAACAAAGGTTTACTGAGTGAAGTACATATAGGTACAAAAAGACTTATAGAACCATTATTTTCACAATAAAACATCTTACCCCTGTTGCCCACTGCCAGAGAATAGCCATCATCTCTCTCCTTTCAAGGACCCTTGTAAATAAACACATACAAACTGACAGAAGCAGGAAATGTGAGGCAGCATGTTTAATCATCTCCATCTATTCGAAAACCCCATGAGATAGTTATCATTGTTATTCCCATTTTACAGATGACAAAACTAACACAAACGGAGAGTGATCAAGTGAGATTAGCCAGCTAGCAACAGGAAGCAAAGCAAAATTTCAGATTCCAGCAGTTTAGCTCCAGGAAGAGCCAGCCTGACGAGGAGACATCTTAGTTAAAATCAGAAAGAGGCTGTTAGATCGTCATCCCTTCCCATCTCTTTGAACGTGAATTGGTCAAATATTTTCCAGCTGTTTTCTTACCCATCCTCTGGGAACATGAGGTATGATGCGTGCACTCATCCATTAGGATCAGTCGTTGGGGTGACTGGAACCCACAGTACATGTAGGGGCCCACAAACTAGTTTAATTTCTTATATAAAATAAGGTTGATGAAAAGGGTCATTGTGCAAGCAAAAATAGAATGAGTCACTCAAACGATGGAGGATAGGTTCTATGGTTAAAACCTACTCTCTATATTCAGGACATTAACAAGTCCTGAAGTATCTACAAAACACTTCTTAAAGGAAGAATCTTAGAGCACTCAATCTGTCCTGGCTGTGATTATTTGACAATAAATAAAATGTATTTATTCCTAAACAAGAGCTCAGAAAGATATCTGTAGAAAAGGGCAGGAGTAGAGGAAAAGAGGGCTATGCAGCAGCAGGAAAGAAGGGAAATCACTGCAGGTCCACAGCACCAGCTCAGCACAGAAGGTAAGTGCGCATTTGTAATGGGTCTGTAGCCAGAGACATAGCAGAAGCTGCGCTATCCACAGTCACAACCAAAGGCAAAGGAAGGATGCCCTGCAATTTTAGAAATCTTGGCTGCAGCTGGGAACGGTGGCTCACGCCTGTAATCCCGGCACTTTGGGAGGCCGAGGTGGGTGGATCACTTGGGGCCAGCAGTTCCAGACCAGCCCAGCAAACATGGTGAAACCCTGTCTCTACTAAAAATACAATAATTACCCAGGTGTGCTGGTGCGCACCTGTAGTTCCAGGTACTCGGGAGGCTGAGGCACTCCTGAGTACCTGCACAATACATGCAAACACCCACCCCATCCTACTCCCCGGCCCCCCCGCCCTACTCCCCCCCTCCACCCTACGCCCCCCCGCCCTACTCCCTCCCCCGCCCTACTCCCCCCACCCCGTCCTACTGCCCCCACTCCAACACGTGCTCTCCCGTGCCCAAGGCAAGGCCAAGCCCCTGAGGCATGCGCACCTCAGCAGGCCCAACCCACAGCAAATAGTGGGAAGAGGAAAGGCAAGAGAGGAGGTCTCTAAGTGGATACACTGTTACTGAATCTAGGTACCCAGAAGATGGAGGTTGTAGTGAGCCCAGATAGTGCCACTGCATTCCAGAGACAGAGCGAGACTGTCTCAAAAAAAAAAAAAAAAAGAAAAGAAAGAAAGAAAGAAAGAAAAGAAAAGCAATCTCGGATGCTCTAAGCATCATTGTGCATGTTTCCACCCTTGCACTTTGATGTGGATTCATTACTAAGAATTAATAGTGGACTTTCTCAAGGAGTGTGCTGCATTTTTACATAGTGCATTTGCGCAGCCCACAAGCTTTGCAAATCCAGGCCCAAGCTCCTGCTCCTGGAGACCTAGGAAGCATGGGGCTAGTGCAAAATCTCCCTTATCGCCATAAAATGGGCTTGCACAATTCAGCACAGCAGCTTCCCCCAAGTTCCACACTCACGCATGCCTGTCTACAGGACAACGCATGCAAGCACGCACCCCATCCTACTCCCCCTCCCACGCCCTACTCCCCCCTCCCCCACACCCTACTACACCACTTACCCCTCCCCCCCCACACCACCAACGCGTGCTCTCCCTCATCCGGGCAAGGCCAAGCCCCTGACGCATGCGCACCTCAGCAGGCCCAACCCACAGCAAATAGCGGGAAGCAGAAAAGCAAGAGAGGAGGTCTCTAAGTGGATACACTGTTGCTGAGTCTAGACACCAGAAGAACGTTGCAGGCGGCGACTCACAGTTCTAGCACTGCCTAGGAGAGCGTGGTGGCCCCAGCTCAGAATCTGCAGAAGTGCACAGCTCCATCCACACCACTCAGGGTATGGAGCCTCCGGACCAGTGTAGCCAGTATATGACCAGCTTGCTCAGCCCTGCAGTCGACGACGAGAAAGAACTACAGGGTCAGTACCTTGATGGGACACATGCTTTTGCGAACTCAGGAAACCAAGGTTCTCTGGGAGAGGCGAGTAGACTGGATGATACCCCTGCACTACCACTGCTCTCAGAGTGTAGCCCCTCACCACCTCCTTCCAACACCCTCAGGACCAATGCCTTGATCTTTCTCTTGGGGTTTCTACTTTTCCAGATATGAATGCTATGGTGCTGTCGCTTACTGAAGAGGTCAAAGAGGAGGAAGAGGATGCACAGCCTGAGCCTGAGCAAGGCACAGCAGCAGGAGAAAAGTTAAAGTCGGCAGGAGCCCAAGGCGGAGAAGAAAAAGATGGCGGCGGAGAAGAAAAAGATGGCGGCGGCGCCGGAGTTCCTGGCCACCTATGGGAAGGAAACCTCGAGGGCACCAGCGGCAGCGATGGCAACGTTGAGGACAGCGACCAGAGCGAGAAGGAACCTGGGCAGCAGTATTCGCGCCCACAGGGCGCCGTCGGGGGGCTGGAGCCTGGCAACGCGCAGCAGCCCAACGTCCACGCCTTCACCCCATTGCAGCTGCAGGAGCTGGAGTGCATTTTCCAACGCGAGCAGTTCCCCAGTGAGTTCCTGCGGTAAGCCCATTGCTCTGGTTGGCGCGCGGTTTGCAGGGAGGCGGCGTTTGGCTTTCCCGCAGTCCCTCTCCTACCCTCTCCCCTCCTGAACCAAAACCCATCTGGGGCCTGGTGTTGCTGCCGTCCCCTCCCCGCAGACCCCTGGCACCTAGTGGGTTCTGTAGTGGGGCTATGCCTATTAGGCATCATGCAGAATTTAAATGAACCAAGTTGGGCAACTTTGGGCTGAGGTCAGTTATGATAAATAACTCCTATCCCAGGCGAGGCAGAAATAAAGATGAGGAGATTAAGGTTCTGTACAGCAAGTGCAGGGTCGCATTCTGACCTTATTTAAAATTCTGAGAAGTCCGTCGTTCGTCTGGGTTTCCTTTGGTGTTAATTTTTCTAAGTTTCAAATAGTAAGTTAGAATGTCATTTATATTGATTAACGATTTTTTTTGTTATGGGGGGGTTATTTTTTTATTTTTTGGAGAAGGAGTCTCGCTGGGACACCCAGGCTGGAGTGCAATGGTGCGATCTCGGCTCACTGCAACCTCTGCCTCCCAGGTTCAAGAGATTATCCTACCTCAGCGTCCCAAGTAGCTGGGATTACAGGCGCCAGCCACCACGCCCGGCTAATTATTGAATTTTTAGTAGAGACGGGGTTTCACCATATTGGCCAGGCTGGTCTCGAACTCCTGACCTCAAGTGATCCTCCTGCCTCGGCCTCCCAAAGTGCTGGCATTACAGGCGTGAGCCACCGCCCTGATTTTTTTTTTTTTGGCATCTCCTTTATTTGTGGCATGAGAGAAATGTTCCTAATGTGAGGCTCAGCTGGGTGTTACAGAACAGCCTACTGGGTGTGGGGAGTTGGTAGAATAAAAAAATTAAACACAAGAATGAAACGACACCCACAACTCCAAATGCTGAACACGTGTGGTTTCTTCCATAGAAGGAGGCTGGCAAGAAGCATGAATGTGACTGAACTCGCAGTGCAGGTCAGTAAACCGAAAAAGCAATCGGGCAGGGGAGCCATTCTAAAACCCGCTTCAGGGCTTGGACACACTTTGACCCAGACATTGCCATCTTGGTGTTTTTGTGGCCTTTTTCATGTATAGGCAATGAGGTCTGAACTTTGGGATCTTTGTGGCTGGAAAATGCGGTAAGGAAAGCTCAGCTTGTGGAAATTTCCCATTACCAGAGGGAACATGACAATCCACGGAAAAAAAAATGAGTACTGAACTGTTTCCTTTATTCCTTGTGTATAAAATATATTATACACTTGAATAAATTACAAATATATAAATATATGTATTCCAAATTACAAATATATATAATATATAACAGTATAAATTAAATATAGCATAATATATAAGATTGAATTCCTAGCACTGGTATCCTTTAGGTAGCACTTCCATGTGGAGGCATCCTGGGGTTTTCTGACATGGGGATTATTCGAACTAATGCTCCAAAGAGCTCCATTAAACTAAACTATTTAATATATTTAAAACCAAGCATAAACTCTTTGGTTAAGAATTTATAAATGTTTAGGCATTGGGGTAAAGGAATAATTCCCAACCAGAACGTATGTTTCCTTAAGCTGAGACTGATGGCGGGGGATAGCATAAAGTTCAAGTGCCTGGCCCTCCTACTATTGTTTTTAAGTATTTGGTGAAGCCTTGTAGAGAGTGGCAGCTCTAAATTTTAATTTTCTGGAATACTTTGATATGGCAGGCTGAAAACATTGCTGACATAGTTGGTTTTGCATTATGGTAGAGATAGCGAAAAGGCTTGCAACCTTTGCAAGTTTATCTAGAAACCAAAACAAACTACAAGATCAATTTTTCATAAATTTCCACCAACCTAAGGATGGAAGTGTTAGGCAAGAATTGTATACAGTCACACTCATGGCTTGGGGAAGCTGCCCCCATTCAACTTTTGAAGCTACCAAATGCATCAGTGAATATTTTCTTGATCAATTTCTAGCATTTAAGAGATTTTTTGTTTCTTCCAGTTTGTTGTACTAACAGGAAGAGATGTGTTTTGTGGAATGTGTTGATAGTGGGGGATGGCTGTCAGGTCAGGCTAGACTCTTACCTGTGGTAATTTGAAATACCTTTTTATTTATTTGCTCAGGCTGTGATAATAAATTTGTAGGTCAGTGGATCCAAAGGAGTATTTGCAAAAAAGGAAGAAAAGAAAGAAAAATCGGGATGACCTTAACAGCTTTTCTGCAGAGCTCATGTGTGTGAGTGCAGTGAGGGAACTATGCTGCGGTTCTGTCAATGGTGGCATGCAGAAAAGCTGCCTGACAAAACGGGGCACTGAGTGTTGGCATCCTGTTGCCCTCCATTTTCTCAGGCAGGCAATGCCAATTTGGGGGAGATGAAATATTGACGTTTTGGTGAATTGCCTTTCCCCTCCCTGGGTTTACATAGCATTCACTCAATGCAGTTCTGAAGGCAAAAGGACCACTCTCACTCAGCAAATAAGGAAAAAGGCATGATGTTCTCATCTATTGCCAAACATTTCAGCATGAATATCTCCAAAAATTTTTAATAGATGTTTCCCCCCTCTGTTTTGTAAAGATAGTAAGGGCTGGTTTATGAAACCGATACTGAGACTAGGGACCTAATGTTGTCCCATAGCACATTTGGCCCACTTTTGGCATTGCTTATGTTTATGAACCTTTGACCACAGGTACATTGGAATTGTCTCTAAACAAGCACTATTACGGTAGGCTTAAAATTTAGACTATGTATTCATGAGGGAGAAGGACTCCAAATAGTAAGATGGGAGAAGGAAATGGGGCATCAAACAGGGAGAAGAGTCCCTTTGTCCCATAAAATTTGCAGTTTGGGAACTTCCAGAAGGATCAAAATACAATGGAAATGTCATTAACTAGAAGCTTGGGGGATAGTGTTGTTTAATTGACAGGTTTTATTTTTTGGTCTTTTAACAATTGGCAGGTGTTTGGGGAGTAGTGTTTTTTGATACCTCCTCCACATTACTACTGAACGTGTTCAGAGTTGCCTATTTGGACACTCCCGCTTTGGGAATGCTGATGAGATTGGGATCTTCTGCTCGAGTAGTGAGGCTAGATGGCTGAAGGCGTCCCATGGAACTGGGCAACCAAGTCTCTGTCCCATATCCCAGGACTATAGGGAGAACAAAGTGAGCTGACCTTGTCCTTAGCCCAGGAAGATTTGGAGGGAGGGATGAGTTGGAGCGTGCAGAATTAGCAATGCTTCCTTTCTCCCAAACTCTCAACTGGGCAAAGCTTTTTGAGAATTTTTGTGAATTTGGACAACATTTGTGTCCTCCTTCCACAAAGCTTCAAGCTGAAGTGTGAAGAGTGTCCAGGGCTTCAGATACCCTCATTTCCCAGCAAGACAATCCACAAACTCCCTGGGCCCCCTATAACGAGACTTGCCTTGCAATATACCATCTTTTTAATTCTCAAGGAGTTTCAGAAGATGAATGACCCCTTAGAATTTCTTGAAGGAAAGAAAACTTGTTTTAAAATACAATGTACTCTTACCGATTTTTTACTTTACACTGAAGATGGGCTTTTCAAAACGGGGGCCTCATCTTCTTGGTATGACTTTAAAAGGCACCCCCGCCTTTTTTTCCAAGCTCAGCTTCCCCCACGACCAGGGTGACAGTGGCCTAGTAAGTAGGAGTTGGTGGGCAGCTGGGTAGCTGATGGTCAAGTATCTGCAAGCAGACATGCCACACATAGCAATACCAGCAGGGATCGAGTCCCACTCATCAGCTACACCTGCACCCAAGAGTGGAAAAAGTAATATTACAGATAAAAGGAGAGAGACAAAGAAATAAGCCAGGCCAGAGCGTACGTAGCACATACTTGGAGCTCACTAGGGGAAAGGTGTGGTGGTCACCTTTCTAAGATATTTTAGTAGTAAGGAAGTAGCTTGTCTTGATACACCCGAAAAGGTTAAGGACATAGAGAGTTGCTTGTTGTGTTTTTTTCCATGATGAAATTAAATGCTCAGTATACTAAACCTGTTTCTTTTTTCCTCTGATTGAAGATTTGGTTTGAGAATAGAAGAGCCAAATGGAGGAGACATCAGAGGGCATTAATGGCAAGAAACATGCTGCCCTTCATGGCAGTGGGCCAGCCTGTCATGGTAACCGCAGCTGAGGCCATAACGGCACCCTTGTTCATCAGCGGGATGAGAGATGATTACTTCTGGGACCACAGCCATTCCAGCAGCCTGTGTTTCCCCATGCCACCCTTTCCTCCTCCGTCCTTGCCCCTTCCACTCATGCTTCTTCCACCTATGCCACCCGCTGGCCAGGCTGAATTTGGCCCATTCCCTTTTGTTATCGTGCCTTCTTTCACATTCCCCAATGTCTAAGGGATAGCCTCTGTGCCACTTTTTGCCAGAGTGTCTTTGAGCCAGATTCATATTTTGCATAGCACCCCATCAAAAGTAGTTCATCAAATGTCTATTAAACGTTTTAAAGAAAAGTACATCATTGACCCATTTTTAGGGCACTTGTAAAAATGTTTCTATAAATATGTGAAGGGTATGTACATTTGTTTTGTGTGTCACATGGGGTCAGTAAGTTCTCAATAAAAATTGTTAAGAAATGCCATTCAAACCGAATGTCACGGACTCTCGTCTCATGCAGTAATCTTGAGTCACCATCTGGGGGCTGTGCATGTCACAGAATTTTCCCATGTGCCCATGGCAGGCTTACACCGACCCAGACATTCTCTTCCACCCCCACCCCCAACACCCCATACTCATCTCCTCTCTGCCCCCATTGATACCAGGTACATGTGCAGGATGGGGTGGTGTGAGTCCCTAATGAGAGAATAGTGTGTTTCAAGTTACTGCCAGGGTGGAAAACAGCAAAACCAAAATGGTATCGGGAAGGAAGCCATGCCCACTCTTAAAAATTCATTAAGTTTTTTCTTGCTATGGAAGACTTCTTTAAAGTAATTTTCTTGTAAAAGTGTAAGTGTAAATAATGCCATGAAATTATACACTTATTTAATGGCTAAAATGGCAAATTTTTATATGGTTTACCACAACAAAAGAAAAGAAAAAATATACCAAAAAGTTTTTAAAAAGTGATCATGAACATTGTGGTCATCCTGTGAAGTGATTGCAATGCCTGCAGATAAGGAGTGATGGTTACAACAGTATTTTCTCTGAAAATTATTTGATGGCCAGTTTCATAATGATTATGTTTTCAGCCTGAAGGAAAATTCCATTTTCTTGGGTGAGCATGAACTTTCTGTCAGGCTGTCTGCTGCTTTTCATTCCCCACTTCTCTCTTCACAATTGTGGGTGTCAAGCTTCAGCCACGCAATTGCATTTGGTGTGAGGGTTTTGCAAGGAGAAGGAGGTTTATTCATACCCCTGAAGCCACAAGCCTTGGTGGGAATAAGGAAAGTCCATGAATTCACTATGCATTAATGCATGCCTCTTGGCCAAGTGGATTCTTTTTTCTTCTCCGATTGAGATTTTCCTTTTTTTTTTTTTTTTTTTTTTTTTGCTCTTGTTCTCATTGTATTGTGCTTTGTATAATTATTTACAGTAAGTCGCGCATGTCAGTGTACATTCCGTCTGGAAATTGTTTCCATTTGGTACATTTTGTGCCAGTCGGTCTATTCCTGCTCATTATTTTGTTTTTTCTACATTCAGACTGAAACATTTGGTAGCCTACAGATACTCAGAAATAGGCAAAGAAAGGTAAAAGGGGAGGAGGGGAGATTGAAGTCATACTTCCATTATCCCTCCCCGTGGTTATCAGATTCATAAAATTTTTACACCATCAAAAGACATTTTTAGCCATATATGTTTCCTTTATGTAGAAAATGAGATCTCCTATACTCAGTTGGCATTTGTTTTCATGTATCTGATAAGTACCTGTTAGAATTATAGGTCAAGATGTTGTCTAGCTCTGGTAACCTAGATCCTGAACTTCAAAGCAGAGTTCTTGGACCTTAAGAAATTCAAATTTGTAGAATTATAGTTAGGATGTCATTTACTGACCTTGAACAACACATTGTTTAGGTAGCATACAATGGGACTAGTTCAAGGGGCTGGGTGGAGAACAAGTTACAATTTTTTCTGATGGAGAACATTACTGGAGACAGTACCCTTTAAAACTTTCATTCCCTTTTTATTAGCAGCTAACGTCTTGTATGCCTTTACTATGTGACAAGCAATAAAATAATGTCCTTGGATGATTTTGTTTGATGCTCAAATGAATCCTAATAGTGAGGTTCTAGCATCTTCATTGAAAGAAGAGGAAACTTATCCATGGTGCAAAGCTAATCAGAGGAACAGGATCTGAAGCCAAATTTGTCTGCCTCCAGAGCCCATGCTTTGTCAAGTTTAATTCAGCGGTGGTGCACTGGGATGCCACAGTTAGGGCAATCTGGCTTCCAATCCCAGATGCACCACTTCCCAGCTGTTTCCCCCTGGGCATTTTACTTAAGCTCTGTAGTATCATTATTATTCTCTATAAGATGATAATATTATATCACAGAATTGATGAGAGGGATAAATAACATATGTAAGTGGCCTTCCACAATGCCCAGCCAGAGTAAGCACACAGAAATGTTTTCTACTATTATTCTATATTATCTCCTATCATCATATTATTATAACCTGTTGTTCCACCTTTCCTATGTGGTATAACAGAAAGAGATCTGATTAAAAATAAGGTGGTCTGGGTTCTTGCTGCAGCTCTACGCTGTCTTTGTTACCTTGAATGAGTCGCTTAACCTACTATATCTCTGTTGTCTCATGTGTTAGGCCATTCTTGTTTTGCTATAAGGAAATGCCTGAGGCTGAGTAATTTATAAAGAAAAGAGGTTTAGTTGGCTCACAGTTCTGCAGGCTTAACAGGAAGTGTGATGCTGGCATCTGCTTCTGGTGAGGACCTCAGGAAGCTTACAGTCATGGTGGAAGACAGACTGGGAGCAGGCATCTCACATGGTGAGAGCAGGAGCGAGAGAGTGGGTGTGGGAGGTGCCACACACTTTTAAACAACCAGATCTTGTGATAACTCGCTCACTATTGCAAGGACAGCATCAAGCCATGAGGTTTCCACCCCCATGACCCAAACACGTCCCAACAGGCCTCACCTCCAACATTGGGGAAAATAAGGATTACATTTCAACATGAGATTTGGGCAGAGACAAATATCCCAACCATATCATCTCACCTATGGAATCATGACAGTAATAGCATGACTCATGTATTTGGAGTAGGTTTAGTGGTAAAAGTTTATCAGGCATATTTCAAAAAATCAGAAAAAATAGGAATGAATGCCTTATGAAAAAAATCATTTCACGCATTGTTTTCTAGAGTGTGGGGAGTACCATTCATGTTTATATGCATGCTCGCCCCCATTTTCCCAGATCAACAATTACTGTTTGTCCTTTCTTGACAGAGAAAAGGAATCAAATGAAGTGAATAATATGGAGAGGAATTTTTTAAAGTGAGCAGAGTGGATATTTGTAAAGGCTTTTCCATGTTTTCGCTATGGTAGTGATAACTGTGGCTGTCTGTATAAAAAGGGTGTATCATTTAAACATGCCCTGAAATGGTTAATGATGAAATTATGTGATGTCTCGATGTGCTTCCAAATAATCCCAGGTTGGGTGCAGGGATGTTGGAGAAATCAGCAAGGCTACTGATGAAACAAGACTGGATATTAATAATTGTTGAATGTGGGTGGTGGCTATATGAGTGTTCATCTTATGTTTGTTTTATATATTTTGGACATTTCCTATAATTTTTAAAAAAATAGTAAGGGTCGAAAACCTAGCTGCTAACAGGGCCGGGAAGGTAACATAAATGAAGAAAACAAGCAGAGTGGGGACTGGTAAACTGGGAAAGGATATGTCTCCCCCAAAGGGAATGGCCACTACTCTGCTTCAGCCTAATTTTTCTGGTCAGGACTTTGGGGTCCAGATCTGGCAGATTTTCCAGTTTGTAAAGATTGGCCAGAAATAAGTGTTTACATGAAACCTTCTGATCCTTAGATCTGAGCAATCGATTCAAATATGTTTTATTTAAAATTACACTGGTCATCCGAAACAGATCTGCAGACCAGATATAGGATGCAGCTTCCAGTTTGCAACCTGTACTTGAGAAGGTAACTTTAAGCAAATTCAAAACCGTGGAGCAATAGAATATGATTGAAAGCAACTCTAAAGCCAGCAATCCTAGGATGCCATCATTCCACCTCATTTTTTTTCTCATTATAAGTCCTGTTCTCATGTGATAAAAGAAAAACTTCAGCCAAATTAAATTTAAAGGAGTTTAATTGAGCAATGGACGATTTGCAAATCGGGCAGCCCCCAGAATGACAGCAGATTCACAGAGACTCCAGTGCAGCCATGTGGTGGGAGAGTTATAGACAAAAAAGGGAAACTACATACAGAAATCAGAAGTGAGATAGAGAATGGCTGGATTGGTTACAGCTCGACGTTTGCCTTATTTGACATTTTCATTTTACCAATAATTTTTAAAACTCTCTTTATTTCCCAAAAATTACTTAAGACACATGAACTAAAAGGCATTACACTTTTTACTTTTCTGACAAAATATGTTATTTAAGCTTTTATTATTTTTAAACCAATTAGTGAAAGCTCTTTTATATATAAACATCAAACACATAATACATATAAATCCATAGACAGAAGTTAAAGGACTCATTTTCCAAGCCAGGAATTGAACCCTGAACCCAGGCTGCCATTGTGAAGAGAAAGCATGGCCACATGGTTACAAGGTCAAGCTCCCAAGGACATACAAGACAAGAGGGAAACCTTATCCAGTTTTTGTTTTGTTTTGTTTTTTGTTTTTTCCAGGGACCTGCAGCAAAGCTTATAAGTGATCAGTTTGCTTGGCTGTCTTGAACAGCGGGCTTACAGGTGTCCTAAGCCTGTATTCTATCCTAAGGTACCCCTCATTAATGACAGAAAATACGGAAAGACACACAAAGCATACCAAATTTGGTACAGCTTAAGACTAGCCTTACAAGTGCTTTTTCTGATTAATTTAAACTTTACAGGAGAGTAACAGTGATTTTTACCATTTATTCAACCTGTTTGCACAGAGAGAGAGAGAGAGAGGCCAGGAGTCTGACTGGTAAGAAATTGTTACCTGTTTGCCAGCATGCCAGGCTTCTGTGTTCCGTTTCCCTAAGTGGCCCTAGTGACCCACCTCGCTGCACCATAGACCTGGGGGGCCAAGCCGCAACACAAAGGAAAATTATCTTTTTCTGTTTGGGCCAGAGTAAAATATGTGTGACGAAACATAGACATCAGCTACTCTGCTTAGCACCCAATATTAAACTGGCAAGGCTTAAATTTGTCCTTAGATGGCTCCCGTCATCTTTAATCCAGCTTCTGACTAGGAATTTCAACACGTCCCTGGGCAAGATGGTCACCCTGAGTAATAGAAAAGATAAGAAAGGGAAAGGAGAGAGAGAAAAGCATTGCCTGTGGCAGGGTGGGGAAGGTGAAGAGCTCACAGAGGCCAGAGAAGGACCCACTCATTCATTGCAGTGACACTGAAAATGAAAAGTTCAGGGGACCACTTGCCAGTAGTGAAGGGATCTTTTCCAGCAGTTCCATCAGCTGTCAGGATTCCCCTTCTGGGGAGGAAAAAGCTCCCCATCTCCCACGGTCCTGCACATGCCTAATCCTGTCACCCATAGCCGTCAGCAAAAAGTGTAAGACCGATTAATCCAAAGAGAATAGCACTTAACATTCCATAGTGCCAAACCCGTCCTTAGCCAAAAGGGATTTTACCAAGAGCCCTCATTTTTAAATGTATTTCAATGTGTTGTTGTTCATTTGGAACGTTCCACTGTAAGTACAAGCGATTCTACTGCCTCAGCCTCCCGAGTAGCTGGGACTACAGGTGCATGCCACCACGCCCAGCTAATTTTTTGTATTTTTAGTAGAGATGGGGTTTCACTGTGTTTAGCCAGGATGGTCTCGGTCTCCTGACCTTGTGATTCACCTGCCTCGACCTCCCAAAGTACTGGGATTACAGGCTTGAGCCACCGCACCTGGCCTCTTGTTCTCTTATTTTCTCCCGAACATACAGAATCGCTCTCTCTGTTCTGAGCCAACTAAAGCTGGGGGTGGAGTGACATAGGTATTAACACCCCTGTGGTCACCACCACTATGACTGTGCTGGGTCAGACCTGAAGCCAGCACAGCACTGGGTCTCACCCAAGGCCTGCTGTAACCACTCCCTGGCTACTGTCTCTCTGTTTGCTTAAGACCCTGGGCTCTACAATGAGCAGGTGGCAAAGCCAGCCAGGCCTGTGTCCTTCCCTCCAGGTCAGTGAGTTCCCCCAGGCCCCAGGTGGGTCTAGAAGTATCATCCAGGAGTCAGGGACTAGAGTCAAAAACCTTCTAAGTCTACCTGGTGTTCTATTGTATTGCAGCTGAGCTGGCACTGAAACCATAAGACCTAGTCCTTCCTGCTTTTCCCTCCCCTTTCCAAAGGCAAAGGAGCCTCACTCCACAGCCACTGCCACCCCTGGCCACAAGGAGCACTGACAGACTACCATCAATGTTCCGTTAAGGCCCAAGGTCTCTTAAGTTAGCTTGTGGTGAATGCTGCCTGGTCTGGGACTCATCCTTCAGGGCAGTGGGCTCCCCTCTGGCCTGGGGCAGGTCCAGAAATGCTGTCAAGTCCTGGAATCTGGAACCTCAAGAACCTGCTTGGTGCTCTAGCCCCCGTGGTGGTGTTGGTACCTGAAGCCAGCAAGTCTCAGAGGCTCATGATGGCCCTCAATGTAGTGCCTGTGCATTGCTGTTGGTTATTCAGGGCCCAAGGGCTCTTCAGTTAGCGGGTGATGAATGCTGGCAGGATGGGGTCCTTTCCTTCAAGGCAGTGGGTTCCCTTCTGGCCCACAGTTTGTCTAGAAATGTCATTTGGGAACTAGGGCTGGAACAGGGGCCTGTTGACTCTGACTGGAGCCCTATCTTGCTGTGGCTGAGTTGGTATCCAAGATGCAAGACAAAGTCCTCCCAACTCTTCCCTCTCCTCTCCTCAAGCAGAAGGAAGGGCTCTCTTTTAGAGCCACAAGCTGTGCATCCTGGGGTTAGGGGAAAAGTGATGCCAGCATTCCCTTGGCTGTCCTAGCTAGTGTCTCAGCATGTTGTGTTCCCCGCCCCGCCACCCCCAATCCACTGTGTCTGGGCCTAGTTCAGCCCTAGGACTTACCTAAAAGTTGCAGTCCTTATGGCCTAGGCTGCCTTTCAAGTTTACTTAGAGACTGACAGCACTTTGGCCCTTCATGGTGAGGTTTGCAGGTACTCAAGTTCAGACTGCTGGGATCAGTGATTCCCCTCTGGCTAGGGCTGGTTTAAATGCTCCCTCTGTGAGTGGGCATCAACTGAGTTTGATCTGGTTTTCCTTTCTGCTGTAACAGGACATTGCTGAGTGCAATGCTTCACAATTGAATTGTGAAGCAAAAGAACTGTGTTCTCTCTTCCCCAGTGCCCAGAAACACTCTCCACACCATGCCATGGCTGCCAGGGTGGGGAAGGGGTAGCATTGGTGATTCAGGATTGTTTTCTATATCTCTTCAGTGCCTCTTTCAGTGATATGAAATTAAAACCAGGTACTGTAAGTGCTCACCTGATTTTTGGTTTTTAAGAAGGTGTTTTTTTCTGTGTAGGTAGTTGTTAACTTGGTGTCCTTGCACAGAGTGGCAGGAGGACGATCAGCGGAGCTTTCTATTCTGCCATCTTCGTCTGCCTCCTTTCCTAGCCTCATTTCCCCCTGCTTCCTCCTCTGCCCCCTGGGTCCTGAGCACATGGGTCTTGAGAACACACCAAGCTCCTTCCCACCTTGGGGCCTTTGCACTGGCTGTTCTCTCTGCCTGGAATGCTCTTCCTACAGGTTTTTGCATGGCTGCCTCCTTTACTGCATTCATGATTCTGCTCAAATGCCCTCTCTAAGCACCTGAGCTAAAATCCCTAACCCCGCAGTCTCTCTACTTTTTTGTTTGGTTATTGGCTCTCTTGTTTAATCTCTGTCTTCCTACCAGAGGGCAGGATTCAGAATTTAAACAGTGCCCTAGCACATAATGAGAGCTCAGTTATCTTCTGTTAAAGATAAAAATGAAGCCACACTTTAGGTGTACCCGAAGGCCAACCACTCATAACCAGGTAACCAAAATTTAATTCTTCCCAATTTCCCCAAAACACTGTCTCTAATCATAAATATCAAACATAACCTTTACATCTTTGTCAGCATGATTCAGTGAAATTAAACCAATCAGCTATAGGCAAATCAGTTTAAACAGCTCTGTTTACCTTAAAAAGAATGATAACGTAAAACAGCCAACCACAAAAAAAAATCAAAATATTCTCCTTTATGCTTTATAAAGTGTGCTATGACTGCCATAAGGTGAGCTTTCTACCACTTTGTTTGAAGTCTCCTGGGTCATGAGCTGTACTTTCTCTTACTGTATAACAATAAACTTTAAAATGTTTCCTAACTTGATCTGATTCTCATTTTGACACTTCCAATAATCTTGAGAAATGCTCCTGAGCACTTTGGGTCTGGTATTCTTAGAGAGGGCAAACATTCTCATTTTTCAAAGGGGAAGTTGAGGCCCAGAGAGAGACAGTGACTGCCTGAAGTCATAAAGTTCCAGCACTCTCTTTCCTTACTCCCTTGTTCTCCTGGTCTTGGGGACATCAGACATCTTTAAACATTTGGTCTCACCATAGAAACTTTGAGATCCAGTGCATTAGGGTTCCCTAGAGGGACAGAACAAATAGGATATAGATATAGATATATATATATATATGTATATGTAGGAGATATAGATATATATATGCATATGTAGGATATATATATGTATATGTAGGATATATATATGTATATATATACAGAACTTATATATATATATACAGAATATATATATATATATACAGAACTAATAGGATATATATATATCCTCCATATATATATATCCTCCATATATATATATCCTCCATATATATATATCCTCCATATATATATATCCTCCATATATATATATCCTCCATATATATATCCTCCATATATATATATATCCTCCATATATATATATATATATATATCCTCCATATATATATATATATCCTCCATGTATATATATATGGAGTTAATTAAGCATTAACTTACATGATCACGAGGTCCTACAGTAGGCTGTCTGCAAGCTTGAGGAGCAAAGAGATCCGGTCTGAGTCTCAAAACTGAAGAACTTGGGAGTCCGATGTTCAAGGGCAGGAAGTGTCCAGCATGGGAGAAAGAGGTAGGCTGGGAGGCTAGGCCAGTCTCTCCTTTTCACATTTTTCTGCCTGCTTCATATTCACTGGCAGCTGATTAGATTGTGCCCACCAGATTAAGGGTGGATTTGCCCTGTGCAGCCCACTGACTCAAATGTTAATCTCTTTTGGCAACACCCTCAGAGAACACCTAGGATCAATATTTTGTATCCTTCTATCTAATCAAGTTGACACTCAGTATTAACTGTCATACCCAGAGTGGCTGTTACTTCCCAAAAATATTCAGTCTGTAATTGATAAAGTGGGGTTTTTATCCTGGTATGTCAGACTTGTGGCTGAGACTTTCTGACACTTGTGAGGCTGGAAGGGAAAGAGGCAGTGGATAAAGTGGGCCTTGGCTTGTTCTCATAGGTTGCAATTAACATCTGAAGCACTTGCTTTCAACCTGAAGAACTTCATTATTTCTTGTGAGGTGGATCTACTAACAACAAATCCTCCCATTTTTATTTAACTGGGAATGTCTTTGCCTTCATTTCTGAAAGGTAGCTTTGCTGGATGTAGGATTCTTGGTTGATAGTTTTTTCTTTAAGCATTTTGAGTATTTAATCTTACTGCCTCCTGGCCTTCATTGTTTCTGCTGAGAAGTCAACTACCAATCTTACTGGGGTAAGTGATGAGACATTTTTCTCTTGCCACTTTCAAGATTTTCTCCTTGATCTTAGCCGGTTTTACTATGATGTAATCTGTTTGTGGATTCTTTACATATATCCTTCTTAGAATTCACTGAGCTTCCTGAGTGTGTAGGTTATTGTTTTTAAAATAAATTTGGGAAATTTTCTGCCATTATTTCTTTGACTATTTTTTCTGCTCCTCTCTATCTCTTCCTTTCATCTCCTCTCTATCTCTTCCTTTCTTCTAGTAGATCCCACTTAGGTTTGTGTGGCTGATGGTGTCCTACATTTGTCTGAAGCTCTATTTATTTTTCTTCACTCTTTCTTCTCTCTAGTCTTCATCTTGCATAATCACTATCAATCCTGTTTCAAATCTGCTAATTCTTTCTTCTGCCAGTTTAAATGTGCTATTGAACCTGCTAGTGATTTTTTCATGTCAGTTATTGTACTTTTCAGATTCAGAATTTCCATTTGGTTCTTTTAAAATAATTTCTATCTCTTTAATGATATTTTCTACTGGATGCAACATTGTTATCATACCTTTATTTTCTGAATCATGCTTTCTTTTAGTTCAGTAAACATATTATTTTTTTTCTCTGTAGAGATGGAGGTCTTGCTATGCTGACCAGGCTGGTCTCAAACTCCTGGCCTCAGGCAATCCTCCCGCTTCAGCTTTCCAAAGTGCTGGGATTACAGGTATGAGCCACCACACCTGGCCTGCAAACATATTTATAATGGGTATTTTGAAGTCTTTCTCTGTTAAATCCATCATGTGGTTGCTCTCACAGGCAGTTGGTGTTGTCTGCTTTTTTTCTGCTGTATGGGGCATACTTTCCTGTTTCTTTGCAGGTCTGTATTTGTCTGTTCTCACATTGTTATAAGGAAATAGCCGAGAGTGGGTAATTTATAAAGGAAAGAGGTTTAATTGACTCACAGTTCAGCATGGCTGGGGAGGCCTCAGGAAACATACAATCATGGCAGAAGGTGAAGGGGAAGCAAGGCACCTTCTTCACAAGGCAGCAGGAAGGAGAAGTGCAAGCAGGAGAAATGCTAGACGCTTATAAAACCATCAGATCATGTGGGACTCACTCACTATCACGAGGACAGCATGGGGGAAACCGCCCCCATGATCCAATTACCTCCACCTGGTCCCATCCTTGACACATGGGGATTATGGGGATTAAGGGGATTACAATTCAAGATGAGATTTTGGGTGGAGACATAGACAAACCATATCACATGCCTCATAAACTTTTTGCTGGAAATTGAAATCATTTCTGAGACATGGTCCCACTCTGTCACCCAGGCTGGAGTGCAGTGGTGCAATCATGGCTCACTGCAGCCTCGACCTCCTAGGTTCAAGTGATCCTTCCACCTCATCCTCCTGAGTAGCTGGGACTATCAGCGTGCACCATTCCACCTGGCTAATTTTTTTTTATTACTTTTGTAGAGATGGGGGGTCTCTCTGTATTGCCCAGGCTGTTCTTGATCTCCTGGGCTCAAGTGATTCTTCCACCTTGGCCTCTCAAAGTGCTGGGATTACAGGTGTGAAGCATTATGCTTGGCCACAAAATTTTTGATAATATGTTGTAGCAACTGCCCCCAACCCTGGCCTCTGGGACTTGTTATTTGCTGGTATATTTTTTTTAGTGATTGGCTGGATTATTTTAATGAAGCTTATTCCTTCTCCTCATAGTCTTAAGCCTCTGATGTTGCTCTTCAGGAAGACATGACTTTGGGTGTGTACACCGTCACTCTAGGATGGCAGTGGTGTTAGTAGGGCTCTCTGTCTTTCCCTTACCATGCCCAACTATTAAACTCCACTAATTGCCTGCTGATCATTCTATTGTTTTCAGCAATGCTCTAGGACATAAATTGTTCTACAAACTAATTCAATTAAATTGTGGTTTATTTGAAGGAATAGTTTTTGAGGTCCACGTCTGATATTTGTTCTGATACCAGGAGTGCTCTTACCAGCCATCTTATTTCCTGGTTTTCTCCTGAAAACTATCCAGCTTACAGGCCATGCTTTATCTTCATTAGATCCACAAATCTCAACTGCCTTGTATGACAACGTCCACTGTTCTTGAGAGCACTCTTAGCTTTGAACTTTACACTCTGTTGCAAATGAAGTCAATCCCTTTGGGAAGAGATTAGGAGCTACCTGTTTTGTAGCCTGTTCCTCCTCCAAGGCAAAATCTTTGAGCAAGAGCTCTAGAGACAAGGTGGGGACGGTGGCAAGCTTCTGCCTGAATGGCAACCCCTTTCTATGGGCTGAGGCCTTGGCAGAGTGGGGTGCAGCAGCCTAAGGTGCTCTCGGCTTGCCTCTTCAGCATGTAACCACCACCTCATGAGCGAGGCAAGGAAAACTTGAGCCGCGGTTTCCTCAGTGTGTTGCATCTAAGGTAGAGCCTCCATTAAATAACTGGGGGACAGAGTCGGCAGATTAAATGAGCCACCATCACTCAGCTGTACTCACCTGATACTTAGCCTCAGAAACAAGTAGCTGGTGTCAGTATGAATGATGCTGAAGTGCTGCTCCTCTTGGGAAGAAAGTCCTCTGGCTGGGAGCCAGAGGGGAGAGGGAGCCCTATGCTCTTGTCTGCAGCAGTCTGAAGTAGAATCTCTGCCTTACTGATCTGGGAGGGGAAAAGGAAGAAGCTGTAGTGATTCAAATACCACAGACTTGCTTTTCTTATTGAATTTTTGTAGGTTCTCTTAGAAAGACGTTTCTTCATTTGCTGTTTTCCCTTAGGACCATTTCCAGGGGCTTTAAGTTGTTGTTTTAAAAATAATATTTACCACTTTCACTTGGGAGTGCATCAGCAGAGTTCCTCAAGCTGTCATGCTGGAAGTTGAACTCCGTGTTTGGTACTTTTTTCATTTGCACAGTGATCTTGTTTTTTCTATGCCTAGACAAGGTTATGAAGTGGTATTTTTTTTCTCACTTCGTCAAGATCACAGAGTGATTTTGTCTGGCAGTAGTGCTCTGTGAGACTGTTTATGTTCAACAGGAAAACATCAAGACCTAGTTGTGCGTACCAGGCCAGTGCTGGCTGTCAGGGACTGCGATATGGTTTGGATTTGTGTCCCTACCCAAATCTGATGTCGAATTGGAGGAGGGGCCTGATGGGAGGTGATTATATCATGGGGGAGGATTTCCCCATTGCTGTTCTCATGACAGTGAGTGAGTTCTCATAATATCTGATGGTTTAAAAGTGTGTGGCACTTTCCCCCTTAATTTTTTGCTCTCCTGTCACCATGAAAAGATATGCCTTGCTTCCCCTTCACCTTTTGCCATGATTGTAAGTTTCCTGAAGCCTCCCAGTCATGCTTCCCGTTAAGCCTGTGGAACTGTGAGTGAATTAAACCTTTTTTTCTTTATAAATTACCCAGTCTCAGGTAGTTCTTTATAGTATGAGAACGGACTAGTACAGACTGCTTATCACCTTCTCACAGTGTAGAACAATCACTTCGTAATTATTCTGTCTAAGGGGCAAGGAAGCTTGGGCATTTATCCACCAACTCCCAATAATCATTGGTTGAGGGCTGCTCCTGGGGGCATTTATTCCCCAGCCTTCCCTGTTCAGGCAGAGGGGCTTCAGACCCCAGAGGAAGCATCAAGCTGTTGCAAATTGGGCCAAGTACATATGGCTGAGATCTAGTAGGACACAGACAACATCTGCTATAGATGACCTGCCAAAGATCCTGAAAGGGCCAGGATTTGAGCTCAGTGTTATCTGATGACCATGTCTTAGCCACCACTTGATTTCGTGAATGGAGAGGTTTGAAAAGAACAGCAGAACTTTGCTAGAGGGGTTGTCAAGATTACTTGCCTGAACAGTTTCTCATGTATATATTACACAGACTGTTGGAGATACCTGCTCTGTTCCCAGCTCCTGGCTAGACGATGGGGTCACAAAGATGACCCAGGCATGTTTTCTGCTCTTATGGTACAATCTGTCTGTTGAGGGTGGGATATCTGAAGGGACAAGCCCACACTTCGTCCCCAGTCCCACCTGTGTTGGCTAGGGAGTCCTTCCTGGAGGATGTGTTGCGTAAACAATGGAGAGAATTTAGGGAACATCGAGCCTACTCTTTTCACTTTACAGATGAAGGAACACAGGCCCACAGCAAGGGAGTGGTCTGCAAAAGAGAACATATAGACTGCACCCTGGAGAAGGCCAGCTTCTAAGTGGCCATGCCCTTCCTTAGCTCCCCAGTCACCCAGATACAGGAAGTGCTCACTATATCAGATTCAGCTCCTCAGCACTTACCAAGTCCATCCTGCCCAGAATGCTTTCCTTCAAAGGCCTGCAGGCTCAAGGCTCTGTCTTAAGCCTGAGCCTTTTTACCTCTAAAGAAAGTAATCAACCTCCTCCAAAGGCATTCAGTGTCCTGGTATGGGAGAATATGTGTGTATACCAGGGTCTGGGAATTTTGAGAAACCATCTTAAGGTTTGGTGAGTTGCTTTTTCTCCTTATGTGAATTTATACAGTCCTCTATGGAGTTCTGGAGGGAAAATGAACCAAACAAAATATTTTTTTTGAGACAGGGTCTCACTCTATCTCTTAGGCTGGGGTGCAGTGGCACAATCTTGGCTCACTGTAGCCTTGACCTCACAGGCTCAGGTGATCCTTCCACCTCAGCCTCCCGAGTAGCTCGGACTACAGGCATGCAGCACCACACTCACCTAGTTTCTGTATTCTTTGTAGAGATAGGATTTTGCCATGTTGCCCAGGTTGATCTCAAACTCCTGGGCTCAAGTGATCCTCTTGCCTCTGCCTCCCAAAGTGCTGGGATTACAGGTGTGTGCTACTGCACCCAGCCGAAGATTTTTTTTAAAGTGAAAACAAAGTATGTTTTTATCTATTTCCAAACTATAGCATGAATTTCCCCAAGAAACTTTTAGCAGATGCTCTCCTCCCTTTTGCAAATATACTAAAACTATTTTATGAAAACAGTATTGGGAATATGGACCCAAAACACGGTTATCCTGATGTAGAGATTTGGCCAATGGTACATTTGAATTCCACTAAAATGAACTCTGTTATACTGACCTGCTTTTGACTATATCCTTTATACAGCACTGTAGAGGGCTTTCTGCAGGCCCAGAGCAATGGAGTGGCCTACGTAAGAGAACACACATAGCTCAGCTTAGAAGAGGCCAGCCGCTGAATGGCCATGCCCTCCCCTGGGCCAGAGATCATTCAATTAAGAGAAACACACACCAGCCCAAGTTCAGCTCTTCAGCACCTACCACATTATCTAGCCCAGAACTATTTCACTTAAAGGGTTGAAGATTCAAGTCCCTTCCCCAATCATGGCACTGGGCCATTTTACCTCTAGGAATAGTAAACAACCTCCCCTAAAGGCATTCAGTATCTTGGTGTCCATTCTTACAGGCCCTTGAGGGAGTGATACAACTTGTACCCTCCTCACAACTCTCATTTCTCCCAATCTTCTTGCAAATCTGTGCCTGAAGCTGGAAGCACAACACATGAACAATAACTAGCTTGGTGCTTGGTGTTGAATTAACTTTTTTAAGAAAGCAGGCTAACAGGTTGGAAATTGTTCTGTCAATATTTTAGAATCTAGTAATACAAAAGACCCCTTCTAAAAGCACGTTCTGTTGTGTTACACAAGCAAGGGGACAAAGATGATTTCAGAGGTAGCATTCAGGTGTGAGCATCATAATTGATACATTTGGACCCCTCTAAAGCACAGGCCACAGACAAAACTAGGGCCTCTATGAGAACTGCAGAGTTGGATTATGATTTTTTGTTTCAAGCCGAAGAATCTTGGTTTAGGCAAAATAATGGAGGGAAGGCAGAGAACAAGGAAGAGTCTCTGTCCATTCCCTTTGAACGAGAGAAACAAAAAAATTAAACAAAGGATGTTTTAAAATCAAAAGGTGAAAGAGTCTGTGGAGACATAGGAGGAAAGAAATCCATGGCAATGGCTGAGCCTGGAGCTGTTGTTGAGGTGTGGGGAGCTTGATGATAAACAGCGGCTAGCAGCTAGGTACTGCCTCTGGAAGGTAGCCAGTGGGGCACAAGGAGGTAGCTCTGGCCAGCTGGGCTTTACCATTAAAAAAAAAAAGGAAAAATGGAACTCTGGTCCCTATATAAATCAGTCCCTAACATCTCCTTCCATAGCCCTCATCACGAGGCCAAGCAGTAAGACCAATTTCTCTTTACCTCTGATCCCTATCCTCCCTTTAACTCATCTGGTCACATTAAGGGGTTTCAGTGGGATTGAAATTATTTATAAGGAAGAAAGGAAAGTAAAGACTGAGTGGAGGTTTCACAATCTGATTTTCCCTGGCCCAGGTCCCCAACCCCAGCACCTCAAGGAGCACAAAATATGATTCTATTCATTTTAAGCACAAAGAATTTCCAAGGATTTCTCAGAAATTCCACAGGCCTACCCGCCACATCAAAAAGGTCAACTCCAAAAGTGAGTCCGACAGAAATATTGTAAGATGCTAAATCGTCTCTTCTATTTATTTAACATACAGACTTAGATTTAGGAGCCTCTTCTTGGCTCAACCCGTTAGGTGAACACATTCTATAGTATCAAAATTTTGCATAACTCTCCACTAAGTAAATGTTTAGTCCATTCATTCTGAACTGGAAGGAAGGAGACTAGCTGCCAGCTGTGATCCTAGTCAACATGCAGGATGTGATGAAATGAGGAAGTCTTCTTCATGGTCATCGAGTTACTGTCCAAGAGTAGCAACCACAGCCAACGACAGAGATCAAATTTCATTCATCTCACTCTGCTCCTTCTCACCATTCTTTCCCCTATGAACCATAGGAAAGACTCAATCCATAGGCAAAATAAAAATGATACTCTGAATAACTCTTTTAACACCCTCCTGATATTTAGGCACCATGCCCAAACTGTCTTGTTCCCTCTCACAATTGGTAGCATTCTAATATTGTACATCAATATCTCAGTTAAATAGAATAACACTAGGAGGGAACTTGAATTAATCATGATTGCATACTTATTGCAGGAAAAGATAAATAACCAAGAAAGCCACTTTTCCTCTGCTGAATCTTTTTCTTTGCTTAGCTGTTTTTTCCATATGTGTTGCTTTATATAACTATTTAGAGAAAGTCTCAGGGATCAGCACACATTCAATCTAATAGCCTAAGTGTTTTTCAGCTAACGCCATGGCAATAAAGTTTGCTCTTTGGAGTGATGGCTCTTAGACACTGTATTAGTCTGTTCTCACACTGCTATGAAGAAATGCCCAAGCCCGGGTAATTTATAAAGGAAGGAGGTTTAATTGACTCACTGTTCTGCATGGCTGGGGAGGCCTCAGGAAACTTACAATCGTGGCAGAAGGCAAAGGAGAAGCAGGCACTTTCTTCACAGGGCAGCAAGATGGAGGAAGTGCAAGCAGGGGAAATGCCAGATGTTTATAAAACCATCAGATCTTGCGAGACTCATTCACAATCATGAGGACGGAATGGGGGAAACCACCCCCGTGATCCAGTTACCTCCACCTGGTCCTGCCCTTGACACATTGGGATTATGGGGATTACAATTCAAGATAAGATTTTGGATGGGGACACAGCCAAACCATATTAGACACTACAAACTCACAGTGAATCTCTGGAATATACCATGCTCATTTCTGACTATCTTTGCTTGTGCTGTTCCTATACTCCTTTCCTCATCTAGCCAAATCATTCATGTCTGTTTTCCTCTCACATTTTCTGCCTCCTTTCACCCATCTTCTTCTTTTTCCTTCTGTTTCTCAACCTCACCTGCCCAATTGTCTCCCCTTCCAGACCCCCTGTAGACCTGAAGTCTCAATCGCTAATTAAGAGGCAACAGTCATGACTTATGGCCTCTCACTGAAACATAACTGTTTTGTGGGTGTAATTCTTATGTTCCCTACCTGCATGGTAAGCACTTGCATTTTCAGACTGGGTCTCCTACTCTTCTTGTTTCCTTCACGGAAGCTAGCAGTGGTGCTTTATGTGTAATTTTTAAAAGGGCAATGATTATCGTAACAGCTAAAATTTTTGGAAGGCTTAATGTGTGACAAGTACTGTGTGTGAATTAAGCTTATTGCTATTTCACAAATGAAGAAATAAAGACAGAGAGAGATTAAATAATCTGTCCAAATCACAGCTGACAAGTGGCTATAATGGAATTCATTGACCAAACATCCCATTCTGTTCAGTAGACTCAAATGTGAGGGGAAAATAGACATACATAATCTCACATTTTTTTTCAACAGAAAATAAGGAAATAAGCTGTGCACAGTGGCTCATGCCTGTAATCCCAGCACTTTGGGAGGCTGAGGTGGGGGGATTGCTTGAGGCCAAGAGTTTGAGACCAGCCTGGGCAACATAGTGAGACCCCATCTCTAGGAAAAAAATAGCTGGGTGTGGTGGCATGCACCTGTATGTAGTCCCAGCTCTTTGGGAGGCTGAGATAGGAGGATTGCTTGAGCCCAGGAGTTCAAAGCTGCAGTGAGCTATGATCAGACCGCTGCACTCCAGCCTGGGTAACAGAGCAGGACCCCATCTCTAAATTAGTTAATTAAAATAAAAAGAAAATGAGGAAATAAACAATGACATGGGATTCTTGTTCAATCTCATTTCTTTAAAACAGTCCATTAACCAGACTAAATCTAACCCTTGGGTATTATGCTGAATTAAGGATTCATTTTAATATATAAGTACACAATATTTCTGGATACAAATTAAACAGAATAGACTGCTGGGTATGTACTAGATATTTTTCTTTCATTCTTCTATTTGCTCATTAGATTCCCTTTTCTGTGCTGCCATTTTTTTCTTTATAATCATTAACCCATCCATTTATTGTCTGTTAGGAAGTAAGGCAACATATATGCAATGAATATAATAAGAAAGGAAAACTGAAAAAATGTTGTTTTAGAAAATAACGTTAATAGTGTCACTTGAACCCAGAAGTTCGAGGCTGTAATAAGCTATGATCGCGCTCCTGCACTCCAGCATGGGCAACAGAGTGAGATCCTCTCTCTTAAAAAAAAAAAAAAGTTAACTGTGGATTAAGACATCTTTTTCAAAAGATAAAGCCATTTTCCTTTGCCCGGGTGAATGCTAAGCAGTTTGTGAACTCACAGTATCACTGGGATTTGGAAGTCTCACGTGTTAAAAAGTAAGACATGATCAAAGCTTGAATACAGCCATAGGTCTGCTTGTTTGAATCCCATCATTCCAAGATATGCATATTTTGTTTAGTGTTTCAGTATATTGATATGGTTTATGTAACAGTATATATACAACTACTTTGTGGAGTATTTCCTGCAATTTCATGTACTCGCATTCAGAAGCAATCAGAAGCCATTCTTCTTTTTTCAAAACAAGGAAAACAATATTTCTTCCATCATTCTACATATATATTTGGCACCTGTTAATGTCATATATGCCAACAGCTACTTCAGACATCTCTTTTTGATTGACTAGTATTTCATTTTTCAGTCATCGTCAGTCTTAAAGATTAATGTTTTGTCTTTCTAATAAATATGTAGTTAAGTGAATTCCATACTTATTTTTAGGTCGACCGTGTGTTTTCTTGCTTATCTTTCTGTGTTAATTGAAATTCTGTTAAACCTAGAAAATTACTTGGAGTATGTGTTCAGATGACGTGGGGCAGGCAAGCCCCCAGACTGGGGCTTAGCCTGGGAGAGTTCTTGGCTTTGCCCAGGAAAGAATTCAAGGGTGACTTGGTGGTATTAAACAGCAATCTTTTACTTAACTGGAGCTGTTCCTTGTGAAGCAGGGCTAACTCATTGACATAGTGCCCAGAGCCACATTTGTGGGCTGTTGGCAATTGTATTTATATCCACTTATGGTCCCCTACCCACCTTAAATTTGGAGAGCCTCATGTAAAATCAGAAACAAGCAGGGGACTAGATTCCCTTATTGTCCTCTTTATGCCCATATTGTTTCATAATTATAAAATGTTAGACAGGAACATAGGGTCCTTGGATGGAAGGATACCACATAAATATATTCAGATAGATGAAAGGCAGAACTCTTTGTTACTTACAGCTCCAAATGAGAGAAGGCTGCCAGGTAGAGCCACACCTGAAGTTGTAACGCAGGATAGAGCTATACCTGTAGGAGGCAGTCCAGGTATGGCAAGGGAGGTTTCATGGGCTCCCTGTGGATTTGTTAATTTGAAACTTAGGCAAAAGGGCTGTCCCTAGTTGTCTGGTACCTATCCCTGTGGTGATTAGGGCAGGTACATAGTTGCCAGGAATGTGAGAGCCCCATAAGGGAAATGGTTGAGATGTGGATTTAATCAGCTGCTCAAGAAGAGGAACTGACTAGCCTCTAGCCAGGGCCTCAAAATTGGGTCAAGATGGCACTGAAGAAAACAAAACCCACAACTGGTGGAGCCAAGATGGCCGAATAGGAACAGCTCCAGTCTACAGCTCCCAGCGTGAGCGACGCAGAAGATGGGTGATTTCTGCATTCCCAACTGAGGTACTGGTTTCATCTCACTGGAGAGTGTCAGACAGTGGGTACAGGACAGTGGGTGCAGCGCACCGAGTATGAGCCGAAGCAGGGTGAGGCATCGTCGCCTCACCCGGGAAGCGCAAGGGGTCGGGGAATTCCCTTTCCTAGTCAAAGAAAGGGGTGACAGATGGCACCTGGAAAATCAGGTCACTCCCACCCTAATACTGCGCTTTTCCAATGGTCTTAGCAAACAGCACACCAGGAGATTATGTCCCACGCCTGACTCGGAGGGTCCTACGCCCACGGAGCCTCGCTCATTGCTAGCACAGCAGTCTGAGATCAAACTGCAAGGCGGCAGCGAGGCTGGGGGAGGGGCGCCTGCCATTGCTGAGGCTCGAGTAGGTAAACAAAGCGGCCGGGAAGCTCGAACTGGGTGGATC
This sequence comes from Homo sapiens, assembly GCF_000001405.40. NCBI lineage: Eukaryota > Metazoa > Chordata > Mammalia > Primates > Hominidae > Homo > Homo sapiens. The sequence goes on along the minus strand of NC_000023.11, from coordinate 120,052,010 downwards.
CCACCGCAGCTCAAGGAGGCCCACCTGCCTCTGTAGACTCCACCTCTGGGGGCAGGGCATAGCCAAACAGAAGGCAGCAGAAACCTCTGCAGACTTAAATGTCGCTGTCTGACAGCTTTGAAGAGAGTAGTGGTTCTCCCAGCATGCAGCTTGAGATCGGAGAACGGACAGACTGCCTCCTCAAGTGGGTCCCTGACCCCCGAGTAGCCTAACTGGGAGGCACCCCCCAGTAGGGGCAGACTGACACCTCACACGGCCGGGTACTCCTCTGAGATGAAACTTCCAGAGGAATTATCAGGCAGCAACATTTTCTGTTCACCAATATCCGCTGTTCTGGAGCCTCTGCTGCTGATACCCAGGCAAACAGGGTCTGGAGTGGACATCCAGCAAACTCCAAAAGACCTGCAGCTGAGGGTCCTGACTGTTAGAAGGAAAACCAACAAACAGAAAGGACATCCACACCAAAACCCCATCTGTACGTCACCATCATCAAAGACCAAAGGTAGATAAAACCACAAAGATGGGGAAAAAACAGAGCAGAAAAACTGGAAACTCTAAAAATCAGAGCGCCTCTCCTCCTCCAAAGGAACGCAGCTCCTCACCAGCAATGGAACAAAGCTGGATGGAGAATGACTTTGACGACTTGAGAGAAGAAGGCTTCAGACAATCAAACTACTCTGAGCTAAAGGAGGAAGTTCGAACCCATGGCAAAGAAGTTAAAAACCTTGAAAAAAAATTAGACGAATGGCTAACTAGAATAACCAATGCAGAGAAGTCCTTAAAGGACCTGATGGAGCTGAAAACCACAGCCCGAGAACTACATGATGAATGCACAAGCCTCAGTAGCTGATTCCATCAACTGGAAGAAAGGGTATCAGTGACGGAAGATCAAATGAATGAAATGAAGCGAGAAGAGAAGTTTAGAGAAAAAAGAATAAAAAGAAATGAACAAAGCCTCCAAGAAATATGGGACTATGTGAAAAGACCAAATCTACACCTGATTGGTGTACCTGAAAGTGACGGGGAGAATGGAACCAAGTTGGAAAACACTCTGCAGGATATTATCCAAGAGAACTTCCCCAATCTAGTAAGGCAGGCCAACATTCAAATTCAGGAAATACAGAGAACGCCACAAAGATACTCCTCGAGAAGAGCAACTCCAAGACACATAATTGTCAGATTCACCAAAGTTGAAATGAAGGAAAAAATGTTAAGGGCAGCCAGAGAGAAAGGTCGGGTTACCCACAAAGGGAAGCCCATCAGACTAACAGCTGATCTCTTGGCAGAAACTCTACAAGCCAGAAGAGAGTGGGGGCCAATATTCAACATTCTTAAAGAAAAGAATTTTCAACCCAGAATTTCATATCCAGCCAAACTAAGCTTCATAGGTGAAGGAGAAATAAAATCCTTTACAGACAAGCAAAATGCTGAGAGATTTTGTCACCACCAGGCCTGCCCTAAAAGAGCTCCTGAAGGAAGCACTAAACATGGAAAGGAACAACCAGTACCAGCCACTGCAAAAACATGCCAAATTGTAAAGACCATCGAGGCTAGGAAGAAACTGCATCAACTAATGAGCAAAATAACCAGCTAACATCATAATGACAGGATCAAATTCACACATAACAATATTAACCTTAAATGTAAATGGGCTAAATGCTCCAATTAAAAGACACAGACTGGCAAATTGGATAAAGAGCACACCCATCAGTGTGCTGTATTCAGGAAACCCATCTCACGTGCAGAGACACACATAGGCTCAAAATAAAGGGATGGAGGAAGATCTACCAAGCAAATGGAAAACAAAAAAAGGCAGGGGTTGCAACCCTATTCTCTGATAAAACAGACTTTAAACCAACAAAGATCAAAAGAGACAAAGAAGGCCATTACATAATGGTAAAGGGATCAATTCAACAAGAGAGCTAACTATCCTAAATATATATGCACCCAATACGGGAGCACCCAGATTCATAAAGCAAGTCCTTAGAGACCGACAAAGAGACTTAGACTCCAAGACTTTAACACCCCACTGTCAACATTAGACAGATCAACGAGACAGAAAGTTAACAAGGATACCCAGGAATTGAACTCAGCTCTGCACCAAGCGGACCTAATAGACATCTACAGAACTCTCCACCCCAAATCAACAGAATATACATTCTTTTCAGCACCACACCACACCTATTCCAAAATTGACCACATAGTTGGAAGTAAAGCACTCCTCAGCAAATGTAAAAGAACAGAAATTATAACAAACTGTCTCTCGGACCACAGCGCAATCAAACTAGAACTCAGGATTAAGAAACTCACTCGAGACCACTCAACTACATGGAAACTGAACAACCTGCTTCTGAATGACTACTGGGTACATAATGAAATGAAGGCAGAAATAAAGATGTTCTTTGAAACCAACGAGAACAAAGACAAAACATACCAGAATCTCTGGGACACATTCAAAACAGTGTGTAGAGGGAAATTTATAGCACTAAATGCCCACAAGAGAAAGCAGGAAAGATCTAAAATTGACACCCTAACATCACAATTAAAAGGACTTGAGAAGCAAGAGCAAACACATTCAAAAGCTAGCAGAAGGCAAGAAATAACTAAGATCAGAGCAGAACTGAAGGAAATAGAGACACAAAAAACCCTTCAAAAAATCAACGAATCCAGGAGCTGGTTTTTTGAAAAGATCAACAAAATTGATAGACCGCTAGCAAGACTAATAAAGAATAAAAGAGAGGAGAATCAAATAGACGCAATAAAAAATGATAAAGGGGATATCACCACTGATCCCACAGAAATACAAACTGCCATCAGCGAATACTATAAACACCTCTACGCAAATAAACTGGAAAATCTAGAAGAAATGGATAAATTCCTCGACACCTACACCCTCCCAAGACTAAACCAGGAAGAAGTTGAATCTCTGAATAGACCAATAACAGGCTCTGAAATTGAGGCAATAATTAATAGCTTACCAACCAAAAAAAGTCCAGGACCAGATGGATTCATGGCCGAATTCTACCAGAGGGACAAGGAGGAGCTGGTACCATTCCTTCTGAAACTGTTCCAATCAATAGAAAAAGAGGGAATCCTCCCTAACTCATTTTATGAGGCCAGCATCATGCTGATACCAAAGCCTGGCAGAGACACAACAAAAAAAGAGAATTTTAGACCAATATCCCTGATGAACATCGATGCAAAAATCCTCAATAAAATACTGGCAAACCGAATCCAGCAGCACATCAAAAAGCTTATCCACCATGATCAAGTGGGCTTCATCCCTGGGATGCAAGGCTGGTTCAACTTACGCAAATCACTAAACGTAATCCAGCATATAAACAGAACCAATGACAAAAACCACATGATTATCTCAATAGATGCAGAAAAGGCCTTTGACAAAATTCAACAGCCCTTCATGCTAAAAACTCTCAATAAATTAGGTATTGATGGGATGTATCTCAAAATAATAAGAGCTATCTATGACAGACCCACAGCCAATATCATACTGAATGGGCAAAAACTGGAAGCATTCCCTTTGAAAACTGGCACAAGACAGGGATGCCCTCTCTCACCACTCCTATTCAATATAGTGTTGGAAGTTCTGGCCAGGGCAATCAGGCAGGAGAAGGAAATAAAGGGTATTCAATTAGGAAAAGAGGAAGTCAAATTGTCCCTGTTTGCAGATGACATGACTGTATATTTAGAAAACGCCATCGTCTCAGCCCCAAATCTCCTTAAGCTGATAGGCAACTTCAGCAAAGTCTCAGGATACAAAATCAATGTGCAAAAATCACAAGCATTCTTATACACTAATAACAGACAAACAGAGAGCCAAATCATGAGTGAACTCCCATTCAGAATTGCTTCAAAGAGAATAAAATACCTAGGAATCCAACTTACAAGGGATGTGAAGGACCTCTTCAAGCAGAACTACAAACCACTGCTCAATGAAATAAAAGAGGATACAAACAAATGGAAGAACATTCCATGCTCATGGGTAGGAAGAATCAATATCGTGAAAATGGCCATACTGCCCAAGGTAATTTATAGATTCAATGCCATCCCCATCAAGCTACTAATGACTTTCTTCACAGAATTGGAAAAAACTACTTTAAAGTTCATATGGAACCAAAAAAGAGCTTGCATTGCCAAGTCAATCCTAAGCCAAAAGAACAAAGCTGGAGGCATCATGCTACCTGACTTCAAACTATACTACAAGGCTACAGTAATCAAAACAGCATGGTACTGGTACCAAAACAGAGATATAGACCAATGGAACAGAACAGAGTCCTGTTATCTACAACTATCTGATCTTTGACAAACCTGACAAAAACAAGAAATGGGGAAAGGATTCCCTATTTAATAAATGGTGCTGGGAAAACTGGCTTGCCATATGTAGAAAGCTGAAACTGGATCCCTTCCTTACGCCTTATATAAAAATTAATTCAAGATGGATTAAAGACTTAAATGTTAGACCTAAAACCATAAAAACCCTAGAAGAAAACCAGGCAATACCATTCAGGACATAGGCATGGTCAAGGACTTCATGTCTAAAACACCAAAAGCAATGGCAACGAAAGCCAAAATTGACAAATGGGATCTAATTAAACTAAAGAGCTTCTGCACAGCAAAAGAAACTACCATCAGAGTGAACAGGCAACCTACAGAATGGGAGAAAATTTTTGCAATCTACTCATCTGACAAAGGGCTAATATCCAGAATCTACAATGAACTCAAACAAATTTACAAGAAAAAAACAACCCATCAAAAAGTGGGCAAAGGATATGAACAGACACTTCTTGAAAGAAGACATTTATGCAGCCAAAAGACACATGAAAAAATGCTCATCATCACTGGCCATCAGAGAAATGCAAATTAAAACCACAACGAGATACCATCTCACACCAGTTAGAATGGCGATCATTAAAAAGTCAGGAAACAACAGGTGCTGGAGAGGATGTGGAGAAATAGGAACAGTTTTACACTGTTGGTGAGACTGTAAACTAGTTCAACCATTGTGGAAGACAGTGTGGCGATTCCTCAGGGATCTAGAACTAGAAATACCATTTGACCCAGCCATCCCATTACTGGGTGTATACACAAAGGATTGTAAGTCATGCTGCTATAAAGATACATGCACACGTATGTTTATTGTGGCACTATTCACAATAGCAAAGACTTGGAACCAACCCAAATGTCCAACAATGATAGACTGGATTAAGAAAACGTGGCACATATACACCATGGAATACTATGCAGCCATAAAAAATGATGAGTTCACGTCCTTTGTAGGGACATGGATAAAGCTGGAAACCATCATTCTCAGCAAACTATCACAAGGCCAAAAACCAAACACCGCATATTCTCACTCATAGGTGGGAATTGAACAATGAGAACACATGGACACAGGAAGGGGAACATCACACACCGGGGCCTGTTGTGGGGTGGGGGGAGGGGGGAGGGATAGCATTAGGAGATATACCGAATATTAAATGACGAGTTAATGGGTGCAGCACACCAACATGGCACATGTATACATATGTAACAAACCTGCATGTTGTGCACATGTACCCTAGAACTTAAAGTACAATAAAAAAAAAAAAAGAAAAAAGCCCCCACAATTGTATTACACACACACACACCTCTTCACATTGGTGGGAGGTCCCCTAGGACTGGGGCAGGGCTTTGTCAGCATACGTGAAATAGCTTCCATGATTCCCTTTGCTTTGGGTGGTTGCACTGTGGTGGCAGCAGTCTGGGAGCCAAGACAACAGAGATGTTTCCACTCTCAGAGAGAGCCCCGTTCTCTCAGGAAGGCAAAGTTTCCAGTGTCCCACTCAGTGGCCATGAGGGTAGGTCTGGAGCATGGGGTTGGGATGGGGGTGGGGGGACACTCATACGCTTGTCCTTAGTTCATTGACTGGAATGGTCTTGGGCGTCAGCTGGATGGCTTCAGCTAAGTTCCTGTTGCTGTAGCTGTGGGTTGGGGATGGGAGAGAGGGTCATCTACTGGGGGAAAACAGTCTCCTGAAACTGCCCATTCCAGACTGGGGAAAGACCGACCGATGGGAGAGGATATGTCTGAAGGCACAGAACATTATAGAACTGGCTCTCCATAGCCCTTATGCCATGCCCATTCACTCAGAGTAAATTGTAGTAAACTCTGCAAAAACAACAAAGTGTTTTGTAAATCAGTTAATTTCTTAAGCTTGCATGAACTAGTCATTGGCAACTTGATTGCTCCAAGAATGGCTCACTTGTTCACTTGGTCATTCTGTGACTTGGATTTTGGCAAAATGGCTCTTGATGAATTAACCAGGAGTCAAAATCATGACCGCCAACACCAAGCAATTAAGGCGAAGTCTTTGTCCATGGGAAGACCCTCTTTAGAACTTTCTCCATGGAGCCCTGTGTTCCAACGGGAGAAGGAAAATACTAGGATTTTATCCTTACATATCTGTGGGGACAAATCATTCTTGATCCTCCCAATGACCTTTTCTAGCTCTTTTTTTATCTGTACCTTCCTAATGAGATGCTAGGTAGGCAGAATGGGCAGAAAGAGCTGGGAGCATGGTCAAGTGTGGGGTCTTGGTGATGAATGGGGAGAACCACTGTAGGTACTTTTTTTTGTAGACAGTCCCCATTCCTAACAAACTCTGATACATGAATGATCAGATCCTTGTTTGGAGTACCAGCAGCAGTAGCTGAAGAAGCCTCAGAAGTCTTTAAGCAGCTCTTACCCAGGGTTCCCAGAAAGAATGCTTATGAATGCTGTTATAGCAACAATTTCAACCAATGGGAAGTAAAGCCCAAATATTTCTGCCCGTTTCAGTTCGGTCAAGGAGGAGGAAATGGGAGAGAGTGAGGGAAGGAGGAACATCAAATTTATCTGACCTCAATAACAGGACCAGTCTGTAGTATCCATACTCAGCTCCTTCCCAGCAAGAGATGAACTCATAGGGCTGTGCAAGGAGGAAGAGTGACAATAAGCCTTACAGCTGGTATGTATTCGGAGGTTCTTATGTGCCAGTTACTGTGTAAATACTCGGTATATGTTGTCATTTACTCCTCACAACAGATATTAGTGTTTTCATCTTAAATTTCAGGAAACAGACACAATGCTCATTTTCCCAAGGCTCAAACTCAGAGGTGTCTGTGTTTTACTTGGCTATTCCTAAATTCTGAGATCAGGGCCTCCCTTGTGGGCCTAAAGGTTACTCTTGTCTTTTATGAAAGAGAGAGACAGTATATTATAGTATGCTAACTATAATGGTTATCAGCAGAGGCAGAAGCAATTTACATATTGTTTCTTTTTCTTCAATTTCCTTGCCTATAAAATGGGGATAACAAGCTTACTGAACAGGATTTTTATGAGGATTGAATCAGATATTTCATTGAAAGACTGAGAGCAGAACCTGCCACATTGTAATCTTTCTTTACAAGGTTTAGATATTATTTCTGTTATTAAATATTTTGAGAGAGGATTGTAACCACCTGATGGGTTCTTCCTGCCTGCTGCACAAATGAAGACCATGGCATGGTAGTAAATAAAAGAATTTAATTGATGCAAGGCTGGCCACGCCACATGGGAGATAGAATTGTTACTCAAATCAATCTTCTTGAGCATTTAGGGGTAGGGTTTTCCAAAGATAGTTTTAGGGAGGGAGTTAGGGTGGCTAAGCAATGGGTGCTTGCTGCTGATTGGTTGGGGGTGCAATCATAAGGGTGCAGGAATGGTCCTTCTGCCCACTGAATATCTTCTGGGTGGGGCCACAGGAGTGGCTGGCAGGTCCAGGTGAAGCCATTGGTGTCAGACAGGCAAACAAATCTGAAAAGATATCTCAAAAGGCCAGTCTTAGGTTCTACAATAGTAATGTTATCTGGAGGAGTAATTGGGGAAGTAGCATATCTTGTGACCTCCAGAACAATAGCTGGCAATCGTTTATGTCTACACCTTAGCAGAATTTAGGCTCCTCTATCCCCCTAGCCTGGTGGTCTCTCATTAGCTTTACAAAGGCAGTTGAATTTTGGGAAAGGGCTATTATCATTTAAAGTATAAACTAAATGTCTCTCCAGGTTAGCTTGGCCTAACCCAGGAATAATTAGGGGCAGCTTGAAGGCCAAAGGCAAGATGGGACTTTGGCATGATCAGATCTCTTTCACTGCTATAATTTTCTCAGTGTTGTAATTTTTGCAAAAGCCGTTTCAGCCTCACTCTGTCACCCAGGCTGGAGTGCAGTGGTGCAATCACAGCTCACTGCAGCCTCAACCTCCCAGGCTCAAGTACTCCTCCTGCCTTAGCCTCCCAAGTAGCTGGGACCACAGGCACACACCACCACACCCAGCTAACTTTTTTATTATGTGTGGAGACTAGTTCTTCCTATGCTGCCCAGGCTGGTCTCAAACTCCTGACCTCAAGTGATCCTCCTGCCTCGGCCTCCCAAAGTGCTGGGATTACAGGTGTGAGCAACCATGTTCAGTCTACTATTATTTTAATAGTAGTGTAAATGGTGTTGTTTTAAATGTCCTTAATTAGTGAAATAAAAAGATAATAACCTATGTCAGGACCCAATTTTATTAACTTTATTAGTCCCTGACATCTCCAAGTATCAGAACCCCTGCCTTTAACCACTATGCTTTGTATGTGGAGTAGTTTCCCACCTTAAGACAATTGGTCTTAATTGCAATACAGAAAGGGAAGTGCTTCGTTGAATGTCCTCTGTATCCAGGAAGAAATACTAAGCTTGCTGCCTGGAAAACACTACACAAATCTAGGACCCATATGTAAACATCATGCTGCTGAGATGGCATGGAGGGGTCAGGGCACTGGGGTGGGAGGAGGAAGTGTAACTGCCCAAGGGGTTTACCTTGCCCACTGCCTAGGCAGAGCCGATTTATGAAGACAGGGGAATTGCAATAGAGAAAGAGTAATTCATGCAGAACCGGCTGTGTGGGAGACTGGAGTTTTATTATTACCTAAATCAGTCTTCTCGAGCATTCAGGGAGCAGAGTTTTTAAGGATAACTTGGTGGGTGGGGGGAAGCCAGTGAGCCAGGAGTGCTGATTGGCCGGAGATGAAATCATAGCGAGTCGAAGCTGTCTTCTTGTGCTGAGTCAGTTCCTGGGTGGCGGCCACAAGATCAGATGAGCCAGTTTATCCATTTGGGTGGTGCCAGCTGATCCATCAAGTGCAGGGTTTACAAAATATCTCAACCACTGATCTTAGGAGCAGTTTAGGAAGGGTTAGAATCTTGTAGCCTCCAGCTGCATGACTCCTAAACTATAATTTCTAGTCTTGTGGCCAATGTTGGTCCTACAAAGGCAATCTAGTTCCCAGGCAAGAAGGAAGTCTGCTTTGGGAAAGGCTATTACCATCTTTGTTCAAACTATAAACTAAGTTTTTCTCCAAGGTTAGTTGGGCCTACGCCCAGGAATGAACAAGGACAGCTTGGAGGTTAGAAGCAAAATGGAGTTGGTTAAGTTAAATCTCTTTCACTGTCTTAGTCATAATTTTGCAAAGGCGGTTTCAGAAGTATGGGAGTCAGTGTGGCTAAATAGGAGGAACAGAGACTCTCAATGCAGACAGAGGGTTTCAAGTCACAGATCTGCCACTTACTGGATTTGTGACTTTAGGCAGGTTGTTTTAGCTTTCTGAGCCTCATCTGTACAATGGAATTTTCACAGTAATTAGTTCATAGGGCTGAAAAGAAGATGAAATGAAGAGATTCAAGTAGAACACTCAGAACAAGGCCTGCCATGCTGTAGGTGTTTAATAAACATTACCTTCCACAGTGATGATGATTAAGGGACTAAATTTCATGCACGTCCATGTGAAGAGACCACCAAACAGGCTTTGTGTGAGCAACGGGGCTGTTTATTTTACCTGGGTGCAGGCGGGCTGAGTCCAAAAAGAGAGTCAGTGAAGGGAGATAGGGGTGGGTGGGGCTGTTTTATAGGATTTGGGTAGGTAGTGAAAAATTACAATCAAAGTGGGTTTTTCTCTTATGGGCAGGGGCAGGGGCCACAAGGTGCTCAGTGGGGGAGGTTTGGAGCCAGGTGAAGGAATTTCACAAGGTTAATTGCTCAGTTAAGGTGGGGCAGGAACAAATCACAATGGTGGAATGTCATCAGTTAAGGCAGGAACCGGCCATTTTCACTTCTTTTGTGATTCTTCACTTGCTTCAGGCCATCTGGATGTATACGTGCAGGTCACAGGGGTTACGATGGCTTAGCTTGGGCTCAGAGGCCTGATACTAACCATAACAGATAGAATTTAAAAAGCAGAGGAACCAAAAACAGCCCACCACTCTCCTGAGCTGGGAGAATTTGCCCAGAATTCCAGGGATAGGTGTGTCCTAAGCTTCCGCTAGGTAGGGTCAATGCCCAGCAGCCAAGCCAGAAGGAAGATTTGGGCAGACACTGTCATTGGTGAACACGTAAGCTCCAGAGCTAGAATACTACTGATGATGGTGACTGGCTTTGGTTCTTCCGTCTGGTCTGACACCCAGAAAGCCGATCAGACTCACCGCTATGAACCTTCTAGTGCCACAGCAGGCCAGAAACCACAGCCCTGCCTCCCCTTCTCCTGAGTTCCCGGTGTGGGTGTGGTAGGGGCACGGGTGGATTCAGTATTTCTGTAATGGAAACTAGAAACACGTAGCCCCACAGTAGCTGCATTCCAAAGGGGCAGAGATCTGACTTCCTTTGTTTCATGCTTTTAGAGACAATGACAGCAAGACCTCTCACAGGAAGTGCTAGGACCACTGGAGAGAGTGAATTCAACTCTTGGCCAAAAACCTATGGGTGATCTTTCAGGCCTCGCCATAGGCAATTACAAAAGCTTTACCTGGCAGGGATCATGGGGGGACGTGCCCTCCCCACATCAGACCTGATGCACAGCCGTGCATTGCAGTCTGTGAATGGAGTTGCAGTCAAGGACTCAGACGTCCCGAACTGATCATGCTCTCACACATGTCGGCATTCCTAGACCAGATGCCTCCATTTGGAGTCCGCCTTATCAGGAGCCTTTGGCAGAGGCCTTTCTCAAGCACCTGAGCTAAGACCTCTTGTTGCCATGGTGGGAGTGGGGGATGCCTAAAAATATTTTTTTCTTCAAGCTGACTCAGTACTCAGTACTTTTCTACTCCTAGCCCTTCCCTGTCACCTCCTCCTGCCCCTGGGTCCATAAAATGGCAGGAGCCTCTTGTTCAGGGCTCCCTTAACAGTGAGATGATGATGCCCTGCATCTGTGGTCAGACCCCTGTTGGAGCCACCCCATGTGGAAAAATGGAATAATGGAGGAGTCGGTACTTTTTCTGGTTCAGTCCCTTGCTTATACTATCAAAGGCAGTTATTAAAGTCTGACTGTTACTTTTATTTTGACTCGTCTTAATCGACTACTCTGACACCCAGCAGCTCAGCTCTCTCTAGCTCAGCTGAGCTCTTGAAAAATTGGAATGGCAAGCTGGGTAGTTGATTATGCACAATGTCGTTTCTGAAGAGCAAAGAGCCTGAAAATCTCGTGGGGCAATTCACTAATGATGGGTGTAAGCAGACCTTGCAGGGCACTCCTGGAGGATGCTAATGGATTATTTGCCAGAGTCAGAGGATCTGACCGGGCACTCTGCCAGTGAGTCCTGGGAAGTGCTAGCAGACCTCACGTGGCACTTTACCAGCCATGCCAGCAGGTCTCAGGAATTGCTATTGTAAGTCACAGGGTATACTTGGAGGATGATAGAAAATTGTTTATAAAAGCTTTTGGTTCCAAGGTAACCATCGGTCCTCCTGTTTATCCCCATCACCTCGGCTGAGATAACCTAGTGGATCAAATAAGAGATCCAGCAGAGGGGCTCTAAGAAGCCACAGAAACAATTCCCTGGACACCGTTCTCTGATGATGGGGCCAGAAGTCGTTGGAGACCCTGTAAACTGACCTGTACCCCAAAACTATTCCTAGATCTAAGCAGTTCCCTGGGGCTGACGGACAACATGCCATGCAGCATGTTACTGAGACTCATGCTTCTAATAAAAATAATGTAGAGCTCTTTAGAATCACTTTGTCCAGTGATCTCACTAGATAGGGTCAATGCCCAGCAGCCAAGCCAGAAGGAAGACTTGCTTAGGGGAAGAAACCACAGAGACTTGGCTAGTTTGCTTCCATTACGAAAAAGGTAATCTTGTTAAATAAACTTCATAAAGGAAAGTGGCTCCTTGAGGGGTACATCACTACAGACCCCCTCCTCCATAGTGCCTTGATAGTGGCCACTTTCTCTGAGGAGGAGGAGCAAGGTGGGGAGATGAGAGTGTATGTATACCAACGACCATCTCTTTCCTCAGCTGGGTACTATTTGGTCTCTGACAGATTTGGTCCACACATAATGAGTACCTAGTCACTGAAAAACATGTCTCAACCACCTTCGCAGAGACTATGGAGGTCCTGCAGCCCTCCTGGTGGTCTCTTGGGTCTACTACGAGGGAGTGGGAACGGTAGATGAGAAGATTAACCAGACTTAGATTTACGGGTTTGTTCATGCTGCTCCTGCTTGTTGTCAAGCCCAATTAAGCCACCTCCTGAGGTCAAGTCCATCAATCTGCAGTGTGATCCAGATCTTAACTCAGAAATTCTCAGGCACAGAAGAAATGGCTTCCGATAAAATAGCAAAATTTGACCCCTCCCCTCCAAAAAGGGAGCATAAAAATAGTACTTGAGTGCCCTCTTCTGGACTGTCTGGGCAAGGGCCTTCCCAAAGAGATCTCTGAGTCTGATTACTCAATAATGGAACCACGAAAGCAGATTGATGGGCTCCCCACTAAAAAATTCAGGGCCAAGTACCAGGCCATGGGGATTTGATAAGTGGTCCCGCTAGAGTCTGCACAGTGATGGCCTTCCACCTCTCCTGGTGGATTTGGAGACAAATCAGAGATCCTGAGCAACTTTTGCTCTGACACTCAGCTTTCAAATATAAACAAGATTAGGGGTTACAAACAAAAATCCAAAGATTTTAGGGGTTATAAACAAGATCCTTCTGTACTCAGGGGACCCAGAGGCCCTATGCCAAGGTTAGAGTTCAACTGAACAGTGGAGAGGAATTGCACTTCTTAGGCCTTTTAGATACCAGTACACAGGTGACTGTGATCCCCACAAACCCTTGCATCAAGATGAGGAGAAAACAGATCGTGTTCTCTGACTTTGGGCTCCTACTAACCTCCGTTGTCATGGCCCCCACTACTGAATGAAATATTGGCAGTGATGTGTTTTCCATGTGCAGCCCCACTTGCCTTTGCCTCCAAGCCCTGACAGGAATTGCAATAGTTATGGCCATCTTAGTGAGAAATATAGAAGACCATGGACCCATCTGATGACCAACACCTAGTACTGTTGTTTCCCAAAAAACAATGTCAGCTGCCTAGGGGAGAAAAAGAATAATTGCCATCATTGCTGAGCTTAAGGAAGCCAAAATGTTTCATGAGACTGTTTCTCCATTCAATAGCCCCATCTGGCCTGTGCACAAGACCTTGGTTTCTTGGAGACTTACCACTGATTTTAGGCAGCTCAATGCGTAATACCACCTTTGGCACCAGCAGTACCTGACATTGTGACTATTACAGAGGCCCAAAACAGAGAGAACTTGGTATGCAGCAATTGATATTGCAAAGGCATATCAAATTGTAGTCCCCAGTGTTGGAGATGGGGCCTGGTGAGAGGCGATTAGATCATAGGGGCAGATTTCCCCTCTAGTTTTGTTCTAATGATAGTGAGTAATCATGACATCTGGCTGTTTAAAAGTGTAGCATCGGCTGGGCATGCCCTCAGCCTCCCAAGTGTCTGGGATTACAGGCACTTGCCACCATGCCCCGCTAATTTTTGTATTTTTAGTAGAGATGGGGTTTTACCATGTTGGCCAGGTTGGTCTTGAACTCCTGACCTCGTGATCTGCCCACCTTGGCCTCCCAAAGTGCTGGGATTACAGGCATGAGCCACTGTGCCCAGCCTAGTCTCTAGCTTTTAACTGGATCTCAGCTCTGGGCAGAGCCCACGCTGAATCCTGGATCTCCAAAAGATAGAATTATCATGATTCTAGACCATGTGATGCATTTGCACTGCACTTTGTTACAAAGACTTTCCTCTAAGTGTCTAAAGTATACCTTTTCTTATCTTAAACACCCGAAGAGTAGCCTCTGTTGTAATAACTTAGTCCAAAAATCAGGTAACACAGTACAAAAGCAAGCAGTTTAAGATCTGAGAGGAACTTGTCTGTTTAGACTCTTGGGGTTCCATAAGGAAAAACAGATGTTTCTCCTCAAAAAGGACTCTAGTGCCTTCTCTGTTTTATTTAAGGAATTACAGGCTGTTAGAAACTATTTTGGGTCCCTCATGCAGCAGAGGGGAACAAGAGAAAGGAGAGATAGGCAGAAGTAAATGGAGAAAACAGAATTCATTTGACTGACTGAGAAGGAAAAAACCTTTTTCTCAAAAAACAAGGTACTAGGAGAGAAAAAAAAAACAGGCCAGGCACGGTGGCTTACGCCTGTAATCCCAGCATTTTGGGAGGCTGAGGAAGGCAGATTACCTGAGGTTGTCGGGAGTTTGAGACCAGCCTGACCAACATGGAGAAATCCCATCTCTACTAAAAATACAAAATTAACTGGGTGTGGTGTCGTATGCCTGTAATCCCAGCTATTTGGGAGGCCGAGGCAGGAGAATTGCTTGAACCCGGGAGGTAGAGGTTGCAGTGAGCCAAGATCGCACCATTGCACTCCAGCCTGGGCAACAAGAGTGAAACTCCTTCTCAAACAAACAAAACAAAACAAAAAACCATAAAGGCCTTTTAAATATACACACACACACACACATCGTGGATATTAGCTTTTAATTAAACTGACTTTTAGCCACTAAGCTCTTAAAAAATTCTTCTAAATCTCACTACCCTATTTTAGCTGGAACAAATTGCTGATATTTCAAAAATAACACAAATATCAAACCAGAAAGAACTTGATTTAGGAACCAAACCCAGGCTGTTGTGGTGGAAAAAAGGGCAAAACCTTAGCTACAGAACTGCAGTGTGGAGCACAGTTTGGCTTGGCTAGCAAAAGGTGGCCTTGTTATGTAAATAAAGCCCCTCAGGTAGTCAAAATCTTTCTTTTTTCCTGTTGATGGCTGTTTATCCTTTTCCCTTTTCCCCCCCAGCTGCAGGAATTTACCCAATGCAGAGGCGTTGTTCCTCACCATTTGTAACTTTCCTTCACATTTGATATAGTTGGGTAGAGTTAGTCAAATCCAATGGGAAAAAGACCAAAACAACAAAACAAACAAATAAATGAAAAAACAGTTTGGCAAAACAAACAAATGATCATACTATGTATACAATTCCTGAGCACTCTAATGGTAAGGAGAAATTAAGAGCTGCTGGTTGTTAATCTTAACTTTAGGTCATTAAGGAGAATTTTCAAGATAAAACCCCAATTCAGCTACTTACCTAGGAATGGAGTCCAGGCTCAACACTGCTCTCTACCAGCCTATAAGCAGGAAAAAAACTCCAACTCGCCTTCCCTGTTGGAATTGAGCTGAAACTCCAGAAAGGAGTTGCCTGCCCTCCATCATCATGGAAGCAGGAAAACTCACCTTCCTTGTTGAAAGTGAGTAAAACTCCAGAAAAGGAGTTGTACAGCAAAAAAAAACCTTAGATATCGACCAAATTTGGGGAGATCAGGGTGAGGGAAGAGACGGACCCTCTCATATTGTTTTATATTGTTTTATACTCAGTACCTGTTTTAAGAAAAAAACAAGGAAGTGAAACCAAGGGCAGGCAGCCAGGCACCAGACCCAAAACCAGAACTGAAACCAGGCCTGGGCCTGCCTGGCCTAAACCTAGTAGTTAAAAATCAACTCATGACTTAGCAACCGATGTTATCCATAGATTCCAGACATTGTATGGAAGAACGCTGTGAAACTCCCTGCTCTGTTCTGTTTCACTCTGACTACCGGTGCATGAAGCCCCTGTCACATACCCCCTAGATTGCTCAATCAATCACGACCCTTTCATGTGAAATCTTTAGTGTTATGAGCCCTTAAAAAGGACAGAAACTGTGCACTCGAGGAGCTCGGATTTTAAGACAGTAGCTTGCCGATGCTCCCAGCTGAATAAAGCCCTTCCTTCTACAACTCAGTGTCTGAAAGATTTTGTCTGCAGCTCGTCCTGCTACAAGGGATTGTCTGGAGGGGGGAAGTTCCCAGGCCTCAGCAAATCTGCCTATTGATTTGAGCAATAAAGATATCTCAAGCTGGTACCAAGCAGTAATAGAAGATTTGTCAAAGGTCAGGGGCACCTCCACTCAGAATCCCTTGGTGGTTACCAATTTGTAAACCAAAAAGTATCTGAGCTAGGTCTCAATTAACTTGGAAATTTTATTTTACCAAGGTTAAGAACATGCATCTGGAAGGCAGGTCTATGCCTTTTTCCAAAGAAGATTTTGTGGACTTCAGTATTTAAAGGCAAAAGGGCAGATATTGGGGGAAAAGGAAAAAAAATTAAAGGTGTGGGTAGATAACAGACAAATGGTTGCATTATTTTGAGTGTTTGATAAACCTTTCACTGAATACACAGTTTACATGTGAGAGAAGGGTAGAGGAATAGTTACTTATGCCTTTGTCAGCTCAGTGAATCTGCATTTTTACATTAGGAAAGCAATCAGATATGCATCTGTCTCAGATGAACAGAAGGATGACTTTGAGTTCTGTTCTTTGTCTAGAACCTGTGAAGATAAGCTATCAATTTACATTGTCAGGGTAAAATTCAACAGAACCATTTTAAGGTAAACATCTTGGGGCTCAAAAGGAATGTCCCAGTGGACAAATTGTGAGACATGTATGTAGCTTTTTTTTTTGTTTGTAGCTATCTTATTTAAGAATAAAATGGGAGGTAGGTTTGCCTGATGCAGTTCCCAGCTTGACTTTTCCCTTTGGCTTAATGATTTTGGAGTCCTGAGATTTATTTTCCTTTTACAAGACATTACCATTCCAAAAGAATGAATATGGGAGGCATAAAGTGGTTTCTTGTCCCAAGTAAGTTCAAAATTTAGCATGGCAGGGCCAGGTGTGGTGGCTCACGCCTATAATCCCAGCACTTTGTGATGCTGAGGTGAGTGGATCACTTGAGGTCAGGAGTTCGAGACCAGCCTGGGTAACATGGTGAAACCCCCCTCCTCGTCTCTACTAAAATACAAAAATTAGAGGGGCATTGTGGTGAGTTCCTGTCATCCCAGCTACTCAGGAAGCTGAGGCAGGAGAATTGCTTGAACCTGGCAGGTGGAGGTTGCAGTGAGCTGAGATTGTACCACTGCACTCCAGCCTGCGTGACAGAATGAGATTTCATCTCAAAAAAGTAAATAAATAAATAATTAGCATAGCTAATTCCATTAGATTTCAAGGCCTAGGAACAATCCTCTTTAGCTCAATGTTCTGCCATCTGGTCTTGCAGTGATCCACCAGCTTCTGTGCCACCCTCATAATTCACTCTTCCTTTTTCTTGAAGGCTAATGTGTCTTTGCAGTCTAGTAGCCCTGTCAGCTCATATCCTGCCTATAGATTTCCAGAAGTCCAACAGTCTTCCTTCATTTCATCCCATATCTATCTCCTTTACTCCAAGATGCCAGTATTTCTGTTGATATAACATTCTCAAAATCCTTATCAGTCTCGTGTGTGTTATGGGAGTCCATGTCATTAGACAAGATCCTTCCTGGATAAACCCATCTCTATTCCTGCCTTCAGCTGATATGGTTGATTGGATCCATGAATCACATATATAATCTCTTTAGCAAGATTGTCCAGCCATACTGTTGGCCTTCTCTTCAGAGTATGCTTTTGCGACAATAAATTTTCTAATTTTGGCATCCTTTGGAATCACGATAGGCTGAGAACCTCCAAAATCAAGTGCTAGTTACTTTTTGCCTAATAGTTCTTTCCTCAATTTATATCTTTCACATTGAAATGGGAGAGTTCACTGACCCCCCTTGCAGGGCCTGCAACAGGGGTGTGGCTCGTCTGTTTGGCCACTGCATGCTCAAACCCCTTATGGGAGGGGGAGCACGCATTTGAGCTAGGGCAAGCACTTTTGGGCTCTGGGCCTACAGCAATATCCAGGGATGTTACAATGCTCCTTTAGCCCTGCCATCCAGGGACAGCTTAAGTGTTAAACAGCTCAGTGCCCTCTTGGTACTGGGTTCCTGTCCAGCATCCAGGAAGAATCAGGTCACACAGACAAATTGAAGGATGGTAAATGTGGCGTATTTTATTGCTGGATGGAGGTGGCTCTCTGCAGGATGGATGGGGAGCTGGAAAGGGAATGGAGTGGGAAGATAATCTTCCCCTGGAGTTCAGTCGTCCCTTGGCTGATCTCCTCTCCTACCGTCCCCAGCCTAACTCCTCTTGATGTTCAGAAGCTCCTTCTCTTCTCTCCTTCTCTGCCACACCACTCTTCTGTTCCTCTGCTCTTCTGCTTGTCTGCTCATCTGCTTGTGGATCCTGGGGTTTGGAGTTTATACAGGTACAGGATACAGGGGCGTGGCAGGCCAAAAGGCAGCATTTGGGCACAAAAACAGGAACGCTTGTTCCCATTTAGGGCCACGGGTTTCCAGACTTGAGGGTGGGGCCTTTGCTGGGAAACCACCCTCTTCTACCCAGTATTTCCCTGTCTCCTGTCTGTATCAATATTACATTTTACTATAAGCAGCAAGGAGAAACCAGGTTATGAAGATAAGCTATCAATTTACATTGTCAGGGTAAAATTCAACAGAACCATTTTAGGGTAAAGATCTTGGGGTTCACAAAGAAAAATCTTAAGGATTTTGCCTGTAAATTTCTGCCAAATATCCAAGTTCATCACTTTCAAGTTCTGCTTTCCATGTGACTGAAGAACATAGTTCAGCCAAGTTTTCTGTCACTGTATAACAAGCATTGCCTTTCCTCCCATTTTCAGTAACATTTTCTTCATTTCTTTCCAAGACCTCTATACAATCAACTTTAATATTCCTATTTCTAACAACAGTCTCTTCAGGGCAATTTAGGTTTTTTTCTATCACGCTTCTCAAAAATTTTTCTAGTCTCTATCCATGGCCTAATTCCAAAGCCAATTCCACATTTTAGGTCTTTAGTACAGCAACATCCCACTTCTAGTTTCAAAATCTGTATTAGTCAGGGTTCTTTCAGAAAAAAAAAAAAAAAAAAACCAACAGGGTATATATGTATTTGATTTGTTTCAAGGAATTGCCTTAGATGATTGTGGGGTCCAGCTAGGTAAGTCCAAAATCTGTAGGGAACTTGGGAAGCCTAGAAACTCTCAGGTGGAAACTGAGGCTGCAGTCAGCAGGCAGAATTTCTTCTTCCTCTGGGCATATCAGTTTTGCTCTTAAGGCATTTCAACTGATTGGATGAGGCCCACCAAGATTATCCAAGACAGTCTCCTTTACTTAAAGCAACTGATTATAGATGTTAACCACATCTATATAATACCCTCACAGCAGCATCTAGATTAGTGTTTGAATAACTGGGTACCATCACCTAGCCAAGTTAACAAATTAAACTAACCATATCTATTCAACTAATTAAATATAGTAATACAACCAAATAAATGACATTTTTTTCCATGCAGTATTTCAAAATACTTAAGAGTAGGCAACATATTGGCCCAAGGTCAGTGGCTCTGAGGGTAGCTGGACCACATCAGTCAGAACTGCTATAAAATAAAATAAAATAAAATAAAATAAAAAATAAAAAAACCTTCTGGCTAACTGCACTTGCAAAAAATCAAGAGAAATCCAAGATACACAGCACCACTACAGTCTTCTAGCTTCAAATAGTTGTAATATGATTCACTCCTAGCAATAGAGTAAAAAGGTAAAGCTCAAGTTACAAGTTAATTGATATTTTCCATAGCATATACCATAAAGAAAGGTGAAAAATTCAGACCCTAATGCTGATTCTGACCAACTCTCATTTTCACCGGTTATTTTGCAGTCCCTCACTATTCAGCTGTGAAATTCATCTAAGGACATAAACTTAGTGTGTAATTTCTCCTCCGAAGGCAAAGTGGAAAGATATCAGAACTACACATTGACAGATTTAGTAATAGACTTAGTAATGTTGTTAATAGTCTTCTATATCCCTGACTGTCTGTAATAGAAATACAACTACTCGTTCTCTTTCTTCCTTTCCAGAGAAATGAGATCTGTGAAGCACAAAATAAAGACTAGAGGCTGTATTACATGAAGTTTGTCATGTAACAAGTCATTGCCTAATTAACATGGAGTAGTACAATAAAAGAGTATCACTCTCAGCATGAAAGCCACCTCCCTCCTTCTGTAAACCTTGCCTTGTATGATGAGGACAACATAAATCACACAGTGCAGGTGTGTTTAAAGTCAGCATCAGAACAAATGTTAAATTGGATAAAATATCAATATCAAAAATGATTTTTTCTTACTTACTAGACCCTGATGTCATCTGTGGAATTGCTGTATATACATGGAATATCACTATCTTTACAGTAGTTATACATTTTCAGATCTTCATATTATCTGGTTACAGATCTTCATATTATCTGGTTACCTTTAGCACTGAACATGCAACTCCTTATTCCAAGTGACAACTACACTCTTTTAATAAATAAATAATGGTAGCTGTTTCTGCTCTGTTGACTTACAGATTGACAAAATGACCAGAAAGAATGAGAGTTGGTCAGAATCAGCATTAGGGTCCAAATTCTTCACCTCCCTTTTCGTGGCATTTGACTATAGGAAACATCAATTAACTTGTAATAATTTGAGCTTTTACTTTTTTACTCTATTGTTAAATACCATACAGGATGAATGAATGTTGAAAGTGTGATCTCAGTTTTAAAAGTGTCCTAACTGGAATTGTAAACACTATAGGATTCAGATAAAAAACTAGAAAAAAATAAAACTTTTGTTGTATTCTAGTGAATGCTGAAGGAACAATGTTTTCGAACATACTAACATGTATAACAATATTAGCAAGTACCATTTATGAAGTATTAAGTGCTAGTCACAGTGATAGGTTTTTGATGTACATTATATCTATAATTTTAAATGCCAGTTTTTTTCCATTTCTAAATTCCATAGAATCATCTGACATTATATTAAATATAGATTATAACTGATTGGTAAAAGAAATGACATAATCATTTCAGTCCCTAACAGAAATTGCACATTATAGGTATTTGAGGATTAAATCATGAGCTAAGTACAATTAAGCACTCATCCAAATCTCTTTTGGCAGCTGATATAGTAAGAGTGTAGGCTTCTTTGGTGACCTACTCTCTACAAAATGCTTTCCATAAGTTTATTTAACTACATTTTAAATTATATAAGTAATCTATGAATGCACATTTTTGGTAAACTTTGACAATTCAAGCAGTAAAACCAAAGGCCCCTCTTCTCCTTACCCCACACCTTCAACATGCATGAACACTCATGCAATCCTAGCCCTCTCTCCTGAGGTAACCATTGTTTTCAATTTAGTATGTATCCTTGACATTTTTCCTTTGTATCCTCATACATAATCATATTACCAATACAAATATATAGTTTTTTAAAAACAGAATTTGAATCATCCTGCACATATCATTTTCATTCTTTTTTCCCAGCTTTATTAAGGTATAATCTACAAACAAAAATTGCATATATTTAAGATGTTAAACATAATGTTTTGATATACATATCAATTGTGAAATGAGTATCACCATTACACGGCAAGAAAAAGTTTCTGCACAGTCAGTAAAATCATCAACAAAATCAAAAGGCAACCTGCAGAATGGGAGAAAATATTTGTAAGTTATATATTCAAAAGGGAGCCAGTATCTAAAATATATAAAGAATTCATACAACTCAATAGCAAAAATAATAATTAAAAAAATTTAAATGGGCAGAGGACCTGAGTAGACATTTTTCCAAAGACATACAGATGGCCAACAGGTATACGAAAAGGTGCTCAACATCACTAATCTTCAGGGATATGCAAATCAAAACCACAATGCAACATCATCTCACCCCCATTCGAATGGCTATTATTTAAAAAATCAAATGATAACAAGTGTTGGTGAGGGTGTGGAGAAATGGGAATTCTTGTACATTTTCAATAGGAATGTAAATAAGTACAGCTATTATAGAAAACAGCTTGGAGGTTTCTCAAAAATTTTAAATAAGAAGCTTACCATATGATCCAGCAATTCCATTTCTGGGTATTTATTCAAAGGAAATGAAATTGGTACATCAAAGAGATACCTGGCTATTTCTAAATTATTATTTAACAAAACGTCTTGGAGTTCTTTTCACATCAGTAAATATAAGGCTACCATCAGTGGTTCTCAACTAAGGACTAGTTTGCTACCCCCTCAGCATTTGGCAATCTAGTGGCATTTTGGTTGAGACAGCTGCGGTGAGAGAGTGCTACTGACACCTACTGATAGAGACCTGCGATAGGGCTAAACATTTTACAACACACAAGTCAGCCACCCACAACTAAGAACTATACAATCTAAAATATCAGTTTCACAAACCCTAGTCTATATCATTATTTTACTGTAGTATGGTATTCCATAGTTGTTTCATAAGGAAAGAACTATGAATTAGTTTATTCTCCTATTAGTTTATTCTCCATAGGTCATTCTGTTAGTGAACACTTGGGATGTTTCCTTTTTTTTTTAATCAAAAGGAAACTTTATTTAGTCATCTTCTCAAAGCAATCTAGTTTAAAAACAAGTTGAGATTAAGACAGAAAAAAGAACACGAAGTCTAAGAGAATCAGACAGATGGACGGGAGAAAGAGGGTGGGCAGGAGGGCCGCCCTAGGATTCCTTTTTTAAGTTACAATTTATTTTATTTTTAATATTAATTTGTGTTGAAATTTTTTAATTGACAAATAACAGTTGTATATATTTATGGGGTAAAATGTGATGTTTTGATACATGTATATATTGTAGAAAGAATAAATCAATCTAATGAATATATCCATTACTTCACCTACTTATTTTTTGTGATGAGAATGTTTAAAATATACTCTTACCAATTCTGAAACATACAACACATTATTATTAGCTGTGGTCATCATGCTGTGCAATAAATTTCTAAAACATTCTTCCTGTCTAACTGAAACTTTCCAATTCTGCTGCAATAAATATAGTACATGCCTTGTTTAGGCATATATGTGAGTAGTTCTGTAGGATACTACTCAGGAGTGGAATGGCTAAGGGAAAGCAAAGTTCTTTTACTTATTTTTGCAAAGTGCTTTAAAAAATCTTTAAATGTATAAATGTTGATAGGTACCACCAAATTGCTTTTCAACATCACATACACAGTAGTGTAGGAAGGTCCCAATTTTTCCACATCCTTACCAACACTGGGTATTATCTGTCTTTCTTATTATAGCCATCTAGTGGATATGAAATGGCACTTCATTGTGCTTTTAACTTGTATTTCCCTTATGGCTAATGATACTGAACAGGTTTTCTTGTGCTTATTGTGCATCTGTATACTTTCTGTAGAGAACTGTCTATTCAGATCCTTTGCCCCCTTTTTAACTGGATTGTCTTTTTATTATCAAGTTTAAGCATTCTTTACATATTCTAGATATATTTTATCAGATGTGTGATTTGCAAAATTGTTCTCCAACTCTGTGGTTTGCCTCCTCACTTTTTGCCAATAGTGTCCATCGAGGCACACAAGTTTTAAATTTTGATGATGTCCAGTTTATCTATCTTTCTTCTGTGCTTGTGCTTTTGGTGTCATATCTAAGAATCCATTGACTATAGAAAGGTCATGAATTTTGCATCTATATTTTCTTCTAAGAGTTTTATAGTTTTAGCTCTTAAAGTTTTTATTCCTTTTGAATTAATTTTTGTATATGGTGTTATACAGGGTCCAACTTCATTCTTTTGCATGTGGATATCCAGTTTTCCCAGAACCATTTCTTAAAAAGATTATTTTTCCCCATTGAATGGCTTTAATGCCCATGTTGAAAATCAATTACCCATACATATATGAGTGTATTCCTGGACTCTAAATTCTATTCCATTGGTCTATATGCTTATCCTTATGGTAGTATCCCATTGTTTTGATTACTGTAGCTCTGTAGTGTGTTTTAAGATCAGGAAGTGTGAGTCTTCTAAATGTTTAACTTTTTCAAGATTATTTTGGCAATTCTTGGTCACTTCAGTGTTCAAGTACATTTTAGGATCAGCTTGTCAATTTCCAAATGACGTTAGCTGGGATTTTGAGAGATTTCACTGAATCAATCTGGGGAGTAGATCAAATTAAACAGTATTGCCATCTTAACACTATCAGGTCTTTTAATACATGAACATGGGATATCTTTTTATTTATTTCAGCATATTTGTGTCTCTGTGACAACTCTCATGTTTTCTGTCCTGCTGCTGTTGGCAAAAATGGTTCACCAATCAGGGAGGCCAATACTTTCCCCAGGTGGGCTTTCTTGTGTGCGATCAGCTGCAGTGTTTTAGATAAAGACTGTCACAAGAAAAGGGACACTGTAGGCTGGGCGCAGTGGCTCACACCTGTAATCCCAGCACTTTGGGAGGCTGAGAAAGGCGGATCACCTGAGGTCGAGAGTTTGAGACCAGCCTGACCAACATGGAGAAACCCCCTCTCTACTAAAAATACAAAATTAGCTGGGCGTGGTGGTGCATGCCTGTAATCCCAGCTACTTGGGAGACTGAGGCAGGAGAATCGCTTGAACCTGGGAGGCAGAGGTTGCGGTGAGCCAAAATCGCACCATTGCACTCCAGCCTGGGCAACAAGAGTGAAATTCCTTCTGAAAAAAAAAAATGAAATCAAAAGGGACACTGTATTTTAATAAAGTTGAAATTAAAATAAAAAAATAAATAAGTCCAGAGATAGGTTAAACACTGGAGCTGGTTAATTCAGAGGCTCGGTCATGGGGTTAAGGGAGCATCCTTCTATTCTGCTTTGCCATCCTTCAGGCATCAGCAGGATGTCCTCCATCCTGCCTCCCAGGCTTCAAAATATACACGGGAATATCCAGAGGGAGCAGAGACACTCTGTTCCTAAGTGTCTCTCTCAGGATTGAGGGGAATTTGACAGGGACCCCTCCTCTTCTCCCACTCTCTTACTTCCAGTGCCCCTCTTGCCCCCTCCCCTGACACCACACCATCCCATCCTATACCATGGACAAGAACTGCATCATTCACCCACGGGTAAACCTGTCTCTGGCATCTAGCATGGGAACACCTTGCTTGTTTCAGTTTGATCATGACTTCCCTTGTGAGGACAGACATTGTAACTGACATTCTAGAGTCAATATGGTTGTCTTTTCAGCCCAGCAACTGAGCATTGAAAGGAAAGCTGGACCACAGAACAGCGGACCATTTATCATGTCAGGAAGTCATGATTTTGTCACTTCCTCCGAGCCACACACTGAGAGGATCATTAGCTTCTTTCTAAGGACAAGGGTCTTAGAATGATTCCAGGGGCCTCATTAAGCACATTTCACCTCAGAGATAAATCTGAAATACTCAAAGAACATTATTAGAAAAGCCAAGGTCACACAGCAGGCAGTGAGGCCAGGATGGTCACCCAATCACTATGGCTCCACCATCCATGCAAGGTAGTGAGAGGTGACAGCGTACTGGCAGCCCCTGCAGCCTTCGCTCCCTCTCGGCGCCTCCTCGGCCTCGGCGCCCACTCTGGC
This sequence comes from Homo sapiens, assembly GCF_000001405.40. Classification (NCBI taxonomy): domain Eukaryota; kingdom Metazoa; phylum Chordata; class Mammalia; order Primates; family Hominidae; genus Homo; species Homo sapiens. The sequence goes on along the minus strand of NC_000023.11, from coordinate 120,026,270 downwards.
CACGCTTGAGGAGCCCTTCAGCCTGCCACTGCACTGTGGGAGCCCCTTTCTGGGCTGGCCGAGGCTGGAGCCGGCTCCCTCAGCTTGCCTGGAGGTGTGGAGGGAGATGCGCGGGCAGGAACCGGGGCTGCGTAAGGCGCTTGCGGGCCAGCGCGAGTTCCGGGTGGGCGTGGGCTCAACCTGCCCCGCACTCAGAGCGGCCGGCCAGCGCCACTGGCCCCGGGCAGTGACGGGCTTAGCACCCGGGCCAGCAGCTGTGGAGGGTGCGCCGGGTCCCCTAGCAGCGCCGGCCCGCCGGCGCTGCACTCGAATTTTCGCAGGACCTCTCGAATTTTCGCAGGACCTCAGCTGCCTCCCCGCGGGGCAGGGCTCAGGACCTGCAGCCTGCCATGCCTGAGCCCCCCTCCACCGTGGGCTCCTGTGCGGCCCGAGCCTCCCCGACGAGCGCCGCCTCCTGCTCCACAGCACCCAGTCCCATCCACCGCCCAAGGGATGAGGAGTGCAGGCACACGGCGCGGGACTGGTGGGCAGCTCCACCTGCCGCCCAGGTGCGGGATCCACTGGGTGAAGCCAGCTGGGCCCTGAGTCTAGTGGGGACTTGGAGAACCTTTATGTCTAGCTAAGGGATTGTAAATACACCAATCAGCACCCTGTGTCTGGCTCAAGGTTTGTGAATGCACCAATCAGTGCTCTGTGTGTAGCTAATCTAGTGGGGACTTGGAGAACTTTTGCGTCTAGCTCAGGGATTGTAAACGCACCAATCAGCACCCTGTCAAAACGGACCAATCAGCTCTCTGTAAAACAGACCAATCAGCTCTCCGTAAAATGAACCAATCAGCAGGATGTGGGTGGGGCCAGATAAGGGAATAAAAGCAGGCTGCCTGAGCCTGCAGTGGTAATCTGGTCTGGTAATGTTTCATAGTGTGGAAGTGTTGCGCTTTTCCTCTTTGCAATAAACTTTATTGCTGCTTATTGTTTGGATCTGCACCACCTCTATGAGCTGTGGTACTTACCGCGAAGGTCTGCAGCTTCGCTCTTGAGGCCAGCGAGACCACGAACCTGCTGGGAGGAAGGAACAACTTCAGATGCGCTGGCTTAGGAGTTGTAACACTCAACTTTGAAAGTCTCCGGTTTCAGTCCTGAAGCCAGTGAGACCCTGAACCCACCAGAAGAAGCTCCGAAGATGTCTGAACATCAGAAGGAGCAAACTCCAGACACATCACCTTTAAGAACTGTAACACTCACCGCAAGGGTCTGCGGCTTCATTCTGGAAGTCAGTGAGACCAAGAACCCACCAATTGCGAACATAGTAGGAAGTAAGGGCTGTCAAAAGGGTGACAGGGAGGTTGAATACTTTTTTCACATTTGTTTCCCACTTGTATGTCTTTAGGGAAGTGTCTGTGTCCTTTGCCCAATTTTTGATGGGTTTTTTTTTATTGATTTGTAAGTTCTTGTTAGAGTCTGGGTGTTAGTTTTTTGTTGAATGCATAGTTTGCAAATATTTCTCACATTCTGTGGACTGTTTACTCTGTTTATCGTTGGTTTTGCTGTACAGAAGCTTTTTCACTTAATCAGGCCCCAGTTGTCAATTTTTTATTTTGTTGCACTTGCTTTTGAGGTCTTAAATTGTTTGCCTAGGACAATGTCCAGAAGAGTTTTCCCTAGATTTTCTTACAGGATTTTTATAGTTTGACATCTTGCAGTTAACTCTTTAATAATCTGGTGCAGTGGCTCATGCCTGTAATCTAGTACATTGGGATGCCAAGGCCAAAGGATCACTTGAGCCCAGGAGTCTGACCAGCTTGGGCAAGATGGTGAAACCCCGTCTCTACAGAAAGTTAAAATATTAGCTGGGTGAGGGGGCACATGCTTGTAGTCCCAGCTACTTGAGAGGCTGAGGTGGGAAGATCACTTGAGCCTGGGAGGTTGAGGCTGCAGTGAGCCAGAATCATGCCACTGCACTCCAGCCTAGGTGACAGAGACCTCATCTCTAAAAAAATATATAAAGAAAATACATTTAAGTCTTAAATTCATCTTGAGTTAATTTTTTATGTGGTGAAGAGTAGGAGTCCAGTTTCATTTTTCTGCATATGGCTAGCCAGTTTTCAGAGCGCCATTCTCACACTAGTCATAATGGCTATTATAAAAAAGGCAAAAGATCACACATGTTGGCAAAGATGCAGAGAAAAGGGAATGATTATATGCTGTTGGTAGGAAAGTAAATTTGATCATCCCCTGTGGAAAGCAGTTTGGAGAGTCCTCAAAGAGCTAAAAATAGAACTACCACAGCCTGGACAACATAGCAAAACCCTGTCTCTCCAAAAAAAAAAAAATTAGCCTGGCTTGGTGGCACATGCCTGTAGTCCCAGCTACTGGGGAGGCTGAGGCAGGAGGATCACTTGAGCCCAGGAGTTCAGGCCTGCAGTGAGCTGTGATCACACCACTGCACTCCAGCGTGGGTGACAGAGTGGGATTCTGTCTCAAAAACAAAAAATTGAGTAAAGGATATATAACAATTATAAACATATTCATCTAAAAACAGAGCCATAAATACATGAAGCAAAAACTGACAACATAGAACAGAGAAAGACAAGTTTACAATAAAATAATGAATAAAAGAACTGCCATTTGACCCAGCAGCCCCATTACTGGGCATATATCCGAAAGAAACCATTCTACCAAAAAGACACCTGCACTTATTTGTTTATCACAGCACTATTCACAATAGTTAAGTCATGGAATCAACCTAGGTGCCTGGCAACGGTGGATTGGACAAAGAAAATGTGGTACATATACACTATGGAATACTGCCAACGAGATCGGGAGGCTTGGCAGGTGCCCTACAGCCTTGTTTGACCTCTAGGAAAACTGACTTATTCTTATGGCTTTGCTTCTAGGGCTTTCTTAGGCCTCCTTCTGGGCTGCCTGGGCAGCTGCCATGTGGGCTGGAGTAATGGGGTAAAAGTGTGGAGTGGGGTCGGTCCTGCTTACCCCTAGTAGTAGAGAAAGGTGATCTTAGACCGAGAGAGAATATTTAGGATTAGCATTGCAGTTGAGTATTTGAAAATAAAACCCAAAGTGAAGACTGGACCCTAGCACCCTGAAGAGTGAGAGGAATGTACTAGAACAGGAACTCACAGTGACTGAGAAATTTTAGTCTTAGCAGTTACAGCACTTATTCTGGAGGGGAGCAATCCAGGCAGAGATTGGCAGAACGTTAAAAGCAGGAAAGCACGTGAAAGCTCACCTAGTGCGTCTCTTTTTACAGTGGAGGCCTAGAGGTATGAAATGACTGGCCCAAGGTCATGTGATTCGTTTAATGATTGATCTGGGATTATAGTTGAGGACTAGGCAGTTTTGGTGTAGTGGCTGACGTTAAGGCCCTGGCTCAAGTCCTTCATTGGCCATTTGTTGCTATGTGAACTTAAGCAGTTTTCTTACCCTTTGTGCCTCAGTTCTTGTCAAGTAGTGGATATAACAGTGCCTGCCTGATGGATTTTTGAGGATTAATTTAGGATATATATAAAATAATACAGGGAAGTCTGATATTTAGTAACTGCTCGATAATTATTGCAATACATTATTATAATCTGAATGCCTTTGGACCACTACACTGACATCAAAGTCTTTAAACTGGTTAAGTCCTGTCTCCCAGGACATGAAGTCCCAGTTATGATGATGGAAGAAACTGGACATTGTGAATTAACTGCGGGGTATGACACAAGTGATTGCTGTTTGAAGGAAGTTAAACTGAGCTTAATAGTAAAAGCTTGAGAGAACAAGGTGAACCATAGTTAAGTCTTTTTGCCTCTAATTTAGGAAATGGAAGATTTTGTTTACTTTTTTAATGAGTTTTTTTTAAGGAGAAGAATTTTATTGATCTTTAAAATCATTCTGTATCTCAGTCTTTTCCCAGCAGCCAGCAGTGACTGAGGGTCATGAATAGAATCAATTGCCATGTTAATCAAATGTTGTACATTTGCTATAATTATACTTAGAGAACTATGTGGGAGTTCTCCTTTGCATCAACCAGGGTGCACAAACAAGCCAGATAACTGGATCATGATAATGCTCAAGTGAACTATGTGTTGGAGTGAATGTTGCACAACAGAAATTTTCTGACCTATCTGCAAGTGGGTGTCAGTATTGCCCCACACCTTGCTATCTTAACTCTACAGTTCACTTAGCACATTATCTTCCAAGGGCCACAAGGGGTAAATATTTTGACAGAAGTCGTCGCTGCAGGTTTGGCAATCAAGCTATTGTATCCTTTTAGTTAGAGTTCTCTTTGCCCTGAAAGATAGCTTAAGGGGATGAAGCGGCAGTTGGTGGGCATGAATTGCAGGCTCATGAGACTTGAATTGTGGGCCCAGTGTGGTAACTAGCTTACGTCCTACTTTGGTTTCCACAACTTTAAAATAGGAATGAGAAGTCTCCTGGGTGCCTCACCTTTAGGGGGCAATTGAGAGGGGCAAATAAAATGGTGAATATGAAACTACTTTAAAAAGTGTGAATGAACTGTGCAAATAGGAGAACTGGCAGCTCATAATAACTCCTGTGAAATAATAAAAGTGCTTAAACACAGTTGTAGCCTATGTAGCTTATGGTAACACTTGTCAGGAAAGTGCTGGTTGAATGCTTTGTTACTGCAACAGATGTACTTTTAAGCTGAACTGTAAGGTGTAAAAATTATTTCAGAATTTTGTTTTTTAAAGAATTTAAAGAATCATAAGCATATGATTTTTGAGTATGCACATCTTAAACCTACTTTAAAGTTTATAGGAGAAAAGAAAGTGCTTTGGAAAAATCGATTCTAATGTTTTTGTCAATGGAAAACAAAATCCAAAAATGTAAGGCAGTATAGATTTATTTTATTTTATTTTGTTTTGTTTTGTTTTGTTTTTAGAGACAGGGTCTCACGCTGCCACCCAGACTGTAGTGCAATGGCATGATCATAGCTCGCTGTAACCTTGAACTCCTGGGCCAAGTGATCCTCCAGCTTTGGCCTCCCGAGTAGCTGGGATTACAAATATGAGCTATTGCATGCCCAGTCTAGATTTATTTTTAAATGGATGAGCACTTACAATAACAACTACGTTGCATTTAAAAAATATATAAATAAATAAAAATTTTAAAAAGAAAAACTATCCATTGGGTACTATGTTCACTATTTGGATGATGGGTTCAATAGAAGCCCAAACCTCTGCATCACATAATATATCCATGTAACAAACCTGCACATGTACCCTCTCAAAATAAATAAATAAGGCCGGGCGCAGTAGCTCATGCCTGTAATCCCAGCACTTTGGGAGGCTGAGGCAGGCGGATCACCTGAGGTCAAGAGTTCAAGACAAGCCTAGCTAACATGGTGAAACCCCGTCTCTACTGAATATACAAAAATTAGCCAGGCATGGGTGGCACGTGCCTGTAATCCCTGCTACTCAGGAGGCTGAGGCAGGAGAATCACTTGACCTGGGAGGCGGAGGTTGCAGTGAGCCTGGATCACGCCACTGCACTCCAGCCTGGGCAACAAGATAAATACATACATACATACATACATACATACATACATACATACATACATGGAGAACTAAAATGAAAAAATAAAAGGAAAACTTTTTTTTTTTTTAAGGAAGATCTGCAGGGAATGGAGAAGGGGGTGCCATACTCCACCCTAGCCCTGTGCAAAGTGAAATCGTCAGCAAGCTCAGTGGGGCTGCCATACTCCACCCTAGCCTGTGCAAAGTGAAATCGTCAGCAAGCTCAGTGGGGCTGCCTGAGGTTTCATGGGCTTGACCACACTCTGATGGTGGGTGTGGCTGCCTGAGAGGTGCGTGCAATACTTAAGGCTCAAGGATCCTGGGGGATGCCAGGCATGATGGTGTTCACCTGCAGTCCCAGCTATTGGGGAAGCTGAAGCGGGAGGCTCTCTTGAGCCCAGGAGCTGGAGACCAGCCTGAGCAACACAGCAAAACTCTGTCTTGAAGAAAATAAATAAAATAAAATTTCAATCGCCAGGCGCGGTGGTGCATGCCTGTAATCCCAGCTACTCTGGAGGCTGAGACGGGAGGATAGCTTGAGCCCAGGAGGTGGAGGTTGCAGTGAGCCATGATCAGGCCACTGCACTGCAGCCTGGACAACAGAGTGAGATCTTGTCTCTAAAAAAATTAAAATAAAGGATCTTGGGGAAGATGTTGAGGAGTGGTGGAGAGAGAAGTGAGGGTGCACTGATTGTCCCCAGTTGCAGTGTCAGAAGGCTGCTCTGTGGCATACTTGTCTTAAGTCTAAGAATTTCAGTGTGTTTGGCTGGGAGATATTGTGAGCCACTTGGAATGCCGGCATCCAAGGACGGAGGTGGGGAAATCGCTAGACGTGGACAAAATCAGCCTTGGGTAGTGTTTGCAGTACTTTTAGAAATCCCAAGGCAATTCGGTTTAGGATAATCTTTACATGGAGTTCTTTGGTCTTTCAGTGCCTTGCTTTGACACTTTTGCCATATAACCCCAAATGTCTTTTTGAGAGCAGACGTTTTAAGGCAATGCTTATAATGTGGCAATACTTTAGTGAAATAAAAGCCAAGGGTCTTTATTGTTTATTGTAGAAGTCAAACTTCGTTGCTATTTGAGCCTTAGATGTTAAGTGTAAGGCTTTTGGGTTTATGTACTTTGTTGAAACCTTCCATTTATTTTTTAAAAATTGTTAATGAAAATTTTCAAACATACAGAAAACTTTAAAGAATGAACAGTAACACTGGTATACTCACCAAGTAGGTTCAAACTTTGTTAACATTTTGCTATATTTTCTTTCTATAGCTATGTGTGCATGTGCTTTTGCTTCTTTGCTTTTTGCTGAAACGTTCACAGGTAAATTTCAGACTTTGTGACACTTCACCACCAATTCCATTCTTCTCCAAAGAAAAAAATATGATTTCAATATAAAATAAAAAAGCATACTTTTTGGCATATAATTACAAATGCAAGCTGGTCAAATAATTTAGTAGTTTACTTAATTTATTAAGTATCCAAATGAAATGATTTGCTACTGTAGTCTTTTCCTCTTGCCTCATCTCCACCTACCCATAGGATGTTAGATCAGAGGAGATTACACACATTTGCAAGAATGTTCTTTACATACACCTGGATGGTTGTTGCTACAATCTGCCAGGAATAATAACTCTCATCTCTCTGAGAGCCTGAAGCAAAGGCAGAGACCCTTGCCTGCTGTGTTTTTCAATATATCTGTGTTTTTTAATATACTCTGCAAATACTAAGGGGTTAGGAGTGGTTAGGGTTTAGATTTGGGGAAAATGGGTTTTATATAATGAGCTACTATGTAGTTCTCTATTTAACTTTACTTGTGTCTACTTAACTAGTTCTTTAGGTACTCCCAGATATCTGTATTATTAACTCCTTATTTCCAGAAGAAATTAGAAGGTAGACTTGAGAATATGTTTTTCATCTTATTGGATTCAACTAATTATACCACTTATCGCAAGCTGTCTGTAGTTTACTTTTTCCCTAGGTATCATGACTTATGTATAGCATTAACACATTAGGCCAACAAGAAATATGATGTCAGAGTTGGAAAGAATGCTTTTTGGCTTTCTGGCTTATGCTAGTCATTCCAGTTATCTCCACTTATCCCTAGACACTTAGTTATGTTTTTTTTTTAATGTATCACTACTTTTCTATAGTTCTAAGGCAACATTCCAACAAAGAATAAGGATATAGTAAATAAGACTGTGCATTTCAGGCAAAAAAATATGCAAATGGCATTTATTAAACTAAAAAGCTTCTGCACAGTAAAAGAAGTAATTAACAGAGTAGAGGTACCACTAGATATGTATGGCACTAATTCGATATTCAAACAAGTGAAGGAAATTTTGAGCTAAATGATACATATATTTCTGTTTATCTCTAGTTTACTAATTACAAAAGAACACTAATTATAGCATAATAGCAAAGGTTATTGAGCACGTCGTCTGTGTCAGGGACAGTACTCAGAGGATGGGTTCAAATCCCAGCTCTGGACATTTCCCAAGTGAGTGACTTTGAGCAGGGTATTTAACATCTCCGTGACTTAATAACACCACCTGTAAAATGACAGTAATAGCACATCAACGTGTGTATAGGGTTGTTAAGAGGATTAAATATGTTAACATAAACAAATCACTTAGATCGTTGCCTAGAACACAGTAAGAACCAGGTAAGTGTGAGCTACCATTAGTATCATCTCAGTTAATCTCCACAACAGCTCCATGAGGTAGGTATTATTATTACTCCATTTTACAGATGAGAAAATTGAAGCACAAGAGAACAAACTCACCAGGTTAGCTAGCTAGCAAATGACAAGCAATGCCGTAATGCAGATGCCAGCAGTCTGGCTCCAGGGTCCCTGCCTTCATAAATTTAGGACATCAAACCCATCATTTGTGCCTATTTTTACCTGGCTGACGCTCAATAAGGAACATAACATTTGCAAGAAGTGAATCAATGTAACTAAAATTTTAAAGTAAATACTACCTTGGTTGGTGCTCCGGTAGGTAACACTCACCAAAGGAGCACAGAAATGACTACTGAAGCTGAGAAAGCGCTGAAGCAAGTCATGGAAATCTCAGATGTGAGACACCACAGGACTCCAATTCTAACAGATGTCATAGCTGGGCTAATACATACCATGATTAAAATCATTGTAAGTCTCTCACATAATAACGGATCCCAGGCCAAAATTCATCACAGGGTGTCTGGCCACGAGAAGGGTGAGGTCTGCAGAACCCTGCAAGAGGCAGCTTGAGGAGGAGACATCTTGGTTAATGTCAGGGAGAGTCTGTGGGGGTGAAATTCCTTGACAGTTTTTTCAGAGTCAATTGGTCAACCCATCATCCTGTAGCTGGTTTCCTATCTGCCCTCTCAGGAACAGGAGAAAGGAGAGAATTATCTTTCTGGCACAGCGGGCAAAGTGAGTGGGCATACTTTCAAGGGCCTATGAAAATGGTTTGATTTATTTTATTAAATGGGTCTGATGACAATGGTGGTTATGCAAAAATTGGATAAATTATCCCAATATTCAGGAAACCAACTCATTTCAAGGAACAATTTAATTTTTTTAAATTTACTTTTATTTCTTTTCTTTTCCTTTTTTTTTTTAAGCAGGGTTTCACTGAGTCGCCCAGGCTGGAGTGCAGTGGTGTGATCATAGCTCACTGTAGCCTCCAATGCCTGGCATCAAGCGATCCCCCAGCCTCAGCATCCTGAGTAGCTTGGATGACAGACGCATGCCACCACATTCAGCTATTTTTATTTTTTATATTTTTAGAGATGGGGGTCTTTCTATGTTGCTCAGGTTGCTCTCGAACTCCTGGGCTCAAAGGATCTCCTGCAAAAGCGTCAGGAGTAACTAGGATTACAGGTCCGCACCACCGGGCCCAGAATCGTCTGGGGGCACAATTTTTTTTTTTTTTTTGAGGTACAGGTTCTCACTCTGTCGCCCAGGCTGGAGTGCAGTGGCTTGAGTGAAGTGGCGCTATCATAGCTCACTGAACACAGATTCATCGTTTTGAGGCACATTTCTTGAAGGGAGAAACGTGGAGCTCCCAATCTGCCCTGGCTCTTTTTTATTTGACATTTTATCATTAAGGAGCAAAAGGTCAGAATGATCGTTCTAGGCAAAGAGTAGGAAAGGAGAAGCATGAGGAGGACGAGGAGGGTGGGTAACAGAAGGGGATGAGGAGCAAGGGAAGGTGGGAACTAACCCAAGTCCACAGTGCCCACCCAGCACATGGAGCACTCGCGCTTCTGCAGCGAGCCTGAAACCTAAGGCGTGGGAGCGGTGCATAGTTAGCAGACATTGCACGCTCCGCAGTCTCATCTAGAGCCTATGGAAGGGACACTTGCAGTGTAAGCCTTCTTAGATGCACTAAACACCAGGCAGGGTTCTATACCTGTACACTGACGTGGAGTACCTGCAGCTTTTGCAAGGGGCGTGTTAGGTTTCTTGCAGCTTGCATCTGAGCATCCATAGTGCCCTGAAAATCGCAGCCCCAAACTCCCGCTTCCGCAGACCCCTTGGAGAGTGTGGCGCCCTCAACTTTCTGGATGTTGCTGCAGAAACCTAGCATGCAGTCTTCGACCTCTTCATTTCATCTTAATTACGGTCCTATTAGCGGACTTTGGGTGGGAACAGAACAGAACTGGAGAGGCTCATCCATTAGTCACCAGCTACCCAGTGGGGAGAGTGGTGCCGGGAGCCCACACCGCTAGGTGCACTGACTTCAGCTTGCCTCGGCTCTCTCCTGGGGAAGCATTATTCTGGCCTGCCTGCCTGCCTGGATGGCTGGACAGAGACGTGTTGCGCAAACTTTCTCCAAGGGCTCCGGAGCTAGATTGGGTCTCGCTCCTCCGCCCCTCCCCCTGCCCCAAATAGGTTCCCACCAGACCGCTCAGCCTTTTCCTGCTGGCACTCACCCCGCCCAGGGTGGGAGTGGTCAAGGAAACCGCAAAATATAGCGCGGTTCCCCACACCTGCCCGCCACCTCCCCGCGCCTGACCAGGAGCGCGCCCCTGACTTTACGGCCACGCCCGGCCGAGAGCGCGTGCCAGCAAGGCTCGCTCTCTCTCTCTCTCTCTCTCTCTCTCTTCCCCTCTCCTCTCTCTCTCTCTCTCTCCCTCTCCTCTCTCTCTCTCTCTCTCTCTCTGTCACACACACACACACACACAGCCACCGGAGGCGTCCTGAGCAGCAGCCCACTCCCTGTCCCCTGCAGGCGTCCGACCCGAAGTCCACGCGCCGGAACTCGGACCAGGAGCCAGAGGACCCCAGCGCAGAATCCGCGGAGACGCACGGCTTCGTCGACCACGCTCCCAGGTGGCGTTCCAGCCCAGATCCGGCCACGAAGACACCGGCGACCTCGGCCTGGGTTTCCTGTTCGATGAGCTCCAGAAAGAAGACGGTCAGTGCCTGTCTGGGGACCCGAACCGGTGATTTGGTGAACTCTTGGAAAGCAACTTTCCCGGAGAGAGGAGCGTGAACCCGAGGCTACTGCGCTGTCTCTCTCAGCCACGGGTCTAGGCTGCCCTGTGTCTGGGCCAAACGCCCTGATCTCTCTCTCTCTCTCCAGCTCTCTCCTCCGACCTCTCTTTCCCTTTCCTCCTTTCCAGATGCGAAGGATATAGAGACTTCAGTGACTGAAGCTGGAGGAGACGATGAGAAGAAAATACGGACCAAACCCGAGCAGGGAGCAGGAGCAGGAAAAGAAAGTCACGTGTACGCGGGAGCTGCGGACCCCATGATCCACGAGAACCAGAAGGGCGGTGGTGGCCACCAGGAGCCCTGGCAGCAGCAGCCTGAGGAGTTGGCCCAGGACTCCTCCGCTGAGGATCCGCAACCCCAAGATCAGGAGCGTCTATTCAGCCCCAGCACGTTCGGCGGGTTGCACCTGAAGGAGCTAGACAGCATTTTCTGACCTTCTCAATATCCGGACATGTTCGCTTGGTAAGCAGCTTGCTCTGGAGGTGCCCAGTTCCCAGGACGCTAGGGCTCTTCTAGGGCCGCCTTTGGCTCTGCCCCAGTCGCCTTCCCTCTCCTCCAAAGTCAAAAGTTATGTAGGGGGCTCAAGGCCCCTGGCTATGTAGGGGTCCCAAGGCCACAAGGCCCAAGGCCACAAGGCTAAGTATGGGGCTCAAGGCCGCTCTTGAGCTGTGGGGCGGGGGCGATGCCTACTGGGCATTAAGGTATTTTTCACACAGTGTATCAACGAATCAAACTGGGAAACTTTGGCTAGACTCCTGTTTTTGTAAATGTTTTATTGGAATCGCGATTGACATCAGCGTGAGGAAAGTGAGTCCTACAGGATTGGATCTTGCCTTTATTGAAAATTTTGACAATTTGGTTATTGTGGATTTTTTTTCATCGGTCGTGATTTTTAAAATATTTGCATTAAAAATTATTAATCTTCGGGCTGGTGGGTGGCTCACGCCTGTAATCTCAGTGCTCTGGGACTCCAAGTCAGGAGGATCACTTGAGTCCAGGCGTTCAAAACCAGCCTGAGCAATATAGTGAGACTCCATCTCCACAAAATATTTTGTAAAATTAGTGGTGCGTATTAGCAGGCACCTGTAGTCCAAGCTACTCTGAGGCATCGCTTCAGCCCAGGAGTTCGAGGTTTCAGTGAACTGTGATCATGCCACTGCCCTCCACTATGTGCCACGGAGCTAGACCCTATCTCTAAAATTAGATACATAGATAGATTAGATAGATGATAGACACATAGATAGATACATAGACAGAGATATCTTGAATCGTGAGTGTTTTAGTGCTCTCTTAAATTCTGCACACAGGTGGGGCATGATGGCTCATGCCTGTAATCCCGACACTTAGGGAGGCCGAGGCAGGCGGATCATGAGGTCAGGAGTTCAAGACCAGCCTGGCCAATATAGTGAAACCCCATCTCTACTAAAAATACAAAAAAATTAGCTGGGCGTGGTGGCGGGTGCCTATAATCCCAGCTACTCAGGAGGCTGTGGCAGGAGAATCACTTTAACCCGGGAGGCGGAAGTTGCAGTGAGCCGAGATTGTGCCACTGCACTCCAGCCAGGGTGACAGTGCCAGACTCTGTCCAAAAAAAAAAAAAAAAAAAAAAGTCTGCACACAAAGGACAACCATTCCTACCTAATGCAATCCTGGGGCTAGGTATCACAGAAAAATGTGCTGGAGCGGTTGCGAGGATAGATAATTTCAAACCGGTATGAAATGTTCATAGGTGTATTTCATTTCATCCACAATTCCAAATAATGAACTTTTGTGGTTTTTTTTTCCCAGAAAGCAACTGGCAATATGCATGGATGTGAGTGAAGCTGAAGTGGAAGCCAGTAAGCCTGATGAAAGCAATTGGTCAGAGTAGCCACTCTGAAACCTGCCTCAGACCTTGGATACTTTGTCCTACACATTCTCCAATTGGCCTGTATGTGTTGCCTTTTTATGTTTGCGAAGTGAGTTTTGAATTTTAGGGGGTGAAAAGTAGGATATGTAAACATTAGCTTGTGGAAATTTCCCATTAACAGAGGGAATATGCTTTCTAATGGAAAAATAAAATTAAACAGAACTGAACTGCTACTGCTATTTCCTATACAAAATTAAGATAAAGTTCAATTCCTTCTAACAATGGTAACCTTTGGAGAACACTTCTGTATGGAGTTATGTTGTGACTGAGTGTGACTTAAGAACTACGCAAATTAATGCACCAAGGAGCCAGGATGTGAGAAGTTTCAATTGTATTTAAAATATTTAAACCAGGCTACCTTCTTAGCTAAATGACTGAATTTATAAATATTCAGGCATTGGGGAAAGGGAGTAAGTTACACAGAGAGAGAAGACACTAAATGAGTAATTAATGTATGTTTAGTTTCACTGAGACTGATGGGGAGGACATAACTTAAAAGTACTCTTGGCTGGTGGTCCTGCTGTTGTTTTTAAGTGTCTGATGAGGCCATGCAGAACGTGGCAGCACTTAATTTAAATTTTCTGGAATACTTTGATTTGTAAGCGTGAATGCTCTGCTAATATACTTGCAGTACAGTGGGGGTGTGGGGGGGCAGGTTTTCAAACTAGAAATTTGCCTAAAAATTGGAATAAACAAGAAAAATTTTGAATAAGGTTCCACTCACCTTAGAAAGCTGAAAAGGTTAAAAAAGAATTGCATACACTCAAATATATACCTGGAAGATACGGCACAAATTGAGCTTTGTGAGGGAATATTCTCTTGAGGAATTTCTAACAACTAAGGAGTTTTTGGTATTACTGGTTTTTTTGCTTTGTTTTGTTTTTGTTTTTGTTTTTGAGATGGAGTCTCGCTCTGTCGCCCAGGCTGTAGTGCAGTGGCGCAATCTGGGCTCACTGCAAGCTCCACCTTCCGGGTTCCTGCCATTCTCCTGCCTCAGCCTCCCGAGTAGCTGGGACTACAGGCGCCCATCACCACGCCTAGTGAATTTTTTGTATTTTTAGTAGAGATGGGTTTTCACCGTGTTATCCAGGATGGTCTCGATCTCCTGACATCATGATCCACCCGCCTCGTCCTCCCAAAGTGCTGGGATTACAGGTGTGAGCCACCGTGCCCGGCCTGTTACTGTTTTAAACTGGTAGGTTTTATGAAATTTTTTGGTGGGGTAGGGCACGCTCAATTTAGACCCGAATGTAACCTATGCTAATTTGAAATAGTTTTTCATTTTCCCAGGCAGTGATGATGAATTTGTAGGTCATGGGATCAAAAAGTCACTAAGATAACTTAAGTTTTATTAAGAGTATTTTTTCAAAACAAGAAGAAAACCCAGGATGAGATTATGAGCCTCCCTCTGCAGTTTGTGTGAGTGCAGTGATGGAAAGGAGCTGCAGAACTAGTGCTGGTGACTTTTAGTGAATTTAGACCTAGTTTGGCCAAATTTTCCTTAACTCTGCAGGCTAAAATATCAAGGCAATATCCAGGGCATCAGGACTATTCTGTCCCAGCTAGACAAGCCACAAACTCTCTGGGCCCCCCATGACCAAGCTTTTTTTTCAGACCATCCTTTTCAGTTTCAAGATTTTTCAGAGGATGAAGTCTGGGCCCAGTGGCTCATGCCTGTAATTCCAACACTTTGGGAGGCAGAGGCCGGTGGATCACTTAAGGCCAGGAATTTGAGACCAGCCTGGCCAACATGGTGAAACCTCATGGTAAAAATACAAAAATTAGCCAGACGTGCTGGGATACCACTGTAGCCCCAGCTACTACAAAGGCTGAGGCAGGAGGATCGCCTGGACCCGAGAGGTGAGCCGAGATTGTGCCACTGCATTCCAGTCTGGGTAACAGAGCAAGACCCTGTCTCAAAAAAAAAAAAAGTTTTCAGAGGATGAATGACCCCTTAGACATCCTTGAGGAAACCTGATTAAAAATCCAACCTGCTCCTATTGATGTAGTCACCTCAGACTGAAGATGGCCTTTTCAAATGGGGGGCCTTCCCACCCTATAACTCTAAATGGGGCCCACCATATACCTTGCTCAACTATCACCACTACCAGGGTGACACTATTCCTAATGAAGAGGGAGTAGAGGCAGCTAGACACCCCAATGGTCCACTGTCAGGATACTGACATTTCTTCATCCTATTACCAAGCATAGCGTTAACAGCAGATACTTAGTGCAGTTTGTTCACTAGACTCATATCCAGGAGCTGGAAAAACCCTTAAAGAATATTAAAAATGGGAGGAGAGAGAAACAAAGCAATAAGCATAATCCAAAACAGAACGGAAGGCAAGGGGGTACAGCATTAAGTTTCCTAAAATATTTTACCAATAAGAACTGGCCTCCAATGTAAATTAGAGTTTCTGACCTCTATCATTTTTCTTTTCTTTGAAAAACATTTAACATTTATTGCAAGGCAGTTATACTGGTGACAATTTCTCTCAATTTTGTTTCTCTGAAAAAGTCTTTATTTCTCCTTTTCTCGAAGGGTAACTTCACCGGATGAAGAAATCTAGGTTGTTGGTGTTTTTCTTTGAACACCTCTTCTTGCTCTTCGATAGGTAAGCCATTGTTTTCACCGCCTTTCAAGAGTTTCTCTTTGTGTTTGATTTTCTATAGTTTGAATATAGTAAGTTTAAATGTAGATTTCTTGGTATTTATCCCGTTTGATGTTCTTTGACCTTCTGGGATCTGTGGTTTGGTCTCTGCCATTAACTTTGGAAAATTCTCTGCCATTATTCCATCAATTATTCCTTCAATTTTTTCTCTCTTCTCCCATTATGCATAGGTTACACCTTTGTAATTGTCCACAGTTCCTTGATATTCTGTTTGGTTTTTGTTTCATTATTTTTTTCTCTTTGCTTTTCAGTTTAGAAAATTTTTATTGTCCTATTGGGAAGTTTTATTTTCATCTCTTCTCATCTCTCCTCTTTTCTTTCTTTCGTTTATTTATTTATTTATTTTTTTGAGACAGGGTCTCAGTCTGTCACCCAGGCTGGAGTGCAGTGGCATGATCATAGCTCACTGAAGCCTCCAACCCTGGGGCTCATGCAATCCTCCTGCCTCAGGCACCACGTCTGGATAATTTTTTTTCAGAGATGAGGTCTTGCTATGTTGCCCAGGCTGGTCTCACACTTGCCTCAAGCAATTCTCCCATTTTGGCCCCCTAAAGTGCTGGACTTACAGGTGTGAGCCACCATGTCCAGCCCATATTGGGAAGTTTCCATTGTCATATCTTCTAGTTTACTGATTCTTTGCTGTCTTCTCTAGTCTGTTGATGAGCCCTTCAAGACATTCTTCATTTCTATTACTATGTTTGTGATACCTAGCATTTGTTTTTTTATTTTTTTCTTAGAGTTTTTATCTTTCTATACATTACTCATCTGTTTTTGCATGTTGTCTACTTTTTCCAATAGAGCCCTTAGCATAATTATCATAGTTATTGTAAATTCCCAATCTAATCATTCTAAAATCTCTGCTGTATTTTAATTGGGTTCTGATGCTTGCTTTGTCTCTTCATAATGTGATTTTTTTTCAGATAGGGTCTCACTCTGTTGCCCAAGCTGGAGTGCAGCGGCACAATCATGGCTCACTGCAGCCTCAACCTTCAGTACTCAAGCAATCCTCCCACCCCAGTCCCCTAGTAAGTAGGACTACAGGCACACGCCACCATGCTGGCTACTTTTTCTTATTTTTTGTAGAGATGGGGTCTCTCTATGTTGCCCAGGCTGATCTAGAACTTCTGGGCTCAAGTGATCCCCTCACCTTGGCCTCTGAAGTGCTGGGATTACAGGTATGGGCCACTGCACTTGGTCCCAGAATGTGTTTTTTGACTTTTAGCAGTCTTATACGTTTTTGTTGAAAATCATACCTGATGTACTGGGTAGAAAGAACTGAGGTAGGCTGGGTGTGGTGGCTCATGCCTGTAATCCCAGCACTTTGGAAGGCTGAGTCAGAGGATCACTTGAGGCCAGGAATTCGAGACCAGCCTGGGCAATAATACAGTGAGACCCTGTCACTACAAAAAAAGGAAAAAGGAAAAAAAAAAAACTCAGGTAGATAGTACTTTTGTGTGAGGTTTTATGGTTCTCTGGCTAGGAAGATTAGGCTGTTTACTGTTGGCTGTAACTTTAGGTGTCAGAAGTTAAAGTTTGTTGAAGGGTCCTTGTCTTGGTAGGGTCCTTTGTTGTCTTTGAGTTTTTCTAGAGGCTCCTTCTTACATATAATGTGAGGCTTGCAGTCTTTTCAGCTGTAATTCACCTATAATCTGCAGTTATTATACAGGATTCTTACTGATGTGGTGATAAGGTTGGGAGGAGGGCAAGCATTCTATCATGCCATGATTAGATCTCAGTTGTTCACTGAGCCTGTGTCCCTGGGCTGTGACCTTTACAAGTGCTTCTCAGCGTCCCCACCCATCCTTTTGGGTTAGATGGCAGACTAGACGGGGCTGGAGTTGAGTACTTCCTTTCGCCGTGGTTGGTCAGTCTGGGGAAACCCAAGTTGGTTAGGCTCTGATAAAATAGTTTCTTCCCAGAGTAGTCCTTGGTTAAGGAAAACAAAGAGCTCTGGGCATATTTCAAAATGATTGCTTTTCTTGTCCACCTGCTGGAAGCAGGAAGGGATTCCCATGCCCTCCCTTCCCAGTGACAACTTGGTGGGGCTTCTGGAGATAAAACTCATGAAAATGTGCAGTCCCCTTAAGGCTGCCACCACCCTTGGAGTTTTAACTCTCCAGATAGTCCATGCTGAGCTTCTAGAAATTCAACAATGACAGTTGAAAGTTTTCCTACTCATATTGGCTCCAACTGTGGGTTTCTGCTGGTGGGCTTCTACTCCTGGTAAACTGTAATTCTCTGTATCTGCCTATCTATTCTAAGACAACAGGGAATAAATGGATGAATAAATGAATAGCAAAAATGACAGTTTGTAGCAATGAAAAAGGAATCCATCTAATTGGTCCAGGTAAAAGAACAAACGAGAAATATTTGGTCCATACCCAATGGTTTAATCTGCTTAATTTTTATCCAGAACTAACCCCCTATCTTGGTTTGCTGAATTAAAGATTCAGCTTAATATATCACTATGCAATATCTCTGGATCATAATCCATCTCGGGGAAGGACAGATTTGGTTATGGATACCTCAGAAGTCCAAGTCTCTATGCTAAACAAACAGCGGAAGAACCAAGTTAACACCTTTCAAAATTTTTCTGACTCCCTGTTGGAATTGCAGTTTTGATGTGGTGAGTAGGCGCATAGAATTAATTGGACATTCTTGGAAATATCTTCTGATCAAATGAAGAAATAGGACAATCCTGGATGTTTCCTGGGGTGTTAGGCTTAGGGACCTGCGCCAGGGCCAGTCACATTGTGAGATGCCCCTCCCAGTCCTGACTTTCACTCCTTCTTAATCAATGTTTCAATCCTGGTAAGCCCCTTAAGAAGACCAACTGAGTTAAAAGGCAGGTAGGTGAGAGAGAAAAAGAGAAAAGACAGGCCCTACTGCTTGACCTTGTAATGGGGGCTGTGGAAGGAGACATTAGAAATCCATTTGTATATGAACCTGAGTTCTGTTTTCCTTTCTCCTATAAAACCCAGTTGACCACAACCATCTTTTTGTGCCCCACTGGCTAACACTGAGTGGATGCCCTACTCCCAGCTCCCCGTTACCACACAGCTCCCTAAAAGTGAACAACAGCTCTGGGCTCTGTCATTCCCATGGATTCCTCTCTCCACTAGGTTTCCACAGCCTTCTTCTCCACTTCTGATTTTAAAACATCTTTTGTTTCATCTTTTTGCCCCTCGTTCAAAAATGAAATGGACAGAGATTCTTCCTTGCCTTCTGCCCTGCCTCTATTTTTTTTTTTTTTCTTAAACCAAAATTCTTGGGCCTATCAGAGGAAAAAGTCACGCTCCAAACCTGCACTTCTCATAGTGGCTCTAATTTAGTCTGGATGCTGTGCTTGGGATGAGTCTAGGTAAATCAGTTATGGTGTCTATGCCTGAATGTCACCACTTCAATCTCTCGTGTCCCTTGATTGTAAAATCAAGAATGTGTGTACGAGGTATCTTTTGTATTCCCAGAATCTAAAACACTGGCATGTAAATGTTAGGAATTCACACATTCACCTTAAGATCTACCCTTCATCTGGACGTGGTGGCTCATGCCTGTAATTCCAGCACTTTGGGAGGCTGAGGTAGGAGTATTGTTCGAGGCCAGGAGTTAGAGACCAGCCTGGGTAACAAAGCGAAACCCATGCTCTACAAAAAAAAAAATTTTAAAAAGATCTACCAGCCGGGTGCGGTGGCTCATGCCTGTAATCCCAGCACTTTGGGAGGCCGAGGTGGGCAGATCACGAGGTCAGGAGATCGAGACCATCCTGGCTAACACGGTGAAACCTCGGTCTCACTGAAAATACAAAAAATTAGCTGGGCGAGGTGGCGGGCGCCTGTAGTCCCAGCTACTAGAGAGGCTGAGGCAGGAGAATGGCGTGAACCCGGGAGGTGGAGCTTGCAGTGAGCCGAGATCATGCCACTGCACTCCAGCCTGGGCCACAGAGCGAGACTCCGTCTCAAAAAAAAAAAAAAAAAAGATCTACCCTTTGTATGGGGGGATCCAGCCCATTGGTGTGTAGTTGAAAATTAAATTTTGTTTATACCACTGAAGTGAGGGTCCCTGTCCCATAGTTCTGTGCTGATATCTGAGAAGGAGCAAGTGTGATATTTATTGAGGCAAACCATAAGTTACATATTTCAAAACAAATACCAATTGCATTGCATCATGACAGTTTCCAAGCTGTTAGCCTGCTTTCCTAAAAACGTTAATTTAACACAAGCACAGAACTGGCTTTTGCTCACGGGTTGTACTGTTGGTTGGCTGACTTGGCTTTGCAAAAATATTGGGGGAAATGAGGGCTGTTGCAGAGGAAGCATACTTGGCCATTTGTGAAGAGGGTACAAAGTGCATCAACCTCTCAAGGCCAGAAAGCGTGGACACAAGGATACCGAATACCTTCAAGGGAGGTTGATTAATTTTCCTAAAGGTAAAATGACCCAGTGCTTCTGCTTGGGTGGGATCCTTGAGTTTTCAGCCCTTCTGAAGCAGGAAAATAAGGTCTGGAGGCAGAAAACCTAAGGCCGTTCCACGCTTACTTCCTAGAACTAAATTGAAACAAAAACCCTAACTTTCCATGCCTAAATAACAAAAGGACCAGAGGCTACACCCTTTGCAAAACCCACTTTTTCTGCAGGGCCAATGGGAAGTTGAAAGTACCTGTGACTGGTACTTTTTGCAACCATTTGGACCTTTGCGTAGGAGTGTAACTTTGTAACTTCACCTCAGCCTCTGATTGATTGCTGTCTGCAACCAATCAAACTGATTGTGGGCCAAGTCTTACTTTGCATAGAAGTGCAACTTTGTAACTTCACATTCACCTCTGATTGGCTGTGAACCTTGTAACTTTATTTCAGCCTCTGATTGGTTGTGACAAGCAACCAATCAGAATGATTGCAGGCTACCACTTCATTTACATGAGGTGGACACCAAGTGGCCAGTGGGAAACCTCTAGGGGGTACTTGGACCTGAGAAGATTCTGTATCTGGGGCCTTGAATGCTGAAGCTACTGGACTCCTCCCGAGACTGGTTCATAATTTTGCAGCTGAAACTAACATCTACAAAGACCATCTATCTTGGGTGAACCTATTTTCTTGTAGCCAGCGTTAAATATTGGCTCAGTCTAAGGCCTCTCAGGAAGAGATAATATTCAGCCATAAAAAAGAATGAAATAATGCCATTTGCAGCAACATGGATGGAACTGCAGGTCATTACCTTAAGGGAAGTAAACCAGGCACAAAAAGAGAAGTATCACATGTTCTCACTTATATGTGGGAGCTTAAAAATGTGGACACATGGAAGCAGAGAGGGCAAAAATAGATAACATAGAATAGAAAGAGCAGAGGGAGGGGGGATGATGAAGAGAAGTGGGTGGAAGGGTGCAAACATACAGTAAGATAGAAGGAATAAATTCAATGTTTGATAGCAGAGTAGGATGAGTATACTTAACAAAAATGTACTTGGATGATGGATACCCTAATACCCTGACTTGACACTATGCATTAAATTCATGCAACTAAATTCCTCATGTATCCCATAAGTTTGTACAAATACAAATGTCTCACATCTGTAATCCAAGTTACTCAGGAGGCTGAGGCAGGAGGATTGCTTGGGCCCAGGAATTCAAGACCAGCTTGGGTAACATAGTGAAACCCTGTCTCTAGAAAAGAAACACAATTTTTTTGTTTGTTTTTGAGACAGAGTCTCGCTCCATTGCCCAGGCTGGAGGGCAATGGCACAATCATGGCTCACTGCAACCTCCACCTCCCAGGTTCGAGCAATTCTCCTGTCTCAGCCTCCCGAGTAACTGGGATTACAGGCACCCAATACCATGCCCAACTAATTTTTATATTTTTAGTAGAGACAGGGTTTCACCATGTTGGCCAGGCTAGTCTCAAACTCCTAACCTCAGGTGACCCGCCCACCTCGGCCTCCTAAAGTGCTGGGATTACAGGCATAAGTTGCCATGCCCAGCCAGAAAAACAATTTTTTAAGACTGTGCATTTCAATTTCGACGTCAAATGCATGTCCTAATTATCTTTAGTTACCTCTTGTAACCTCATTAAAGAGGTGTATTAGTCCATTTTCATGCTGCAGGTGAAGACATACCTGAGACTGGGAAGAAAAAGAGATTTAATTGGACTTACAGTTCCACGTGTTTGGGGAGGCCTCAGAATCATGGTGGGAGGCAAAAGGCACTTCTTACATGGCAGCCGCAAGAGAAAATGAGGAAGATGCAAAAGCAGAATCCCCTGATAAAACCACCAGATCTCATGAGACTTATTCACTACCACGAGAACAGTATGGGGGAAACCGCCCCCATGATTCAAATTATCTCCCACCGGGTACCTCCCACAACATGTGGGTATTATGGGAGTACAATTCAAGATGAGATTTGGGTGGGGACACAGAGCCAAACCACATCAATACGTATCACCAGTTATCTATAGTATTAGCTCATTATTATAACAAGAAATCAGAAGTTAGAGTGGTAAATCCTGATTTTTCAGATTCATACCTTCAAGTTATTTTCTAATTATTTCTACTTTACTTAAATTTGCTATTGACCTACCTACCACTTGATGTCTATAGTACAAATTGATTTTATCAATGAAACATAAGAATTTTGTCTTGTTGAAAATTGCTTTCTAGGTTCCAGGCTTCTCTGTTTTCCAGTTATCTCTCATTATCTCCAGTTCAGTAGTTACCTATGTGCCCCTTGTTATATAGAACTAACTCATTATGCTAACAAGAAATAAGAAGTTGGTTATAGGAAGAAGATGTTCTTCACTCTCTGGCTTTATCTGTTATTGACATGTTACAGGTGTGATGTTATTGAGTCACACAGATGTTATGTAACCTGCTCAAAGTCACCCACTGGGGAAATGTCCAGAGCTGGGATTTGTTTAACTATTTTCATGTGTGCAACCACTTATCTACAGGACTAACTGATTCCAACGATAAACAAAAATGCAGTGTTGAGGAGAATGGTTAACTTTCTGAGTTCAGCCACTTTTCTTCAGCATCCTGGTTTAAACTTGTTATTCTAGATATCCTCACTTATCCCTCGGTTACTAATGAGGGAGGTACCAGTAGATATCTATGGCACTAATTCGATATTCAAACAAGTGAAAGAAATTTTGAGATGAATGATACTTTTATTTCTGCTTATTTCTAGTTAACTAATTACAAAAGAATAATAATTATACCATAATTGCAAATGTCATTGGGCACATCCTCTCTGTTAGGAATAATACTCAGAGGATGGGTTCAAATCTCAGCTTTGGACATTTCCCAAGTGAGTGAATTTGAGCAGGATACTTAACACCTTGGTGACTCAATAACACCACCTGTAAAATGACGTATAATAGCACATCAATGTGTATATAGGTTTGTTAAGAGGATTACATGTGTTCATATAAACAAATCATTTAGATCATTGCCTAGAACACAGTAAGAACCAGGTAAGTGTGAGCTACCATTGGTATCATCTCAATTAATCTCCACAACTGCTCCATGAGGTAGATATTATTATCACCTCATTTTACAGATGAGAAAATTGAAGCACAGAGAGAAAAGGCAACTCATCAGGTGAGCTAGCTAGCAAATGTCAAGCAATGCCATCATGCAGATGCCAGCAGTCTGGCTCCAGGGTCCCTGCCCTCATAAATCTAGGACATCAAACCCATCATTTGTGCCTATGCTTATTGGGATGAGGCTCAATTCAGTACGTAGCATTTACAAGAAGTGAATCAATTTAACTAAAAATTTTAAAGTAAATACTACTTTGATTGGTGCTCTGGTAGGTAACACTCACCAAAGGGACACAGAAATGACTACTGAAATTTAGAAAGCACTGAAGCAAGTCATGGAAATCTCAGCTGTGAGACACCACACAACTCCAATTCTGACAGATATCCGAGTTGGGCTAATACACACCATGATTAAAACCATTGTAGGTCTCTCACATAGTAACTGATCCCAGGCGAAAATTCATCAAAGTGTGTCTGGCCATGAGAAGGGTGAGGTCTGCCGGACCCTGCAAGATCCAGCCTGAGGAGGAGACGTCTTGGTTAATGTCAGGGACAGTCTGTGGGTGAAATTCCTTGACAGCTTTTTCAGAGTGAATTGGTCAACCAACCATTCTGTAGCTGGCTTCCTATCTACCATCCAGGAATGGGAGAGAGGAGAGATTTATCTGTCAGGCAGAGTGGGCAAAGTGAGTGGGGGTCCCAGTTCTTTTTAGGGGCCTATGAAAATTGTTTAATTTATTAAATAGGCCTGATGACAGTGGTGGTTCTGAAGGCCAAAATTGGCTAAATAATCCCAATATTCAGGAAACCAACTCATTCCAAGGCCTGATTCTTATTTTTTATTTTGTTTTATGTTTTACAGCTAGGGTCTCAGTCTGTAGTTCAGGATGGAGTGCAGTGGTGTGATCATAGTGAGGCAGGAGAATAGGGTCTGGAAGCAGTGAACCTAATGCCGTTTCAGGCTGACATCCTAGAACTAAATTGAAAGGAAAGCCCTAACTTCCCACGCCTAAGTAACAAAAGCACCTGTGGCTACTCCCTTTGCAAACCCCCACCTTATCTGCTGGGCAGACGGGAAATTAAAAGTACCTCTGATTGGTTGCTTTTTGGAACCAATCAGACCTTTGCAGAGGAATGGAACTTTGTGACTTCACTTCAGCCTCTGATTGGTTGCTTTCCACAACCATTTAGACTGATTGCCAGTCATCACTTCATTTACCTAAGGTGAACACCTAGTAGCCAATGGGAAACTTCTAGGGGGTATTTGGACCCGAGAAGATTCTGTATCGGGGCCCTTGAGTGGCTGCTCAGGCCTGCTCCCACCCTGTGGAGTGAACTTTCGTTTTCCATAAATCTCTGCTTTTGTTGCTTCATTGTTTCCTTGCGAGTTTTGTCCAATTCTTTGTTCAAAACGCCAACAAACTGAACAGCCTCCGCTGGTAAAAATAGCTCACTACAGTCTCCAACGCTTAGGTTCAAGCGATTTTCCCGCTTCAGCTAGGTGAGTAGCTTAGACTTCAGGTGCGTGCCACCACGTCCCGCTATTTTTGTTTTTTATTTTTTGAGAGATGGGGGTCTTGCTGTGTTACTCAGGCTGGTCTCAAACTCCTGGGCTAAAGCGATCCTCCCGCCTCAGCCTCCTGGAGTAGCTAGGATTACAGGCACGCACCACCGGGCCCAGCATCATCCCGAGGAACCATTTTCTTTTTTAAGGTACAGGGTCTCTCTTTTTCTCCCAGGCTGGAGTGCAGTGGCAGGATTGCAGTGGGGCGACCATAGATCACTGTAACCCACAGCCTTCATCGTTCTGAGGCACACTTCTTGAAGGGAGAAACATAGAGCTCCCAATCTACCCTGCCTCTTTTTTATTTGACATTTATCAGTAGGGAGCAAGAGGTCTGAAAGATAATTCTAGACAAAGAGTAGGAAAGGGAAAGCAGGAGGAGGACGAGGAGGGTGGGTAAGAGAAGGTGATGACGAGCAAGGGAAGGCGGGAACTAAGCCAAGTCCACAGCGCCCGCCCAGCACACGAAACACTCCCGCTTCTGCAGAGGGCCTGCAACCTGAGGCTCTGGAGCAGAATATAGCTTAGCAGACATTTCATGCTCCGCAGTCGCGTCTAGAGCCAAAGGAAGATTCACTTGCAGTGTAACCCTTCTTAGATGCACTAAACACCGAACAGGGTTCTACGCTTGTACTCTGAGGTGGAGTAATTAGTTAGCAAGGGGCGTGTTAGGTTTCTTGCAGCTTGCATTTGAGCATCCGGAGCGGTCTGCCAAACCCAGGCCCAAACTCAGGGTTCCCCAGACCCCCTTGGAGAGCGTTGCGTGCTCAATTTTCTGGACGTTGCTGCAAAAACCTAGCATGCAGCCTCCGACCTCATCATTTCATCTTAATTACGGTCCGATTCGAGGACTTTGAGTGCGAACGGAACACAACCAGAGAGTCTCATGCATTAGTCACCAACTAGTCAGAGGGCAGCGTGGTGCCAGGAACCCACGCCGCAAGGTGCACTGCCTTCAGCTTGCAGCGCCTTCGCCCTGGAGAAGCATTCTGCAAGCCCGCGTGCCTGGAGGGCTGGACAGAGACATGTTCTGTTAACTTTCTCTATTGGGTCTAGCTCCTCCGCCCCTTCCCCTGCCCCAATCTGTTGGCGCCAGGCAGCTTGGCCCCTTCCTCCTGGCAGTCACCCCACCCGGGTTGGGAGTGGTCAACCAAGCCGCAAACTGGAGCGCGGGTTCCCTGCACGCCCGACCCCCTCCCCGCGCCCTGACCAGGAGCTCGCCCCTGACTTTACCGCCACCTTCCTGCCGTGAGCGCGTGCCAGCAGGACCTTCCGTCCGCCACACACACACACACACACACACACACACACACACACACACACACATACCCCGCCAGCGGAGGCGACCAGGGCAGCAGCCGGCTCCCCGCCACGTGCAGGCGTTGGACCCGAAGTCCACGCGCTGGAACTCGAACCAGGAGCTAGAGGACCCCAGCGCAGAATCCGCGGAGGCGCAGGGCTTCATCCACCGCGCTCTCAGATCGCGTCCCAGCCCAGATCTAGCCACGAAGACACCGGCTACCTCTGCCTGGGCTTCGTGTTCCATGAGCTCCAGGAAGGCGACGGTCAGTGCCTGGCTGGGGACCCGGACCGGTGATTTGTTCAACTCTAGGAAAGGAACTTTCCCGGAGAGAGGCGCGTGGGCGGGAAGCTGCTGTGCCACCTTTCTCAGGCCGCGAGTCTAGGCTGCCCTGTGCGCCTCTCTCTCTCTCTCTCTCTCTCTCTCTCTCTCTCTCTCTCTCTCTCTCTCTCTCCCTCCCTCCCTCCCTCCCTCCCTTCCTTTCCCTCTCCTCCTTTCCAGATGCGAAGGCTATAGGGCTATAGGGCCTTCGGTGATTGAAGTGGGAGGAGAGGATAAGAAGAAGAGTCCGAACCCGAGCAGGGAGCAGAAGCAGAAGAAAGTCACGTCTGCGCGGGAGCTGCGGACCCCATGTTCGACGAGAACCAGAAGGGCGGCGGTGGATACCAGGAGCCCTGGCAGCAGCAGCCTGAGGAGTCCGCCCAGGACTCTTCTTCCTCGGAGCTGCAGCCAGAAGATCAGCAGCATCTCTTCTCCCCCAGTGCATTCAGTGGGTTGCACCTGAAGGAGCTAGACAGCATTTTCCGATGCTCTCAGTATCCCGACGTGTTTGCTAGGTAAGCGGCTTGCTCTAGAGGTGCGCAATTATCCAGGACGCTAGGGCTCTTCCCGGGACGCCTTTGGCCCTGCCCCAGTCTCGCTCCCTCCCCTCCAGAGTCAAAAGCTACATATGGGGCTCAAGGCCACTGGAGTAGGTCACTCTTGAGCTGTGGGGTGGGGGCGATGCCTACTGGGCATTAAGGTATTTTTTCACGCATTATAGAAACGAATCAAGCCAGGAAACTTTGGCCAGACTCCTGTTTTGGAAATGTTTTGTTGGAATTGCGATGGACATCAGGGTGAGGAGAGTGAGTCCTACACGGTTGGATCTTGCCTTTATTGAACATTTTAACAATTTGGTTACTGTGGATTTTTTTCATTGGTCTTGATTTTTAAAATAATGCCTTAACATTTGTTAATCTTCGGGCTGGTTCGGTGGCTCATGCCTGTAATCCTAGCACTCTGGGAGGCCAAGGCGGGAGGATCATTTGAGTCCAGGCGTTCAAGACCAGCCTGAGCAATATAATGATACTCTGTCGCTACGTAAAAATTTAAAAAATTAGGGCGGGCGCGGTGGCTCAAGCCTGTAATCCCAGCACTTTGGGAGGCCGAGGCGGGCGGATCACAAGGTCAGGAGATCGAGACCATCCTGGCTAACACGGTGAAACCCCGTCTCTACTAAAAATATTTTAAAAAATTAGCCGGGCGTGGTGGCGGGCGCCTGTAGTCCCAGCCGCTCGGGAGGCTGAGGCAGGAGAATGGCGTGAACCTGGGAGGCGGAGCTTACAGTGAGCTGAGATAGCGCCACTGCACTCCAGCCTGGGCGACAGAGCAAGACTCCGTCTCAAAAAATTAATTAATTAATTAATTAAAAATTTAAAAAATTAGACCGGCATGGTGGCACACACCTGTAGTCTCAGCTACTCCGTAGGATCGCTTGAGCCCAGGTGTTCGTGGGTTCAGTGAACCATGATTGTGTCACCCCTCCTCCAGCCTGGTCAACAGAGCTAGACCCTATCTCTAAAATTAAATAGATAGATGGACAGTTAAATAGAAAGAGATATCTTGAATCCTGAGTGTTTTAGTGCTCTTTTAAATTCTGCACACCAAGGACAGCCATCCCTAATGCAAGCCTGGGGCTAGGTATCACAGAAAAATATGCTGGAGCGGTTGAGAGGATAGACATTTTCAAACCGGTATGAAACGTTCATCAGTGTATTTCATTTCATCCACAATTCTGAAAAAGTTTAAATACTGAACGTTTGTGGTTTTCTGCCCCAGAAAGGAGCTTACAATATGCATGGATGTAAGTGAAGTCGAAGTGGAAGCCAGTAAGCCTGATGAAAGCAACTGGTCAGAGTAGCCACTCTGAAACCTGCTTCAGTCCTTTGATACCTTTGTCCTACACATTCTCAAGTTGGCCTATTTTTGTTGCCTTTTCTATGTTTGCAAAGTGAGTTCTGAACTTTAGAGGGTGAAAAATGGGATAAGGAAACCCCAGCTTATGGAAATTACACATTACCAGAGGGAATATGCTTTCTAATGGAAAAATAAAACTATACATACCAAACTGCTACTTCTATTTCCTGTACAAAATTAAGAATAAACAAAGTTCGGTTCCTTCTAACAATAGTATCCTTTAGAGACTACTTCTGTGTGGAGGTATCTTGGGACTGAGTCTGACTTAGAAGTATGCAAATTAATGCACCAAAGAGCTACGATGTGAGAAGCTTCAACTGTATTTAAAATATTTAAACCAAGTTAGGTTCTTAGCTCAGTGAGTGAGTTTATAAATATTCGGGCATTGGGTTAAGGGACTAAGTCACACACACAGACAACACACTATATGAGTAATTAAGTACGTTTAGTTTCACTGAGACTGATGGGGAGGAGATAGCTTAAAAGTCCAAGTGCCTGGTGGTCCTGCTATTTTTTCGAAGTGTCTGATGAAGACATGTAGAAAGTGGCTACCTGAAATTGTAATTTTCTGGAATACTTCGATGTGTCAGCCTGAAAACACTGCTAATATACGCACATTACAGTGGGGGGCGGGGGGAGACAGGTTTGCAAACTGGAAATTTGCCTAAAAATTGGAACAAACAAGAACAATTTTGAATAAGGTTCCAGTCACCTAAGAAGGGTGAAAAGGTTAAAGAAGAATGGCATACACTTACATATATACCTTGAAGAAATGGCACAAATTGAACTTTATGAGTGAATATTCTCTTGAGGAATTTCTAACAACTAAGGAATTATTTTGATGGGACTGTCTAAAGAGGTGGGTTTTATGAAATTTGTTTGGTGATGGGGAGCACGCTCAATTTAAACCAGATTCTTACCTGTGCTTATTTGAAATACGTTTTCATTTTCCCAGGCAGTGATGATTAATTTGTAGGTCATGGGATCAAAAGATTTCTAAGATTACTTAAGTTTTATTAAGAGAGAATTTTCCAAAACGAAAACAAAATCCAGGATGAGGTTATGAGCCTCGCTCTGCAGTTTGTGTGAGGGCAGTGATGGAAAGGAGCTGCAGAGCTGGTGCGGGTGACTTTTAGTGAATTTAGAACTAGTTTGGCCCTTTTTTTCAGACAGAATAGGGACCCATCAATGTTAATAGGGACATCCATGCCCAACTCCGGACTCTAGGGGAAGCTTCCTAAGCGGCTACTCAGTATTTATGGGAAGGCAACAGCTAAGCATTGATTCGACATGCTCCAAATTCTGTCCACCGCCCTCCCTTTTTGTGGGGGACACAGGGGAATAGGAGTCATTCTGGCCCAAAGGTCCTGCTGCTTCAGAAGAATCATGAGATGAGACTCCACCAAAGCCAGAATGAAGCTGTTCTCCCTTTTCTCCCCCATCCCCAGCCCAGAAGGCATATTATTGCACCTTCCCCAATTCAAAACGGACAATCACACTGTCCAATGTATTTTGTTGCTCTCTTCATCCTTAAGAGATCTCGAATTCCTGCTAATTAAAAATAGAAAGGGCATCTTTGGGGTTATTGGCACTGGAATCAAGGAGATGGTCCCCTGAGCAGTAATCTAGACTCATCATTCACTGGAATAGGCAGTCATTTGATCATGGTGTCTTCTTCCTGTGCAACTACCAGAGTAGAAAACAACAAAAACAAAAATGGGAGGGTGAAGGAAGCCAGGCCCATTTTTAAAGAAACATTAAGTTCTTCTCAATACAGCCTTTGCTTATGAGCAATCTCTAGCAATGCAAGACTTCTCGTTGGCTATTAAAAGTGGTTAATTGTGAGCACCAAGGCTGCACTATGAAGTGATTACTAAGATAAGTGCCACAGTTCCATCAGAATTTCCTCTCGCAGGGGTTAAATCAAAGTCCAGTTTCACAGCACGTATGTGTTCCCAGTGTAAAGCGAGGCTCTGTTTTCTTAGGAAAGCATGCATTTTTTGCTATGTTGTCCACTATCTCACTCTGCGAACTTCACAGTTGTGGATATGAAATGTCAGCAAAGCAGTTGCATGTAATGTGGGACTTCTGCACAGAGAGGAGATTATTGATACCCAGAGCCCCCAGCGCCTGGCTGAATTGGGGAACATCTAGGAATGCGCCTGTGTATGCCCACTGCCATCCTCACCAGATAATTTTGAAACCAACATTTCCTTTTTTTTTTTTTTTGAGTCGGAGTCTCACTCTGTCACCCAGGCGGGAGTGCAGTGGTGCGATCTGGGCTCACTGCAGGCTCCGCCTCCCGGGTTCACACCATTCTCCTGCCTCAGCCTCCCGTGTAACTGGGACTACAGGCGCCCGCCACCAAGCCCGGCTATTTTTTTTGTATTTTTAGTAGAGACGGGATTTCACCTTGTTAGCCAGGATGGTCTCGATCTCCTGACCTCATGATCCGCCTGCCTCAGCCTCCCAAAGTGCTGGGATTACAGGCGTGAGCCACCACACCTGGCCAGAAACCAACATTTCTTATTTCCCAAGGTGGCACCTGTTCTTTTTAAACATCAGCTTCCTCAATGCTGTAGGTACCCTCTAAACAGAACTACAGAATCTATAGAAATAAAAGCCACAGGACACCATCAGACCGAGTTCTGACCTCTTCTAGCCTTTGTCCCAGTTGAGCACATGGTTTTGCCATATTGCAATTGGAAGCCAAAGAAATACTCCACACAAATCATGCAGTAAACACTAACATTCAATTTGACACACACTAACAGAACATTTTTTTCATGCTCAGGAAAAGAATAGTGAATACCATTTCCCATAAGTGATGGAGTCTTCAAGAGACATGTATTTACTTGTTTGTCTGTTTTGTTTTTGTTTTTGACTCAGGGTCTCACTCCGTCGTCCAGGCTGGAGTGCAGTGGCCCGGTCTCACCTCACTGCAACTTCCACTTCCTAGGCTCAAGGGATCCTCCCACCTCAGCCTCCCCTGTAGCTGGGACTACAGGCATGCACCACCATGCCCAGCTGATTTTTGTACTTTTAGTGGAGCTGTGGTTTCACCATGTTGCCCAGGCTTGTCTCAAACTCCTGGGCTCATGCAATCCACCCCCCGGCATCGCTTGAACGGAGCCACGGCAACTCACCGACATATGTACTATTTTTAATGTCTCTCTAGTTCTTCAAAGTTCCAGAAGAACTAAGGCGTGGGGCAGAGGAAATAGTAAAAAATAATGCTTTAGATAATAGTTTCCACTCAATCTAAATTTCAAAACAGAGAGTTCTTTTAAAAGTAATCCCACAAAACGCATGTATTTTAAAATGTACTTCAAATATTGCAAAGGCAACAACCAGGCCAGGTGTGATCGCCCAGGCCTGTAATCCCGGCACTTCTGGAAACCGAGGTGAGAGGATTGTTTGAGCTCAGGAGTTCAAAACCAGTCTGGGCAACATATTCAGATCTCATCTCTCAAAAGGGATTTTAAAAACATATTAAAAAAGGAAAAAAGGCAAAGACGAGAAATTAACTGTTCTAATACAAGTTTAAAATTTTTATTTATTAAAAAATATTTAACACTGGTTACCAGAAAATAGGTTCACCCAAGATAGATGGTCTTCACAGATGTTAGTTTCAGCTGAAAAGTTATGAACACAATCTCGGGAAGAGTCCAGGAGCTTCTGCATTCTATAGTAATCAAAAAAATTGGGGGTTTTGCTTTCTAAAGTTTCTTTTTTGTTGTGGTTTTTGAGACGGAGTCTCACTCTGTCACCCAGGCTGGAGTGCAATGGCCGGATCTTTACACACTGCAACCCCGTTTGAAAAGCCCATCTTCAGTCTGAAGTAACTACATCAATAGGAGCAGGCTGGATCTTTAATCAGGTTTCGTAAAGGATGCCTAAGGGGCCATTCATCCTCTGAAATTTTTTTTTTTTTTTTTTTTTTTTTGAGACAGGGTCTTGCTCTGTCACCCAGATTTAGAGTGCAGTGGCACGATCTTGGCTCACTGCAACCTCTGCCTGTCAGGTTCAAGCGATCCACCTGCCTCATGCTACACCTAGTAGGTGGGACTACAGTGGTGCGCTACCAAGTCCAGGTAATTTTTGTATTTTCACCATGGGGTTTCACCATGTTGGCCAGGCTGGTCTCGAACTCCTGACCTCGCGTGATCTGCCTGCCTTGGCCTCCCAAATTGCTGGGATTACAGGCGTGAGCCACTGGGCCAGACTTCATCCTCTGAAAACTCTTGAGAGTGAAAAAGATGGTCTGAAAAAAAAGGCTTAGTCATGGGGGGCCCATCACTGCACTCACATGAACTGCACAGCACTGCTCATAACCTAATCCTGGATTTTCTCTTTGTTTTGAAAATATACTCAGTCAATAATACTGAAGGAATCTTAGTAATTTCTTGATCTCATGACTTACAAATTAATCACCACTGCCTGGGAAAATGAAAAACCATTTCAAATTAGCACAGGTAAGAACCTGGTCTAAATTGAGCGTGCCCCACCCCACCACCAAACAAATTACATAAAACCCACCAGTTTAAAACAGTAACATAAAAAAAACTTCTTAGTTGTCAGAAATTCCTAAAGAGAATATTCCCTCATAGAGCTCCATTTGTGCCATACCTTCAAGGTATATATTTGAGTGTATGCAATTTTTCTTTAACCTTTTCACCCTTCTTAGTTAAGTGAAAACTTTTTCAAAATTGTTCTTTTTTATTCCAATTTTTAAACAAATTTCCTGTTTGCAAACCTGCCCCCCCACACCCCCAGTGTAATGCAAGTATATTAGCAGTGTATTCCGGCTTACAAATAAAAGTATTGGAGAAAATCAAAATTGCGGGCTGCCACTTTCTACATGGCTTCATCAGACCCTTAAAAACAACAGCAGGACTACCAGGCACTTGGACTTTTAAGCTATGTCCTCCCCATAAGTCTCAGTGAAACTAAACATACATTAATTACTCATATAATGTGTTCTTTCTGTATGTAACTTATTCCCTTATCCCAATGCCTGAATATTTATAAATTTGGTCATTTAGCTAAGAACATAGCCTGGTTTAAATATTTTAAATACAGTTGAACCTTCTCACAATATGGGTCCTTGGTGCATTAATTTGCAAACTCCTCAAGTCAGACTCAGTCCCAACATAACTCCACACAGAAGTGTTCTCTAAAGGATACCATTGTTAGAAGGAATGGAACTTTATTTACACTTAACCTTGTACAGGAAATAGAAGTAACAGTTTAGTTCTGTTTCGCATTAGAAAGCATATTCCCTCTGGTAATGGGAAATTTCCATAGGCTAAGGTTTATGTATCCCATTATTCCCCCGCTAAAGTTCAAAACTCACTTGGCAAACATAGAAAAGGCAACAAAAACAGGCCAATTGGAGAATGTGTAGGACAAAGGTATTCAAGGACTGAGGCAGGTTTCAGAGAGTGGCTACTCTGACCAATTGCTTTCATCAGGCTTACTGGCTTCCACTTCGGCTTCACTCACATCCATGCAGATTGCAAGCTGCTTTCTGGGAAAGAAAACTACAAAAATTCAGTATTTGGAATTGTGGATGAAACGAAATACACCTATGAACATTTCATACCAGTTTGAAAATGTCTAGCCTCCCAACTGCTCCTGCACATTTTTCTGTGATACCTAAAAATAGCCCCAGGCTTGCATTAGGTAGGGGATTGTTTTCCTTTGTGTGCAGAATTTCAGAGAGGGCTAAAACACTTAGGATTCAAGATTTTTCTATCTCTATCTATCTGTCATCTATTCATGTAATTTATCTATGTATCTAATTTTAGAGACAGGGTCTAGCTCTGTAGCACAGGCTGGAAGGCAGTGGCCGGATCACAGTTCACTGAAGCCTTGAACTCTGGGCTCAAGCGATCCTCCAGAGCACCTTGGATTACGGGTGCGTGCTGCTAATATGCCCAGCTAATTTTACAAAATTTTTTGTAGAGATGAAGTCTCAGTATATTGGTCAGCCTGGCCCTGAACGCCTGGACTCAAGTGATCCTCCTGACTTGCCCTCCCAGAGCGCTCGGATTACAGGCATGAGCCACAGCACCAGCCCGAAGATTAATAATTTTAATGCAAATATTTAACTTGATTCGTATCTATACTGCTTGAAAAATACCTTGATGCCCAGTTGCTATCGCCCGCATCCCACAGCTCAAGAGCGGCCCTGAGCCAGTGGCCTTGAGCCCCCTAAATAGCTCTTGGCACTGGAGCCTGGTAAAGAGACATGGGTAGAGCCAAAGGCGTCCAGGGAAGAGCCCCAGAGTCCTGGGAACTGGGAAGCTCCAGAGCAAGCCGCTTACCGAGCGAACACGTCGAGATATTCAGAGCGTGGGAAAATGCTGTCTAGCTCCTTCAGGTGCAACCTGCTGAACGCACTGGGGCTGAAGAGACGCCGCTAATATTGGGGTTGTGGCTCCTCCGCGGAGGAGTCCTGGGCTGGAAGCCTCAGGCTGCTGCTGCGAGGGCTCCTGGTCGCCACCGCCGCGCTTCTGGTTATCCTTGATCGTGGGGTCGGCAGCTCCCGCACAGAAGTGACTTTCTTCTTCTGCTCCAGCTCCCTGCTCGGGTTTGGACCGTATTTTCTTCTCCTCGTCTCCTCCAGCTTCAGTCACCAAAGTCCCTACAGCCTTCGCATCTGGAAAGGAGGAAAGGCAAAGAGAGATTGAGAGAGGAGACAGAGAGAGATCAGGGCGTTTGGCGCGGGCACAGGGCAGCATAGAACCGCGGCCTGAGAGAGGAGGCGCAGCAGCGTCCGGTCCACGCCCCCCTCTCCGGGAAAGTTCCCTTCTCGGGAGAGTTCCCCAAACTCTCTCCCTCCGGGGGAGTTCCCCAAAGCACCGGTCCGGGTCCCCAGACAAGCACTGACTGTCGCCTTCCTGGAGCTCATGGAACAGGAAACCCAGGCCGGGGTTGCCTGTGTCTTCGTGGCCGGATCTGGGCTGGGACCCCATCTGGGAGCGCGGTGGATGAAGCCGTGCGCCTCCACGGATTCTGCGCTGGGGTCCTTCGGCTCCTGCTCTGAGTTCCGGCTCGTGGACTTCGGGTCCGACGCCTGCAGGTGGCGGGGAGTGGGCTCCTGCCCTGGTCGCCGCTGCTTGCGGTGTGTGTGTGTGTGTGTGTGGCGGAAGGCCCTGCTGGCAGGCGCTCACGGCCCGAGTGTGGCGGTTAAGTCAGGGATGCGTTCGTGGTCAGGGCGCGGGGAGGGGTCGGACGTGTGTGGGGACTTGCGATCCATTTTGCAGCTTCGTTGACCACTCCCACTCCGGGCGGGGTGACTGCCAGAGGGAGGGGCTGAGCTGTCTGGCAGGAGTCGAAATTGAGGCAGGGGGAGAGGCAGCGGAGCGAGACACAATCTAGCCCCCGAGCCCTTGGAGAAAGTTTGCAGAACACGTTTCCGTGTGGCCCTGGAGGCAGGCGGGCCAGCGTAATGCTTCTCCAGGGCGAAGACGCCGCACGCTGAAGGCAGCGCACCTTGCAATTTGGACTGCCAGCACTGCTCTCCCCTCTGGGTAGTTAGTAACTAATGGATGAGTCTCTCTAGCTCTGGTCTGTTCCCACCCAAAGTCCGCGAATCGGACCGTAATTAAGATGAAATGATGAAGTCAGAGGCTGCATGCTAGGTTTTTGCAGCAATGTCCAGAAAGTTGAGTGCGCCACGCTCTCCAGGAGATCTGTGGAAGCAGAAGTTTGGGGCTGGGATTTGCAGAGCACTCTGGATGCTCAGGTGCAAGTTGCAAGAAACCTAACACGCCCCTTGCAAAAGCTCCAGGTACTCCACGTCAGAGTACACATAGAACCCTGCCTGGTGTTTAGTGCATCCCAGAAGGCTTACACTGCAAGTGGCCCTTCCTTTGGCGCTAGACGCGACTGTGGAGCATGCAATGTCTGCTAAGCTATGCTGGGCTCTGGCGCCTTAGGTTGCAAGCCCTCTGCAGAAGTGCCAGTGTTCACTGTGCTGGGCAGGCGCTGGGGACTTGGGTTAGCTCCCGTCTTCCCTCCATCCTCACCCACTTCTGTTACCCATCCTCCTCCTCCTGCTTCTCATTTCCTACTCTTTGTCTAGAACTATCATTCTGACCTTTTGCTCCCTACTGATAAATGTCAAATAAAAAAGAGCCAGGGCCGATTGGGACCTCTATGTTTTTCCCTTAAGAAGTGTGCCTCAGGACGATGCAGGATGTGGGTTATAGTGAACTATGATAACGCCACTGCACTCCAGCCACTGCACTCCAGCCTGGGCGACAGAGCGAGACCCTGTATTTCAAAACAAAAAAATTTAAAAATCGTGCCCCCGTACGATTCTGGGCTCGGTTGTGCGCGCCTGTAAATACTAGCTCCTCCTGTGGCTTCGGCGGGAGAATCGCTTGAGACCAGGAGTTTGAGACCAACCTGAGCAAAATAGAAAAAAACCCATCTCTAAAAAAATAAAAAACAAAATAGTTGGGCATGGTGTCATGCGCTGTCGTGCAAGCTATTCAGGAGGCTGAGGTGGGGGGATCGCTTAACCCCAGGCATTGGAGGCTGCAGTGAGCTATGATCACACCACTGCACTCCAGCGTGGGTGACTCAATGAAACCCTGGCTCTAAAAAAATAAATAAATAAAAATTAATTAATTAATTAATTAATTAAAAATAAGAATTGTTCCTTGGAATGAGTTGGTTTCCTGAATATTGGGATTATTTATCCTTTTTTTTTTTTTTGCCATGATAAACACCATTGCCATCAGACCCATTTAATAAAATAAACCATTTTCATAGGCCCATAAAGGTACACCCACTCACTTCGCCCACTGTGCTAGACAGGTAAGTCTCTCCTTTCTCCTGTTCCAGGAGGATAGAGAGGAAACCAGCTACAAGATGGTTGGTTGAACAATTCACTCTGAAAATGCTGTCAAGGAATTTCACCCCCACAGACTCTCCCTGACATTAACCAAGACGTCTCCTCCTCAGGCTGCCGCTTGCAGGGTTCTGTAGACCTCACCCTTCTCGTGGCCAGACACTCTGAGATGAAATTTGGCCTGGGATCAGTTACTATGTGAGAGACCTACAATGATTTTAATCATGGTGTGCCTTAGCCCAGCTAGGACATCTGTCAGAATTGGAGTTGTGTGGTGTCTGAGAGATTTCCATGACTTGCTTCAGTGCTTTCTAAGCTTCAGTAGTCATTTCTGTGCCCCTTCGGTGAGTGTTACCTACCGGGCCACCAATCAATTAGTATTCACTTAAAATTTTTAGTTAAATTGAGTCACTTCTTGCAAATGTTTTGTACGTAATTGAGCATCATCCAAGCAAAAATAGGCCCAAATGATGAGTTTGATGTCCTAGATTTATGAGGGCAGGGACCCTGGAGTTAGACTGCTGGCATCTGCATCATGGCTTTGCTTGACATTTGCTACCTAGCTAACCTGGGGAGTGGTTTTTTCTCCCTGTGCTTCATTTTTCTCATCTGTAAAACCTGTTATAATAATACCTACCTCATGGAGCTGTTGTGGAGATTAATTGAGATGATACTAATGGTAGCTCACACTTACCTGGTTCTTACTGTGTTCTAGGCAATGATCTAAGTGATTTGTTTATATGAACACATGTAATCCTCTTAACAAACTGGTACATATTGATGTGCTATTATTGTCATTTTATAGGTAGTGTTATTGAGTCACCTGGATGTTAAGTACCCCGCTTAAAGTCACTCACTTGGAAAATGTCCAAAGCTGAGATTTGAACCCATCCTCAGTACCATCCCTGACACAGAGGATGTGCTCAATAACGTTTGCTATTATGCTATAATTATTATTCTTTTGTAATTAGTTAACTAGAGATAAACAGAAATAAAGTATCATTCAGCTCAAAATTTCCTTCACTTGTTTGAATATCGAATTAGTGCCATAGATATCTAGTGGTACCTCCCTCATTAGTAACCGAGGGATAAATGAGATTATCTAGAATAAGAAGTTTAAACCAGGATGCTGAAGAAAAGTGGTTGAATTCAGGAAGTTAACCATTCTCCTCAACACTACATTTTTGTCTGTTGTTGGAATCAGTTAGTCCTAGAGATAACTGCTTGAACACAGGAAACTAGTTAAATAGCGATAATTACAGCTACTAATTACAAAAGAAAATTATAGCATATAGCATGATAACAAACATCCTCTGTATCACGGATAGTACTCAAGATAGGTTCAAATCCCAGCGCTGGACATTTCCCAAGTGGGTGACTTTGACCAGGTTACTTAACGTCTCTGTGACTCAATAATGTCACACCTGTAAAATGTCAATAACAGATAAAGCCAGAGAGTGGAGAACAACGTCTTCCTATAACCAACTTCTTATTTCTTGTTAGCATAATGAGTTAGTTCTATATAAGCAGGAGTACATGGTAACTACTGAACTGGAGATAACTAGAAATAACTAGAAAACCTCAGAGAAGCCTGGAACCTGGAAAGCAATCCTCGACAAGACGAAATTCTTATCTTTCCTTGATAAAATGAGTTTGTACTACAGATATCTGGTGGTATGTAGGTCGCTAGTAAATTTGAATTAAGTAGA
The DNA here is from genome assembly GCF_000001405.40 of Homo sapiens. Classification (NCBI taxonomy): domain Eukaryota; kingdom Metazoa; phylum Chordata; class Mammalia; order Primates; family Hominidae; genus Homo; species Homo sapiens. The sequence continues at coordinate 119,987,455 of NC_000023.11, read as the reverse complement.
AGTAATTAGAAAAAATATTTGAAGGCGACCGGGCGCGGTGGCTCACACCTATAATCCCAGCACTTTGGGAGGCCGAGGCGGGCAGATCACGAGGTCAGGAGATTGAGACCATCCTGGCTAACATGGTGAAACCCCGTCTCTACTAAAAAAAAATACAAAAAATTAGCCGGGCGTGGTGGCGGGCACCTGTAGTCCCAGCTACTCGGTAGGCTGAGGCAGGAGAATGGCGTGAACCCGCGAGGCTGAGCTTGCAGTGAGCCCAGATCGTGCCACTGCACTCCAGCCTGGGCCACACAGCGAGACTCCGTCTCAAAAAAAAAAAAAAAGAAAAAATATTTGAAGGCACAAATCTGAAAAATCATGATTTACCACTCTAACCTCTGGTTTCTTGTTATCATAATCAGCTAATACTATGGATAGCTGGTGATACTTATTCAACGAGGTTACTAGAGGTAACTAAAGATAGTTGGAACATGCGTTTGTGGTCAAAATTGAAATGCACAGTTTTTTTTTTTTCTTTTCTAGAGACAGTGTTGCCCAAGTTGGTCTTGAACTCCTGGACCCAACCAATCCTCCTGCCTCAGCCTCCTGAGTACCTTGGATTACAGGCGTGAGACATGTGTACTTGTACCAGTTTAGGGGATACAGAATAAATTTGGTTGCATGTATTTAATGCATAGTGTCAAGTCAGGGTATTAGGGTATCCCTCACCCAAGTATATTTTTGTTAAGTATATTCACCCTACTCTGCTATCAGACATTGAATTTATTCCTTGTATCTTACCGTATGTTTGCACCCTTCCACCGACTTCTCTTCATCATCCCCCCTCCCTCCACTCTTTCCATTCTATGTTATCTATTTTTCCACTCTCTACCTCCATGTGTCCACATTTTTTAGCTCCCACATATAAGTGAGATCATGTGATACTTGTGTTTTTGTGCCTGGTTTATTTCCCTTAAGGTAATGACCTGCAGTTCCATCCATGTTGCTGCAAATGGCATGATTTCATTCTTTTTTGTGGTTGAATACTATTCCACTGTGGAATATATGTACCACATTTTCTTTATCCATTCAGCTGTTGATGAGCACAAGTTGCTTCCGTATCTTTGCTATTGTGAATAGTGCTGCAATAAACATGCGAATGAAGGTATCCCTTTGATATATTGATTTCTTTCCCTTTGGGTAGACCCAGTGTTGGGATTGCTGGATCGAATGGTAATTCTATTTTTAGTTTTTTGAGAAATCACTACACTGTCATTCATAGTGGCTATACTAGTTTACATGCCCACCAACACTGTATAAGACTTACCTTTTTTCTGCATACTCAGTAACATCTGTTATTTATTGTCATTTTAATAATAGCTATTCTGAGTGGCATAAGATAATATCTCATTGTGGTTTTCATTTGCATTTCTCTGATGATTAACGAATTCGAGCAGTTTTTCGTATACCTTTTGTATGTCTTCTTTTGAGAAATGTCTATTCATGTTTTTGGCCCACCTTTAAATGAGATTATTTGTGGGTTTTTCCACTTGAGTTGTTTGAGTTCCCTGTATATTCTGCATATTAGTCCCCTGTCAGATGAACAGTTTGCACATATTTTCTCTCATTCAACAGGTTGTCTCTTCAGTCCGTTGATTATTTCTTTTGCTGTGCAGAAGCTTTTTAGTTTAATGAAGTCCCATTTGTGTATTTTAGTTTGCCTGAAACGCACAGTCTTATATACTAGATCCTTATTCTTTGGTGGACTGTTGCTTTAGAATTATAGAAAAGTAGTGATACCTAAAAAAGTAGGTATCTAGGGATAACTGGAGGTAACTAGAATGACTAGTATGAGCCAGGAAGCTAAAAAGCATTCTTCCCAATTCTGACATCACGTTTCTTGTTGGCATAATGTGTTAATACTACATGTAAGTCATGGTAGCTAGGGAAAAAGCAAACTGATAGCTTGTGAAAAGTGGAATAATTATTTGAATGCAGGAAGATGAGAAACATTTTCTCAAGTCTACTTTCTAATTTCTTGTTGGAATAAGGAGTTAATACTACAGATATCTGGGAGTACCTAGACATAAGTACAGTTAAATAGAGAAGTACATAGTAGCCCAAAATTGAAAAAACACATTTTTGTCAAAGCTAATTTCTTACTATAGTGGAATAATGAGTGAGTAGTGCAGGTATCTAGTGTTACATAGGTAATCAGTTAAATAAAGGTGAAGAGAAATAACCAGAATGAATATACGACACCAGGAAGTTAGTAAAGACTTGTTTTTAATTCTTTCATTTATTTTAAAATAACAATGAGGTAATATTATTGATACATAGTGCTATTGTGGCAGGCCAATTCTCCCTGACAATCACACACAGGCCTGCATAACACTTCAGTTACATAAATTTCCACAGAGCTGCCTTAACATTGAGCAAATAGTTAAATCTAGGGAAATCGGTGTCCAGACATCAAAGCTAGAAATGAAACACATGGTCAGTAGGAGCCTTGCATAAGCTTGTCCCTAACCTGGAGCAAGTCAAAATAATGCAGACAGCCTTAAATTCCTAGTGCCAGGATCTGTCTTGGGTCGATGAAATCTGAGACGAGTCAAGGTAACAGAGGCAGCTGTTCAAACAGATTTATTGGAGAGTCTAAGACAGTACTCCGGGCCAAGTTATAAAGGAGATAAGACAGAAATAATCACTCCAGTACCACAATAGACATGCCTTGAAGGCACTGGGCCCCTCACAGCATACTCGGACTTAGCAAGCATTTTTTTGCCTCTGACCTAGTTGAAACAAAATTAGTTACCTACAGACTTAGGCAAATGCTATACTGCACATAGGCACATAACCCCAACCTATGTAAGCACTAAGAAAATTTTAACGCTTTGAGTTGGTCTGGTGGAATATCTCTGACCTTCTCCCTGTATCCGGTTACAGCAATAAATTCCCTTCTTTCCTAATTTGTCTGTTTGTCCTTATTGGGCCACAAGAAAACGCAGCCAAACCCGGCTCGATTCTGGGAATAATATCTATTTATTTATTTAATTAGAGATAATTAGATATACCTAGAACGATAATTTGAAGGCAGGAAAATGAAAAAACATTTTTTCTCAACACTAAATTTAATATTTGCAACATGTATTAGTGCTATAGACAAATACTGGTAGCGAGGTAACTACTTTACTAGGGATAGCCAGAAATAACCAGAAAATCTGCTTGAATCTGGAAGTTGAAAAACTGTTTCATACCACCCTAAATCTTGGTTTGCTTGTTGGTTTTGAAACAGAGTCTCACTCCGTTGCCCAGGCTGGAGTGTACTGGCAACATCTCGGCTCACTGCCACCTCCACTCCCCATGCTCAAGCCATCCTCCTACCTCAGTCTCTTGAGGAGCTGGGATGACAGGCAGGAGCCACTATGCCCGGCGAATTAAAAAAAATTTTTTTATAGAGACGAGGTCTCACTGTTTGCCCAATGCTGGTCTCGAACTCCTGGGCTCAAGCAATTCACCTGCCTTGGCCTCCATAAGTGCTGGGATTACCACCCTAAATCTTAATCTCCTGTTTGAATAAGGATTTGTTACTATGGATAATTAGTAGTAACAGCTTAGCTAGTTAACTACAGATAACTGGCTGAAGCTAAAAAGTGGAACCATAATCTACTCAGCATGAAATTCTTAATTCTGGTTGAAATAATGTATCAGTAGTATAGTTAATTAGAGGGAACTCTAATCAAGAATTCCCAGTTGTGAGGATTGTGGTTTCCACCTTCTAGCTCCAACCAGTTCTCTGTAGTTAACTAGTAATCTTGTGACCAGTAGTTAACCATAGTACTAAATATGTATTCCTATATGAGATAAGAATTAGGGGTGTGACGAATGGTTTTTCAACTTCTGAATTCAAATAGATTTCCGGATTATCTCTAACTATCCCTACTAAACTAGTTACATACTGTGGTGGTTAATTTTATGTGTCTACTTGACTGAGTTAAGTCGTTACCTCTAAATAAATAGATACCACTACTTATCAATAATACTAACACTCTATTACAAAAAAATAAAAGTCAGATTTCCAAATAATGTTTGTATTCTTGTTTGTGATACTTACTTCTTGTTTTATGGTATTGCTCATTATTAATTTATTTTTATGTTAATAATATTAATTTTCATAAATAATCTTTTTTAATTCTTTGTTACATTCCTGCTGTCAAACGTTTACTCTGGTTGTGTCCAATTACCTAGGTACCACTGCATAACCATACCATTCACTCATTATTCCACAAGTAAAAAGAATTTAGATTTGAAAAAATGTGTTTCCAGGGTCTGGGTTTCTACAAGTTTTTCTGCTTCTCTCTACTTATTTCTAATTGTATATTTCACAAGGGATACCTAGTTATTTCTAATACTAACCCATCATTCCAACAAGAAATGAGGTAATTCTCTGGATTCCACTAATTATTCTACATATCACAAGTGATCTCCAGTTTACTCATTCCCTAGGTACCACCAGTTATTTGCAGTACTAACACATCATGCCAACATGAAATAACATTTTAGAATCAAGAAGAATATTTTTCTTCTTACACTAGATACTTTAGTTATCTGCAGATGTCTCCACATATCTAGTTTCTCAGGTACCAATACTTAGCTATAGTTCTAAGGCAAAATTCCAACAAGGAACGAGAACATAGTACTGCATGACTTTCTTTATCACCTTCCAGGATTACAATACTTATTTTAATTATCTCCAGTTATTTTGAGGTAAGTAATGAAGTAGACATCACCAGATATCTATAATACTAACTCATTATAATAATAAGAAATAAGAAGTTGCAGTGGTAAATCATGATTTTTTCAACTTCATGACTTCGTATTTTTTTTCTGGTTATTTCTAGTTAAATCTATTTCACTACTGACATAGGTACCACCAGATATCTGTAGTATAAACTCATTATTTCACAAAAAAATAAGAATTTGAGTCTGTGAAGACTGTGCTTTCAAACATCACTGCACTCCAGTGTAGGCAACACAGCGAGGTGCTGTCTCAAAAAAAGAAAGAAAAAGAAGGAAAGGAAGGAAGAAAGGGAAGAAAGGAAAGAAAGAAAGAAAGGACAGAAAAGAAGGAAGAAGGAAAGAAAAAGGAAGGAAAATAAAAAGAAGAGAAAGAAGGAAGGAAAAAAGAAGAAAAAGAAAGAAAAGAAAGAAGGTATTTATGAGAATATTTTCTCACCTCCTTATCTTTGACGTAGGACAGGCAAGCTGCCAAATTGGGATTTTGCCCGGATGGAGGATGAGCAGGTAGTGAGATAGAGCAACTTTTATTGAACTGGTATTGCTTCTTGCAGAACAGCACTAACCCATAGGCAGTGCACCCAGAGCCAGCAGCTGATGGGCTGTTGGCAGCTGTATTTATACCACTTTTAATTATGTGCTAATCAACAGGCAGGTTATTGAGAACTTTCAAGAAAACGAGTGAGGAGTATCCAGAAAATTCAAGGTAACTTCCTGGCTATTGCCATGGCCCCTGGCTATGGCAGTTGTAAGTTATCTTTACACTGGGAGTGTCTTGATGCTAATGGGCAGTGAAGCCAACTAGAGGTAGCTTTTGTCGCCATCTGCTGGATTTCGCTGGCTTCTTCCCTGCATCCTGGTTTTTTGGGTTTTTGTTGTTGTTTTTCTTTTTCTTTTTTTTTTTTAAGGGAGTCTCACTGTGTCCCCAGGCTGGAGTGCAATGGCGCGATCTCGGCTCACTGCAACCTCCACCTCCCGGGTTCAAGCTATTCTTCTGCCTCAGCCTCCCAAGTAGCTGGGATTACAGGCACCCGTCACCACGCCCAGCTAATTTTTATATTTTCAGTATAGATGGGTTTTCACCATGTTGGCCAGGCTGGTCTCTAACTCCTGGCCTCAAGTGATCCGCCCACCTCGGCCTCCCAAAGTGCAGGAATTACAGGCTCGAGCCAACAGGCTGGGACGGCTGCATCCTGTTTTGACCTGATCCTGTTTCCATCAGTGGGGTCGTGACCCTGTGACTGGAAAATAACTTCTCTGGCCTCCTACCTCATCTTCATTTCCATATTAATAGTTATATCCAAGTAGTTAGTGTCCTGGGTACAAATAGTTATCTACAGCACTAACTCATTATATCCACAATAGATACGACTATAGTGTTGAGAAGAATATTGTTTCAACTTCCTGGATTGATCAACTTTTCTTCAGCAGAGAATTTAGTGTTGAAAAGAACGTGACTGGCAACTTCCTGCCTTCAACTAGCTATTCTGGCTATTTCTGGTTATTTCTAGGTAAATAATTACAAAGGTACCAACTGAACATTTACAGTATTAACTAATTATTCCAATGATAAGGAGAATTTACAATTGACAATTTTGTGTTGTGTTTTTTAGCTCTCCAGCTTTAACTACTTATTCCACTCATGTTTAGTTATCCAGAGTAAACCAAATGCCTCTTGATTACTACTTATTTATAGTAATAGCATTCAAAAAATATAGAACAGATAAGTATAGTTTTTTGTTGTTGTTGTTCTTTTTTGGACAGCTAGTAGTTTTCCAGTTATTTCGATATATCTGTGTATCACTAGTTATCTACCTTTCCAGTACTTTACTTCAAGAAGAAATAATAAGTTGCACTTGAGAAAAATGTTTTCCAACATCCTGGCTTCAATTAATTTTCTAGTTATTTCCAGTTATTTCTCTATAAGTAGTTATATAAGTAACATTAGTCATCTATATTACTAACATATTCCTTCAATGATGAGAAGTTAGATTAAAAAAAATGTGTTATTTAGCTTTCTGCCTTCAACTAGTCATTCAGGTTGTATCTATTTTTTATTATTTATTTACCTTTGAGATGGCCTCACTTGGTCGCCCAGGCTGGAGTACACTGAGCCCATCAAGCTCACTGCAGCCTCTAATTCCCAGGCTCTATTGACCGTCCCGCCTCAGCCTCCTGAGTAGCTGGGACTACAGGCTCACACCACCACACGTGGCTAATTTTTAAATCTTTGGTAGAAATAGCTTCTCCCTATGTTGCCCAGGCTAGGTTATATCTAGTTATCTTTATATAAAGCTTACCTTAGAGGCTGGGTGCAGTGGCTCATACCTGTCAACCCAAGTGCTTTGGGAGGCCAAGGTGGGAGGATGGCTTGAGACCAGGAGTTCCAGATCAGCCTGAGAAACGTAGTGAGACCTCATCTCTACCTAAAAAAATAAAAAATAAAAAATAAAAAATAAATTAGCCAGGCATGGTGGCATATGCCTGTAGTCCTAGCTCCTTGGGAGCCTGAAGCAGAAGGATCACTTGAGCCAGGGAGTTTGATGTTACAGTGAATCATGATGGTGCCATTTCACTCCAGCCTGGGTAACAGAGTGAGAACCTGTCTCAAAAAAATGAAAATAAAGCTTACCTTAGTATGCTAGGTATTTTGAGTACTAAATGCACATTCCAAAAAGAAATATTAAAAAAGGAATATTTTAGAGATGAAAAGCATGTATTTTTCAGCTTTATGGCTTTAAGTAGCTTTCTAGCTAATTCTAGGTATCTCTAATTTAAAATTACATAGCTACCACTAGTTATCTATATTTCCAATACCTTATGTTAAAAGAAATTAAATTCGGATGTAAAAAGAATGTGTTTTTCAACATCCTAGATTCAGGTATTTTTCTAGTTATTTCCAATATCTCTAAGTAAGTACTTAACTAGGAACCACATATTATCTATATTATAGCAAGTTTTCTAAAATAAGAATTATGAAGTTAAATTTGAGGAAAACTTGTTTGACAGCATCCTGACTTCACATACTCAGTCTAGTTCTAGTAATATCTAGTTATCTTTACATACATCTTACATAGATAACTCTGTTTATAGCACTACTTCCATATTACAAAAGATATAAATATTTAAATGTGAGAAGGGTGGGTTAATTAAAATTCTAAATTAAATCAGTATATCTAGTTATATCTAGTTAACAAGGTGTGACTAATTACCTATTGGGCAAACTCATTAATTAATATACAGGAATTCAGATGTGAGAAAAGATTGGTTTTGCAGTATCTGGCTTCAAGCCATGATTGCTTTATGCCTGCATTTAAGTAGTTACCAAGTTATCAGTAGGTATCTCTAGTATTAACTCATTTTTCCAATAAGCAATAAGAAGTTATTGTGAGAACAATGTGAGAAAATTAGCTTCCCAAATGGAGGGACCATTCCCCTCCATATAACTGCAAATGGGGCCCACCTTATACCTCGCTCAACTATCCCCACAACCAGGGTGACACTATGAAGTGAGGCACCAGAGGCAGCTGCTCAAGGACACCCCAATGGTCCACTGTCAGGATACTGAAATTTCTTCATCTTGTTACCAAGCATAGCGTTAACAGCAGGTACTGATTGCAATGTGTCCACTAGACTTACATCCAGGAGCTGGGTAAAAACCCTTAAAGAATATTAACAATGGGAGGAGAAAGACAAAGCAATAAGCATAGTCCAAAACAGAACTGAAGGGAAAGGGATACAGCATTAACTTTCCTAAAATATTTTTCCAATAAGGAAATAGCTTCTCCCAGTGTAGTTTAAAATGTCAATGGCATAGAGTTACATGTTGTGGGGTTTTTTTTCTTATGATATTAATTGTTCGATATACTAAACCAATACCTTATAAAACCTCTGACTGAAGGTTTGCTTTAAAAATAGGTGGGTCAACTCTTCAAGGAGAACTGTAAACCACTGCTCAACAAAATAAAAGAGGACACAAACAAATGGAAGAACATTCCATGCTCATGGATAGGAAGAATCAATATTGTGAAAATGGCCATACTGCCCAAGGTAATTTATAGATTCAATGCCATCCCCATCAAGCTACCAATGACTTTCTTCACAGAATTGGAAAAAACTACTTTAAAGTTCATATGGAACCAAAAAAGAGCCCGCATTGCCAAGACAATCCTAAGCCAAAAGAACAAAGCTGGAGGCATCACGTTACCTGACTTCAAGCTATACCACAAGGCTACAGTAACCAAAACAGCATGGTACTGGTACCAAAACAGAGATATAGACCAATGGAACAGAACAGAGCCATCAGAAATAATACCACACATCTACAACCATCTGATCTTTGACAAACCTGACAAAAAAAGAAACGGGGAAAGGATTCCCTATTTAATAAATGGTGCTGGGAAAACTGGCTAGCCATATGTAGAAAGCTGAAACTGGATCCCTTCCTTACACCTTATAGAAAAATTCATTCAAGATGGATTAAAGACTTAAATGTTAGACCTAAAACCATAAAAACCCTAGAAGAAAACCTAGGCAATACCATTCAGGACATAGGCATGGGCAAGGACTTCATGACTAAAACACCAAAAGCAATGGCAACCAAAGCCAAAATTGACAAATAAGATCTAATTAAACTAAAGAGCTTCTGCACAGCAAAAGAAACTACCATCAGAGTGAACAGGCAACCTACAGAATGGGAGAAAATTTTTACAATCTACCCATCTGACAAAGGGCTGATATCCAGAATCTACAAAGAACTTAAACAAATTTACAAGAAAAAATCAAACAACCCCATCAAAAAGTGGGAGAAGGATATGAACAGACACTTCTCAAAAGAAGACATTTATGCACTCAACAGACACATGAAAAAATGCTCATCATCACTGGCCATCAGAGAAATGCAAATCAAAACCACAATGAGATACCATCTCACACCAGTTAGAATGGTGATCATTAAAAAGTCAGGAAACAGCAGATGCTGGAGAGGATGTGGAGAAATAGGAACACTTTTACACTGTTGGTGGGACTGTAAACTAGTTCAACCATTGTGGAAGTCAGTATGGCGATTCCTCAGGGATCTAGAACTAGAAATACCATTTGACCCAGCCATCCCATTACTGGGTATATACCCAAAGGGTTATAAATCATGCTGCTATAAAGACACATGCACACGTATGTTTATTGCGTCACTATTCACAATAGCAAAGACTTGGAACCAACCCAAATGTCCATCAATGATAGACTGGATTTAGAAAATGTGGCACATATACACCATGGAATACTATGCAGCCATAAAAAAGGATGAGTTCATGTCCTTTGTAGGGACATGGATGAAGCTAGAAACCATTATTCTGAGCAAACTATCACAAGGACAGAAAACCAAACACCACATGTTCTCACTCATAGGTGGGAATTGAACAATGAGAACACTTGGACACAGGGTGGGGAACATCACACACCGGGACCTGTCGTGGGGTTGGGGGAGGGGAGAGGGATAGCATTAGGAGATATACCTAAGGTAAATGACGAGTTAATGGGTGCAGCACACCAACATGGCACATGTACACATATGTAACAAACCTGCACATTGTGCACATGTACCCTAGAACTTAAAGTATAATTAAAAAATAAAATAAATTAAATTAAAAAATAAATTTCGGTTTAGTAAATCATTTGTCTCTTTAGAATCAGATTATGAGCTGGGAAGTGGCTCACACTGCCACTAGCACTTTGGGAGGCCTAGCAGGAGGCCCTAGCACTTTGGGAGGCCCTAGCACTTTGGGAGGCCAAGGCAGGAGGATAACTTTAGGCCAGGATCAAGATCAGCCTGGGCAACACAGCAAGATCCTGTCTCTGTATGAAAAAATATATAATAACAAATAAATAAGTAAAATCAGACAATGTTGCTGATGTCTTTAAAAATATATATATAAAAGTATACAATACATATATAAGTATATATAAAAGTATATATAAATATATATAAAAGTATAAATATACATATAAAAGTATAAGTATATACATATAAAAGTATATATAAGTATATATAAAAGTATATATATAAGTATATATATAAAAGTATATATATAAGTGTATATATATAAAAGTATATATATATGTGTATATATATAAAAGTATATATATATAAGTGTATATATATATATATACTTTTTTTTTGAGACGGGAGTCTTGCTCTGTCGCTCAGGCTGGAGTGCAGTGGTTCGATCTTGGCTCACTGCAACCTCTGCCTCCTGGGTTCAAGCGATTCTCCTGCCTTGGCCTCCTGAGTAGCTGAGACTATAGGTACAAACCACCACGCCTAGCTAATTTTTGTGTTTTCAGTAGAAACAGCGTTTTACCATGCTGGCCAGGCTAGTCTTGAACTCCTGACCTCAAGTGATCCTCTTGCCTCATCCTCCCAAAGTGCTGGGATTACAGGCGTGAGACATCATGCCTGGCCTCAGGCAGAGTTGTTTCTAAATCCAGGCCTATGGCTGGCTGCAGTGTCTCATGTCTGTAATCCCAGCACTTTGGGAGGCCATGGCAGGAGGCTCACTGGAGCCCAGGAGGTCAAGACCAGCCCTGGCAACATAGCAAGACTCCATCTCTACAAAAAATTTTAAAATTAGCCAATGGTGGTTGTGTGCACCTGTGGTCCCAGCTACCTGAGAGGCAGAAGTAGCAGAATTACCTGGGCCCAGGGAGTCAAGGTTGCAGTGAGCCATAGTTGCACCACTGCACTACAGCCTGGATGACAGGAGTGAGACCCTGTCAAAAAAAATAAATAAATGAATAAAATAAAAAATAAAAAACCCGAAAACAAAACAAAACAAAAATTCCTTGAATGAGTCACATCACTTCCATACCTTCTGTATCAGTAACATGTTATTCTAAAACTTAGTGGGTTAGAAAAACAATAATCATTTATTATTTCTCATGGTTTCTATGGGTCAGGAAATTTGGAAGAATTTGGCCTGGAAGTTCTTGCTCTGAGAAGGATGCAATCAGATTTTGGCCAGGGCTGCAGTCATCTCAAGGCTTGAGTGGGGCTGAAGGATTCACTTCCAAGCTGACTAATTCACGTGACTGGCAAAGTGGTGCTGGCTGTTGCTTGCACACCTTCCTTCTTCTCCATATGGGCCTTCCTACAGTGGTTATTCAGGATCCTCATAGGATTGTAGCTGGCTTTTCCCAGAGTGAGTGATCCAAGACACCAAAGCAGAAGCATCAGTGGATTTCATGACAGCGTTGGAAGGCCCACCATCACTTCTGCTGTATTCTATTGGTCACAGAGGGCCAACCCTAATTCAATATGGGAGGAAACTACACAAGGGCATGAATACCAACAGGCAAGGATCACTGAGGACCATCTTGGAGACTGGCTATTACAAAACCTAGGCTAACGTGCAATCTCCTTAAAGAGTCCTACAAGGCCATTCACCCTTGTCATCAGGAACAAGCACCTGTCACATCCGAGCACATCTCTAAGCTTGCTATTTTAGAAGACATAGTTCTCAATTGATCTATTTACTCCTAAGGCCCAATAATTAGAAGTGTTGGCATTATTCCAGTTGGCTCATTTATTTTAATGTTCTTAGAGAAGAAAGTGTTAGTGCCACTGAAAACTGTAACATTCTGTGGTTAGGATTACTGACAAATACAAAATTATCTCTAAGTTATCTACATAAAACAATACACATTAAACTAAATATGCATATTTAGAGCAACATATTTCATAAAGTTAAATATATTCAATAATTCAAGTGTGACATTGTCAATATTTAAACTTAAGATTTAGTTAACAAAATTAAATATATCAAAAAAATAAAATAAAACAAAAATAAAAATAGGTGAGTCAAGTAGAGGAGATATCAGGAGACATTAATTAATGTTCAGAAATAACATGACAGTGGCCCTGTCGCCCTGAGCCACTGGGTAGGCATAATCTTGGATGGGCCCTATCATGTCATCCGTGTTCCAGAGCCCTGTTGGAGATGGGCTCTTCTGGAGCCACCACTGCTCAGGCTGCCGATGCCACCTATGCCTCGTCTGCCCTTGCCTTCCTTTGGCCTGGCCCCAGTTGGCCTGGAATGAGCCCCCGTCATCAGCCGTCATTTTGTAGTCCCCCTTCTCTAAGGTACTATCTTCATGACAGTTTCCAAAGTGTTTTTCTGGCAGATTTTAATTGTGCGGAGCACAACATCAAGAGCAGTTCACCAAATGCCAAATAAACAAAGTCAGTGCCCCATTTGTGTGTGTCTGTGTGTGTATCAAATGGGGTTAATAATGTATGGATTGGTATTTATAAGGGAATGACATTGAAACAGAATGGTGAGGAGTCCTCTTTTCATGAGGTGACCTTTCTGCGTCAGCATGAATAGGCCCTGCACTTCACAGAAGTTCTCCAGGTACCCGTTGTGTGTTTACTGACCCATACTTTTTCTCCTCTGCTCTCCATCACCCCATCCTCATTCTTACCCTTTGGGACCACATACATATGCATGATGGGGTGGGTGAGTTCCTAGTGAGAGAACTGTGTTTTCAGACAGAGTAGAGCCCCATCCGTGCTAATAGGAACATTCATGCCCAACTCCGGACTCTAGGGGAAGCTTCCTAAGTGGCTACTCAGTATTTATGCGAAGGCAACAGCTAAGCATTGATTCGACATGCTCCAAATTCTGTCCACTGCCCTCCCTTTTTGTGGGGGACACAGGAGAATAGGAGCCATTCCGGCCCAAAGGTCCTGCTGCTTCAGAAGAATCATGAGAGGAAACTCCACCAAAGCCAGAATGAGGCTGTTCTCCCTTTTCTCCCCCATCCCCAGCCCAGAAGGCATATTATTACACCTTCCCCAACTCAAAACTGACAATCACAACTTCCAATGTATTTTGTTGCTCTCTTCATCCTTAAGAGATCTTGAATTCCTGCTAATTAAAAATAGAAAGGGAATATTTGGGGTTATTGGGACTCAAAGCAAAGAGACAGTCCCCTGAACAGTGATCCAGACTCATCATTCACTGGAACAGGCAGTAAATTGTTCATGCTGTCTTCTTCCCGTGCAACTGCCAGAATAGAAAACAAGAAAAAGAAAAATGGGAGAGCTGAAGGAGGCCAGGCCCACTTTTTAAAAAGCATTAAGTTCTTCTCAATACAGCCTTTGCTTTTGAGCAATCTCTAGAAATGCAAGGCTTTTCATTTGCTATTAAAAATGCTTAATTGTGGGCCGGGCGGGGTGGCTCACGCCTATAATCCCAGCACTTTGGGAGGCCGAGGCGGGTGGATCACGAGGTCAGGAGATCGAGACCATCCTGGCTAACATGATGAAACCCCGTCTCTACTAAAAAAAATACAAAAAAATTAGCCAGGCGTGTTGGCGGGCACCTGTAGTCCCAGTTACTCAGGAGGCTGAGGCAGGAGAATGGCGTGAACCCAGGAGGTGGAGCTTGCAGTGAGCCGAGATCGTGTCACTGCACTCCAGCCTGGGCAATGGAGCGAGACTCTGTCTCAAAAAAAAAAAAAAAGTGGTTAATTGTGAGCACCAAGGTTGCACTATGAAGTGATTGCTAAGATAAGTGCCATAGTTCCATCAGAATTTCCTCTCACGGGAAAAATCAAAGTCCAGTTTCACAGCACCTGTGTGTTCCCAGTGTAAAGTGAGGCTCTGTTTTCTTAGGAAAGCATGCATTTTTTTTGCTGTGTTGCCCACTATCTCACTCTGCGACCTTCACAGTTGTGGATACGAAATGTCAACAAAGCAGTTGCATGTAATGTGGGACTTCTGCACAGAGAGGAGGTTATTGCTACCCAGAGCCCCCAGCGCCTGGCGGGAGTGGGGAACATCTAGGAATGCACCTGCGCATGCCCACTGCCATCCTCACCAGAAAATTTTGAAACCAACATTTCTTATTTCCCAATGTTGGCACCTGTTCTTTTTAAACATCAGCTTCCTCAATGTTATAAGTACCCTCAAAACAGAACTACAGGATCTATAAAGATAAAAGCCACAGGACACCATCAGACTGAGTTCTGACCTCTTCTAACCTGTGTTCACAGTTGAGCACATGGCTTTGCCATATTGAGATTGAAAGCTGGACAACTACTCCCCACAAATCCTGCAATTAACACCAACATTCAATTTGACACACACTAACAGAACTTTTTTTTTTCATGCTCAGGCTGTCTGGGAAAGAATAGTGAATACCCTTTCCCATAACTGACGGGGTCTTCAAGAGACACATATATATACTTTTTTTTTTTTTTTTTTTGAGACCTGTTCTCACTCAGTCACCCTGGCTGGAGTGCAGTGGCGTGATCTCAGCTCACTGCAACCTGCACCTCCCAGGTTCAAGGGATCCTCCCACCTCAGCCTCCCAAGTAGCTGGGATCACAGGCATGCGTTACCATGCCTGGCTGATTTTTGTATTTTCAGTGGAGATGGGGTTTCACCATGTTGCCCAAGCTGGTCTCGACTTCCTGGGCTCAAGCGATCCACCCACTTCGGCGTCCCAAACTGCTGGGATTACAGGAATGAGCCACGGCGCCTGGTTGATACATATACTATTTTTAATGCATCTCTACTTCTTCCAGGTTCCACAAGAATTAAGGCATGAGGCAAAGGTAATATTCAAAAACACTGCTGCGGATAATAATTTCCACTCTTTCTAAGTTTCAAAAAAGAGAAGTCTTCTAAATGTAATCCCACAAAAAGCATGTATTTTAAAATATACTTCAAATATTTCAGAGGCAAAAATCAAACTGGGCACTGTGGCTCACACATGTAATCCCAGCACTTTGGGAGGCTGAGGTGGGAGGACTGCTTGAGTGCACAAGTTCCAGACCAGCCAGGGCAATGTAGTGAGACCTCATCTTTAAAAAATATATTTTAAAAAATTCTATTTAAAAAGGTGAAAATCAGAAATTATTCTAATGCAAGTTTTAAATTTTTGATTAAAAAATATTTAACACTGGTTACCAGAAAATAGGTTCATCCAAGATAGATGGTCTTTGTAGATGTTAGTTTCAGCTAAAAAGTTATGAACATAATCTCAGGAGGAGTCCAGTAACTTCAGCATTCTATAGTAATCAAAAAATTTTGCGTTTTGCTTTCTAAAGTTTCATTCCAGAGAGGATCAGCCATTTAGTGACCATGCCCTCCCCTGGGCCCTGAATCCTATGGACAATGCGTACCAACCCAGGTTCAGTTCCTCAGCACTCAAGCACCTCCATCCTGCACAAAACTCTCCTTCGAAGGGCTGAAAATTCAAGGATCCCACTCAAGCCAAAGCACTAGGTCATTTTACCTCTGGGAAAGGTAATCGACCTCTCTTGAAGGTATTAAGTGTCCTTGTGTTCACACTTTCAGGCCTTGAGAGGTTGATGCAATTTGTACCCTCTTCACAAAAGGCCAAGTATGCTTCTTCTACAACAGTCCTCATTTCCCCCAATCTTTTTGCAAAGCAAAATCTGCCAACCGAAAATATAACCCATGGGCAAGAGCCAGTTCTGTGCTTGTGTTAAATTAGCTTTTTTAGGAAAGCAGACTAACAGCTTGGAAACTGTTATTATGCAATTAGTATTCGTTTTGGAATTGGTAATTTGTCGTTTGCCTCAGTCAATATCACACTTGATATCTCAGATATCAGCACAGAACTATGGGACAGGGACCCTGAGTGCAACTGAGGCAGAATAATAAGGTCTGGAGGCAGGGAACCCAAGGCCATTTCACGCTGACTTCCTAAAACGAAATTGAAAGGAAAACCCTAACTTTCCATGCCTAAGTAACAAAAGGACAAAAGGACAAGTGGCTACTCCCTTTGCAAACCCCCATTTTTCTGCATTGGCAGATGGGAAATTAAAAGTATCTCTGATTGGTTGCTTTTTGCAACCAATCAGACGTTTGCATGGGAGTGTAACTTTGTAACTTCACTCAGCCTCTGACTGGTTGCTCTCTGCAATCAGACTGATTGCAAGCCACCACTTCATTTACATAAGGTGAACACCAAGTGGCCAATGGAAAACCTCTAGGGGGTACTTGGACCCGCGAAGATTCTGTAACTGGGCCCTTCAGTGGCTGCTCGGGTCTGCTCCCACCCTGTGGAGTGTACTTTTCGTTTTCAATACATCTCTGCTTTTGTGGCTTCATTGCTTCATTGCTTTGTTTCTGTGTTTTGTCCAATTCTTTGTTCAAAACGCCAGGAACCTGGACACCCTCGTCCGGTAACACTATGGTATGAACAAAATTTAATTATCAACTACACACCAATGGGCTGGATCCACCGCCCCCCGCCCCCCGCCCCCCCCCCGGCCATACAAAGGGTAGATCTTTTTAAAATTATTTTTTTGTAGAGACCAGGTCTCGCTTTGTTACCCAGGCTGGTTTCAAACTCCTGGCCTCAAGCAGTCCTCCTACCTCAGCCTTCCAAAGTGCTGGAATTACATGCATGAGCCACCACATCCAACCAAAGGGTAGATCTTAAAGTCAATGTGTGAATTCCTAACATTTACATGCCAGTATTTTAGATTCTAGGAATACAAAAAGTGCCTCCTACACAGGCTCTTACAAAAAGTGCCTTGTACACACGCTCTTACTTTCACAATCAAGGGACACAGGAGATTGAAGTGGTGACATTTAGGCATAGGCACCATAACTGATGTGCCTAGACTCATCCCAAGCACAGCACCCAGATAAAATTAGGGCCACTATGAGACGTGCAGATTTGGAGCATTACTTTTTCCTATGCTAGGCCCAAGAATTCTGGATTAAGAAAAAAAAAAATGGAGGCAAGGTAGAAAGCAAGGAAGAATCTCTATCCATTTCTTTTTTGAACAAGGGGAAAAAAAGACGAAACAAAAGATGTTTTCAAATCCGAAGTGGAAAAGGAGGCTGCGGAAACCTAGGGGAGAAAGAAATCCATGGCAATGAGTGAGTCCAGAGGTGATGTTCACTTTTAGGGAGCTTTGTAGTAAGGGGGAGCTAGAGTAAGGCATCCTCTGAGTGTTAGCCAGTGAGGCACAAAAAAATGGCTGTGGTCAACTGGGCTTTGTAGGAGAAAGGAAACACAGAATTAGGGTTCATATGCAAATGAATTTCTAAGATCTCATTCTACAGGCCCATCACAAGGTCAAGCAGTGGGGCTGTCTTTTCTCTTTTTCTCACTCACCTACCTGCCTTTTAACTCAGTTGGTCATCTTGGGGCTTAAAAGGATTGAAATATTGATTAAGAAGGAGGGAAAGTCAGGACTGGGAGGGGCATCTCACAATGTGATTGGCCCCAGTCCAGGTCCCCAAGCCCAACACCCCAGGAAACATCCAGGATTCTCCTATTTCTTCATTTGAATCACAAAATATTTCCAAGAATGTCCAATTAATTCTATGCGCCTACTCACCACATCAAAACTGCAATTCCAACAGGGAGTCAGACAGAAATATTGAAAGCTGTTAAATTGGTTCTTCTGCTGTCTATTTAGCATAGAGACTTGGACTTCCGAGGTCTCCATAACCAAATCTGTCCTTCCCTGAGGTGGATTATGATCCAGAAATATTGCATAGTGATATTAAAGTGAATCCTTATTTCTGCAAAATGCCAAAGATACGGGGTTAGTTCTGGATAAAAATTAAGGAGATTAAACCATTGGATATGGACCAAATATTTCTCATTTGTTCTTATACCCAGACCAATTAAATAGATTCCATTTCATTGCTTTAAACTGCCTTTTTTGATATTCATTTATTCATCCATTTATTCTGTCATCTTAAAAATTAAGGCAATATATAACATAAGATGCATATAATACAATAAGAAAATAAAAATGAAAAGTGATTCTTTAAAACAATTAACAGTGGATTAAGCTGCTATTTATCAAAGAAAACACAACGTCCTTTTCCCTGTGTGAAGCAGTGTATGATGAGTGTACAACATCATGGAAGTCTAAAATCCTCACCCTTTATTTACTTTTTTTAAATTTTTTTTTATTTTTTTATTTTTTACTTTATTATACTTTAAGTTTTAGGGTACATGTGCACATTGTGCAGGTTAGTTACATACGTATACATGTGCCATGCTGGTGTGCTGCACCCACTAACTCGTCATCTAGCATTAGGTATATCTCCCAATGCTATCCCTCCCCCCTCCCCCCACCCCACAACAGTCCCCAGAGTGTGATGTTCCCCTTCCTGTGTCCATGTGATCTCATTGTTCAATTCCCACCTATGAGTGAGAATATGCGGTGTTTGGTTTTTTGTTCTTGCGATAGTTTACTGAGAATGATGATTTCCAGTTTCATCCATGTCCCTACAAAGGACATGAACTCATCATTTTTTATGGCTGCATAGTATTCCATGGTGTATATGTGCCACATTTTCTTAATCCAGTCTATCATTGTTGGACATTTGGGTTGGTTCCAAGTCTTTGTTATTGTGAATAATGCCGCAGTAAACATACGTGTGCATGTGTCTTTATAGCAGCATGATTTATAGTCCTTTGGGTATATACCCAGTAGTGGGATGGCTGGGTCAAATGGTATTTCTAGTTCTAGATCCCTGAGGAATCGCCACACTGACTTCCACAATGGTTGAACTAGTTTATAGTCCCACCAACAGTGTAAAAGTGTTCCTATTTCTCCACATCCTCTCCAGCACCTGTTGTTTCCTGACTTTTTAATGATTGCCATTCTAACTGGTTCCTCACACTTTATTTTATTTATTTTTTTGAGACAGAGTCTCACTCTGTCACCCAGGCTAGGGTGCAGTGGCATGATCTCAGCTAACTAGAACCTCCATCTCCAAGGTCAAGTGATTCTTTTTTTTTTTTTCTGAGATGGAGTTTCACTCTTGTCGCACAGGCTGGAGTGCAATGGTGTGATCTCCACTCACTGCAACCTCTGCCTCCCGGGTTCAAGTGATTCTCCTGCCTCAGCCACCCAAGTAGCTGAGATTACAGGCGCCCGCCAGAACATCCGGCTAATTTTTGTATTTTTAGTAGAGATGGGGTTTCGCCATGTTGGCCAGGCTGGTCTCAAACTCCTGGCCTCAAGTGATCCACCTGCCCCAGCCTCCCAAAGTGCTGGGATTACAAGCATGAGCCACTGCGCCTGGCCCAAGCCATTCTCTTCCCTCAGCCTCCCAAGTAGCTGGGATTACAGGCAAGTGCCACCATGCCCTGCTAATTTCTGTATTTTTAGTGGAGACTTGGTTTCACCATGTTAACCAGGCTTGTCTGAAACTCCTGACCTCAAGTTATCCATCTGCCTCAGCCTCCCACAGTGGTGGGATTACATGGCTGAGCCACTGTGCCTGGCCAAATTCTCACACTTTATTATTATTTTTTTTATTATACTTTAAGTTCTAGGGTACATGTGCACAACATGCAGGTTTGTTACATATGTATACATGTGCCATGTTGGTGTGCTGCCCCCATTAACTTGTCATTTACATTAGGTATATCTCCTAATGCTATCTCCCCCCCTCCCCCCACCCCATGACAGGCTCCAGTGTATGATATTCCCCATCTTGTGTCCAAGTGTTCTCATTCTCCAATTCCCACCTATGAGTGAGAACATGCAGTGTTTGGTTTTCTGTCCTTGCAATAGTTTGCTCAGAATGATGGTTTCCAGTTTCATCCATGTCCCTACAAAGGACATGAACTCATCCTTTTTTATGGCTGCATAGTATTCCATGGTGTATATGTGCCACATTTTCTTAATCCAGTCTATCATTGATGGACATTTGGGTTGGTTCCAAGTCTTTGCTACTGTGAATAGTGCTACAGTAAACATACGTGTGCATGTGTCTTTACAGTAGCATGATTTATAATCCTTTGGGTATATACCCAGTAATGGGATGGCTGGGTCAAATGGTATTTCTAGTTCTAGATCCTTGAGGAATCGCCACACTGTCTTCCCCAATGGTTGAACTAGTTTACAGTCCCACCAACAGTGTAAAAGTGTTCCCATGTCTCCACATCCTCTCCAGCACCTGTTGTTTCCTGACTTTTTAATGATTGCCATTCTAACTGGCATGAGATGGTATCTCATTGTGGTTTTAATTTGCATTTCTCTGATGGCCAGTGATGATGAGCATTTTTTCATGTGTCTTTTGGCTGCATAAATGTCTTCTTTTGAGAAGTGTCTGTTCATATCCTTCTCCCACTTTTTGATGGGTTTGTTTGATTTTTTTCTTGTAAATTTGTTTAAGTTCTTTGTAGATTCTGGATATTAGCCATTTGTCAGATGGGTAGATTGTAAAAATTTTCTCCCATTCTGTAGGTTGCCTGTTCACTCTGATGGTAGTTTCTTTTGCTGTGCAGAAGCTCTTTAGTTTAATTAGATCCCATTTGTAATTTTTGCTTTGGTTGCCATTGGTTTTGGTGTTTTAGTCATGAAGTCCTTGCCCATGCCTATGTCCTGAATGGTATTGCCTAGGTTTTCTTCTAGGGTTTTTATGGTTTTAGGTCTAACATTTAAGTCTTTAATCCATCTTGAATGAATTTTTCTATAAGGTGTAAGGAAGGGATCCAGTTTCAGCTTTCTACATATGGCTAGCCAGTTTTCCCAGCACCATTTATTAAATAGGGAATCCTTTCCCTGTTTCTTTTTTTGTCAGGTTTGTCAAAGATCAGATGGTTGTAGATGTGTGGTATTATTTCTGGGGGCTCTGTTCTGTTCCATTAGTCTATATCTCTGTTTTGGTACCAGTACCATGCTGTTTTGGTTACTGTAGCCTTGTAGTATAGTTTGAGGTCACATAGCGTGATGCCTCCAGCTTTGTTCTTTTGGCTTAGGATTGTCTTAGCAATGTGGGCCCTTTTTTGGTTCCATATGAACTTTAAAGTAGTTTTTTCCAATTCTGTGAAGAAAGTCATTGGTAGCTTGATGGGGATGACATTGAATCTATAAATTACCTTGGGCAGTATGGCCATTTTCACAATATTGATTCTTCCTATCCATGAGCATAGAATGTTCTTCCATTTGTTTGTGTCCTCTTTGATTTCGTTGAGCAGTGGTTTGTAGTTCTGCTTGAAGAGGTCCTTCACATCCCTTGTAAGTTGGATTCCTAGGTATTTTATTCTCTTTGAAGCAATTCTGAATGGGAGTTCACTCATGATTTGGCTCTCTGTTCGTCTGTTATTGGTGTATAGGAATGCTTGTGAATTTTGCACACTGATTTTGTATCCTGAGACTGCTGAAGTTGCTTATCAGCTTAAGGAGATTTTGGGCTGAGATGATGGGGTTTTCTAAATATACAATCATGTCATCTGCAAACAGGGACAATTTGACTTCCTCTTTTCCTAATTGAATACCCTTTATTTCCTTCTCCTGCCTGATTGCCCTGGCCAGAACTTCCAACACTATGTTGAATAGGAGTGGTGAGAGGGCATCCCTGTCTTGTGCCAGTTTTCAAAGGGAATGCTTCCAGTTTTTGCCCATTCAGTCTGATATTGGCCGTGGGTTTGTCATAAATACCTCTTATTATTTTTGGATACGTCCCATCAATACCCAGTTTATTGAGAGTTTTTAGCACGAAGGGCTGTTGAATTTTGTCAAAGGCCTTTTCTGCATCTATTGAGATAATCATGTGGTTTTTGTCTTTGGTTCTGTTTATATGATGGATTACATTTATTGGTTTGCATAGGTTGAACCAGACTTGTATCCCAGGGATGAAGCCAACTTGATCATCATGGATAAGCTTTTTGATGGGCTCCTGGATTCAGTTTGCCAGTATTTTATTGAGAATTTTTGCATCGATGTTCATCAGGGATATTGGTCTAAAATTCTCTTTTTTTGTTATGTCTCTGCCAGGCTTTGGTATCAGGATGATGCTGGCCTCATAAAATGAGTTAGGGAGGATTCCCTCTTTTTCTATTGATTGGAATAGTTTCAGAAGGAATGGTACCAGCTCCTCTTTGTACCTCTGGTACAATTTGACTGTGAATCTGTCTGGTCCCGGACTTTTTTTGGTTGGTAGGCTATTAATTATTGTCTCTATTTCAGAGCCTGTTATTGATCTAGTCAGGGATTCAACTTCTTCCTGGTTTAGTCTTGGGAGGGTGTATGTGTCCAGGAATTTATCCATTTCTTCTAGATTTTTCTAGTTTGTTTGTGTAGAGGTGTTTATAGTATTCTCTGATGGTAGTTTGTATTTCTGTGGGATCAGTGGTGATATCCCTTTTATCATTTTTTATTGTGTCTATTTGATTCTTCTCTCTTTTCTTCTTTATTAGTCTTGCTAGTGGTCTGTCAATTTTGTTGATCTTTTCAAAAAAACCAGCTCCTGCAGAGCTGAGTTGAATTCCTGGATATCCTTGTTAACATTCTGTCTCGTTGATCTGTCTAATGTTGACAGTGGGGTGTTAAAGTCTCCTATTACTATTGTGTGGGACTCTGTCTCTTTGTAGGTCTCTAAGGACTTGCTTTATGAATCTGGCTGCTCCTGTATTGAGTGCATATATATTTATGATAGTTAGCTCTTCTTGTTGAATTGATCACTTTACCATTATGTAATGGCCTTCTTTGTCTCTTTAGATCTTTGTTGGTTTAAAGTCTGTTTTATCAGAGACTAGGATTGCAACCCCTGCTTTTTTTTGTTTTCCATTTGCTTGGTAGATTTTCCTCCACCACTTTATTTTGAGCCTATGTGTGTCTCTGCACATGAGATGGGTCTCCTGAATACAGCATACTGATGGGTCTTGACTCTTTATCCAATTTGCCAGTCTGTGTCTTTTAATTGGAGCATTTAGCCCATTTACGTTTAAGGTTAATATTGTGATGTGTGGGGCAGGGCGCGGTGGCTCACGCCTGTAATCCCAGCACTTTGGGAGGCCAAGGTGGGTGGATCACGAGGTCAGGAGATCAAGACCATCCTGGCTAACACGGTGAAACCCCGTCTCTACTAAAAATACAAAAAATTAGCCAGGCGTGGTGGCAGGCGCCTATAGTTCCAGCTACTCGGAAGGCTGAGGCAGGAGAATGGCATGATCCCAGGAGGTGGATCTTGCAGTGAGCCGAGACCGCGCCACTGCACTCTAGCCTGGGTGACAGAGCGAGACTCCGTCTCAAAAAAAAAAAAAAATGGTAATGTGTGAATTTGATCCTGTCATTATGATGTTAGCTGGTTATTTTGCTTGTTATTTGATGCAGTTTCTTCCTAGCATCGATGGTCATCACAATTTGGCATGTTTTTGCAGTGACTGGTACCGGTTGTTCCTTTCCATGTTTAGTGCTTCCTTCAGGAGCTCTTTTAGGGCAGGCCTGGTGGTGACAAAATCTCTCAGCATTTGCTTGTCTGTAAAGGATTTTATTTCTCCTTCACTTATGAAGCTTAGTTTGGCTGGATATGAAATTCTGGGTTGAAAATTCTTTTCTTTAAGAATGTTGAATATTGGCCCCCACTCTCTTCTGGCTTGTAGAATTTCTGCTGAGAGATCAGCTGTTAGTCTGATGGGCTTCCCTTTGTGGGTAACCTAACCTTTCTCTCTGGCTGCCCTTAACATTTTTTCCTTCATTTCAACTTTGGTGAATCTGACAATTATGTGTCTTGGAGTTGCTCTTCTCAAGGAGTATCTTTGTGGCATTCTCTATTTCCTGAATTTTAATGTTGGCCTGCCTTGCTAGGTTGGGGAAGTTCTCCTGGATAATATCCTGCAGAGTGTTTTCCAACTTGGTTCCATTCTCCCCATCACTTTCAGGTACCCCAATCAGACATAGATTTGGTCTTTTCACATAGTCCCATATTTCTTGCAGGCTTTGTTTGTTTCTTTTTACTCTTTTTTCTATAAACTTCTCTTCTCATTTTATTTCATTCATTTGATCTTCAATCGCTGATACCCTTTCTTCCACTTGATCGAATTGGCTACTGAAGCTTGTGCATTCGTCACGTAGTTCTCGTGCCATGGTTTTCAGCTCCATCAATTCATTTAAGGTCTTCTCTATGCTGTTTATTCTAGTTAGCCATTCCTCCAATCTTTTTTCAAGGTTTTTAGCTTCTTTGTGATGGGTTCAAACATCCTCCTTTAGCTCGGAGAAGTTTGTTATTAATGATCGTCTGAAGCCTTCTTCTCTCAACTCGTCAAAGTCATTCTCCATCTAGCTTTGTTCCATTGCTGGTGAGGAGCTGTGTTCCTTTAGAGGAGAAGAGGCACTCTGATTTTTAGAATTTTCAGCTTTTCTGCTCTGGTTTCTCCCCATCTTTGTGGTTTTATCTACCTTTGGTCTTTGATGATGGTGACGTACAGATGGGGTTTTGGTGTGGGTATCCTTTCTGTTTGTTAGTTTTCCTTCTAACAGTCAGGACCCTCAGCTGCAGATCTGTTGGAGTTTGCTGGAGGTCCACTCCAGACCCTGTTTGCCTGGGTATCACCAGCACAGGCTGCAGAATAGCAAATACTGCAGGATGGCAAATGTTGCTGCCTGATCCTTCCTCTGGAAGCTTCGTCTCAGAGGGGCACCCAGCTGTATGAGGTGTCAGTCAGCCCCTACTGGGAGATGCCTCCCAGTTAGGCTACTCGGGGGTCAGGGACCCTCTTGAGGAGGCAGTCTGTCCATTCTCAGATCTCAAACTGCATGCTGGGAGAACCACTACTCTCTTCAAAGCTGTCAGACAGGGACGTTTAAGTCTGCAGAAGTTTCTGCTGCCTTTTGTTCAGCTATGCCTTGCCCCAAGAGGTGGAGTCTACAGAGGGAGGCAGGCCTCCTTGAGCTGTGGTGGGCTCAACCCAGTTCGAGCTTCCCGGCCGCCTTGTTTACCTACTCAAGCCTCAGCAATGGCAGGCGCCCCTCCCCCAGCCTCACTGCCACCTTGCAATTTGATCTCAGACTGCTGTGCTAGCAGTGAGCAAGGCTCCGTGGGCGTGGGACCCTCCGAGCCAGGCGCAGTATAAAATCTCCTGGTGTGCTGTTTGCTAAGACCATTGGAAAAGTGCAGTATTAGGGTGGGAGTGTCCTGATTTTCCAGGTACCGTCTATCACAGCTTCCCTTGGCTAGGAAAGGGAATTTCCCAACCCCTTGCACTTCCCAAGTGAGGCGATGCCCTGCCCTGCTTCGGCTCACACTCCGTGGGCTGCACCCACTGTCTGACAAGCCCCATTGAGATGAATCCGGTACCTTAGTTGGAAATGCAGAAATCACCCATCTTCTGCGTCACTCACACTGGGAGCTGTAGACTGGAACTGTTCCTATTCGGCCATCTTGGAAACCTCAAATTCTCACACTTTAAACAGCAAGACAAGGACTTGCGCGTTTGCAGTCCAACACGTAAAGAGCTTGGAAGTCATCATTCCTGTCCTCACAAGAAAAAAGCTGAACAAACTAAAAATAACTCTTCCTAGATATATCAGAGAATTACAGTGGAAGGCATGAAAACTAGAGACAGACAGGCAGATACAGAGAATTACCATTTACCAAGAGTAGAAGGCCATCAGCAGAAACCCACAGTTGGAGCCAGTACGAGTAGGAACACTCTGTAGGAACAACTGTTCTGATGAACTTCTAGAAGCTCAGTATGGCCTATCTAGAGAGTTAAAACTTCAAGGGTGGGGGCAGCTTTAAGGGGACTCCACACTTTCATGAGTTTTATCTCCAGAAGCCCCACCAAGTCGTCACTGTGAAGGGAGGGGGTGGGAATCCCTCTCTGCTTCCAGCAGGTAGACAAGAAAAGCAATCATTTTGAAATATGCCCAGAGATCTCTGTTTTCCCTAGCCAAGGACTACCCTGAGAGGAAACTATTTTACCAGAGCCTAACCAAGTTCTGTTTCCCCAAAGCCTGACCAAACACAGGGAAAGGAAGTACTAAACTCCAGCCCTGTCTAGCCTTCCATCTAGGCTAAAGGGATGGGTGGGGACACTGAGAAGGACTTGTAAAGGTCACAGCCCAGGGACACAGGCTCAGTGAAAGACTGAGATCTAATCATGGGATGATAGAATGCTTGTGCTCCTCCCAACCTTACCACCACATCAGTAAGAATCCTGCATAATAACCACAGATTATAAGTGAATTACAGCTGAAAAGACTGCAAGCCTCAGATCCTATTTAAGGAGCCTCTGGAAAAACTCAAAGACAACAAAGAAGACAAAGACAAGGGCCCTACAAGAAATTTTAGCTTCTGACACTTAAAGCTACGGCCAACAGTAAACAGCATAATTCTTAGCCAGAGAACCATAAAACCTCACACAAAAGAACTACCTACCTCAGTGCTTTTTTATTTTTCCTTTTTTTGTAGTGACAGGGTCTCACTATATTATTGCCCAGGCTGGTCTCGAATTCCTGGCCTCAAGTGGGCCTCCTGACTTGGCCTCACGAAGTGCTGGGAATAGAGAGGCACAGCCACCATGCCCAGCCTACCTCAGTTCTTTCTACCCAGTACATCATGTATGGTTTTCAACAAAAATGTATAAGACTGCTAAAACTCAAAAAACATATTCTAGAACCAGGTGCAGTGGCCTACACCTTTAATATCAGCACTTCAGGAGGTCAAAGCAAGTGAAACACTTGAGCCCAGAAGTTCTAGACCAGCCTGGACAACATAGTGAGACCTTGTCTCTACAAAAAATAAGAAAAATTAGCCAGGCATGGTGGCACATGCCTGTAGACCCTAGCTACTCGGGAAACTGAGGTGGGAAGATCGCTTGAGCCCAGGAGGTTGCAATGAGCCATGATCATGCCACTGCAGTTCACCCTGGGCAACAGAGTGAGACCTTGTCTCAAAAAAATCATGTTCTGAAGAGACGAAGCAAGCATCAGAACCCAACTAAAATACAGCACAGATTTTAGAATGATTAGGTTGGGAATTTAAAATAACTATGATTATTATGCTAAGTGCTCTATTGGAAAGAGCAGATAACATGCAAGAAAGATGAGTAATGTATAGAGTGATAAAAACTCTAAGAAAAAAATTAAAAAAGAAATGCTACAAATCACAAACATAGTAACAGAATTGAAGAATGCTCTGATGGGCTTATGGTTAGACTAGAGAAGGCAGGAAAGAAACAGTACACTAGAAGATATGACAATAGACTTCCATATGTGGGTTGGACACGGTGGCTCACACCTGTAAGCCCAGCACTTCATGGGGCTAAAGTGGGAGGATTGCTGCAGGCAAGTTTGAGACCAGCGGGGGCAACATAGCAAGACCCCATCTCTTAAACAAAATTATCCAGGTGTGGTGGCTGAGACGGTAGGATTGCATGAGCCCTGGTGTTGGGGGCTGCAGTGAGCTATGATCAATCCACTGTGCTCCAGCCTGGATGACAGACTGAGACGCTGTCTCAAAAATAAAGTAAAATAAGAAAAGAAAAGAAAAGCTCTTAATATGACAATAGGAATTTCCCAAACTGAAAAGCAAAGAGAAAAAATAATGAAACAAAAAACAAACAGAATATCAAAGAACTCTGGACAATTACAAAGGTGTAACATATGCATAATGAGAGAAGAGAGAAAGGAATGGAAGAAATAATTAACATAATAATGGCAGAAAATTTTTCAAAGTTAATACAGAGAGCAAACCAGAGATCCAATATAGTCAAGGAACATCTAGTAGAATAAATACCAAAATAATCTATATTTAAGCATATCATATTCAAACTATAGAAAATCAAAGACAAAGAGAAACTCTTAAAAGAAGATGGATGAAAACAATACCTTACCTATAGAGGAGCAAGAAGAGGTATTCAAAGAAAAGCACCAACAACCTAGAATTCTGCACCCAGTGATATTACCCTTCAAGAGGATAAAGACTTTCTCAGACAAACAAAACTGGGAGAAATTGTCACCAGTATAACCGCTTTGCAATGGATGTTAAAAGTTTTTTTTTTTCTTTTTTTTTTTAGACAGAGTATTGCTCTGTCACTCAGGCTGGAGTGCAGTGACACGATCTCGGCTCACTGCAACCTCCAACTCCCGGGTTCAAGTGATTCTCCTACCTCAGTCTCCTGAGTAGTTGGTATTACAGGCACCCCCCCCCCACCACACCCAGCTAATTTTTGTATTTTTAGTAGAGACGGGGTTTCACCATGTTGGCCAGGCTGGTCTCGAACTCCTGACCTCATGATCCGCCCACCTTGCCTCCCAAAGTGCTGAGATTACAGGCGTGAGCCACTGCGCCCGGCCAAAAGTTTTTCAAAGAATAGAAAAATGATCGGCTGGGCACAGTGGCCCAGGCCTGTAATTCCAGCACTTTGGGAGGCCGAGGCAGGCAGATCACCTGGGGTCAGGAGTTTGAGACCAGCCTGGCCAACATGGTGAAACCCCATCTCTCCTAAAAATACAAAAATTAGCTGGGCGTCGTAGCAGGTGCCTGTAGTGCCAGCTACTTGGGAGGCTGAGGCAGGCGAATCACTTGAAGCCAGGAAGTTGCAGTGAGCCAAGATCACGCCATTGCACTCCAGCCTGGGAGACAAGAGCGAGACTCAAAAAAAAAAAAAAACCAAAAACTCCAATTTACATAAAGAAAGGAAAAACATTAGAGAAATCATCGATAAAGGTAAAATAAAATAAATATCTCATTTTTCTTATTTGATCTAACTGATAACAGTGTTCAAATTAATTATAGAAACAATGGGTTCAGTGATTATAGTTTAGAGATAAGTGAAATGAATGACAGCAATGTTATAAAGGACAGCAATGTTATAAGGGAGGAATTGGGAATACTGTGTTATAAAATAGTTGTACTACCCATACAATGATATAGTGTTATTTGAAAGTGAACTTAGATTAGTAGTAAATGCATATTGCAAACACTAGGGCAACACTAAAAATATTTTTAAGAAGTATAATTAGCCATGTGTGGTGGCGTGTACCTGTACTGCCAGCTACTCAGGAGGCAGAGACAGGATGACTGCTTAAGCTCAGCAGGTCAAGGCTGCAGTGAGCTATGATCGTGCCACTGCACTCCAGCCTGAGTGACAGAGTGAGACCTTACCCTAAAAAAAAAAGAAAAGAAAAAGAAAACACACACACAAACCATTAAATAAAATTTTAAAAAAGAAGTATAACTGATATACTAAGAGAGGAGAGAAAATGGAATCATAATTAGAAGCTCAATTACAACCAAAGAAGGCAGAAAAAGAGTAAAAGACAAAATAGAAACCAAGAACAAAGGCAACAAATTGAAAATAGTTACAAATATGGTAGACACTAATCCAAATACATCAATAATCACTTTAAATGTGAATGATCTAAATACACAAATTAAAAGACAGACAGAAACTTCATGATATGAGCATGAAGAGGAAAAAAAAGACAGAAACACTCAGAGTGGATAAAAATACAAGACCCAACTCTATACTGGCTACAAAAAACTCACTTTAAATACAAAAACAGGCCAGGTGTGGTAGTTAACACCTGTAATTTCAGCACTTTGGTAGGCTGAGGCAGGCAGATTACCTGAGCTCAAGATTTCAAGACCAGCCTGAGCAACATGGCAAAACCCCTGCTAATATAAAAATTAGCCAAGCAGGATGGCCTGTGCCTGTAGTCCCAGCTACTCAGAAGGCTGAGGTGGGAGGATCACCTGAGCCCAGGGAGGCTGAGGTTGTAATGAGCCATAATCACGCCACTGCACTCCTGCCTGGGCAACAGAGTGAGACCTTGTCTCATAAATAAATAAATAAATAAAATATAAAGACATGGATCAAAAGTAAAAGAATGGTTTTGATTTGGAGACAGGAGTTTTTTCTGAAAAAGGATGGAGAAAGATTATGCTATAGTAGCACTAATCAAAAGAAAGCTGTGCCAGGTTCGGTGGCTCACACTTGTAATCCCAGTGAGAGGTGAAGCCAGCTGGACTTCTGGGTCAGGTGGGGACTTGGAGAATTTTTCTGTCTTGCTAAAGGATTGTAAATGCACCAATCAGCACTCTGTAAAAATGCACCAATCAGCACTCTGTGTCTAGCTAAAGGATTGTAAATGCACCAATTAGCACTCTGTAAAAACGCACCAATCAGCACTCTGTGTCTAGCTAAAAGATTGAAAACACACCAATCAGCACTCTGTAAAATGGACCAATCAGCACTCTATAAAACGGACCAATCAGCACTCTGTAGAATGGATCAATCAGCAGGATGTGAGTGGGGCCAAATAAGGGAATAAAAGCTGGCCACCCGAGCCAGCAGCGGCAACCCACTCAGGTCCCCTTCCACGCTGTGGAAGCTTTGTTCTTTTGCTCTTCACAATAAATCTTGCTGCTGCTCACTCTTTGGGTATGCACTACCTTTATGAGCTGTAACACTCACCGCGAGGGTCTGCGGCTTCACTCCTGAAGTCAGCGAGACCACAAACCCACTGGGAGGAACAAACAACTCTGGACGTGCGCCACCTTTAAGAGCTATAACACTCACTGCCGGGGTCTGTGGCTTTGTTCCTGAAGTCAGCAAGACCACAAACCCACCAGGAGGAGCAAACAACTCCGGACGTGCCACCTTTAAGAGCTGTAACACTCATTGCGAAGGTCTGCGGCTTCACTCCTGAAGTCAGTGAGACCACGAACCCACCAGAAGGAAGACACTCTGGACACATCTGAACATCTGAAGGAACAAACTCCAGACACACCATCTTTAAGAACTGTAACACTCACCACGAGGGTCTGCGGCTTCATTCTTGAAGTCAGCGAGACCAAGAACCCACTGGAAGGAACAAATTCCAGACACACCAGCACTTTGGGAGGCTGAGGCGGCTAGATCACTTGAGGCCAGGAGTTTGAGACCAGCCTGGCCAACATAGTGAAAACCAACATAGTGAAACCTCCCATCTCTACTAAAAATACAAAAATTAGCCGGGCACAGTTGCATGCACCTGTAGTCCCAGATACTTGGGAGGCTGAGGCACGAGAATCGCTTAAACCTGGAATGCGGAGATTGCAGTGAGCCAAGGTCATGCCACTGCACTCCAATCTGGGTGACAGAGTAAGACTCTTGTCTCAAAAAACAAAAAAGAAAAAGAAAAAGAAAGCCGGAGTAGCTATATTAATTTCAGACAAAGCAAACCTTAGAGTAAGGAAAATTATTAGGGATAAAGAGGGGCCCTTCATAAGGATAAAGGAGTCAATTCTCCAGAAAACAGAACAATCCTTAATGTGTATGTGTCTAATGAGAGAGTATCCAAATATGTGCGGCGAAAACTGACATAACTGCAAGGAGAATGAGCTAAACCCGCTATTATACTTGGAGACATCAACACGTCAACATCAGTAATTGACAAATCCAGCAGGCAGAAAATCAGTAAGGATATGGTTGAACCATCAATAAACTGGATCTAGTTGACATTTATAGAGCATTTTATCCTACAATAGAATACACATTCTTCTCAAACTCGCATGGGACATTCAGCAAGGTAGACCACTTCTTTGCCATAAGACACACTTCTAAAGAACACATGGATCAAAGAAGACATTTCAGGGGAATTTGAAAAATATTTTGAACTACGTGAAAATGAAAATACAACTTTTCAAAATGTGTGGTAATCAATGAAAGCAATGCATAGAGGAAAATTCATTAGCACTTAGTGCATGCATTAGAAAAACAGGGCCGGGCACACGCCTGTAATCCCAGCACTTTAGGAGGCTGAGGCAGGTGGATCATGAGGTCAGGAGATCGAGACCATCCTGGCTAACATGGTGAAACCCCATCTCCACTAAAAATACAAAAAATTAGCCGGGCATAGTGGCACGTGCCTGTAGTCCCAGCTACTCGGGAGGCTGAGGCTGGAGAATTGCTTGAACCCAGGAGGCAGAGGTTGCAGTGAGCCGAGATTGTGCCACTGCACTCCATCCTGGGAAACAGAGCGAAACTCTGCCAAAAAAAAAAAAAAAATAGGAACTAAAATTCATAATCTAAACTTCAACCTTAAGAAACTAGAGAAAGAAGAGTAAATTGAATGAAAAGAAAGCAGAAGAAAAAATGGAATAAAAACTCAGAGCAAAAATCAAGGAAATTTAAAACAGAAAACAAGAAAAGCAACAAAACCAAAAGTTGGCTCTTTGAAAAGATCACAAAATCGGTAAATATCAAGTCAGGGTAACCAAGGGAAAAAAGAGACAAAACATAATTTTTTTTCCTCTTTTGGCGGAAGACAAAAGTCTTGCTCTGTCACCCAGGCTAGAGTGCAGTGATGCAATCATAGGCTGACTGTAAACTTGTACTCTTGTGCTCAAGGGATCTTCTGCCTCAGCCTCCCAAAGTGCTGGGATTACAGACATGAGACACCATGCCCAGAAACAAATTTCTAATATCAGAAATGAAAGAGAGGTCATTACTACCGATCTCATGGACATTAAAATGATGAGAAAGGAATATTTTGCAAAACTTTATGGCCACAAATTTAATAACTTAGATGCAATGGACCAATTCCTTGAAAGATACTGTTGGGATGATCAGACCCAACACCAGGTTGTGGGGACGATGAAGTCCAGTGGAGTCAAAGGATTGAGAAAAAGACAGTTTGAGAGAAAGTGGGACCGGGGGCCATCACAAGTGTGGAGGCTGCAAAGGCCCTGAGCTCTGGGAGCCCACGCTATTTATTAGTGCTCAAAGAAACAGGTGGTGAGGATGTGGGGGTTGAAAGGAAACAGTGTATCAAGTGAATGAAAAACATATGGCTACTTGGGATAATGGGAGTGCTAGAAGTAAGGAGCCAGCAAGTCTAGCAGACATGCAAGCCCTGCCTCAGCTTCTCTCCCTACACTCAGCTTTTCTCCCTACACTCAGCTTTTCTCCCAACAGATACAATCTACTAAAACTCACACAAGGAGAAACAGACAATCTCAACATCTATATGTATTTTTAATTGAATCAATAATCTTCCAGAACAGAAAGCACCTGGCCAAGATAGTTTCACTGGGGAATTCTACCAAACATTTAAGGAAGAAATTATACTAATTCTCTACAATCTGTTCTAAAAAATAGAAGCATAGGAAATACGTCCTAACTCATCCTCTGAGGTTAGCATTACCCAAATATCAAAATCAGACAAATGCATTACAAGCAAGGAAAACCACAAATGAACATCTCCCATGAACATAGATGTAAAATCTTCAACAAAATGTTAGATCAAATTCAGCAATGTATACAAAAAAATTATACACCACAACTAAGTGGAATTTATTTCACGCATGCAAAGGTGGTTCAACATTTGAAAACCAATTAATGTAACCCATCACATTAACAAGCTAAAGAAGAAAAATAACATGATCATATCAACAGATGCAGAAAAAAGCATTTGACAAAATCCAACACCCATTCATGTTAAGAACTCTCAGAAACCCAGGAAGAGAGAGTAAGTTCCTCACCATGATAAGGACATCTAAAAATGCCTACATTACACTTAATGGTGAGAAACTAGATGTTTTCCCCTTAAGATCAGGAACAAGGCAAAGGCATCACCTCTCACCACTCCAATTCACAATTGTCCTGGAAGTCCTGCCTAATGCAATAATAAAATAAAATAAAATAAACAGTATATGAACTGAGAGGAAAAAAATAAAATTGTCCTTATTCACAGATGACATGATTATATGTGTAGAAAATCCCAAGGAATTAACAACAATAAAAAATAACACTCCTGAAACTAATGAGCAATTATAGCAAGATTGTAGGACACAAGGTTAATATACAAAAGTCAATCATCTTCCTATATGTCAGCAATGAGCAACTGGAATTTGAAATTAAAAACACAATACCATTTATATTAGCACCAAAAAATTAAATACTTAGGTATAACATAACAAAATATGTGTTATATCTCAATATCTATATGCAGAGAACTACAAAACTCTGATGAAATAAATCAAAGATCTAAATGGAGATCCTTTGAGCTGCAAGGTAAAAAATTTAATAAAAATAAATAAATACATGAAGAGAGATTCTATGTTCACGAATAGGAAGACTCAATATTGTTTAGATGTCACTTCTTCCCAACTTGACCTGTAGATTGAATGCAATTCCCATCAAAATCCCTGCAAATCATTTTGTGGAAGTCAACTAACTGATTTTAAAGTTTATATAAAAAATCAAATGACCCAGAAATTGCCAAATTAATTCTCAAGAATAAGAATAAAGTGAGAGGACTGACATTTCCCAACAACAAGATATTACTATTATAAAGCTACAGTAATCTAGACAGTGGGGTATTGGTGAAAGAATAGATTGATGAGACATAACAGACAGCTCAGAAATAGGCCCACACAAATATAGTTAACTGATCTTTGATAAAGGAACAAAGGCAATCCAATGGAGAAAGGATAGTCTTCTCAACAAATGGTGCTGGAAAAACTGGACAGCTACATGCAAAAAAATGAATCTTACACCTTTCACAAAGAGTAACTCAAAATGGATCACAGATTTAAATATAAAATGTAAAACTAGGCCAGGTGCAGTGTCTCACACCTGAAATCCCAGCAATTTCAGAGGCTGAGGCGGCTGGATCTCGTGAGTTCAGGAGTTTGAGACCAGCCTAGGTAACATGGCAAAACCCTGTCTCTACCAAAAGAAAAAAAAAATTAGCCAGGCATGGTGGCGCCTGCCTGTAGTCCCAGCTACTCAGAAGGCGGAGGTGGAGGATTGCTTGAGCCCAGGAGGTGGAGATTGCAGTGAGCCCTGATCTCGCCACTGCACTCCAGCCTTGGCAACACAGCGAGACTTCGTCTCAAAAAAAAAAAAAAATTAATGTAAAGCTATAAAACTTCAAGAAGATAACATATGAAAAAATCTGGGTGACTTGGGGTTTGTCAATAAGTTTTTAGGTAAAAAGCAAACAGAATATTCCATGAAAAAAAAATTGATAACTTGGACTTCATTAGGATTAAAAACATCTGTCCTACAAAAAACATCATTAAGAGAATGGGGCTGAGCGCAGTGGCTCATGACTGTAATCCCAGCACTTCGGGAGGCCAGGGCAGGTAGATCACAAGGTCAGGAGTTCAAGACCAGCCTGGCCAATATGGTGAAACCCTGTCTCTACTAAAAATACAAAAATTAGCCCGGGCCTGGTGGCGGGCACCTGAAGTCCCAGCTACTCAGGAGGCTGAGGCAGGAGAATCGCTTGAACCCAGGAGGCAGAGGTTGCAGTGAGCCAAGATTGTGCCACTGCACACCAGCCTGGGAGACAAAGCAAGACTCTGTCTCAAAAAAGAAAAGAGAGAGAGAGAGAGAATGAAAATACAAGCCACTGACTGAAAGGAAGTATTTTCAAAATACATATAAAAGGCTTGTATCCACAATACACAAGGAACTCTTCAACTCAACAATAAGAAAATAACCCAATTAAAAAGATGTGAACCAAAAGAAGACATACACATGGCAAACAAGCACATGAAAAGATGTTCAACATCATATGTAGTTTGCAAATTGAAAATTAAAATGAGATACCACTACACAGCTATTAGAATGGCCAAAATCCACAATACTGACAGCACCAAATGCTGACAAGAATGTAGACCAACAAGAATTTTCATTCATTGCTGGTGGGAATGCCAAATGGTTCAGCCACATTCAAAGACAGTTTGGTAGTTTCTTACAAGGCTAAACATCGTCTTACCATATGATCCAGTAATCACACCTCTAGGTATGTACCCAAGTAAGGTTAAAACATATATCTGCACAAAAACCTACACATAAATGTTTATAGCAGATTTATACATAATTGCCAAAACTTGGAAACAATCACGATGTCCTGCAATAGGTGAATAGATATACAAATTGTGGTGTATCCATACAATAGAATATTATTCAGCACTAAAAAGAAATGAACTGTCAAGTCACAAGAAGACATGGAGGAATGTGAAATGCACATTGCCAAGTGGAAGAAGCCAGTCTGATTGCAAATATATGGCTGTGATGGTTAATACTGAGTGTCAAATTGATCGCACTGAAGAATGTTCCAAAGTATTGTTCCTAGGTGTGTCCATGAGGGTGTTGCCAAAGGAGATTAACATTTGAGTCAGTGGACTGGGAGAAGCAGACCCACCCTCAGTCAGGGTGGGCTCCATCTAATCAGCTGCCAGGGGGCCAGAATAAAAGCAGGCAGAAGAACAGACTAGACTGGTTTAATCTTCTGGCTTACATCTTTCTCCTGTGCTGGATGCTTCCTACCCTTGAACATCAGACTCCAAGTTCTTCAGCTTTGGGACTTGGAGTAGGCTCCTTGCTCGTCAGCTTATAGACAGCCTACTGTGGGACCTCACCTTGTGATCATGTGAGTCAATACTCCTTAATAAACTCCATATATATATATATATATATATATATATATATATATATATATGCTATTAGTTCTACTAATAGCATATATATAGTACTATTAGTTCTACTGCTAATATATATGTATATACATATATAGTATATATATACATATACAGCATATATACATATATACTATATATACATATAGTATACATACACATATATTGTATATGTGTGTATATACACAATATATGTATACATATATACACACACATATATATGTATATATATAATTAGTTCTGTCCCTCTAGAGAACCCTGACTAATACTATGGCATTCTAGAAAAAGTACAACTGTAGAGACAGTAAAAAGATCAGCAGTTTCCAGAAGTTTGGCAGGGAAGAAGGGAGAGGGTAAGGAAGGAAGGATGAATAGGTAGAGCACAGAGAGATTTTAAAGGTAGTGAAACTGCTCTGTATGATGATGTAATGGTAGGTACATGACATTATGCATTTGGCAAAATCCATAGAAAGTAGAACACAAAGAATGAACCCTAATGTAAACTACAGACTTTAGTTAATTATCATATATCGAAATTCGTTCATCAATTAACAAATGTGCCACACCACCAGGTGCAGTGGCTCACGCCTGTAATCCCAGCACTTTGGGAGGCCAAGGCAGGTGTAATCCCAGCACTTTGGGAGGCCTGAGGTCAGGAGTTCGAGACCAGCCTGGCCAACATGGTAAAACCCCGTCTCTATTAATAATACAAAAAGTAGCTGGATATGGTGCCACATGCCTGTGGTCTCAGCTACTTGGGAGGCTGAGGCAGGAGAATCACTTGAACCCAGGAGGCAGAGGTTGCAGTGAGCCAAGATCGCGCCATTGCACTCCAGCCTGGGCGACAAGAGCAAAACTCCGCCTAAAAAACAAACAAATAAACAAAAAAACAAATGTGCCATACCAAAACAAAATGTTCATAATAGAGGAAACTGTGGAGGTGGAGTGGGGCAGGGCAGGGGGAGTATATGGGAGCTCTGTACTTTCTGCTCCATTTTTCTGTAAACCTAAAACTGCTCTTAAAAATAAAGTCTATTAATTAAAAAAAAAAACAAGGCAAGATCAAAGCATGACTACAGCTAGCATCTCTGCTCACTGAGTCCAATGTTTTCAGGGTGTGCCTATTTTGGGTTTTCAGTTTATTAGCATGGCTTATCCGATAATAGATACGAGTACTTCATGTAGTGTTTAGTTAAATTTTGCAAAACTGCATTCTGAGGAAGTCCTGTTCTTTCATTTTTAAAGCTACAGGAAGAGAGGGGGAAGGGACAGAAGGGAAGGAGGAGGAAAAGAAGGGGGGAGCATGAGGGAATCAAATGCCACAGTCCCATATTTAACATTTGCCCTTACAGGAATAGCAAATGTGCGGCACGTTGATTTCTCACTATCAGCACCAAAGTTTTGTACTCTAGATACTGCAAATAAGGAATGTCAGTTAATTGGAGTTAAGCAACACAGGAACAGAGGGTTATATCTTACTTCTCTCTGTGATCAACCCTCTTTCCCTTTTTTGCCCCTTCTCACATAGACGCAAACTGGAAGCTGTTCAATTGTATTTGGAATCTGTGACACAACTATTGTGTCTATTGTGATTATTGGCTGTGCTTTAGGATATCAGTTGTTTGGCCAAGTTTTGGGGCGGCCTCGCCCCCTGGCTAACATCCTAGTCCCCTAGGGACCCGGTGGGCAGCAGAGCACTCAAATTCTCCATCCATGTCTAGCACTGAGCTCTGCTTCATTCAATGTTCCTCTCTCTATCTTTTGGGTGCGCATGAGCACACACGATCTTTAGCTCGAATATATCCTAGAATGGTCACATCACTTATTTTATCCTGTGCTTTTGGTCCTCAGAACACACCTGCAAGTTCCAGCCATATTTCTACCTGTTGGTAGATACAGCTCCTCCTAGTGGAGTCAAATTAGAAACAGTTCTCCATTTATGACAGTCTTTCCAATGTGAGATTCAAATAGGCTAACCCAAGAGTGCGAAATTTTCCATATTTAGGGGCCTAATATCATCCAATTTCTTCCTGTAGAAGTAGTAGCAATTCATTATCAGAGAAGAAATGCAGATAAGTGAGGTGTTAGAGGAACTGACAAAGCCAGCACGCCAGTTAAGTTATCAGGGATCACAGGTCTGTATTGACTAAGAAGTATTCTAAAAGAAAATTCTTTTTAGAAATTATGTAGTTCGGGTTTTGATCCTGCAAATTCTTTCAAAAGAGGTTAGTGATTAAAAACATTGTTTTAATCTCGCAGTCTCTAAAACAATTGTTGGCATAATTGGAAAGCATCCTCAAATTCAAATGGACACAAACTACAAGAGTCCCCCTAACACCCACTCCTTAAATTCCATTTCCACAACCCAGATCCCTGCCTCAGTCCGCTGGGTGTTAGCCATGCACCTGCCCAGACAGCTGCAGAGTCTCAGACTTTGAAGAGGAGTAGTGAATGGAAGCTGAATACCTCCATATCCCATAACACACAAATGGTTTAATTCCTGTAGAGAATGGATCAGGTCAGGTGAGGTGGCTCACGCCTGTGATCCCAGCACTTTGGGAGGCCGAGGTGGGCGGATCACTTGAGCTCAGGGGTTCCAGACCCACCTGGGCAACATGGCGAAACCTTGTCTCTACCAAAAATGTCAAAACTTAGCCAGGCATGGTGGTATGCGCCTGTTGTCCCCGCTACTCGGGAGGCTGAGGTGGGAAGATCGCTTGAACCCAGGAGGCGGAGGTTGCAGTGAGCCAAGATAGTGCCACTGCACTTTAGCCTGGGTGACAGAGTGAGACCCCCATCTCAAAAAAAAAAAATTTAAAGAAGAATAGGCCAGGCGCGGTGGCTCATGCCTGTAATCCCAGCACTTTGGGAGGGTGAGGCAGGCGGATCATGAGGTCAGGAGTTCAAGACCAGCCTGGCCAACACAGTGAAATCCTGTCTCTACTAAAAATACAAAAATTAGCTGGGCATGGTGGCGCATGCCTGAAGTCCCAGCTACTTGGGAGGCTGAGGCAGGAGAATCACTTGAACCTGGGAGGCAGAGGTTGCCCAGGCTGGAGTGCAGTGGCAGGACCCAAACTCTGCAAGCCTGATCCCACTGGCTGTCTGCACCTCCCTGTGTGCTCTAGCTCCCCCTCACTGCCAACTCATGAAACACAGGCTGCTCCCAGGATACCTGGCAAGAAGAGCACCATGCCATTCAGATGTGCAGGAGTAGGGGTTTTCTCTTTCCAACTAAAGTACATGTCCACCAGCCATGGGGCAGGTAGACCAATCACTGTTGCAGAGTTGGTTTTATAGGCAACTGATGTGAAGGTGTACTGCCTGTTGTCGCAAAAGTTAGGCAGTAGGTTTTCCATTGAAAACTTTCTTATTAGAAATTCTCCCCAATCTCCATCCCAAATCACAGAATTTCTCTTACTCGATTAAGTTTTTGGACCTGGCCCCATGACAAATTAGTTATACATAGAAGATATCCAATAGTGTGGTCCACTCTTTCCATTTAACATTATTTCATACGTCTTTCCCTTAAATTCCAAAAAAAGGAGATTTCTGATAATCAATTGGCATTAATTTTCATGATCTGATAAATTACTTCTTAGGAAAATCCCAGAGGCCATCATGCTACTGGCAGGCTGGACTTGGAATTTCTTCAGCAAACCTATGTACCTTCAAAAATCCAAATTGAGGGCTGTGCATGGAGGCTCACGCCTGTGATCCCAGTACTTTAGGAAGCGGAGGCCGGCAGATCATTGGAGGTCAGGAGTTTGAGACCAGCCTGGCTTACAGGGTAAAACCCAGTCTCTACCAAAAATACAAAAATTACCTGGGCATGGTGGTGGGCACCTGTAATCCCAGCTACTTGGGAGGCTGAGGCATGAGGACTGCTTGAACCCAGGAGGCAGAGGTTGCAGTGAGCCAAGATCCTGCCACTGCACTCCAGCCTGGGCAACAGAGCAAGACTCTGTCTCAAAAAAAAAAGTCGAAATCAGTAGAATTAATGTTGGAATGCCCTTTGATTTAAAAACAGTAGAGGCCTAGGTGCAGTGGTTCAAGCCTGTAATGACAGCACATTGAGATGCCGAGGTGTGAGGATCACTTGAGTCCATGAGTTCAAGACCAGCTTGGGCAACATGGCAAAACCCCATGTCTACAAAAAATTTAAAAATTAGCGAACCATGGCACATGCCAGCTACTCAGGAGGCTGAGGTGGGAGGATCCCTTGAACTCAGGAGGTGGAGGTTGCAGTGAGCCAAGATCACACCACTGCACTCCAGTCTGGGTGAGGGAGCCAGACACTGTTTCACAAAAGAAAAAAGAAAAGAAAAACAGTATAAAATGAATAGAAATGCTGGGCGTGGTGGCTCACGCCTGTAATCCCAGCACTTTGAGAGGCTGAGGCGGGCGGATCACAAGGTCAAGAGATCAAGACCATCCTGGCCAACATGGTGAAACTCTGTCTCTACTAAAACTACAAAAATTAGCTGGGCATGGTGGCACGCCCCTGTAATCCCAGCTACTCAGGAGGCTGAGGCAGGAAAATAGCTTGAACCCTAGAGGCAGAGATTGCAGTGAGCCAAGATCACGCCACTGCACTCCAGCCTGCTTACAGAGCGAGACTCCATGTAAAAAAAAAAAAAAAAAAAAAAAAAGAATAGGAATACTGATCCTTAACTCTATATTGCTGGGCTGGCATACAATGAGACTAGTTTAAGGAGCTGGACAAAGAGGGGATTACAAATTCCTTTTGCTGGATAGATAATAGAGGCTGGGTAGGGTATGTGG
Source organism: Homo sapiens (assembly GCF_000001405.40). Lineage (NCBI taxonomy): Eukaryota > Metazoa > Chordata > Mammalia > Primates > Hominidae > Homo > Homo sapiens. Next base: position 119,945,670 of record NC_000023.11, on the reverse strand, counting down.
GAGGAAGCAGAAGGATGAAGAGAAATAGGTTAAAGGGTACAAACATACAGTAAGATAGAAGAAATAAATTCAATGGTTTTTGTTGTTGTTTTAAGACAGTGTCTCACTCTGTCGCCCATGGAGTGCAGTGGATCAATCACGGCTCACTGCAACTTCGATTTCCGGGCTCAAGTAAGTGTTCCTCCCACCTCAGTCTCCTGAGTAGCTGGCATGCACCACCACACTCGCCAAATTTTTAAATTTTTTGTAGAGACAGGGTCTCCCTATGTTTCCCAGGCTGGTCTCCAACTCCTGGGCTCAAGTGATTGGCCCGCCTCGGCCTCCCAAATTTCTGGAGTTACAGGTGTAAGTCACCATGCCCAGCCCCAAATTCAATGTTTGATATTGACAGCATGGTAGAGTGAGAGTACACTATTTTTTTTTGGAAACACAGTCTCACTCTGTTGCCCAGGCTGGAGTGCAGTGGTGCAATCTCACTCTCGGCTCACTGCAACCTCAGCCTCCCGGGTTCAAGCGATTCTCGTGCCTCAGCCACCCTAGTAGCTGAGATTACAGGCACGTGCCACCAGGCCCAGCTAATTTTTGTATTTTTAGTGGAGACAGGGTTTCGCCATGTTGGCCAGGCTGGTCTCAAACTCCTGACCTCAAGTGATCCACCCGCCTCTGCCTCCCAAAGTGCTGGGATTACAGACGTGAGCCACCATACCAGGCCGAGAGTACACTTAACAAAAATGTATTGTGCTCAGATAATGGACACCTTAAATACCCTGACGTCATCACTACACATTATATACATGTAACAAAATTTCACATGTATCCCATAGATTTGTACAAATTTAAAAAATAATAAAAAATTAGCTGTGCATGATGGCACATGTCTGTAATCCCAGCTACTCAGGAGGCTGAGGCAGGAGAATCACTTGAACCTGGGAGGCGGAGGTTGCAGTGAGCCAGGATAGCCACTGCACTCCAGCCTGGATGACAGAGGGAGCCCTTGTCTCAAAAATAAAAAAATAAAAAATAAAATGACACTTTTTGGGGAAAAAAATACAAGCCAGACGCAGTGGCTCACACCTATAATCCTAGCACTTTGGGAGGCCGAGGCTGGCGGATCGCTTGAGCCCAGGAGTTCAAGACCACCTGGGCAACAAGGTGAAACCCTGTTTCCCCCGACCCCCCTCAAAAAAAAAACTACCCAGGCTTGGTGTCGCATGCGCCTGTAATCCCAGCTATTCAGGAGGCTGAGGTGGGAGGATAGCTTGAGCCCGGGGAGGCGGAGGTTTGCAGGGAGCTGAGATCTTGCCACTGTACTCCATCCTGGGCGACAGAGTGAGCAGAGTGAGTTCCAGTCTCAAAAAAAAAAAACCTCCTTTTGCTGGGGCATATTGGTGGAGACGGTGGCTAGGGGATAAGTATGCAGTTTTTCTCTAGGCGGGAAACTTAATTGAAGTTTATCAGGCGCGAGTCATTAACAAAATTTGCGCCCTCTAAGCTAACACGGCAATATGGGGCTTAGACACCATAGCTAATCCCCAGTCGCGAAAAACCCTCCCGATTTGCTTGGGATTGGAAAGAAAAAGAAAATACACATTCATACTTTCATACATGACATACACACACACACACACATTTATATATAAATACACACAGAAAGCACAGGAAACACAAGCAGAATTAACTGTCTTGTTCATACGGCCACTCAGTGAAATGTATACTGTATATTGTGTTTGAAATATATACTTCCCTTCAAGTGTTTCAAGTTCAAGGCTGAGAAAGAACTTGGTCTCTTGCTTAGACTTGAGGAGCCTCACTCGGAACTGGAAGGATGCACGCAATCTAGTTGCCCCACCGGCTTATTTATATTGATGCACACATCGCTTCCTGTCGGTGACGACCGCCTAGATCCGGGGAAGGGTTTTGCAGAAGTACCCAGAACTGTGTCCAAGGTTTCCTCAGATTTGGGCTGTTCCGCAGCGGCAGGTCCCGGGAACCAAGGCAACAGACATCTTCCTAGGCTCGCGAGAGCGCCCCCTTGTCCCACGGCTGCTGGGGCCCCCCAGTAGCCATGGCTCCGGTGTCCGGCTCACGCAGCCCGGATAGGGAGGCCTCGGGCTCGGGGGGAAGACGTCGCAGTTCGTCGAAGAGTCCGAAGCCCAGCAAATCTGCCCGCTCCCCGCGGGGCCGCCGCTCTCGCTCGCACTCTTGCTCTCGGTCCGGGGACCGGAATGGACTCACCCATCAGCTGGGTGGCCTCAGCCAAGGCTCCCGAAACCAGTCCTACCGCTCACGCTCGCGGTCGCGTTCTAGAGAGCGGCCCTCTGCGCCCCGGGGCATCCCCTTCGCTTCTGCCTCCTCGTCAGTCTATTACGGCAGCTACTCGCGCCCCTACGGGAGCGACAAGCCTTGGCCTAGCCTCCTCGACAAGGAGAGGGAGGAGAGCCTGCGGCAGAAGTGAGTGAGACGGCCGCACTTTCTCTTGTACGAGCCTACGTGCCTTTGGAGTCCGATCTATCATTCATTCCGCTTCTGACTATTCGCATTTCGCTCACTCTGCTTGCCTTGCGCCCATTTTCATCCCTTTCTTTAATCCACCCACGACAACCCTTTATTCGTCCTTTTCATTTTCCCTTACCCTCAGGCCCCTTCATATAGTGCCCTGGTCTCCCGCTACCCCCTTCCGCCTCCTGTCTTGTTAGCGAATATTGCCGAGAGTTCAGACCTACCAGAACTGTAGCATTTACCTGGTTGTGTCATTATCATTCGTGAATATATTTGTATTCCCCACTAGACTGAGCTCATGGAAAGGAGGAGCCAGTGAACGGAGGAGAATTCTGATCACAGAATTCTAAGTGCCTGGTACTTTATAGGCGCTCAACCATTGCTTGTTGAATGAAGGAACTTACAGGTCTGAGATAACAGGATATTTATGTAGAAACGTTTTGTGGGGAATTAGGAAGGAATGAAATCAAGGGTTTAAGTTGGAGAGGAAATAAACCTTCCCCTCAGACAAGACGATTAGATGCATGTAGGAAAAGTGATCTGATAAGCTATAGATGACCCCACTTTGAGGAAGGTCTTGTTAAGTGGTCTCAGTCTTGACCTCGAAAAATGACGCCAGGATGAGACTAGATCTCTAATCAAAGTGAGTATTGGAGTGGAAAAATGCATAGCTTGGGGATTGTTTTGTTTTGTTTTTGAGACAGGGTCTAGCTCTGTCGCCCAGGTTGGAGTGCAGTGGTGCAATCTTGGCTCACTGCAGCCTCCACCTTCTTGGGCTCAAGTGATCCTCCCACCTCAGCCTCCCTCATAGCTGGGACTATAGGTGCGCACCACCACACCCGGCTTATTTTCGTATTTTTTGGTAGAGACAGGGTTTCACCATGTTGCCCAGGCTGGTATCGAATTTCTGGGCTCAAGTGATCCTCCCACGTTGGCCTCCGGAAGTGCTGAGATTACAGGTATGACCCCACATGCCCTGCCGAGCCTGTCCTTTTCATCACTATACTTTATTACCTCCCACTGCCGGAAGAAAAAGACTCAAGACATCTCCCAACTGTTGGAACTTTAACCTACCTCTCAATGCCTGTAATATTTCTAAGTTTCTCATTTTTTTAAACATATAAGTGCACGTAAATAACTTAGTACAGTGCCTGACACATAATTTAACAATAAACAAGATATTAAGACTTACACAGCAATAATTATGAGCCTTTTCCTTTCTCCTTAAAACTATGCATTTTTTGGCTGGGCACAGAGGCTCATGCCTGTAATCCCAACACTTTAGGAGGCCAAGGCAGGAGGATCACTTGAATCCAGGAGTTCAAGACCAGCCTAGGCAATATAGGGATACCCTGTCTCTACAAAAAGTGTTTTAAAAATCAGCTGGGCGTGGTGGCATGTGCTTGTAATTTCAGGTACTGGGGATGCTGAAGTGGGAGGATCACTTGAGCTGGAGAGGTCAAGGCTGCCATGAGCCATGATCTCACCACTGCACTCCAGCTTGGGTGACAGAGGGAGATGCTGTCTCAAAAACAAACAAACAAAAAAAAACAAAGAGAAGAACAGGAAGAAAGAAAGGAAAAGGACAAACTCCAGAATCAGACTGAGTATGAAGCCTTTATTTGCCACTTAATAGCTGTGTGACCTTGGTCAAGTTACTTAACCTCTCTGGGCTCCATTTCTTCATCATTAAAAGGGGGATAAAATAAGTACTATGGATTAAAAAGGGGATAAAATAAGTACTAGGGATTTGGGGATTGTAATAATTAAGTGGCTGGAACATAACTATTCCATAAGTGTTAGCTATTAATGTTTCATGCATGGGAGCAAAAACAGTAAAAACAGTCCTGAGTTAGGTTGGAGACCCATCTCTCCAAGTTACATTTTTCAGAAACATACCCACAGGCTATGTCAGTCAAAAAGTAAATAGTTTCTTCTTGGAGAATCCTCACCAAAAGATGTCAGAAGTGCTTGGATGAAACTTGCATATGTACATTTAGAAAATAAATAATTTATCTTTTTTTTTTTTTTTGAGATGGAGTCTCACTCTGTCTCCCAGGCTGGAATGCAGTGGTGCAGTCTCGGCTCACTGCAGCCTCCACCTCCTGGGTTCAAGTGGTTCTTCTGCCTCAATCTCCTGAATAGCTGGGATTACAGGTATGCACCACCACACCCAGCTAATTTTTGTGTTTTTAGTAGAGACGGGGTTTCGCCATGTTGGCCAGGCTGGTCTCGAACTCCTGACCTCAGGTGATCCACCAGCCTCAGCCTCCCAAAGTGCTGGGCCCGGCCAATAATTTATCTTAACATTACAGATGAAACCAGGTGACAACAGGACTTCCTGCTATTTACAGCCTGGTAGGCGTTCTTCCCCCGATATCCATACATTCCAAGTACAGCTATAAATATGTTACCTTTTAAATTGTCTGTTACTTCAGGTGGGAAACCCTCTCAGTCTGACTCTGCATAGTTATAATACCTTTTCCCCTGATTAAGGAGGCAAAAACGATTTATACAAAAACTCATTGCAATTATATTTATTTTGGAAGGATTTTTAAAAACAAATGGAGTCACAAGCAGCTAAAATTTGAGAGAATGAGCCTTAGTCTTTGTTTTGTTTTGTTTTTTAGTTTATGAGGAATAACAAAAATTAAAACAGAAGAAACCATAGGCATAAAACAAAAGAAGAAACAAATTTTAGTGTCCTTCAAAGAATAGATACAAAATGCACTCCTTTTCCAAAAAGGAACTAAAAGGAAAACAGAGAGGGAACAAACCTTGTATCTCATTGAGTATAGTTTTTTTTTTTTTTTTTTTGGTTTTTTATTTTGAGATAAGAGTCTCACTCTATCACCCAGGCTGTCATGTGCAGTGGCGTGACCTTGGCTCACTGCAACCTCCACCTCCAGGGTTCAAGAGATTCTCCAGCCTCAGCCTTCTGAATAGCTGGGACTACAGGCACATGCCACCGTGTCCAGCTAATTTTTGTATTTTTTTTAGTAGAGACAGGGTTTTACCATGTTGGCCAGGCTGATCTTGAACTCCTGACCTCAGGTGATCCACCTGCCTCGGCCTCCCAAAGTGTTGGGATTACAGGCGTGAGCCACCACGCCCAGCCCCAAGTATATTTTTTGTTAAATGAAACTTTTTGACTAGGTGCAGTGGCTCATGCCTGTGATCCCAACGCTTTGGGAGGCTGAGGCAAGAGGATTGCTCGAGGCCAGGAGTTCAAGATCAGCCTGGACAACAAAGCAAGACCTCTTTTTTTTTTTTGAGACGGAGTCTCGCTCTGTCTCCCAGGTTAGAGTGCAGTGGTGCGATCTTGGCTCACTGAAACTTCCACCTCCTGGGTTTAAGCGATTCTCCTGCCTCAGCCTCCCTAGTAGCCAGGATTACAGGCATGCGCCACCACGCCTGGCTAATTTTTGTATTTTTACTAGAGACGGGGTTTCACCATGTTGGCCAGGCTGGTCTTGACCTCCTGATCTCAAGCAATCCGCCCGCCTCAGCCTCCCAAAGTGCTGGGATTACAGGCATGTGCCACCGCACCTGGCGGCAAGACCTCATCTCTACAAAAAAATAAAAAACTTTTATTTCGGGCCCGGTGCAGTGGCTCACGCCTGTAATCCCAGCAACTGAGGTGGATCTCCTGAGGTCAGGAGTTTGAGACCAGCCTGGCCAACACGATGAAACCCCATCTCTACTAAGAATACAAAAATTAGCCAGGCGTGATGGCGCATGCCTGTAATCCCGGCTACTAAGGAGGCTGAGGCAGGAGAATTACTTGAACCCAGGAGGCGGAGGTTGCAGTGAGCCAAGATCGTGCTACTGCACTCCAGCCTGGGCGACAGAGCGAGACTCCATCTAAAAAAATAAATAATAAAATAAAATAAAAACTTTTCTTTCATTTTCAGAACTTCAGTTGTTTTCTACGTCTAATGCATCATTTTTATTTTCTTCATTAATTCCTCGATTTCTGAAAACTGAAGGTTTGACCATATCAAAAGAGACTTCTCTTCACCTTTCATAAATCTGTAAACAAATGAAGTTACTTACAAATGTGAAGCTGTTTCTGTCACATATTACAGATGATGAAATGAGCAGTTAAGAGCTGTGTCATGCATTCAGCAGAATGGATGCACTTGACAGTCTCCCAGGCCATCATTTCTATAGTCTGTACCATTTGATAGTATCATCAGAACATCAGACCTTAAGTGATGAGTTTACATTTAAACCAAGTTTTTATCCATGTTTAAAATATAAAGGGAAAAAAGGCTTAACTAGACTCCTATTGAATTTGATTATATATTTAGGAAACAACTCAGCCATTGAGTTATAATTTACATGTCTTTATCTGCTAGGAGATTAAGTGAGAGAGAGAGAATTGGAGAATTGGGAGCTCCTGAAGTATGGGGACTTTCTCCAAAGAATCCTGAACCAGAGTAAGTGGTTAAAAAATATATTTTTAAAATGTTATAATATGTGTTTAAATCCTGAATCTATTGTGAAAATGTTTAAGTGAAGAACTTTAAATATATCTCACATTTTTCTTTCTTGTGATTTATGTTCTTCTACCCCTTAAGTTTTAAAAACATAGAACATATCTAAAGATTAAAACATGTTGCTAGTAGGTTTTAGCATAATCTAAAATAATTCCTGGAATATAATTTTCCTATTAATAGAAGGGTTCATTGTTAAATAATACACATTATTTTGAATTATTTTTTCTCAACTAAACTCAGTGGCAGATTGCATGCCAGATATTAACATTACAAAGAGATTTTTTTTTTTGAGATGGAGTCTTGCTCTGTCGCCCAGGCTGGAGTGCAATGGTGCGGTCTCAGCTCACTGCAACCTCCGCCTCCTGGGTTCAAGCGATTCTCCTGCCTCAGCCTCCCGAGTAGCTGGGATTACAGGTGCCTGCCACCATGCCCGGCTAATTTTTGTATTTTTAGTAGAGACGGCGGTTTCACCATGTTGGCCAGGCTGGTCTCGAGCTCCTGACCTCGTGATCCGCTTGCCTCAGCCTCCCAAAGTGCTGGGATTACAGGCGTGAGCCACTGCGCCCAGCCTACAAAGAGATTTTTTAAAACGAATATACCAGTATGGTTTTGTTAATATTCCTATATCCAATACTATCTGCAGACTTAATGCTTTTTCTTTTTGCTTATTTCTTTTCTCTTTGATGCTACTCATAAGTTTCTTCTTCCCTCTCTGTTTCTGTGCCAACTTTAGGTTGAGTTGAGACAATGTGCTTGACAGGTAAACCTGTAATTTGTGATTGGATAATAAAGCATTATTATCTGAAACTTGTTCTTACAGATACCTTTAGAAAATGCTTGAAGAGGCCAGGTGCGGTGGCTCACGCCTGTAATCACAGCACTTTGGGAGGCCAAGGCAGGTGGATTCCTTGAGCCCGGGAGTTCAAGACCAGCCTGGGCAAATAACAAGACTATTTAAAAGAAAAAAAAAAGAAAACACTTGAAGAACCTGAATGTATTGAATTAGAGTTGGAAGGAACCCTAAAAATAGTTTTCTTTCTTCTTTTTTTTTTTTTTTTTTTTGAGACAGAGTCTTACTCTGTCACTCAAGCTGGAGTGCAGTGGTGCGATCTTGGCTCACCATAACCTCCGCCTCCCAGGTTCAAGTGATTCTCCTGCCTCAGCCTCCCGAGTAGCTGGGATTACAGGTGCATGCCACCATGCCTGGCTAATTTTTGTATTTTTAGTAGAGATGGGGTTTCACCATGTTGGTCAGGCTGGTCTTGAACTCCTGACCTCATGATCCGCCCACCTCGGCCTCCCAAAGTGCTGGGATTACAGGCGTGAGCCACTGCACCCAGCCAAAATAATTTTCTAGATAATATTTAAATTACTCCAAGTATGATCTTCAGAGGAAAAGATTATATGATGTGGAAACTCCTTTTCTAAACTATTGTAGAATTTGAATAATACTCATTTTCAGAATTCTCTGCAACAGAACAACATCTCTTTAGACTGTAGTTTGTTAGGTTTTTGCTCTGAGGAGACAGAACAGTTGCTGCTTTACCATTTGTCTTTTACGTGCTTAAAATAAAATTATAAAGTCTTTCTTCAGCCTTCTTATACCCAGTTTCTTTAATCTTTCCTATGGTTCCTGTTTCTCTACTTTTTCCCTGTGGTTTCTTGTGAAAATATAAATCCTCCATGCTGCTTTGTTTAAATAGTACTATGTAAACTCTAAAGTGTTATGCAAATGATAAGTTATTTTATTATTACAAAGATGGTAGACCCTTGAACTGCACGTTTATGAAAGTAGTTCAGTGCTTGCTTTGTTGTTGTTTTGGTTTTTTTGATTCCCAAGTTCTGCCTTAGGATCTCCAATGCTTGCTTTTAATGGTTCTTGGACAATCGATGCTGTTACTGAAAAATTTGGAGTTCATATCTTTACACTCCATGGTCCATATCTCATCACTTTCCTAATTCTTATAACCATTTTATTTAAATTCAGTTCTGATGAACATACACCAGTGGAGGATGAAGAGCCAAAGAAAAGCACTACTTCAGCTTCTACTTCAGAAGGTATTTTTAAAAAAAGGGTATTTTTAAAATACAAGCTATTTTATTGAGAGATTTAAAAAAATCAGTTTGTAAATAGTTGAACATTAGACTTTGCTTTTACTCAAATTGCCCATCGTCTGTTTCTTTTGATGTTCAGAAATAGTTTTTTAGAATATAATTTTTTAATTTGTACTTTCTTAGAAGAAAAAAAGAAGAAGTCTAGCCGTTCAAAAGAAAGGTCCAAGAAAAGGAGAAAGAAAAAATCATCGAAAAGAAAACATAAGAAGTATTCTGAAGATAGCGACAGTGACTCTGATTCTGAAACAGACTCCAGTGGTAAGAACGCCAACAGCATTCTGCAAGCCTTGCTTCAAAACTAGTTTTACTTCTTAAAACTTATTTTAGAAGAAGGTTCCTGAAAACAATAATAATACTGAAGAGTTTTTGAACACTTGCTAACCTTGTGCCAGGTACCCCAATAAGTGCTTTATATTTATTATTGCCATTTAATCCATACAATAACTGTAGGGTACATCTTATAGATGAGGAAATGGAGACAGAGCAGGTTATAAGTACTATCCCTAAGGTCACACAGTTTGGATTCAAACCTAAGCAATCTGACTCCGGATTGGGATTGGTTGTGCAAAGTGTACAAGGCACATGGCACCAGACCAAGTCAGGGGGTTGGGCTGTACCAAAGTAAGCCTTACAGGGCTGCATCGGCCCAGTGGAAGGGCTCTTTTGTTTAATTCTCATGCCCAATGAGCACCTCTACAGTTTTCAAAAAGGTATGCCATAAAGTGCCTACTTCATGCTGGCTGCCTATTTGTGGAAGGCACCCTATCTGGGGTAGTGCATCACAAAGAGTCTCCTTTTTGTACTCTCTCCTGGCTGATGATTGACCAGAAGGTGCCTCCTCTGAGGTTAACACATTACACAAAGATTCACCTTCCTCTGATATCGCCGAAGTTTCCTGGCCCTCCCTGTCACTTCTCTTCCTCAGTGCTCGAAGACAGAACTTTCAAATATTTCTGTATGCAACACTTAAAAAGAGGCATTTTTATACTTAACTACAACACTATCTCATACAATAAAATTAGTAATAATACCCTATACACCAAATACCTACTTAAAATCCTTCAATAGCACTCCATAGCCTTCAGGGTAAAGTTCAGACCCTGACTCATTTCTCTCTAATCACATATACCCTGTTACACTCTCTTGCAACATCCTCTGTAATCTGAAAACTACTTTCTGTCTCCTCAGTATTCCATGTTCTTTCTCTTGTTACTTGGTAGAGAGGCCCTCTGCCTACAATGCCAGTCTCTCCCTCCATCCAGCTTGGTTTACTCATTGCACCAATGGGCATGCATTACTTTTGTAATCAAAGAACTACTTTAAGAGTCACCTTTCCTGATCAACCATTCCTCAGCCACCCTCCTCAAATCAGTCTGATTTTGAGACTCCTCTGTGTGTCCAGGTTCCCCAAGCTTCCCTCTATCATTCCAGATTGTATTGATCTCTTTACCTATCTGTCTCCTCCATTAGACTGAGCTCCAGGAAAGGATTCTCTCTCCCCTCTCCAACACACACATAGTTTTCTTTCCCTTTTTATCACAAAAATATTTAAATATTCAGAAAAGCGAAGAGAATAGTATAATTAATACCATATACTTAATCACCTAGATTTGGCAGTTGTTGGTATTTTTACATATTTGCTTCAAATATGGGTTTTTCACTGAGATAGTCAAAGTTAATTACAAATATCATCACACTTCCACCCTAAATATTTCTGTATGCATCCCGTAAAAAGAGGCATTTTCCTAATTAGCCACCACACTATCTCACACAATAAAATTAATAATAATACCCTATATCATCAAAACCTAGTGACTTTAATTTCTATGTTCATAGTACCTCCCTACAGTTCGTGACAAATAGCAATAAATGTTTCAATGAGGTAATTTCTTTGTAACAATAAATGGGACAGCAATAGGATAGTTACCTACTCAAAAGTACTACGGTTTTAGAGTTAAAAAATTTTTTTCTTAATTGTAATGTGCTTTAATTTGCAGATGAAGATAACAAAAGGAGAGCAAAGAAAGCCAAGAAAAAGGAAAAGAAGAAGAAACACAGATCGTCAGTTTTTTAAGTTTTATTATGGAAAATTTCTTTTCTTTTTTTTTTTTTTTTTTTTTTTTTGAGACAGAGTCTCACTCTGTCAGGCAACAGAGTGCAGTGGTTCGATGTCAGCTAACTACAACCTCCGCCTCCCAGGTTCAAGCGATTCTCATGTCCCAACCTCCCGAGTAGCTGGGATTATAGGCACCCACCACCATGCCTGGCTAATTTTTGTGTTTTTAGTAGAGATGGGGCTTCACCATGTTGGCCAGGCTGGTTTCGAACTCCTGACCTCAAGTGATCCTCCCACCTTGGCCTCCCAAAGTGCTGGGATTACAGGAGTGAGCCACTGCACCCGGCCAGAAAATTTCAAATGCATATAAAATTACATAAAATAGTATAATGATCCTTCCTGCACCTGTCATGCAGTCTAAATAATTATCAACTCATGGGCAGTATCTGCCATCCATCATTTATTTTGGACCCAATCTCAGATATCATTCCATCCATAAGCAATTCAGTACCTTTCTCTAAAAGATAGGCATTCTTTTTGTTTTGTTTTGTTTTTTTTGAGATGAAGTCTCGCTCTGTCGCCCAGGCTGGAGTGCAGTGGCGCGATCTCGGCTCACTGCAAGCTCCGCCTCCCGGGTTCACAAAGATAGGCATTCTTTAAAACAAAACAAAACAAAAAACTGGCCAGGCACAGTGGCACATATCTGTAATCTCAGCACTTTGGGAGGCCAGGCAGGAGGATCGCTTGAGCCCAGGAGTTCAATACCAGCCTGGGCAACATAGCGAGATCCTGTCTCTATATTTAAAAAAAAAACAAAAACCCATAACCAGAATGCTATTATTGTGCCTAAAACATTTAATAATAATTCCTCTATTCTCAGCAGTTTTTTCTGTAGTTTATTCCAATCAGGATCCAAATAATGTCCCTAAATTGCAGTGACCGTATTCTTATGGTATTCTTTGGCATGTTCTGTCCTCTGTATTTCCAATAGATTAATAGGTCTAGAGGCCTGAGAAGGCTCAGATTTGAGTTGGGGCAAGAATACTTCATAAGTGGTGCTGTTTACTGTCAGGAGGCAAATAATGTCTGGTTGTCACTTTTTGTCATATTAACAGCCATTGATGGTCATTATCTCGATCCATTATTTCATTAGGGGTTGTAAAATGGTGATAGTCTAATCCTGGCTTTATCCTTCATTTATTAGGCAGAATGATTCTATAAGAGAAACTTACCCTCATCAACTATTTAGATACCCTGAAATATAGTTTATATTGTAAGAGCAGGATAATTGCTTGATTTTTTTTGTTTTAATGACTTTTCAAATAATGAATTGGATTTTTAAAAAGTATTATTAACCCAAGGATTTAAACATATTTGACATATTTTAATCCATTACACATAAAATTATTCATAATGTTCAAATTGTTGGGACTTTTTAGGCTGTTTTATTTCTGTTGTCTTTCTACAACATCAGAACTGTATTTCATTGTTCCCTTTAGTGAATTTTTTTTTTTTTGAGACCGTGTCTCACCCTGTCACCCAGGCTGGAATGCAGTGGCACGATCACAGCTCACTACAACCTCAACCTTCCAGGATCAAGCCATCCTCCCACCTCTGCCCCCACTTTCCCCATACCTGGGACTACAGGCGTGTGCCACCACACCTGGCTAATTTTTGTATTTTTTGTAGAGACACGGTTTCGTCATGTTGCCCAGGGCTAGTTTCTAACCCCTGGGCTCAAGTGACCCACCCGCCTCAGTCTTCCAATGTGCTGGGATTACAGGGGTGAAACACTACACCCAGCCTCCTTTAGTGATAATTTTTATAGCAAAAGATGATTTGGTTAAATAAGTTAGAATACTTTTTAAAAAAATTCTTAAGAGGCAGTGTCTCGCTCTGTTGCCCAGACTGGAGTGCAGTGGGCTAATCATAGCTCATTGCAGCCTCGAACTCCTGGGCTCAAGTGATCCTCCCGCCTCAGCCTCCTGAATAGCTTAGACTACAGATGTGTGCCATCACACCCAGCTACTTTTTTTTTTTTTTAATAGAGACGGGGTCTTGCTCTGTTTCCCAGGTTCAGTTAGAAGCAGATTTTTTTAAGTAAAATTATCTTGTAAGTTTGAATAAGCTGGGAATTCAGATCATTTTATTGTCACCTTTCTTTGCCTTGAAAAATTAAGATGTATAGTCACCAGTTCAAAATTTAAAAAGAAAAGAAAAATTAAGATGCCCTCTAACATAGGAAGATTAAGTGAATTTGTATCAAATTAAAATCCCTATAGGAAGAAATATAAGAAAAAGAGGTCTAAGAAGAGCAGAAAAGAGTCCAGTGATTCAAGCTCTAAAGAATCCCAAGAAGAGTTTCTGGAAAATCCCTGGAAGGATCGAACAAGTAGGTTCTTCTGATAGACTAACTCAGAACAGATGAAACATTAAAGTAACCAATTAGTCAGAATGTGAATGTGTTTCTTAATATCTTTCATGCAGAGGCTGAAGAACCATCAGATTTAATTGGCCCAGAGGCTCCAAAAACACTTACCTCTCAAGATGATAAACCTTTGAAGTAAGCAGCAGTGTGTTTATAATATCTAAAGTACCTACCAAAAAGTCTGGTTCTAACTTACCTTGCCAAGCTTATCTGACTCTATTCCCTTATTTCTACTCCAGGTTCCAGCTGAGCTGGACTACTAAATATTCCCTGGGCTTAATGTGCACTTTGCAACTTTTATGCCATGTTCAGCTTATTTCTTCATCCAGTATGCCTTCCCTTCTTTTCCCTGCCCTCTGTTTTCTTCCCTATCGCCAGTTTCTTCCTGTTAAAATCCTTACTATCCTTCGAAGCCCTTTTCAAAAGGAGATGCATATGCTGATTCCCAATACTTCCCCTCCACAAGTAGGTGTGATTTCTGTTTCTCTTTGATCCTCACAGAATTTTTTATTCCTTTTTTTCTCTTTTTTCTTTTTTTACCAGCAGAATTTTTTTTTCTTTTTGTGAGACGGAGTCTCGCTCTGTTGCCCAGGCTGGAGTTTAGTGGCGTGATCTTGGCTCACTGCAACCTCTGCCTCCCAGGTTCAAGCGATTCTCCTGCCTCAGCCTCCTGAGTAACTGGGATTACAGGCACGCGCCACCACACTCAGCTAATTTTTTTTTGTATTTTCAGTAGAGATACGGTTTTACCATGTTGGTCAGGCTGGTCTCAAATTCCTGACCTCATGATCCACCTGCCTCAGCCTCCCAAAGTGCTGGGATTACAGGCGTGAGCCACCGCACCTGGTCTAGAATTTTTTTTTTGTTTGTTTTGTTTTGTTTTTTTGAGATGGAGTCTCACTCTGTCTCCCAGGCTGAAGCACAGTGGTGTGATTGAGTTTCACTCTGTTGCCCAGGCTGGAGTGCAGTGGCATGATCTTGGCTCACTGCAACCTCCACCTCCCAGATTCAAGTGATTCTCCTGCCTCAGCCTCCCAAGTAGCCAGGATTACAGGCGCCTGCCGCCACGCCCGGACTAATTTTTGTATTTTTAGTAGAGCTGGGGTTTCGCCATGTTGGCCAGTATGGTCTCGAACTCCTGATCTCAAGTGATCTGCCCGCCTCAACCTCCAAAAATGCTGAGATTACAGGCGTCAGCCACTGCACCCAGCCTACTTTGTTTTTTTTTTTTGTTTTGTTTTGTTTTGTTTTTTGAGACAAAGCCTTACTCTGTCGCCCAGGCTGGAGTGCAGTGACACGATCTCGGCTCACTGCAACCTCTGCCTCCCAGGTTCAAGTGATTCTCCTGCCTCAGCCTCCTGAGTAGCTGGGACTACAAGCATGCACCACCATGCCCGGCTAATTTTGTATTTTTAGTAGAGACGGGGTTTCGCTATGTTGGCCAGGCTGCTCTCAAGCTCCTGATCTCAGGTGATCCTCCCGCCTCAGCCTCCCAAAGTGTTCAGATTGTAGGCGTGAGCCACTGTGCCTGGCATACTTTGGATTTTTTAAGGGAAAAAGGGAAAGGGAATCAGCTGGAGCCAGAACCAGTAATGACAATACCTGTAGGGATAAATTAATCCATAATTGTAAACTGTGAATCTATACTCACAGCAGTTCTTTTCTTTCAAAATATTTCTGCATTTCTGGGTTAGTTGTATAGGTCATAGTGCAATGCAATGTTTAATACACTAATTAGGATAAAGCAATTCACATTGAGCTTCCTAGCACACTACTGCTGAGCACTGTTATTCCTACTCTTGTTTGAGAGAAAATGTGGGGATTTTTGGTGCTCTCTTTAGATTATAAGCTTTTAATATTAAGATGATTTAATGGACCTTTTCTGAATTCTGAATTACTTTGTAGCTATGGCCATGCTCTGTTACCTGGTGAAGGTGCAGCTATGGCTGAATATGTAAAAGCTGGAAAACGTATCCCACGAAGAGGTGAAATTGGCTTGACAAGTGAAGAAATTGCATCATTTGAATGCTCAGGTTATGTAATGAGTGGTAGCAGGTATGTTGTTGGCATTAAGCTCAGTTTCCATGATTAGATCTTTTTCTTCTTTTTTACTACCAGAATTATATTTTGGTAATTGATTTTCATTAAGTGACTGTTTCTTATGAAAAGTAGAGTATAAATATTGGTTTGATATTAGTGTTGTTAGTATAACATGGTTTTCTGCAATTCCAAGTATATATGCAACTCAGCCTCAAACTCAGCTATATCTCTGACTTCAAAGAATCAATCTTCCTAATGTCCTTTCCTAGTTGGTATTTGCTTACAGATATTTTATCCACTGGAGGATATAGTTAAATTCAGCTATTTATCACTGCCCCATGAGGAATGTGGCAGTTAGGAAAATATTTTCACAAGACAGTGTTTCCTGGTTACAAGTTTGTCTTCAGTTTTTTATGGACCCAGATTTCTGAGACTGAATAACAGAAAAAGATGATAAAAGACATTGGTCAGCTGAGAATATATCCTGGCTAATAAATAAATGAATAAATAAATAAATTTTAAAAAGACACTGGATTCAGCATGGGAAATGAATATAAAATTAGGAAAGAGAAAAGTTCCAGGAAGAACCAGGAGAATGAGCAAATAGGGCAGCAGTACTTAGATCAAATTGAATTTTGGATTCTTTAAAACTTGATAAACTTTTTTTTTAAGTAGATAACTATTTTTAAATGACACTGAAGGCAAATATTTGCAGAAACCCTGAAGCACCTCCAGAATCTTGTAATACTGAGGACCAATATTTGAAGCATTGCATTGGAGGACCCACACAGTAAGGCAAGAAAAAGAAATTAGAGACACAAGGATTGGAAAGGAAGGCTGGGCACGGTGGCTCATGCCTGTAATCCCAGCACTTTGGGAGGCCAAGGCAGGCAGATCACTTGAGTCCAGGAGTTCAAGACTAGCCTGGGCAACATGGCGAAACCCTTCTCTACTAAAAACACAAAAATTAGCCAGACGTGGTGGTACACACCTGTAATCCCAGCTACTCAGGAGGCTGAAGCAGGAGAATCGCATGAACCCAGGAGGCGGAGGTTGCAATGAGCCAAGATCACACCACTGCATGCCAGCCTGGAGAGCAAAACTCAGCCTGAAAAAACAGTAATAATAATAATAAGGATTGGAAAGGGCGATATAACAATGTCATTTTTTAGCCAGGCGTGGTGGCTCACGCCTGTAATCCCAGCACTTTGGGAGGCATAGTTGGGTGGATCACCTGAGGTCAGGAGTTCAAGACCAGCCTGGCCAACATGGTGAAACCCTGTCTTTACCAAAAATACAAAAATTAGCTGGGCATGGTGGCGGACACCTGTAGTCCCAGCTCCTCAGGAGGCTGAGGCAGGAGAATCACCTGAATCCAGGAGGAGGTTACAGTGAGCCAAGATCGTGCCATTGCACTCCAGCCTGGGTGACAAGAGTGAAACTCCGTCTTAAAAAAAAAATGTCATTTTTTTGTGAATGACATGGTGAATGATTTGATTGTTTACATAGAAAATCCCAAAGAATCTCCAGATAAATTATAAATGAGAGGAGGGTTTAACAACTGGTTGGATATAAGGTTAGTACACAAAAATCCATTGCATTTCTATTTACCAGCAACAGACAACTAGAAAATGTAACTAAATAAGAAGAAAACATTTGTAATAGTATCAGAGAATATGAAGGACTTCAGAATAAATCTTAACAAAAGATGCCCAGGGCTCTGTGAGGAAAACTATAAAACATTATTAAGAGATTGTGTATTCAATACAGTTCCAATAAAAATGAACTGCATTTCTATTTACTAACAACAGAAACCTAGAACCTTGAACGTTTATAACAGTGTCAGAATATGAGAGACTTAAGAATAAATCTTAACAAAAGATGCCCAAGGTTCTATGGGGAAAAATGTAAGACATTAAGAGTCCATATCTTCAATATAGTTCCAATCAAAATCACAACACAGTTGTTTATGAGACTTATTAAGCTGGTTCTAAAATTTATATATTACACTAAAAGGACAAGAATAGCCAGGTCACTTCTGAAGAAGAAGAGCAAGAAGGTAAGATTAAAGAAAACTTAAATAGCTGGAGAGATACCAGGTTCACGGATAGGAAGGCAATATTGTAAAGTTGTCATTTCTTCCCAAATTGATCTTTATATTCAATACAGTCCCAATCAAAATCAGAACACAGTTTTTCATGAAACTTAATAAGCCAGTTCTAAAATTTATATACTAGACTAAAAGGACAAGAATAGCCAAGTCACTCCTGAAAAAGAAGAGCAGGAAGGTAAGATTTCCCCTACAAATAGGAGGACTTATTATGAAGCTTACAGCACTTTAGAAAGCATAGGAGAACAACTGAATTGTTCAGTGGAATAAAATTCAGGCCGGGCGTGGTGGCTCATGCCTGTAATCCCAGCACTTTGGGAGGCTGAGGCGGGTGGATCACCTGAGGTCAGGAGTTCAAGACCAGCCTGGCCAACATGGTGAAACCCCATCTCTACCAAAAATACAAAAATTAGCTGGGCGTGGTGGCTAGTGCCTGTAGTCCCAGCTACTTGGGAGGCTGAGGCAGGAGAATCGCTTGAACCCATGAGGTGGAGGTTGTAGTGAGCTGAGACCTCGCCATTGTACTCTAGTCTGGGCAACAAGAGCAAAACACTATCTCAAAAAAAAATAAAATAAAATTCAGAGCCCAAAGATAACCATACACGTATGGAACTTCAGTGTATGAAAGAGATAGCATGTCAGATCAATGGGGAAAGAAAGAACTATTCAGTACATGAAATAGGAGGCTGAGGCAGGAGAATCGGTTGAACCTGGGAGGCGGAGGTTGCAATAAGCCGAGATTATGCCACTGCACTCCAGCCTGGGTGACAGAGGGAGACTTGGAAGTTAAATCCACTGATAAAAACTGCTGTTCAATTACAGATTTAGACTTGGTTCTTTTTTTTTTTTTTTTTTTTTTGAGACCTAGTTTCACTCTTGTCTCCCAGGCTGGAGTACAGTGGCGCAATCTCAGCTCACTGCAACCTCCACCTCCTGGGTTCAAATGATTCTCCTGCCTCAGCCTCCCAAGTAGCTGGGATTACGGGTGCCCACCACCACACCCAGCTAATTTTTGTATTTTTAGCAGAGACGAGGTTTCACCACGTTGGCCAGGCTGGTCTTAAACTCCTGACCTCAGGTGACCTGCCTGCCTCAGCCTCCAAAAGTGCTGAGATTACAGGCGTGAGCCACCATGCCCAGCCTAGACTTGGTTCTTTTGGTTTTATGGTAAAGTAGAACCTTGAAGGAAGTTCCATCTGATTAATGACTAGTTAAATGTTTTATCTATCCTACTTCCAATTCCACAAAGGCAAATGGATATGTCACCTAGGAAGTTTAATAATTTGCCCATTTCTGATTGTTTTACTGGAAACAAATTAGACGTATACCCTTAGTATTTGAAATTAATGATAGCGGCCAGGCATGGTGGCTCACACCTGTAATCCCAGCACTTTGGGAGGCCAAGGCAGGTGGATCACCTGAGGTCAGGAGTTCGAAACCAGCATGGCCAACATGGCGAAACCCCATCTCTACTAAAAATACAAAAATTAGTCGGGCGTGGTGGCACACACCTGTACTCCCGGCTACTCGGGAGGCTGAGGCAGGGGAATCACTTGAGCCCAGGAGGCAGAGGTCGCAGTGAGCCAAGATTGTGCCACTGCACTCCAGCCTTGGTGACAGAGCCAGACTTTAAGACTCACAAAAAGGAGAAAAGAAAAAAGGATAGGCCAGGCGCGGTGGCTCACGCCTGTAATCCCAGCACTTTGGGAGGCCGAGGTGGGTGGATCATGAGGTCAGGAGATCGAGACCATCCTGGCTAACAAGGTGAAACCCCGTCTCTACTAAAAATACAAAAAATTAGCCGGGCGCGGTGGCGGGCGCCTGTAGTCCCAGCTACTGGGGAGGCTGAGGCAGGAGAATGGCGTGAACCCGGGAAGCGGAGCTTGCAGTGAGCCGAGATTGCGCCACTGCAGTCCGCAGTCCGGCCTGGGCGACAGAGCGAGACTCCGTCTCAAAAAAAAAAAAAAAAAAAATTAAAAAAAAAAAAAAAAGAAAAAAGGATAACATTTACTATGTTGACAGGAAATCAGAGATCATTATTTGAATAGTGGAAATGAATCAAAGACATATCAGGGCCGGGCACGGTGGCTCACGCCTGTAATCTCAGCACTTTGGGAGGCTGAGACAGGCGGATTACTTGAGGTCAGGAGTTCGAGATCAGCCTAGCCAACATGGTGAAACCCCATCTCTACTAAAAATGCAAAAATTAGCCAGACCTGTTATCTCAGCTACTCAGGAGGCTGAGATGGGGGAATTGCTTGAGCCAGGGAGGTGGAAGTTGCAGTGAGCCGAGATCGTGCCACTGCATTCCAACCTAGGCAACAGAGCAAGACTCCATCTCAAAACAAAACAAAAAAAAAGGACGTGTCAGGCAGCTAAAATATTAATAAATGATCTTTTGGAAATTTAACCCATTTCAATTTTTGTCAGCTGTTAAATAGACCACTCTGGGTAAGAAAGGATTAATGATGATGTACTATGAAAATAATTACTGAGAAATTAAGCCAAAAATAAAATTCTCTCCAGGCATCGCCGAATGGAGGCTGTGCGACTGCGAAAAGAGAACCAGATCTACAGTGCTGATGAGAAGAGAGCCCTTGCATCCTTTAACCAAGAAGAGAGACGAAAGAGAGAGAACAAGATTCTGGCCAGTTTTCGAGAAATGGTTTACAGAAAGACCAAAGGGAAGGATGACAAATAAAGATTTTCTGATTGTCCAGAAGACATTTTTAACAACAAAAAAGAAAGTCTGGGTTCCACACATACATAGAAAAAGATTATTATGTTCTGAGAAAGCTTTACAGTGCTACTGTGCCTTCTATTTAATTCTTTCAGTCCTTCAATAAAAAGCTGCTTATTGATATAACTTTAGCAAGTTCTTTGGGTTATTTTGGATTGACCATAGTAACTTTCTGGTTTAAAAATCCAAATTATGGGCTGGGCACGGTTGCTCACGCCTGTAATCCCAGCACTTTGGGAGGCTGAGGCGGGTGGATCACTTGAGGCCAGGAGTTCGAGACCAGCCTGGCCAACATGGTGAAACCCTGTCCCTACTGAAAATACAAAATCAGCCAGGAGTGGTGGCGCACACCTGTAGTCCCAGCTACTCGAGAGGAAGAGGCAGGAGAATTGCTTGAACCTAGGAGGTGGAGGTTGCAGTGAGCCGAGATTGTGCCACTGCACTCCAGCCTGGGCGACAAAGCAAGACTGTGTCTCAGAAAAAAATAAAAGGCCAGGCACGGTGGCTCACGCCTGTAATCCCAGCACTTTGGGAGGCCAAGGCGGGTGGATCACCTGAGGTCAGGAGTCGAGACCAGCCTGGCCAACATGGTGAAACCCTGTCTCTACCAAAAAATACAAAAATTAGCCGGGCGTGGTGGTGGGCGCCTGTAATCCCAACTACTCGGGAGGCTGAGGCAGGAGAATTGCTTGAATCCAGGAGGCGGAGGTTGCAGTGAGCCGAGATTGTGACATTGCACTCCAGCCTGGGCAAGAAGAGTGAAACTCTGTCTCAAAAAAAAAAAATCCAAATTATGAATAAAATGCTACTGTATTGGAGGAGGTGGCTTGAACAAAAAGTGTTAGTGAGATGAGAAACTTCAATCTCACACCATGAGACAGTGCTACTATTAGCTCTATGTGATGCCTGCCCCACCCCGACCTCTACCCCAGCTGAACTTTTGGGAAATTATCACTCCTCTGTGTTGAATGTGTTATAAATGGACTTGATAGGAACATATAGGAGGCCACTTTTGTTAACAAAATGAAGGCATTGCTGCGAAAAGCAAATCTGGAATTTGAAAACTGACTTGTGTACTATAATATATGATCTACCCTGGAAATAATGGGTTTTGATTTAAGTCCCTACCTCCACTCTAAAACCAACAAACAAACCAAAAAGCAAACTAACCCACAGATTTGTTGAATTGAAAATGTGAACATTAGATATTTTAAATTGTTTTTTTTGAGATGGAATCTCGCTCTTGTTGCCCAGGCTGGAGTACAATGGGGTGATCTCGGCTCACCACAACCTCCACCTCCTAAGTTCAAGCAGTTCTCCTGCCTCAGCCTCCTGAGTAGCTGGGATTACAGGCATGTGCCACCATGCCTGGCTAATTTTGTATTTTTAGTAGAGATGGGGTTTCTCCATGTTGGTCAGGCTGGTCTCGAACTCCCAACCCCAGGTGATCCGCCCGCCTTGGCCTCCCAAAGTGCTGGGATTACAGGCATGAGCCACTGCGTCCAGCCTAAATTCTTAATAAGTTACTTAAAAATAGTTATTTGAAATATAAAGTCTTAAGAAGTCTACTCTTATCCCCATGTAAATACTTTATTTCAATCTGAGCTGATATGAGCTTGAGGATAGGATAACATCCAAAAGAATAGGAGTCAACTATGGTCAAGAGTTTTGATAAGGAAAAATATAATGAGTCAGTATTTTAGCTTAATTGTTTCATAAGAGAAACTAAAATGATATTAAATATTTTTAACTGTCTTTCATATACTAAGTAGATTTCATTTTAAACACTTAAACCTTTCTGTTTGTTTTTAAGTTGGGGAGAAATGGAAAATTGTGGGACTATGATATCGTGGTCTTGTTCCTTTGTTTATTTCGTTCAATTTTAATTAGGTCAGAAGAGTGAATGGGGGAGGGAACCCAGGAAGTTTTGGCTGTTTTCATTAAGGTTGGTTTTCTGTTTTTTGTTTTTTGAGATAGAGTCTCACTCTGTCACTCAGGCTGGAGCCCAGTGGTGTGATCTCGGCTCACTGTAACCTCTGCCTCCTGGGTTCAAGTGATCCTCCCACCTCAGCCTCCCAAGTAGCTGGGATTACAGGCACTCACCACCACAACTGGCTAATTTTTGTATTTTCAATAGAGATGGGGTTTCGCCATCTTGGCCAGGCTGGTCTCGAACTCCTGACCTCAAGTGATCTGCCCGCCTCAGCCTCCTGAAATGCTGGGATTACAGGTGTGAGCAACCGTGCCTGGCCGTTTTTGTTAAGGTTATTTGATCTGCATTATTATTACATGCCTATGATAAATTTAAATTACCTGAGTGATAAGGACATTCTGATTATACTATTGTAAAATGCCCGCTTGCCTTATATTTTTAAGTGGTTGTTTTTCAAAAGTGTTTAAATAAGGCAGTCATATTTCAAAGTATAGAGCAAAAGTTTTTTTATTATTATTTTTGAGACAGGGTCTCCCTCTGTCACCCAGGCTAGAGTTCAGTGGTGCAATCTCGGCTCACTGCAACCTCCACCTCCTGGGCTCAAGCAATCCTCCACCTCAGCCTCCCGAGCAGCTGGGACTACCAGTGTGCACCACCATGCCCAGCTAATTTTTGTATAGTTAGTAGAGACAAGGTTTCACCTTATTGCCCAGGCTGGTCTCAAACTCCAGACCTCAAACAATCCGCCCGCCTCGGCCTCCCAAAGTGCTAGGATTATAGGCGTGAGCCACCACACCCGGCCCAAAGTTTTATAATTAAACAGTATTAACAGTCTTAAATACTATTAAATATATGTTCCAGGAAATGTCTACTTTTAACCCGCAACTACTGAAAATAAGAGTCAGCATGTAGCAGCATTAATGACCCCTGAATTTGAAATGATTTCTGTTTATTTATACCTAATTGTAGTTGCTGCCTAGCCTAATAAATCTGTAGTTTTCAAAAGTTAAAAGAAACTAGTTCCCAAAGTTTTGAGTCTCAATCCATCTACTTCCCTGAATAATAAAACCTGAATTTTGTAATACCCACTTAAAAATTTTATTCTCAGCTGGGCGTGGTGGCTCACACCTATAATCCCAGCACTTTGGGAGGCCGAGGTGGGCGGACCATGAGGTCAGGAGATCAAGACCATCCTGGCTAACATGGTGAAACCCCATCTCTACTAAAAATACAAAAAATGTAGCCGGGCATGGTGGCACGTGCCTGTAGTCCCAGCTACTCGGGAGGCTGAGGCAGGAGAATTGCTTGAACCTGGGAGGTGGAGGTTGCAGTGAGCCGAGATCAAGCCACTGCACTCCGGCCTGGGAGACAGAATGAGACTCCGTCTCTAAATAAACAAACAAATAAAAATGTATTCTCTAAGGACATTTTTTTTTTGGTTACTGGTTCCTAGAGATGAAATGATTATCTTATTTTCAGTAGGCAAGGTAGTTTAAATGCAGAAATTCTGCGATATATGAATATTGTGACATCAAGAACAGCTTCATTGGCATATTCTTTGGGAAAGAGGCAAGAAGAATAAAAGGGCTAAAAGTATTTTATTTTCAGCTTATGAGTGTTGTTACTGCTTCAAATTGTGTTTAGTCACCTGAGCCATAAATCAGTTGTAGTAGGGCTATTGTATTTTAAATATATTTTTTGTTCTCCAAGGAGACTTATCTAGTTTGCCACCTCCTTGCCTATTGCTCTGATGTGGTTTTCCCTCCTTTTTTATTTATTGCACAAATATCTAACAGTTAAAAAAGAAAAATTTCAGTACCATATCAATTGTCTTTCATATTTTGTGTTCCTCCTTTCCAGTGCTTTTCTATGTAAGTAAATATTCTGATGTACTTGTAAGTAATCACTCAGAGCATAATGTAATTTTGTCTTTGGTGTCTTAAAATTTTGCAGCCAGGCAAGAGAGGTTCACAGGGAAGGTAGGAACAAGTGATTATTCAGTGTGAGGATGGGAAGAAGATCAAAGATAAGTAAGGGCAATGATTGTATCCTTCCCGTGTCATTGCCCCTAGTCCCCAAGCCACCCTCCTGCAATCATGAGTATAGTGGTGTATTGTGGAAGGCAGCATGCCCAGTTTTCCAGTTTCAAAATATATTATTTAGCAGTGAGGCTTAACTCCCAGTAAATGAAGGGGTCTGTGAGTAGGGGAACCCTTCAGACTGGTTATATTATGAGCTGTAGAACTGTTGCCATTTTGTTGTTCCCAGTTGTGCCCATAAAGAGATGTGTCTGAGCTGGAGACTTAGGCTCAGATGGGGAACAAACAGCCAAGTACCAACCTTAGTTTGGTCCAATAGGTGAATTTTAGCAACTCTCTAAACTCAGCTCTATACCTGTAAGACTCAGAAGTGATACATATAGTGATAGAAAAAAATACTTTAGAAAATAGAAAACAACTTACTGGTTACTCTGCTAATGTGATGGAGGTTGCAGAATGGAAAATGAATGAATGCAAAAAAATACAGCTGGATTGTGTGCCACAAGTTTATTACTCAATAAATATTCTGTGGTTTGACGTGCTGTATTGTATTTTTAATGTATCCTGATGAGAAAAACAATCCTAAGACATCCTGTAAGTATCAGACACGATTGAATAAGAAGGGGAATGACTCCATGAAACTATATTTGGCATCAGTAAGATTCTTCTGCCAGTTTTCTCGAAAGCGAACCATTCCTGGTCTACAAAGGAAGAAAAACAAACACTTTTAAAGTATTTTTAAATCAAAAGCTTTTAAAATCAAACAAAGGGGATTCCCTATTTACTCTTTTATATTCCTAGTAAGCAAGAAGCCTCTTTTATTGGCGGGGGAGGGGAGGTAGCTAAGGTTCTCTATGTCTATCCTTTACTGTTTCTTAAGCCCAGTCAATGAAAGGATTTATGAGCTTATATGTAAAGATACTTTAAGAGAGCTGCTATAAAAGGGATTATTATACATGAGTTAATTTTATGTGATATTGAAGTTTTCCTTAGAAACGATAGACATGACCCACTTTGCCTCCACCCCACTCCAGCAACTAATCCTCAAGCTTATAATGAATGAAAAACCAGACACTAAGAAAAATAATTTTCTAGAACAGTTTCAGCCCATTCTAATGGGCTTGGTGGTCCAAAGAAGAAAAGTGACCATTACATGAACTATCTGTTGTTGCGCAACTGCTGGATTCCTGGAGTGTGATGACCTTTCTCCCACCCTTTTAAAACAAACCTCCAAATGTTCATTACCTGTGAACTAATGCTTGGTGGTCACCTACATAAGAAACAACAATGGGTGCATCCTAAAAAAGAGAAGGACAACTGTTAGCCCAGACCAGTCATACCAACTCTTTTTGTTTTTTTCAAGATGGAGTCTTCTTGCTCTGTCTCCCAGGTGTAAGTGCAGTGGTGCAATCTCAGCTCACTGCAACCTCCACCCCCTGGGTTCAAGTGATTCTCCTGCCTCAGCCTCCTGAGTAGCTGGGATCATAGATGCCCGCCACCACACCCAGCTATTTTTTTTATTTTTAGTAGAGACGGAGTTTTACCTTGTTGCCCAGGCTGGTCTCGAATTCCTGACCTCAGGTGATCCGCCCACCTCGGCCTCCCAAAGTGCTGGGATTACAGGCGTGAGCCACCACGCCCAGCCCAATCGTACAAACTTAATTCCTTACTTCCCTACACTTGCCCATATGCATACTTTTGAATTTCTAGAATTCATCTTGCTTATGAATTGGGAATCTATAGGTGATAGTTTTTTGTCACTTTAAACCTCCGTTCCCCAAAATATCTTTTTGACAACAAATACCTTAAGAATCTTTACAATATTGGAAATAACTTGGGACAGGCTTGTGCTCCTCATTAATAGGAGTGTAAGTCATTAACCTTCTTTACATGCTCCACTTTACTCAACTGACAATCTCTACCTCATAGGAATGGCATGAAAATGAATTAATATAGATGAAAAGGTGAGAAACATTTTTAAAGCAGCATAAACATGTAGGTTGTAATATTGTCTCAGTAGTCCCTCCCATCCTCGCCTCCAAAATTATACTTGGAATTTTGAGCAAGAGCCATTCTCCCAAGACCTCTCTCTGTGTGGTCTCTGGTGTAGTCTTGTTCCCCTCCACCAGTCTCATTTCCTGACCTCTGACCTGGCCAATTAGCAAGACAGCTGGTAGAGGGATATATGACCAGAAGTAAGATCTCCGCATATTGCACCTCTTTAGATTACTGCAGGTTCCAAACGCTCTGAATAGGCACATTTGTACTAGGATAGGATGAATATAGGACATAGATGGCTCACTGACTGTGTGGTCATATACAAAATCTTAACATCAGGCCAAGGTGCAAATAACTTTTGGGAAAGGATGGGAAGGCAAAGAGGAAATAAAATGTTTATGTCTGTTATGTTTCAGGCACTATGCTTGGTACCAGCCCTGCTCCTCTGACGACCCTTCCCCTAGATTCATGGATGTTATTTTGGCTCTTTTCACACCAGCTATCAAGTTAACATATTTCTTATTCATGGTCTACCTCGTGGATACCAGCAATCATTCTTTCAAGTATTTATTGAGTGCCTACTATTTGCCAGGCCTTGTTTTACAGGAAGACAAAAATCCCAGCCTTTATGGAGCTTACATTCTGATGGAGGGAATAGACAATAATAAAACAATTACAGGGCTGGGTGTGGTGGCTCATGCCTGTAATCCCAGCACTTTGGGAGGCCGAGGCAGATGGACCACCTCAGGTCAGGAGTTCCAGACCAGCCTGGCCGACATGGTGATAACCCATCTCTACTAAAAATACACAAATTAGCTGGGTGTGGTGGCATGTGCCTGTAATCCCAGCTACCCAGGAGGCTGAGGCAGGAGAATCACTCAAACCCAGGAAGCAGAGGTTGCAGTGAGCCGAGATTGGGCCACTGTACTCCAGCCTAGAAGACAGAACGAGACTCCATCTAAAAAAAAAACAAAACAAAACAAAAACAATTATATAGAATATGAAAAGGTGGTGAGTGCTATGGAGAAAAAGCATAGGAAAGTGAGTGAAAGAGGAGGTGAGGGAGCAGGCAATTCACATGCCTAGGGGAGAGTGTTCTAGTCAAAAGAAAAAGCAAGTGCAAAGGCCCTGAGGCAGGACTATACCTGACTTATTTGAGGAGAAGCAAGATCAGAATGGCCAGAGCACAGTGAGAGGGAAGGAGTAGTGGGAAAGCACAAGTAACAAGGGACCAGATCACACAGGGCCTTGTAGGCCCTTACTACTGAAAGCTGGTCTCTAGGCCTGCAGCCTCAGCATGGTCTGCGAGCTTGTTAGTCTTGCAGAATCTGAATCCCTACCCCACACCTGCTGAATCAGATTCTTCATTTTAACAAGATCCCTAAGTAATTTGTACAAACTTTAAATTTCTTTCTTTCTTTCTTTCTTTTTTGAGATGGAATCTCACTCTGTCACCCAGGCTGGAGTACAATGGCATCATCTTGGTCACTGCAACCTCCACCTCCTGGGTTCAAGCCATTCTCCTGCCTCAACCTCCCAAGTAGCTGGGACTACAGGCATGAGCCACCAGACCCGGCTATATTTTTGTGTTTTTCTTTTTTTTTTGAAATGGTGTTTCGCTCTTGGTACCCAGGCTGGAGTGCAATGGCATGATCTCAGCTCACCGCAACCTCCACCTCCTG
This sequence comes from Homo sapiens, assembly GCF_000001405.40. NCBI lineage: Eukaryota > Metazoa > Chordata > Mammalia > Primates > Hominidae > Homo > Homo sapiens. The sequence goes on along the minus strand of NC_000023.11, from coordinate 119,917,528 downwards.
GGTTCAAGCAATTCTCCTGCCTCAGCCTCCCGAGTTACTGGGATTATAGGCATGAGCCACCACGCCTGGCTAATTTTGTACTTTTAGTAGTGACAGGGTGTTGGTCAGGCTGGTCTGGAACTCCCAACCTCAGGTGATCCGCCTGCCTTGGCCTCCCAAAGTGCTGGGATTACAGGCATGAGCCACCGTGCCCGGCCTAATTTTTGTATTTTTAGTAGAAACGGGGTTTCACCATGTTAGCCAGGCTGGTCTTGAACTCCTGACCTCAGGTGATCTGTCCACCTCGGCCTCCCAAAGTGCTGGGATTACAGGCATGAGCTACCATGCCCTGCCAGCACTTTAAATTTTGAGAAGCACTTTTGGAAAGTTTATCTATTTTTTTTTAATTTTTATTTTTATTATTTTTTTAATTTTTTTTTTTTGGAGACGGAGTCTCGCTCTGTCACCCAGGCTAGAGTGCAGTGGCGCAATCTCGGCTCACTGTGACCTCCGCCTTTTGGGTTCAAGCAATTCTGCTGCCTCAGCCTCCTGAGTAGCTGGGATTACAGGCATGCGCCACCATGCCCAGCTAATTTTTGTATTTTTAGTAGAGATGGGGTTTCACCATGTTGGTCGGGCTGGTCTCGAACTCCTGACCTCATGATCTGCCCGCGTAAGCCTCCCAAAGTGCTGGGATTACAAGCATGAGCCACCGCGCCTGCCCTTGGAAAGTTTTAAACAGAAGAATGGGCCAGGCGCGGTGGCTCACGCTTGTAATCCCAGCACTTTGGGAGGCTAAGCCGGGTGGATCACTTGAGCTCAGGAGTTCAAGACCAGCCTGTGCAACATAGCAAGACCTTGTCTCTACGAAAACTCAAAAAAAAAAAAAAAAAAAAGCCAGGCGTGGTGGTGCATGCCTGTAGTCCCATACTTGGGGGGCTGAGGCAGGAGGATGGCTTGAGCCCAAGAAGTAGAGGCTGCAGTGAGCCCTGATCATGCCACTGCCCGCCAGCCAGGGTGACAAAGTGAGACCCTGTCTCAATAAGTAGATAGATATAGATAGATGATAGATAGATAGATAGATAGATAGATAGATAGATAGATAGATAGATAGATTAGATAGGCAGACAGATATAGATAAAACAGAGGAGTGACGGAAATTTGTTTTACAGCTGGGTGTGGTGGCTCACGCCTGTAATCCCAGCACAAAGTTTGCTGGGCATGGTGGTGTGCACCTGTAGTCCCAGCTACAAGGAAGGCTGATGTGGGAGGATCACTTGAGCCTGGGATGTCAAGGCCTCAGTGAGCTCTGATTGTACCACTCTGCCCCAACCTGGATGACAGAGCGACTCTGTCTTAAAAAAAAAAGAGAGAGAAGTTTGAGAAGCACTTTTGGAAAATTTTAAACACAAAAGTGACAAATTTGTTTTACAGCTGGGCGTGGTGGTTCACACCTGTAAGTCCAGCACTTTGAGAGGCTGAGGCAGGAGGATAGCCTGAGGCCAGGAGTTCAAGACCAGCCTGGGTAACAAAGCAAGACACCATCTCTTAAAAAAAAAAAGAAAAAGAAAAATTTGTTTTACAAGACTCATTCAGGCTGCCTGCAACATTGAAAACAGACATGATGAGGGCAAGGGTGGAAGCAGAGAGACTGATTAGGAGGCTACTGACATAATCTTGGTGAGAGAAGATGGTGTCTTGGACCAGGATGATAGAAGTGGAGTAGTAAGAAATTGTTTGGGGGGGCCGGGCACGGTGGCTCAAGCCTGTAATCCCAGCACTTTGGGAGGCCAAGGTGGGTGGATCACTTGAGATCAGGAGTTCGAGAGCAGCCTGGCCAACATGGTGAAACCCCATCTCTACTAAAAATACAAAAACCAGCCAGGCATGGTGGCGCACGACTGTAATCCCAGCTACTTGGGAGGTTGAGACAGGAGAATCACTTAAACCCAGGAGGTGGAGGTTGCAGTGAGCCAAGATCGTGCCACTGCACTCCAGCCTGGGCAATAAGAGTGAAACTCTGTCTCAAAAAAAAAAATTTGTTGGATTCTGGATATATTTTTGAAAGTAGAGCCAATAGGATTTCCTAATGGATTAGATGAGGGATATGAGAGAAGAGTCAAGGATGACACCAAGGATTTTGGCTATTAACTAAGATGAAGACTGCAAGTAGATAGGCTTGGAAGGGAAAATCAGAAGTTCAGTTTTACATACAATAAATTAGATGTTTATTAAACATCCACGTGGGACGGGTCTGTGCTAGAGATACAAATTTGGGGAACATAAGCTCTAGGTGGCATTTAAAGCTATGAGACTGGAAGAGATAACCACAGAACTGAGTATTAGAGAAGAGGTCCAAGGCCTGAGTTTCAGGACATTCCAACATGAAGAGGTTGGTATGAGGCAGGGAAACTACCAGTAGAGACGGACTGTGAAGGAATGGTCAGTGAGGCAGGAGGAAAATCAGGAAAGTATGTTGTTCTAGAAGCCAAATGGAAAGTTTCATGGAGCGGGGAGTGATCAGTTTTGGCAAGTGCCGTGCATAGGCCAGTAAGATGAGGACAGAAGTATGACTATTAAATTTTGTAAAAATGGGGTTATTGATGACCTTGACAAGAGAAGTCTCCATTCTCACTGAAGCCTCACTGAAGGGAGAAAAAGAAGAACTTACCGGTGGTTTGGTTTTGGAGACCTTCATGGTGAAGTAGGTACCAGCAGAGATTCGTGCTACGGGTAGGTCAGCAGTTGAGATACTCCAGTGTACATAGTAGATGTAGAGGAAGCTGTGAATTAAGTCTTTCCTCTCTACAAACTCTACGCCATGTGCCCAGCATTTTTTAGAAACACACTTCTGTTTCATAGAAAAAAGAAAAAGCACACAGAAAAAGAAAAGCCTTCTGTTCAAGTCCTGTAGATAAATGCAGCATGGCTGGGTGCAGTGGCTCATGCCTGTAATCCCAGCACTTTGGGAGGCCGAGGCAGGAGGATTGCTTGAGCCCAGGAGTTCCAGACCAGCCTGGGCAATGTAGCAAGACCCTATCTCTACAAAACAAATTTAAAAATTAGCCAGGCATGGTGGCACGCACCTGTAATCCCAGCTACTGGGGAGGCTGAGGCAATAGGATTGCCCGAGTCCAGGAGTTTGAGGCTGCAGTGAGCTGTGATCGCACCACTACACTCCAGCCTGGGTGACAGAGCAAGACCCTATCCCTAAAAAAACGAATAAATAAAAATAAAGGATAAGTGTGGCATGTAACAGTCAGGGTTAGAGCTCTGTTCTGGAGTCCGCTCCTAATTTTTTTTTTTTTTTTTGAGATGGAGTCTCTCTCTGTTGCCCAGGCTGGAGTGCAGTGGCATGATCTCGGCTCATTGCAACCTGTGCCTCCCAGATTCAAGCGATTCTCCTGCCTCAGCCTCCCAAGTAGCTGGGATTACAGGCGTATGCCACCAAGCCCGGCTAATTCTTTTTGTATTTTTAGTAGAGACGGCGTTTCACCATGTTGGTCAGGCTGGTTTCAAATTCCTGACCTCAAGCGATTTACCCACCTTGGCCTCCCAAAGTGCTGGGAATACAGGTGTGAGCCACCGCACCTGGCCACTCCTAATATTTTTTTATTGGGGTCAAACTAGGGTCAGCTCCCAATTATCACCATGGGTGGAGGAGAGAAAAGGTTAAGCTGAAATGAAACAAGTGAAGAATGCAAACATCAGTTGAGATTGAGCCTTGGACTGTAGGGACACACATTGATTGATTGATTGATTGATTGATTGATTGAGACAGAGCCTCACTTCTTCACCCAGGCTGGAGTGCAGTGGCGTGATCTTGGCTCATTGCAACCTCTGCCTCCTGGGTTCAAGCGATTCTCCTGCCTCAGCCTCCCGAGTAGCTGGGATTACAGGCATGCGCCACCACGCCCAGCTAATTTTTGTATTTTTGGTAGAGATGGGGTTTCACCATGTTGCCCAGGCTGATCTCAAACTCCTGAGCTCAAGTGTTCCACCTGCCTTGGCCTCCCAAAGTGCTGGGATTATAGGTGTGAGCCACCATGCCCAGCAAGGCACACCCTTCAATGTCTACATGTACATACACACAGATGTTGCTTCAGACCCCCTCACAGGAGGCAGGTTCAATTAATTGGAAAATAATTAGAAAGTGATTAGAACACTTGTTCTGCTCATCCCAGGAGACCTAAATGTGTGACTGGAAAGTAATGAGGCTGGCTTTAGCCATTTGTGAAAATCCAACTCACTTAATTGTAGCCATAGGTGGTATATAAAATAAGTTCAGGGAGGCAATAGAATAATCCACATCCTACAGAAAGGAGGGATTCCTTGTTTGCACCCTTGGAGAAGCTTCCCCCTTTCTTTTTAAAATTTTATTTTATTTTATTTTATTTTATTTATTTATTTATTTATTTATTTATTTTAGAGACCAGGTCTTGCTATGTTGTCCAGGCTGGCCTTGAACTCCTGGGCTCGAGCAATCCGCCTGCCTCAGCCTACCAAAGTGCTGGGATTACAGGCATGAGCCACCACTCCCAGGCGCTTTCCCCTTTCAAGGCACAAATCTTCGTAGTGATGAGAGTTGAGAAACAAAATCTTCCTTGGAATGTCTCCTTTGTCTGGGCCTATTCTTGGAGTTGAGATGGGAATACAGTCCCACCACTGCGGATTCTAATACATAGGGCCAACCTTTTCAATCCACAGTTGGTTACATCCATGGATGGGGGGACGACTAAGGGACTTGAGCGCACGTGGATTTTGATATGCATGGAGGGTCTGAAAACGTATTCCCCTGCAGATATGGAGAGCCAACTGTACACAACTAAGGTTAACTACATTATTGAAAGTAGCATTTAGGCTGGGCACAGTGGCTCACGCCTGTAATGCCAGCACTTTGGGAGGCCGAGGTGAGCGGATCACTTGAAGTCAGGAGGTTGCAGTGAGCCAAGATCATGCCATTGCACTCCAGCCTGGGCTACAAGAGTGAAATTCCATCTCAAAAAAAAAAAAAAGTAGCATTCATTCAGTTCTTCTTTCCTTCTTTCCTTCCTTCCTTAATCCATTTTTTATTAACCTTCGATCATATCTATTCTACCTGAAATGTGTCTCAAATCTATCCATTCTTCTCCAGTCCCACTGCCACTGCTCTACTTCAGCTCTTAGTGTTTCTCACCTGGACTTAGGCAATAACCCATCTAGACTCCATTGTCCTCAACCTCACTTCTCCAATCCCCCACCCACAATGAAGCCAGAGTTATTTTCCTTAAGCACAGCTTCAGTCATAGCTGATCAGCTCAAAAACCTCCCGTGGGCCGGGCGCAAGCTTAGTGGCTCACGCCTGTAATCCCAGCACTTTGGGAGGCTGAGGCGGGCAGATCACTTAAGGTCAGGAGTTCGAGACCAGCTCGGCCAACATGGTGAAACCCCGTCTCTACTAAAAATGCAAAAATGAGCCGGGCGTGGTGGTGGGCGCCTGTAATCCCAGCTACTTGAGAGGCTGAGGCATGAGAATCCTTCGAACCCAGGAGGCGGAGGTTGCAGTGAGCTGAGATCGCGCCATTGCACTTCAGCCTGGGCGACAAGAGCGAAACTCCATCTCAGAAAAAAAAAAAAAAAGCAACCTCCAGCAGCTCCCCCATTGCCTGCCAAACAAAATGAAAATGTTTCACTGTGTCATTTAAGACTTCCCACAATGGCCAGGCGTGGTGTAATCCCAGCACTTTGGGAGGCTGAGGCAGGAGGATCGTTTGAGCACAGGAATTTAAGACTGCAGTGAGCTATGATCGTGCCACTGCACTCCAGGCTGGGCAACTCCTTGTCTCAGAAAAAAAAAAAAACAAGTTTCATGTCACACTTTTCTCAACAAAATGCTCATATTCCCATCAAGCTATAGCTAGCACTATTCCCCATGTTTACACCATGCTTTTGATCCAGCTGTTGTCATTTCTTGAGAAGCTTCTCTCTATCACCTACTTGATAAATTCTGTTTTCCTTAAAACTACCACCTCCAAGAAGTCTTTCTGATCCCTCTTCCAACCAGATGTGACTTCACACCCTTTCCCTTTGAACACTGGTGGAACTTGTTTTCTGCCTGTCTTATGGCACTTGAGACATCCCCGCATAGTACAGCCATAAGGAACTGTCTGCGTTGTAGTCTCCATATTAAAAAATTTCTTTTCTTTTTTTTTTTTTTGAAACAGAGTCTCGCTCTGTCACCCAGGCTGGACTGCAATGGCACCATCTCGGCTCGCTGCAACCTTCGCCTTCCAAGTTCAAACAATTCTCCCGCCTCAGCTTCCCTGAGTAGCTGGGATTACAGGCGCCCACCACCACACCCAGCTAATTTTTGTATTTTTAGTAGAGACAGGGTTTCACCATGTTGGTCAGGCTGATCTTGAACTCCTGACCTCACGTGATCTGCCCACCTTGGCCTCCCAAACTGTTGGGATTACAGGCGTGAGCCACCATGCCCGGCCAATATTAAAACATTTCTAACAGGGCTGACTTATCTGTAAGGCATAGTAAGCTCAATACCTAGGGCCCACAAAAAAAATGTGTTCATTTCTTTTAAAATTAGAAGAAAAAGGCCGGGCACAGTGGCTCACGCCTGTAATCCCAGCACTTTGGGAGGCCGAGGAGGGCGGATCACCTGAGGTCGGGAGTTCGAGACCAGCCTGACCAACGTGGAGTAATCCAGTCTCTACTAAAAATACAAAATTAGCCCAGCGTGGTGGTGCATGCCTGTAATCCCAGCTACTTGGGAGGCTGAGGCAGGAGAATCGTTTGAACCCGGGAGGCGGAGATTGTGGTGAGACGAGATTGCGCCATTGCACACCAGCCTGGGCAACAAAAGCAAAACTCTGCCTCAAAAAAAAGAAGAAGAATATATGAATTTTAGGGTCATGATTATATTCATCTTTATACCAGTGCTGTCTTGAATTTTTTCATCTTTTGAAGGAGAAAGGGGGATACAAAGGGAAGAGTGCCTAGGGCCCACAGAAGTCAAAATGCATCCCTGATTCCTGGCACAGGGCCTTAGATTTCACAGGTATTCAACAAATTCAATTCAACTGAACTTCCTTGGGCTGGCTCTCAGGGCACCAGAAGCTTCTGAATCAAAGAAGAGCCTGAATTAAGATGAAGGTTCACAGAAGGAAGGAATTGGGAGAGTCTAACAAGTCCCAGTAATGTGGAGAGGGAGTACAGGAGACATCAAAAAGATTTCAGGCCCTCCTTTAAAAAAAATGTAGGCTGGCCTTTTGCCTCAGCTTATTTCAAACTTGTACCCAATTGGCTGTTTCAGTCCAGAGAAGAGCACTGGACTCGAGATTCCTTGAGATCAGGAGCTGTGTATTCTTTCATGTATCATTATTCCTTTTTTCTGAGACAGGGTCTTACTCTGTCACCTAGGCTGGAGTGCAGTGGCACGATCATGGCTCATTGTAGCCTCAACCTTCCCGGGCTTAAGTGACCCTCCCGCCTCAGCCTCCCAAGTAGCTGAGACTACATACAGGCATGCACCACCACACCTGGCTAATTTTTATATTTTTTGTAGAGATGACAGTCTCCCTATATTGCCCAGGCTGGTCTCAAACTCCTAGGCTCAAGTGATCCACTGGCCTCGGCCTCCCAAAGTCATTATTCCTTCCTTTTTTTTTTTTTGAGACGGAGTCCCTCTCTGTCTTCCAGGCTGGAGTGCAGTGACGTGATCTCGGCACACTGCAACCTCCGCCTCCTGGGTTCAAGCGATTCTCCTTCCTCAGCCTCCTGAGTAGCTGGGATTACAGGTGCTCACCACCACGCCCAGCTAATTTTTGTATTTTTAGTAGAGATCCAGGCTGGTCTTGAACTCCTGACCTCAGGTAATCCACATGCCTCGGCCTCCCAAAGTGCTGGGATTATAGGCACGAGCCACCACGCCTGGCCCCAAAATCATTACTCCTTTTAATGAAGGGGCCCAACAGTCAACCCCTTATGGCTCATTGGAGCATGCCTCTTTTTTTTTTTTTTTATGTTTTTGAGATGAAGTCTTGCTCCGTCACCCAGGCTTGAGTACAGTGGCGTTTTCTCGGCTCACTGCAACCTCCGCCTCCCGAGTTCAAGTGATTCTTCTGCCTCAGCCTCCCGAGTAGCTGGCATTACAGGTGTGCACCACCACATTTGGCTAATTTTTGTATTTTTAGTAGAGATGGAGTTTCTGTGCTCGCTTCGGCAGCACATATAGTAGAGACGGAGTTTCACCATGTTGGCCAGGCTGGTCTCAAACTCCTGGCCACAGGTGATCCACCTGCCTCGGCCTTCCAAAGTGTTGGGATTACAGGCATGAGCCACCGCACCCAGCCAGAGCATGCCTTTTTTTTCAACTGTTCTATATTACTCAATATACTTTTCTAGCCCTAATGTTTAATCTGTCACACAATCACAGACTTTATAACATTGAATAGGTCACTAGAGATAATCTAATGCAGCCCTTCACTTTGCAGATGAGGATACCAGGGCCTAGAAGTAGGTAGGGACAGTCTAACACAATAAACTGGGACTGGTACCCAGGACTCCTGAGCAGCCCGCTCAGTGCTTTCTCCACCCCACTAGAAGCCTCAGTTCTAAGAGTTTCTTCTTCTCAGCTTGGCTCTTAGTGGATTTTTCCTCCCTTTTGTGAATGAAGGCAGCCTTACACATGACATTAAATTTAACTATTTTCATCAGGCGAATCTCCTCCCATTTTTATCCGTGTGCAGGCAGCAGACTTTTATGTATCAGCAGTGAGTGTGTTTTGTGATTTTTACATGATACTGCTTCATATACTCACTTCCAGGAAACAGTATCTCACTGTACTACTTGATCATGGATGGCTTAGCCAACTACATACTACTGGACACTCACAATCAACAGACACATAGAAGTATATGCACAAGGCAAAAAACAATGAAAAAGTATATGCACAAAACTGTTATCCATGGTTAAGTGACCTTTGGGGTAATAGAAACGGGTATTTTGGGTAATTTCATTTTCTAATTTGTATCTTTTTGCTCACTGGGCATTTTTTATAGTGATGTCTTTTTTTTATTATAAAAGTAATTTTAACTGTCTGAGGTGATGGGCATTCTCTGATTTTTCTTTTATAAGGAACCCATTTGTATATTCCTGTTGCCAGACTGTGTTCCTGAAGAGAATGAACCAACTTTGCCATTGGCAATGTGTAAGTGTTCCCTCCCCACAACTATACCATCCTATACCATCCTTCTTTTTTTTTTTTTTTTTTGACAGAGTCTCACTCTGTTGCCCAGGCTGGAGTGCAGTGGTGCGATCTCAGCTCACTGCAACCTCCGCCTCCCAGGTTCAAGTGATTCTCCTGCCTCAGCCTCCCAAGCAGCTGGGATTACAGGCACACACTACCACACCCAGTTAATTTTTTTGTATTTTTGTAGAGACAGGGTTTCACCATGTTGACCAGGCTGTTCTCAAACTCCAGACCTCAAGTGATCCGCCCGCCTCGCCCTCCCAAAGTGCTGGGATTACAGGCGTGAGCCACCGCGCCCAGCCTGTACCAGCCTTCTGATACCAGGTTTAATTATTCGTATTCACATTGTAGTACCTTAAAATCATTTGAATTTGTATTTTTAAATGATAATAAAAGTCTGCATTATTTTTGTCATCCAAAAGTACTTTTCCTGGGTCAGTAGAAGCTGATGAGAAAAAACAAATAAGAAAAAAAAATACTTTTCCTACTGTGGTGGAAAGAATATATCAGATAGAACTGACTGGGTGCAGTGGCTCACACCGGGTGCAGTGGCCACTGCCAGTGGCTGGCAGTAATCCCAGCACTTTAGGAGGCCGAGGCAGGAGGACCACTTGAGGCCAGGAGTTCAAGACCAGCCTGAGCAACAAAGTGAGACCTCATCTCTACAAAAAAATAAAAAATTTACTCGGCCATGGTGCTGTGTACCCATAGTCCTAGCTACTCAGGAGGCTGAGGCAGGAGGATCACTTGAGCCCAGGAGTTTGAGGCTGCAGTGAGCCGAGATTGCGCCACTGCACTCCAGCTTGGGCGACAGAGCAAGACTCTGTCTCAATAAATAAATAAATAAATAAATATTTTTTAAAAAGAATGTATCAGGCCAGGCACAGTGGCTCACGCTTGTAATCCCAGCACTTTGGGAGGCTGAGGTGGGCAGATCACTTGAGGTCAGGAGTTTGAGACCAGACTGGCCAACATGGTGAAACCCCATCTCTACTAAAAATGCAAAAATTAGCCAGGCATGGTAGCATGCACCTGTAGTCCCATCTACTCGGGAGCCTGAGGCAGGAGAATCCCTTGAACCCAGGAGGCAGAGGTTGCAGTGAGCCAAGATGGTGCCACTGCACTGCAGCCCTGGGTGACAGAGCAATGCCCTGTCCCACAAAAAAAAAAAAAAAATCAGACAGACATATGATCATAACTTTGTTTTGCTGCTCAATCAGAGAGAGGTTGGGCAATTTGTGCAAAGTTCTCATCTTTTAAATGGGTACACTGATATACCCACACACAGTTTTGTTGTGAGGATTAAACGAGATAATGCATGATGATGTGCACTGCAGTGCTTAACACATAGCAGTACTCAGTAAATGGCAACTCCTAATTTACCATCCCCTGATGTGTAGTGGACCCTGGGAAACTGGCAATAAGCTTGAAAAAGCTCTCCATCAGAAATGCCTCACACTTTGGCCGGGTGCAGTGGCTCACACCTGTAATCCCAACACTTTGGGAGTCCAATGTGGGTGGATCACCTGAGGTCAGGAGTTCGAGACCAGCCTGGCCAAAATGGTGAAACCCCATCTCTACTAAAAATTAAAAATAAAAAATAAATTGGCCTGGCATGGTGGCAGGTGCCTATAATTCCAGCTACTCGGGAGGCTGAGGCAAGAGAATCACTTGAACCCAGGAGGTGGAGGTTGTAGTAGGCCGAGATCGCACCATTGCACTCCAGCCTGGGTGACAAGAGTGAAACTCTGTCTCAAAAAAAAAAAAAAGAAGGGCCGGGCGCGATGGCTCACGCCTGTAATCCCAGCACTTTGGGAGGCCGAGGCAGGCGGATCACAAGGTCAGAAGATCGAGACCATCCTGGCTAACATGGTGAAACCCTGTCTCTACTAAAAATACAAAATATTAGCCAGCACGGTGGCACACGCCTGTAGTCCCAGCTACTCGGGAGGCTGAGATAGGAGAATCACTTGAACCTAGGAGGCGGAGGGTGCAGTGAGCCAAGATCACGCCACTGCACTCCAGCCTGGGCGACAGAGTGAGACTCCGTCTCAAAAAAAAAAAAAAAAAAAAAAAAAAAGAAATGCCAGGCATGCTGCATTAGTGGGGCTGGGAACAGGGCGATTTTACATCATGAGTTAATATAACATGTTTAGCTTTTCAGTCATTTACTTTTTAATTGTCTCTGTCCTCACAACAGCCCTACGAAATAGGTAAGACAAATCCTTTGACCTGGCTCTTCATCTGTGAAGAAATACGGTAATGCAATAATAAATCTGCTCATGTATTCAACATAGAGTTATTGAGCATCTGTGTACCTGACATTGCTAGGGGCTGGGAAGAGAGCAGTCAAGAGAAATCTGCCCTCATGGACCATATGGTCTGGGGGTGGAAGACAGGCAGTAGGACAAGTAAATAGACTCTAGTAGGCAGAAAGAAGTGCGAAGGGAAAAATGAATCAGAGAAGTGGAGAGGGTTGTGATTTTAGATGAAGTGGCCAAGAAAAGCCTCAATGAGCAGGTGATAGTTTTCAACAAAGATCTGAAGGGAGGTAAAGCAGTGAGCCATGGGTATACATCTTAGGGGAGAGGGTTCCAGGCAGAGGGAACAGCAAGAGCAAGGGTCCTGACAGGGGAACATGCCTGGCAGTCGAGGAACGGCAAGGAGGCAAGTGTGGCCGAGGGAAGAAGGTGAGAGGGGGGAAGGAGTGATGGGAGCTGAACCATAAATCAGGAGGGGAAAGGGAACTCAGATCATATTGGGCCTTGTAGACCATTGTCAGGACTTACTTTTGCCTTTTACTCAGAATGACCAGTGGGATTTGCAAGGGAAATTTTTCCTACTTGCTATGTGTTCCATTCTAGTTTGATTCAGGAACCCTGAGTGCAGTAGGCAGGGGCCTTTGCCCAACCCCAAATGGAGAAGTGCTCCACAGCAGGAAGGCTCAAGAATAACTTGCACCATTCATCTTCACTATGCTCAAGATACCCCTCCTAATGAGAACGGTGAGTGGCGTCCGCTGGAGCATAGAAGGCGTGGAGCCAGAAATCCCTGACTTTTCCTCCTTCACACCTGACCAGGCCTTCCTAAGGCCTGGGAAACTGCCCTGAGGGCTGTAGGCTTTGAGGTGCTGGCCTGGGGAACAGAGAGAGCTGGAACTTTTCCCAGGGGTAGGGGAGTTCGCCTCCACCAATTTCAACTGGTCTCTGTTCCACAGAAGCACAATGAGAAGGATTTCAAGCCTTTTTTTTTTTTGAGACAGGGTCTCACTCTGTCACCCAGGCTGAGTGCAGTGGCACAATCACAGCTTACTGCAGCCTCGACCTCCTGGGCTCAAGTGATCCTCCCACCTCAGCCTCCTGAGTAGCTGGAACTATACGTGCATACCACCACGCCCGGCTAATTATTATTATTATTTTTTGAGACGGAGTCTTGCTCTGTCGCCCAGGATTGAGAATGCAGTGGTGTAATCTCAGCTCACTGCAACCTCTGCCTCCTGGGTTCAAGCGATTCTTCTGCCTCAGCCTCCCGAGTAGCTGGGATTACAGGCGCCCAGCACCACGCCTGGCTAATTTTTGTATTTTTAATAGAGACGGGGTTTCACCATATTGGCCAGGCTGGACTTGAACTCCTGACCTTGTGATCTGCCCACTTCGGCCTCCCAAAGTGCTGGGCTTACAGGCGTGAGCCACTATGCCTGGCCTAATTTTTTAGTTTTATAGAGATGGGGTCCCACTATGTTGCCCAGGCTGTCTCAAACTCTTAGGCTCAAATGATTGATTCTCCCGTCTTGGTATTTCAAAGTGCTGGGATTACAGATGTGAACCACTGCGCCTGGCCCAAGCCATTCTCCTTTATTCACTCACCAGTTATGCAAAGTAATCCAGGGCCTTCTCAGCAAAGCTGCCACACGAAGAAGTCAGAGTCAGACACAGGCAGAAGAACAAAGGAATTCATGGGATTGTACATCTTACTATGCAGGCAATATATTCCAAAGCCAAATCAAAAAGTCTTTTGATCCATCTGCATCCCCTCTGTTAACAGGAGCATTCTAAAGTTGGTGGTGGAGGCTGGGTGCAATGGCTCACACCTGTAATCCCAGCACTTTGGGAGGCCAAGGCAGGAGGATCCCTTGAGGCCAGGAGTTCGAGGCCAACCTGAGCAACATAGCACGACCCTGTCTCTACAAAAAAAAATTAAAAATTAGCCAGGTGTGGTGACACGTGCCTGTCTACTTGGAAGGCTGAGGTGGGAAGATCGCTTGAGCCCAGGAGTTCAAAGCTGCAGGGAGCTAGGATCGAGCCCCTGCACTGCAGCCTCGGTGACAGAGTGGGACCCTGTCTCTAAAAAAAATAAACAAAATAATGGTGGTGGAGAACTCCTATTTTGGAGGAGCATCTCCCTCCTTAGGCCACTAGGCCCCCATTTAATGCACCAGCATGGACAAATTGCTTAAGTAGGAAGAGCAGATTTTCCCAGGGAAATGTAAGGTTAGAATGATACAGACACAGGGAAAATGATTGTGATTGTGCATTTCACCTTCAAAGACTATCCCACCTTGATTTTGGAACTGAGATGGAGATGATGTTTACTTATTCTAGTCAGCCCCCTTTGATACCATCTCCTAGATTTTCCAGACTTCAAACTTTTGATCTGCTGAGAGTCTCTTTATTGTTCTTCACACCGGTGTACCATGCTGGAGTGGTCGGCCTAACTTACCGAAAAATATTCGTCAATTTGTTTAAGACCCTTTTCCACAGTGAATTCACCGTGAGTCATCCACTTGATGTTTTTCAAAGGGTTTCGCTCCTCTGCAAAAAAAAGGTGTGAGTTCGTTAGTTGCCAGGTAGTGTGGTGCTATATTTAGACTATATAGACAATTATTTAGGCATCCAAACAAACAGGATCACTACCTTCCACAATCTTAACAGCATAATTGATGACATCCTCAACCAGAGCTAGAGCTACTTGAGTCAATTCATCCTCGTAGTTCTTGTCTTGTGTATTCGGCATTGTTTGGCTTGCGGCTTTGTTATCCTCATCCATTGCTTTCTGGCTTGTTGAATTTTGAGTCTCACTCATTTTCTTTTTCCTGGGGAAAAAAAGAAGTTACTGTGTGCCTGTGTGTGTACACACATGTGAACGCACTCATATAAGTACAGATCATCTCTTGAAGAATCACAAGAGACAGGAAGCAGTTATTGCCTCTAGGGAGGGGATTAGGGGTTTAAGGGTAGGAGTCAGACCTGTGCCTGGCTGCTGCTATCTACTTTTCCTGAAAACCAAGGATTCTCACATTCTCAAAATCATAATGAGGCCCGGCGCGGTGGCTCACGCCTGTAATCCCAGCCCTTTGAGAGCCCGAGGCGGGCGGATCACCTGAGGTCAGGAGTTCAAGACCAGCCTGACCAACATGGTGAAACCCCGTCTCTACTAAAAATGCAAAATTTGCCGGGTGTGGTGGCGGGCGCCTGTAATCCCAGCTACTTGGGAGGCTGAGGCAGGACAATTGCTTGAACCTGGGAGGTGGAGGTTGCAGTGAGCCAAGATCGCGCCATTGCACTCCAGCCTGGGCAACAAGAGCAAAACTCCATCTCAAAAACAAAACAAAAAACAAAAAAAACACCATAATGACTTAAATCAAAATGTAGTAGAAAAAAAGTAGCACTTCTTTGGAGTGCCTAGCAATATTGATTCCAAGTTGAATCTTTGATAAGAAACCCAATCCCTGCTAGGAGCAACTGAGGGCACCTGGCTCTTTTAAAATGATGTTAAAATGAAGTGGGTGTGGTGGCATGTGCCTGTAATCTCAGCTATTCAGGAGGCTGAAGCAGGGGGACAGTTTGAGGCTATGAGTTTGAAACCAGCCTGGGCAACATAGTGAGATCTCCCCACTCCCCAACCTGTCTTAACTTTTAAAAAGAAATATAAAGGCCCGGCGCGGTGGCTCACGCCTGTAATCCCAGCACTTTGGGAGCCTGAGGCAGGCATATCACGAGGTCAGGAGTTGAAGACCACTCTGGCCAACATGGTGAAACCTCGTCTCTACTAAAAATACAAAAATTAGCTGGGCATGGTGGCTCATGCCTGTAATCCCAGCTACACAGGAGGCTGAGGCAGGAGAATTGCTTGAACCGGGACCCAGGAGGCAGAGGTTGCTGTGAGCCGAGATCGCACCACTGCACTCCAGCCTTCCAGCCTGGGCTACAGAGGGAGACTACATCTCAAAAAAAAAAAAAAAGTATAAAGACAGTGTTTTGTTTTTTGTTTGTTTGTTTGTTTGTTTGAGTCAGAGTTTTGTTCTTGTTGCCCAGGCTGGAGAGCAATGGCGCTATCTCGGCTCACCGCAACCTCCGCCTCCCGGGAGAATCCAGGTTCAAGTGATTCTCCTGCTTCAGCCTCCCGAGTAGCTGGGATTGGAGGCATGCGCCACCACGCCCGGCTAATTTTGTATTTTCAGTAGAGATGGGGTTTCTCCAAGTTGGCCAGGCTGGTCTCGAACTCTTGACCTCAGGTGATCCACCCGCCTCGGCCTCCCAAAGTGCTGGGATTACAGGCGTGAGCCAGCGCGCCGGCTAAGATAGTGTTTTTTTTTTTTTTGAGACAAAGTTTCGTTCTGTCGCCCAGGCTGGAGTGCAATGGCACAATCTTGGCTCACTGCAACCTCCGCCTCCCGGATTCAAGTGATTCTCCTGTCTCAGCCTCCCGAGTAGCTGGGACTACAGGCGTGTGCCACCATGCCTGGCTAATTTTTTGTAGTTTTAGTAGAGACGGGGGTTCACCATGTTGGCCAGGCTGGTCTTGAACTCCTGACCTCAAGTGATCCACCCACTTTGGACTCCCAAAGTGCTGGGATTACAGGTGTGAGCCACCACACCTGGCCTATAAAGATAGTGTTAAAATGAGTAGAGGCATTACAGCAGAGGAATATTGGTTTCATAATTCTCTCTCTTGGGTTTTTCCAGTACAGTATACAATTATATCATCTCCAATAAACTGTCACTTTTATCATCTTTTTTCCAGGAGTATATATCTCTTATGAGTATTAGCTTTGGTTAATACTTCCAGAAAAATGTAAAATGAAAGTGGAAATAATGAGCATCCTCCTATTGTGTCTGACTTTAATGGCCTTGCTTTCTGGTGTTACACCATTAGTATGATGCTGGTTTGTGGTTTGAGATGTATCACATCAAGAAAACATTCGTCTGTTCCTGTTCTAGTAAGATTTTTATCATAAATGATAGCTATAATCTTCCAGATGCCTTTAACATGTATTGACAATGTGAAAATTTGTGTTACTAGGGCTGTAAAGATGGCTCCATCACAGAGCTAGAAGTCTTTCCTCATTTTCAATGTTTTTTACATCTTTTCCCTTGAGTCTTAAATCCTTTCTTTTCTTGCTACTGTTTAAGTCTCTTTGCTTATGAAAAATTGCTTACTTCCAGCACAGCTTTAAATTCCTTACAGGCAGCCGGGTGCAGTGGCTCAGGCCTGTAATCCCAGCACTTCGGGAGGCCAAAGTGGGAGGATCGCTTAAGTGCAGGGGATTGAGATCAGCCTGGACAACATAGCAAGGCCCCATCTCTACAAAAGTTTAAAAAATTAGCCAGGTATGGTGATGTGTGCCTGTAATCCCAGCTTTCTACTCACAAGGCTGATGTAGGAGGATCACTTGAGCCTGGGAGGTCGAGGCTGCAGGGAGCCGTGATCTCACCACTGTACTCCAGTCTGGGTGACAGAGCGAGACCCTGTCTCAGAGAAAATAAAAAACATGGCCAGGCACGGTGGCACACGCCTGTAATCCCAGCAATTTGGGAGGCCAAGGGGTTAGATCACCTGAGGTGAGGAGTTTGAGACTAGCCTGGCCAACATGGAGAAACCCCATCTCTACTAAAAATACAAAAATTGGCCTGGGCCAGGTTTGGTGGCTCATGCCTGTAATCCCAGCTCTTTGGGAGGCCGAGGCGGGTGGATCACCTGAGGTCAGGAGTTCAAGACCAGCCTGGCCAACAAGGCAAAACCCCGTCTCTACTAAAAATACAAAAATTAGCCAGGTGTGGTGGCACGTGCCTGTAATCCCAGCTACTCGGGAGGCTGAGGCAGGAGAATCGCTTGAATCTGGGAGGCGGAGGTTGTGGTGAGCCCAGATCACGCCATTGCACTCCAGCCTGGGCAATGAGAGTGAGACTCCATCTCAAAAAAAAAAAAAGTTGGACTGGCATGGTGGCCAGCACCTGTAATCCCAGCTACTCGTGAGGCTGAGGCAGGAGAATTGCTTGAACCCGGGAGGCAGAGGTTGCAGTGAGCCGAGATTGTGTCGCTGCACTCCAGCCTGGTGACAGAGCAAGGCTGTCTCAAAAAATAAAAAATAAGTATGTTGCAAGCAATCCTTCCATTGAGTGGAAGGGCTACATGAAAGTGGGTATCTCTCTCCAAATGGAGCTATTTTTCTATAAATAACAGCTCCCAATTTGGGGGTGTTTAATGTGCTATGTTTCATTTAACTGTCATCACAGCCCTATGAAAGAGTGCGCTGGGCACCTTCCATTTGCCTTTCCAAATCCACTGTCCTTGCATCTCCTCCTGCTTCCTGCCCTGGAAAACTAACCTGACTGCACCCATAAATGGTGCCCTCTGGCTTCTAGGGGGTTCCACACAATAAGGAGATCAGGAAGTCAAAATGTATGTCCCTGGTGGTTTTCTCCCTGCGAGTTGGCTGATGGCTGGCTGCATGAAGTCCCCAGCGTCTTTCAGGGTGGCGCTCTCCCAGCTTCCCAGTGTGGTAAGGGTAAGCATTCTCTCCCCTCAACGTTTTAGGCCCACTGTTACTAGCCCCGGGGAGCTGCACCTTCCTCTGTTGCCCTGCAATCTGGCCACACCTTTGTAAATATTCCCTTACTTAACCCTTCTACAGCTATCCTCATTTTAATATGCCAACAGTTTCCTACAGGAGCCCTGAGTCACAGACAGAGGGCCTGTTGCTGCCATGTGAAAATGAGGAAACTGAGCTGTACACCCACAGTGTCTGGCTTCACAGCCCATGCTCTCAACTGTGCTGCTCTTCTCCCTCCAAGATTGAGAAAGAGCAGTAGGGCCCTATTCTCACATTTTCTTTCTTCCTTTTTTTTTTTTTTTTTTTGAGACAGAGTCTTGTTCTGTCACCCAGGCTGGAGGGCAGTGGCACGATCTCCGCTCACTGCAACCTCCGCCTCCTGGGTTCAAGCAATTCTGCTGCCTCAGCCTCCCGAGTAGCTGGGATTACAGGCACCTGCCACCACGCCCAGCTAATTTTTGTATTTTTAGTAGAGACGGGGTTTCACCATCTTGGCCAGGCTGGTCTTGAACTCCTGACCTCCTGATCCACCCACCTCAGTCTCCCAAAGTGCTGGGATTACAGGTGTGAGCCATCGCGCCTGGCCTTATTCTCACATTTTCATCTAGAGTCCAGTGACCCACTCTCTCTCTGGGAGCCTCTTTCACAAAAGGCAACTCTTTTTTTTTTTTTTCAAGACGGAGTTTTCACTCTTATTGCCCAGGCCGGAGTGCAATGGCGAAATCTCGGCTCACTGCAACCTCTGCCTCCTGGGTTCAAGTGATTCTCCTGCCTCAGCCTCCCAAGTAGCTGGGATTACAGGTGTCCGCCACCATGCCCGGCTAGTTTTTGTTATTTTTAGTAGAGATGGGGTTTCACCATGTTGGCCAGGCTGGTCTTGAACTCCTGACCTCAGGTGATACACCTGCCTTGGTGTAATCTCCAAAGTGCTGGGATTACAGGTGTGAGCCACCACGCCCGGACAAAGGGCAACTCTCTGTTTCCTTTCTTGACATCATCATTGATCCCAGGGGGTAGTAGATACTGCAAAAGGCAACCTGGCTCCAACGGCCATCAGTTCAAGAACCACTGGGACAGCCTTTGAACATCCCTGAAATAATGTTGGCTATTGTTCATTTTAGCTTTTTGTTTTCCTTTTTTTCCTCTTGAGATAGAGTCTTGCTCTGTTACCTGGGCTGGAGTACAGTGGCGCAATCACAGCTAGCTGCAGCCTCAACTTCCTGGGCTCAAGTGATCCTCCCACCTCAGCCTCCTGAGTAGTTGGGCCTAAAGGCCTATACCACCACAGCTGGCTATTATTTTTTTCTTTTGATACAGAGTCTCACTCTGTCACCCAGGCTGGAGTGCGGTGGCGCAATCTCGGCTCACTGCAACGTCCGCCTCCTGGGTTCAAGCAATTCTCCTGCCTCAGCCTCCTGAGTAGCTGGGATTACAGGTGTGTAAATACAAAATACAAAAGTATTGTAAATACAAAAATATGCCCAGCTAATTTTTGTATTTTTAATAGAGACAGGGTTTTACCATGTTGGCCAGGCTGGTCTTCAACCCCTGACCTCGGGTGATCTGCCCACCTCGGCCTCCCAAAATGCTGGGATTACAGGCATGAGCCACCGTGTCCTGCCTACACCAGGCTATTTATTTTATAGGTCTCAGTATGTTGCCCAGACTGATGTTGGCATTTTTAAGCTCAGTTTGCCTCTGCCCCAGTTCCTTGTTGCTGCAGCTGGAGGTAGACAGGATCATCTGCCAGAGCACACAGAGCATTTCCAGGTTGCCCACTCCAGAGCAGCCAGAGGCTAAAGGGTGGTCAGTGAGGAGCCTAAAGGTCCTTAACACTAGAGAACTGGCTCTCCCTAGCCCTTACTTAGGCCATGCCAATTTGGCCAGAGCAACCTGCTATAAACTCTGTAGTTAAAGACAACTGTACAAAGGTTTTTGGGTAAATTGGTAATTTCAGTAGACTTTGGTGAGGTAGCCATATATCAACTTGATCCTTTAGAAAATTGTCCATTTGGGCCGGGCGCAGTGGCTCACACCTATAATCCCAGCACTTTGGGAGGCCAAGGCGGGCGGATCACGAGGTCAGGAGATCGAGACCATCCTGGCTAACACAGTGAAACCCCGTCTCTACTAAAAATACAAAAAATTAGCCAGCCGTGGTGGCGGGTGCCTGTAGTCCCAGCTACTTGGGGGTCTGAGGCAGGAGAATGGCATGAATCCGGGAGGCAGAGTTTGCAGTGAGCCAAGATCTCACCACTTCACTCCAGCCTGGGCAACAGAGTGCAACTCCACCTCAAAAAAGAAAAGAAAGAAAGAGAGAAAGAAGGAAAGAAGAAAAGAAAGAAAGAAAATTGTCCATTTGGGGCCGGGCGCGGTGGCTCACACCTGTAATCCCAGCACTTTGGAAGGCCAATGTGGGAGGATTACCTGAGGTCAGGAGTTCGAAACCAGCCTGGCCAACATGGCAAAATCCCGTCTCTACTAAAAATACAAAAATTAGCCAGGCATGGTGGTGCATGCCTGTCGTCCCAGCTACTCGGGAGGCTGAGGCAGGAGAATCACTTGAAACCAGAGGCGGAGGTTGCAGTGAGCCTTGATCGCGCTGCTGCACTCCAGCCTAGGCGACAGAGCGAGACTCTGTCTCAAAAAAAAAAAAAAAGAAAAAAAGAAAAGAAAAGAAAATTGCCCATTTGGTAACTTGGACATTCAGTAACTTTGCTTTCAGCAAATTTCCTATTGATAAATCGATGAGAAGTCAAATCTGTGACCTCCAACACGAAGCACATGGGGTGTGTGCTTTATGCATGGAAGGACCTCCTTAAGACTTTCCCTGGGGAGCCTGTGCTCCAACAGGAGAGGGAAGATGGGGAGCAGTGCCCAGGAAGAAGCTCAATTTTTACCCTCACACGTCTGTGGGCCCACACCATTCTTAAGCCTCCCTCCCACTGGCATCTCCTAGTTATTTTTCTTCCCTTCCCTCCCCTCCTCTCCCCTCCCCTCCGCTCCCCTCCCCTCCCCCTCCCTCTCCCTTGTCCTCCCCTCCCCTCCCCTCCCCTCTCCTCCCCTCCCCTTCTCAGAGGCCAGATAGGCAGGGTGGGTAGGAAGAGATGGGGGGAATGGTAACGTTTGGGGTCTGGGTGATGAATAGGGAGAACCACTGCAAGTCCTTTCTGTGGACTCCCCCACCCCGGAGAATCCCCAGTACCGGAGTGAGCAGATCTTCTTTGCTTGGAACAGGAGCAGTGGTAGGTGGCTGGGGATGTCTCAGGATTCTCTCAGTAGCTTCTCTCAGATTGCCAGATGGAATGTTTGCAAGTGCTGCCAAGGAAACAACAATTTCAACCAATGGGAAGCATAGCCTACATGTTTCTGACTGCTTATGTTAATAACAGAGGGTAAGATGGGAGGGGGTGAGGGAAGGAGGGGAGAGCCAATCACAGCAACTGTCTGACCGCAATAATAGGACCAAACTGTAGTAGCTATACCTAGCTTCTCTTCAGCCGAAGATGAGCTTACAGGGCCATGCCAGGAAGAACAGTGGTGATAAGCCTCACAGCTGGTATGTATTGGGCATCCCTATGATATGCCAGTCACTGTGTTAAGCCTTCAGTGTCTGAAGTCATTTACTCCTCACAATAGCATTATGAGGTATTAGTATTTGCATATTGCAGTTGAACAGACTGAGGTACAGAAAGTACTGTCCCAAACTCACACCCAAAGCTGACTTCTTTGGCTGAGCTTTTACTTTTTCATTTCCAAATTCTGAGGTTAGGACTTCCCATGTGTACTTCATTGCTTTGCAAACCAAAAAGTATCTGAAACAGGTCTCAATTTACCAGTTTATTTTGCCAAGGTTAAGGATGTGTCTGGGAGACAGGTCTGTGCCTTTCTCCAAAGATGACTTTGAGGGCTTCAGTATTTATTTATTTATTTAAAGACAGGGTCTCACTGTCACCCAGGCTGAAATGCAGTGGCACAGTCATGGCTCACCCCAGCCTCCACTGCCTGGGCTCAAGTGATTCTCCCACCTCAGCCTCCCAGGTAGCTGGGACTATAGGTGTGCCACCACCACACCTGGCCAATTTTTAAATTATTTGTAGAGACAAGGTCTCGCTCTGTTGCCCAGGCTGGTCTCGAACTCCTGAGCTCAAGCTATCCTCCTGCCCCAGCCTCCCAAAGTGCTGGGATTACAGCCATGAGCCACCCCACCTGGCCAGGCTTCAGGTTTTAGTTTGTTTGTTTGAGATGGAGTTTCACTCTTGTTGCCCAGGCTGGAGTGCAATGGCACGATCTTGGCTCACTGCCACCTCTGCCTCCCGGGTTCAAGCGATTCTGCTGCCTCAGCCTCCCAAGTAGCTGGGATTACAGGCTCCTGCCACCACACCCAGCTAGTGTTTGTATTTTTAATAGAGACGGGATTTCACCATGTTGGTCAGGCTGGTCTCGAACTCTTGACCTTAGGCGATCCATGCACCTCGGCCTCTGATGGTGCTGGGATTACAGGCCTGAGCCATCACGCCCGGCCTAGGCTTCAGTATTTAAAGGAGAAATGCAAGGGCAGGTGCAGTGGCTCACGCTTGTAATCCCAGCACTTTGGGAGACCAAGGCAGGCAGATCACCTGAGATCAGGAGTTGGAGACCAGCCTGGCCAATATGGTGAAACCCTGTCTCTACCAAAAATACAAAAATTAGCTGGGCATGGTGGGGGGCACCTGTAATCCCAGCTACTTGGGAGGCTGAGGCAGGAGAATCGCTTGAACCCGGGAAGTAGAGGTTGCAGTGAGCCAAGATTGCACCACTGCACTCCAACCTGGGCAACAAGAGCTAGACTCCGTCTCAAATAATAACAATAATAATAATAATAAATAATAATAATAAAGGGGAAATGCGAGCTTGAGGGAAGAGAGGGAAGGTATGGTCACATGATTGAATCCACATGTTGCAAGAGAAAAAGAGCAGGTAGAGGAAGAATCAATTATGTATCCGTCTCCTGCTCAGTAAATCAGCACTTTACATAAGATAAGGTAAACATAGAGTAGCTACAGGTGGAGATATTTAACCTGTTATTTGTAGCTGTCTGCTTAGGAACAAAAGGAAAGGCAGCTTCTTGCATGACTCAGCTTTCAGTTTAATTTTTTTTCCTTTTGGCAGAGTGAATTGGGGTCCCAAGTTTTTATTTTCCTTTTACAGCTTTCAAAGATGTCTTTTATGAATCAAAGATGAAAGAGATATAGTGCTTATCAGCTTACACTCAGGAACAATTTAACATTTTTCTTTCTCAGTTCCCTTGTCTATAAAATGGGGTTAATAACAATGCCTACAGAATAGGGATTTTATGGGGATCAAACCAGGCAATTCATGTGAAGACCAAGAACAATGCCTGGTACATCATAATCTCTCTCTATAATGATTAGATAGCCTTTCTTTCTCTCTCTCTCTCTCTCTCTTTTTTTTTTTTTTTTTTTTTTTTTTTTTTTTTTTTGAGACAGAGTTTTGCTCTTGTTGCCCAGGCTGGAGTGCAGTGGCACTATCTCGGCTCACCGCAACCTCCGCCTCCCAGGTTCAAGCGATTCTCCTGCCTCAGCCTCCTGAGTAGCTGGGATTACAGGCACCTGCCACCACGCCCAAATAATTTTTGGTCTCAAACTCCTGACCTCAGGTGATCCGCCCACCTTGGCCTCCCAAACTGCTGGGATTACAGGTGTGAGCCACTGTGCCCAGCCTTTCTTTTTCTTTCTTTCTTTTTTTTTTTTTTTGAGACAGGATCTCAAAATGTTTCCCAGCCTGGAGTGCAATGGTGTGATCAAGGCTCACTGCAGCCTCAACCTCCCAGGCTCAAGTGATCCTCCCAACTCAACCTCCTGGGTAGCTGGGCCCACGGGCATGTGCCACTACACCCAGTTTGTTGTTTGTTTGTTTGTTTTGTTGAGACAAGGTCTCTATTTGTTGCCTGGGCTGGTCTTGAACTCCTAGGCTCCCACCTCCACCTCTCAAAGTGCTGGGATTACAGGCATGACCCACCATGCCCAGCGTAGATATCATTTCTATTAATAGTATTATTTATAGTAGTGGTATTGGCCAGGCATGGTAGCTCACGCCTGTAATCCCAGCACTTTGGGAGGCTGAGGTGGGTGGATCACCTGAGGTCAGGGGTTCAGGTCCAGCCTGGCCAACACAGTGAAACCCCGTCTCTACTAAAAAGTAGCTGGGCATGGTGGCAGGCGCCTGTAATCCCAGCTACTTGGGAGGCAGAGGCAGGAGAATCACCTGAACCGGAGATGTGGAGGTTGCAGTGAACCGAGATCTCGCCACTGCACTCCAGCCTGGGCGAAAAGAGCGAAACTCCGGCTCAAAGAAAAAAAAAAGACAGTGGATTTCAAACCCAACAAAGGAAGAAAACTGCAATGTTAAGTGTCTTTATCCAGGAAGAAATGCTGAGCTCACTGCCTGGAAGACATCACATGTTTTGAGGTCCCACACCCAGAGATCATGCTGTGGAGGTGGAGTGGTGAGGCAGGGGAATGGAGGGTGGGAAGGGAGGAGTTTTGGAGACAGTGTGGTTTAGTAGAAGAAACACAGACTCTGGGCCGGGCACAGTGGCTCACGCCTGTAATCCCAGCACTTTGGGAGGCTGAGGCGGGTGGATCACCTGAGGTCAGGAGTTCGAGGCCAACCTGGCCAACGTGGTGAAAACCCATTTCTTCTAAAAATACAAAAATTAGCCAGGCATGGTGGTGCTGGCCTGTAATCGCAGCTACTTGGGAGGCTGAGGCAGGAGAATCGCTTGAACCTGGGAAGCAGAGGTTGCAGTGAGCCAAGATTGTGCTATTGTACTCCAGCCCAGGCAACAAGAGCGAAACTCTGTCACAAAGGAAAAAAAAGAAACAACACAGACTCTGAATGCAGATACAGTACAGGGTTTCAAATCCGAGCTCTGCCACATACTGGCGTTGTAACTGTGACTTCAGGCAGGTTGTTTTGTAGTAGGATGAGTCGCAGACAAAACTCCTCAGACACCGGATTAAAGAAGGAAGAGGTTTTTTATTTGTCTGGGAGCGTCGGCAGACTCACGTCTTAAGAGCCGAGCTCCCCGAAAAAGAAATTCCTAGCCCTTTTAAGGCCTTACAACTCTAAGGAGTCTACGTGAAAGAGTCATAATAGATCAAGTAAGCGTGAGGAACGTGACTGGGGGCTACATACATCAGGTAACAGAACAAAAGGTTTTACAGTGCTTTCTCATACAATGTCTGGAATTCACAGATAACCCCTGACCAAAACTACTGGTGTTATTATTTTAACCACCACCCAGGTGCTGGCGCCAGGATCGTCTAGCTATTTATCTTACTTCTGTTTCTTTCCAACTTTTTGCTTTCTCCCTTTTCTCCTGTCTCATAAACTAGGGCAAAGGGGAGGTGGGGGAGAAGCTAAGAAGGACAACAGGAGAAGCAGTGGTCTCATTCCATAGTTTTACCTCTCTGAGTCTCATGTGCACAATGGGGATCTTAATAGGCTTTTTATAGGGTTGGTAAAAAGATGAATTTAGGTGATTCAAACAGAGACCTCAAAACAAGGACAGATACATTGTACATGCTCAATAAACATTAGTTAACGTATCATGATGATGGTAAGACTGACTGGGCCTGGAATTAGTGGGTTCTTGGTCTGACTTCAAGAATGAAGCCGCGGACCCTCTTGGTGAGTGTTACAGCTTTTAAGGTGGCACGTCTGGAGTTTGTTCCTTCCGATGTTCGGATGTGTTCGGAGTTTCTTCCATCTGGTGGGTTCGTGGTCTCGCTGGCTCAGGAGTGAAGCTGCAGACCTTCGCAGTTAGCGTTACAGCTTTTAAGGCGGCTAGTCTGGAGTTGTTCATTCCTCCCGGTGGACTCGTGGTCCTGCTAAGCTTCAAGAGTGAAGCTACAGACCTTCACAGTGAGTGTTACAGCTCATAAAGGCAGTGTGGATCCAAAGAGTGGCCGGTAGCAGGATTTATTGCAAAGACCAAAAGAACAACACCTCCACATTGTGGAAGAGAACCTCAGCAGGTTGCTGCTGCTGCTAGCTCCCGCAGCCTGCTTTTATTCTCTTATCTGGCCCCACCCACATCCTGCTAATTGGTAGGGCCGAGTGGTCTGTTTTGATAGGGCGCTGATTGGTGCGTTTACAATCCCTGAGCTAGACATAAAGGTTCTCCAAGTCCCCACCAGATTAGCTAGATACAGAGTGTCCACACAAAGGTTCTCCAAGTCCCCACCAGAGTAGCTAGATACAGAGTGTCGATTGGTGCATTCACAAACCCTGAGCTAGACACAGGGTGCTGATTGGTGTGTTTACAAACCTTGAGCTAGATACAGAGCGCCGATTGGTGTATTTACAATCCCTGAGCTAGACATAAAGGTTCTCCACCTCCCCACCAGACACAGGAGCCCAGCTGGCTTCACCCAGTGGATCCCACACCAGGGCTGCAGGTGGAGCTGCCTGCCAGTCCTGCGCGTGCGCCCGCACTCCTCAGCCCTTGGGTGGTTGATCGGACTGAGCGCCGTGGAGCAGGGGGCGGCGCTCGTCGGAGAGGCTCGGGCCGCACAGGAGCCCACGGAGAGGGTGGGAGGCTCAGGCATGGCGAGTTGCAGGTCGTGAGCCCTGCCCCGCGGGAAGGCAGCTAAGGCCAAGTGAGAAATCCAGCGCAGCGCCGGTGGGCCGGCATTGCTGGGGGACCCAGTACACTCTCCGCAGCCGCTGGCCCGGGTGCTAAACCCCTCATTGCCCGGGGCCGGCAGGGCCGGCCGGCTGCTCCGAGTGCGGGGCCCGCCAAGCCCACGCCCACCCGGAACTCCAGCTGGCCCGCAAGCGCTGCGCGCAGCCCCGGTTCCCGCTGGCGCCTCTCCCTCCACACCTCCCTGGAGCCGGCTCCTGCCTTGGCCAGCCCAGAAAGGGGCTCCCACAGTGCAGTGGTGGGCTGAAGGCCTCCTCAAGTGCCGCCGAAGTGGGAGCCCAGGCAGAGGAGGCGCGGAGAGCGAGCGAGGGCTGTGAGGACTGCCAGCACGCTGTCACCTCTCAATGACCAGCACAGACTCCAAAAGCAGAGGAACCGGGAAGAGCCCACCACTCTGCTGAGCTGGGAGAATTAGCCCAGTACTCCAGGGACCAGTGTGTCCTGAGCTCTCATGTGGTAGGGTCAGTGCCCGGAAGCCAAGCCTGAAAGAGGATTTGTATGGGCCGTGCATGGTCGCTAATGCCTCTAATCCCAGCACTTTGGGAGGCCGAGGCGGGCGGATTACCTGAGGTCAGGAGTTCCAGACCAGCCTGGCCAACTTGGCGAAACCCCGTCTCTACTGAAAATACAAAAATTAGCCGGGCATGGTGGCGGGCACCTGTAATCCCAGCTACTCAGGAGGCGGAGACAGGAGAATCGCTTTAACCCAGGAGGCAAAGGTTGCAGTGAGCCGGATCGCGCCATTGCACTCCAGCCTTGGCGGCAAGAGCAAAACTCCATCTCAATAAATAAATAAGAGGATTTGTGTGGATGTTGTTGTTGTTGAGCACATAAGCTCCGGAGCTGTGATTGACGATGGTGACTGCCCTCGGTTCTGCTCACCGGTCTGATTCCCAGAAAGCCCATCACACCAACTGTCTTTAACCCTCTGGTGCCACAACAGGCCAGGAACCACAGCCCTGCCCTCCTCCTGGGTTCAGGGTGGGGGAGTTGTGCTGCTTCTGGGATGGGGGTTAGAAACAGGCCCCACAGTAGCTGCATTGTGTAAAGCAGAGCTCCCGTTTCCTTCGTGTCGAGCTTAGGTGGGCAAGGACAGCAAGACCTCTCCTAGGCACCCCAGAGGCCACTGGTGAGAAGAACATGGTGGTGAGGACCTGATGTGGGAAGGGGAGTGGGATTCTTTCTTTTTTCTTTTTTCGTTTTTTTGTTTTGTTTTGTTTTGTTTGAGATGGAGTTTCACTCTGTCACCCAGGCTGGAGTGCAGCGGCGCCATCTCGGCTCACTGCAACCTCCTCCTCCCGGGTTCAAGCAATTCTCCTGCCTCAGCCTCCCTAATAGCTAAGATCACAGGTACACGCCACCAAGCTCAGCTAATTTTTTGTATTTTTAGTAGAGACGGGGTTTCACCATGTTGGCCAGGCTGGTCTCGAACTCGTGACCTCAGGTGATCCTCCCGCCTCGGCCTTCCAAAGTGCTGGGATTACAGGTGTGAGCCACCACGCCCGGCCTTATTTTAATTTTATTTTGAGATGGAATTTCAATCTTATTGCCTCAGCCTCTTGAGTGGCTGGGATTATAGGCGCCCGCCACCATGCCCAGCTAATTATTGTATTTTTTTGTGGGGACGGGTTTTTGCTATGTTTCCCAGGCTGGTCTTGAACTCCTGAGTTCAAGGGATCCGCCAGCCTCAGCCTTCCAAAGTGCCGGGATTACAGGTGCGAGCTACCACGCAGGGCCAGGATTTGTTTTTTTCCCCTTTGTTTTGTTTACATTTTTCTTTTGGTGGGGGGAGGGGAGAGATAGGGTCTCACTCTGTCACCCAGGCTGGAGTGCAGTGGTGCGATTACGGTTCACTGCAGCTTCCACCTCCTGGACTCAACTGATCCTCCCGCCTCAGCCTCCCAAGTAGCAGAGACCACAAGCACACACCACTAAGGTCAGCTAATTTTTTGTAGAGACTAGGTCTCACTATGTTACCCAGGCTGGTCTCAAACTCCTGACCTCAAGCGATCCTCCTGCCTCAGCCTCCCAAAGTGCTAGGATTACAGGCGTAAGCCACCCCAACGGGCTGGGAGTAGGATTCCTTATTGCCTGCCCAGAGGAGACAAATGCAGGCAAAATACTTTCGTGGAGGGAACCTGGAGAGATTTCCCAGCAGATTAGAAAGGCTCCTTCTTTGAAGCAGAAGCTTAAATTCTGTGGCCAGAACTTTACTTCTTACCCCCAGCCAAGCCCCTTACTGAAACGCACAAATTTTGGCTTCCAGGGCTCTCTAGGTTGAGAGGCCTTTTGAATCCTCATGCAGCGCCGAGGACAAGTTCTTCCAAACTACTCCCTGCTCGGATGCTAGTGCAGGTATGAGTGGAGAAAAATGGCTTGGAAGCAGAGATGGAGGGGAGAGCTGGGAGGAGCAGGTGGGGCAGAGCGGGAGGAGCTGGCTAGAGCCTTGCCAAGCTCAGCCCCTCCCTCTTCGGGAAGAAAATAGACTTGGCTGCTTGGGAAGCCATAACTCCCACCCGACTC
Organism: Homo sapiens; assembly: GCF_000001405.40. NCBI lineage: Eukaryota > Metazoa > Chordata > Mammalia > Primates > Hominidae > Homo > Homo sapiens. Next base: position 119,888,239 of record NC_000023.11, on the reverse strand, counting down.
CCCACCCCCGCGCCGCACCCCCGCCATGGGCCTCTGGAAGCATCGGGACTATGGGGGGCAGGGAGGCTGCGCCGGCTGCCCACTGGCGCGTGGTCCAGCGATGCGCCCGCGTTCTTCTGAAAGAACGTGGAGACTGCACCAATACGCGCCGCCCCAGTAACAAAAATTAGCCGGGCGTGGCGGCGCGCTCCTGTGGTCTCAGCTACTTGGGAGGCTGAGATGGAAGATCACTTGAGCCCGGGAGGTCGAGGCTGCAGTAGCCATGATCGCACCACTGCATTACAGCCTGGGCGACAGAGCCAGAGCCTGATACAGGCCTGGCCAAGTGGAGTGCGTCCTGTCAGCTCCCCAGGAGCCGATGGGCGGGGTCGGTCGCAAGTACACTGCCCTACTGTCCTGGGCTTTCCGAGGCTGCCGGGAGCTAGACAGACCGCCAGGGGGCGAGAGGGCCAGCGCCTCCCTTGTCCTGAATGTGGGGAGTGGAGGGGAGGGGGAAATTTGTATCAAGGATGTTGTGCTCACTAGAGAGAACTGCTTTGGAGAGTCTTGCAGATCCACACACTTTTTTTTTTTTTTTAGTCGGAGTCTCACTGTGTCGCCCAGGCTGGAGTGCAGTGGTGCGATCTCGGCTCACTGCAACCTCTGCCTCCCGGGTTCAAGCGATTCTCTTGTCTCAGCCTCCCAAGTAGCTGGGATTACAGGTGTGTGCAACCGCACCCAGCTAATTTTTGTATTTTCAGTAGAGACGGGATTTCACCATGTTGGCCAGATTGGTCTCGAACTCCTGACCACAAGTGATCCGCCCGCCCCAGCCTCCCAAACTGCTGGGATTACAGGCATGAGCCATCGCGCCTGGCCTACACTCTCTTAGCTGCTGCTGCTGCTTTTTTTTTTTTTTTTTTCTTTTGAGACAGAGTCTTGCTCTTGTCGCCTAGGCTGGAGTGCAATGGCACGATCCTGGCTCACTGCAACCTCCCCCTCCCGGATTCAAGCGATTCTCCTGCTTCAGCCTCCTGAGTAGCTGGGATTACAGGCATGCACCACCACACCCTGCTAATTTTTGTATTTTTAGTAGACACAGGGTTTCACCATGTTGGTCAGGCTGGTCTCGAACTCCTGTCCTCAAGTGTTCTGCCCACCTTAGCTTCCCAAAGTGCTGGGATTACAGGCGTGAGCCACCGCGCCTGGCCTAGGTTCTTCCTGAACTGAAGAAAATCCAGGGAGATGCCCTAGATAGGGGTAGTCTACATCACAGCACAAGGAAGAGAGGACAGAGCTCTCTCTTGGGACTCCACACCCTGGGCCTTGAATTATACTCTTTTCCACCTATGCCTCATTTTCATTCCCTCTCAGTTTCTTCCCTCTCCTCCCCTTATACTCTCATGCTCACCCTTTCAACCCTACCCTTACTTATTTTTTCCCCTTCTTTCTCTTATCCTACCAATCCCTAGCAAGGCTGATGCCTCTTAGCCACAAGCCTAGGCTTAAAGCTGACATTCTCTGCTTGTCGAATGAACCCAGTCGGCCACCACGTATCTTTTAAGTGACTGTAAAGTGCGCAGGTGGCAGGAATTGTGAGAAGTAAAACTGGCTTAAGACAAGGTTCCCACCCTCGATGCACTTACAATATAGTTGGGAAGACAAAGTGTGTTCACATGAAAAAATAACTAGCAAGTAAGTCAAAGCAGGGGACAATGAAATGCTTTCTTACCCAAAACATGAGGCATGTTGGATTTGGGCAGGTTCTGTTACCAGTAGAGGGTCTTTACTGCAAGTTGTCCAGGTTCTTGGCGTTTTGAACAAAGAATTGGACAAAACGCACAGCAAAGACAGGAAAGAAAGAAGCAAGCATGCACAGATTTATTGAAAGTGAAAGTATACTCCACAGTGTGAGAACGGGCGGAGCAGTGGCTCAAGGGCCCTGATACACAATCTTCTGGGGTCCAAATACCCGCTAGAGGTTTACCATTGGCCACTTGGTGTTCACCCCATGTTCATGAAGTTGCAGCCCACAATCAGAGGCTGAAATGAAGTTACAAAGGTCACACTCCTATGCAAACATCTTATTGGTTGTGGAAAGCAGCCAATCAGAGGCTAGAGTGAAAGTTGCCCTTCTATACAAACGAAGACTTGGCCCCCAATCCGTATGATTGGTTAGGATAGCAACCAATCAGAGGTTGAAGTGAAGTTACAAAGTTACACTCCTATGCAAACGTCTGATTGGTTGCAAAAAGCGACCAATCAGAGGTACTTTCAATTTGCCATCTGCTTTTTTTCCAACCAATCAGAGGTACTTTCAATTTCCCATCTGCCACACAGAAAGGTGGGGATTTGCAAGGGGAGCAACCTCTGGTTCTTTTGTTACGTAGGCGTGGAAAGGTAGGGCTTTCCTTTCAATTTAGTTCTAGGAAGTCAGCATGAAATGGCCTTAGGTTCCCTGCTTCCAGACTCTATTCTCCTGCCTCAGTTCTAAGCAAGTGACTTTGCTTCATGTCTCAAAGGCCACCAGACTGCCCTAGGAAGAAAGAGGGAGGAGGTGGTAGGAACCCAGGGCCTTTCCCAAGCAGAAGCCCATCCTCTAACAGTAAAGGCCACAGACCTGAGTACTGTGGTAGTCAGGCCCAGGTGGGTAGGTCCTTGAGAGTCATGATGTCACGAAAACCTCTCAGAATATCCTGGCCATCCTTGAGCATGAGTGCCTCATTGAATAGTGCCTTCCTCAGAACAAAAGTACTATGGCAAAGCTGTTCCTGATGGCTGGATTTTTAAATATATATATATATATACTTTAAGTTCTAGGGTACATGTGCACAACGTGCAGGTTTGTTACGTATATGTACATGTGCCATGTTGGTGTGCTGCACCCATTAACTTGTCATTTACATTAGGTATATCTCCTAATGCTATCCCTCCCCCCTCCCCCCACCCCACGAGAGGCCCCAGTGTGTGATGTTCCCTACCCTGTGTCCAAGTGATCTCATTGTCCAATTCCCACCTATGAGTGAGAACATGCGATGTTTGGTTTTCTGTCCTTGCAATAGTTTGCTGAGAATGATGGTTTCCAGCTTCATCCATGTCCCTACAAAGGACATGAACTCATCCTTTTTTATGGCTGCACAGTATTCCATGGTGTATATGTGCCACATTTTCTTAATCCAGTCTATCATTGATGGACATTTGGGTTGGTTCCAAGTCTTTGCTATTGTGAATAGTGCCGCAATAAACATACGTGTGCATGTGTCTTTATAGCAGCATGATTTATAATCCAATGGCTGGATTTTTGATAGTGATGTCTTGATGTTCAGATCCACGGTCATAACTAGAGTGGGCTGCTCTTGTAGGCACTGTATGAAAACTCCAGAGTTTCCCTAGAGACCAGACCAACCCCACCCCAAATACTAAGTTCTTAGAGGTAAGAGAGAAGAACAAGCTTCTGGTAGCCGGGGTGACTTCTGGCCTCTAGAAATGAAGCGTATTAGGCTTAGAGGGAAAATCTGTCTGCTGAATGAAACACTCCCCAGCAACATGGCAGGTGGTACAGAGCAGATAGGCACAGTATACCAAAGAAACTGTGTTTTTTTGTTTGGTTGGGGTTTTTTTGGTGGTGGTGTTTTGTTTTGTTTTTTGAGACGGAGTCTCACTCTTGTTGCCCAGGCTGGAGTGCAATGGCACAATCTCAGCTCACCGCAACCTCCGCCTCCCAGGTTCAAGCAATTCTCCTGTCTCAGCCTCCCGAGTAGCTGGGATTACAGGCATGCACCACCACACCCGGCTAATTTTGTATTTTTAGTAGAGACGGGGTTTCTCCATGTTAGTCAGGCTGGTCTCAAACTCCTGACCTCAGGTGATCTGCCTGCCTCGGCCTCCCAAAGTGCTGGGATTACAGGCATGAGCTGCCACGCCCAGCCACCAAAGAAACTCTTAACCACGTGGAAAATATCTTTGTTTTCTTGGGGCAGTAATGCTCAGTGTTCCCAGTGTTTTCCCTACCTTCTTTCTGTTGCCTTTGGGATTAGTTTTTTGGGGTCATAATTAAAATTGCATGGTTGTTTATAAGTTTTATTGCCTGATCACTCTCCAGCCCAAATATAATAATTGGTCTCTCCATGTTTGCTCGAACTGAGGAAGGCACCTACGAAGAACCAAAACAATGGATGATACCAAATGTGTTCAAACGAATAAAGCAACAGTTACTTGAGTTTATACAAGTAATATCTGCTGGGTCATTTTCTCAGTGGTTCCCTGTAAAGAACAATTATGTGTCTAATGGTGAATCAAGATTTGTGGAAATCCTAAAAGCAATTATTTGGATTTTTGTTGCAGAAGAGTCTTTGGGGTTGGAGGAAGGAGTATTACAGACAATAGCATAAGACATATAGGGTACAGAAATATGCCAAAAAAACTTAACAATTAAAGATTATGCAAACGTAACACAGGATTTATTCTTTATAGGAATTTCTTTCTCTCTGCCTTTTATCAAAACTGCATCAAAATGTGACAATTGGCCATGTGTGGTGGCTCACGTCTGTAACCCTAGCACTTTGGGAGGCCGAGATGGGTTGATCACTTAAGGTCAGGAGTTCAAGATCAGCCTGGCCAACATGGTGAAACCCCGTCTCTACTAAAAATACAAAATTAGCCAGGCATGGTGGGGGGGCGCCTGTAATCCCAACTACTCGGAGGCTGAGGCAGGAGAACCACTTGAACCCAGGAGGCAGAAGTTGCAGTGAGCCAAGCACTCCACCACTCATGCCATTGCACTCCAGCCTGGGTGACAGAGTGAGATTCCATCTCAAAAAAAAAAAAAAATTCTAGAGTATTCAAACCTCAAAGATAAAATATTTGGTCAGGAGGGTATGGATGAGGTGACAGAGGGAGCATTACACAAGCACACACAGACCCAAACCAGTAAGCTGAATGACAGTCTCTTTTGATATCTAAAATCCAAATCTATACACTTGGTATAGAAAAAAAAAAAAACCCTAAAATTGTACCATGTGCCTTGTTTCCCACAGAAGTACAGGAGAATAATTTCTCAGTTCACAGAAGTATCAGAGTGATATGGACTCTTGAAAACCAACTGATGTTTAACTCTCATCCTCCATCCCTTACCCTCAACCAGAAGCTTCTTGGTGAGAATGGCCAGCTTCAGTCCTATCCATTCAGCACCTTCCCTTAGAGCAGAGCAAGCAGCAAGAGCTGAGAGGGGTAACCAGGCACTCGGTTCTCACAGTGGCATGAAACTGCGTTTTTAGCTCTGCTTTCAGAAAACAGCTTCCAAACAATTAGTGTCTTCATCAAAGTTCCTACCGTCTGTTGTCCTTGCAGTGCTCTGAGATTCCCTAGCTGTGACCACTCTAACAGGGGACCAAAGACCTGGCCTGAGGGTCCTCCCAACATCACTTTTGTGTAAGTGCCTGAGGGATTTGGGGGTTGGCTGGAGAGCTGTTAAAGGGGTGCTCAAAATGCAGCAATGGTCCATTCCACATGCACGAGGCTGTACACTTAGAAACTACTTCACATACATGATTTCGTGAGATCTTCTCAGCTACCCAGGGACGTATGCAGGGCACATACTGTCCTCACTTGAGAGATGGGAGAACTGAAGCTAAGATCAGTGATGTGACCTACCAAAGGCCACACAACCCACAGGTGGTGCAGCTTCCTGATGTGAAGTTACTCCCAACTTTCTGTGTCTCCACATCTTACATCATCTATTTGGAAAAGAAACATGTTGTTCTGTGCCTTCTCAAGCTGAGGCACATCACTGAGAGTACATTGGGAGGCTGGGCACGGTGGCTTATGCCTGTAATCCCAGCACTTTGGGAGGCCAAGGCAGGTGGATCACCTGAAGTCAGGAGTTCGAGACCAGCCTGGCCAACATGGTGACACACCGTCTCTACTAAAAATACAAAAAATTAACTGGGTGTAGTGCACATGCCTGTAATCCCAGCTATTCGGGAGGCTGAGGCAGGAGAACTGGCTGAACCCCGGGGGTGGAGGTTGCAGTGAGCTGAAATTGCGCCACTGCACTCCAGCCCGAGCAACAAGAGCAAAACTCCGCCTCAAAACAAAAAAAAAGAAAGAAAGAAGAGTACATTAGGATACTTCCTTGGAAAAACAAACGCCTCCAGGGAAGGGATATGCTTCAAGTTTACAGATGAGCCAACAGAGATCTGAATGAAAAAAAGAACCAGGAGAGGGAGGGAGAAGGGAAATTGCTCCCATACATTTCTGAATAATTAGGACTTTTTAAAACTTTTTTCTCTCTTTAACGCTTTTTTTTTTTTTTTTTTTTTGAGAGGGAGTCTCACTCTGTCACCCAGGCTGGAGTGCAGTGGCGCCATCTCGGTTCACTGCAACCTCTGCCTCCTGGGTTCAAGTGAGTCTTGTGCTGCAGCTTTTCTAGTAGCTGGGATTATAGGTGCCCACCACAACACCCAGCAATTTTTGTATTTTTATTTATTTGTTTGTTTTTGAGACAGAGTCGCCCTCTGTCACCCAGGATGGAGTTCAGTGGCTTGATCTCGGCTCACTGCAACCTTCACCTCCCGGCTTCAAGTGATTCTCCTGCCTCAGCCTCCCAAGTAGCCGGGATTACAGATGCACACCACCACGTCCGGCTAATTTTTGTAACTTTTGGTACAGATGGGGTTTCACCATGTTGGCCAGGCTGGTCTCGAACTCCTGACCTCAGGTGACCCGCCTGCCTCGGCCTCTCAAAGTGCTGGGATTACAGGTGTCAGCCACCACGCCTGGCCTAATTTTTGTATTTTTAGTAGAGATGAGGTTTCACCATGTTGGCCAGGCTAGTCTCAAACTCCTGGCCTCAAGTGATTGGCCCGCTCTGGCCTCCCAAAGTGCTGGGATTACAGGTGTGAACCACTGCGCCCGGACTCTTTAATACTTTTTTTCAAAATAGATAAGGAGTTTTGCTGTGTTGCCCAGGCTGGTCTTGAACTCCTGGGCTCAAGCAGTTCTCCTGTCTCAACCACCCAAAGTGCTAGGATTACAAGTGTGAACCACTGTGCCCAGGCAGAATCTTTTTAAAAAACACTTCCCACTGTGTTCCTTAATGGAGAACCTGCTACTGTTTTCAGAGTTTCTCAACCTTGGCACTATTGACACTTAAGGCTACTGGAAACTGTCAATGTGGGACTGTCCTGTACATCTTAGGATGTTTAGAAGCATCACTGGCTTCTAACCACTAGATGTCAGCAACACCTCCCCACCCATACCTCCTGTTGCCTCAAGGAAAAATGTCTGCAGTCGTTGCAATATGCCCTGGGAGGCAAACTCACCCAGCTGAGAACCACTGTGCAGAGCAGCCAGGCAGATGTGCGCAAGTCACATCACTCTCCTACCTCTTGCTAGACTTCCCAGTCGCCCTCAGGAGGAATTCCGACACCCAGGGGGAGACATTCACGTTCTGGGCCCTGCCAACCTCTCTGGTCCCTCTCTTCTGCCTCACACTCTTCGCTCTGCAGAACTGCTTGTAGTTTCCCACATAGCCATGCTATTTGTGTCCCCACCCTTATGCTGTTCCCTCTGCTTGGAATGTCCTCCCCTCAGTTGTTTGTCTCGTAAATCCTATCCAGCCTTCCAGACAGCTTAGTGTAGACATCCTCTGGAAACGTATCCCTAAGCTCTTTCCTTTCCCCTCAACCCAAGGCTGGGTTGCCCCACTTCTGCGCTCCCACAGCACCTTCTGCAAACTTCTGTCACAGCACTTATCCTTCACATAGTTGTCTGTCACTCCCACTGACTGAGTTCCTGCAGAGCAATTCTGTGTCACATTCATTTATTTTAGGTCATTTTATTTTTTGGTAGAGATGGGGGTTTCGCTATGTTGGCCAGGCTGGTCTCGAACTCCTGGCCTCAAGTGATCTGCCCGCCTCAGCCTCCCAAAGTGTTGGGATTACAGGGGTGAACTACCACATCCGGCCTGTGGTGTCATATTCAAATCTGAGGTACAGCACCTGGCATGTAGCATTTACTCAATCAGTGTTTAGTGAAGTAAACCACAAAGAACAATACACTAGGTTGGGAGTCAAAACATCAGGATTCTAGTCCCAGCTCTGCCACTGGCTAAGTGATCATTTGGTTCCCAAACAAAAGGCAACGCCATTGTCTTCCTCTTCCTTCTGAATATGTGTGGCTTCCTCTATCTTTTTTCAGTCTTTTCCTATTGACTACTTTATTTGACCCTACAAGTAACAACCTGGTACATGTAATTTCAAACAAGAACCATTATTCCAAACTTCCAAAGAAGTGAACAGTATGTGTCAGATACTACAATTGCATACAAGACAGAAGAACCCGTTTGTATTTGTATGTGCAAAAAGAAACCCTATTGGCCAGGTACGGTGGCTCATACCTGTAATCCCAACACTTTGGGAGGCCGAGGCTGGCAGATCTCTTGAGCCCAGGAGTTCGAAACCAGCCTGGGCAATATGGCAAAACCCTGTCTCTACAAAAAATACAATTAGCCAGGCGTGGTGGTAAGTGCCTGCTGTGGTCCCAGCTACTCAGGAGGCTGAGGTGGGAGGATCACTTGAGCCCAGGAAGCAGTGGTTGCAGTGAGCTAAGATCTTGCTACTGCACTCCAGCCTGGGTGACAAAGTGAGACCCTGTCTCGAAAAAAAGAAAAAAAGAAAAAGAAACACTATTGACCATTTTTGGTTTGGGTTTAATAAAAAAGGATTTTTTTTTTGAGCCACCATGCCCAGCCAAAAAGGATTATTTTTAAAGTAAAAAGAAACCCACGCCAGGCGCAGTGGCTCACAGCTGTAATCCCAGCACTTTGGGAGGCCAAGGCAGGTGGATCACCTGAGGTCAGGAGTTCGAGGCCAGCCTGGCCAACATGGTGAAACCCCTTATCTACTAAAAATACAAAAACTAGCTGAGTGTGGTGGCGGGCACCTGTAATCCCAGCTACTTGGGAGGCTGAGGCAGGAAAATTGCTTGAACCCAGGAGGCGGAGGTTGCAGTGAGCTGAGATCACGCCATTGCACTCCAGTCTGGGTGACAAGAGCGAAAACACCATCTCAAAAAAATAAAAAAAAGAAACCCTTTGGGGTGGTGTGACAATTGACAGGTGTTGGGCAGGGGATTAGAGCAACTATTTTCACTGCATACCTCATATTGTTGGATTTTGAGCTAGGTGAATATAACATCTATTTTTTAAAAACTTAATGATAGTAAATAAAACCGAGCAAATGGGATAGTTTCCTAAGCAGCATTTTAACAGGCCTTAAGAGCTGGTGACAGATGGATCTGACATCAGTAGCTTTACCACATCAGTTAGAGCTGCTTAAGAAAACCCTTCTAATTGCACTTGCAGAAAAAAAAAAAAAAGAAAAGAAAAAATAAAAGAAATCCACCGTTAAATCTTCTATCTTCAAAGTGCTTTAATCTGGCTCACCCCCTAGCAGTAGAGTACAAAAATAAAGCTCAATTTCACAGCAGATGCTACAAAAAAGGGCAGTGAAGAATTTGGACTCTTAACCGTGAACCTAACCAACTCTACCTGTCATTTTGTAGCCCCTCACTATACAGCTGTGTAGCTGTGACAGTCGTCTAAGGACATAAAAATGTAGGGGATGATCCCTGCCTACAGGCAAAATGGAGAAATAACAGACCTAAAAATCAATAAAAGTAGTAATAGATAAGTCATGTTTTCAACACATCTTCTGTATCCACAACTCCCTAGGTGTACTACTTGCCCTCTTCCTTCCTTTCCAGGGATAGCTTTTTTGTTTGTTTTTTGTTTTTTTTGAGACAGAATTTCACTCTTGTTGCCCAGGCTGGAGTGGCGGTGGCGCAATCTCAGCTCACTGCAACCCCTGCCTCCTGGGTTCAAGCAATTCTCCTGCCTCAGCCTCCAGAGTAGCTGGGATTACCGGCATGCGCCACCATACCCAGCTAGTTTTGTTAATTTTAGTAGGGACGGGGTTTCTCTATGTTGATCAGTCAGGTCTTGAACTCCCGATGTCAGGTGATCCACCCGCCTCCCAAAGTGCTGGAATTACAGGTGTGAGCCACCGCCCGGCCGGCGATAGTTCTCCTAACAGTCAATTACACAAGGCCTGTGAAGCATTAAATGATAATACAGGTTCTATTAAGTTTGTAATCATGACCAGGCTTTCCTTATACAGTAAAAAGTAAAAGGTCATTGCCGATCAAGGGATGGCACAATCCAGCCACCACTGTAAGTTTAAACACCACTTCCTTCTATAAGCCCCGCCCTATAAAATTAGATCAATGGCAATCACACAGTGCAGGCATGTTCAAGGTAACCAGATCAAATGTTAAACTGGATAAGCAATGAAAAGCAACTTAGTATTCTCACCTGGAAGTGTCATCTGTGGTGTTGCTTTATACACATGGAGTTATCACCATCTTTAGTTTTATCTTTTCAGATCTTCATCTTTGGTTACCTTTAATGTTGAACATGCATCTCTATTTCAAGTGCTCAGTACACTCTCATTTTAATAAACCGAATGATTGCTGTTGCTGTATACTAAAACAAAAATTAACTTAAGCATATACTATTTGTTAGATACTATACAGAATGTATGAAGGTTGAAGGTGCAATCCGTTTTAAACATATCCCAACTGGAATTTTTTTTTTTTTTTTTTTTGGAGACGGAGTCTCACTCTGTCACTGTCACCCAGGCTGGAGTGCAGTGGCACAATCTCAGCTCACGGCAACCTCCACCTCCCGGTTTCAAACCATTCTCCTGTCTCACACCACCACTGCGCCCGGCCTGGAATTATCTTCTTACACCCCTCTCAGCTCAAACCTAACCAACTGGAATTTTAAACATTGTAGGATCCACTCAGAAAAGGAACTAGAAAAAAAATACTTTTTCTGTATTCCCCTGGTCATCTCTGAAGAAACTATGTTTGTAAAATTTACTAATATCAGCCGGGCAAAATGGCTCACACCTGTAATCCCAGCACTTTGGGATGCCAAGGTGGGTGGATCACTTGAGGTCAGGAATTCGAGACCAGCCTGGCCAACATGGTGAAACCCTGTCTCTACTAAAAATATAAAAACTGGCCAGCCCCGGTGGCTCACACCTGTAATCCCAGCACTTTGGGAGGCCGAGGCAGGTGGATCACGGGGTCAGGAGTTCAAGACCAGCCTGACCAAGATGGTGAAACCCCGTCTCTATTAAAAATATAAAAATTAGCCAGGTGCAGTGGCAGGTGCCTGTAATCCCAGCTACTCAGGAGGCTGAGGCAGGAGAATCACTTGAACTTGGGAGTCGGAGGTTGCAATGAGCCGAGATTGAGCCACTGAACTCCAGCCTGGGCAACAGAGCAAGACTCTGTCTAAAAAAATAAATAAATAAAGTTAAATAAAATATACTAGTGTCTATTACAATAGTAGCAACTACAATTTATGAAGTATTAGCTGCTAGGCACAGAGACAGGTGCTTGATGTACATTATGGATGTACATTATGTCTATACAAGCCTCACAGTTGCCTTCTAGTTTTTTTTAAGTGATAAAGACTACATTGGGTAGATTGCTTGATTTTGTGTAACATATTTAAAAAAAAGAAATGCATTTTTTTCATTTTATTTTTATTAAGCACTACATAACACATTGCATGCTACATAATACACTGTAACCTTCTAGCAGGGGTAGATGGCCATAACTGAGTTATTTTTTTCATCAATCAGGAAAATGCTTCCTTAATCAATGTTCTCCAAACCCTGAAAAACAGTTTAAAAAGGAGAATGTGACAAGTCTGTTCCCATCAAAGATATGCCATGTACTTTTATTTCCAGTGTCATTAAATGGCATTGTTATTAAAAAGAGTGCTTCCACATCCCACATTTCTCTAACTGCAACAATACATTGGATTAAATTTTATAATCACTAAAGAATAACCTGTAATGATTTCTAGTTTTCATTTTCTGACAGCAGCATATTGCTTTATATGAAACAAACCTTCCCCGACCCCCAATCAGAACTAAAGTCAAGCAACTCTTTACCACCTGGATCCTTTTTTTTTTTTTTTGAGATGGAGTCTCACTCCCGTCATGCAGGCTGGAGTGCAGTGATGCGATCTTGCCTCACTGCAACCTGCATCTCCCAGGTTCAAGCAATTCTCCTTCCTCAGCCTCCCAAGTAGCTAGGATTAAAGGCATGTGCCACCATGCCCAGCTGATTTTTGTATTTTTAGTAGAGAAGGGGTTTCGCCATGTTGGCCAAGCTGGTCTAGAACTCCCGACCTCAGGGGATCCACCTGCCTCGGCCTCCCAAAGTGCTAGGATTACAGGTGTGAGCCACTATGCCTGGCCTCCACCTGGATCCTTTTACAAAGCACCTCAGTGAGTCAGAGGACAAGAAGGTAAAATCTGTTTTAAAAAATAACAGCCAACATGAGGTAGATACTATTATTCTCATTCCATTTTTTTTACAAATGAGGAAATGGAGGCTCAGAGAGGTTAAAAGTCACCTGCTTAAGTCCATAAGGAATTAGCAGAGCCAGAATTCAGGGACCCCAACTCCCGAACCCTTCTCTGACAAGCACTACACTATCTATTCAAAATACCTACTGGATCTTACTAAGTTGACAACCAAATACTTCAGAAGCTATAAATTAAAAGATTACACCTGGCGTGGTGGCTCACGCCTGTAATCCCAGCACTTTGGGAGGCCGAGGTGGGTGGATCATGAGGTCAGGAGTTCAAGATCAGCCTGGCCAAGATGGTGAAACCCTGTCTCTACTAAAAGTACAAAAATTACAGCGCACCTGTAATCCCAGCTACTCGTGAGGCTGAGGCAGGAGAATTGCTTGAACCTGGTGGGTGGAGCTTGCAGTGAGCCAAGATCATTCCACTGCACTCCGGCCTAGGCGACAGAGCAAGACTCCGTCTCAAAAAAAAAAAAAAAAAAAAAAAAAGACTCATCAGTGATGACACTTCTTCTAGGTATTAAATAACATAGTCCAGGTATTTGGTTTACTATTACAGGAAGAACTGCCTTAAGAGAAGTTAAAACTGTATCTTCCTTGGAGCCATCTCTTAGAAATCCTAATTCTGTCTCACATGCTAGGTGATTCTGATGGTTATTCTTGGACCATACTTTGAGAAATATGGCTCCAGATAAGTAGATATCTATTATCATGTTCATTGGATTAGATTCTCAACTACCTCTCTACTGAGAGGTGTATCACCCAGGTTGAGTCCTTATAATATTACTTAATCACTCTGACCCTTGTCTATAAAATGGAAATACTATTTACTTAGGTTTGTTGTGAGGAATAAATGAGGAAGGAGAAAATATTAAAAAGTAAACATTTTTAAAAGAAGTATGAGAATGAACTACTCCTACAAAATATAAAAACATACTATTAGGGCCAGGAGTAGGGGCTCACGCCTGTAATCCTAACACTTTGGGAGGTTGAGGTGGGCGGATCACTTGAGGTCAGGAGTTAGGAAACCAGCCTGGCCAACATGGTGAAACTCCATCTCTACCAAAAAGTACAAAAAAAAATTTAGCTGGGCATGGTGGCAGGTGCCTGTAATCCCAGCTACTCAGGAGGCTGAGGCACAAGAATCGCTTGAACCCGGGAGGCGGGGGTTGCAGTGAGCCAAGATTGCACCACTGCACTCCAGACTGAGTGACAGCGTGAGACCTTGTCTCAAAAAACAAAAAAAAAGACAGAAAAACAAAAAATATACTATTAAGTTGAGCCTTATGAAATGCTACTGCTTGGTCGTTTTTGACCTACAAAAATGGCAATGTCATAATTGAATCAAAATATAAAATTATAGTAATTCTTTAAATGAAGTATTGTTGCAGGAATAGGCAGACCTAGAGTATAGAAAAGCACATCCGTGAAACAGGCCCATGTGTACATGGAAATTTAGTTTACCAGAGTGGTATTACAAATAAAAATAAATTGGGTGCTTGGTGGTTTTTTTTTTTTTTTTTTTTGAGACAGGCTCTCATTCTCTCGCCCGGGCTGGAGTGCAGTGGTACGATCCTAGTTCACTGGAGCCTCAAACCCCTGGGCTCAAGCTGTCCTCCTGCCTCAGCCTTCTGAGTAGCTAGGACTACTAAACTCTTCTATAAATGGGTAATTGCGATAACTAGCTACCTGTTGGAAAAAAGTAAAGTTAATCCTCCTTTCACATTATACTCCAAAATGACCTGTAGATGTAACCAAATAACTAATTTTTTAAAGAAACTAACAATATTAGGAGAAATTATTTTTTAAAAGTATTTTTATGAGCCAGGTATAGTGGCACACCTGCAGTCCCAGCTCCTCCGAAGGCTGAGGCAAGAAGATCACTTGAGCCTATGAGTTTGAGGGCCAGCCTGGGCAACACAGCAAGACTGTCTCTATTTTATTTTTTGAAAGTATTTTTATAATCTTAGATAGAAAAGGCCTTTGTACGGGAGACATAAAAACCTAGAATCCAGAACAACAAAACATGATACATTGAATATCAAAATTTAGAACTACCTGATGAAAAACATCATAAAGTAAAAAAGACAAACAGCAGACTGGGAAAAATGTCATATATAAAATAGACAAAAAAATTAAAGTCTAGAATATATAAAGAACCATAGCTCAAAAAGAAAAAGACAATGGAACAGGCAAAGGATATAGGCAACAATCCACAGAATAAGAAATATATGACAGAAGAAAAACTAAAAAAAAAAAAGAAATATAAAAGATTAAATATGTAAAAAGATGCCAACCTCACTAGTAGATAAGAAAATGCTAGTTATATATTAGCACTGTATGACCCTTGGCAAGGCATTACCAGAACCCACCTCAACCCTGGCAAAAGGCTGGCATCAGAGTGGCATCTTACCTTTGACACATAGTAACGATCAACTCCAGAGATGCGCCTATCTCTTTCCATCAGACTCCAGTGATACCCAAAATGAGCAACCCTTTTTTCCTTCAAATAAGAGACAATTATTGTTGCAGTTTATAAAAGTGAGTGACCCAATTGATAGATACTACAATTTTTAAAAGGGACATTCCAGAGAAATGGAATCATCGTTTAAATAAAAATGCAAATTAGTAGTACAAAGAACAGAATCTCCTAAATAAAATCAGACCACTAAACTTTAGGATTAAGTTGGTACCTGTGACTTTTTACACTATTTTAACCAACATGAATTTTTTTTCCTTTTTTTTTAAAAAAAAAAAAAAAGAAATATCTAGTTGTTGTCTTTTGGGACACTAAGAAACAACAGCTGTAGATCACACGTGAAGAACAATAACAAAATCAAAAAGTAAATAAATTTATATCCTGTACTCTTGAGATGATGTGAAGGACTAGGAAGAGGGGAAAATGAATCCTGATGTAAAAAAACAAGATCTCGCAGTAAATTCCTAAAGGCTTGCAAGAGAAAGTGGGGAATAAAAAAGTCAAGGGTGGCCGGTCGCGGCGGCTCACGCCTGTAATCCCAGCACTTTGGGAGATCAAGGCGGGTGGATCAACCGAGGTCAGAAGTTCGAGACCAGCCTCGCCAACATGATGAAACCCCGCCTCTACAAAAAAAAAAAAAAAGCCAGGCGTGGTCCCGGCTACTCGGGAGGCTGAAGCAGGAAAATTTCTTTCTTTATTTATTTTTTTTTGAGACGGAGTTTCGCTCTTGTTGCCCAGGCTGGAGTGCAGTGGCGCGATCTCGGCTCATCGCAACCTCCGCCTCCTGGGTTCAAGTGATTCTCCTGCCTCAGCCTCCCGAGTAGCTGGGATTACAGGCATGCGCCACCACGCCCAGCTAATTTTGTATTTTTAGGAGAGACGGGGTTTCTCCATGTTGGTCAGGCTGGTATCGAACTCCCGACCTCAGGTGATCCGCTCGCCTCGGTCTCCCAAAGTGCTGGGATTACAGGCGTGATCCACCGCGCCCAACCAGGAGAATCTCTTGAACCCAGAAGGCGGAGGTTGCAGTGAGCGATTCTCAGGCTTGAGCCACCTTTTCTAATCTACCTTCCCGGCCCCCGCGTCGCTACTCTGCCCTAAGGCCCACTCTGATACACCCAGAAACGCTGTTTTTCACTAGAGCAGGATGTAGTTTCTATCGGGCTTCGTTTCGCAAGCCTCGGCTTCTAGGCAACCGGAAGCAAGTAGAGGGCCGACCTCGGAGAGAGGGTTCGCAGGCTGACGGTCTCCCTGCCCACCACCCTTTTCGGAAATCAGCCCGTGGAGTCGGCCCCCGGGCCGAAGCCGGCTTACCTTGCCCCCGTTAGTGAACCTGTGGATGTACGCAGTAGCCAGTCCTGGAATCAACAAGCACACGCCCATGACGGAGAGTCCGGGGAGAATCTCGAACCACATCTCTGCCCCGTTACCTAGGCCAAAACCCTACTTCTGGGTCCTTGAAAGGTGACCTGGCTTCGCCTCTCTTCCCAGCAAGCCCCGCGGCCGCCCGCGAGCGGGGCGGTGCCACGTACGGCTCCGGAAGAAGCGACGGAATCTGCTAGGGCACAAGAGAGACGGGCGCTCGGGCTCTCGCAGTCCTCTTCCGTCAGTGTCTTTTGCTTCGACTCCCGGCGGAGCGCGCAACGTGGAGTGACGTGCAGGGGCCAAGTGCAACCCAGGCAGCCACGGCTGTTTCGGAGCTCAGGACTCTAAAATGGCAGAGCAGCTTTCTCCAGGAAAGGCGGTGGATCAGGTGTGCACCTTCCTTTTCAAAAAGCCTGGGCGGAAAGGGGCTGCTGGACGCAGAAAGCGCCCGGCCTGCGACCCAGAGCCCGGAGAAAGCGGCAGCAGTAGCGACGAAGGCTGCACTGTGGTTCGACCGGAAAAGAAGCGGGTGACCCACAATCCAATGATACAGAAGACCCGTGACAGTGGTAAACAGAAGGCGGCTTACGGCGACTTGAGCAGCGAAGAGGAAGAGGAAAATGAGCCCGAGAGTCTCGGCGTGGTTTATAAATCCACCCGTTCGGCGAAACCCGTGGGACCAGAGGATATGGGAGCGACAGCTGTCTATGAGCTGGACACAGAGAAAGAGCGCGATGCACAAGCCATCTTTGAGCGCAGCCAGAAGATCCAGGAGGAGCTGAGGGGCAAGGAGGATGACAAGATCTATCGGGGAATCAACAATTATCAGAAATACATGAAGCCCAAGGATACGTCTATGGGCAATGCCTCTTCCGGGATGGTGAGGAAGGGCCCCATCCGAGCGCCCGAGCATCTACGTGCCACCGTGCGCTGGGATTACCAGCCCGACATCTGTAAGGACTACAAAGAGACTGGCTTCTGCGGCTTCGGAGACAGCTGCAAATTCCTCCATGACCGTTCAGATTACAAGCATGGGTGGCAGATCGAACGTGAGCTTGATGAGGGTCGCTATGGTGTCTATGAGGATGAAAACTATGAAGTGGGAAGCGATGATGAGGAAATACCATTCAAGTGTTTCATCTGTCGCCAGAGCTTCCAAAACCCAGTTGTCACCAAGTGCAGGCATTATTTCTGCGAGAGCTGTGCACTGCAGCATTTCCGCACCACCCCGCGCTGCTATGTCTGTGACCAGCAGACCAATGGCGTCTTCAATCCAGCGAAAGAATTGATTGCTAAACTAGAGAAGCATCGAGCTACAGGAGAGGGTGGTGCTTCCGACTTGCCAGAAGACCCCGATGAGGATGCAATTCCCATTACTTAGGTTTCCCATAATTCTTAAATTTAAAAAATAAACGTTTTGTTCTTTTGGAAGTCTTACTTCGTGTCCTTCCTTTGTAGAGAAAGTGACAGAGCAGGCGGGTGGTGAAGTAGGGTCCTGGATTAAAAGCTTCAAGGTAGGTATAATCAGGATTTTTAGCCCTAGGATAACCATTTTGCCTGTGTTTCTTTTCAGAACACTTTGGCATAAATTATAGGGGTGGGAGTAGTTTGAGAAAAGAGCTATAATTTGCTCGAAGTAACCAAAGCCATGATGAAAGCAAGACCTCTGAGCCTGTTTATTATATCACATTTCTGTATCACTTAATAGTTTACAAAGTACTTTCATGCATTCTTTCTCTTGGGAGCCTGTACTACAAAATATACCCGAGCCAAGGTGTTGGGGAGAGGGGTTGTGTTTGGGGAACTGGTAGCTAGCACCACAGGCTTCACATATGGGAAATGTTCCTTGCTGTCTTGGTTATTTATTTATTTATTTGTTTTTGAGACGGAGTCTCGCTCTCTTGCCCAGGCTAGAGTGCAGTGGCGCGATCTCAGCTCACTGCAACCTCCGCCTCCCCGGTTCAAGCGATTCCCCTGCCTCAGCCTCCCGCGTAGCTGAGACTACAGGCGCATGCCACCACACCCGGCTATTTTTTTTTTTTTTTTTTGTATTTTTAGTAGAGACGGGGTTTCACCATACTAGCCAGGATGGTCTCGATCGCCTGGCCTCGTGATCCACCTGCCTTGGCCTCCCAAAGTGCTGGGATTACAGGTGTGAGCCACCGAGCCCGGCTCCCTTGCTGTCTTGGAAGCAGCTATAGTTAACCCCCACGTCCATGGGTGATAAAAGTATCTGTGCTCAGCTATCCAGTGTGACAGACACTAGCCCCAGGTGGCTATTGAGCACTTGAAATGTGTCTGACCACTGTATTGGACATTACTATTGTAGACAGAACTCGTGAACCTGCAGAGGTCAAAAACAATATTTTATCATCCATTACCTGAAACTATCTGTGTTCTCACAGTCTCTGTAATAGTGCTGATCACACCTTATTAAAATTAGTCAATGTACCTGTCTCTCCAACTGGTTTATGAACTCAGTGACTAGCCTAGTGCTTGGCATATAATAAGCACTTAATAAATAAGCCTAGAGAGGTTTAAAAAGGGAGATTGGGGCCAAAGCCTTGAATCCAAGCTGAGGAGCGTTGACTGTATTCTGTAGGCAGCGGGGGAGATAGCAGAGGTTTGGGAAGAGAACACAATCAGACTTGGGTTTTTTTGTTTGTTTGTTTGTTTTAGTGTTACTGTGGTTGCGGCTATAGGATGGCTCACAAGGGAGATGGAACACGAGGCCGGGAGGCCAGTTAGGCCAAATGATTAGTAAATTTTTATTGATATGGCTAGAATTTGGGCTAATCCCACGAAACAGATGCAAGAATAAATTCTGGGTTAGTGGTTTTTATTCACATTCATTAATCCATTTAAAGATATTCTTTTTTTTTTTTTTTGAGACAGAGTCTTGCTCTGTTGTCTAGGCTGGAGTGCAGTGGCGCGATCTTGGCTCATTGCAACCTCCGCCTCCCAGGTTCAAGCAATTCTCCTGCCTCAGCCTCCCGAGTAGCTGGGACTACAGACGTGCACCACCACACCCAGCTAATTTCTGTATTTTTAGTAGAGACAGGGTTTCACCATATTGGTCAGGCTGGTCTTGAACTTCTGACCTCGTGATCCGCCCGCCTCGGCCTCCCAAAGTGCTGGGATTACATGCATGAGCCACTGCGCCTGGCCTAAAGATATTCTTTGAGTAGCTACTCTAAATCAGGCACTGTGCTTGGCATGGGGGATATTAGCAGTGAACAAGATGGACACAGCCCCTGCCCTCATGGAGCTGGACATTAAATAATGACTGTTTGTTTGTTTTTGAGACAGAGTCTCGCTGTGCCACCCAGGCTGGAATGCAGTGGCATAATCTCAGCTCACTGTAACCTCCACCTCCCAGGTTCAAGCAATTCTCCTGCCTCAGCCTCCTGAGCTGGTCTCGAACTCCTGACCTCATGTGATCCACCCGCCTGGGCTTCCTAAAGTGCTGAGATTACAGGCCACCGTGCCCTGCCTGTTTCGTTTCTTTTAATTTCAAATAGGATCTCCTATGTTGCCCAAGCCCATCTCAAACTCCTGGCTTCAAGCAATCCTCCCGCCTCAGCTTCCCAACATGCAGGGATTACAGGCGTAAGCCACCATACCTGGCCTAGGAAAGCATTTGGAAAAGTGTCATGTCCTACACAAAGCTTCGGACGAAAAGGAAATAAATGAAAAGTGTCACGGAGGCAAGGCGCAGTGGCTCACGCCTGTAATCTCAGCACATTTAGAGGCTGAGATGGGAGGATCACTTGAGGCCAGGAGTTGGAGACCAGCCTGGGCAACAGGGAGACCCCCGTCTCTACAAAAAACAAGCAAAAATTTTAGCTGGGTGTGGTGATGTGCACCTGTAGTCCCAGCTACTCAGGAGGCTGAGGTGGGAGAATCCCTTGAACCCAGAAGATCAAGGCTGCAGTGAGCCATGATTGCGCTACTACACTCCAACCTGGGTGACAGGAGTGAGACCCTGTCTCAAAAAAAAAAAAAAAGAGAGAAAAATATGGCAATGAGTAGCAAAAGAACCAGAAAAAATGTTCATTTTTTTAACTATTTCTGATAATTTATACTAAAAAAGTTATTCAGGGTTGGGCACAGTGGCTCATGCCTGTAATCCCAGGACTTCATGAGGCCAAGATTAGAGGATCACTTGAGCTCAGGAGTTTGAGAACAGCATGGGCAACATAGCAAGACTCCCATCTCTAAAAAATAAAAATAAAAAAAGTTATTCAAAAGTAGAATAAAGTGTTATGGAAAAAGATATACTTTGAATTGTTATCTATTATATAAGCTGAGAGAAAAGGTCCAGGAGAAAACACAGATGATAAAAGGTGAAAGAATGCTGCTGATGACTAAATTCTAGGAGGTAGAACAGAGAAGCGACAGAATTAAGAGCATAAATCAGTCTTAAAGAGTTGAGAGGGCAAGAGAAAGATGACGTTTGTGCACTACTCTCCACATGACGTTTTTTAATACTTGTCTGTGAATCTTTTTTTCTTCTTTCTTTTTTTTGGTCTTGAGACAGGGTCTCACTCTGTCGCCCAGGCTGGAGTGCAGTAGCGCAATCTCGGCTCACTGCTACCTCTGCCTCCCAGGTTCAAGCAATCCTCCTGCCTCAGCCTCCCAAGTAGCTGGAATTACAGGCATGCACCACCACGTCCAGCTAGTTTTTTGTATTTTTAGTAGGGATGGGGTTTCACTGTGTTGGCCAGGCTGGTCTGGAACTCCTGGCCTCAAGTGATCTGCCTGCCTTGGCCTCCCAAAGTGCTGGGATTACAGATGTGAGCCACCGTACCCAGCCTTTTCTGTGAATTTTGAAAAAGTATACAATGTACTTGCAAATGAGCATTATTCTGGAGTCCGTAGCATTCAGCAGATTCTTAAAAGGGACCGTAACTCCATAAAAGCACCTAAATCAATAGTGTACTCAAAGTACTTTTCATGTTTACAAGCTTATGATTACATTTTCTACAGTTCAGGAATATTTTCATCACCTTTAATTAAATGGTACAACTTCATTTCATAGGTGGGAACTAAATAGTTATTCTTACAATTTAAAAGAAACTAAATATGTAGAGGGAAGCAAGCGCTCCAGAAGAGATGAGGTTGCAGCTGGACCCTAAAGGAGCTTACCTAGTTTGAAAGGTCAGGGCACCTATGTCTCCCCTAGGAAATGAGCCTCAAACTGAGACCCGAGAGGTGAGTTGGAGAAAGAGTATCTCAGGTAGAGGGACAAGTATATATACTAAGGCCCTGATGTGAGAGACTGCCTCCAGCTAAAAACTCAAGGCAGTCTAAGGTGGCTGGGGAAAAGAGACAAGGTAGTCAGGGCCAAAGAGCAGACACCTTGCAAGTCATGTTAAGGACTTTGGACTTTATCTGAAGGGCAAAAATGCGCCATGAAAGCATTTTAAGGGCCAGGCGCAGTGGCTCACGCCTGTAATCCCAGCACTTTGGGAGGCCGAGGTGGGCGGATCACTTGAGGTCAGGAGTTCGAGACCTGCCTGGCCAACATGGTGAAACCCCCGTATCTAGTAAAAATACAAAAAATTAGCTGGGTGTGGTGGCGGGCACCTTTAATCCCAGCTACTTGGGAGGCTGAGGCAGGAGAATCCCTTGAACCTGGAAGGTGGAGGTTGAAGTGAGCCAAGGTTGTGCCACTGCACTCCAGCCTGGGAGACAGAGCAAAACTCTGTCTCAAAAAAAAAAAAAAAAAAAAGTGGGGGGAGCTGGGCGCGGTGGCTCACACCTGTAATCCCAGCACTTTGAGAGGCCGAGGTGGATGGATCACGAGGTCAGGAATTCGAGACCAGCCTGACCAACATGGTGAAACCCCGTCTCTACTAAAGATACAAAAATTAGCCAGGGGTGGTGGCACGCACCTGTATTTCCAGCTACTCAGGAGGCTGAGGCAGGAGAAGTGCTTGAACCCGGGGTCGGGGGTGCACAGAGGTTGCAGTGAGCCGAGATTGCACCACTGCACTGCAGCCTGGGTGACAGAGCGAGACTCCGTCCCAAAAAAAAAATTTTTTTAAGGGTTTAAAAAGGAAAATGAAATGATCAGATCTAAATTTCAAAAAGATAATTCTGAAGAGTGGGGAATGGATTGAAGGCAGCCAGACATGAAACAGGGAGATCAGTTATGGGGGTGGTGCACTGGTCCAACTCAGATGATGGTAGACTGGACTAGACTGGTGGCTGTGAACATTCATTTAATAAATTTGTATTGATCACCCATTACATGACAGGCATTAAGCACTGGAGATACAGTCATGACAAAAGCACACAAGTCCCTGCTTTCATAGAACTTACATGAAGTGAGCACAGTGGCTCACACTTGTAATCCCAGCACTTTAGGAGGCTGAGGCAGGAGGATCACTTGAGGCCAGGAGTTGGAGACCAGCCTGGAAAACAAAGTGAGACCCCATCTCTACAAAAAATAAAAAATAAAAAACTTAGCAAGGGATGGTGGCATGTGCCTGTAGTCCCAGCTAATCAGGAGGCTTAGGCAGGAAGATCCCTTCAGCCTGAGAGTTTGAGGTTGCAGTGAGATGTGATCATGCCACTGCACTCCAGCCTGGGTGACAGAGAACCCATCTAAAAAAAAAAAAAAAAAAAAAGAACATACATGAGAGACAGTGACAGATATATATATATATATCAGATTGTGATGAGTGCTATGAAAAACAATAAAGCAAGGTAATGGGCTAAGAGTGCAGGGGTGTAGGGGAATGCTATTTTATATATGGTAGTCAGGGAGGGGCCTCTTCTGATAAGGTGACATTTGGGCAGAGACCTACATGAAACAGATATCGGGGAGAAGAGCATTCCAGACAGAGAACACCTAGTACAAAGGCCTGAGGCAGGAAAGTGCATAAAACACAACTTTGTAATAGAACCAATAATTATAGAAGAACACCTGCATAACCACCACCCGGGTCAAGAACTACAAGACTGAAAACACTGAAGAAGCCCCTCAAGGATCCCCTCCAGATCACACCCTCAGGATCACACCCTCAGGATCTCAGGATCACACCCTCAGGATCTCAGGATCTCAGGATCTCAGGATCACACCCTCAGGTAATCACTTAATCACTATATTGATTTTTTTTTTTTTTGAGATGCAGTCTCACTCTGTCACCTAGGCAGGAGTGCAGTGGCGCGATCTCAGCTCACTGCACCCTCCGCCTCCTGGGTTCAAGTGATCCTCCCACCTCAGCCTCTTAAGTAGCTGGAACTACAGGTGTGGGCCATGATACCCGGCTTTTTTTTTTTTTTTTTTTTTTTTTTTTTTTTTTTTTGGTAGAGACAGTGGTCTCCCTATGTTGCCTAGGCTGCTCTGGAACTCCTGGGCTCAAGCAGTCCTCATCCCTCAGCCTCCCAAAGCGCTGGGATTACAGATGTGAGCTACCACGCCTGGCTGTTGAACCTTTCTGTAAACACTTTTTTATTTGCTGAGGTGAAATTTACATAACATAAAATTAACCAGTTTAAAGCAAACAATTTAGTGGTATTTAATACATTTGCAATGTTGTGCAACTACCACCTCTATATAGTTCCAAAACATTGTTTTCATCACCCCAGAAGAAAACCCCACACCCATTAAGCAAATGCTCCTCATTTCCTCCTCCCCTCCACCAACCCCCCCCCCAATCCCTGGCAACCACCAATCTGCATTCTCTGTGGATTTAATTATGTTATATATTTCTTTTCTTTTTTTTTTTTTTTTTTTCCCGAGACGGAGTCTTGCTCTGTCACCCAGGCTGGAGTGCGGTGGAGTGATCTCAGCTCACTGCAACCTCCACCTCCCAGGTTCAAGCAATTCTCCTGCCTCAGCCTCCCAAGTATCTGGGATTACAGGTGCGCGCCACCACGCCCTGCTAATTTTTGTATTTTTAGTAGAGATGGGGTTTCACCATGTTGACCAGGCTAGTCTCAAACTCCTGACCTCGTGATCTGCCCGTCTCGGCCTCTCAAAGTGCTGGGATTACAGGCGTAAGCCACCTCGCCCAGCCTATGTTAGATATTTCATATAAATGGAATTGCAATATGGAATCTTTCATGTCTGGCTTCTTTCATTTAGTTTTCAAGGTTCATCCACATTGTAGTATGTATCAGTACTTCCTTTCTATGGCTAAACAGTATTCCATTGTATGCATAGAACACAATTTGCTTATTAACCAATCATCTGTTGATGGATATTTGTTCATTTACCTTTTAGCTCTGACTATGGGTGTACATGTATTTGTTTGAGTGTCTGTTTTCAATTCCTTTGGGTATATACTTAGGAGTGTAGTTGCTGGGTCATATGGTTAAGTTTATGTTTAACTTTTTATATATGTATATATAGAGAGAGAGAAAGAGACAGGGTCTCACTCTGTCACTCAGGCTAGAGTGCAGTGGCCAGATTATAGTTCACTGAAGCCTCACACTCTTGGGCTCAAGTGATCCTCCTACCTCAGCCTCCTGAGGAGCTAGAACTACAGGTGCACAACGCCATGCCTGGCTAATTTTTTTTTTCTTTTTTTTTTTGTTGAGACGGAGTCTGGCTCTGTCGCCCAGGCTGGAGTACAGTGGTACGATCTCGGCTCACTGCAACCTCTGCCTCCCAGATTCAAGTGATTCTCCTGCCTCAGCCTCCCAAGTAGCCGGGATTACAGGCACCTGCCACCATGCCCGGCTAATTTTTGTATTTTTAGTAGAGACGGGGTTTCACGTTCTTGGCTAGTCTGGTCTCGAACTCCTGGCCTCATGTGATCCGCCCACCTCAGCCTCCCAAAGTGCTGGGATTACAGGCATGAGCCACTGCACCCAGCTAAATCTTTTACTTCTTTTGACAATGTTTTATAGTATTTAGAGAATAAGTATTGCACTTCCTTTGTTAAATTTATTCCTAATATTTTGTTCTTGATGCTATTGCAAATAGAATAATTTTCTTAATTTCATTTTTAGATTATTCATCAACAGCATATAGAAATAAAATTTATTGTTTTCCAATATTGATCTTATATACTGGAACCATGCTGAACTCATTTATTGGTCCTAGCAGGTTGTTTTTTAGTGGATTCCTTAGGATTTTCTATATACATGACCACGATATTCTATGTACATGAACCAAGACTATGTCATCTGCCAATAAAGTTTTAGTTCTTCCTTTACAATCTGAATACATTTTATTTCATTGTCTTGCCCAGTTGCCATTGATGGAGCTTCCAGGACAATGTTGAATAGAGGTGGTGAGATTAGACATTCTTCTCTTGTTCCTGATCTTAGGAGGAAAACATCCAGTCTATCACCACTAAGTATGTTATTAGCTGCGAGTTTTTTGTAGATGCTCTTTTCTGAGTTGAGAAAAGTTCCCCTGTATTCCTAGTTTGTTGAGTGTTGTTATCATGAAAAGGAGTTGGATTTGGGGCAAATATTTTTTCTGCATCTTTTGAGATGATTATGTGGTTTTTGCTTTTTATTCTACTGATATGGTCTATTACAGTAATTGATTTTTGGATGTTTTAAAGATAGGAAAACAAAACAAAGTGTTTTTCCTACTCTCACACTCAAGGAAACACAGAACACTCCACCTGTGGTCACCAAAATGTGTGGGGAAATACACACATACACCAACCAAGCAATTCTCCAGCTGACATCAGCTGGATCTCCTCTAAATCAATTCAATTCCAACATTGCCTACCTGGAGATAGCATCAGATCCCATAGATCCTATACAGAGATTTGGGGCTCAGTCCTATGAGACTGCCCCCCACCTCAAATGCCAATAGTAAGTAGTAGGTTGTCATCTATACTTCTGACCCACCAGCTATAAATCAGGGGTTTCTACTACCCTCTCCTCAGGTTCCATTAATTTGCTAGAGTAGCTCACAGAATTCAGGGAAACACTTTACTTAAATTTACTCATTTATTATAAAGGATATTACGAAGCATATAGACAAATAGTCAGATAGAAAAGCTGTGTAGGGCAAGGCATGTGAGAAGGGGCCCAGAGCTTCCATGCTCTCTCTCTCAGAACCACCCTCAAGGTAACTCATGTCCAGCTAGCCAGAAGCTCTCAGAACTCAGTCCTTTGGGACTTCTATGGAGGCTCCATTACATAGGCATGATTGATTACATCACTGGCCATTGGTGATCAACTCAACCTTCAGCCCTTCTCCCCTCCCCAGAGGTCTAGGTTTGTGGGGTGATGTGGGGTTGAAAGTTCCAACCCTCTAATTACATGATTGGTTCCCCTGGCAACCAGCCCCCATCCTGAGGCTATCCAGGATCCCACCAAGAGTCACCTCATTAAAACAAAAGATGCTACTATGATCCAGGAAATTCTGAGGGATTTAAGAGCTCTATATATCAGAGCTTTCTTTAATCTAATTCGTTTCTTTTGTTTTTTTTTTTTTTTTTTTTTTTTTTTTTTTTGAGACGAAGTCTCACTCTGTCACCCAGGCTGAAGTGCAATGGCAAGATCTCGGCTCACTGCAACCTATGCCTCCCGGGTTCAAGCAATTCTTCTGTCTCAGCCTCCCAAGTAGCTGGGATTACAGGCGTGTACCACCACGCCTGGCTATTTTTTTTTTTAGACAGAGTCTTGCTCTGTTGCCTAGGCTGGAGTGCAGTGGTGCGATCTCAGCTTACTGCAACCTCCACCTCCCAGGTTCAAGTGATTCTCCTGCCTCAACCTCCCGAGTAGCTGGGACTACAGGCGTGCGCCACCATGCCCAGCTAATTTTTTGTGTATTTTTAGTAGAGACCGGGTTTCACCGTATTAGCCAGGATGGTCTCAATCTCCTGACCTTGTGATCCGCCCACCTCGGCCTCCCAAAGTGCTGGGATTACAGGTGTGAGCCACCGTGCCCAGCCTTTTTTTTTTTTTTTTTTGAGATGGAGTCTCAAATCTGTTGCCCAGGCTGGAGTGCAATGGCATGGTCTTGGTTCACTGCAACCTCCGCCTCCTAGGTTTAAGCAATTCTCCTGCCTCAGCCTCCCAAGTAGCTGGGATTACAGGTGCGTGCCACCACACCTGGCTAATTTTTGTATTTTTAGTAGAGATGGTGTTTCACTCTGTTGGCCAGGCTGGTCCTGAACTCCTAACCTGGTGATCCACCTGCCTCGGCCTCCCAAAGTGCTGGGATTACAGGCGTGAGCCACCACGCCCGGCCTCCTTACTTTCATATCCATATAATGTGTTACTGCATTTAACATTTGACATAAATAATCTCTTCATATTTTTGTAATGTAACAAACATTTTATTAATTTTATTAACATTACTTTTACATCTGAGAATTTACCAGTATTTTTAAGATAACTCTATAATTTTTTCTAGTTTTTTTTAATAGCCCCTACACAAACTCACAGGATTTAGGGTTTTCGTTTTGTTTTGTTTTGTTTTTTTAACTACCAGCCTTGGAGATGTAATTTAGATTTATGAATCAGCTGTATTACTTTCTAGCCATGTAATTTTGGGTTTGAGTGACCACGTGTCTTAATTTCACTCATTGCAAAATAGGGAAAACAACAGTACCCAATTCATAGGGCTGGTGTGAGGACTAACCAAGTCAACGCACACAAAGTGCCCAGCACAGGGCAAAAATAAGCTTTGATCATGATTGTTTTGTTGTTGTGAAAGTCCATAAGTCTCCTTTTGTCCAAATTTCATCTCACTCTCAGTACACAGGATCTTTCTAAGTCTACATTATAGAAATAGAACTGATAATTTTCTACGCTTATACCTGTAAAATTATTCCCCTGAGAAAATTACACAACTTCAGGATTTTTAAAGCTTACTGGATTTACTTACAAGTTTACATGAGTGCGGCTGGGTGCGGTGGCTCATGGCTGTAATCCCAGCACTTTGGGAGGCCGAAGCGGGAGAATCACTTGAGCTTAGGAGTTTGAGAACAGCCTGGCCAACATGGTGAAATCCCGTCTCTACTAAAAATACAAAAATTAGTCCCATGCCTGGCGCCTGTAATCCCAGCTACTTGGGAGGCTGAGGCAGGAGAATAGCTTGAACCTGGGAGGTGGAGGCTGCAGTGAGCCGAGATTATGCCACTGCACTCCAGCTTGGGCAACAGAGCGAGACTCCATCTCAAAAATAAATAAATAAATAAATAAAGTTTACATGTGTGGTACAGTTTGAGCATCCAAAATCTGAAATGCCCCAAAATCTGAAACTTTTTGAGCACTGACATGATATCACAAGTGGAAAATTCCACACCTGACCTCGTGGGACAGGCCACAGACAAAACACAGGCACACGACACACAGTTTATTCAGTGTCTCCAAGGAAAAAATTAAAATTACCTTCAGGCTCTGTGTACAAGGGGCATATGAAACATAAATGAATTTCATGTTGAGACTCGGGTCCTATCCCCAAGTTATCTCATTACATATATGCAAATATTCCAAAATTCGAAACACTTCTGAAATCCAAAACACTTCTGGCCTGAAGCATTTCAGATAAGGCATACTCAACTTGTATTCTCCCTCAGAATCTAATGTCACTCCTCCAAGGCTCAGCTACCAATTTTAAACTAAAAACTTTTCTTAATTGAGAAATTCATCTCTGTTTCCCATGTGACTGAATTCCTTATATTGTTCATTAGCTCCTCCTGTTTTTTTTGAGACAGAGTCTCACTCTGTTGCCCAGGCTGGAGTGCAGTAGTGCAATCTTGCTCACCACAACCTCCGCCTCCCAGGTTCAAGTGATTCTCCTGCCTCAGCCTCCCAAGTAGCTGGGATAACAGGTGCTCGCCACCACTTCCAGCTAATTTTTGTATTTTTAGTAGAGATGGGGTTTCACCATGTTGGCCAGGCTGGTCTCGAACTCCTGACCTCAAGTGATCTGCCCACCTCGGCCTCCTAAAGTGCTGGGATTATCAAGCCACTGCGCCCGGCCACCTCCTCCTGTTTTATGTCATCAGTAGACATCAGGAATAGCTGGTTAACATCTTTCGTTATAATCCTTAAACTGTGGGAAGGTACTTCAAATAATTATACTATGTAAGCCTCCTTTATGCACTGACTGGGAAGGAGTCCAACGTTCTCATACATATTTTTAACTTGGCTAATTCATAAAATATTACCCTTTCTTTCATAGGTAATATTAGGATCAGCAGGCGCTCATGTGAAATAATTTTTTGTACTGTACAAATTATCCAACTCCTTTCCTAATTATCTGTTTAGAATTTGGATAATTTCAGAGCTGATCTGGGTCAAGAATTAATTAAAAACAACATTGAATATAACATTTAAATAAAAGTCAACTTGATCTTAAAATTGGATATTAAACCACCTTTAAGCTAGATGGAGCTGAACACCAGGCAGTTCCACAAGATTTCCACAAGGAGTTTTATTTGTGAAAGGAATTAATAAAAAACGGGCAAGACAATTTATTAAAAGTAGCCTGTTCAATGGAGGGCAGGGAAGATGTTTTAAAGTAAGATTCTTCCATTTGTGTATAGATATTTTCTTTCTGGGTTTTTGTTTGTTTGTTTGTTTGTTTTGAGACAAGGTATTGTTCAGTCACCCAGGTTGGAGTGCAGTGGCGCGATCACAGCTCACTGCAGCCTTAACTCCCGGGCTCAAGCTATCCTCCCGCCTCAGCCTCCTGAGTAGCTGAGACCACAGGTGTGTGCCACCACACTCGGCTAATTTTTTAATTTTTTGTGGAGACGGGTTTTGCCATGTTGCCCAGGCTGATTTTGAACTCCTGGGCTCAAGTAATCCTCCCACTTCAGCCTCTCAAAGTGTTGGGATTACAGGCAGAGCCTCCTTCTACTTTTCTAAAATGGGGTCCCAAACATGATACTGCTCATCATCAGAAGTGGGAAGAGGAACCTTGGAGCATACAGTGAAACTGTGAGAATCAGTGGTGTGAGGAACTTTAGGGACAGCTCTCTTTCTCCCTCTCTGTCACACACACGCACACACTTATTCTTGTTCTCCCCCTTACTTGGTGGAAAGGAGCCATATCACCATCCCTGTTTTGTTTTGTTTCTTTTGCTCTGGCATAAATAATATAATAACCTGGTGCAATAACCAAAAGGATAGAAAGGCACACAGTGAAAAATGTATGAAAAGGTGCTTAACTTAATCATTAGAGAAATGCAAAGTGAAACTACAATGAGGCACCCCTACACACCCACGAGACAATACCAGATGTTGGGAAGGGTATGAAGCACTCAGGACTCTCACACACTGCTGATAAGTGTAAATTGGTACAACCCTGTTGGAAAACTCTATGGTAGTACCTACTAAAGTTGAGCATATGCTTACTCTGTGATCCAGCAATTCCACTCCTAGGTATGTATCTGACATGAATCATCAAACAATATGCACTAAAATCCCAGCAGCACTATTTGTATTAGCCCCTAAGAGTGGGATAAATTGCAGCAGACTCATACAATGGAATATTATGTAACAGTGAAAAGGAATAATCCACAGCTACATATAACATAAATAAGCTGGGCGTGGTGGCTCAAGCCTGTAATCCCAGCACTTTGGGAGGCCGAGGCGGGCGGATCACGAGGTCAGGAGTTCAAGACCAGCTTGGCCAATGTTAGAAACAAAATGCTTGTTCCTCGGTGCCACAAAGAAATAGCACTCGAACATAAATTTAATTTTCACAGCAAGACAATTTTTACTTCTATAGAAGGGTGCGACTCGTGAATGGAGTAATGGCAAGAGCACACCTGAACAAGGGAGGGGAAGGGGTTCTTATTCCTGACACAGGTAGCCCCTACTGCTGTGTCGCTCCCCTATTGGCTAGGGTTGGACTGCACAGTCTAAGCTAATTCTGATTGGCTACTTTAAAGAGACCAGGGGTATGAGCCAGAGTGGCGGGGTGAATAGTTTGGTGGGAAGGACGGTTAGGAACAGGTAACTAAAGGTGACTTAGGTCAGAGCAGGGACCAGGGGTGACTCAGGTCAAAGCGGATGACCGGGGTGAGTCAGGACGGAGCAGGTAACCAGGGGAACAGATGTGAACTACTGATGAAAACTGGTGGAAAATGTTGTTTACTGAAACTACGAGGAAGTTAAACTTTACAATGGAGGACAAAGAACTGAACATACTGACATACTGATTCTTTGAAGAGAGATCTAGATCTCACTGTATCCAACAGCCAATATGGTGAAACCCCATTTCTACTAAAAATACAAAAATTAGCCGGGCGTGGTGGCACACGCCTGTACTCCCAGCTACTCGGGAGGCTGAGGCAGAAGAATCGCTTGAACCCGGGAGGTGGAGGTTGCAGTGAGCCAAGATGTAAGCCAAGATGGCGCCACTGCACCTCAGCCTGGGCGACAGAGCGAGATTCCGTCTCTAAATAAATAAATAAAGAAATCTCAGTCATAAATGTTGAGAGAAAGGAGCCTAACATAAAAGAATACATGCTGTATGATTCAATTTACATAAAGTTCAAAACAGACAAACTCAATAGTATTAGAAGTCATTCATAAAAGGATGTAGCTGCTAAAAAAGAAAAAGCAAAAAGGATAGTGGTATTCTTGGTGGCGAAAATGACTGGGAACAAGTAGGAAGAGAGCATCTGGAGTGCTGGCAATGTTTTGTTTCTTGATCTACATGCTGGTTACATAAGTGTGTTCACTTTGTGAAAATTCAGCAAGCTGGATGCTTACTTTTAGTGCACTTGTCTGTACATCTGTTATACTGCAATTAAAAGTTTCATCAAAAAGGAAGTCTACAGTATGTGTTAGGTAGAATAATATCTCCCCCAAAGTTGTACACATCCTAATCCCCAGAACCCATGACTGTGTTAGGTTATATAGCAAAAGGAAATTAATGTTGCTAATCAGCTGTCCTTAAAATAGGGAGATTATCCTGGATTTTACAGGCGGACACAATGTAAACACAGGAGTCCTTCAAAGTGAAAGGGGAAAGTGCAGAGGCCAGGAGTTGGAGACCAGCCTGGGCAACACAGTGAGACCCCTTCTCTACAAAAATGAAAATAAATTAGCTGGGCATGGTGGCATGCACCTGTAGTCCCAGCTATTTGGGAGGCTAAGGCAGGAGGATCACTTCAGCTCAGGAGTTTAAGCCTTCAGTGAACTGTGACCCTGAAAAAAAAACTTGGAATGGCAAGGCAGAGAATAAAAGAGATATAGACAATAGACAGAAGTAGGGGCAGGGTCAGAGAGAGATGCTTGAAGACGAAGGGTTCATAAGCCAAGGAATATGGGCCGCCTCAAGAATCTGAAAAAGACAAGGAAATCTATTATCTCCTAGAGCCTCCAGGAAGGAACTCAGTCCTGCCAACACCTTGATTTTAGCCCAGTGAGACCCATATTGGACTGTTTGTTTATTTATTATTACTATATTTTTTTGCCCCCTCACAGGACAAAGCTAAAACCTTGTTGGACTTTTAACCTACAGAACTGTAAGATAATACACTTGCATTATTTAAACCCACTAAATTTGTGGTAATGTTACAGCAGGAATAGGAGGCTAATACAGTTGGTGTGGGGGAAGATCAAGTGTTCAGTTTTGGATGCATTCGGTGGCTGAACACGTTAGACGTCTTAAGTGGAGATGTTCAATAGGCAGTTGGATACATGACTCTGGAAATCATCAGGGAGGTATGGGCTGGAGATGTAAATTCTTTTTTTGTTTTGTTTTGGTTTTGAGACGGAGTCTCGCTCTGTCGCCCAGACTGGAGTGCACTGGCACAATCTCGGCTCACTGCAACCTCGACCTCCTGGGTTCAAGCGAATCACCTGCCTCAGCCTCCTGAGTAGCTGGGATTATAGCTGCCTGCCACCACGCCCGGCTAATTTTTTTGTATTTTTAGTAGAGACGGGATGTCACATGTTGGCCAGGCTGGTCTCGAACTCCCGACCTCAGGTGATCCACCCGCCTCGGCCTCCCAAAGTGCTGAGATTACAGCTGTGAGCCACCACGCCCGGCCTGGACATGTAAATTCTAGAGTAGAGTTGTCAGCAAAGACAGAAAAGCCAAAAGAATGAATGAGATTAATAAAGGAGTGAGTGTACATAGAAAAGAGGTCTAAGGACTGAGCCCTGGGACACTTTATTCTGGCAACTGACAAACAGCTGGTGGTTTAAAGCTAGTGAGGACACCAAAACAGAGGCATACACTACCAACATGCAAGTGCAGAGCTAAGCAGTAGGTCAGAGGCAGATGCATAAACAAGGCTCATAAGAACGGCCAGGTACTGAAAGCAAGAGTAACAGATGTCAAATACAGGGAAACCGTTTTAGCCACAGGAATAGGAATCCAAGAATAGGCTGGACAATTGGAGTGAGAAAATTTAAGTGCAGAGTCAGGGGAATATATTCTAGAGGTCGGCAAAAATGGGAGTTGGCCCTTAGGCAGCTTTCTGCCTTGGGCTCCTATTGCATCTTTAATTTGGTTTCTGTCCTCTATGGGTGTCTGTGTCTCTCTCTCTTTTTGAGATGGAGTCTCACTCTGTCACCCAGGTTGGAGTGCGGTGGCACAACCTCGGCTCACTGCAACCTCCGCCTCCCAGGTTCAAGTGACTCTCCTGCCTCAGCCTCCCAAATAGCTGGGACTACAGGCGCCTGCCACCATGCCCAGATAATTTTTGTATTTTAGTAGAGACAGGGTTTCACCAAGTTGGCCAGGCTGGTGTCGAACTCCTGATCTCAGGTGATCCGCCGGCCTCGGCCTCTCAAAGTGCTGGGATTACAGGAATGTGCCACCACGCCCTGCTAATTTTTTTTGTTTTTAGTAGAGACAGGGTTTCGCCAAGTTAGCCAGGCTGGTCTCGAACTCCTGACCTCAGGTGATCCACCCACCTTGGCCTCCTAAAGTGCTGGGATTACAGGCGTGAGCCACCACGCCTGGCCGACTGATCTGCTTTCTATCACTGTGGTTTTATTTTTCTAAAATTTCATATAAATGGAATTGTACAACATGTACTCTGTGTCTAGATTCTGTCACTCAACATAATCACTGTTAGATTCACATTTGGATTGTTTCCAGTTTGGAGTTATTATAAATAATGTAAAATTGGCCCTTTTTAAGTGAAGATGGTGATCGCAACTAAATCAAGTTGGGTTTTATTTTTATTCCCCTCCCTGTGGGACATCAGTACCTGGGGAGAAGGATCCTTTTGCTAAAATAAGGTGATGAAAACAAATCTTGTATATTTTAGTCATATTACTCCTTTAAATATCAGTATCTTGTGTTTATTTATTATTATCCTTCTTTTTTATATACAGGGTCTCGCTCTGTCGCCCAAGCTGGAGTGCAGCGGCGCGATCATGGCTCACTGCAGCCTCGAATTCCTGGGCTCAAGATCCTCTCTTCTCAACCTTCCCGAGCAGCTGGGACTACAGGCGTGCGCCACTGAACTCGGCTAATATTGTAGTATTTACTAAGTATCTGTAAATCCTAATCAATATAAGGAAAATAAAGTTTTTTAAATGTTAGGCTTTTTCTTTTAGTTGTAGGAAAATAAATGCTAAAGCCTCTGAATTCAATGATAAAAAATACAAGTCGCTCCCCTAGTGAGGCAAAATTTGGACGGCATTGAGTTTATCTGATGGAAACTAAGCGTGAAGAACCTATCTTTCGACCTGGAAAACTCTGAAGATGAAAGGATTCGATTTACTCACAAACAGGGACCCTGAGATAGCTCTGGCCCCTGAACGCCCAACAAAAGCGGGTAGCTGCTTTGTATGCCGGGATTTGTAGTCCCCGACAGAGTCACTTCAAGATGGCGGAATTGCTAATGACGCGCGAAGGGGCGGGCCCCGAGGGAGTCTGGGCCGCGAGGGGATTGGGTGGCGCAGGAACTTGGCGGGCGGGAAGTAAAAACCAGGTGTTAAAACCTTTGCACTGGGAAAGGCCCAAGTCTCGCGAGAGCTTGGCAGGACCCAATGGAACGTGGGGCCCGACTTATCACAAGGGGCATTTGTTGGGGGCGGAGCTTTGACGGGAGCTTCCCGGGAGCCGTTTGTGCCCGGGGTAACCCCGTTCCGGCCAAGCCGCTTCAGCGGGGGACGTAGCCATGAAGGAAGAGAAGGAGCACAGGCCTAAGGAGAAGCGAGTAACCCTGTTAACCCCCGCCGGGGCCACAGGCAGCGGTGGTGGGACCTCGGGGGACAGCTCCAAGGGGGAAGATAAGCAGGATCGCAACAAGGAGAAGAAAGAAGCGCTGAGCAAGGTGCCCGGTCGGCCGCTGGCCCGGGAGAGGGCGGGACGAGTCCGCAGCGCGGGGAGGATGGCTGGGAATGGGGCTGCCCCCTTTCTTTCTCAGGTTCTCCTTCTATCTCTTCGCCTGAATGGAAGTCGCATCATCCTGGTTCATCCATTCACCCGAAATGGGGAGAGCCCCTCCCGGCCAAATCCTGGGTGGGGGTGAGGAAAAGAGGGGACTCCCCAAACGGGAAGGGTTTAGGTCAGAGCTGTGAGATGATAATGGGAGGGAAGAGCGACGGTATAAAGAATGAGGAACTAAAGGTGTAATTGGGGAGAAATATTAAATAGTGAAGGAGACATGAGGGATGGGAATATTATTCATGGAGGCGAGTTGGGGGAGAGTGCAGGGTGATTAATGGTACAGGAGGGTAGATCGAGAGCATCCTATTTTGAGAGCAATGGGTAGATTTTTTGTATTCGTTAGAGTTTTGAATTCTTAAGTTCAATGGGCAAGGATTTTGTTTTAAGATGTGTTGGACGTGGGAGAAACTTGTTGCTAAATCAAGATTTCGTGGCACCCACAAAGACCAGCGTTGGCTTACTAAGTTATTGCCACTAGATCTGTTAAAAAATGGGTGATCGAAAATGATGCACAAACCTGGTAAACTGCAGGGCTGCTGTAAAGAGCAAAACCTGCGATTTTTCCTTGCTCCAGGTGGTTCTCATTTCCAAGGGTTTTTTTAAACCGCGTTACTATTATGTTTGACTAATTCTGAGCATTGGGCTGCAGAAGAATATTTTCTCCTGGGTTTTTACAAGTGATCTCATATTTTAAAGCCCAGCCTTCTTCAGGAACTGTGATTCTTTCAGGTATGACAGAAAACTGATTTGTACTAATTTTATTTTCCTTATGCATTTCTTAAGGTGGTAATTCGAAGATTACCTCCCACTTTGACCAAGGAGCAGCTTCAGGAACATCTTCAACCTATGCCTGAGCATGATTATTTTGAGTTTTTTTCTAATGATACGAGGTAAAAAAAAAAAAAAAAGGAAAGGGGTAAATGAAAAAGGTTTCTTTCATTCTTTTTATCCTACTGTTTTTCATTTGATTTTTGAGCTTGTCTTTAATATATGCATACTTGTAATTGGGCCAGACACCTGCGAGTACATTTACATAATTGCTTTCCTCTCTGCAGTTTGTATCCTCATATGTATGCCAGAGCATACATCAACTTTAAAAACCAAGAGGACATTATTTTGTTCAGGGATCGCTTTGATGGTTATGTATTCCTTGACAATAAAGGTGAGTCCTGGTAACTGAAGTAAAAAGGGAATTTCTTTGTCATTTGTATGTTTAAGACAACTCGTGCATTGCGTTGCTTCCTAGAGTTTTACACATTTAATAAGCTTATTGCAGTCTTATAAATAGACGTGACTTTTCACAGTCCTTGGTTATTTTTATTAACCTACTATTTTTTTAGTTTGATCAACTGAGTGAAATTGCAACTGTTTTCTCCTCGTGTGACACATTTTTTGCCCTGGCTTAAACCTGCTGTTTTGACTGTAGAATTTCAGCCGCAGTACTGATAAGTGACTCTTAAACTTGTTTGATAAGTTTTAAATATTTACTTCTTATTTTGCTTCGAGGACAAACATTTATTTAATTCAAATCCATTAAGCCAACAGTTCCCAATTGGGATACTGTTTAACATTCTCACAAAGTTGTATATAATTAAAACATGAAACTTGATACATCTCGGCCTGGTGTGGTGGCTCACGCCTGTTATCCCAGCACTTTGGGATGCCGAGGCAGGTGGATCACGAGGTCAGGAGATCGAGACCAGCCTGGCCAACGTGGTGAAACCCCATCTCTACTAAAAATGCTAAAAAAATTAGCCAGGCGTGGCGGTCCACGCCTGTAATCCCAGCTACTTGGGAGGCTGAGGCAGAAGAATCGCTTGAACCTGGGAGGCAGAGGTTGCAGTGAGCTGAGATCACGCCACTGCACTCCAGCCTGGCGACAGAGCGAGACTCTGTCTCAAAATCGAAAAAAAGAAACTTGATACATCTCTTACTTTATATCCAGAAAGGTCCAGTCTATAGGGAAGACACATTTCTACTTTAACACTCTATTATCTGCTACCTACATTTAGCCAGAGAATATCTAAGCTGCCATTTGCCACTTTTCTTTTTGGTTTGCAATTATAGGTAAATAGTGTGTCTTCTTGTTTTGTTTTGTTTTTTTCAATATTACTTCAAAGTTGGTAAAAATTAAATTTTTGTCAGGGACTATGCCAGTAAAAATTGAAGGATTGCCACTGTTTGTCCAACTTTTATTAATCTCCCCAAGCCAGCTATTTTTCCACTCCAACTATTTTATTCCAGTAGATATTTAACTAGATTCTAGTTACTTAGCCTGGAAATCTGAGTTGTGTTTAATTTTTTCCTTTTTTAAAAATCTCTTACATGTAAGTTATGAATCTTGTCAATTTATTGTTTATCTTTTGAGATAGGGTCTCCACCCAGGCTGGAGTGCTGTGGCGCAATCAGAGCTCACTGCAGCCTGGAATTCCTGGACTCAAGCAATCCTCCCACCTCAGCCTCCTGAGTAGCTGGGACTACAGATGTATGTCACCATGCCTGGCTAATTTTCTTTAAATTTTTTATAGAGATGGGGTCTCACTACGTTGCCCAGGCTGGTCTTGAACTCCTGGGCTCAAGTGATTTCCCCCCCCCCACCTCAGCCTCCCAAAGTGCTGGGATTACAGGTGCGAGCCACCATACCCAGCTCAACACCACTTATTAAAGAGACTATCCTTTCCTCATTGTGTTTTTTGTTTGTTTGTTTGTTTTGTTTTGTTTTTAAATCTTAGAGACAAGGTCTGCTTATGTTGCCCAGGCTGGATTTTATTGTTTTTTTTTAATATCTTGTTCACCTAGCCTTAAACAGTCACACTTTATGTCCTCATCACTTAATGCCTAGACAACCACTGTCTCTAAACTTACAGGATTTTCCATTTTTTTCATTCTTGTATAATTCAGTCTATTATATTGCCATGAAATTAATCTTTTTGAAAATAATGATTTAAATTAACAGTTGGGGGAAAAAGTCCAAACTCCTTAGCCTGGTAGTCAGGGTCCTCCATATTCTGGCCTCACTTCTGTTTCTTCAGCCTGTCTTCCACAATTTCCCTCTGTTTCAGTCTGGTTTATCTATTCCTTCTCAAATATATCACAGTTTTGTTTTTTGGTTTTTATTTTTGTTTTTTTTCTTTTTCTTCTCTCTCTCTCTCTTTTTTTTTTTGAGACAGAGTCTTAACTCTGTCGCCCAGGCTGGAGTACAGT
Organism: Homo sapiens; assembly: GCF_000001405.40. Classification (NCBI taxonomy): domain Eukaryota; kingdom Metazoa; phylum Chordata; class Mammalia; order Primates; family Hominidae; genus Homo; species Homo sapiens. Next base: position 119,849,452 of record NC_000023.11, on the reverse strand, counting down.
GGCACAATCTTGGCTCATTACAACCTCCGCCTCCTGGGTTCAAGCAATTCTCGTTCCTCAGCCTGCCGACTTAGCTGGGATTACAGGTGTGTGCCGCCACGCCCAGCTAATTTTTGTAATTTTAGGAGATGGGGTTTCACCATGTTGGCCAGGCTGGTCTCAAACTCCTGGCCTCAAGCAATCCACCCGCCTCAGCCTCCCAAAGTGCTGGGATTACAGGCGTGAGCCACCATGCCTGGCCTAATATATCACAGTTTTGAAGCTAATCTGATTCTCTACTCACTGGGATTCCCAACATAATTTTTCCTCCATGACTGCTTTGCAGTGCCTTCTGGTCAATTCTGTTTATTTTTATTTTTCTGCTTATGTCTACATGCCAATGATTTAAGGATAGGATACCTTGTTTTTGACATTCTGTGACAGGGTGCTTGTGAATTTTTTTCCCATTAGTCACTTGGGGTTTTTGTATTGAAATATAACTCACCTATAATAAAATTCATCCTCTTAAAGCGTACAATTCAGTGGTTTCTGGTATATTCACAAGGTAGTACAACCATCAGTACTAATTCCAGAATGTTTTCATCCCTCCAAAAAGAAACCCATATCTATTAGTAGTTACCTCCCATTCTCTCCCTCCAGCCCCTGGCAACCACTAATCTACTTTATGTATCTATGATTTCCCTCCATTTCATATAAATGTAATCATACAATATGTGGTCTTTTCTGACTGGCTTCTTTTACCTAGCACAATGTTTTCAAGGTCCATCCATGTTGTAACATATAACATATATCATTACCTCATTCCTTTTGCATTTTTAAAAATTGTAAAAATACACGTAACATAAAATTTACCATCTTAACCATTTTAAGTGTACAGTTCAGTAGCATTAAGGTATATTCACACTGTTGTGCAACAATCTTGGGAACTTTTTCATCTTGAAAAACTGAAACTCTTTACCCATTAAACAACTCCTTATTTCCCTTCCTCCAGCCCCTGGCAACCACCATTATACCTTGTGTCTGTATGAGTTTCACTACTGTAGGTACCACATATAGGTGGAAACATACAGTGTCTGTCTGGCTTATTTCATTTAGCATAATATCTTCAAGGTGTATCCATGTCGTAGCATGTGTCAGAATTTTCATCTTTTTTTTTTTTTTTTTTTTTTTTGAGATGGAGTCTCACTTTGTTGCCCAGGCTGGAATGCAGTGGCGCGATCTCAGCTCACTGCAACCTCCGCTTCCTGGGTTCAAGCAATTCTCCAGCCTCAGCCTCCCAAGTAGCTGGGATTACAGGTACCCACCACCACAGCTGGCTAATTTTTTTGTACTTTTGGTAAAGATGGGGTTTCACTGTGTTGGCCAGGCTAGTTTCAAACTCCTGACCTGAAGTGACATGCCTGCCTCAGCCTCCCAAAATGCTAGGAATTACAGGCATGAGCCACTGCCCCCAGCCTCATTTTTAAGACTAATATTCCAGTATATGTATATACCACATTTTGTGTATCCATTCATCTGTCAAGGGGTATTCGAGTTGCTTCCACTCTTGGCTATTGTGAACAATATTGTTATGAACACAGATGTGCACATATTCGAGTCCTTGTTCTCACTGCTTTTGGATATATACCGAGAAATGGAATTTCTGGAGTCATTTGGTAATTCTATTTTTATTTTATTATTTATTTATTTTGAGACAGAGTCTCTGTCACACAGGCTGGAGTGCAGTGGCATGATCTTGGCTCACTGCAACCTCCACCTCCCAGGTGCAAGCAATTCTCCTGCCTCAGCCTCCCAAGTATCTGGGATTACAGACACCTGCCACCACACCCTGCTAATTTTTTATGTTTGTGGTAGAGACGGAGTTTCACCATGTTGGCCAGGCTGGTCTCAAACTCCTGACCTCAAGTGATGCGCCCACCTCGGCCTCTCAAAGTGCTGAGGTTACAGGTGTGAGCCACTGTGCCCCGCCGGTAGTTCTTTTTTGTTTTGTTTTGTTTTTTTGAGATGGAATTTCGCCCTCATTGCCCAGGCTGGAGTAAGTACAATGGCGCGATCTTCCCTCATTGCAACCTCCACCTCCTGGGTTCAAGCAATTCTCCTGCCTCAGCCTCCTGAGTAGCTGGGATTACAGGTGCCCACCACCACACCCAGCTAATTTTTGTATTTTTAGTAGAGATGGGGTTTTACCATGTTAGTCAGGCTGGCCCAATAATTCTATTTTTAATGTTTTATGGAACTGCCATACTGTTTTCCATGCAGCTGCATCATTTTACATTCCCACCAATACATGAGTGTTCCAGTTTCTCCACATCTTTGCCAACACTTGTTATTTTCTGCTTTTTGATAGTAGTCCTCCTAATAGGCGTGAGATGATACCTCATTGTGGTTTTGATTTGCATTTCCCTAATGACTAGTAATGTGGAACATATTTCCATATGCTTGTTAGCCATTTGTATATTATCTTTGAAGAAATGTCTATTCAAGTCTTTTGACCATTTTTTAAATTGGGTTATTTGGTTTTTTGTTGTTGAGTTATAGGAGTTCTTTATATATTCTCGATATTACCCCTTATCAGATAATATAATTTGCAAATATTTCTCCCATTCCATGGGTTGCCTTTTCACTCTGTTGATTGTGTCTTTTGATGCATAGAAGTTTCTAATTTTGACGTAGTCCAATTTATCTATTTTTTACTTTTTTTAAATAAGAGATATACTTTATATTTTTGTTTTATTGTGGTAAGAACACTTAACATGAGATCTACCCTCTGTATTTTTACTTTTGTTGCCTGTGCTTTTGGTGTCCTGGTGTATTTTTTTTTAAGTGTTAACAGATTTTTCCCCAGCTTTATTGAGCTATAATTGACAAATAAAATAATATATATTTAAATTTTACTATGTAATAATTGTTTTTTCTTTTTTCTTTTTCTTTTTTTTTTTTTTTTTTTACCAGGCTCGAGTGCAGTGGCACAATCTCAGCTTACTGCAACCTCCGCCTCCCAGGTTCAAGTGATTCTCCTGCCTCAGTCTCCCAAGTAGCTGGGATTACAGGCGTGCACTATCACGCCTGGCTAATTTTTGTATTTTTATTTATTTTTATTTTTATGTATTTATTTTTTTGAGACGGAGTCTTACTCTGTCGCCCAGGCTGGAGTGCAGTGGCATGATCTCGGCTCACTGCAATCTCTGCCTCCTGGGTTCAAGTGATTCTCATGCCTCAGCCTCCAGAGTAGCTGGGATTGCAGGCACGTGCCACCACGCCCAGCTAATTTTTGTATTTTTAGTAGAGACAGTGTTTCACCATGTTGGCCAGGCAGGTCTCAAACTTCTGACCTCAGGTGATCCTCTCATCTCGGCCTCCCAAAATGCTGGGATTATAGGCATAAGCCACGGTGCCCAGCCCAACGTGATAATTTTATATATGTATACATTATGAAATGTATACATTATGAAATGTATACATATTGTATACATATATACATTATGAAATGTATACATAATGTATACATATATACATTATGAAATATATACAATCAAGTTAACACATTCATCACCTCACATAACACATCACCTCAAATAGTTACACTTTTAAAAAATAACAGCTTTATTGAGATATAATTCACATGCCTGAAATAGTCACCCTTTTAAAGTATACAGTTCAGTGAATTTTAGTATATTCATAGGCTTATGAGCCTATCACCACAATCTAAATTTAGAACATGTTCATCACCCCTAAGAGAAACCCCACCCATTAGTTGTCACTCCTCATTCTTCTCACCACTTCTACCCCAAACTCCAGGCAGCTACTACTCTACGTTCTGTCTCTATAGATTTGCCTATTTTGGAGATTTCTAACATTTTAAAATGAAAAATAGTTTGTAGGGTCTTTTTCACATTAAAATATCACATTTTATAAGTTGAATTTATATGAATATTTTACTTTCATGCCGTGTTGTTTCACTATGTTATCAGTGTGAATTTGTGGCTCCTTTTGTAGTATGTTGATTATGGTTGTGCCAGTGTGCTTTATGCCTTTGGGAGACCCTCTTCAGATGACTGCCATCAAAAGAGTCATAGAAAGCAATGGGTTGATTCCCTTATATCCACTTTTGACATTTTCTTTGTTATAGCAAGTGTGGTATTTTTTTTCTAAACAGGTCAGGAATATCCCGCTATAGTAGAATTTGCACCTTTTCAAAAAGCTGCAAAAAAGAAGACTAAGAAAAGAGATACCAAAGTCGGGACTATCGATGATGGTACAGTATAGCTCTAATTATATAATGCTATTGCTGTGGGGTTTTTAAAAATAATATCTTTGTGAGAGTTAATTCGACCCCAAAATTTTAAATTAGAAAATATACAAAATAAAGTAAGTGAGAAATGTTATTTGCCGATGGAAGCTTTGCTTAATTGTTAGACTAGAGAGAGTTTCTTGCACAGAATCTCTGCTCTCTTTGGCTAGGGCATTTCATTCTTCAACCATTGAACAATATAATGTTGACTATTGAGTAACAAATCACCATAGGTTTATTGATTAGAAGATAGTGGAAAGGCCAGGCGTGGTGGCTCACGCCTATAATCCCAGTACTTTGGGAGGCCAAGGCGGGCGGATCATCTGAGGTCAGGAGTTTGATACCAGCCTGACCAACATGGAGAAACCCTGTCTCTACTAAAAATATAAAATTAGCCGGGTATGGTGGTGCATGCCTGTAATCCCAGCTATTCGGGAGGCTGAGGCAGGAGAATCTCTTGAACCCAGGAGGCGGAGGTTGCAGTGAGCTGAGATCACACCATTGCACTCCAGCCTGGGCAACAAGAGCGAAACTCCATCTCAAAAAAAAAAGAAAAAGAAAATAGTGGAAAAAAATCAGGTTTCAAAGTTTAACAGGTGCTTCTTGAGGCCTCACCATTTTTATGATTATTTATTTGACTTTTGGTTTCCATTATATTTATAAAGAAGAAGGTTTGAACTGTCATGGGAAAATTTCCATACCCAGGTAACTTTGTATAAAGTAGCTGAAGTTGTCACTCCTATTTTCTGGTCTTTGGATATACAATTAGCTACACACATAGTATTAGGTTGAACAGGAATAGAAGAACTGAGGCCAGGCGCGGTGGCTCACTCCTATAATCCCAGCACTTTGGGAGGCCAAGGCGGGCAGAGTTGCTGAGGTCAGGAGTTCGAGACCAGCCTGGCCAACATGGTGACACCCCATCTCTACTAAAAACACAAAAATTAGCTAGGCATGGTGGCGGGCACCTGTAATCCCAGCTGCTTGGGAAGCTGAGGCAGAAGAATCACTTGAACCCGGGAGGCGGAGGTTGCAGTGAGCTGAGACCGCACCATTGCACTCCAGCCTGGACAACAAAAGCAAAACTCCGTCTCAAAAAAAAAGAAAGAAAGAAAGAAATACAAGAACTGAAAAACCAAAATAATTGCCATTTAAGGTACACTGGCTCCAGATTTTGAGACCTCTGTAATGTTATGTTAGATAGCTGTTACACAACTCTTTATGTTGGATAAGGACTAGGACCATATTTTATATCAGATTGTTACTTTAGAATCATCTAGTTTAATTTCCATCATTTGTTACTATTACAGGTATTTTATAAAGAAAACACGGTAAGGACTCAATAACACATAGCTGTGATACTGGTTTTATTACAGATTTAGATCTGGAAGACTTGATCAAGTGACACATAGAAACAAGCAATATAATGGCTTAGATGTGTCACCCTTTCTGATGTTAGAGGTCTAGGAGAGAACTCCAGGAATTCCCATCACCTCAAGTGCCACATCTAGGACTTCTCTCTAATTTATCTTTTTGGAACACCTAACTTAGTTTAGTAGGACAGTGACTTTTAAAAGCAAACTATGTAATACCCCTAGTGGTTCTGTTATAATGCATGGCGTCTCATTTTTCCTGACCCCATGTTATACCAGATTCCTATAGTGAGTATCAGTGATAGGAGTCCTGAGAGCAAGTGACCAATTAAGCTCTAAATAGTCTACCTTGTGGGTATGGTTTGGTTTTTTTTAATCTTCCACGAAGTAAAAAATTATCTTCTTTGATAAATCAGTATTGTAGATAATGTCTTCTTTTTTTGTTTAAAGTCTATTATATTTTCTGTTTCCTCAAATGATTATTTAGATCCAGAATATAGAAAGTTTTTGGAAAGTTATGCCACAGATAATGAGAAAATGACATCTACTCCAGAGACACTGCTAGAGGAAATAGAAGCAAAAAATAGAGAATTAATAGGTAAGTGGGCAAAAAGAATCAGGGCAACAGTCTTTTCATCACAGTACCTAAGTCTCCTACCTCCATCAGTTGCTAGCTGTGTGACTTCAGGGAAGTTACTAGTTTCTCTGAGACTGTTACTGTAAATTGCAGATGGTAATACCTGCCTCACAGCATTATGAGAATCCATTAAAGTGGGAAAAATTCTTTGACCTATTTAGTTTCACACAAATGTAATATAAATACAAAAAGTTCGATGACTGATAAGGAATGTTTAGACAGTGGTAAGCCTTTGAAGGTCAATTGGTATTTTCTAGTAATAAGTTCATATTCCTAAAAAAATTTTGACTTGAAAATACGAAAAAATGAAATTAGTTACTGCAAAATTGAAAACTACTTGAGGAATTCTAGCTTGGATCTTGGTTCTCAGTAATAGGCTGTCACTACTGTATCAGTAGCTCTAAACATGAGCATAATCTTTGACCCAGGATTTCTACTCAGGAATTTATCCTAAGGAATATGTGGGGTTTTTTTGTTTGTTTGTTTGTTTTTTTTGCTTGCTTGCTCGCTCGCTCTCTCTCTGTGTGTGTGTGTGTGTGTGTGTGTATGTGTGTGTGTGTGTGTGTGTGTGAGAGATGGAGTCTTGCTCTGTCGCCCAGGCTGGAGTGCAGTGTCGCAATCTCGGCTCACTGCAACTTCCGCCTCCTGGGTTCAGGCGATTCTGCCGCAGTCTCCCGAGTAGCTGGAAGTACAGGTGTCCGCCACCACGCCCGGCCAATTTTGTATTTTTAGTAGAGCCGGGGTTTCACCATGTTGGCCAGGCTGATCTCGAACTCCTGACCTCAAGTGATCCGCCTGCCTTGGCCTCTGAAAGTGCTGGGATTACAGGCATGAGCCACTGTGCCCGGCCAGGAATATGTGTTTTAAGATGGCTGTAAGGCCAATAGCTTATTCAGAATGTTGAAAATGAAAAATATTCTTCCAAAACTTGACTTTTATTAATAGATGGATAGTACAAGCCTATTTCTGGTAACTTTCTTAGAATAAATTCCCAGAAGTGGAATTATGGGGTCAAAAGGATTAGATATTTTTAGCCCCTTCCCCCCAACTTCTTCCAGTTGAACAAGTTTACACTCCTATCAGTAAAACAAGAGAATGTCCTAAGTACTTAATTCTCATCAGTTGGGAATGACTCTTTTAATAAATTATTTTGTTGTTTTAATTTGAATTTCTTTACTTTTTAAAAGGTATTTTAATCCCGTATTGTTGAAATCGAATGCTGTAAAACTTCTTTCTGATATTACAATTGTGATCTTTCTGCATAAGGGGTGTACATGTTTTCCCACCTTGGGTGGTTGGCAGGGAATGTCAGAAAATGGAATCGTTTCTAGGGGTTGATAAGTATGATTAATAATCTGTTTACATTTATGTAGCTAAAAAGACAACCCCACTTTTGAGCTTCCTGAAAAACAAGCAGGTAAATCTTTTGTCTTTATAGTTCTCTCAATACTTTAATTTCTTTGCTTTGCATTCTATAAACATTTTAAGAGCATTGGGTTTCTAGAGGAGAAATAGCTGCTTTTTCCACCATTACTCTTTAAGGATTTGCCTTCTTGGTCTCACTCTCTAGCCTGCTCCTTCACTCTGGTTGTTGGACCAGGAGTTCACTCTACAAACGTGGAATGTTCTTAGGTTGTCCCAGAGACACTCATTTGATATTCTGAAAGCCTCTGGAGAGATAGTAAGGCAGCAGTGGAAGAATAATATTAGCAGGTTCTGGTCTTCATTGTCTTTCGTTTTCTGGGTGGAGTGGGGATAACGGTGGTAGAATGCCACTTTGTAGAAAGTAGGAAGGAAAGATTATTCAGTTGGGGCCTACCATGACTTCAGGATTTATTAGGGTTTTGGTGATGATTATTTTATTTGAAGGCTTGTGTTGATGTTTCTTTCTAGAGAATGAGAGAAGAAAAGAGAGAAGAAAGGAGGAGGAGAGAAATAGAAAGAAAAAGACAAAGAGAAGAAGAGAGGAGGAAATGGAAAGAAGAAGAGAAACGAAAAAGGAAAGATATAGAAAAGCTAAAGAAGATAGACAGAATTCCAGAAAGGGACAAATTAAAGGATGAACCAAAGATTAAGGTATAAGAATGTTGAAACTGACTGCATGTTGCTAAAAATTGCACGTATCTACTTCTTTAAATATGCATGCGTCTTGTGTTGGTGTAAATGAATTTTTTGTTTTGTTTTTGTTCTCTTTTGGGGGGAAGTGATCCAATAAAAATCTTTCCTGTAATAGTATTAGTTTTTAAATTTAAGATCATTTAAAAGGATAAAGTAGTATGTTATTTCTTCAGTGCAGATCTGTGCTGTTTTTGTCATTGAAAATGTTGGATTTTTAGACTATTGTCCTCTAAATTCATAGTAAATGAGGGCTTAGGGCTGGCTGGCATGATTTATGGTTTTTTTTCAGCTTTTTCTTCATAATTGATACATGAAGTTACCTCATCTGTTTGTTTTCCACTGTCTTCAGGTACACAGGTTTCTGTTACAAGCTGTGAATCAGAAAAATGTAAGGACCAAGTACATGATACAGAGCATCTAGTATCATGTCACACACACAGGTCTTAGCTAATAAGTCCTTTTGGTGGTGGTGGTGGTAGTGTTACTTGTTGAAAACCCCTTCAGGTTGACTTGAGTCTTCTTAAAAGCTGAGCTATTTTATTATAAATTTCTACTTTAAAAGGAAGCCCAGGTGACTTCCTGATGCTCTGCTGTGTGCCCAGAAGCTTCATTGACCTACAGCCAGAGGACAACCATGCCTATATAGTTCTTTCTCATCTTCTTATATGCTTCTCATAACTGGCTGCCTTGTGGGAGGACTAGGGATAAATACCCTGCAATATGTGCCTTTCCCTCTCACATGACTCCCGTAGTATCTTCCTGCATATATCTGGGAATCTGTGAGCAGCAGATTCGGATTCATGCATTGCATTTGGGAAGAAGAAAACCTGCAGAAAGATCCCAACCTTGCCACTTCCCTTCTAAGGGCATGGCTTGGGCAGCCCTTGTTTCAACATATTTCCTGGGGAAGTACTAGTACCTAGCACTTCAGATAAAGTCAAAGAAAATCTCACAGAGAGGGTGGCAGGGTCTCCTTATTTTATTTCCTGAAAACTCAGCAGTTTATGTAGCAAGGGTTCCCTAAGTCTCTACGGGGCTCATTACTGATGATGAGGGGCTTGGGGGAGGATGGAGTTTCTCATCTTAATTCTTTCCAGCAATCTCTCTGTCTGCTATGCCACAAGTGACTTGACTTGCTATTCCTAACAATCAGCAAGGCAGAAGGTAGAGCCAGCCATGCTAGAGACATTCATTAATGTTCTTATTAGAGTAATGAACACCTTGGTTTCTAATAAGGATGTTCATTGGAGAAATAAGAGCACTTCCAATGAAACCTGCACATGGTATCCTCATTTTACACTGGTGCCTTCTCAGTGTCCATTTTGGACTCACCATTTGCAGTGGCTGTCTGTGTGCCAAAATGCTTTGTGCTTATGTCTTGTGGTGCTTTGCCTTTTGCTTAGTAATTTACATGATGCCTTCACCCTGAGATGAACCTTGTGTGATACCTTCACTCTGAGACTTGAAATTCTTCTATTTTGCCTAAGAATCTCTCTGATTATCCGACACTTGGAGGTATTCTCGAGAGATTCATAGCAGCAATGTAAAAAACAATGGCATTTTTGAACATGCGTAAATATGGCATTAAATACAGAGTTCCTACTCAGTAGAGATGGAACTTCACTATTTGGTTGTATAAGGCCTTTAGATTTTTAAATCAAATGCCAAATAATTCTTGTTATTAATCTCTAATGGCAAGATAATTGTACCATCATAAGTATGTTATTCTCAGGCTCAAGGCAAAATTATTCCTGCAATGGATCTCTCCTTTGGTGACCAAGGTATTTGTCATTCCAAGTACTACATAAAAACAGTCCCAACAGAAACGATCTGCCTATCACTTAAAATTTGTGGGCTGTTTCCCATTAAGTTATATCAACATGCTGGTTTGCTACAGAAGCATACTTTGAAGTATGCATTGGTTCACTTAAAGGTTGACCCATTTAAAGCCAAAGGAAGCCGGGCACAGTGGCTCACACCTGTAATCTCAGCACTGTGGGAGGCCGAGGCAGAAGGATGGTGTGAGCCCAGAAGTTTGAGAACAGCCTGGGTGACATGATGAGACCTTGTCTCTACAAAAAAATTAAAAAATTAGCCATATGTGGTGGTGTGCATCTGTTGTCCTAGCTACTCAAGAGGCTGAGGCAGGAGGACCACTTAAGCCCAGGAGGTCAAGGTTGCGGTGAGCCATGTTCATGCCACTGCACTCCAGCATGGGCAACAGAGTAGTGAGACCCTGCCTCAGAATAAAAGCCAAAGGAGTCTTGATCCTATTGCCACAAAGTGATTAAACCACTTCGTTCAAGTGGATAACACTTTAACATTAATAGCATCCTTTTAGTAAATTACTACTCTTATGCACTAGTTGTTCACCTGAAAGATTAAGTGTACCTGCAGAGATAGGGGGCTTTGTCTAGTCTAAATTTTAAATATTTGGTATACTGGGTTTTTAATAGAAGATAGTGTCCCAGCCTTCAAAATAAAAATAAACATTTTATCTTTAAAGCTGCTCAAGAAGCCAGAAAAAGGAGATGAAAAAGAATTGGACAAAAGAGAAAAAGCCAAGAAATTGGACAAAGAGAATCTCAGTGATGAAAGAGCCAGTGGGCAAAGTTGTACATTGCCCAAGCGTTCTGATAGCGAACTTAAAGATGAAAAACCAAAGAGGTCAGTAGTCAAGGACTCTTTGTTATGTTTGATTTATACATGCTAGTTTTGCTGCTATGTCCTGGACATGTACCTGAATTAAGATAAGCTGTTTTATGCAGGGCAGGGGGATGAGGAGGAACAGTTTCAGAATATTCTTGTATCTTAATCTGGGTGAATGGTTTTGGGGTTTTGTTCCTTCTTAAAACACTAGTATTTTTCACTCTGCTCTAAAAGTGCAACCTCATTGCAGGGGCCAAATCAGAATCACAGTGTTCCTGCATTTGTGATTACAAGATCTTTCAGGGTTCTGTCTCAGATTTGTTTTTCATGCAGACCTGAAGATGAGAGCGGCAGAGACTATAGGGAGAGGGAACGGGAATATGAACGAGATCAGGAGCGCATACTTCGAGAAAGAGAGAGGCTGAAGCGGCAAGAAGAAGAGCGCCGTAGGCAGAAGGAGCGCTATGAGAAAGAGAAGACTTTTAAGAGAAAAGAAGAAGAAATGAAAAAAGAGAAAGACACACTTCGGGATAAAGGAAAGAAGGCTGAAAGTACAGAATCAATAGGCAGCTCAGAAAAAACTGAAAAGAAAGAAGAAGTGGTCAAGAGAGATCGAATAAGAAACAAGGTGCTGCTTGTCATTAAACTTGTTTATGAGGGTTTTTTTCCCTTTTCCTGCAAGTGTAAAGAAAGTGTAAAGGGCACTGTTATTATAGAATTTTTAAAGGGGAACTTTAATCATCTGCAACTTTTTTTTTTTTTTTTTTTTGAGACAGAGTCTGACTATGTTGCCCAGGCTGGAGTGCAGTGGCACAATCTCGGCTCACTGCAAGCTCCGCCTCCTGGGTTCACGCCATTCTTCTGCTTCAGCCTCCCAAGTAGCTGGGACTACAGGCGCCCACCACCACGCCTGACTTATTTTTTTGTATTTTTAGTAGAGACAGGGTTTCACCGTGTTAGCCAGGATGGTCTTGATCTCCTGACCTCGTGATCCACCTGCCTCAGCCTCCCAAAGTGCTGGGATTACAGGCGTGAGCCACCACGCCTGACCAACTTTTATTTCAGTCTTGGCTGGGCTTTTATTAACTTACTATAGAAATTGTAAACATACACAAAAGTAGAATAGAGAATAGTATGATGGGCCAGGTGCAGTGGCTCACACCTGTAATCCTAGCACTTTGGGAGGCTGAGGTGGGTGGATTGCTAGAGCCTAGGAGTTCTAGACCAGCCTGGCCAACATGGTGAAACCCCGTCTCTACTAAAAATACAAAAAATCGGCTGGATGTGGTGGCGCACACCTGTAATCTCAGCTACTCGGGAGGCTGAGGCAGAAGAATCACTTGAACCTGGGAGGTGGAGGTTGAGGTGAGCCGAGATCACGCCATTGTATTCTAGCCTGGGCAACAGAGCGAGACTCAGTCTCAAAAAAAAAACTGGCCGGGCGCGGTGGCTCACGCCTGTAATCCCAGCACTTTGGGAGGCCAAGACGGGTGGATCACGAGGTCAGGAGATCAAGACCATCCTGGCTAACATGGTGAAACCCCATCTCTACTAAAAATACAAAAAATTAGCCAGGCGTGGTGGCGGGCGCCTGTAGTCCCAGCTACTCGGGAGGCTGAGGCAGGAAAATGGCGTGAACCTGGGAGGCGGAGCTTGCAGTGAGCCGAGATCGCGTCACTGCACTCCAGCACGGGCAACAGAGCGAGACTCTGTCTCAAAAAAAAAAAAAAAATCGAATAGTATGATGAACTCCATGTACTGTACCCATCACCCAGCAGTTCATAGCCAACCTTCTTTCTATTCTACTTCATCCCTACCCCTACTAGATTATTTTCAAACAAACCCTGCACATAATTTCTTCCTTAAATACTTCAGTATATGAGATAAATACTCTATTAATATTACCCTAGTAGCATTTTCACACCAAAAAAAACTAACAATAATTCCTTAACGTCCTGTCTATTCAGTGTTCATATGTTCCCAATTGCTTCATTAATGTCTTTTTAAAATTAATTAATTATTTATTTTTTGCGATGGAGTCTCGCTCTGTCATCTAGGCTGGAGTGCAGTGGCATGATCTCAGCTCACCACAACCTCCACCTCCCGGGTTCAAGTGATTCTCCTGCCTCAGCCTCCCGAATAGCTGAGACTACAGCCTCAAGCCACCATGCCCGGCTAATTTTTGTATTTTTAGTAGAGACAGGGTTTCACCATGTTGGCCAGGCTGGTCTCGAACTCCTGACCTCAGGTGATCCTCCCGCCTCAGCCTCCCAAAGTGCTGGGATTACAGGCATGAGCCACCGTGCCCAGCCTAATGTCTTTTTTTTAATAGGACCTAAACAAATTCCACAAATTATGCTTCCTTGAAATGTCTTCTTCAGTTCTCTTTTGTTTTTAGTTTATTTTTTGAGACAGAGTCTTGCTATGTCACCCAGGCTGGAGTGCCGTGGTACAATCTCAGCTCACTGTAGCCTCGACCTCCTGGGCTTAAGCCATCCCCCTACCTCAGCCTCCAGAGTAGCTGGGACTACAGGCATGCATCACCATGCCCAGCTAATTTTTAAGTTTTTTTGTAGAGATGAGGTCTCCCTATGTTGCTCAGGCTGGTCTCAAACTTTTGAGCTCAGCCGATCCCCTCAAAGTATTGGGAATAAAGGTATGAGCCACTGCACCCAGCCAAGTTTTCTTTTAATCTAAACAATTTCCCCTTCTCTTGTTTTCCTACCATTTGTTGCAGAAACCAATTTGTCTTGTAGGGCTTTTCCTGTTCTGAATTGGCAGATTACATCCCCATGCTGTTATTTAACGTGTTCCTCTGTCTTCTGTGCTTCCTTTAAAACTGGCACTTAGGGCCTGGCATGATGGCTCATGCCTGTAATCCCAACAATTTGGGAGGCCAAGTCAGGAGGATCACTTAAGCCCAAGAGTTGGAAAGCAGCCTGGGCAACATAGGGAGAGCTTGTTTGTACTAACAATGTAAAAACAGCCCAGTGTGGTAGTGCGTGCCTATAATCCCAGTTACTAGGTACCTGAGGTGGGAGGATCGTTTGAGTCTGGAATGTCGAGGCTGCAATAAGCCTTGATCATCCCACTTGCTCTTCAGCCTGGGTGACAGGGTGAGGCCCTATCTCCAAAAAAAAATTTACCCAAGCATATAAAATAGTAATTACCAAATGGTTGCTTTTCTTTGGAGATGGAGAGAGGAAGTAGGCAAGTTGTCATTTACCGTGCCCTCACATTTTTGGTCTTAAATGACTTCACTTGAGCATATATTCATACATAACTATGACTCTTAAAAATCCCATATAAAAGCTTAGTAGCATTGTTGTAATGGTAACATATTTTATTGTACTTCAGGATCGTCCAGCGATGCAGCTTTACCAACCAGGAGCTCGAAGCCGAAATCGACTCTGTCCCCCTGATGACAGCACCAAGTCTGGAGATTCAGCAGCAGAAAGGAAGCAGGAAAGTGGTATTAGCCATAGAAAAGAAGGAGGAGAGGAGTGATAAGTCCAGATGGCCTTAGGTGTCCTGACTGTCTAGGCAGCCAAAGAGCACACGTTAAGCAATCCAGAGGTGCCTTCAGGGCAAAGAATAGAGAGAAAGGGAGCCGCTGTGCTGGTGGGGTACACTGCAGAGGAGTAAGTCTTGTGTCAAAGCAGGAATCTGATCAGAGGTTCAGAATTGGAAGTACAATTTCATTGCTTTTGCAATTTCTACAAATTAATTTTAAAGTGTCAGAAAAAGGTGACGGCAAGGACATGCATTGCAATTTGCAGGGGGAATTGTCAAGTGAGGACTTCATCACATATGACACGAGAGAAAAGTAAGAGCTGGTTCTAAAATCAAAAGCTGTTGTTCATCCTGAATTGAATTTTCTGAATTTGGGTGGAGCAGAGTCGCTTTGAAGCCTTGTTCCGATCTAATTCTATTGTATTGTTGATGATAAGTGTTGACATTGGGTAGTGTAGAAGCAACAAGCATGTCCTTGTAGTACAGGTACAGTGAAGGATAGAACACACTTTCGTTGATACAAAAATTTAAATAGTTATGTTACTTCTGTATCCAGTGTCCTAAAGTTTTAGGATTAGTTTTAGTTTTTTGTTTGCTTATATGAGCTTAGCGTAAAGAATATTTTTAAACTTCGTGTTTTGTCATCAGCATCTTTTCTATTAAGAGGTAAAATGTAGTCCTTGTTTGACTCTTGACAATCCAGTGTGTTTGATCTTAGGTCTCATGATCTGAGTGCATACCCTCTCCAGGAAGGAAACTGCACCAGTGTCTATTCCTGTTAAATAGCAACTTTTAGTCTCAGCTTGTTTCGTTTTGATGTCAATAAATAGTAACAGCATTCAAGTGTGAAGCTAAGTGTGTTTATTAACTTTACTAAATAGCTATGAGTTTTGAGAAATTAAATTTTTGACATCTGACATCACTCACCTTCTAGTGAAGCCTAAGGGAGCTTTAACTCATGGCAGAAGGTGAAGTAGAAGCAGGCATCTCACCCAAAACTGTAAACAAAAGTAAGAGCTGGTTCTAAATAAAACAAATAAAAGTCTATTAATTTAAACATAAAATAGGCTGGATGCAGTGGCTCACGCCTGTAATCACAGCATTTTGGGAGGCCAAGGTGGGCGGATCACTTGAGGTCAGGAGTTCAAGACCACCCTGGCCAACATGGTGAAACCCCATCTCTACTAAAAATACAAAATTATCTGGGCGTGGTGGTGGGCATCTGTAATCCCAGCTACTCGGGAGGCTGAGGCACGAGAATTGCTTGAGCCTGGGAGGTGGAGATTGCAGTGAGTCAAGATTGTGCCTCTGCACTCCAGCCAGGGCAACAGAGCAAGACCCCATCTCTAAAATAATTTTTAAAAATTAGCTGGGCATAGTGGTGTGCACCTGTAGCCCCAGCTACTCAGGAGGCTGAGACTGGAGGATCACTTCAGTCTGGGAAGTCAAGGCTACAGTGAGCCATGATCACACCACTGCACTCCAGCCTTGGTTACAAAGTGAGACCGTGCCTCAAAAAATTTAAAAAAATAATAATTTAAAAATAAATATAAACTGTTAGAAACAATAGGAAAGCAAGTGTTTGATCAATTTCTGCCTCCTTTTGTTCAGATACATGTTTGATTTCTTTGGAAATAAAGGTAGTATGGAGACAACTCAGACCTTGGCTGTCTAAACAATATTTGAGCACCTCCTAGTATGTGTTGGCACTGACACTATGGTAGTGAACACAACGTGGTTGCTTTCTCATGATGCTTACAGCCATGGGGAGTTAGCTGCTCTGGTGGAGAGAAGTGATGCTAGGGGAAGGAGGCAGGAAAAATTGAAAGGGTGAGGGCAGTGGGGGGTAGCTAGTTCCAGGGAAGTGAAAAAGGATGACTTGGGCATTCATGAAGCTTTAATGCCTTCAAAATCTGGAGGAACTGGAACTGGACCACCCTCCACAGCATGCATACGTTAGGTAGTCCGGAGACAGTAATGAAGCTTTGATTATAAAATTAAGATGTAACTTTCTATGGTATTCACAGATGTTATCTTTAATTCCATAGAGGAAAGGTTAAGGAGGTTTTGTAACCTTTTGTTGGTATAAAGAGTCCTGTATGTTACATGTTTTTGATGGCAGGGTGGGGTCAGGCTGCCTAGATTTTTCTTTACTGTCTCTGGGCTGTCCTTTATACTACAAAAATTTATTAAACCAATTATATCATTATTCAAGGTAGCCAAGATTACACTTGGTAAATTCTTGGAAAGTGTATGCTGACAGCTATATACATAGGATTAGTCATCCTTAGAAATCTCACAAAAGGCCAGGCATGGTGGCTCATGCCTGTAATCCCAGCACTTAGGAAAGCCACGGAAGCCACGGTGGGTGGATCACATGGGGTCAGGAGTTTAAGACCAGCCTGGCCAACATGGCAAAAACCCGTCTCTACTAAAAATACAAAAATTATCCGAGTGTGGTGGTGGGCACCTGTAATCCCAGCTACTCTGGAGGCTGAGGCAGGAGAATTGCTTGAACCTGGGAGGCAGAGATTGCAGTGAGCCAAGATCATGCCACTGCAATCCAGCCTGGGCAACAGAGTGAGACTCCGTCTCAAAAAAAGGAATGAAATGGGCCAGGTGTGATGGCTCATACAGGTAATCCTAGCATTTAGAAGGCCAAGGCAAGAGGATCACTTAACTTCAGGAATTTAAGACCAGCCTGGGCAACATAGGGAGACCCCATCTCTACTAAAAATTTAAAAACTTAGCCCAGTGTGGGAGAGTGTGCCTGCAATCCCAGCTGCTAGGGAGCTGAGATGGGAGGATCGCCTGTATCTGGAATGTCAAGGCTGCAGTGAGCCGCAATTGTGCTACTTGCACTTCAGCCTGGGTGACACAGATCCTGTAAAAGAAATTTACCCAGGCTTATAAAATAATAATTACAAAATGGTTGCTTTTCGTTGGAGATGGAGAGAGGAAGTAGAGAAGTTGTCATTTACTGTGCCCTCATATTTATGGTCTTAAATGACTGGGCTTTAGGATATATTAATATATAACTTATGATAAAGAAAATCCCATGTAAAAGCTTAGTAGCATTGTTGTAACAGTAACATATTTCATTGTACTTCAGGGTCGTCCAGGGATGCAGTCTTACCATCCAGGAGTTCAAAGCCACTATCAACACTATTTTCCTGATGACAGCACCAACTATAGATACTCACCAGTAGAAGAAAAGCAGGAAAGTAGTATTAGCTGTAGAAAAGAAGGAGGAGGCCAGGCGTGGTGGCGCACACCTGTAATCCCAGCACTTTGGGAGGCTGAGGCGGGCAGATCGCATGAGGTCAGGACTTCGAGACCAGCCTGGCCAACATGGTGAAACTCAGTCTCTACTAAAAATACAAAAATCTGTCGGGTGTCGGGGCAGGTGCCTGTAGTCCCAGCTACTTGGGAGGCTGCAGCAGAATTGCTTGAACCTAGGAGGCAGAGGTTGCAGTGAGCAGAGATTGTGCCATTGCACTCCAGCCTGAGCAACAAAGTGAGACTCAATCTCAAAAAAAAAAAACAAAAAAAGGAGGAGGAGAGGTGTGTGATAAGTCCTGATGGCCTTAGGTGTCCTGACTGTCTAGGCAGCCAAAGGGCACATGGTAAGCCATCCAAAAGTGCCTTCAGGGCAAAAGAATAGAAAGGGGGTCGCTCTGCTCGTGGGGTACACGGCAGAGGAGTAAGTTTTATGTCAAAGCAGGAATCTGATCAGAGGTTCCGAATTGGAAGTACAATTTCATCATTTTTGCAATTTCTACAAATTAATTTTAGTGTCAGAAAAAGCTGATGGTGAGGACATGCATTGCAGTTTGCAGGAGGGAAATGTCAAATGAGGACTTCATCACATATGACATGAGAGAAAAGTAAAAGCTGGTTCTAAAATCAAAAGCTGTTGTTCATCCTGAATTGAATTTTCTTAATTTGGGTGGAGTAGAGTGTCTTTGAAGTCTTGTTCCGATCTTGTTCTATTGCATTGTTGTTGGTAACTGTTGACTTTGTGTAGTGTAGAAGCAAAAAGCATGTCCTCATAGTACAAGTACAGGGAAGGATAGAACAAACTTTCATTGATGCAAATATTTATTTTTTATTTCTTTTTTTTTTTTTTTGAGACACAGTACTGAATTCATCTCTTGGAAGTATTGAAAGGAGAGGAATGATATTACTTTCTGCCTTCACTAGCTTACCTTGGTTTTTTCCACCAGGGAAAGATCAATTCATGGTTCACTACTATGTTAGGCCATTCTTGCATTGCTATAAAGAAATGCCTAAGAGTTGTTAGTTTATAAGAAAAGAGGTTTAATTGGGTCACAGTTCTGCAGGCTGTACAAGCATAGCATCTGACATCGCTCAGCTTCTAGGAGGCCTCAGGGAGCTTTTACTCATGGTGGAAGGTGAAGCAGGAGCAGGCATCCCACATCACAGAGTGAGCAAGAGAGTGAGTGCGGGGAGGAGGTGCCACACTTTACAGCAACCAGCTCTGTAAGAACTCACTATGGAGAGGACAGCACCAAGCCATGAAGGATCTGCCCCATAACCCCAACACCCCACCAGGCCCCACCTACAACACTGGGGATTATATTTCCATGAGATTTGGGTGGGGACAAATATCCAAACCACATCAACTATTCTGGTCCCTTAAGAACAAAATGTTTAGACAACATCCTTGAGCTTTTGCCTGATTTTCATTCATTCTGCCAGCCCTTCCTAACATGGCATCACTTTGCCTTTACTTTCTAAATAACTTTATGTTTCCTCAGCTTTTAGAAACAAGTAGCCCAAGAGGCATGTAGAAGAGCCACCAATAATGATTGAAAGTGAATGATTGTCAGCTGGGCGACAGGATTAAAGGAAGGGAAAATTTCAAGAAGGAGATTGGCTGACATTGTCCCATGCCACAGATTAAGGAAGACAAGAAATGGAAGTGTTCATTGGATTTGGCAGTCGTGATTTCATTAGTGAACTAATGAAACTGATGACCTAAAAGAGACAAACCATGTTACAGTGAGGGGTGAATGGCAGGTGGGAAATGGATGTATGGATTTGGAATTCATCCATTTTTAGGGGTCCATTGAAGTCATGACCATGGATTCTGTCACTTTAGGGAGAGAGAAAAGAACAGAAGCAGACCTAGGGCCCAGCCTTGAATAACCCTAACATTACATAGAGGTAAGGAAATGTATCTACAAAGACAGAGAAGGACTAGCCAGAGAATAGGAGAAAAACCAGAAGACTCTGGGTTACTTAATCCAAGAGAAAAGTTTCAAGGAAGAGGAGTGGCCAGCAGGGTTGGATGCTGCTGAATGGTCAAGTATGATGCCTGACAAAGGCCATGGCATTCAGTGACTTGCAAATCATTGATGACCTACAATTATGGGACAGGGAAGCCAGATTGGGTTGAGGAAGGAAACAATATATACAACTTTTTAGAGAAGTACAAGGGAACTTCAAAAGTCTGTGGACCCTTAGTTCTACTTTGAGGCCTCCTTCACATTATCCTTAACATATCAAAGTATAATTATAAGAAAGAATCACCAGGCAGGGTGGCTGACGCCTGTAATTCAGCACTTTGGGAGGCCAAGGCGGGCAGATCACGAGGTCAGGAGTTTGAGACCAGCCTGGCCAATATGGTGAAAGCCCATCTCTACTAAAAATACAAAAATTAGCCAGGCATGATGGCGCACGCCTGTAGTCCCAGCTACTCAGGAGGCTGAGGCAGAAGAATCGCTTGAACCGGGGAGGCGGACATTGCAGTAAGCCGAGATTGTGCCACTGCACTCCAGCCTGGGAGACAGAGTGAGACTCCATCTCAGAAAAAAAAGAAAGAATTGGCTAGGCATGGTGGCTCACGCCTGTAATCCCAGCACTTTTGGAGGCAGAGGTGGATGTATCACCTGAGGTCAGGAGTTCAAAACCAGCATGGCCAACATGGTGAAACCCCGTCTCTACTAAAAATACAAAAATTAGCTGGGTGTGGTGGTTGGCGCCTGTAATTCCAGCTACTCGGGAGGCTGAAGCAGGAGAATCGCTTGAACCCAGGAGGCAGAGGTTGCAGTGAGCCGAGATGGCACCACTGCACTCTAGCCCAGGTGACAAGAGCAAAACTCTGTCTCAAAAAAAGAAAGAATGAATCATGATGTGCAGTAAGTTCCTATAAGGAGATTTTTTTTTTTTTTTTTTAAGTAAAGACTCCCTCTGTCACCCAAGCTGGAGTGCAGTGGCACAGTCGCGGCTCACTGCAGCCTTGATATTCTGGGCTCAGTTGATTCTCCCACCACAGCTTCTTGAGTAGCTGAGGTTACAGGCATGTGACACCACACTCAGCTACTTTTTGTATTTTTTGTAGAGATACGGTTTTCCCATGTTGCCCAGGCTGGTCTCAAACTCCTGGGATCAAGCAATCTGCCCACCTTAGCCTCCCAAAGTGCTGAGATTACAGGCATGAGCCACTGTGCCCAGCCTCATATGGATTTTCAAAAGAACAGGGGCCAGGCGTGATGGCTCACGCCTGTAATCCCAGCACTTTGGGAGGCCAAGGCAGGTGGATCACCTGAGGTCAGGAGTTCAAGACCAGCCTGGCCAACGTGGTGAAACCTGGTCTCTACTAAACAATACAAAAAAAATTTAGCGAGGCATGGTGGCATGTGCCTTTCCTTCCAGCTCCAATTACATGGAAGGCTGAGTCAGGAGAACCGCTTGAACCTGTGAGGCAGAAGTTGCAGTGAACCAATATTGAGCCACTGCACTCTAGTCTGGGCAACAGAGCGAGACTCCGGCTCGAAAAAAGAAGAAAACCTGAAAAAAGAAAAAAAAAAAAGGTCGGGCACGGCGTCACACCTGTAACACCAGAACTTTGGGAGGCCGAGGCAGGCGGATCATCTGAGGTCAGGAGTTCCAGACCAACTTGGCCAACATGGTGAAACCTCATCTCTACAAATATAAAAAAATAAAATTAGCCGAGCATGATGGTGGGTGCCTGTAATCCCAGCTACTCGGGAGGCTGAGGTGGGAGAATTGCTTGAACCCGGAGGCAAAGGTTGCAGTGAGCTCAGATCGCACTGCTGCACTCCAGCCTGGGTGACACTGTGAGACTCCATCTCAAAAAAATAAAGAAGAGGAAAAAAAACCCAAGAGTGTGTGGAAAGTAGAAATAAAAGGCTGGGCGCGGTAGCTCGCGCCTACAATCCCAGCACTTTGGGAGGCCGAGGCATGCAGATCACGAGGTCAAAAGACCGAGACTATCCTGGCCAACATGGTGAAACCCTGTCTCTATTAAAAATACAAAAATTAGCTGGGCGTGGTGGTGCACCTGTAGTCCCAGCTACTCAGGAGGCTGAGGCAGGAGAATCGCTTGAACCCAGCCACTGCACTCCAGCCTAGGCAACAGAGAGTCCGTCTCGAAAATATATATATATGGGTGCGTGTTTGTGTGTATATATATATATTTCTCATAAGCTCCACCAAGGTCAAGACACTTTGTAAGCAGTGATACTAGCCATTTATTTATATATTTATTTATTTTTGTCTCTTGCTCGCAGCACCTAGATACTAGCCATTTCATCCATCCCCAAGGAATTGGAGATCGTGGTAATTTAACCACATCAATGAGATCTTTTTTACATTATTTACTGAAGAGAAATGGTTGCCCTTTACAGATTTTTTAAGATTAGGAAACAAAAAGAAGTCAGAGGGTACTAAATCCTGACTGTGAGGTAGATGCCTAATGGTTTTCCATGGAAACTCTCAAAATTGCTCTTGTTTGATGAGAGGCATAAGCAGGAGCATTGCCGTGGTAGAAAAGGACTCTCTGGTGAAACTTTCCTGCGCATTTTTCTGCTAAAGAGTTAGCTAACTTTCTCAAGACACTCTCATAATAAGCAGATGTTATTATTTTCTGGTCCTCCAGAAAGTCAACAAGTAAAATTCCTCAAGCAGCTCAAAAAGCTATTGCCATGACCTTTGCTCTTGGCCAGTCCATTTCGCTTTGACTGGATCACTTTCACCTCTTTGGAGTCATTGTTTTGATAGTGCTTTGTCTTCAGAGTCATACTGGGAAAGCCACGTATCACTTCCTGTTACACTTTCCCAGTAGATGCTTCATGATCTATTGGTTGGAGCAAAAGTCATTGCTGTTTTTGACATTCCTTTCAATGGCAAAAACAATAATTAATTTTGCAGCAACCTAATAGATCCCACTTGTTTACAATTTCCATTGAAATCTCTGTTCTTGTCTGCAGCTGATCTGGTTTTGGCAGCCATCAAGTGGAAAGTTTGCTCAACTTTTAATTTTTCAGTCAGAATTGTGTAAGCTGAACCAATAGAGATGTCGGTGTTGGCTGTTGTTTCTGCTGTTTATTTTTTTTCTTTTTGAGACGTGGACTCGCCCTGTCGCCCAGGCTGGAGTGCAGTGGGGCAATCTCGACTCACTGCAACCTCTGCCTCCTGGGTTCAAGCTATTCTCCTGCCTCAGCCTCCCCTAGTACCTGGGATTATAGGCACGCACCACCAGGCCCGGCTAGTTTTTGTATTTTCAGTAGAGACAGGGTTTCACCATGTTGGCGAGGCCGGTCTCAAACTCCTGACCTCAGTTTTTCCACCCACCTAGACCTCCCAAAGTGCTGGGAATACAGGCATGAGCCACCGCATCTGGCCGTGTTTCTGCTGTTAATCGTTGGTCCTTTTCTTTTTTTGAGACAGAGTCTCACTCTGTTACCCAGGCTGGAGTGCAGTGGCACGATCTCGGCTCACTGCAAGCTCCGCCTCCCGGGCACAAGCGATTCTCCTGCCTCAGCCTCCCGAGTAGCTGGGACTATAGGCGTGCGCCACCATGAATGGCTAATTTTTGTATTTTTTTAGTAGAGAATGGATTTCACCAGGTTGGCCAAGCTGGTCTCAAACTCTGGACCTCAAGTGATCCACTTGCCTTGACCTCCCAGAGTGCTGGTATTACAGGCATGAGCCACCACACCTGGCTGACTCTTCAGTTAGGGCACAAAGAGGATTAATTTCTTTCCTTGCAAATTGATGTGGATGTCCTGCTGCTGCAGCCTTCATCTTTAACGTCATCTTTTCCCTTGTTACAAGTTATCCATTTGTAAACTGCTGATTTTTTTAGGTGCATTGTCCCCATAAACTTTTGGTAAAGCATCAGTGATTTTACCATTCTTCCACCCAAGCTTCACCCTAAATTTGATGTTTGTTCTTGCTTCAATTTTAGCAGAATTCATTTTGTTCTGATAGGGGCTCTTTTCAAACTGATGACTTCTCCTTTTTTAATGCCTCAAACTAGATCCTGTTGAGATATTTTATAATGAATTAGTACCAGTTTATTTTGGTGCAAAAAGATTTTGAAATCCATGCATAGTTTTTCATAATACACAATTTCCATGGACTTTTTAAGACTTCTGATATGGCTGTTGATATAGTTTGGCTGTGTATACCCACCCAAATCTCATCTTGAATTGTAATCCTCATGTGTCTAGGGAGGAACTTGGATTATGGGGGCAGTCTCCCACATGCTGATCTTGTGATAGTAAGTCTCACAAGATCTGATGGTTTTATACAAGGCAGTTTTTCCTATGTTCGCACTTCACCTCTAGTCTGCTGCCATGTAAGACATGCCCGCTTTCCCTTCTGCCATGATTGTAAGTTTCCTGAGGCTCCCCCAGCCATGTGGAACTGTGAGTCAATTAAACCTCTTTTCTTTATAAATTACCCACACTCGGGTATTTCTTTCTACCAGTGTGAAAACGGACTAATACAGCTGTGAAAGAAATGGAGATACGGCTGGGCGCAGTGACTCACACCTGTAATCCTAGCACTTTGGGAAGCCAAGGCCGGTGGATCACCTGAGGTCAGGAGTTTGAGACCAGAACGGCCAACATGGTGAAACCCCGTCTCTACCAAAAATAGAAAAATTAGCCGGGCATGGTGGTGCACACCTGTAGTCCCAGCTACTCGAGAGGCTGAGGCAGGAGAATTGCTGGAACCCAGGAGGCGGCGGTTGCAGTGAGCAGAGATCATGCTATTGCACTTCAGCCTGGGCGACAGAGCAAGACTCCATCTCAAAAAAAAAAAAAAAAAAAAGAAAGAAATGGAGATACATAGGTTAATGGTGTTAATGAAGCATTATTTTAAATATAAGAAAGTATGTTTAGAAGCCAAAAGGAAAGCTCTAGAAGGATGAACACCCACGAGAAAGAGACAACAAATACTGTAGGCTTCTTGCAAAGGCAGGTGTAAATGGAAGCCAAGGTAGAGGTTAGAGGAGTTGGCCTTAAGAGAAGCAATTCTCCTGAACCACCAGGCATGAGTTGACATCCCTTGCCTCTTTGTCTAGCCTGTTGCCAGCCATCTCAAGGCCGTTTTCACGTCAGCACCTCCCTCTTCTGTTCTACTTGCCTTGCCTGTCCAGCTCTGGATAAACCACACGTCCCCACCCCACCCTCTTCAATTTCTTCCATTTGCTCATTCATTTAGCAAACATGTACCAATCACTGACTGTGTGCCCGGCCCTGGGGTCAAGGATTAAAATAAGTCCTTGTCTGTGTTGAACTCATGGTTCAATATTGGCAAGAGGCAAATAGCAATAATCAGATCATGATGCACAATGTCAGAAGGGTCGAGGTAGCACAGGGTGTTGTGGGAGCCTCTTGCCCCTAAGCTGCAAGTGTCGCTGGAGAAAATCCCTCAGCCAGATCAACCAGTGAAACCACAGGAGGGCCCTCCCTCCTGCGAAGCAATTTTTAAAATCCATCTTTAATTGATATCCTTTCCCCCAATACCATCTTTCTTCTTCTAGTTTGCTCCCTTCCTCTCCTTTCTTGTGTTGTAGGCAGTGGGGGTGAGGACCACTTCCTCATAAAGCATAATTTCACATCCTTAATAACTATAGGCCAGGCACCATAGCTCATGCTTGTAATCCTAGCACTTTGGGAAGCCAAGGCAAGAGGATCACTTTGAGGCCAGGAGTTCAAGACAAGCCTGGGGCCAGTGTTGGTGGCTCATGCCTATAATCCCAGCACTTTGGGAGGTCAATGCGAGCAGATCACTTGAGGTCAGGAGTGTGAGATCAGCCTGAAAAACATGGTAAAACCCTGTCCCAACTAAAAATACAAAAATTAGCCGGGCATGGTGGCGCATGCCTGTAGTCCCAGCTACTTGGGAGACTGAGGCAGGAGAATCGCTTGAACTGGGGAGGCAGAAGTTGCAGTGAGCCGAGATCACACCACTGTACTCCAGTCTGGGCAACAGAGCAAGACTCTGTCTCAGACAAAAAAAAAAAAAAAAAAAGAGGAAAAAAAGAAAAGAAATGGGCCAGGCGTGATGGCTCCTGCAGGTAACCCTAGCATTTGGGAGGCCAAGGTAGGAGGATCATTTAACTTCAGGAGTTCTAGAACAGCCTGGGCAACATAGGGCAACCCCGTCTCTGCTAAAATTTAAAAACCCAATGTGGTAGCACGGGCCTGCGATCCCAGCTACTAGGGAGCTGAGGTGGTAGGATTCCTTCAGTCTGGAATGTCGAAGCTGGATCATGCCACTTGCACTGCAGCCTGGCTGACACAGTGAGACCCTGTCTCCAAAGAAAATAAATTTAACCAGACATAAAAAATAATAATTAGGAAATGGTTGCTTTTCTTTGGAGATGGAGAGAGGAAGTGGGCAAGTTGTCATTTACCATGCCCTCATATATTTGGTCTTAAATGACTGGGCTTTAGTATATATTAATATATAAGGTATAACCTAAAAATCTCATGTAAAAGCTTAGTAGCATTGTTGTAACAGTAACATATTTCATTGTACTTCAGGACTGTCCATGGATGCAGTGTTACCATCGAGGAGCTCGAGGCCGAGGTCGACTCTGGCACCCTGATGACAAGTCTGGAGATTCAGCAGTAGAAAGAAAGCAGGAAAGTGGTATTAGCCATAGAAAAGAAGAGGAGAGGCCGGGCGTGGTGGCTCATGCCTGTAATCCCAGCATTTTGGGAGGCCGATATGGGTGGATCACCTGAGGTCAGGACTTTGAGACCAGCCTGGCCAACATGGTGAAACCCAGTCTCTACTAAAACTACAAAAATTAGCCGGGCTTGGTGGCAGGCGCCTGTAGTCCCAGGTACTCGAGAGGCTGAGGCAGGAGAATTGATTAAACTCAGGAGGTGGAGGTTGCAGTAAGCCATGATCGTGCCACTGCACTCTAGCCTGGGTGACACTAGGGAGGCTCTATCTCCAAAAAAATTAAAAAAAAATAAAGAGGAGAGGAGTACGCAGCAGAAGAGTAAGTTTTGTCTCAAAGAAGGAATCTGGTCGGAGGTTCAGAATTGGAAGTACAATTTTATTGTTTTTGCAATTTCTATAAATTAAAGTGTCAGAAAATGCTGATGGCGAGGACATGCATTGCAATTTGCAGGGGAAATGTCAAGTGAGGACTTCATCACGTGTGACACGAGAGAAAAGTAAGAGCTGGTTTTAAAATCAAAAGCTGTTGTTCATCCTGAATTGAATTTCTAAATTTTGGTGGAGCAGAGTCGCTTTGAAGCTTTATTCCCATCTATTTCTATTGCATTGCTAATGATAACTGTTGACTTTGGGTAGTGTAGAAGCAACAAGCATGTCCTTGTCTATAAGTACAGGGAAGGATAGAACAAACTTTCATTGATGCAAACATTTAAATAGTCATGTTACTTCTGTATCCAATGTCCTAACATTTTAGGGTTACTTTTGTTTTTTTATTTGCTTACATAAGCTTAGCATGAAGAATATTTTTAAACATCTCGTTTTGTCTCCAGCATTTTTTCTATTAAGAGGTAAAATGTAGTCCTTGTTGGATTCTTGACAATCTAGTTTGTTTTATCTCAGGTCTCATGATCTGGTGCCTACCCTCTCCAGGAAGGAAACTGCACCAATGTCTGTTGTTGTTACATATCAACTTTTAGTTTCAGTTTGTTTTGTTCTGATGTCAATACATAGTAACAGCAGTCAAGTATGAAGCTAAGTGTGGTGAGTAACTTTAGTAAACAGCTGTGAGGTTTTTTTTGTTTTTTTTGTTTTTTTTTTGAGACAGAGTTTCACTCTGTCACCCAGGCTGGAGTGCAGTGGCACAATCTCGGCTCACTGCAACCTCCACCCTCCGGGTTCAAATTATTCTCCTTCCTCAGCCTCCTGAGTAGCTGGGACTACAGGCACCTGCCACCGCGCCTGGTTAATTTTTTGTATTTTTAGTAGAGATGGGGGTCTCACCATCTTGGCCAGGCTGGTCTTGAACTCCTGACCTCGTGATCCACCGGCCTCAGCCTCCCAAAGTGCTGGGATTACAGGCGTGAGCCACCACGCCCAGCCAGCTGTGAGTTTTGAGAAATTAAATTTTTTATACTGTATTAGCCTCTTGGAAGTATCAAAAGCAGATGAATAATGTTAGTTTCTGCCTTCACAGGCATTGCCTTTGTTTTGTCCACCAGAGAAAGATCAGTTCATGGTTCACTCCTGTATTAGGCCGTTCTTGCATTGCTATAAATAAATGCCTGAGACTGGGTAGTTTATAAGAAAAGAGGTTTAACTGGTTCACAGTTCTGCAGGCTGTACAAGCATGGCATCTGACATTGCTCAGCTTCTGGGAGGCCTCAGGGACCTTTTACTCATGGCGGAAAGTGAAGCAGGAGCAGGCATGTCACATCACAGAGTGAGCAAGAGAGTGAGTGTGGGAAGGAGGTGCCACACTTTACAACAACCTGATCTGTAAGAACTCACTATGGAGAGGACAGCACCAAGCCATGAGGGATCCGCCCCATAACCCCAATACCCCACCAGGCCCCACCTACAACACTGGGGATTATATTTCCATGAGATTTGGGTGGGGACAAATTTCAAAACTACATCAACTGTTCTGGTCCCATAAGAACAAAATGTTTAGACAACATCCTTGAGCTTTTGCCTGATTTTCATTCATCCTGCCAGCCCTTCCTAACATGGCATCTGTTTGCCAGATGCCTGGGCTCAAACAATCTGTCCACTGTAGCCTCGAAAAGTGCTGGGATTATACGCATGAGCCACCGTGTCCAGCTTTATATGGATTTTTAAAAGAACAGAAGCCAGGGGCAGTGGCTCATGCCTGTAATCCCAGCACTTTGGGAGGCTGAGGCGGTTGGATCACCTGAGGTCAGGAGTTCGAGACCAGCCTGGCCAACATGGTGAAACTCCATCTCTACCAAAAAATACAAAAAAAAAAAAATTGGCCAGGCTTGGTGGAGCGCACCTGTAGTCCAAACTCCTCGGGAGGCTCAGGCAGGAGAATCACTTGAACTTGAGTGGCAGAGGTTCCAGTGAGCAGAGATCTCAATCCTGCACTCCTGCCTGAGCAACAGAGTTAGACTCCATCTGCCCCCCTCACCACCACACCCAAAAAAAGGCCGGGCTTGGTGGCACATGCCTGTAATCCCAGCACTTTGGGAGGCTGAGGTAGGTGGATCACCTGAGGTCAGGAGTTTGAGACCAGCCTGGCCAACATGGTAAAACCCCATCTCTACCAAAAAATACAAAAAAAAAATTTGGCCGGGCTTGGTGGAGCACACCTGTAGTCCAAACTTCTCAGGAGGCTCAGACAGGAGAATCACTTCAACTCGGGAGGCAGAGGTTGTAGTGAGCCTAGATCTCACCACTGCACTCCTGCCTGAGCGACAGAGGGAGACTCCATCCTCCCCACAACAAAAAGGCAGGGGATTGAGGTGGCACATGCCTGTAGTCCCAGCACTTTGGGAGGCCAAGGCGGGCACTTCACCTGAGGTTAGGGATTCAAGACAAACCTGGCCAACATGGTGAAACCCAGTCTCTACTAAAAATACAAAAATTAGCCAGGCACAGTGGCGGGCTCCTGTAATCCCAGTTAGTCGGGAGGCTGAGGCTAGAGAATCGTTTGAACCCAAGAGGCGGAGATTGCAGTGAGCCAAGGTCGTGCCACTGCACTCCTGCCTGGGCGACAGAGCCAGACTCCATCTCAAAAAAAAAAAAAAAAAAAAGGAAAAATAGAAAAGAAAAGTTTGTGGAAAATAGAAATAAAAGAAAAAAATATAAACTTCTCATCGTAAGATCCACCAAGGTCAAGACACTTTCATAAGCAATGATAACTAGCCATTTATGTATGTATGTATGTCTCTTGCTCACAACAATTACATACTAGTCATTTCATCCATCCCCTAAGAAGTGGAGGTCCTTGGAATTTAACCACATCAATGAAATCTTTTTTACATTATTAACTGAAGAGAAATGGTTGCCCTTTACAGACTTTTTAAAATTAGGAAACAAAAAAGTGACAGAAGAAGCTAAATCCCGACTGTAAGGTGGATGCCTAATGGTTTCCCATTGAAACTCTCAAAATTGCCCTTGTTTGATGAGAGGCACGAGCAGAAGCATTACCGTGGTAGAAAAGGACTCTCTGGTGAAGCTTTCCTGGGCATTTTGCTGCTAAAGCTTTGGCCTTCTCAAAACACTCTTATAATAAGCAGGTGTTGGCCGGGCACGGTGGCTCATGCCTGTAATCCCAGCACTCTGGGAGGCCGAGATGGGAGGATCACGAGGTCAGCAGTTCGAGACAAGCCTGACCAACATGGTGAAACCTCGTTTCTACTAAAAATACAAAAATTAGCCAGGCGTGGTGGTGCGTGCCTGTAATCCCAGCTACTCAGGAGGCTGAGGCAGGAGAACAGCTTGAACCTGGGAGGCAGAGGTTGCAGTGAGCCGAGATTGCACCACTGCAGTCCAGCCTGGGTGACAGAGTGAGATTTGGTCTCAAAAAAAAAAAAAAAAAAGCTGGTGTTACTATTCTTCGGCCCTCCAGAAAGTCAATAAGGAGAGTTGCTCAAGCAGCTCAAAAAACTATTGCCATGACCTTTGCTCTTGGCCAGTCCAGTTTTGCTTTGACTGGATCTCTTCCACCTCTTCAGAGTCATTGCTTTGATATTGCTTTGTCTTCAGAGTCATACTGGGAAAGCCACGTATCACCTCCCGTTACACTTTCCCAATAGATGCTTCATGATCTATTGGTTGGTGCCAACGTAATTGCGGCTTTTGACATTCCATGGCATAAACCACAATTAATATGCAGCAACGTAATAGATCTCACTTGTTTAAAATTTCCGTTGAAATCTCTGTTCTTGTCTGCAGCTGATCTGGTTTTGGCACCCATCAAGTGGAAAGTTTGCTCAACTTTTAATTTTTCAGTCAGAATTGTGTAAGCTGAACCAATTGTGATGTCTATGGTGATGGCTGTTGTTTCTGCCATTAATAGTTGGTCTTAGTCTCTCACGAAGGCTGGAGGCCAGTGGCACAATCTTGGCTCACTGCAACCTCTGCCTCCCGGGTTCAATGATTCTCCTGCCTCAGCCTCCCAAGTAGTTGGAATTACAGACACCTGCCACCGCACCCAGTTAATTTTTGTATTTTTATTAGAGACAGGGTTTCACCACGTGGGCCAGGTTGGTCAGATGACCCGCCCGCCTTGGCCTCCCAGAGTGCTGGAATTACAGGGGTGAGCCACCACACCCAGCCGATGCTTTTCAGTTAAAGCACGAAGAGGATTTTTGTTGTTGTTGTTTTTTAAGACGGAGTCTCATTCTGTTGCCCAGGTTGGAGTGCAGTGGCATGATCTCAGCTCACCACAACCTCCGCCTCCTGGGTTCAAGCGATTCTCCTGCCTCGGCCTCCTGAGTAGCTGGGACCACAGGCTCATGCCACCATACCCAACTAATTTTTGTATTTTTAGTAGAGACGGGGTTTCACTATGTTGGCCAGGCTGGTCTTGAACCCCTGACCTTGTGATCCACCCGCCTCGGCCTCCCAAAGTGCTGGGATTACAGGTGTGAGCCACTGCGCCTGGCCTAATTTTTTCCCTTGCATATTGATGTGGATGACCTGCTGCTGCAGGCTTCATCTTCAACATCATTTTGTCCTTTCTTACAAGTTATCCATTTGTAAACTGCTGATCTCTTTAGGGGCATTGTCCCCATAAACTTTTGGTAAAGCATCAGTGATTTTACCGTTCTTCCACCCAAGCTTCATCTTAAATTTTATGTTTGTTCTTCCTTCAATTTTAGCAGAATCCATTTTTCGCTGATAGGAGCTCTTTTCACACTGATGCTTTCTCCTTTTTAATGCCTCAAACTAGATCCTGTCGAGATATTTTTTAACGAGTTAGTACCAGTTTATTTTGATGCCAAAAGATTTTGCAATCCATGCATAGTTTCTTGATAATACACATTTTCCATGGACTTTTTGAAGACTTCTCATATGACTGTTGATATGATTGAGCTCTGTTCCCGCACCCAAATCTCATCTTAAACTGTAATCCTCATGTGTCAAGGGAGGAGCTTGGTAGGAGGTGATTGGATTATTGGGGCAGTCTCACACATGCTGATCTTGTGATAGTGAGTAAGCCTCACAAGATCTGATGGTTTTAAACAAGGCAGTTTTTCCTATGCTCGCACTTCACCTCTAGTCTGCTGCCATGTAGCATGTGTCCACTTCCCCTTCTGCCATGATTGTAAGTTTCCTGAGGCTCCCCCAGCCATGTGGAACTGTGAGTCAATTAAACCTCTTCGGCTGGGCTTGGTGGCTCACCCCTGTAATCCCAGCTTTGGGATACCAAGGCCGGTGGATCACCTGAGGTCAGGAGTTCCAGACCAGCCAGGCAAACATGGCGAAACCCATCTCTACTAAAAATACAAAAATTAGCTGGGTGTGCTTATGCCCGCCTGTAATTCTAGCTACTCAGGAGGCTGAGGCAGGAGAAGCGCCTAAACCTGAAGGGCAGAAGTGTGGTCAGCCGAGATCGCACCATTGCACTCCAGCCTGGGCGACAAGAGCGAGACTACGTCACATATTTTATTTATTTTATAAATAAATAAAAATAAAATAAAATAATTAAACCTCTTCTCTTTATATATTACCCAGCCTTGGGTATTTTTTCTACTAGTGTGAAAACCAATTAATATAGCTGTGAAAGAAATGGAGATACATAGGTTAATGGTGTTAATGAAGCTTTATTTTAAATATGAGAAAGTAAGTAAGTTTAGAAGCCAAAAGGTAAGCTCTACAAGGATGAATACTCAAGAGAAAGAGACAACGAATACTGTAGGCTTCCTGCAAAGGCAGGTGAAAATGGAAGCCAAGGTAGAGGTTAGAGGAGTTGGCCTTAGGAGAAGCAACACTCCTGAACCCCCAGGCATGAGTTGACATCCTTGCCTCTTTGTCTAGCCTGTTTTCATGTCAGCACCTCCCTCTTCTGTTCTACTTGCCTGGCCTGTCCAGCTCTGGATAAATCACCCATCCCCACCCCACCCTCTTCAATTTCTTCCATTTGCTCATTCATTTAGCAAACATGTACCAATCACTGACTGTGTGCCAGGCCCTGGGGTCAGGGATTCAAATAAGTCCTTGTGCACGTGGAACTCATGTTTCAGTGTTGGCAAGAGGCAAATAGCAATAATCAGATCATGATGCACAATGTCAGAAGGGTCGCGGTAGCACAGGGTGTTGTGGGAGCCTCTTGCCCCTAAGCTGCAAGTGTCGCTGGAGAAAATCCCTCAAGCAGATCAATTGGTGAAACCACAGGAGAGCCTTCACTCCTGCTAAGCAATTTTTACCATCAGTCTTGAATTGATATCCTTTCCCCAGTGCCACCTTTCTTCTACTTTGCTCCCTTGCTCTCCTTTCTTGTGTTGCAGGCAAGGGGGGTGAGGACCACTTCCTCATAAAGCATAATTTCATGTCCTTAATAACTATAGGCCAGGCATGGTGGCTCATGCCTGTAATCCCAGCACTTTGGGAGGCCGAGGCAGGTGGATCACTTGAGGTCAGCAGTTGGAGATGAACCTGGCCTACGTGGTGAAACCCCGTCTCTACTAAAAATACAAAAATTAGCCGGGCTTGGTGGTGTGCACCTGTAGTCCCAGCTACTCAGCAGACTAAGGCAGGAGAATCGCTTGAACCCGGGAGGCAGAGGTTACAGTGAGCCGAGATTGCACTACTGCACTCCAACCTGGACAACCAGAGCGAAACTTCGTCTATGCAGGCAATCCTAGCATTTGGGAGGCCAAGGTGGCAGAATCATTTAACTTCAGGAGTTCAAAGCCAGCCCGGATAACATAGGGAGACCCCATCTCTATTAAAAATTTTAAAACTTAGCCCAGTGTGGTAGAGCGTGCCTGCAATTCCAGCTACTAGGAAGCTGAGGTGGGAGGATGGCTGGAGTCTGGAATGTCAAGGCTGTTGTGAGCTGCAATCTTGCCATTTGCACTTCAGCCTGAGTGACAAAATGAGACCATGTCTCTAAGAAAAATAAGTTGTACCAGGCTTATAAAATAATAATTAGGAAATGGTTGCTTTTCTTTGGAAATGGAGAGAGGAAGTGGGCAAGTTGTCATTTACCATGCCTTCACATTTTTGGTCTTAAATGACTGGACTTTAGTATATATTAATATATAAGTTATGACTTGAAAATCCCACGTAAAAGCTTAGCAGCATTGTTGTAACAGTAACATATTTCATTGTACTTCAGAATCATCCAGGGATGCAGCGTTACCATCCAGGAGCTCGAAGCCAAGGTCGACTCTCGCACCCTGATGACATAACCAAGTCTGGAGATTCAGCAGTAGAAAGAAAGCAGGAAAGTTGTATTAGCCATACAAAAGAAGAGGAGAGGCTGGGTGTGATGGTTCACGCCTGTAATCCCAGCACCTTGGGAGGCCGAGGCGGGTGGATTACCTGAGGTCAGGAGTTTGAGACCAGCCTGGTCAACATGGTGAAACCCCATCTCTACTGAAAATACAAGAACTAGCCAGGCGTGGTGCCAGGTGCCTGTAGTCCCAGGTACTCGGGAGGCTGAGGCAGGAGAATCGCTTGAACTCAGGAGGCGGAGGTTGCAGTAAGCCGTGATCTTGCCACTGCACTCCAGCCTGGGCAACAGAGTAAGACTCCATCTCAAAAAAAAAAAAAAAAAAAAAAAAGAAAGAAAGAAAAGAGTAGAGGAGTGTGCAGCAGAGGAGTAAGTTTTGCCTCAAAGCAGGAATCTGATCAGAGGTTCAGAATTGGAAGTACAATTTCATTGCTTTTGCAATTTCTATAAATTAAAGTGTCAGAAAAAGATGATGGCAAGGACATGCATTGCAATTTGCAGGGGGAAATGTCAAGTGAGGACTTCATCACATATGACATGAGAGAAAAGTAAGAGCTGGTTCTAAAATCAAAAGCTTTTGTTCATCCCAAATTGAGTTTCTAAATTTTGGTGGAGCAGAGTCGCTTTGAAGTCTTGTTCTGATCTATTTCTACTGAATTGTTGATGATAACTGTTGACTTTGGGTAGTATAGAAGCAACAAGCATGTCCTTGTAGTACAAGTACAGGGAAGAATAGAACAAACTTTCATTGATGCAAACATTTAAATAGTCATGTTACTTCCGTATCCAATATCCTCAAGTTTTAGGATTAGTTTTAGTTTTTTATTTGCTTATCTAAGCTTGGCATGAAGAATATTTTTAAACATCTTGTTTTGTCTCCAGCATTTTTTTTATTAAGAGGTAAAATGTAGTCCTTGTTGGATTCTTGACAATCTAGTTTGTTTGATCTTAGGTCTCATGATCTGAGTGCCTACCCTCTCCAGGAAGGAAACTGCACCGATGTCTATTCCTGTTAAATAGCAACTTTTAGTCTCAGCTTGTTTTGTTTTGATGTCAATAAATAGTAACAGCATTCAAGTATGAAGTTAAGTGTAGTGAGTAACTTTAGCAAACAGCTGTGAATTTTGAGAAATTAATTTTTTGATACTGAATTAACCTCTTTGGAGTTTGGAAAGCAGATGAATGATATTAGTTTCTGCCTTCGCTAGCATGCCTTTGTTTTGTCCACCAGAGAACGATCAGTTCATGGTTCACTCCTGTATTAGACCATTCTTGCACTGCTAAAAAGAAACACCTGAGACTGGGTAATTGATAAGAAAAGAAGTTTGGCCAGGCACGGTGGCTCATGCCTGTAATCCCAGCACTTTGTGAGGCTGAGGTGGGATGACCACTTGATGTCAGGAGTTTGAGACCAGCCTGGCCAACATGGTGAAACCCTGTCTCTACTAAAAATACAAAAAAATTAACCGGGCATGGTGGCACGCTCCTGTAATCCAAGCTACTCGGGAGGCCGAGGCAGGAGAATCGCTTGAACCCAGGAGGCAGAAGTTGCAGTGAGCCAAGATAGCACCACTGCACTCCAGCCTGGGTGACAGAGCGAGACTCCATCTCAAAAAAAAAAAAAAAGAAAAGAAAAAAATAAAAGAGGTTTAATTGGCTTATAGTTCTGCAGGCTGTACAAGTCGGGAATCTCACATTGCTCAGCTTCTGGGAGGCCTCAGGGAGCTTTTACTCATAGCGGAAGGTAAAGCAGGAGCAGCCATCTCACATCACAGAGTGAGCAAGAGAGTGAGTGCGGGGAGGAGGTGCCACACTTTACAACAACCAGCTCTGTAAGAACTCACTATGGAGAGGACAGCACCAAGCCATGAGGGATCCGCCCCATAACCCCAACACCCCACCAGGACCCACCTACAACACTGGGGATTATATTTCCATGAGATTTGGGTGGGGACAAATATCCAAACTACATCCACTATTCTTGTCCCATAAGAACAAAATGTTAGACAACATCCTTGAGCTTTTGCCTGATTTTCATTCATTCTGCCAGCCCTTCCTGACGTGGCATCAGTTCGCCTTTACTTTCTTAATCACCACTTTATGTTTTCCCAGCTTTTAGAAACAAATAGCCAAAGAGGCAGGTACAAGAGCCACCAATAATGACTGAAAGTAAATGATTGTCAACTGGGCAAGAGTACTAAAGGAAGGGAAAATTTCTAGAAGGAGATTGGCTGACAATGTCCCGTGCCACAGAGAGGCTAAGGAAGACAAGAAATGGAAGTGTTCACTGGATTTGGCAGTCGTGATTTCATTAGTGAACTAATGAAACTGATGACCTAAAAGAGACAGAAACCATGTTACAGTGAGGGGTGAATGGCAGGTGGGAAATGGATGTATGTTTGGAATTCATCTCTTTTTAGGTGGTCATTGAAGTCATGGCCATTGATTCTGTTACTTAAGAGGGAGAGTGAAGTAAGAACAGAAGCAGACCTAGGGCCCAACCTCGAAAAACTAACATTACATAGAGGTAAAGAAATGTATCTACAAAAACAGAGAAGGACTAGCCAGAGAGTAGGAGAAAAACCAGAAGACTCTGGGTTACTTAATCTAAGAGAAAAGTGTTTCAAGGAAGAGGAGTGGCCAGCAGGGTTGGATGCCGCTGAATGGTCAATTATGATGCCTGACAAAAGCCATGGCATTCAGTGACTTGCAAATCACTGATGCCCTAGAATTATGGGGCAGGGAAGCCAGATTGGGTTGAGAATGGAAAAGATATATACAACTTTTTAGGGAAGTACGAGGGATCTTCAAAAGTTTCTGGACCCTTAGTTCTACTCTGAGGCCTCCTTCACATTCTCCTGAACATATAAATATGTAATTATCAGAAAGAATCATGGCTTGCAATTAGTTCCTAGGTGGATTTTTTTCTTTTTTTTTTAAGACAGAGTCTTGCTCTGTCACCCAGGCTGTAGTGCAGTGGTGCCATCTTGGCTCACTGCAACCTCCACCTCCTGAGTTGAAGAAATTCTCCTTCCTCTGCCTCCCAAGTAGCTGGATTGCAGATGCCTGGCACCACACATGGCTAATTTTTGTATTTTTTGTAGAGACAGGGTTTCACCATGTTGGCCAGGCTGGTCTCCAATTCCTCACCTCAAGTGATGTGCACACCTAAACCTCCCAATGGGCTGAGATTACAGGCATGAGCCACTGGGCCCAGCCTGGATTTTTTTTTTTCTTTTGAGGTAAGGTTTCTGTCTGTCACCACCACTGGAGTGCCATGGCACAATCACGGCTCACTGCAGCCTTGACCTTCTGGGTTCAGTTGATCCTCCCACATCAGCCTCCTGAGTAGCTGGGAATATAGGCATAGGCCACCATGCCCAGCTAACTTTTGTATTTTTTGTCAAGACAGGGTTTTCCCATGTTGCCCAGGCTGATCTCAAACTCTTGGGCTCAAGCAATCCGCCCACCTTAGCCTCGCAAAGTGCTGGGATTACAGGTATGAGCCACCGTGTCCAGCCTGAGGGATTTTTTTTTTTTTTTTTTGAGACTGAGTCTCACTCTGTCACCAGACTGGAGTGCAGCAGCACGATCTTTGCCCACTGCAACCTCTGCCTCCGGGGTTCAAGTGATTCTCCTGCCTCAGCCTCCCGAGTAGCTGGAACTTCAAGCACGTGACACCAAGCCCAGCTAATTTTTGTATTTTTAGTAGAGACGGGGTTTCACCATGTTGGCGAGGATGGTCTATGATCTCTTGACCTTGTGATTCATCCACCTCGGCCTCCCAAAGTGCTGGGATTACAGGTGTGAGCCACCGCACCCGGCCATGGATTTTTAAAAGAACAGATGATGGGTGCAGTAACTCACTCCTGTAATCCCAGCATTTTGGGAGGCCGAAGCAGGTGGACCACCTGAGGTCAGGAGTTCAAGACCAGCCTGGCCAACACGGCAAAACCCCACCTCTACTAAAAAAATAGAAAAAAAAATTGCTGTGTGTTGTGTCGCGTACCTGTAGTACAAACTACTCAGGAGGCTCAGGCAGGAGAATCGCTTGAACCCGGGAGGCGGAGGTTGCAGTGAGCGGAGATCACGTCACTGCACTCCAGCCTGGGTGACAGAGCCAGACTCTGTCTCAAAAAAAAAAAAAAGTTTGTGGAAAATAGACGTAAAAGATAAAAAATATAAACTTATAAGATCCACCAAGGTCAAGAAACTTTGACACTTTTGTAGGCAATGATATTAGCCATTTATTTATTTATTTTTGTCTCTTGCTCACAGCACTTAGATACTAGCCATTTTATCCATCCCCAAAGAATTGGAGTTCCTGGGAATTTACATCAATGCAATCTTTTTTACATTATTAACTGGAAAAAAAATGGTACCCTTTACAGATTTTTTATCATTAGGAAACCAAAAGAAGTTGGAAGGAGCTAAATACCAACTGTAGGGTGAATGCCTACTGGTTTCCCATTGAAACTCTCTCAAAATTTCCCGTTTGATGAGAGGCGTGAGCAGAACCTTTGCTGTGATAGAAAAGGACTCTCTGGTGAAGTTTTCCTGGGCATTTTTCTGCTAAAGCTTTGGCTTTCTCAAAACACTCTCATAATAAGCAGATGTTATTTTTCTTTGGCCCTCCAGAAAGTCAACAAGCAAAATTTCTCAAGCAGCTCAAAAAACTATTTCCATGACCTTTGCTCTTGACCAGACCACTTTTGCTTTGACTGGACCACTTCCACATCTTCGGAGCCATTACTTCGATTGTACTTTGTCTCCATAGTTGGAAAGCCACATTTCACCTCCTGTTACACTTTCCCAATAGATGCTTCATGATCTATTGGTTGGGGCAAAAGTAATTGCGGTTTTTGACATGTCTTTCAATGGCAAAAACTGCAATTAATTTTGTAGCAACCAATAGAGCCTACTTGTTTAAAATTTCCATTGAAAGCTCTGTTCTTTGCAGCTGATCTGGTTTTGGCACCCATCAAGTGGAAAGTTTGCTCAACTTTTGATTTTTCAGTCAGAATTCTGTAAGCTGAACCAATTGTGATGTCTATGGTGTTGACTGTTGTTTCTGCTGTTAATCGTTGGTCCTTCCAAATTAGGGCACAAAGAAGATAAATTTTTTTTCTCACAAATTGATGTGGATGACCTGCTGCTGCAGGCTTCATCTTCAGCATCGTCTTGTCCTTTCTTACAAATTAACTATTTTTATAAACTGCTGATTTATTTAGGTGCATTGTCCCCATAAACTTTTGGTAAAGCATCAGTGATTTTACCATTCTTCCACCCTAACCTCACCCTAAATTTGACGTTTGTTGTTCCTTCAATTTTAGCAGAATTCATTTTGCTCTGATTGTAGCTCTTTTCAAACTGATGACTTCTCCTTTTTAATGACTCAAACTAGATCCTGTTGAGACATTTTATAATGCGTTAGTACCAGTTTGTTTTGGTGCAAAAAGATTTTGTTTTTGAGATGGAGTCTCACTCTGTCGCCCAGGCTGCAGTGCTGTGGCGCGATCTCAGCTCATTGCAACCTCACCTCCCCAGTTCAAGCTATTCTCCTCCCTCAGCCTCCTGAGTAGCTGAGAATACAAGTGTGAACCACCACACCTGGCTAATTTTTCTGTTTTTTAGTAGAGACGAGGTTTCACCATGTTGGCCAGGCTGGTATCAAACTCCTGACCTCAAGTGATCCACCAGTCTCAGCTTCCCAAAGTGCTGGGATTACAGGGGTGAGTCACCATGCCCAGCCCTCAAAAAGATTTTGCAATCCATGCACAGTTTCTTGATAATACACATTTTCCATGGACTTTTTGAAGACTTCTCATATGGCTGTTGATATGGTTGGGCTCTGTGTCCCCACCCAAATCTTATCTTGAATTGTAATCCTTATGTGTCAAGGGAGGAAGTTGGTGGGAGGTGATTGGATTAGGAGGCTGGTTTCCCTCATGCTGTTCTCCTGATAATGAGTGAGTCACACCAGATCTGATGGTCTTAAAAGTGGCAGTTTTTCCTATACTCGCAATTCACCTCTCGCCTGCTGTCATGTAAGGCATGCCTGCTTCACCTTCTGCCATAATTTTAAATTTCCTGAGGCCTCCCGAGCCATTCGAAACTGTGAGTCAATTAAATCTCTTCTCTTTATATACTACCCAGTCTCGGGTATTTCTTTCTACCACTGTGAAAACAGACTAACACAGCTGTGAAAGAAATTGAGATACATAGGTTAATGGTGTTAATGAAGCATTATTTTAAATATGAGAAAGTAAGTTTAGAAGCCAAAAGGAAAGCTCTAAAAGAATGAATACCCAAGAGAAAGAGACTACTAATACTGTAGGCTTCCTGCAAAGGCAGGTGAAAATGGAAGCCAAGATAGAGGTTAGAGGAGTTGGCCTTAAGAGAAGCCATTCTCCTGAACCACCAGGCATGAGCTGACATCCCTTGCCTCTTTGTCTAGCCTGTTGCCAGCCATCTCAAGGCCGTTTTCACGTCAGCACCTCCCTCTTCTGTTCTACTTGCCTTGCCTGTCCAGCTCTGGATAAACCACACGTCCCCACCCCACCCTCTTCAATTTCTTCCATTTGCTCATTCATTTAGCAAACATGTACCAATCACTGACTGTGTGCCCGGCCCTGGGGTCAAGGATTAAAATAAGTCCTTGTCTGTGTTGAACTCATGGTTCAATATTGGCAAGAGGCAAATAGCAATAATCAGATCATGATGCACAATGTCAGAAGGGTCGAGGTAGCACAGGGTGTTGTGGGAGCCTCTTGCCCCTAAGCTGCAAGTGTCGCTGGAGAAAATCCCTCAGCCAGATCAACCAGTGAAACCACAGGAGGGCCCTCCCTCCTGCGAAGCAATTTTTAAAATCCATCTTTAATTGATATCCTTTCCCCCAATACCACCTTTCTTCTTCTAGTTTGCTCCCTTCCTCTCCTTTCTTGTGTTGTAGGCAGTGGGGGTGAGGACCACTTCCTCATAAAGCATAATTTCATGTCCTTAATAACTATAGGCCAGGCACGGTGGCTCATCCCTATAAGCCCAGCACTTTGGGAGGCTGAGGCAGGCAGATAACTTGAGGTCAGCAGTTGGAGACGAGCTGGGCCTACATGGCGAAACCCCGTCTCCTAGCATTTCGGAGGCCAAGGCGGGAGGATCACTTAACTTCAGGAGTTCAAGACCCGCCTGGATAACATAGGGAGACCCCCTCTCTACTAAAAATTTAAAAACTTAGCCCAGTGTGGTTGCACCTGCCTGCAATCCCAGCTACTAGGGAGCTGAGGTGGGAGGATCGCTTGAGTCTGGAATGTCGAGGCTGCAGTGAGCTGCAATTGTGCCACTTGCACTTCAGCCTGGGTGACACAGTGAGATGATATCTCTGAAAAAAAAGAAACTGAACCAGGCTTATAAAATAATAATTATAAAATGGTTGCTTTTCTTTGGAGATGGAGAGAGGAAATGGGCAAGTTGTCATTTACCATGCCCTCACATTTTTGGTCTTAAATTACTGAGCTTTAGTATATATTAATATATATAAGATATGACCTGATAATCCCATTTAAAGCATATTAGCATTGTTCTAACAGTAACATATTTCATTATACTTCAGGATCATCCAGGGATGAAGCTTTACCATCCAGGAGCTCGAAGCCCAGGTCGATTCTGGTGGCAAGATGGCAGCACCAATCTGGAGATTCAGCAGTAGAAAGAAAGCAGGAAAGTGATATTAACCATAGAAAAGAAGGAGGAAGGGAGTGTTAAGTCCAGATGGCCTTAGGTGTACTGACTGTCTAGGCAGCCAAAGAGCACACGTTAAGCAATCCAGAAGTGCCTTCAGGGCAAAGAATAGAGAGAAAGGGGGTGGTTGTGCTGGTGGGGTACACTGCAGAGGAGTAAGTCTTGTGTCAAAGCAGGAATCTGATCAGAGGTTCAGAATTGGAAGTACAATTTCATTGCTTTTGCAATTTATACAAATTAATTTTAGTGTCAGAAAAAGCTGATGGTGAGGACATGCATTGCAATTTGCAGGGAAATGTCAAGTGAGGACTTCATTACGTATGACACGAGAGAAAAGTAAGAGCTGGTTCTAAAATCAAAAGCTGTTGTTCATCCCGAGTTGAATTTTCTTTTTTTTTTTTCTTTTTTTTTTTTTTTTTTTTTTTTAGACAGGGTCTCACCCTGTTGCCCAGCCTGGAGTACAGTGGCTCAATGTCGGTTCACTGCAACCTCCACCTCCTGGGTTCAACTGATTCTCCTGCCTCAGCCTCCCGAGTAGCTGGGATTACAGGTGCCCGCCACCTTGCCTGGCTAATTTTTGTATTTTTAGTAGACATGGGGTTTCACCACGTTGGCCACGCTGGTCTTGAACTCCTGACCTCAGGTGATTCCCCCCGCTTCGGCCTTCCAAAGTGCTGGGATTACAGGTATGAGCCACCGTGCCCGTCCATTCCAATCTAGTTTTATTGCATTGTTGATGATAACTGTTGACTTTGGGAAGTGTAGAAGCAACAAGCATGTCCTTGTAGTATAAGTACAGTGAAGGATAGAACAAACTTTTGTTGGTGCCAAAATTTAAATAGTCATGTTACTTCTGCATCTAATGTCCTAAAGTTTAAGGATTACTTTTAGTTTTTTGTTTGCTTACATGAGCTTAGCATGAAGAATATTTTCAAACATCTGCTTTTATCTTCAGCTTTTTTTATTTTTTATTATACTTTAAGTTTTAGGGTACATGTGCACATTGTGCAGGTTAGTTACATATGTATACATGTGCCATGCTGGTGTGCTGCACCCACTAACTCGTCATCTAGCATTAGGTATATCTCCCAATGCTATCCCTCCCCCCTCCCCCAACCCCACCACAGTCCCCAGAGTGTGATATTCCCCTTCCTGTGTCCATGTGATCTCATTGTTCAATTCCCACCTATGAGTGAGAATATGCGGTGTTTGGTTTTTTGTTCTTGCAATAGTTTACTGAGAATGATGATTTCCAGTTTCATCCATGTCCCTACAAAGGACATGAACTCATCATTTTTTATGGCTGCATAGTATTCCATGGTGTATATGTGCCACATTTTCTTAATCCAGTCTATCATTGTTGGACATTTGGGTTGGTTCCAAGTCTTTGCTATTGTGAATAATGCCGCAGTAAACATACGTGTGCATGTGTCTTTATAGCAGCATGATTTATAGTCCTTTGGGTATATACCCAGTAATGGGATGGCTGGGTCAAATGGTATTTCTAGTTCTAGATCCCTGAGGAATCGCCACACTGACTTCCACAATGGTTGAACTAGTTTACAGTCCCACCAACAGTGTAAAAGTGTTCCTATTTCTCCACATCCTCTCCAGCACCTGTTGTTTCCTGACTTTTTAATGATTGCCATTCTAACTGGTGTGAGATGGTATCTCATTGTGGTTTTGATTTGCATTTCTCTGATGGCCAGGGATGATGAGCATTTTTTCATGTGTTTTTTGGCTGCATAAATGTCTTCTTTTGAGAAGTGTCTGTTCATGTCCTTAGCCCACTTTTTGATGGGGTTGTTTTTTCTTGTAAATTTATTTGAGGTCATTGTAGA
The DNA here is from genome assembly GCF_000001405.40 of Homo sapiens. Classification (NCBI taxonomy): domain Eukaryota; kingdom Metazoa; phylum Chordata; class Mammalia; order Primates; family Hominidae; genus Homo; species Homo sapiens. Next base: position 119,805,612 of record NC_000023.11, on the reverse strand, counting down.
TTCTGGATATTAGCCCTTCGTCAGATGAGTAGGTTGCGAAAATTTTCTCCCATTTTGTAGGTTGCCTGTTCACCCTGATGGTAGTTTCTTTTGCTGTGCAGAAGCTCTTTAGTTTAATTAGATCCCATTGGTAGTCCTTGTTTGATTCTTGACAATCCAGTGTGTGTTTTATCTTAGGTCTCATGATCTGAGTGTGTACCCTCTCCAGGAAGGAAACTGCATCAATGTCTGTTCCTGTTAAATAGCAACTTTTAGTCTCAGCTTGTTTTGTTTTGATGTCAATAAATAGTAACAACATTCAAGTATGAAGCTAAGTGTGTTTATTAACTTCACTAAATAGCTGTTATATTTGAGAAATTAAATTTTTGATACTGAATTAACCTCTGGAGAATTTCAAAAGTGCATGAATGATATTAGTTTCTGCTTTCACTGGCATGCCTTTGTTTTGTCTACCAGGGAAAAATCAGTTCATGGTTCACTCCTATATTAGGCCTGATGTTTTTTGGCTGTGCCCCCACCCACATCTCATCTTGAATTCCTACATGTTGTGTGAGGGACCCAGTGAGAGGTAATTGAATAATGGGGCAGGTCTTTCCTGTGCTGTTCCCATGATAGTGAAGAAGTCTCACAAGATCTGATGGTTTCATAAAGAGGAGTTCCCCGGCACAAGCTCTTTTTGTCCTGCTGCCATCCATGTAAGACATGACTTGCTCCTCCTTGCCTTCTGCCATAATTGTGGGGCCTCCCTACCCATGTGGAACTGTGAGTCCATTAAAGCCTCTTTTCCATCCCAGTTTCGGGTATGTCTTTTTTTTTTTTTTTTTTTTTTTTTGAGACAAGGTCTTACTCTGTCACCCAGGCTGGAGTGCAGTGGCGTGATCTCAACTCACTGAAACCTCCACCTCCCAGATTCAAGCAATTCTCCTGCCTCAGCCTCCCTAGTAGCTGAGATTACAGCCATCCGCCACCGTGCCTGGCTAAATTTCGTATTTTTAGTAGAGATGGGAATTCACCATGTTGGCCAGGCTGGTCTTGAACTCCCGACCTCAGGTGATCCACTGCCTCGGCCTCCCAAAGTGCTGGGATTACAGGCATGAGCCACCACTCCTGGCCTCGGGTATGTCTTTATCAGCAGTGTGAAAACGAACTAATACAGGCTGTTCTTACATTATTATAAAGAAATACCTGGCCGGGGCTGGGGGCAGTGGCATATGCCTGTAATCCCAGCATTTTGGGAGGCTGAGGTGGGTGGATCACGAGGTTAGGAGTTTGAGACCAGCCTGGCCAACATGGTGAAACCACATCTCTACTAAAAATACAAAAAATTAGCTGGGCGTGGTGGCACACGCCTGTAGTCCCCAGCTACTCAGAAGGCGGAGGCAGAAGAATCACTTGAACCAGGGAGGTGGAGGTTGCAGTGAGCCGAGATTGTGCCACTGTACTCCAGTCTGGGTGACAGAGTGAGACTCCATCTCAAAAAAAGAAAAAAAAAAAATACCTGGCCAGGTGCAGTGGCTCCCGCCTGTAATCCCAACACTTTGGAAGGCTGAGATGGGCGGATCACTTGAGGTCAGGAGTTTGAGACCAGCCTGGCCAAAATGATGAAACCCCATCTCTACTAAAAATACAAAAATTAGCCAGGCATGGTGGCAGGTGCCTGTAATCCCAGCTGCTCAGGAGGCTGAGGCAGGAGAATCACTTGAACCCAGGAAGGTGGAGGCTGCAATGAGCCGAGATCACACCACTGCACTCCAGCCTGGGCAACAGAATGAGACTCTGCCTCAGAAAAATAAATAAATAAATAAATAAATAAATACCTGAGACTGGATAATTTATAAGAAAAGAGATTTAATTGGCTCCCAGTTCTGCAGGCTGTACAGGAAGTGTGGCACTGGTATCTGCTCGAGTTTTGGGAAAGCCTCAGGGAGCTTTTACTCATGGTGGAAAGTGAAGCAGAAGACATCCCACATCACAGAGTGAGCAAGAGAGTGAGTGCGGGGAGGAGGTGCCACACTTTACAACAACCAGCTCTGTAAAACTCACTATGGAGAGGACAGCACCAAGCCATGAGGGATCTGCCCCATAACCCCAACACCCCACCAGGCCCCACCTACAACACTGGGGATTATATTTCCATGAGATTTGGGTGGGGACAAATATCCAAACCACATCAACTATTCTGGTCCCTTAAGAACAAAATGTTTAGACAACATCCTTGAGCTTTTGCCTGATTTTCATTCATTCTGCCAGCCCTTCCTAACATGGCATCACTTTGCCTTTACTTTCTAAATAACTTTGTTTCCTCAGCTTTTAGAAACAAGTAGCCCAAGAGGGAGGTACAAGAGCCACCAAAAATGATTGAAAGTGAATGACTGTCAGATGGGCGAGAGGATTAAGGGAAGGGAAAATTTCAAGAAGGAGATTGGCTGACATTGTCCCATGCCACAGAGAGATTAAGGAAGACAAGAAATGGAAGTGTTCATTGGATTTGGCAGTCGTGATTTCATTAGTGAACTAATGAAACTGATGACCTAAAAGAGATAGAAACCATGTTATAGTGAGGGGTGAATGGCAGGTGGGAAATGGATGTATGGATTTGGAATTCATCCATTTTTAGGGGTCCATTGAAGTCATGACCATGGATTCTGTCACTTTATGGGGAGAGAGTGAAGTAGGAACAGAAGCAGACCTAGGGCCCAGCCTTAAAGAACTCTTAACATTACACAGAGGTAAGGAAATGTATCTACAAAGACAGAAAGAATAGCCAGAGTAGGAGAAATACCAGAAGACTCCGGTGTTACTTAATCCAAGAGAAAAGTGTTTCAAGGAGGAGGAGTGGCCAGCAAGGTTGGCCACTAAAAATACGGCTGGGCGTGGTGGCTCATGCTTGAAATGCCAGCACTTCGGGAGGCCGAGGCGGGAGGATCACTTGAGGTCAGGACTTCAAGACCAGCTTGGCCAACATGGTGAAACCCCACCCCTACTAAAAATACAAAAATTAGCCGGGCGTGGTAGTGCACATCTGCAATCCAAGCTACTTGGGAGGCTGAGGCAGGAGAATTGCTTGAACCTGAGAGATGGAGGTTGCAGTGAGCCAAGATCGCGCCACTGCACTGCTGCCTGGGTGACAGACTGAGACTCTGTCTCAAAAAAATAAACACCAAAAAAAAAAAAAAAGAAAAAATATTAAAAATACAAAAGTCAGCCAGGCGTGTTGGCACAAGCCTGTGGTCCCAGCTACTCAGGAGGCTGTGTCAGGAGAATTGCTTGAACCCAGGAGGCAGAGGTTGCAGTGAGCCAAGATCACACCAGTGCACTCCAGCCTGGGCAAGAGAGCAAGACTCTGTCAAGAAGAAAGAAAGGAAGGAGGAAAAAAATGGAAAGGAAGGAAGGAAGGAAAAAGAAAGAAAAGAGGAAAGAAAGGGAGGGAGGGAGGAAGGGAAAGAAAGAAAAGGGAGGGAGGGAGGGAGGGAAGAAAGGAAGGAAGGAAAAAAGGAAAGAAGGAAGGAAGGAGAGAAAGGGAGAAAGAGAAAAAGGAGGAGGAAGGAAGGAGAAAGAGAAAGGAAGGAAAGAAAAGAGAAAGAAAAGGGAGGGAGGGAGAAAGGAAGGGAAAGAGAAGAAGGAAGGAAGGAAAAGGAAATAAGGAAAGAAGGAAGGAGAAAGAAAAAAGAAAGAAGGAGGGAGGGAGGGAAAGAGAAGGAGGGAGGGAGGGAAAGAGAAAGAGAGAGAAAGAAAAAGAAAAAGAGAAAGAAAAGGAAGCAAGGAAAAGAGTGAGAGGGAGGGAAGGAGGAAGGAAAGAGGGAAGGAGAGAGGGAGGGAGGGAGGAATGAAAGAAGGAAGGAAGGAAAAAAGGAAGGAAAGGAGGGAGAGAGAAGAGGGAGGGAGGAAGGAAGGAAAGAAGGAAGGAAAGGAAAGAAGGAAAGAAGGAAGGAAAGAAAGAAAAAAAGGAGAAAGGAAAGAAAGAAAGAAAAAAAAAGAAAGAGAAAGAGAAAGAAAAATGAGCCGGGCATGAGAGCTCTTCCAGGTAATCCTAGCATTTGGGAGGCTGAGGTGGGAGCATCACTTGAACTTAGGAGTTCGAGACTAGCCTGGGCAACATAGTGAGACCCTGTCTCTATTAAAAAAAATAAAAAATGTTGGCCTGGCACAGTGCCTCACACCTGTAATTCTAGCACTTTGGGAGGCCAAGGTGGGATGATTGCTTGAGCTCAGGAGTTCAAGACCAGCCTGGGCAATATAGTGAGACCCCACTTCTAAAAAAAATGAAATACTGATTCATGCTACAACATGGATGAACCTTGAAAACATTATGCTAAGTGAAAGAAAGCAGACACAAAAGGCTACATATTGTGTCTCCATTTATATAAAATATCCAGAATAGGCAAATCCACAGAGACGGAAAATAGATTAGTGGTTTCCTAGGGCTGAGAGAAGAGTGGGAATGAAAGAGTGACTGCTAGGCCAGGCACGGTGGCTCACATCTGTAATCCTAGCACTTTGGGAGGCTGAGGCGGGTGGATCACCTGAGGTCAAGAGTTCAAGACCAGCTGGGCCAACATGGCAAAACCCCATCTCCACTAAAAATACAAAATTAGCCAGGCGTGGTGGCACATGCCTGTAATCCCAGCTACTTGGGAGGCTGAGGTAGGAGAATCACTAGAACCCAGGAGGCGGAGGTTGCAGTGAGCTGAGTTCATGCCACTGCACTCCAGCCTGGGTGACAGAGACTCTATCTCAAAAATAAATAAAATAAAATAAAATAGTGGCCGGTGCGGTGGCTGACACCTGTAATCCCAGCACTCTGGGAGGCCGAGGTGGGCAGATCACCTGAGGTCAGGAGTTCAAGACCAGCGTGGCCAACATGGTGAAACCCTGCCTCTACTAAAAATACAAAAATTAGCTGGGTGTGGTGGTGCATGCCTGTAATCCCAGCTACTTGGGAGGTTGGGGCAGGAGAATCGCTTGAACTCGGGAGGCCGAGGTTGCAGTGAGCTGAGATCACGCCATTGCACTCCAGCCTGACAGAGCAAGACTCTGTCTCAAAAATAAAATAAAATAAAAAAACGGTGATTTTCATATTACGTGAATTGTATCTCACTTAAAGAATGGGAGAGAAGTTGGAAACAGTGAATGAAGACAAATCTTTACCAGGGTTTTGTTGTAAAGGGAAGGAGAAGAAGAAGTAGCTGGCAAGGGAGTTGGAGTAAAAAGCAGCTTTTTTAAGATGACAGCATATTTATTTGTATGTTGATGGGAATAATGCAGTGAACAGCAAGGACAGAAAGGGAAGACTAGTCAGAGCAGGGTTGTTGAATGGGCGAGAGAGGTTTGGATCTAGGGCACAAGCGAGCAGACAGGCCGGACATAGTTCAAACGTTTCATTCACAGTAACAGAGGGATGGGGGAATAGTCACGTGGAGGTGTTGGCAGATAGCATGTGTGGATGGGCTGTGGGAGTTCTCTTGTGATTGCTTAAATTTTCTCAGTGACTAGGAAGCCAGGTCCTCAACTGAGTGTGAGAATGGAGGAAGAAGGGTTGCAGGTTTGAGGAGGGAGAGGAGAGTCTTGACATAATTATCTAGGCCTAGGCTCAGCAAATTACAGCCTATGGACCAAACCTGGCCACTGCGTGTTTTTGTACAGCCTGAGAGCTAAGAATGGTTTCTGTATTTTTGAATGGTTGAAAAAAATCAAAAGAATATTTTGGGACACATGACAATTCTATTGAATTTAAATTTTAGTATCTGTAACTAAAGTTTTCTTGGAACCCAGCCACACCGTTCATTTACATATTGTCCTGCAGCTTTCATCCTGCAACAGCAGAGTTGAGTAGTCGCAACAGACACTGTATGTCATCTGCAAAGCCTAAAATATTTACTATCAGAAAAAGTTTGCTGACCAGGCGTGGTGGCTCATGCCTGTAATCCCAGCACTTTGGGAGGCTGAGGCGGGCAGATCACCTGAGGTCAGGAGTTGGAGACCAGCCTGGCCAACATGGCGAAACCCCGTCTCTACTAAAAATACAAAAATTAGCGGGCATGGTGGTAGGTGTCTGTAATCCCAGCTACTCCAGAGGCTGAGGCAGGAGAACTGCTTGAACCTGGGAGGCGGAGGTTACAGTGAGCCGAGATCGTGCCACTGCACTCCAGCCTAGGCGACAAGAGCGAGACTCTGTTTCAAAAAAAAAAAAGCATAATTTTAACAACCGCCCCCACGAGCCTTCTTGTTTCCACTATTGTCCCCATCCCCATCTACTCTCCAGCTGGCCAAAGGATCTTTTTAAAATACTTACATAATTGGCCAGGCACGGTGGCTTATGCCTGTAATCCCAGCACTTTGGGAGGCCGAGGTGAGATCGCTTGAAGTCAGGAGTTCGAGATCAGCCTGGACAATGTGGTGAGACCCCGTCTCTACCAAAATACAAAAAATTGGGTTGGCAGCACGCACCTGTAGTCCCAGCTACTTAGGGGCCTGAGGTTGGAGGATGGCTTGAGCCGGGGAAGTGGGGGTTGCAGGGAGCTGAGAATATACCACTGCACTCCAGCCGGGGTGATAGAGCAAGACCCTGCCTCCAAAAACAACAACATCAACAACAACAAATATATAATTGCCACTTACTCTTACCCTTTAAAAGCTTTCAAGGCTCCCAATTGCCTTCAGCAGTAATTTTGAAAATCCACCCTCAAACAAGAAGGGTCGGGCCAAACAATGAAGATGTAAACTGCCCTGTGGAGTCTGTTCTTTGATGTTGTCTCTTTGATGTATTAGCGTTTGTTCATTCATTCACCAAATATTTACTGCGCATCTACTATGTGTCAGGCACTGTTCCAGGCTCAGGGAATACAGCAGTGAACAAAATACACAATCCATGACCTCATGGAGCTTACATTCTAGGCAGGGAGTCAAACAATAAATAAAATATATGTTATCTCAGGTAAGTAATATGGAGAAAAATAAAGCAGTAGTAGGGGTAGGGAGTGCTGAGTGGGGGCCAGGGGTTGCAAATTTTTTTTAGAGAGAGTCTCACTCTGTCACCCAGGCTGGAGTGCAGTGGCTCAATCACTGCTGACTGTAGCCTCGAACTCCCCAGGCTCAGGTGAGCCTCCCACCTCAGCTTCCTGAGTAGCTGGGACTACAGGCATGTGCCACCACACCCAGCTAATCTTTGCATTTTTCTTGTAGAGGCGGAGGTCTCACCATGTTGCCCAGGATGGTCTCAAACTTCTGGGCTCAAGCCCAGAATGCTGGGCCTTGACCTCCCAAAATGCTGGGATTATAGGTGTGAGCCACTGCGCCCGACCTGGGGTTTGCAATTTTACTTTATTTTATTTTATTTTACTTTATTTTATTTTTGAGACAGAGTGTCCCTCTGTCTCCCAGGCTGGAGTGGAGTGGCATGATCTCAGCTCACTGTAACCTCCACCTCCCGAGTCCCGGTTCAAGCAATTCTCCTGTCTAAGCCTCCTGAGTAGCTGGGATTACAGGCACACACTATCATGCCCAGCTAATTTTTTGTATTTTCAGTAGAGATGGGGTTTCACCATGTTGGCCAGGCTGGTCTCGAACTCCTGACCTCATGATCTGCCCGCCTCAGCCTCCCAAAGTGCTGGGATTACAGGCGTGAGCCATCGCGCCCGGCCGAGCTGCAATTTTAGATAGATAGAGTGGTTAGGGAAAGCCTCACTGAGGTGACATTGGAAAAAAGACCTAAGGAGACTGATGAAGGAAGCCATGAAGGCGTGGGGACATCTAGGGGAAGAGCTTCCAGGTAGCGAGAAGAGCAAGTGCAAAGGCCCTGAGCTGAGAACTGCCCAGTATGGCCAAAGCCCAGTGAACTGATGGTGAGAGCAGTGGGAGATAAGGTCACAGAGGTGAGGTGGAAGGGGCTGATGTGGAAGCGTATGCCTGTTGTGAGAACTTGAATCTTTAATTTTTTTCTTCTTTTTATATTTTTTTTGGAGATAGAGTCTTGCTCTGTTACTCAGGCTGGAGTACAGTGGTGTGATCTCATCTTACTGCAGCCTTGACCTTCCGGGCTCAAGCAATCCTCCCACCTCAGCCTCCTGAATAGCTGAGACCACAGGTGTGTGCCCCGACATCCGGCTAATTTTTTAACGTTTCGTAGCGACAGGGTCTCCCTATGTCGCCCAGGCTGGGGCACTTAGATATTTACTGGAGTGAAATGAGCCATTAAGAACCACTAAATAGGCCAGGCACAGTGGCTCATGCCTGCAATCCCAGCACTTTGGGAGGCAGAAGGGGGCAGATCCCTTGAGCTCAGGAGTTCAAGACCAACATGGCCAACATACACCCCCATCTCTATTAAAAACACAAAAATTAGCCGGGTGTGGTGGCATGTGCCTGTAGTCCCAGCCATTTGAGAGGCTGAGGCACAGGAATCACTTGAACTCAGGAGGTGGAGGTTGCAGTGACCTGAGATCATGCCACTGCGCTCCAGCCTGGGTGACAGAGCAAGACTTAGTCTCAAAAAAATGAAAAATAAAAAGGAGCCACTAAATACAGTGACATGATCAGGCTTAGGTTTTAACAGGGTCATTGACTGCTGTGTTGAGAAGAAACTGTAGAGGGGCAGGGCCAGAAGAAGGGGGAAGAGTTTGAAGGATTTTGCAGTAATCCAAGTGAGAGATGAACGACGGTGGGGGAAATGAGCACTGAATTCGAGAAACATTTTTGAGACAGCTGACAGGATTTGCTGAGACTGGATTAAGGGTGTAACAGAGAAGAGTCAATGGTGAGTTTCTATATAAAATGGCTTTTAAAACAAAGAGCCATTCTGTTAAAGAAGTCTGCAAACTACATCGGGCGTGGTGGCTCACGCCTGTAATCCCAGCACTTTGGGAGGCTGAGGCGGGTGGATCACTTGAGGTCAGGAGTTTGAGACCAGACTGGCCAACATGGTGAAACCCATCTCTACTAAAAATACAAAAATTAGCTGGGGATGGTAGCATGTGTCTGTAATCCCAGCCACTTGGGAGGCTGAGGCAGGAGAATTGCTTGAACCAGGGAGGTGGAGGTTGCAGTGAGTGGAGATAATACCATTGCACTCCAGCCTAGGCGACAGAGCGAGACTCTGTCTCAAAAAAATAAAAATAAAAGAAAGAAAAAAAAAGAAGTCTGCAAATTGTTGGTCCCCAGGATAAAGCTCAGACTCCTAGGCTGGCTCTGGGAGGCCCTGGATACCTGTTCTTAGCATCTACACCTTTGCAGATATAATCGTCTCTCAGTATCCATGAAGGATTGGTTCCAGGATCTCTTTAATACCAAAACCCACTGATGTCCAAGTCCTTTATATAAAATTATGTAATATTTGCATATAACCTACACACATCCTCCTGTATACTTTAAGTCATCTCTTGTTTACTTATAATACCTAATGTAGTGTAAATGCTATGTAAATAATTATTATACTGTATTGTTTTTCATTTGTATTTATTTTTAGAGATAGGGTCTCACTACATTGCCCAGGCTGGACTTGAACTCCTGGGATCAAGCAATCTGCCTACCGCAGCCTCCCAAGTAGCTAGGACTACAGGTGCATGCTGCCACACCTGTCTATATTTGTATTATTTTTTATTGCTGCATTATTTTTTTCCAACTTTTTTTTTTTTTTTGAGACAGGGTCTCACTCTGTTGCCCAGGCTGAAGTGCAATGGTGCGATCTCGGCTCACTGAAACTTCCACCTCCTAGGTTCAAGCAATTCTCCTGCCTCAGCCTCCTGAATAGCTGTGATTGCAGGTGTGCCACCATTCCCGGCTAATTTTTGTATTTTTAGTAGAGACAGGGTTCTGCCATGTTGGCCAGGCTGGTCTCGAACTCCTGATCTAAGTTGATCCACCCGCCTCAGCCTCCCAAAGTGCTGGGATTACAGGTGGGAGCCACCACGCCCGGCCATTTTTCCAAATATACATTTTTTAACTTGGATTTTTTGGATTTTTATTGCTCATTTATTTAAGAGCAAGCATTTTCTTTCTGGTGACCAGAAGCAGCAGCAAATAAGCTTTTAAGTGCTTATGTCAATTATCCTTTTAATTCTTACTGCTTTTAGAAAGAGCACTTCTTGCTGGTTTTCCTTCTACCTTTCATGCCACCCTTTCTCAATTTTTTTTTTTTTTTTTTTGAGACGGAGTCTCCCTCTGTCACCAGGCTGAAGTACAGTGGCATGATCTCCACTCACTGCAACCTCCACCTCCCGGGTTCAAGCGATTCTCCTGCCTCAGCCTCCCGAGTAGCTGGGATTACAGGCGCCACCACCACACCCGGCTAATTTTTTGTATTTTTAGTAGAGACGAGATTTCACCATGTTGGTCAGGCTGGTCTCGAACTCCTGACCTCGTGATCCACCCGCCTCGGCCTCCCAAAGTGCTGGGATTATAGGCGTGAGCCACCGCGCCCAGCCCTCAATTTTTTGTTTGTTTTGAGACAGGGTCTCACTCTGTTGCTCAGGCTGGAGTGCAGTGGCACAATCATGGCTCACTGCAGCCTCGAACTCCTGGGCTCAAGCGCTCCTCCCTTCTCGCCTTCCAAGTAGCTGGAGCTACGGGCACGTGCCACCACATCCAGTGGCTAAATTTTGTATTTTTTGTAGAGAGTCTCACTATGTTGTCCAGGCTGATCTAAAACTCCTGGTCTCAACTATTCCTCCTTCCCCAGCCTTCCAAAATGCTGGGATTACAGGTGTTAGCCACTGCACCTGGCCCCTGCTTTGCTTTTCTTGATGACACCTCCTTCTGATGTGCCATGTAATTTACATATTTGTTGTCTAACTCCCCACTATAATTAAACTCAATGAAGGCAGAGTTTTTTTAGACTTGTATTTTGAAATAACAATAGATTCGCAAGAAGTTGCAAAGAAAGGGACTGAGAGGCCCTGTGTACCCTTTATCTAGTTTTCCCCAGTGTTAGCATCTTGCATAACTATAGTACAATATCACAACCAGGAAATTCACGTTGGCACAGTCCACAGAGCTTATTCAGATTTCACCAGTTATACATATGCCCCTTGGGGCAGGGGTGGGCAGGGGGGAGTTGTATAGAATTGTTTTTTTTGTTTTTTTGTTTTTGTTTTTTGAGACAGAGTCTCACTCTGTCACCCAGGCTGGGGTGCAGTGTTGTGATCTCGGCTCACTGCACCCTCCACCTCCTGGGTTCAAGCAATTCTCTCTGTCTCAGCCTCCTGAGTAGCTTGGACTACAGGCACGCACCAGCATGCCCGGCTAATTTTTTTTGTTTGTTTTGAGACAGAGTCTCGCTCTGTCACCCAGGCTGGAGTGCAGTGGCGCGATCTCGGCTCACTGCAGCCTCCACCTCCCGGGTTCAAGCCATTCTCCTGCCTCAGCCTCCTGAGTAGCTGGGATTACAGGCGCGCGCCACCACACTTGGCTAATTTTTGTATTTTTAGTAGGGACGGGGTTTCACCATGTTGGTCAGGTTGATCTCGAACTCCTGACCTCAGGTGATCCGCCCGCCTCAGCCTCCCAAAGTGCTGGGATTACAGACGTGAGTCACCACACTTGGCAAATTCTATCACACGTGTAGCTTTGTGTAATTCCCACCACAAAAAAATCCAGAACCATACCATCGCCACAAGACTCCAAGAGGGCAGGGATTTTTGGTCAGATTTGTTTGCTTCTGTACCCCCAACACGAAGACCCGAACCAGACAGAGTAGGTTCCCAAAATCTGTGTTGAAAAGGCAGTAGAGGGTAGTGGTGACAGCACAGACTCTGAAGCCTGGACTACCTGAGTCTGAGTACCGGCTGTGCAACATAGTAGCTGTGTGACCTTGGGTATACAACTTAATCTGTCCCTGTTGCAGTTCCCTCTTCTGTAAAATGAGGATGATTAACCATACTTACCTTGTAGTGTTCTGGTGAAGATTCAAAAGGTCACTGGTAAAACATGGTAAGCTCACAGTGAGGCTTGAATTAATACATGCAGCTACATAGTAACTATCAAGCCCCATAAGCAGCAGCCACTGTTACTTTCATCCTTTTGCATTGCAACAGAACAGATAGTGCTAGGAGCCATAAGAAAGGTACAAATAAACTATTACAACAGTGTTGAAGGGGTGATGATTTCCAGCTAAGGGGAAGAGACAGCATTTGAATTCGGCCTTAGAAGGTGACTGGTGGTGTCATGAGCTAAATTATGTTCCCCCAAAATTCATGTGTTGAAGCCCTAATCCCCAGGACCTCAGAATGTGACTTTAGGCCGGGCACGGTAGCGCACTCCAGTAATCCCAGCACTTTGGGAGGCCGAGGCGGGCGGATTACTTGAGGTCAGGAGTTCGAGACCGGCTTAGCCAACATGGCGAAACTCCGTCTCTACTAAAAATACAAAAATTAGCTGGGTGTGGTAGTGCGTGCCTGTAGTCCCAGCTACTCGGGAGGCTGAGGCATGAGAATCACTTGAACCCGGGAGGCGGAGGTTGCAGTGAGCCAAGATTGTGCCATTGCACTCTAGCCTGGGCAATAAAGGGAGACTCAGTCTTGAAAAAAAAAAAAAGGAAATATGTGCTATAGTAATACATGGGCTTCTTAACATAGTTCTATTTGTGAACTTATAACTAATGTAATTTAAAGGGAGTGTGTAAATAATATATGGAGACATCTGCATCAACTGTAATGTAACATGAAGCCATCTATGGTTTCTATTAGTGACCAAGTCACGAGTACTGCTAATGCCACTGTGGTCTGTTGCCTACATTCCTAAATAAAGAAAGCATTACATTTCATTAAATTTGGTGAAAATAAAGTTGTATTTTCCCATTCAAGTTCATGGGATCCTCTGAATTCTATACATGGACTCTTGTGGACTCCAGGTTAAAAACCCTTGCTGTAATCCGTTGGTGTAAAAATGCTTGAGGTGACTGCAAATATACATGGAGGTTTTTGCGTTTATTTATTTACTTTTTCTTTTTTGAGATGGAGTTTTGCTCTTGTTGCCCAGGCTGGAGTGCAGTGGCGCAATCTCGGCTCGCTGCAACCTCCGCCTTCAGGGTTCAAGAGATTCTCTTGTCTCAGCCCCCGCAGTAGCTGAGATTACAGGCGCCCGCCACCACGCCTGGTTAGTTTTTTTGTATTTTTAGTAGGGACGGGGTTTCACCATGTTGGCCAGGCTGGTCTCGAACTCCTCGTTTCAAGTAATCCGCCCGCCTAGGCCTCCCAAAGTGCTGGGATTACAAGCGTGAGCCACCACGCCCAGCTTATTTTTATGTTTATTTTATTTACTCATCAAAAAGGAAAGGTTTTTGCTTTTAAATGGGGAAAAGGATGAAAATGGGGAACACTAGCATCCCAAACGCATGTTATTAATTATTGTACATCTTGCCAAAGGCGGGCTACAATGTCAGGCTGGACTTCTAGCAGCCAAGGAAGAGGTTCTGTCCCTAACTTTCTGAGTTGAAAACTTTGATTGGCAACCTTCCGCCTAGTCGAAAACCCCTAGGCTTACATAAGCGTCCACGTGGTCCAACCCCCTCCAACTTCTCCGGCTTCCTCCGACACGACTGTCCCTTCCCACACCTCCCAGCCAGGCCGAAATGACTCGTAACCCTCTGGGAAAATGGCACTTACTCTCCGCCTGCCGAGCTCCGACCCGGCGTTCCGAGTCCCCGGCGCCCGGAGGTGACGGTCGCTTCCCCTGCCCTCCCTTAGGGTTAGTCCCGCCCAATCGGCTCCTTAATTTTTCGGAGGGGCTTCTACTTTGGCATTTATCACGGGCTGTCTGCCTCACTTACGAAGCAGGGTGCCCCTAGCACACTGCCGGGCCCCTGGGGGAACGCACTTAGGGAAGCGAAGCAAAGCTAACTGCATTTGGCAGAAACCAGCGCGCTTTCCCACGGCGCCACGGGAGCGCACCGCTAGACAGAGAAGGCACTAGAAGAGGCGGTCGGTGCATAGCGTCACCTCCTAAACTCCGCCCATCGGAAGCGCCTTCTAAGCTCGTTCTTCCGCCAGCTTCCCTCCTCTTCCTTTCTCCGCCATCGTGGTGTGTTCTTGACTCCGCTGCTCGCCATGGTAAGTCCATCGGCCCCCATCGGCCCCGGGGTGGCTTCCCAAAACCCGAGGCCGCTGCCAGGAAATGCCTGGGCCGCGCGGAGCGTTGAGGGGCGGGAGCCTTTTAAAGGCTTTTTCAAGAAAATATCCAGTTCGGCCACTGTTGTCTTTCGTGGCCTGGAGGGAAGCTAGTGAGCCAGCGAGCAACCTGGAGAGGGACGGGCTGCGCTGCGGCCGCGGATTCAAGGGGGCTCTTTCTTTGCCCGGCCGCTGCCGAGTCGGGCAGGGATTCCGGTTTCCCTTCGCTTGTAGCGAACTCGTTCTGGAGGCGGGGGGTGGGAGGTGGCAGCCACCCCCGAAATCGTGGCCTGACTGTGGGCTGCCCGTGGCATGCGCAACGTGGAGGGTAATCAGGAGGGTATTGTGGGCTACTGGTTTTCGAAAAGGGTTTAGCTTGGCGTGGAGAAGCGAACCGCATTTTTAGATCCCAGGACTTTTGTTTAGAGGACGTTTATTCAGAGACTTGAGCGTCACCCCGTGGAAGCGCCTAGAACAAGGGGTGTTTTGCGAACCTGTGTGTCATTCTGGCCTTCTTAGTAAATGGCAGCAGCGAACCAGTCACTCTTTACTGGGAAATGTAAAATGTTGATTTCTAGATATGGAGGCGATAAGTACTGGTATTTTATTACTTGTCAAGTAATTTATTACTTGACAAAATTTACAACTGCTACTGTGGATGGGGGACGGGGTGTAATCTTTGCCTTCTTTGTATTGGCTCCCATTATTATGCAAGGGTATGTTCGTCCAGGTTGGCCAGGCATTAAACCTGCATCCGTGCCAATTTTGCAAGATTATTCTGTAGATTTGGGGGAGTATTGGGGTTGGCCTTAGATGAAAGCCAAAAGATGCAACTAGAAATTGAGACAGTCATCCTTGGAAAAGTGACATTTCATTTATTTTTAAATTTAAAAGTTTATTTTTTTAGCCAGTGAAATTTAGCAGTAGAGATAGAGTTAGGATTAATACCGAAATGGTGAGTAGGTTAGATCTTCTGAATGTCAGGGACTTTCCCTAAGTCTTAATTACCCTCCCAATAACACTTGAAAAGTACGTACCCCTGTTTTACAAAGTAGAGCACTGAGATTCGTTGACTTGCAAATGGTAGGTAGGTGGTTCTGTTTGACTCAAAGCTGTGTTCTTCCCAGGAAGCCAGATTCCCTAGCCATTCCCAGTGTGGTCGTCTGAGTCCTTGGGGGACCACAGGGTAAATTGAAAGGTAGCCTCTGGCTGTGGAGCAGAAAGGACCTGGGTTTGAATCCTGGTTCTGCACATTGATGCTCTGATTTTGTGCATGTTTCTTAACCGGATTCCACTTATTTTATCTGAACGATGGAAACTGTGGTATCTGCCCCCAGAGAAGTTGTGAGGGTCAGAGACTTGCTTGGCTTGATGGCTTAGCATTGAGAAGATTTTGGGGCTGGGGTATGTGTTAAGCACTCAAATGTTGGTTTGAAGGAGTTCTTGACTTTGAATCATTCGGGCAGGCTCTAATATTGTCTAAATTGATTGCATTTTCTTCCCAGTCTTCTCACAAGACTTTCAGGATTAAGCGATTCCTGGCCAAGAAACAAAAGCAAAATCGTCCCATTCCCCAGTGGATTCGGATGAAAACTGGAAATAAAATCAGGTAAGACCTCCATCATACTGCTTGTATTTTGCTAAATGTAAGAGCCACTGTGTCTGGCCAGGGTTACTTTTTGAGTATAAATACATGATTAAAATTGCATGCAATCCAATCCACCCTTTGACAGCATTCTCAAATTCGTTTTTAAAAACGTACTTCCTTTGTTTCTGCACTGCATCCAGCCCACATCTGGGCTTATGGGCAGATAATTCTCCAATACTTATTAATTTCCTGGTCATCTTCAGTCTGAGCTAGGTCATAAGGTGGAAGGCTGTCTTATACACATCCTGGTGGGGAAGACCCAGTCAGTATTTTTAGGCTTTTTGTTTTTGTTTTTGTTTTTGTTTTTGTTTTGAGACGGAGTCTCGCTCTGTTACCCGGGCTGGAGTGCAGTGGCACAATCTCGGCTCACTGCAACCTCTGCCTCCCAGGTTCAAGTGATTCTTTTGCCTCCGCCTTCAGAGTAGCTGGGACTACAGGCGTGCGTCACCACGCCCAGCTAAGTTTTATATTTTTAGTAGAGATGGTATTTCACTATATTGGCCAGGCTGGTCTCAAACTCCTGAGCTCAAGTGATCTGCCCCTCTCGGCTTCCCAAAGTGCTGGGATTACAGGCATAAGCCATTGTGCCCGGCCTTTGTTTTTGTTTTTTGAGACAGGATCTTGTTCTGTTTTACATGCTGCGTTGACACTATCTCCCTGCAACCTCTCCCTACCTACCAGACTCAAGTGACCCTCCCACCTCATCTCTCTGAGTAGCTGGGACTACAGGCACACGCCACCACACCTGGCTAATTTTTAAATTTTTTGTAGAGATGGGGTCTCTCTGTGTTGCCCAAGCTGGTCTTGAACTCCTGAGCTCAAGCAATCCTCCTGTCTCACCCTACCAAAGTGCAGAGATTACAGGCGTGAGCCATCACACCTAGCCCAGTCTTTTAGATGTTTCTCTTTTCTAAAAAGAGACTAGAAAAGATTGGAAAACTGTCCTCTACTGCAGAAGTAGTTGATCTCAAAGGAAAAACATTACTAGAATTGCTATGAAGGACCTCCAAGGTCATCTAGACTAACTCCAGGGAAAGCTAGGCCTGAAACAGTCTCCTGCATGGCTTTTTCAGCCCATCGCTCTTTGGTCCTGATGGGCCTTGAGACAGGTTTTGAAGGGAGCATCAAGAATCAGCAAGAGTTGCCCAAGGTTCAGCAGTCGCTCTCTCACCCAGGCTGAGTGCAGTGGTGTAACCCTCCCACCTCAGCCTCCTCCTGAGTAGCTGGGACTACAGGCGTTCACCACCATGCCTGGCTAATTTGTGTACCTGTTGTAGAGATGGGGTTTCGCCATGTTGCCCAGGCTAGTCAAAGCACTTTCTCTTTTTTTTTTTTTTGAGATGGAGTTTTGCTCTCATTGCCCAGGCTGGAGTGCAATGGTGTGATCTTGGCTTACCGCAACCTCTGCCTCCCAAGTTCAAGCGATTCTCTTGCTCAGCCTCCCAAGTAGCTGGGATTACAGGTGCCTGCCACCACACCTGGCTAATTTTTGTATTTTTAGTAGAGACGGGGTTTCACCATCTTGGCCAGGCTGGTCTTGAACTCCTGACCTCGTGATTCACGCGCCTCTGCCTCCCAACATGCTGGGATTACAGGCATGAGCCACCGCGCCCAGCCAGAACTTGATTCGACTTGTATGGCAAAGCTAGTGGGATTGGTTTGCTAAGAAGACTTAAAGGGGTGGCTTCTTAGGGCTAAAGTTGAGGGCCTATTTCCTTGGTTCATTTAGCTAGTTAGATGTGAAAATTGCCACCCATTGTAATGTTATGGGCTAGTTAATTGCTTACCATTTGTTTACTGGATACTAGACACTGTCCTTTATTATTTGATACATCTACTTGAACGTGGGTTTCTCTGTGTCCTGCCTGATGGTGGGACCTGCTTGTGAAGAGTGAAAGAAGTATATATAAACCAGGCACAGTGCTTCATACTTATAATCCCAGCACTTTGGGAGAGGCCAACGCAGGAGGATTGCTTGAGGCCAGGAATTTGAGACCAGCCTGGGCAACATAGGGAGACCACCCCCGTCCATCTCTACCAAAAATATAAATTAGCTGGACTTGGTGGCACGTGCTTGTAGTCCTAACTATTTAGCAGGCTGAAGTGGGAGGATCACTTGAGCCCAGGAATTCACAGGCTGCAGTGAGCTGTGATCCGGCCGCTGCATTGTAGCCTGGGCAACAGTGTGACCCTGTCTCAAAAAAAGAAAAATGTATGTAAAACTCAACGCCTAGTTCAATAAATAACCTGCTATTAAACTCTGTGGTCTCCTAGAATTGGGAAGGTATTTTGTACGTAAGATTATATACCCTTGACCCAGATAATTGACCCAATGGAATGATTTTCATTGTTTTAGCTATCTTCCAGCGTTAAAAATGTTTTTGAAAGCAGGTTGCAATTACAGTGCTTCATTTTGTGGAAGTACTGCCATTATCCTGCTGAAAGAAAAGCCGTGTTAATCATTTTTGATTTTGCCTTTATGAGGGTAAAATCATGACAGATTGACATGGACAATTCTGGGATTGCTGTTTCCCTGCACTAGACGTGAATGGAGGAGTTGATCGATTGTAAAGATCATGCGAGGCCAGGTGCAGTGGCTCATGCCTGTAATCTCAACTCTTTGGGAGGACGAGGCGGGTGGATCTCGAAGTCCAGCCAGTTCGAGACCAGCCTGGCCAACATGGTGAAACCCTGCCTCTACTAAAAATACAAAAATACAAAAATTAGCTGGGTGGTGTTGGGGGGGCGGGCGACTCTGTCTCAAAAAAAATATCATGCGGGAGCTTTTATATGTTTGTGACCCATTATGAGGGGGTTCAGAGTATGTCTGTGTACCTCCAGGTCCATTGAATCAAAAGTGGGTACAAGTACACTTGGAGAGAGTGGGCTTCGCCACTACTCTGATCCTAGTTAAGAGCCTAGCCTTCAAATTATTTTGAGAGGATAAAACTTGACTTGGCTAGTTTTTAAACACATAGGGAATTATTTTTTTTACTCTCCAGAAAGAACTCCAAACTTGTTAGAGGAGAGAAAAGCAGTACCCTTTGTATTTTGTGGTACCTAAAAGGTTATGTGAATGGGAACAGCTACATTGCTGTCAGACTGCCTTTGTAACTTGACATTTTTTTCTGTGTAGGTACAACTCCAAAAGGAGACATTGGAGAAGAACCAAGCTGGGTCTATAAGGAATTGCACATGAGATGGCACACATATTTATGCTGTCTGAAGGTCACGATCATGTTACCATATCAAGCTGAAAATGTCACCACTATCTGGAGATTTCGACGTGTTTTCCTCTCTGAATCTGTTATGAACACGTTGGTTGGCTGGATTCAGTAATAAATATGTAAGGCCTTTCTTTTTAATTGCTGTTGTATTGTGGTTTGTCAATTACTGAATTCTCCCTTCCCTGCCAAACCTAATAACAACACTATCCAGTAGAACTTTCTGCAATGATAGAAATGTTCTCTGGCTACCATGTGCTTGAAGTGTGTTTAGTGTAAAGGACTGATTCTGTAAATTTTATTTTATTTTTTTTTAATGTATTTATTTATTTTGAGACAGAGTCTGGCTCTGTTGCCCAGGCTGGAGTGCAGTGGTGCGATCTTAGCTCACTGCAACCTCCACCTCCCGGGTTCAAGCAATTCTCTTGCCTCAGCCTCCTGAGTAGCTGGGATTACAGGCGCCCCCCACCACATCCAGCTAATTTTTGTATTTTTAGTAGAGATGGGGTTTCACAATGTTGGTCAGGCTGGTCTCGAACTCCTGACCTTGAGATCCACCCACCTCGGCCTCCCCAAAGTGTTGGGATTACAGGCATGAGCCACCACGCCCGGCCTCACATGAGTTTTACAATTAATCAACTCCCCCATTCACGTCTAGTGCAGGGAAATAGCAATCGCAGAATTTTATTTTTAGTAGAGATGGGGTTTCACCATGTTGGCCAGGCTGGTCTGGACCTCCTGACCTCAGGTGGTCCACCACCTCTGCCTCCCAAAGTGCTGGGATTACAGGCCTGAGCCACCGCGTCCAGCCATCTGCTGCCTGTTTTTGTACAGTCTGTGAACTATATGGTTCCTACATTTTTAAATAGTTGAAAGAATATTTTATGCCATCTGAAAATTGAAATACAAATTTCTGTCCATATAAAATGTTCTTGTTTCACAGCCATATGCATAACTTACGTATTATGTATATAAATGCACCCTTGTGCACAGAGATAATGTGGCCTGCAAAGCCTAAAATATTTACTACTTTGCTCTTTATGCAAAAAGATTGCCCACCCCTGTTCCTGGATTCAAGCGAGTTCACTTGTTTAAAAAAAATCTAGGTTAATTGTTGACATTGTAACAGGTAATGCTATTGCCTGACTTACTGAAGAGCTACAGCTGAGTGAATGTACATGGTGGAAATCTTGTGGATTTGAGCTTTTACTGGGTTAGTGCAGCTTCTTCGGTACCCCTTGCAGTTTCCCTGGCTGACGAATCATCAGGGAATTATGTTTAACATCTCAAAGAACCAGTAGCAACTTCATATTTAGAGAGATGCATTAACAAATTATTGGCCACCTTTGTGTCAGACACTGTTCTAGGTACTTGGAATTCATTGGTTGATAGACAAATTATGTGGCATGTTAAGTGGTAACAACGAATAGGCCAATATACAAACCTTAGCAGATCTTTTCTGTAGAAAACGTGAGAGGGAACAAAGCTCCCCCAAATACCAGTGGAATTAGGATTGAAACTGCAGCAACAAGGGAAAGAACAGGGTTTGGCTGTAACTCCCTGCCCAGTCGATAGGGGGCCTGTGCTGCCTGGACATAGCTGAGAAGGCAGGTGGCAGAAGATGTGGGCTGCTGCATAAAGTGTGCAAGTGGTAATGGTGGGATTGCACAGCAAAGGGGTCCCTGCCTTACAACCACACTAGGAGGTTCAGATGAAAGCAATTCCGGCTGGGCACAGTGGCTCACACCTGTGATCCCAGCACTTTGGGAGGCCGAGGCAGATGGATCACCTGAGGTCAGGAGTTCAAGACCAGCCTCGCCCACGTGGTGAAGCCTCGTCTCTACTAAAAGTACAAAAATTAGCCGGGCGTGGTGGCGCGCACCTGCAGTCCCAGCTACTCAGGAGGCTGAGGCAGGAGAATTGCTCAGACCCGGGAGGCAGAGGTTGCAGTGAGCTGAGATCACCCCACTGCACTCTAGCCTGGGCAACGGCAAGACTTGTCTCAAAAAAAAAAAAAAAGCAATTCCTAAGAGCATGGCGCTCACCAGAAATGTGAAGAGTGAGCTCCAGAATACCAAGGAAATTAGGAGCTTTAAAGGGATCTTTGGAACCTATCTCCTGAACCCCTAGACTGCAATTTTTTTTCTTTTTTCTTTTTCTTTTCTTTCTTTCTTTTTTTTTTTTTTTTTGAGACGGAGTCTTGCTCTGTCACCCAGGCTGGAGTGCAGTGGCGTGATCTGGGCTCACTGCAACCTCTGCCTCCCGGGTTCAAGCAATCCTCCTGCTTCAGCCTCCCAGTAGTTGGGATTACAGGTGCCTACCACCATGCCCGGCTCATTTTTGTATTTTTTTTTAGTAGAGATGGGGTTTCGCCATGCTGGTCAGGCTGGTCTCGAACTCCTGACCTCAGGTAATCCGCCTGCCTTGGCCTCCCAAAGTGCTGGGATTACAAGTGTGAGCCACTGTCCCCGGCCTGACTGCAAATATTTTTTCTTATTGCATCAGTGATGCCTTCATATTCAAAGAAAGTTGCCACTGTGAACAGCAGTTGGTAAATATTAACATACTTAAAAATGTTACTCAAGGCTGAGCGCAGTGGCTCGCCTGTAATCCCAGCACTTTGAGGGGCCTAGGCAGGTGGATCGCTTGAGCCCAGGTGTTTGAAACCAGCCTGCACAATATGGCAAAACAAGAAATTGGCCAGGGTGGAGTGCACCTGTAGTCCTAGCTATCTGGGAGGCTGAAGTGGGAGGATCACCTGAGCCTGGAAGATCGAGGCTACAGTGAGCTGTGATCATGCCACTGCACTCCAGCCTGGGTGACAAGAGTGAGACCCTGTCTCAAAAAACGATACTCAAGTCCAAAGGAGAGGGACTTGATAAAATTAACTGGCAGTCACAAGACAGGGACATTTCTAACCATTTCAGAGCATTAGAAAGCAGTCTTCTGCTTCAGAGTAGGTTGGGTGTTTGCTAACAGAGCCCAAGGAGGTTAAGTGACAAGGCCAAGATCTAATGGCATAGGCAGCTTTCTCTACAGACCTCGAATAGTTGGGATTACAGGCACCCAAGTATTGCACCTGTAATCCCAACTACTCGGAAGGTAGGATTAGGATTTGGAGAAAGGGAAAATGACATGGACATGGGGTTAGCCGTGTGTGAGGGGTTTATTTGGAGCCTGGGAGTTGAAAGCTGTGGGGTCTGGATCCAGTGGCCCCTCGCTATCTTGTACAATTGCCAGTACCTGTTTCCCCATATCTATGAAGGGAGTTGGGTTAGATCAGTGCATCTTGAAGGAAGGAAGGGGAACTTGCGATGTATTTTAAGATTTCAAAATGGTACTGAAATAGTAAAGAAGGGAAGCATTAGATGACAGGTTTTGAAAGACAGGAAGTCACCCTTGTGATGACACTGCCCATCCCTTGACCTACTGAGAGGCAGGCAGCAGATTGGTTGAGTTTGCTGCTGTCTGTGTATCACCAGACTATAGTCTGGATTCATTAAACACTGCTCCCGGGCCGGGCATGGTGGCTCATGCCTGTAATCCCAGCAGTTTGGGAGGCCGAGGCAGGTGGATCATTTGAGGTCAGGAGTTCGAGACCAACCTGACCAACATGGTGAAACCCTGTCTCTACTAAAAATACAAAAATTAGCCGGGCGTGGTGGCACATGCCTGTGGTCCCAGCTACTCGGGACACTGAGGCAGGAGAATCGCATGATCCTGAGAGATGGAGGCTGCAGTGAGCCGAGATCGTGCCATTGCGCTCCAGCCTGGGCCACAGAGTAAGACCCCATCTCAAAACTAAACAAAACAAAACCCTGCTCTCCACCACTCACCAGTTGTAAGCCCTCAGCGTCCTCATCTGCAAAATGGGGTCTCCCTCAGAAGGTTGTGAGGATGAAATTTAATAATGCACCAAAGCACTTGGTTCAGTTGCCTGACTAGGAAAAGGAGATGAGGAGTAGGGAGTGAGCAGGAAGAACGTTTTGGTGTCAGTCCCCAGCACAGATGCACCATATGTTGGCACAGGGAGAGGGACGTTGTGATGGGAGGCTGAGATAAAATCAGGCTGAGCTGCCATGGAGTTGGTGCTCAACATAAGCTGCTAAATTGATGCCAGTTCTCTTCCAACTCCAGGGTTTTAATTTGGAGGGACAGAGTAACCCCTCAAGGTCTTGCAGGCAAGCCTAAGGTTGAATCCCAGCTTCATCACTGAACCAACTGTGGGACCTTGCTCTCTTAGAAGACTTTTATATCCAGTCATACCTGACTACCTCAGGTTTGTAAGGATTGAATGATGTCTGTAAAGGATTAGTTCCAGGAGTGTATTTTCAAGGTAACTTCAGTCTATGCTCCCAGGTAAAAAGGTTTGTTTTTTTTTTGGGAAGGAGTCTCGCTCTGTCGCCAGGCTGGAGTGCAGTGGCGCAATGTCGGCTCACTGCAATCTCCGCCTCCCGAGTTCGAGTGATTCCTCTGCCTCAGCCTCCCGAGTAGCTGAGACTACAGGCACGCACCACCACGCCTGGCTAATTTTTTTGTATTTTAGTAGAGACGGGGTTTCACCATGTTGGCCAGGATGGTCTTGGACTCCTGACCTCGCGATCTGCCTGTCTCAGCCTCCCAAAGTGCTGTGATTACAGGCGTGAGCCACTGTGCAGAGCCTTGTTTGTTTTTTTTTGTTTTTTGTTTTTTGGATTTTTTTTTGAGACAGAGTTTTGCTCTTGGAGTTCAATGGCGCAATCTCGGCTTACTGCAACCTCCACCTCGCAGATTCAAGCGATTCTCCTGCCTCAGCCTCCCAAGTAGCTGGGATTACAGACCTGCACTACCATGCCCAGCTAATTGTATTTTTAGTAGAGACAGGGTTTCACCATGTTGGCCAGGCTGGTCTCGAACTCCTGACCTCAGGTGATCCACCAGCCTCGGCCTCCCAAAGTGCTGGAATTACAGGCGTGAGCCACCATGCCTGGCCGTAAAAAGTTTTTAAAAAGAGAAAAGGATCAATTCCACTAGATATTCTTCCATTTTACAGGTAAGAAAAAGGTAAGCTGGACGCAGTGGCTCATGCCTGTAATCCCAGCACTTTGGGTGGCCGAGGCGGGTGGATTGCTTGAGCTCAAAAGTTCGAGACCAGCCTGGGCAACATGGTGAAACCCCGTCTCTACCTCAAATACATAAACTTAGCTGGGCGTGATGGTGCACACCTGTGGTCCCAGCTACTTGGGGGGCTGAGGTGGGGAGGATCGCTTGAACCCGCGAGGTAGAGGTTGCAGTGAGCCCAGCTTGCACCACTGCACTCCAGCCTGGATGACAGAGTGAGACCCTGTCTCAAAAACAAAACAAAACAGAAAGTACCACCTCCCATTCCCTTGTCCTGGAATGTTCTCCCTCTTCATTTGGTTAACATCCATTCATTCTTCAGGTCTCAACCTGCTTGTCACTTCCACAGGGAGACCTTCCCTGACTTCCCCCTCTCTTCTTCCAGTCCAGTTAGGTTCTTCTGCTTACTACCTCTTAAATTACCCTGTAGTTTTCCTTCACAATTGTAACTATAAGGTTACATGTGTGGTCAATTAATTGATGTCTGCCTCCTTTGCTAGACTGTGAGCTCCACAAGGATAGATCCAGAAGGGTATGTCTTGCTCGCTACACTTTGCTTTCAACAAACTGCATCTGGCATGAAGGAGGTACAATAAATGCATTTGTTGGCTGGGCGCAGTGGCTCATGTCTGTAATCCCAACACTTTGGGAGGCCAAGGCAGGCAGATCACGAGGTCAGGAGATCAAGACTATTCTGGCCAACATGGCAAAACCCTGTCTCTACTAAAAATACAAAAATTAGCCGGGCATGGTGGCACACACCTGTAGTCCCAGCTACTCGGGAGGCTGAGGCAGGAGAATTGCTTGAATCCGGGAGGCAAAGGTTGCAGTGAGCCAAGGTCCGTGCCACTGCACTCCAGCCTGCCAACAGAGCAAGACTCCGTCTCAAAATAAATTAATTAAATTAAATTAAATATTTAAAAATAAAGTAACCATAGGAAAACTGGGTGCAGGCTATACAGGAACTCTCTAATATTCTTGCAACTTTTCCGTAAATCTAAAACTATTCTAAAATATAACTTTATGACTTTATTTTAAAATAAAATAAGGCCAGGTAGAGGGACTTACACATGTAATTCCAGCACTTTGGAAGACTGAGGCAGGAGGATCACTTGAGCCCACCAGGAGCTTGAGACCAGCCTGGGAAACATAGTGAGACCCCATCTCTACAAAAAAAAATCCTTTTAATGAGCCAGGTGTGGTGTCACACACCTGTAGTCCTTCTACTTGGGAGGCTGAGGTGGGAGGATCGCCTGAGCCCAGGAGTTTGAAGCTGCAATGAGCTAGGTTTGTGCCACTGCACTCCAGCCTGGGTGACAGAGTGAGACCCTGTCTCAAAATAAATGAAATGAGTATTCATTTATGAAAATAACCGAGCAAACACCTACACCTGAAGTGAAATTAATGAAATATGCATTTTAAAGTGTGGCACTCAAGAAGGCATGCTGATGGTAGAGTGAGTTCCTGGTTTATTTACAAATCACCAAAAGTTGATGAACTCCACTGATGATGTCTGCATCATAAACACCTTAAGTTGTGTCTACATAGGTCAGTTCCGCATAGATTGATAGAGAAAATGTCCTATTCATAGGATGTCTTGTCTTAGCAAAACACTTCGTGTAGGTGCTTTGGTTAACTGCATGGGGGCAGCAGAGCGACATGGAGCGCTCACAAAGCTATGGAGCTGGCCGGGCCTGAGTTCACATCAAATACATACCTCTCACTTAGTAGTTGTGCGACTTTATTTTCATTTATTTATTTATTTATTTTGAGACGGAGTTTCACTCTTATTGGCCAGGCTGGAGTGCAATGGCACGATCTCAGCTCACCCCACAACCTCCGCCTCCCGGGTTCAAGCGATTCTCCTGCCTCACCCTCATGAGTAGCTGGGATTACAGGCATGCGCCACCATACCTGGCTAATTTTGTATTTTTAGTAGAGACGGGGTTTCTCCATGTTGGTCAGGCTGGTCTCAAACTCCCGACCTCTGGTGATCCGCCTGCCTCGGCCTCCCAAAGTGTTGGGATTACAGGTGTGAGCCACTGTGCCCAGCCTAGGTGACTTTAGAGGAGTTACTTAACCTCCCTGAGCATGTGTAAAATGTGTAAAATGGGGTAAATATTGTGCTATAACTTGCTTTGGCAATTAAATGAGATGGTGTGTTAAAATTGCCTGGCCTATTGTATAATAGCAATCTTTAAGAATGTCTGGTATAGGCCCAGCACAGTGGCTGATGCCTGTAATTCCAGCACCTCGGGAGGCCAAGATAGGAGAATCACTTGAGCCCAGGAGTTCGAGACCAGCCTGGGCAACACAGCGAGACCGCCCCCCCCATCCGTATTTAAAATATATATATATAAAATAGAAAAAAAAGAGTTTCTGATATAAACCTATAACTGATATTTGTTTCTTCCCTCCCTGCCTCCTTTCCTTCCTTCCTTCCTTCCTTTCTTCCTTCCTTCCTTCCTTCCTTCCTTCCTTCCTTCCTTCCTTCCTTCCTTCCCTCCCTCCCTTCCTTCCTTCCTTCTCTTCCTCTCTCTCTCCCTCCTTTTTTACTCTTGACATATTTGGGGAGGGAGTAGATAGTTTCTGTTCCGGCAGGCAGTTAACAGAAATTTCACACTGGTGTAGATATGTAGACCCAAACTGAAAACTGAAAATGGATGAATAATAAATACATTGCTGTAAGACTCCCTGAAGTACAAGTCTCGAGCCCAGTACTATTCTTAGGAAAGGGTGAAGGGTCCCAAGAAGATGAGGATGTTCATCTCTTAATAGGAGCATTCAAGAATAAATTTCATTCATTTAACACATATTTACAGAACACCTACATGTGCCAAACAGTGCACTGGCTGCTGGGGATGCAGTGGTGAATAGGTTGGGCATGAACCCTGCCCTTAGGATCTCACAATCTATTCCAGTGGCCACAACACACACACACACACACACACACACACACACACAATCCTGCAATCCTGCAAGTTTCTTGATTTCATACTTACTTGTGTGCAATGCATACTTATGTTTTTATTTTATCCCATTTCATTGAAAAAATGGATTTCATGCCCCACTAATAGGTTGCTTGTGTAGTTTGAAAGGCATGGATCTAGTCAAGGAGATAAATACATAGACAATTATCACACATTGTTATAAGCACAATGATAGAGAAGTATTCACAGAGGCCAAGGAAAATATTCTGAACTTACATATTTTAAATAAAAAAGGTCTGATATGGCTGATGCCAAAACAATGTATGTCCGTAGTGTGAAGTGCATATTTATATTTTATTTTATTAATTTATTTATTTATTTTTGAGATGGAGTCTCGCTCTATTGCCCAGGCTGGAGTGCAATGGTGAGATCTCAGCTCACTGCAACCTCCGCCTCCTGGGTTCAAGCGATTCTTGTGCCTCAGCCTCCCAAGTAGCTAGGACTACAGGTGTGTGCCACCACACCCTGCTAATTTTTGTATTTTTAGTAGAGACGGGGTTTTACCATGTTGTCCAGGCTGGTCTCGAACTCCTAACCTCAAGTGATCCACCCGCCTCGGCCTCCCAAAATGCTGGGATTACAGGCATGAGCCACTGCGCCCGGCCACATTTATATATTTTTATCACCAAAGTGACATTCATATGCTTGCAATATGCATACACATATATTTAGTATGTAATTTGGGAATCACAGAATGATGACACTTTATACAAACAGAACTTTGTGCTTCAAAAGACAGCATTTCACTGGCATTTTGAAGAATGCTAGAGATAGTATGTGTTCCTGTTATCTATTGCTGTGTAACAAACTATCCCAAAACCTAGTGGCCTGAAACGAGCATTTTGTTTCCATTCCTGGGTCAGGAAGTTGGGAAGACCTTGGCTGATTGCTTTTTTTCTGATCTAGTGGGGGTAGCTGGGGCTGGAGGATTCGCTTCCAAGATGCCTTTTCCACTCACCTGCTGGGTGCCTTAGTGCTGCTTGGCCTTCCTCTCCCTCTCCTTACATGGCATCTCATCCTACAGGGCCGCTTTATGTGGCTTGGCCTTCTCACGGCATGATGGTCTTGGGTAGATGACTGCTTATGTGATGACTGGCCTGATCATGTGTTCCAAGAGACAGGAACTGGAAGCTGCCAGTCTCTTAAGACCTGGGCCCTAAAACTGGCACCGGGACCAGCTTCCTGGGGGTGGTCGTGCAGTTGCACAGGGCTCTGTGCTTAGCTTGATGCTCTGATTTTGCTATCTTGAAATCCCTTTTTTTTTTTTTTCTGAGATGGAGCCTTGTTGTGTTGCCCAGGCTGGAGAGCTATGGCGTGATCTCGGCTCACTGCAACCTCCACCTCCTGGGTTCAAGCGATTCTCCTGCCTCAGCCTCCCGAGTAGCCGGGATTACAGATGCATACCACCATGTCCGGCTAATTTTGTGTACTTTTAGTAGAGACAGGGTTTCAACATGTTGGCCAGACTGGTCTCAAACTCCTGACCTCAAGTGATCCACCGGCCTCGGCCTCCCAAAGTGCTGGGATTACAAGCGTGAGCCACCACGCCCAGTCTTTCTTGAAATTCTTAATTTCTTAAAAGGGGTCTCACATTTTCAGTTTGGGCTCCACAAATTACGTAGCTGGTCCCACCCAGACTGGGTTATCCCTTTTCCTGTATTTTTTTGGTCTAAGCAGTTCCAGAACCCATCCAGATTCAAGGGAAAGTGTGATAGAGGCCACCTCTCAATGGGAAGAGTATCAAAGGACTTATGGTCATCTTTAATCCATCACAGCATGGTATGGGAAAGGAGAAAGAGCACTGGTATCAAGAAATCTGAGGCTTAGTCCCAGTTTTACAGCTACAACTAGCCTGCCACTAACAAGCCACCACAGCTTTGGGGACCTGTTTTCTTCCATTTGAAATGAGGAAATTGGACTTGATCGCTAACCTCTAAAATCATGAACCTATAATGCCACATTTGTAACTGTCTAATGTACATCTAACATGGTGTTCATTAGAAAAACTGTTTCCAGGCCGGGCATGGTGGCTCAGGCCTGTAATCCCAGCACTTTGGGAGACTGAGGCGGGTGGATCGCTTGAGGTCAGGAGTTGGAGACCAGCCTGGTCAACATGGTGAAACCCCATCTCTGCTAAAATTATAAAACTTAGCCAGGCATGGTGGCAGGCACCTGTAATCCCAGCTACTTGGGAGGCTGAGGCAGGAGAATCGCTTCAACCCAGGAAATAGAGGTTGCAGTAAGCTGAGATCGCGCCACCGCACTCCAGCCTGGTGACAAAGTGAAACTCTGTTTCAAAAAATGAAAGAAAAAAGAAAAATTGTTTCCACGGGGCTCTCCAAAGGAAGAAGGGCATGGGAACTGAAGGCAAATGAATACAAAAAACACAACTATTAGTTAAATCAGAAAGCCTGTGGATCTAAATTCAAGGTCAGCTGCCTCCAACTCCCACTTGTTCATTCTCAAACACCCGTTTCAGACTATGAGGCAGATACATAGTGTTGTATCTGTGCTGGGTGCTGAGCTGCAGCAGTGAACCACAACCACAGGCCCACATCTTCTTGGACTCCCAGCCTACATGGAGGCAGATGACAGTGCCGACACAGCTCCTAGTGCAGAGTGCTGCGGCAAGGAAGGCACTAGGGTCTTGGGAACCTGTACCGAACACGGGAGGGACTGAGGAAGAGCAAACTGAGCCCTGGAGGCCCACGAGGAGCTAGGTTTTGCGGCTGAGGCTGCCGGGTGGAACGTTCATGTCCTATGCAGAGGAAACAGACTGTGAAAAGGCCCAGTCAAGAGAAAGCTGGGAGATCGGGAACTGAAAGTTACTGCATGGCAGGAGTGTAGAAAGGGGATGTATTCGTGGGTGAAGAAAGAGGATGCGAACAGGAAGTAGTGAATAGGAATGAGGCTGGAGAGGTAAGCAGACGCCAGATCACGAGGAGCCTCTAAGTCTTAAGTGAGAGCTTCAATTCTATCCTGAGGCCAAGAGAAACATTAAAGAGTTCAAAAGTAGACAGTGGCCTATCAGGTTTGGGTTTAAGAAATCATCGAGGTTAGTAGGCTGGGCGTGGTGGATCATGCCAGTAATCCCAGCACTTTGGGAGGCTGAGGCAGGCAGATCACCTGAGGTCAGGAGTTCAAGACCAGCCTGGCCAATATGGTGAAACCCCGTCTCTACTAAAAACACAAAAATTAGCTGGGCTTGGTGGCACATGCCCGTAATCCCAGCTATTCAGGAGGCTGAGGCAAGAGAATCACTTGAACCTAGGAAGCGGAGGTTGCAGTGAGCTAAGATCCTGCCACTGCACTGCAGCCTGGGTGACAGAGCAATACTCTGTCTCAAAAAAAAAAAAAGAAAAAAAAAAGGAAAGGAAAGAAAGAAAAAGAAAAGAAAAAACAGAATGTGTTTAACTTCCTGCAACCAAACCTGTGAACTCACCTGTATGTGCGCCCTCTTTTTCCTCCTGCACTCCTGTTATAATAATAACAGCTACCATTTATGCAATGTTCCTATGTGCAAGACACAATGGTAAGCATATTACATGCATTATCTCCTTTAATGATCAGCCCAAATTTATGAGGCAGGTACTCATAATTCCTTTTTTTTCCCCCTTGAGACGGAGTCTCACTCTGTCACCCAGGCTGGAGTGCAGTGGTGCGATCTCGGCTCACTGTAACCTCTGCCTCCTGGGTTCAAGCAATTCTCTGCCTCAGCCTCCCGAGTAGCTGGGATTACAGGCACCTGCCACCATGCCTGGCTAATTTTTGTATTTTTAGTAGAGACGGGGTTTCACCATCTTGGCCAGGCTGGTCTTGAACTCCTGACCTTGTGATCCACCCGCCTTGGCTTCCCAAAGTGCTGGGATTACAGGCATGAGCCACCAGTCCTGGCCAATTCCATTGTATTATAGTCAAGGAAAGTAAGACTCAGGGAGAGTGAGTGACTTACCCAGGGTCTCACAGCTAGAAGGTGGTAGAACTAAGCTCTAATCAGACTGTCTGACTCCAGAGTCTCCTCCTCTGTGAGACAAATTCCTAGTCCTATGCTCTGCCTTATCCCTTCCCACCTCTTGGGAGCTTTGATCCATTGACTATTCGTGTTGACTCCTCTGTCTTCCTACTTCTCCTTTTCTTTTGAGTCCTTTGTGTCATTACACAAACAAGCTGTGCCTCCCAAGCCAAAATAAAACCCCTCTCCTGGCCGGGCACGGTGACTCATGCCTATAATCCCAGCACTTTGGGAGGCCGAGGCAGGCAAATCACGAGGTCAGGAGTTTGAGACCAGCCTGGCCAACATGGTGAAACCCCGTCTCTACTAAAAATACAAAAATTAGCTGGGCATGGTGGTAGGCGCCTGTAATCCCAGCTACTCGGGAGGCTGAGGCAGGAGAATCGCTTGAACCCGGGAGGGGGAGGTTGCAGTGAGCCGAGATCACGCCACTGCACTCCAGCCTGGGTGACAGTGCGAGACTCTGTCTCAAAAAAAAAAAAAGAAAAGAAAAAAACCCTCCAGTAACCCCACAGCTACCTCCAGTTCTCTCTTGATTTGCTTATCCACGTATCCAACTGTCTATTGGATCTCTTCACCTCGATGTCATATAGCCAATCTCAAACTTAATGTATCCAAAACAAGTTTTGATCCCCTTCCCCTACCCACCAAAAAAACCTATTCTTCTCATGGCCCTTCCTCTCAGTAAATGACACCACCATCCACCCTGTTGCTCAAGTCAGAAACCTGAGCATCACCCTTGCCACCTCTGTCTTCCTCCTCCCCTACATTCAGTCAATCACAAGTCTTGTTGATTCCATGAAATCTCTCTTATCTGTCCATCTGACTCTACAGACCATAGCCTCTTACCAGTCCCTCTAATCCTAGCCTACTCCTCTCCATCCCGAATCAGTGGGTTCTCAGCAGCAGTCCACATGCTAACGTTGATGCTTTTTTTTTTTTTTTTGAGACAGAGTCTCACTCTGTCACCCAGGCTGTAGTGCAGTGGCGCGATCATGGCTCACTGCAGCCTCGACTTCCCAGGCTCAGGTGATCCTCCCATCTCAGCCTCCCAGGTGGCTGGGACTATAGGCATGTGCCACCATGCCCAGCTAATTGTTTTCTATTTTGTAGAGATGGGGTTTTGCCATGTTGCCCATGCTGATTGAGAACTCCTGGGCTCAAGTGATCCACCCGCCTTGATTCTGTAATCTGTGGGATTACAGAATCCTAGTACTTTGGGAGGCTGAGACAGGCAGATCACCTGAGGTTGGGAGTTCGAGACCAGCCTGGCCAGCATGGTGAAACCCCGTCTCTACTAAAAATACAAAAAAATTAGCCGGGCGGGGTGGCAGGCGCCTTTAATCCCAGCTACTCGGGAGGCTGAGGCAGGAGAACTGCTTGAACCCGGGAGGCGGAGGTTGCAGTGAGCCGAGATTGCGCCATTGCACTCCAGCCTGAGCGACAGAGCAAGACTCCATCTCAAGGAAAAAAGAAAAGATGCCCGGGGCCTCATGAGTGAGTGTAATGGGTAGAGTGTTAACATAGCCTGAGCAGCAGGGAAGACATCCCCAAGGAGGTAACATTTAATCTGACACCTGAAATGAAGGATGAGTGGGTGAATGAAGGATGAGTGGGTCAGGTGAAGTCAGGAGCAAGGGAGAGGGGAAAGTGTTTCTGGAGAGTGAACAGCATGCAGGAACCCCAGGGTTGAGAAGAACATGGCTGTTCGAAGGATCAGCAAGGAGGACTGAGTGGCTGGAGCAGAGTGAGGGAGGGTAAGTGGGGAAGGGAAAAAACAACTTTGGGAGAGGCAGGGAGGGTGCAGTGGCTCATGCCTGTAATCCTAACACTTTGGGAAGTTGAGGAGGGTGGGCCACTTGAGCCCAGGAGTTGGAGACCAGCCTGGGCAACAGGGTGAAACCCTGTCTCTACAAACAATACAAAAAGCTAGCCTGGTGTGGTGGCATGCACCTATAGTCCCAGCTACTCGGGAGGCTGAGGTGGGAGGATCACTTGAACCCGGGAGGTCGAGGCTGCAGTGAGCTGTAATCACACCACTGCACTCCAGCGTGGGTGACAGAGTAAGCATCTGTCTCAAAAAAAAAAAAAAAAAAACAAAACAAAACAAACAACAACAACAAAAAACAGGACTTTGGGAGAGAATGTAGAGTGAAGAGAAAAGCTTCCAGAACTTCATCCTGGTAAACCCCAGCAATTAAAGCCATAGGAGGTTATGGAAGACTAGACAAGAGTTTCAAACAGGAGGAAGTAGCCAACATTGTTCAGTGCTGCCAAGAAGTGAACTAAGATAAGGACTTGGATTTGGCAGATGGGAGGTGCAAAGGCATGAATATATGTGTCCCTCTGAAATGTGTATGTTGTAGGCCGGGCACGGTGGCTCACACCTCTAATCCAAGAATTTTGGGAGGCTGAGGTGGGCAGATCACTTGAGCCCAGGAGTTGGAGACCAGCCTGGCCAACATGGTGGAACCCCATCTCTACTAAAAATACAAAAATTAGCCGGGCGTGGTGGCGGGCGTCTGTAATCCCAGCTACTTGGGAGGCTGAGGCAGGAGAATTGCTTGAACCTGGGAGGCAGAGGTTGCAGTGAGCTGAGATCGTGCCACTGCACTCCACCCTGGGTGACACAGTGAGATTCTATCTCAAAAAAAAAAAAAATGTGTATGTTGGAACTTAATCCCCAAGGTGACAATATTAAGAGGAGGGATCTTTGGGGAAGTGATTAAGTCATGAGGCTCTGCCTTCATGAATGGGATTAATGCCCTTATAAAAGAGGCGGCCGGGCTCGGTGGCTCACGCCTGTAATCCCAGCACTTTGGGAGGCCGAGGTGGGCGAATCATGAGGTCAGGAGTTTGAGACCGGCCTTGCCAACAAGGCCAACATCTCTACTAAAAATACAAAAAATTAGCTGGGCATGGTGGCGGGTGCCTGTAATGCTAGCTACTCGGGAGGCTGAGGCAGGAGAATTGCTTGAACCCAGGAGGCAGAGGTTGCAGTGAGCCAAGATCGTCACGCCACTGCACTCCAGCCTGGGCAACAGTGACAGACTTCGTCTCAAAAATAAATAAATAAATAAATAAGGCTTCAGAGAGCTGCCTGGCCCTTCCATCTCTTCCACCATGTGAGGACACAAAGGTGCCATAAATGAGGAACCACCTCTCACCAGACACCAAACCTGCCTTGATCTGGGACTTCCCTGCCTACAGAACAGTGAGCAACAAATTTCTGCTCTTTATAAATTACCCAGTCTAAGATAATTTTTTTTTTTTTTTTGAGACGGAGTCTCACTCTGTCACCCAGGGTGGAGTGCAGTGGCACGATCTCAGTTCACTGCAAGCTCCGCCTCCTGAGTTCACACCATTCTCCTGCCTCAGCCTCCAGTCTAAGGTATTTTGTTATAGCAACAAGAATGGACTAAGACAGGAGGTCATCATGGGGGACTTTTTTTTTTCTTTTGGCTCACTGCAACCTACACCTCCCGGGTTCAAGCAATTCTCATGCCTCAGCCTCCTGAGTAGCTGGGATCACAGGTATGTACCACCACACCTGGTTATTAGTAGGGACGGGGTTTCGCCATGCTGGCCAGGCTGGTCTCAAACTCCTGACCTCAGGTGATCCCCCTGCCTTGACCTCCCAAAGTCCTAGAATTACAGGTGTGAGCCACCACGCCCTTTCTGGAAGCAATTACTCTGGGATGATAGAGGCAGAAGCCAGAATGCAGAAAGTTAAGGACTGAGGAAGAGGTAAGGAAATGGAGATGATGAAGTGAGGAGACCTCTCAGCAGACAGGCTTTACTATGAAGAGAAGAGACAAGTTTGAGCCAGAAGGCTAGGGAAGACTTGAGCTTTTTTGTCACTCAGAGTGACACTCCTATTAATGACTTACTAAATGTCTGTTGTACATGGACACATAGAGGGGAACAACACACACTGGGGCCTATCAGAGAGTGGAGGGTGGGAGGAGGGTGAGGATCAAGAAAAATAATGGGAGAGTGCAGTGGTTCATGCCTGTAATCCCAGCACTTTGGGAGGCTGAGACAGGGAGATCACCAGATGTCAGTTTGAGACCAGCCTGACCAACATGGTGAAACCCCGTCTCCACTGAAAATACAAACATTAGCCAGGCAGGGCATAGTTTCAGCTACTCGGGAGGCCGAGGCAGGAGAATCACTTGAACCTGGGAGGTGGAGGTTGCAGGTGAGCTGAAATAGTGCCACTGCACTCCTGCCTGGGTGACAGAGCAAGACTCCATCTCTAAATAATGGGTACTAGGCTTAGTACCTGGGTGATGAAATAATCTGTACAACAAACCCCCATGACACATGTTTACCTATATAACAAACCCACACATGTACACCTGAACTTAAAATAGGCCAGGCGGGGTGGCTCACGCCTGTAATCCAGCACTTTCAGAGGTGGAGGCGGGTGGATCATGAGGTCAAGAGATCGAGAACATCTTGGCCAACATGGTGAAACCCATCTCTACTAAAAATACAAAAATTAGCTAGGCATGATGCAGCACGCCTGTAGTCCCATGTGTCCAGAATGTATTCCTTCCAGTGGGTTATTGGTCTCGCTGACTTCAAGAATGAAGCTGCAGACCCTTGCGGTGTGTTACAGCTCTTGAAGATGATGTGTCTCGGAGTTTGTTCCTTCAGATGTTCAGATATGTCCAGAGTTTCTTCCTTCCAGTGGGTTCGTGGTCTCACTGACTTCAGGAATGAAGCTGCATACGCTCACGGTGAGTGTTACAGTTTATAAAGGTAGAGCAACAGCAAGATTTATTGTGAAGACCAAAGAACAAAGCTCCCACAGCATGGAAAAAGACCCAACCAGGTTGCTGCTGGTGGTTTGGGTGGCCAGTTTTTATTCCCTTATTGGGCCCCACCCACATCCTGCTGATTGGTCCATTTTACAGAGCGCTGATTGGTCCATTTTACACACTGTTGATTGGTGCATTTTTACAAAGTGCTGATTGGTGCATTTACAAACCTTTAGCTAGACACAGAGCACTGATTGGTGCGTTTTTACAGAGTGCTGATTGGTGCATTTACAAACCTTTAGCTAGACACAGAGCGCTGATTGGTGCATTTTTACAGAGTGCTGATTGGTGCATTTACAAACCTTTAGCTAGACACAGAGCACTGATTGATGCGTTTTTACAGAGTGCTGATTGGTGCGTTTACAAACCTTTAGCTCCACAGAAAAGTTCTCCAAGTCCCCACTCGACCCAGGAAGTCCTGCTGTCTTCACCTGTCACCAGCTACTGGGGAGGCTGAGGCAGGAGAATCGCTTGAACCCAGGAGGTGGAGGTTGCTGGGAGCCAAGCCAAGATCACGCCACTACACTCCAGCCTGGCAACAGAGTGAGACTCCGTCTCAAAAAAGAAAAAAGTTAAAAATAAAATGTCTGTTGTACTGAACTAAACTGTGGGTAAGTTTGAAGATGCAGGAGAAGACAATTGATGTCAGTAAACCCTGAGAGGAGAGGCGGTTGAGAGCATGAGCGATATCTTGAAAGAGGACAGGCATGCTCCTTTGTCAGAATGAAGGGAAGGAGGGAAGATGGGGAGTCTTGGTGTGGAATATATGTTATGTTAGCTGGGGTTAGGGGGCATTCCCACAGATGAATAGGGCCAGGAGATGAAGGACTTGTATAATTTGATTCTCTTCAGAGGATTTCAGGTTTAACTCTGACTCCAGTTTATGACTTTATCTGAAAACAATATCTAACATATTTAATATTTGGTGGGCACTTACCAAGTTGCTCTTTTACTTCCGTGAGTGAAGAACAAGGTAAGTTCGCTGGTTGCAATTATGTCTGTCTTAGTCCATTTTTGTGTTGCTATAAAGAAATACTTGTAGGCCAGGCGCGGTGACTCATGCCTGTAATCCCAGCACTCTGGGAGGCCGAGGCGGGTGGATCACTTGAGGTCAGGAATTGGAGACCAGCTTGGCCAACATGGGGAAACCCCGTCTCTACTGAAAATACAAAAATTAGCCGGGCATGGTGATGCAAGCCTGAAATCCCAGCTATTCGGGAGGCTGAGGCAGGAGAATCCCTTGAACCCGGGAGGCAGAGGTTGCAGTGAGCTGAGATCACGCCACTGCACTCCAGCCCGGGCAACAGAGCAAGACTCTGTCTCAAAAATAAATAAATAAATAAATACTTGGGGGGCCAGGCACAGTGGCTCATGCTTGCAATCCCAACACTTTGGGAGGCCAAGGGAAGAGGATTGCTTGAGCCCAGGAGTTCGTGACCAGGCTGGGCAATATAGGGAGACATTGTTTGTATAAAAAAAAATTTTTTTTAAAAAGAAATATCTCATCTTGGGCCACATTAAAAAAAAAAAGAAAGAAGGAAATACTTGGTGGGGAAGGAAAGAAATACGTGAGGCTGGATAACTTACAAAGGAAAGAGGCTTATTTAGCTCACGGTTCTGCAGGCTGCACAAGAAGCATGGCACCAGCATCTGCTTCTGGTGAAGGCCTCAGGCTGCACCAGTCATAGTGGAAGGCAAAGGGGAGCAGGCATCACATGGTGATAGAGGAAGGAAGACAGAAAGGAGGGAAGTGTCAGGTTTTTTTCAACAATCAGTTCTCAGCCGGCCACAGTGGCTCACGCTTGTAATCCCAGCACGTAGGGAGGCTGAGGTGGGTGGATCACCTGAGGTCAGGAGTTCGAGACCAGCCTGGCCAACATGGTGAAACCCTGTCTCTACTGAAAATACAAAAATTAGCCAGGCGCGCGTCACCACGCCTGTAATCCCAGCTACTCAGGGGGCTGAGGCAGGAGAATCGCTTGAATCCGGGAGGCGGAGGTTGCAGTGAGCCGAGATTGTGCCACTGCCCTCCAGCCTGGATGACAGAGTGAGACTCCGTCTCAAAAAAAAAAATCAGTTATCACAGGGACTAATAGAGTGAGAACTCACCCTTTACTGTAAAAATGGCACCAAACCCTTGGTGAGGGGTCCACCCCCATGACCCAAACACCTTCTTTTAGGCCCCACCTCCAACATTGTGTGTCAAATTTCTTTTTTTTTTTTTTGAGACGGAGTCTCGCTGAGTCACCCAGGCTGGAGTGCAGTGGCACGGTCTCGGCTCACTGCAACCTCTGCCTCCCGGGTTCACGCCATTCTCCTGCCTCAGCCTCCCGAGTAGCTGGGACTACAGGTGCGTGCTGCCGCGCCCGGCTAATTTTTTTGTATTTTTAGTAGAGACAGGGTTTCACCACGTTGGCCAGGATGGTCTCGATCTCCTGACCTCGTGATCCGCCCGCCTCGGCCTCCCAAAGTGCTGGGATTACAGGCGTGAGCCACCGCGCCCGGCCCGTGAGTCAAATTTCAACATGAGGTTTAGAGGGGACAAATATTCAAACCATATCATTCTGCTCCTGGCCCCCCAAATCTTATGTCCTTCTCTCTTGCAAAATACAATCATCCCCCCAAATAGTCCCCAAGTCTTAACTTGTCCAGCATTAACTCCAAAAGTCCAAAGTCTCATCTGAGACTCAGGACAAGTTCCTTCCTGCTGTGAGCCTGTAAAATCAAAATCAGGCTGGGCACGGTGGCTCATGCCTGTAATCTCAGCACTTTGGGAGTCCAAGGCGGGTGGATCACCTGAGGTCGGGAGTTTGAGACCAGCCTGGCCAACATGGTGAAATTCTGTCTCTACTAAAAATACAAAAATGAGCTGGGCGTGACGGCACGTGCCTGTTATCCCAGCCACTGAGGACGCAGAGCCGGGAGAATCGCTTGAACCCGGGAGATGGAGGTTGCAGTAAGCTGAGATCGCGCTACTGCACTCCAGCCTGGGCGACAGAGTGAGACTCCATCTCAAAAAATAAAAAAAAAATCAAGCCGGGCGCGGTGGCTCACGCCTGTAATCCCAGCACTGTGGGAGGCCGAGGTGGGTGGATCACGAGGTCAGGAGATCAAGACCATCCTGGCTAACACGGTGAAACCCCGTCTCTACTAAAAATACAAAAAATTAGCCGGGCGTGGTGTGGACGCCTGTAGTCCCAGCTGCTGGGGAGGCTGAGGCAGGAGAATGGCGTGAACCCGGGAGGCGGAGCTTGCAGTGAGCCGAGATCGCGCCACTGCACTCCACCTGGGCCACAGAGCGAGACTCCATCTCAAAAAAAAAAAAAAATCAAAATCAAGGTATTTACTTCTGAGACACAGTGGTAGAACAGACATTGGGTAAACACTCCCATTCCAAAAGAGAAATATCCCCAAAAGCAAGGGGTAACAGGCCCCACACAAGTTCAAAACACAGTAGGGCAGACATTAAATCGTTTTTTGTTTTTTTTTTTTTTTTTGAGACAGGGTCTTGCTCTGTCGCTCTGTCACCCAGGCTGGAGTGCAGTGGTGCGATCATGGCTCACTGCAGTCTCGACCTCCTGGGCTCAAGCAATCCTCCCGCCTCACCTCCTGAGTAGATGAAACTACAGGCTTGCACCACCATGCCAGGCTAATTTTCTAATTTTGTGTAGAGACGAGGTCTCACTATGTTGCCCAGGCTGCTCTCAAACTCCTGGGCTCCAGCAACCGTCCTGCCTTGGCCAGCCATTAAATCTTAAAGTTCCAAAATGATCTCCCTTGACTCCATGTCCCATCATCCTGGGCACACTGGTGCAAGGGGTGAGCCGCCAAGGCCTCGAGCAGCCCCATCCCCATGGCTATGCTGGGAGCAGCCCATGTGGCTGCTCTCATGGATTAGAGTCCATTGCCACAGGCTTTTTGAGGCTGAGGATGAGTGCTGCTGGTGGCTGCACTATTCTGTGGTCTCGAGGGTGGTGGCCCTGCTTCCACAGCTCAACTGGCCCCTGGTAGGAATTCTTGCAGGGCACCACCCCTGCAGCAGACTTCTGCCTGGGCATCTAGGCTTTCCCATACTTCCTCTGAAATCTAGGTGGAAGTTGCCAAGCCTTCAGTCACTCTTCAATTTTGCAAGTCTGCAGACTTAGCACCATGTGGAAGCCCCAAGGCTTATGGCTTTGGGAGCAGCAGCCAGAGCAGTACCTGAGGCCCTTTGAGACTGGGCTGGAGCTAGAGCAGTAGGGATGCAGGTCAGTGGTACCCCAGGCGTGGCACCCTCTTTCCTTCCCTTCCACCCCCCAAAAAAACCCATTCTGTCCTCCTAGGCCTGTGGCCTTAGTGATTTTTTTTTTTTTCTTTTTTGATATGGAGTCTTGCTCTGTCACCCAGGCTGGAGTGCAGTGATACTATCTCAGCTCACTGCAACCTCTGCCTCCCAGGTTTAACCGATTCTCGTGCCTCAGAGCCTCCCAAGTAGCTGAGACTACAGGCACACACCACCACGCCTGATTTTTTTCATATTTTTACTAGAGACGGGGTTTCACCATGTTGGCCAGGCTGGTCTCAAACTCCTGACCTCAGGTGATCCACCTTTTGAGACAGAGTCTTGCTCTGTCACCCAGGCTGGAGTGCAGTGGTGCAATCTCAGCTCACTGCAACCTCTGCCTCCTGGGTTCAAGAGATTCTCCTGCCTAAGCCTCCTGAGTAGCTGAGATTACAGGCACCCGTCACCATGCACAACTACTATTTGCATTTTTAGTAGCGACGGGGTTTCACCATGTTGGCCAGGCTGGTCTTGAACCCCTCACCTCAGCCTCCCAGAGTGAAGGGATTACAGGCGTGAGCCACTGTGCCAGCCTGCCCTTAGTGAATTCTAAAATGCCTTCAGGGCCTTTTCCCATCTTGTTGACTATTAGCATCTGGATCCTTTTTAGCCATACTAAGCACTTCAGCAAGTGGTTGTTATGTCAAAAGTAAAAATATATAGCTTGTGAAGAACATCAGCAGAGGAGCCAACATCTCTTTTGAGGAACAGTCACTCCTCTGGCACAGATGGAAAATAACTTGCAATAAATGCAAATTCATTTTAAAGCTGACATAATGCAGGTAAACCACAAGATCCCTCCTGGACTACCCTAGCAGATAATGGAGTTTTGCCACAAGAACCTGCTGAGCCCCTTAGGATTCTTTCAAACAGCTGTTATTTCCTATTCCCTATGTGTCACGCAGTGTGCCAGATGTTGCACATACATTATCTTGAATGCTCAGAACAAACCTGCAAAAAATATTCTATTGGTCCCATTTCACAGATGAGGAAATTGCCACTCAGGCCAGCAAGTAGCTCAAGGTCATGAATCGGGAGCTAGGATTTGAACCCAGGCAAGGCTGAGAGCTTTCCACCACACCAGTGGTTTTGAATTTTACTCCAGGGGCCACCGTGTAGGACTGTCTGTCTAGAATAGAGGCGGGGGTGGGGAGATTTACACATGGGGATTCTAGGTAAGCTTCATTAGAGCAAAGACTTTGGAGGAGAAAAAAAGAGAAGTTTGAAAGGCACTGCCCTCACAGGGGTCTTTGAACTTCCTGGGGTGAAGAATGACTAATTTTTTTAGAAACAGGGTCTTGCTCTGTTGCCCAGGCTGGAGTGCCATGGCACGATCATGTTCACTGCAGCCTCTACTTCCTGGAATCAGGTGACCCTCCCACCTCAGCCTCCCAAGTAGCTGGGACTACAGGCAAACAGCAACTACAGGCATACAGCCTTGTTAGTATGACTTTTCTGAAAGCATTGCTTAGAAGTGTTTTGCTTTTGCGATGCATTTGCCGCCAGTTTTCTCCCCTGGCACATTCATCCTCCAGGTGACTGCTAGAGTGATCTTCCAAAATCTCATCATGCTACTCCTCTGCTTATAAACCCTCCATGATTCCCAACTACCTTTTGGCTAAACTTCATGAACCTCTTTTAGGTGATCTGGACCCCCTTCCACTTCTCCAGCCTTGCCATTAACCACTCCCCAGCTTCCACCCTCCTGCCAAACCCTCTGCCTTTATAGTGCATGGTACTTGCCACACTCAACGGTCAACTCCCACTCACCCCTCGAGCCTCAGATCAGGCACCACCTTCCTCCCCAAAAGCCTTTTCTATTCCTCTTGACCTGGATCCGGCCCTGCCTCCTGCGCTCCC
Organism: Homo sapiens; assembly: GCF_000001405.40. Classification (NCBI taxonomy): domain Eukaryota; kingdom Metazoa; phylum Chordata; class Mammalia; order Primates; family Hominidae; genus Homo; species Homo sapiens. The sequence goes on along the minus strand of NC_000023.11, from coordinate 119,763,535 downwards.
TCAGCACCCCCTCCCCCTGATCCATCACAGCCCTGCTTCTGTCTCCTCTTCTTGCTCGGCTCCCCTGCTAGAATGAAGTCTTGCATCATCTGCTTAACTCCACTTTGCTCCCCTGGAAAGAGGTTTCTCGGGGAATTTGCTCTTTCTCTTGGGGTAAGCATACCAGTCTTGCCTCAAAAAGCATACCAGAAATGCCAACGGCTTGATGTGAGGCACGGAGAGTTTTCAGCATGGGAGTTTGTCCCCTGCAGCCAAACCTCAATTTTACATGGAGGAGATAGGCTAGGCAGTATCACATGATGAGAAAAATCTGTGGGGAAGAGTAGCTGACTACAGGAAAACTACAGAAAACCGTTTTCAAATCTTCCAGGTAATTTGGTTTTCGTTTTGGAAAGAGTAGGGTGAACGCTTGTCTCAGGCCCCCAGATCTGCTAACAGTTAAGATGCTTAGGTTCAAACTTTTCCTATAAAGAGGGGACTACTGTTATAAGTGTCCTTTGAATGCTCAGCACACACCAATCTTCCCTGCAAGCCAGGAGCCTGCAGACTCAGCCAAGTGGCAAGAAGGCCCTGCCCTGACAGCCTTCACCAAGCCCAACCCACCTTGGCAGCTATCAAGGGGGAGGTTGTGGAACAGAAACCACAGTCCTGCATCAGTTGGCCTGTTCGCATCTATAAAATGGGCACGGGGTGGAGAGAGTTAATGCCAGATGCCAATGCCAACTGCCAGAATCTAGGAACTGTTAGCCCTCCCTCCTTCAATTACTAAAGAAAAGAAGTTCATTTAGAAAAGACAAAGGAAGGCCAGGCACGGTGGCTCATGCCTGTAATCCCAGCACTTTAGGAGGCCAAGGTGGGCGGATCACCTGAGGTCAGGAGTTCGAGACCAGCCTGGCCAACATGGTGAAACCCCATCTCTACCAAAAATACAAAAATTAGCTGGGCGTGGTGGTGGGTGCCTGTAATCCCAGCTACTCAGGAGGCTGAGGCAGGGAGAATCACTTGAACCCTGGAAGCGGAGGTTGCAGTGAGCTGAGATCACACCATTGCACTCCAGCCTGGGCAACAGAGCAAGACTCCATCTAAAAAAAAAGAAAGAAAGAAAGAAAGAAAGAAAAGACAAAGGAAATGCTCTATTACACTGTGTAAGTGTGTTTAAGGTGTAGCTCCTGGAGACATGGGACAGGCTGAAAACAGCAAGGGGGTTTGGATCATTTCATGATTGAGAAGACCCTCATGGGTTACTAAAGGAAGGCAGTGTGGGCCAGGCACAGAGTCTTATATCTGTAATTCCAGCACTTTGGGAGGCTGAGGTGGGAGGATGACTTGAACCCAGGAGTTCGAGACCAGCTTAAGCAACATAGCGAGACCCTGTCTGTACAGACACACACACAAAAAAAATAGCTGAGCATGGCAACATGTGCCTGTAGTCCCAGCTACTTGGGAGGCTGAGGCAGGAGGTTCACCAGAGCCCAGGTGTTTGAGGCTGCAATGAGCTATGATCGTTGCCACGGTACTCCAGACTGGGTAAGAGTGAGACGCCATCTCAAAAATAAAAAATAAAGGAAAGTAGGAAAGTTTTGAGCACAGAAGCAAACAGGCCCACCAGGCAGAGATGGAAACCTGGATGGATGGGCTCAGGGTGGCGTTTCTGGGCTGTTTGTTAGTGGTGACTGTTTCTGGCTGGTGTTCACGGACTGGGATGAGAGGGCTGGGGAACGCGACAGTCCATTGCAAGGGCTACCCAAGCCTTCAGGGATACAGTGCTATTTTTAAAATGCACTGTTCTCCAAGGCAGCATGGGTCTGTAGCCAGCAACTGCTTTCCTGGCCTTTCAGGCTCAGTCAACCCTCCTGTAGTCTATTTAATTCATGCCATTTCTGAATGGGAGCAATTTTGCAAGCTACAATTTATGCATTAAACTTAACTTTTTAAAAAGAATTTTACGTAAGTGAAATATATATATTTATTGAGATAGGGTCCCACTCTGTCACCCAGGCTGGAGTGCAGTGGAATGCTTTACTCACTGCAGCCTCCACCTCCCAGGCTCAAGCAATCCTCCCACCTCAGCTTCTCTAGTAGCTGGGACTACAGGCCTGCACCACTACAACTGGCTAATTTTTGTATATTTTTGTAGAGACAGGGTCTCCCTATATTGCCCAGGCTGGTCTAGAACTCCTGGGCCCAAGGGATCCTCCTGCCTCAACCTCCCAAAGTGCTGGGATTACAGCTGTGAGCCACCACACCCAGCCTTAAACTTAATTTTTTAAATGCTGCTGAGCAGGTGTGGTGGCTCGTGTCTGTAATCCCAGCACTTTGGGAGGCTGAGGCAGGGGAACACTTGAGGTTAGGAGTTCGAGACCAGCCTGACCAACATGGCGAAACCCCATCATTACTACAAATACAAAAATTAGCCAGGCGTGGTGGTGCACGTCTGTAATCCCAGCTACTTGGGAGGCTGAGGTAGGAGAATCGCTTGAACCCAGGAGGCAGAGGTTGCAGTGAGCCTAGATCACGCCATTGCACTCCAGCCTGGGCGACAGAGTGAGACTCTGTCTCAAAAAACAGTAATAATAAATAAATGCTGCTGGCTGGGCGTGGTGGCTCATGCCTGTAATCCCAGCACTTTGGGAGGCTGAGGCAGGCGGATCACTAGGTCAGGAGTTCGAGACCAGCCCAGCCAACATAGTGAAACCCCGTCTCTACTAAAAATACCAAAAAAAAAAAAAAAAAAAAAAAATCAGCCGGGCGTGGTGGCGGGTGCCTGTAGCTATTTGGGAGGCTGAGGCAGGAGAATTGCTTGAACCCGGGAGGCAGAGGTTGCGATGAGTCAAGATTGCGCCACTGCACTCCAGTCTGGGTGACAGAGTGAGACTCCATTTCAAAAATAAATAAATAAATGCTACTGAGGAAAGCCCCATCTTGGAAAAAAAAAAGTGCCCGTGGGTGTGTCTCATTAGAGGCCACAAATCAAGGTAAATTACATGACTGACCGTGGAAATATCAGAAATGTAAATTTGGAAACTTTTGCCTTTTACCCCCAACCCAAGGCCCCTATATGACAACTCTTCTAGGATGAGGCTGGTGCCTGAGGCCAGACCATCAAAGAGCTCAGGACAGAGGTGAACTGTATGTTTCTCCTCAGATCCAAGTGGAAGTAGCTTCTTCTGTGCACAGCTCTGGCCATTTGTTCTGAGAAGGAGGCCCAGAGCCTGCCCCGGGGGGCACAACATCACGGCCATGGTTGGGTGACCTCTACCCTGCAAACATATGCAGTTTCTTCCTTTGTGGTTAGTAAGGGAGGTGGGGGAAAACACTGAAAGGACAGCCTTGTCATGTGAAAAGAACACATATTCCACTTTAATATACATAAGAAGTAACCTGTGATACATGAGAAAAAGTACCAGTAAGGCTGGGTCGTCTCAGGAGGAGGTTGTCAGAGGCTGACTCTACCCGCACCCCAAGACCCATTAATGGCCGAGCGAGGCCGGCAGAGTTAGGCGTTTTCTCTGCATTGGTGGTTTACAATCTTAACTCATTCTTCTAGCGAATGTTTCCTAATAAACCCAGCGCGTCGGCCTGCCCAGAAATGGCCCCTGGAAGCTTAACTTGCCCTCTCCCAAGCAGGACCACGCTCCCTGCTCCCAACTCCTTAGTCCTGTAGCTTTGGAACTCGGAGCCAGGCCAGCTTGGTCCTTCACTCTCTCTTGGTGAGGTGGTGCCCGAGTCCCCGGGTCCTCCAGGCCGGTGGTTACAGGAGACCTGAGACAAGTACCTGAGTCGGACCCCGACGTGTTCTGTTCCTTGCAGGCCCAAGCAGCGTCCAAGGCGCCTCTCCTTCGGTGGAACCCGGGACAACCCAGGACCTAGCCATCGCCACAGTGTCACAGCCCCTCCTAGCTCTCCAGTCTCTGTCCCTGTCAACGGTCCTGGAATGAGGGGAACAGATGGCGGAAAAGGCTATGCATTTGCGCCACCCGGCTGCCCGCGGTGTCCTTCGCCTTGGTCCGCGACGCTGCCACTCTCCTGCTTGTCTCCACAGCCGTCGCGCCCACTGCGCTCGCGGCCCTCCACGCAGTGGTGCCACTGCTGTTGTTGTTCAGGTTGGTGCACCCGCTGCCGCTCTCCATCTCCCATTCCTCGGCTCCCGACAGCTCCCGCAACCTCCAAGGCGCGTCGGGCCGCAGGTAGTGGCAGGCCCGGTGGCCGCTGTGGTCGCGGCGCGTAGCGTCAGCACCCAGGGCGCCCACCAGCACCTTGATGACCATGTCGTGGCCCTGAAGGGCCGCCAGGTGGAGGGGCGTGAGGCCGCCGCTGCCTGGGGCGCTCACGTCGAGCCTCAGCCCCCGGCGTAGGGCGAAATCGTGTACCAGAATGAGCTCCTCGTGGCGCCCGTGCTTGGCCAGCCAGTGCAGAACCGAGTAGCCGGTGATCGGGTCGCCCCGCAGCAGCAGCTCCGGCTCAGCCTCCAGCAGCTCCCGCAGCACCTCATAGCGGCCCTCGGCGGCTGCCAGAATCCACGCGTGCTCCCGCGGTTCCAGGCACAGCCTGCTGCTGCCCGGCCCACTCGGCCCGCCCAGCTCCTCGGCGCGCTCCTCCGACAGCCACCCCGCAGGAGCCGCCCGCTGCAGCCCCAGCAGTTCCCGCAGCGCTCCCCGCCGGCGCCCTGAGCCCGCTGCAGAGTGCATCAGCGTGCCTGGGAAGGGGTGCTCCCGGGAGGCGGCGGCTGCGGCTTTGCCCCAGTACCTGCCCAGGCTACCAGTGTCCGCTCTCGAGGGGCGGGGCTGCGGGGCGCACCGCAGGCTCTGCGAGGTCGGCGCGAGAGAGGCCGTGGGTGCCCGGTTCGCGGCCCCTCCGAGCTGGGCCATGGTCTTGAAGCTGCCGCCGCGGCCGTCCCAGTGTCCAGCGTTAGCTGCCCTTCCCGGGCCCCAACGGGAGAGGAACTGGCGCTGGCGTTGGGGAAGGAAGCTGCTTGAGCAATTGGGTTCGGAGGGAGGGAGCAAAGGAGAGGAGGAGGAGGAGGAGGAGGAGGAGGGAGGGAGCTAGGGGAGGGCCCCCGCGCAGGCCTTGGGGGGCGTGGAGGGGTGTGAGCTCCAGCCAAGTCCCCAGGGCAAGCCCAGCTCCACTTCCCTGGGTACCGCCGCCTCTGCAGCTCCCCCGGGTCGCGGGCGGTCCCACCCCAAACGGCCAGGTGAGCTCGGCAGCCCCGCCTCCAGCACCGAAGGGCGGGCGCGGGGACTGGCTGGGAGCTCGCCTGCGGCCCTGGAAGCCGCGGTTCTCAGCATCCCAGCCGGGGCTAGAGTGTAGAGGCGCGAGGGCGCCCCTTCCGCAGCGGGCCGAGCTCGGCTTCCAGCCACGGTCTCCCAAAGCGCGGTCCTGGAGCTCCGAGGCTCTGGCTCCCCGCCCCCTTCCTTCGCCCTTCCCTCTTATCTCTTCAGGAGTCTCCCTGCACTTTGTCCCGGAGTTGCCATTGTCCCGCGCCTAGCATTCACGCAGGCAGCTCGACTGCCCCATGTGACTGGCTCGTCTGCCTGCCTTGCCCTTTGTGTGGCCTTGACCCTCGCCGCAGCACCCGGGGCTGCCCAGGATTCCAGCAGAGAAGCCCAAGACCAGGGTCCAGGCTGACGCTCTTCCAGGGAACTCAGGAGGGATATTCCCCTTCTGCACCGCCCTCTCTGTCCTGCTCTCCACCCTCTTCCCTCCCGTCAATTTTCCCAGGTTGGCTTGGAGAAGCAGCTACAGGTGAATCTGAGCCGGCGCCGCAGGAGCGCCCTGTTCTCTTTAGAGATGCATCCCTGCTCTCTCCCCAGGGCCCCGCTTTCTACAAATTCAAAGCTTAGGGGCTTTTTAAAAAAGGATATTTTTTCTTTTTCACTCCTAATACCAGCGTACTCTTTGCTCTTCCCTTCCCTTAGTAAATAGTGGTTCTTGCCTCCACACCCCCAGCATCTTAAGGAGCTCAGTCAGTGAGCAACGGGGAGCCATAGAAGATTGTTGAGCCGGGGAGAGACACAGCCATGATGGAGGTTGTGTTAAAAAGGTGATTTGGGAGGTGCAGAGGCAGGAAGTCGGAAGACTGTTCCAGCAGTCTAGGCCAAGGGGGATGGAGGCTCAGGCCAAATCAGCCCACTCCCTCGGGGCCACCTGTGGCAGCAGTGATAGAAGGTATCGGAAGCTTTTCTTCCTTGGCCCTCACGTATTTGGAACAAGTCCTAAATATCTAGAGCTTTCCTTCAGAACAGTTTATGCATTTGTAATTTGGTTTTGAACATTTACTATGTGCCAGGCACTGTGCTTGTTGCGTTATATATGTTAACTCTTTTAATCCTCCCAGTGACCTCAAGTGCTGGGAATCATTACTGTCCCCAGTTTGCAGAGAGGTTAGGCTACTTGCTCAAGGTCACCCAGCAGGAAGTGGCAGAGCAGGTCTGTGCGACACCATAGCCTTTGTTCTGGTACACAGGAACTGGCATTCAAGCCTGGCTTATCAACTGCAAATCACATACAAGCCCCAAATTCCAGCCAAAAGGATAGACTTGTAACGTGAGCGTATCTATAACTTACACTCCTCTGCCTGGAAGAGCTTCTATGTAGTGAAGTTCTTTTCTTTCAAGGTTGCGCTTAGTTTCCACCTCTAGCAAGCCTCCTCTGATTATCCCAGCCCAAAGTGATCCCTCTCTTTCCCCAGCCCTGTGTTTCTGCTACTTCTTTGGCCCCAAGACTGCCTTGTGTTACATCTCTCTCCCCTTGCTCTCATATGCCAATTAAACTATAAACTCTTGGACAGCTATGTCATACTATCCTTGTGCACCTAGTAGTTATCCAAGAAATATTTGTTACCTTGTTCTGGTTTGGCAGGCTGGGAAAATGTGATTGTGTGTGTGTATGTTGGGGGCGGGGGACATGTATCCACAATCAGCACCTCAATGCCTGCTCCCACATCCCTGCTCCAGACTCCAATCTGCAGGACATCAAAAGCAACTCATAGATTTGGTCAATTCATTTTTCTTTAAAAGAGATTCAGTGGTTTATTCACTGAGTTGACTGGCCAAAGCCACCTCCTGGCCTTCGCTGACTTCTCAGAGACCAGGCCTAGGCCCAGAATGGGCCCCAAGCTTTCAGGCTTTCATTTTCAAAATGAATCCTGACTGACAAGCAGCTACTTCCGTTGCTCTGGAGACTCCTCTCCGCAACCCCAGATCTGTAAACACCAAACCGCACACAGGCACACACACTTCCAGAATATGCAAACAGCTGCAGCAATATTTTTTTTTAAGTCAAAATGCCAGCATGGAAAATGCAGGATGGAAGAATGCTTGGACTATTAATTTTCGTCACCACTAAGCAGGCAACTCTCTTCCCTATCAGCATGAATAATATCTGTTTCCAGTTCAAAGATTGCAAAGGCAGCCGCCTGACCAGTGCCACAGACCCATGATACATGTGCCCTTGCTTAACTCTGCTGCTAGAGACCAAAGCCACGGTGCCTCCCTAGCAACTTGTTTCATCTTTAATTAGCAAGTGCTTTCTACCCTAGGTCACCAGCTGCACACACCACTCCCCAGAACCGCAACACCCATCTCTATTTTAGTAGAGAGGGTCTCAGGAATTTGATAGCAGGGAGTAGGGCAGAGGGAGTGGAAAACAGAAGGGATAGTACCCACCCACCTAAAATTAACATGCCAGTTATCTGAAACATCTGCTACCCCTCCAAGGGAGTGGGGCAAAAACCCCTCAAGCCCTGGGAAATGACTTCCCAAAAAGCTGGAGGTAGAGTAGATATTTGCATTGCAAATTGTAATAATACTGATGTCTTTTCCAAATAGCAGCCTCTCTAATATATTTGTGGGTTTATTTACTAGATCTTGGACTATTAGAACTAGAAGAGATCGGCTGGGCGCGGTGGCTCATGCCTGTAATCCCAATACTTTGGGAGGCCGAGGCAGGCTGATCACGAGGTCAGGAGATCGAGACCATCCTGGCTAACACGGTGAAACCCCGTCTCTACTAAAAAATACGAAAACTTAGCCGGCCGTGGTGGTGGGTAGTCCCAGCTACTCGGGAGGCTGAGGCAGGAGAATGGCGTGAACCCGGGAGGTGGAGCTTGCAGTGAGCTGAGATCACGCCACTGCACTGTAGTGTGGGTGACAGAGCGAGACTCCGTCTCAAAAAAAAAAAAAAAAAAAGAACTAGAAGAGATCTTAATGTTTCATTGGCCTTTATTTTCCAGATGAGGTTTAACTAACTCAGGGAGCATGGCAGAAGGCAGAGGAACAGAGAAGCTGATGTGTTAGGCGTACACTGAAAATCTATCTTGATGAAGAGAGCAGCTCAGAAATCTTAGGGGATGTCAGTAGGAAATCATAGTTGATCTGCAAAAATTTAATTTACATGAAACTTCTCAGAAACATGCTCCTTGGGCGAAGCCAAATGCTGGTGTATCCTTGGGCTCTCAATGGAGTTTGCCCCGGGGGCTTATGGATTCAGAAAAATCCATGAGTGCAAAACAGTTGAGAAGCAGATGTGTGGAATATGGGAAGTAAAGTCCCTCAGGCGTCCATAACCCTCGGTCATGGAGGGAATGGGGAACATTCTTTTTTTTTTCTTTCTTTCTTTTTTTTTGAGACGGAGTCCCATCTGTTGCCTAGGCTGGAGTGCAGTGTGGTGTGATCTCGGCTCACTGCAACCTCCGCCTCTCTGGTTCAAGTGATTCTCATGCCTCAGCCTCCTGAGTAGCTGGGATTACAGACGTGCACCACCATTCTCAGCTAAATTTTGTATTTTTAGTAGAGACGGGGTTTTACCATGTTGGCCAGGCTGGTCTCGAACTCCTGGCCCCAAGTGATCCACCCACCTTGGCCTCCCACCACACCCGGTGGTGTGAGCCACCACACACGGCTGGAACATTCTTGGGGTTCCAGATATAGAATGTAAATTTCCTTTCCTCCAAAGACCTGTGCTGATATCATCATGATTCTCAATGAGAAACCTATGAAAGAGAGAGAGCTCCTTTCTCTCTGTTTGCATGTGAATGTGTGTGCAAGAATGGATGTTTGAGTGGTATGTATGTGTACCAGACATCACTGTCTGGTTGTGTGTATAATGTGTATGTGTCTGTGTGTATGTACTCTGCCAAACATCACTTTCCCCTTCCCAAATGTCAGACCTTTACATGAGATCTCATTTTGGATCCCTTTTCCTTAGACTATGGAACAAGTCATATTTGGTAAACACTTTAAAAATTATTTCCTAGTACTTTGGAATTACCCCCACCTTCCCACCCCCCTCCCCCGCCAATCCTGCAGTAAGACCTGATGTATCCAGTTAAAAAAAGAACTTACAATCTTATTTTGAGAGCTTACTGAGCTTGGAAGAGTAGAAAGTGGTAGAACCAAGTTGACACCAGGGCTTCTAAAAATGACTAAGGAGAAAGGGGTGGGCAGGGAGCAGGAAGAAATCTGTAGGCCTGAGTGGAAGCAGGAAACCTGCCTAAACTCAAGCTGGAATGGCTTAATTGGAGCCTGAGAGTCAAGCATGGGCTTTGAAGTGTGACGAGAAAAAAATTTCCATTACACATTTTATTGATACTGAGATTAAAAGAATGCCACATCCTGTAAAAGACTTAAGGTATTACCATATGGAGACACATGAGGGCGCTCTGACCAACTAGCAACTGAGAAAAGTAGAAAGGCTGTGTCTGTTTCAACCTGTAGGCAACGAAAGAGGCATGGCAGGCCCTTTGTTTAATTTTTTTTTTTTTTAGGACAGGGTCTCGCTATGTTGCCCAGGCTGGTCTTGAACTCCTAGGGTCAAGCGATCCTCCCACCTCAGCCTCCCAAAGTGCTGGGATTACAGGCATGAGCTACCGCGCCCAGCAACAGGCCCTTTTGTTTTGTTTTGTTTTGTTTTGTTTTGAGACAGTCTCACTCTGTCACCCAGGCTGGAATGCAGTGGCACGATCTCGGCTCACTGCAACCTCTGCCTCCCAGGTTCAAGCGATTCTCTTGCCTCAGACTCCCGAGTAGCTGGGATTACAGGTGTGTACCACCACACCCAGCTAATTTTTGTATTTTTAGTAGAGATGTCATTCCCCTGTGTTGGCCAGGCTGGTCTTGAACTCCTGGCCTCAAGTGATCCACCCACCTCTGCCTCCCAAAGTGCTGGGGTTACAGGCGTGAGCTACTGCGCCCAGCAATAAGCCCTTTGTTTATATGAATTCAGGCTTCTACCCTGGAGCAGGTCATTGGCCCTTAAGTAGTTGCTGGGAAGAAGGTACTAGCCCTAGGGGTGAGGGGGCTGGCCTCATCTTGAAAGGAATGTGAACCATCAGGAGAGAGGGGGAGGCCAGTGAGCAGTACAAAGTGGTTCCTTCCTTACTTTATCAGTTGGCTTCTGTCATACGTAAGGCTTGGAATAATAAACTCTTAGTTTTCAGAGTGCTTTCATATTTTTAATTATCTCTTGACCCAGACAGCAAGCTTGTGAGATATGTAGAGAAGACAGTATTTATATGCAATTCACACACAAGGCTGAGGGAGGTTAAGTGGCCTGCCCAGGGTCACGCGTCTCGAAAGTGGTAGAGCAGGGTCCGTGCTCATGCCTCTGTTTGATGCTGCCATACTGTACATTTGGGTACGGCTGACAGGAACAGCTCTTAATAAAATTGTGCAGTGGGTAAATGTTGTCCTTGGCGCCTTCAGCCATCTATTTCTGACATCCAGGCATCCTGTACCCCAGATCACCTAACGTAGCACTCTGTAATAACAGTGATTACAGCTGCCTACTGTTCATTAAGCACTTAGGTGGCTGGTGACTTAGGTCCTGTGCCAAGCATTAAATATGCATTTTCATACATGAATGGTCACAGCAGAACTATTTACAATAGCCAAAAGGTAGAAACAATCCCGATATCCATAGTATATCCATACCATGGAATGTTATTTGGCCATACAAAGGAATGAAATAGGCCAGGCACAGTGGCTCACGCCTGTAATCCCAGCACTTTGGGAGGCTGAGTCGGGCAGATCACCTAAGATCAGGAGTTCGAGACCAGCCTGGCCAACATGGTAAAACCCTGTCTTTACTGAAAAAAGAAAATACAAAAATTGCCAGATGCAGTGGCTCACACCGGTAATCCCAGCACTTTGGGATGCCGAGGTGGGTGGATCACCTGAGGTCAGGAGTTTGAGACCAGCCTGACCAATATGGTAAAACACCATCTCTACTAAAACTACAAAAATTATCCGGGCATGGTGGTGCGTGCCTGCAGTCCCAGCTATGCTGGAGGCTGAGACAGGAGAATTGCTTGAACCTGGGAGGTGAAGGTTGCAGTGAGCCAAGATTGTGCCACTGCACTCCAGCCTGGGAGACAGAACGAGACTCCATCTCAAAAACAACAACAACAACAAACCCCAAAAATTAGCTGGGCGTGGTGGTGGGCGCCTGTAATCCCACTTACTTGGGAGGCTGAGTCATGAGAATCGCTTGAACCCTGGAGGCGGAGGTTGCAGTGAGCCAAGATTGCGCCACTGCCCTCCAGCCTGGGTGATAAAGCGAGACTCAGTCTCGGAAAAAAAAAAAAAAGGCCGGGCGCGGTGGCTCACGCCTGTAATCCCAGCACTTTGGGAGGCCAAGGAGGGCGGATCACGAGGTCAGGAGATCAAGACCATCCTGGCTAACACGGTGAAACCCCGTCTCTACTAAAAATACAAAAAATTAGCTGGGCATAGTGGCGGGCACCTGTAGTCCCAGCTACTCCGGAGGCTGAAGCAGGAGAATGGCGTGAACCGGGAAGGCGGAGCTTGCAGTGGGCCGAGATCGCGCCACTGCACGCCAGCCTGGGCGACAGAGCAAGACTCCGTCTCAAAAAAAATAAATAAATAAAAAATAAGGAACGAAATAACTGACACATGCTACAACATGGAGGAATGTGAAAAATACTATGCTAAGTGAAAGAACCAGACACAAAAGACTCTTCTGATTCCTACAGGAGATGTCCAGACGAGGCAAATCCATACAAACAGAAAGTAGGTCAGTGGTTGTCAAGGCAGGCATGAGGGAAGAGGGAGAATAGAGAATGATTGCTAATGGGTATGGGTTTCTTTGGGGGTGTTGAAAATATTCTGGAATTAGATAGTGGTGATGAGAGGTGACAGCGTGCTGGCAGTCCTCAGAGCCCTCGCTTGCTCTCGGCGCCTCCTCTGCTTGGGTTCCCACTTTGGCGGCACTTGAGGAGTCCTTCCGCCCGCCGCTGCACTGAGGGAGCCCCTTTCTGGGCTGGCCAAGACCAGAACCAGGTCCCTCAGCTTGCAGGGAGGTGTGGAGGGAGAGGCGCGAGCAGGAACCGGGGCTGCGCGCAGCGCTTGCGGGCCAGCTGGAGTTCTGGGTGGGCGTGGGCTTGGCGGGCCCCGCACTCGGAGCAGCCGGCCGGCCCTGCCGGCCCCGGGCAATGAGGGACTTAGCACCCAGGCCAGTGGCCAGTGGCTGTGGAGGGTGTACTGGGTCCCCCAGCAGTGCCGGCCCACCGGCGCTGTGCTGGATTTCTCGCTGGGCCTTAGCTGCCTTCCCGCGGGGCAGGGCTCGGGACCTGCAGCCCGCCATGCCTGAGCCTCCCACCCACTCCATGGGCTCCTGTGCGGCCCCAGCCTCCCCGACGAGCACCACCCCCTGCTCCACGGCGCCCAGTCCCATCGACCGCCCAAGGGCTGAGAAGTGCAAGCACACGGCACGGGACTGGCAGGCAGCTCCACCTGCGGCCCCAGTGCGGGATCCACTAGGTGAAGCCAGCTGGGCTCCTGAGTCTGGTGGGGAAGTGGAGAGTCTTTATGTCTAGCTGAGGGATTGTAAATACACTAATCAGCACCCTGTGTTTAGCTCAAGGTTTGTGAGTGCACCAATCGACACTCTGTATCTAGCTGCTCTGGTGGGGCCTTGGAGAACCTTTATGTCTAGCTCAGGGATTGTAAATACACCAATCGGCACTCTGTATCTAGCTCAAGGTTTGTAAACACACCAATCAGCACCCTGTGTTTAGCTCAAGGTTTTGAATGCACCAATCGACACTCTGTATCTAGCTGCTCTGGTGGGGCCTTGGAGAACCTGTGTGTCAAAACTCTGTATCTAACTAATCTGATGGGGACGTGGAGAACCTTTGTATCTAGCTCAGGGATTGTAAACGCACCAATCAGCGCCCTGACCAAACAGGCCACTGGGCTCTACCAATCAGCAGGATGTGGGTGGGGCCAGATAAGAGAATAAAAGCAGGCTGCCCGAAGCAGCATTGACAACCCGCTCCCGTCCCTTACCACACTGTGGAAGCTTTGTTCTTTCACTCTTTGCAATAAATCTTGCTAATGCTTACTCTTTAGGTCCACGCTGCTTTTATGAGCTGTAACACTTAACCGCCAAAATCTGCAGCTTCACGCCTGAGCCCAGTGAGACTACGAGCCCACTGGGAGGAATGAACAACTCCCCACGCGCTGCCGTAAGAGCTGTAACACTCACCGGGAAGGTCTGCAGCTTCACTCTTGAGCAAGTGAGACCACGAACCCACCAGAAGAAAAAAACTCCAAACACATCTGAACATCAGAAGGGACAGACTCCAGACGCGCCACCTTAAGAGCTGTAACACTCACCGCGAGGGTCCGCGGCTTCCTTCTTGAAGTCAGTGAGACCAAAAACCCACCAATTCCAGACACGGTGATGGTTGCACAGCCTTGTGAATATACTAAAAAGCACTGAAATATACACTTTAAAGTGGTGAGTTGCTGGGCGCAGTGGCTCATGGCTGTAATCCAAGCACGGTGGGAGGCCGAGGTGGGCAGATCACCTGAGCTCAGGAGTTCAAGACCAGCCTGGCCAACTTGATGAAACCCCATCTCTACTAAAAATACAAAATTAGCCGGGCTTGGTGGTGCATGCCTGTAATCCCAGCTGCGCAGGAGGCTGAGGCAGGAAAATCGCTTGAACCTGGGAAGTGGAAGTTGCAGTGAGCCGAGATCACACCATTACACCCCAGCCTGCCCAACGAAAGCTAAACTTCGTTTAAAAAAAAAAGTGAATTGTATGGTATGTGAATTATAGCTCAGTAAAGCTGTTGCCATAAAGTGCATTATGTCCCTTAATCTTTACAACAACTCTAAGAGACTAATGAGAATCTGAGGCCCAATGAAGTTAATTGACCACGTTCACACAGCTAGTAATTGGCAGGAAACCCATCCAGCTTCAACTGATTCCAAGGCTCATACTTTTAACCATCATGTTACACTGGGTCTAATGCATCCCTCATTTACATAGAGGATGTTGTAAAAGCCAACACTCATTGAGGCCTTAATATGTGCCAAACACTATGCTAATCACATCACATTCATGATGCTTAACATTATGGTAGATATTAAAGCAATAATCTCCAATTTTTTTTTTTTTGAGATGGGAATCTGGCTGTGTCACCCAGGCTGGAGTGCAGTGGCACCATCATAGCTCACTGCAGCTTCTAACTCCTGGGCTCAAACCATCCTCCCACCTCAGCCTCCTGAGTAGCTGGGAGTACAGGCATGTGCCACCATGCCCAGCTAATTGTTTGTTTTTTGAGACAGAATTTCGCTCTTGTTGCCCAGGCTGGAGTGCCATGATGCCATCTTGGCTCACTGCAACCTCCACCTTCCGGGTTCAAGCGATTCTCCTGCCTCAGCCTCCCGAGTAGCTGGGATTACAGGTGCCCACCACCACGCCCAGCTAATTTTTTTGATTTTTAGTAGAGGCAGGGTTTCGCCATGTTGTCTCAAACTCCTGACCTCAGGAGATTCGCCTGCCTTGGCCTCCCAAAGTGCTGGGATTACAGGCGTGAGCCACTGCACCCAGTCCCAGCTAATTTTTTAAAAATTGTTTTAGAGATGGGATCTCACCATATTGCCAAGGCTGGTGTCCCAACGTTTTAAATTGCATGCCCCTATAATAAAAATATTTTGAGCAGATATTCTCAACATTCGTGAATATTTTGCAATTTCAAAATGATGTGTGTGTATTACTCTATGAAATATGTATATTATAAAGCATACACAAAAAGGAAATTTTAAAAGGATGAGACAAAGATAAAATATAGTTTAAAATAATTTACAGTTTTATAATGCTTGTAGTACAAAACTATTTGGATATTCATTAAAATTTTATTATTAATTTTTTCACAAGAGAATGTGATTGCATATGCTTCGTTTTTAAAACATCTTTTTTTTTTTCTTTTTTTGAGACAGGGTCTCACTCTGTTCCCCAGGCTGGAGTGCAGTGTTAAGAATACAGCTCACTGCAACCTCAACCTCCTGGGCTCAAGTGATCCTCACCCCCAGGCCCCCAAGTATCTGGGACTACAGGCGTGTGTCACCATGCCAGGCTAATTTTTGTATTTTTTGTAGAGATGAGTTTCACCATGTTGCCCAGGCTGGTCTCGAACGCCTGGGCTCAAGCAATCTACTCACCTTGGCCTCCCAAAGTACTGGAATTACAGGGGTGAGCCACTTTACTTAGCCATTTTTTAAAAATCTAACATCATTGTTATTAGAAAGTGCTGGCTGGGTGCGGTGGCTCACACCTGTAATCCCAGCACTTTGGGAGGCCAAGGCAGGTGAATCACCTGATGTCAGAAGTTCGAGACCAGCCTGGCCAACATGTTGAAAAACCGTCTCTACTAAAAATAAAAAATTAGCTGGGTGTGGTGGCACACGCTTGTTGTCCCAGCTACTCGGGAGGCTGAGGCAGGAGAATCACTTGAACTCAGGAGGTGGAGGTGTAGTGAGCCGAGACCTCGCCACTGCACTCTAGCCTGGGCACCAGAGCAAGACTCCGTCTCAAAAAAAAAAAAAAAAAAGTGCTAGGCTACTATGACCGTTCTTAGGTTAACACTATAATGCAGCTCTTTGAAGGTGCGGATCTTACTTTATTGCAGCACTCAGTTTTAGTGGATGTCACACATAAGCAAGATGTCTCACAAAGATACACAGCTCCAAATGGAAGAAAAATTTAATTGGCTGGGCTTAGTACATCATAATTCTTGTTTTTCAATTCCACCCACCAATTATGCAAAGGTTTCTGATGAAATTCAGTTGGTAAACGGTCATTTTTGCTGATGGCAATCATTTGTTCTTGCAAAACGGTAAGTACTTGTTGCACCTTTGTGTTTTTAACAAATGTGCCGAAAACCCACAAAAAACTCTACATTTGAAATATGTTTAAAAAGCAGGTTAGGAATTTTTATTCTGAAGTTTTAAAATGTGCAGATATGATAGGTTTTCTAGGTATGCTACTTACATCATTTTTGGCCACAAAATTACATAACAATGAAAACACAAACATCCATTTTCCAAATGTTCTCTGCCTGTTCTGCATTTCCTTCCAAAGCAGTTACTTTCTCACTCATTGTTAAAATATCAACTTTATCTTGAAGAACTGGATGGGCTGTGTTTATTATGATTTTTTTTTAAAAGTCTCCTGGCTGGGCGCGGTGGCTCACACCTGTAATCCCAGCACTTTGGGATGCCGAGACTGGCGGATCACCTGAGACCAGGAGTTTGAGACTAGGCTGGCCAACATGGCAAAACTCTGTCTCTACTAAAAATACAAAAAAATTAGCTGGGCATGGTGGCAGGTGCCTGTAATCCCAGCTACTCAGGAGGCTGAGGCAGGAGAATCGCTTGAACCTGGGAGGCGGAAGTTTCAATGAGCCGAGATTGCACCATTGCACTCCAGCCTGGACAACAAGAGCAAAACCTCACGGCAAAAAAAAAAAAAAAAAGTCTTCTGACTACTCTAAGACACCCCTGAAAATGTCAGTAAATTTGAAATGCGTATCTTTATGTGGAAAAAAAAGTGCATCTTTTAGTTTGAAAACTCTTTTAAGGACTTACATAATAGAATTCTTTAAAGATTTTACTGGTATATTGGCTGGGCACGGTGGCTCACACCTGTAATCCCAGCACTTTGGGAGGCCAAGGAGGGAGGATCACCTGAGGTCAGGAGTTTGAGACCAGCCTGGCCAACATGGTGAAACCCCCATCTCTACTAAAAATACAAAAAAAAAAAAAAAAAAAAAGCCGGGCCTGGTGACACGCACCTGTGGTCCCAGCTACTTGGGAGACTGAGGCAGGAGAATTGCATGAGCCTGGGAGGTGGAGGTTGCAGTGAGCTGAGATCACACCACTGAACTCTAGCCTGGGCGAAAGAGTGAGACTGTCTAAAAAAAAAAAAAAATTACTGTATATCAAGTCTTATTTTGCCAGGCACGGTGGCTCATGCCTGTAACCGCAGCACTTTGGGAGGCCGATGAGGGTAGATCATTTGAGGTCGGGAGTTTGAGACCAGCCTGGCCAACAAGGAGTAACCCTGTCTCAACTAAAAATACAAAAATTAGCTGGGCTTGGTGGCACGTGCCTGTAATTTCAGCTATTTGGTAGGCTGAGGCAGGAGAATCACTTGAACCCAGAGGCAGAGGTTGCAGTGACCCGACATTGTGCTACTGTACTCCAGCCTTGGCAACAGAGTGAGACCCTGTTTCCAAAAAAAAAAAAGTCTTATTTTTATACCGTTAACCAGATTAATGAATCCTATAGCACTTTGTACATTTCAGGCTTCAATATCTTTGCTGTGATAGCTCGCCAACTTTCTCAGTAAAGTTACCTTGAAATCCACCCCCACTTTTGGAAAGTTTCCTGTCAGAGTAGCACTTCATCAGTGTAAAAATCTTTATTTCCAGTTTTCCTATAAGATGTTACAAAAGTAAACAAGTCACTTTGTGTTCATAATATATCTTCTCCTTTACATTTCTCCTTTGGTAGACCACACACAAAAAAGTAGTTTTTTGGCTGGGCATGGTGACTCACACCTGTAATCCGAACACTCTGGGAGGCTGGGGTGGGAGTATCACTTGTGGCCAGGAGTTTGAGATAAGCCTGGGCAACAAAACGAGACCCTGTCACTACAAAAAATTAAAAAATAAAAATAGCCTGGAGTGGTGGCATGCGCCTGTGGTCCCAGCTACTCAGAAGGCTCAAGTGGGAGGATCGCCTGAGCCCAGGAGTTAAAGGCTGCAGTGAGCTACAATGCTGCCACTATACTCCAGCCTGGGTGACAGAGGGAGACTCTTATCTCAAAATAAATAAATAAATTCTTTGTGGATTTTATTATTGAAACAGTATCTAGCAAATACAAAGCTGAAAATGCTGAAAAAGTTTTGTCCAACTGTACAGAAAACTTCCTACACTGTATCATTTACTCATAGTTTGTTCAAATCTTCGGCAATGTTAGCTAGATGCCTTCCAATGGTATTTACTGACAAATAAATGTGTTAGAGTTTATTACCACTTTGTTTCAAATGAACTATTTTGACCATGTTTACTAAGATAGTAAAAACAACTGCTTCCTCAAGGGGATCTATGAACTTTTGTTTTTTGTTATTAAGTAACAAACTTCGAATGAAGCTTCTAAACATGTGTCTTTCCGTTCAGTGAGATCTAATAAAGTACTGTTTTGAAAATCACATGACTTTTGGCATTGCTGAAAAAATAGCAGAGACGTGTCTTTATGTTCTGTATATCCAGGGTTTGTTAATGTAAAGTTTTAAAATATGGTGACGTGCATAAAAAAATGCACAAATAAGTGTATAGCTTGACACGGTTTTCTGTTTTGCTTTGTTTTGAGACAGAGTTTTTGCTCTTGTCATCCAGGCTGGAGTGCAATGGTGCAGTCTCGGCTTACTGCAACCTCTGCCTCCTGGGTTCAAGCGATTCTCCTGCCTCAGCCTTCCGAGTAGCTGGGATCACAGGCACCCGCTACCACGCCCAGCTAATTTTTGTATTTTTAGTAGAGACGAGGTTTTACCATGTTGGCCAGGCTGGTCATTACAAATTGAACACACTTGTGTAACTAGCACCCAGATCAAGACATAGAATATCACAGCACCCAGAAGCCTCTTTTGTGGCCCCTCTCTGCCACTACCCTTCTAGTTCCTACTGCTGTGTAAAAAATCATCCTAAAACTTTTTTTTTTTTTGAGACAGAATCTTGCTCTGTTGCCCAGGATGGAGTGCAGTGGCAAAATCTCGGCTCACTGCAACCTCCACTTCCCGGGGTCAAGTGATCCTCCCCACCTCAGCCCTGCAAGTAACTGGGACTACAGGTGCATGCCACCACACTCAGCTAATTTTTGTATTTTTAGTAGAGACGAGATTTCACCATGTTGCAAAAGCTGGTGTCGAACTCTTGACTTCAGGTGATGCACATGCCTCAGCCTCCCAAAGTGCTGGGATTATAGGATTATAGCCATGAGCCACTGCGCCCGGCCTCATCCCAAAACTTAGTGGTGAAAAATAACTATTTTCTTATGCTCATGAATTCTGGAGGTCAAGAATTTAGACAGGGCACAAGGGGATGACTAGCATCCGCTCCATGATGTCTGGCACATTGACTGGGAAGATGTGAGAGCTGGGGGTGACTTGACACTGGTTGGGGTGGGATCCTCTGGAGATGTATTTCCTCACATGTCTGTCATTTGCTGCTGGCTGCTGGCTGGGACCTCAGCTGAGGGCTGCTGGCCAGGACACTTGAGGCAGCCACTGCCCGCGGTTTATGACATAGCTTTGGAAGTTAGGCAGCATCTCCTCTACCATACTCTGTCGGCTGCTCAGATTCGAGGGAATGGCATATAGATTCCTCCTCTCAAAAGGAGGAGTGTCAAATAATTTGTGGATATGCTTCCAAACTGCCACGAAAAGCAGCCATCATCTGGACGTCTCCCACTGTAGTTTCGTGATGCATCCACCTTGTAGAGGCTTAGATTTTAAAGCTCTCATTAATCCTAATGGCTTCGTACTATTATTAGCTAATCTCTCAAGGCAAATTATCCACTTAAAGTGCATTTATTATTAACAATAGTGAATGGGGCCAGGCGTGGTGGCTCACACCTATAATCCCAGCACTTTGGGAGGCCGAGGCGGGCGGATCACAAGGTCAGGAGAATGAGACCATCCTGGCTAACAAGGTGAAACCCCGTCTCTACTAAAAATACAAAACAAACAAACAAACAAAAAAGCCAGGCGTGGTGGCGGGCGCCTGTAGTCTCAGCTACTCGGGAGGCTGAGGCAGGAGAATCCGGGAGGCAGAGCCTGCAGTGAGCCAAGATCGGGCCACTGCACTCCAGCCTGGGCGACAGAGCGAGACTCTGTCTCAAAAAAAAAAACAAAAAACAAACAAATAAACAAAATAGTGAATAGGAATCATACTTTAAGTAGGCCTTTGTGGTATTTGCTTTATTTATTTATTTATTTTTTTGGTTAGGGGGTGCTGATTTCTTTTTTCTTTTTTTGAGACAGGGTCTTTCTCTGTCACCCAGGCTGGAGTGCAGTGACACATCATGGCTCACTGCAGCCTCAACCTCCTGGGCTCAAGCAATCCTCAAATCTCAGCCTCCCGAGTAGCTGGGTCTATAGGCTTGAGCTACCAGGCCCGGCTAATTTTTAAATTGTTTTGTAGAGACAAGGGTCTCACTATGTCACCCAGGGTTGTCTTAAACTCCTGGGTTCAAGGGATCCTCCTGCCTTGGCCTCCCAAAGTGCTAGGATTACAGGCATGAGCCACTGCACCCGGCCTGATTCCTGATTTCTTTTTCTTTTTTTCTTTCTTTTTCTTTTTTTTTTTTTGAGACGGAGTCTCGCTCTGTCGCCCAGGCTGGAGTGCAGTGGCACGATCTTGGCTCACTGCAAGGTCCACCTCCTGGGTTCACGCCATTCTCCTGCCTCAGCCTCCGGAGTAGCTGGGACTACAGGTGCCCGCCACCACACCCAGCTAAATTTTTGTATTTTTAGTAGAGACGGGGTTTCACCGTGTTAGCCAGGATGGTCTCGATCTCCTGACCTCGTGATCCGCCTGCCTCGGCCTCCCAAAGTGCTGGGATTACAAGCATGAGCCACCGCGCCTGGCCTTTTTCTTTTTTATTTTTTTTGAGACAGGGCTTCCCTCTGTCACCCAGGCTGTAATGCACTGGCACTATCTTGGCTCACTGCAACCTCCACTTCCCAGGTTCAAGCAATTATCATGCCTCAGTCTCCTGAGTAACTGGGATTACAGGCGTGTGCCGCTACGCCCAGCTAATTTTTGTATTTTTAGTAAAGAGGAGGTTTCCCCATGTTGGCCAAGATGGTCTCCATCTCTTGACCTCGTGATCTGCCCGCCTCGGCCTCCCAAAGTGCTGAGATTACAGGCGTGAGCCACTGTGCCCGGCCTGATAACAGCTTTCTATGTGCCAGCTACTGCTCCAAGTTTATATGTATTATATGTATTAATTCATTAGCTCATTTGTATTTATATGTACTATTAATTCCTTTTATTAGTCCATTTTCACCCTGCTGATAAAGACATACTTGAGACTGAGAAGAAAAAGATGTTTAGGCCAGGAGTGGTAGCTCACACCTGTAATCCCAGCACTTTGGGAGGCCGAGGTGGAAGGATTACCTGAGATCAGGAGTTTGAGACCACCCTGGCCAACATGGCAAAACCCCATCTCTACTAAAAATACAAAAATTAGTAGGGCATGGTGGTACATGCCTGTGATCTCAGCTACTTGGGAGGCTGAGGCAGGAGAATTGCTTGAACCTGGGAGGTGGAGGTTGTAGTGAGCCAGGATCACGCCACTGCACTCCAGCCTGGGTGACAGAATGAGACTCCATCTAAAAAAAAAAAAAAAAAAGAAAGAAAAAGAAAAAAGAGGTTTAATGGACCTACAGTTCCACATGGCTGGGGAGGCCTCACAATCATGGTGGAAGGTGAAAGGCATGTCTCACATGGCAGCAGACAGGAGAAGAGAGCTTGTGCAGGGAAACTCACATTTTTAAAACCATCAGATCTCACGAGACTTATTCACTATCATGAGAACAGCACGGGAAACACCTGCCCCTATGATTCAATTACCTCCCACCAGGTTCTTCCCACGACACGTGGGAATTGTGGGAGGTACAATTCAAGATGAGATTTGGGTGGGGACACAGCCAAATCATATCACTCCTCAAAATAGCCTTATGGGTAGGTTCCCTTATTACCTCTATTTTACAGATGAGAAAATTAAGGCTCAAAGAATTTGAGAGGTTAAGTGACTTGCTCAAGATTGCACAACTAGTATCTGGTAGAGTTGGGATTCAACCCCAGGCAGTGTGGCTCAAGAGTCACATGTTGAGTCAATAGCTCATACACTGAAATATTTGTCTTGTGATTGGGGCCTTCAATGCCTTAACCCAAAGGAGTGGTTCTAATGGTAGGGATCTCAGACATGAGGGAGCCTGATAGTAGTGAGGATTCTTATCTTGGAGACTTTTCCTGGTAGCACACTCAACTCTGCCATCTGAGCCTTACGTTTCATGGTGGCCCCTCTTGTGTGAAATAAACAAGGGAAAATAGTCTTTTTTTTTTTTTGAGATAGAGTCTCACTCTGTTGCCCAGGCTGGAGTGCAGTGACGTGATCTCAGCTCACCACAACCTCCGCCTCCCAGGTTCAAGCGATTCTCCTGCCTCAGCCTCCCTAGTAGCTGGGACTACAGGTATGCACCACCATGCCAGGCTAATTTTTATACTTTTTAGTAGAGACGGGGTTACACTATGTTGGCCAGGCTGGTCTTGAACTCCTGACCTCATGATCTGCCCACCTTGACCTCTCAAAGTGCTGAGATTACAGGTGTGAGCCACTACACCAGGCCTTTTTTGTTTGTTTGTTTGTTTGTTTGTTTGTTTGTTTTGAGACGGTGGTTCACTCTGCTGCCCAGGCTGGAGTGCAGTGGTGCGATCTCGGCTTGCTGCAACCTCCACCTCCTGGGTTCAAGTGATTCTCCTGCCTCAGCCTCCCAAGTAGCTGTGACTACAGGCACCTGCCACCACGCCCGGCTAATTTTTTGTTTTTTTTAATTGTTTTTCTAATAGAGATGGGATTTCACCATGTTGACCAGGCTGGTCTCAAACTCATGACCTCAGGTGATCCGCCTGCCTCGGCCTCCCAAAGTGCTGGGATTACAGGCGTGAGCCACTGCACCCGGCCAGGAAAATAGCCTTCTAACTGGGCTTGTGGCATCTCTCTAAATTACCTGAAGCCTCCAGGTTGGTGCTATTTGTCAATTGTCAGCCTCCATATTTGAGTGACTCTTATATGGGCTGGGTTCATGTGAACATTGTTCACACTTAAAATGGGCAGAGTCTGGAGAGATTTCAATATGAAACATTGTCAGTTGCTTTTTTTTTTTTTTTTTTTTTGAGGCAGAGTCTTGCTCTGTCGCCCAGGCTGGAGTGGAGTGGTGCTATCTCGGCTCACTGCAAGCTCTGCCTCCCGGGTTCACACCATTCTCCTGCCACAGCCTCCCGAGTAGCTGGGACTACAGGCGCCCGCCACCACGCCAGGCTAATTTTTTGTATTTTTAGTAGAGACAGGGTTTCACCATGTTAGCCAGGATGGTCTCGATCTCCTGACCTCGTGATCCGCCTGCCTCGGCCTCCCAAAGTGCTGGGATTACAGGCGTGAGCCACCGTGCCTGGCCGTCGGTTGTATTTTTGTATTGTACTTTGTTGTCATCTGGAAATCAAGAAAAAGGGCCTGTGCCTTTTCTGGCACTGAGTCTTTCATTGTCACCTGTGCATTCTGTGGCCAAACCCTGTTTCTGTTTCCACTTATCAAGGCAGGTGTGGGCAGTCTCTCACAATTAGTTTGCTAACAGTGTGGTCCCTTTGATGTGCTGGGGGTTTTGTGCAGGTTGGTAGAGGGTACAAGGGGGATCTCAAGCTGAGCACGGGCTCTCAAGAGAAGACACTATCCAGGCCAGGTGCAGTGGCTCATGCCTGTAATCCCAGCACTTTGGGAGGCCGAGGCAGGTGGATCACCTGAGGTCAGGATTTCGAGACCAGCCTGACCAATATGATGAAACCCCATCTCTACCAAAAATACAAAAATTAGCCGGGCATGGTGGCATGCGCCTGTAATCCCGGCTACTCGGGAGGCTGAGACAGGAGAATCGCTTGAACCTGGGAGGCAGAGGTTGCAGTGAGCCAAGATCGTGCCTTGCACTCCAACCTGGGAAACAAGATTGAAACTCCATCTCAAAAAAAAAAAAAAGAAGACACTATCCATGGGTCAGTTCATTCAGTGGGTGGCCAATGGTGCCCACAAACAGCAGGGAGAGAGAGCATTGCAGCTGGTCCTGGTGCCATTGTTAACGGATTTGCACACCATCTCTGCATGAGAGCCCTGCCTGGCCTCGCCAGGACAGTTGAGCTGCCTACTGGGTATACTAAGACCCTGAAACCTGCCGCTCAGCAGTGCCTATCACAAGGTGGTTCCCATTTTTTTGGAAGTTTGGCATCTCCCTTAAGGTGCAGGGAAGAATCTACCCCTGGCCACTGTTTCACTTGGCCAGCTGGCATCATGAGGAGTTCTGTTCCTATGGCCCCTGACAGCCAGTTTGGCAAGAGCGGTCTGGGAAGAATAGTCACTTGATTTGTTTCCTGTCTGCCAGACGCTCAGAGCTGCTGGAAATCCATGCGGATGCAATAACTCAACTTGGTTTCATTCATCGAGATCCAGAGGGAGGATGCACTCCTTCCAAAGAC
Organism: Homo sapiens; assembly: GCF_000001405.40. Classification (NCBI taxonomy): domain Eukaryota; kingdom Metazoa; phylum Chordata; class Mammalia; order Primates; family Hominidae; genus Homo; species Homo sapiens. Next base: position 119,738,915 of record NC_000023.11, on the reverse strand, counting down.
AGATAGGGCCCACATGCCTGATCTAGCAAGCTGGGTAGGTTTCACACTTCTCCACACATTTCAAAGTATAATTAAGTGTCCGGGCTGCCTCATGCATCTCCTTCTGTGCTCATATAACACTTGTTTCTCAGGGCTCCTGGGGACTGAAGATTTTGCAAAGGAACAAGAGACCAAACTTACATGCAAATTATTCATATTTATGAGTGAAAAATAAGTAAGTCGACAGATTGATGAGACTTTATTACCAATACAGGAATTTGATTCCTACCAACACAGGCTGCAGGAATGGCAGTACAGTGTCCAGAGCAAAGGGGAGAGGGCACAAGAGGTCTGCTCTGCACAGGACCGGCCAGACTCCACCTGGAATATTGTGCTCAGTTTCTGGAGCCCATCCAGCTTTTGGAGTGATGGGACTCCTGATAAGAAATGGTTGAAAGCCCTGGGAATGTTTAGCTGAGGAGGAGAAGACTCATGAGGAACATGAGAGCTGCCTTTAAAAAACTGAAGAGCTGGCCCATGGGGGAGAGGGAGGGGACTCAAGGAAGAGAGGAGGTGTAGAAAGAGTGTGGGCTTTGGACTCAGGAACCCTCAGCTGAATTCACAGTTCTGCACCTTACTAGGCCTGCTCCCTTTGGTAAGTCATCTCGTCTCCCTGAGCCTCAATTTCTTCATTGGTGCAATGGGGAGGACAATACCTTCCTCACTGTGTGTTGTGAGGTCAGTGGTGGTGGGGGGTGGTCTGTAAAAGAGTGCTTGAGGCCGGGCGCGGTGGCTCACGCCTGTAATCCCAGCACTTTGGGAGGCTGAGGCAGGCAGATCACAAGGTCGGGAGATCGAGACCACGGTGAAACCCCGTCTCTACTAAAAATACAAAAAAAAATTAGCCGGGCGCGATGGTGGGCGCCTGTAGTCCCAGCTACTTGGGAGGCTGAGGCCAGAGAATGGCGTGAACCCGGGAGGCAGAGCTTGCAGTGAGCTGAGATCACGCCACTCCACTCCAGCCTGGGGCGACAGAGAGAGACTCCGTCTCAAAAAAAAAAGAAAAAAAAAAAGGAGAGTGCTTGAAATCTTCAAAGCACCTGACAGTTGATATTACTGTGCGTCTCTGTGGTCCCACAGCACAGAGCCTGGTCCCCTGGGTGAAATTGACAAAGAAGCAGATTTTGGCGCAGTTCCATTAAGAGCTATCTAACCATGATAGGAATCTTAAAATGTAAATGGCTGCTTTGGGAAATAGTAAGTTCCTCATCACTGGAGATACTTAAGCAGAGACTGGATCAGTATTTTCTTGGAGGCTGCATGGAGGAATTCCTGCATACAAAAGAGGGTTGGAGTACATCACTTCTAGGGGCTTTTCCAACTTTTAGGTTAGAAGATTCTTTTTTTTTTTTTTTTTTTTTTTGAGACGGAGTGTCGATCTTGTTGCTCAGGCTGGAGTGTAATGGTGCGATCTCGGCTCACCGCAACCTCCACCTCCCGGATTCAAGCGATTCTCCTCCCTCAGCCTCCCAAGTAGCCTAGTAGCTGGGATTACAGGCGCGTGCCACCACGCCCGGCTAATTTTTGTATTTTAGTAGAGACAGGGTTTCTCCATGTTGGTCAGGCTTGTCTTGAACTCCCAACCTCAGGTAATTTGCCCGCCTCGGCCTCCCAAAGTGCTGGGATTACAAGCATGAGCCACTGCGCCCTGCCATTTTTTTTTTTTTAAGATGGAGTATCACTCTGTCACCCAGGCTGGAGTGCAGTGGAGTGGCACAATCTTGGCTCACTACAGCCTCCACCAACCAGGTTCAAGGGATTCTCCCGCCTCAGCCTCCCGAGTAGCTGAGATTACAGGCACCCGCGACCACACCCAGTGAATTTTTATATTTTTAGTAGAGATGGGGTTTCACCATGTTGCCCAGGCTGGTCTTGAACTCCTGGCCTCAAGTGATCTGCCTGCCTCAGCCTCCCAAAGTGCTGGGATTACAGACGTGAGCCACTGCACCTGGCCCATTTCTTTCTTTTTTTTATTTTTTATTTTCTTGAGACAGAGTCTTGCTCTGTCACTCAGGCTGGAGTGCGGTGGTGCGATCTCAGCCCACTGCAAACTCCACCTCCTGGGGTCCGGCTAAGTTATGTATTTTTAGTAGAGATGGGGTTTCGCCATGTTGTCCAGGCTGCTCTTGAACTCCTGATCTCAAATGATCCGCCTGCCTCAGCCTCCCAAAGTGCTGGGATTACACTCGTGAGGCACCGCACCTGGCCTTCACTATTATTTATTTATTTGACACAGAGTCTTGCTCTGTCGCCAGGCTGGAATGCAATGGTGCAATATTGGCTCACTGCAACCTCTGCCTCCCGGGTTCAAGCGATTCCCCTGCCTCACTGAGCCTCCTGAGTGGCTGGGACTGCAGGACTGCGCCACCATGCTTGGCTAATTTTTTTTTTTTTTTTTTTTGTAAGTTAGTAGGGATGGGGTTTCACCATGTTGGCCAGGATGGTCTGGATCTCCTGACCTCGTGATCCGCCCATCTTAGCTGGGATTACAGGCGTGAGCCACCATGCCCGGCTGCCTTCACTATTACTAATATCATATTTTATTTCATGTAATGGTTATAATAGCCCTGCCAGGGAGAGTGAACAAAACAGGCTTTAAAGTTAGACAGACCTGGTTTGAATCTCAGCCTGAAGACTTAACTACGTGACTTATATAAGGCACTTTACTTCTTTGTACCTGAGCTTCCCCATCTATAAAGTGGAGGTCATGATAATGACACCTGCCCCCTCATCTGCCCCTGCCCAGCAGCTGCTCCTGGGATTCTAGTGTTTCTAGAGAAACTGTGGCTGCTGTCTCTCCCAGCGCTGTCGTCTTCTCTGGGCCAGAAGCACACACAGCCTGAGCTTGTTGGACCTCACGCCCCTGCTGTGCCCTCTGTGGGGCTCTCAGCTCCAAGTGGGTTCTGTCTAATAATTACATAATAAGGTGTAATCACATAATAATTACACTTTAGCTATCCTACGAATTAAGGCAGCTCTTCCAAAGACAGCACATCACACAATGCCCAGCATGTGCCAAGCTTCAGTTAATGAGAGCTGGGTTTGGTTTGTTTTGTTTTGTGATCTGACTGGGCTGTGACCTCCTTGGCTGGCTCTGGGTTCATCTGTCCCTCTCCCAGATGAGCAGTCTGCAGCCCTCCCCTTCAGCAAATGGGGCCGCGTAGCCTCCGCACTCCTCTTGGTTGCTGCCCAATGGGCTGTGACAGATGTCCTGCCAGGCAGCTGCTGGCCCTGCTCATCCTGTGGCCCTCTTTCTAGCATCTGGGCTCCTCAGCTCCTTGGGGGATGGGACTTCGGGGCTCCTGGTCTTGACTTTGGTGGCTAAACATAGAGTGCCAAGTCTATTTGTTCCCAAGTAGTTGAGATGGCACAAGCCTGGCCACCTTGCCCTGGACGCCCAGCTCCCGGTTGAGGAGAAGCCCCCTGCAGGAGTCACTATTATGCCTCCCTGGCCATTTCCAGGCCTGAAAGTGACATTTCTCTGCTCAGTTCACTGTCACTAAAGATGGGTTCATGTGCTGTTTTCTCCAGAGCCTGGTCTGCCCTCTCATCCATGCCTGTCACTCAGCCCAGCTTGTCACTTCCCTCCTTCAACAGAACCTCAAACTGCTACCATGATGCAGCCTGGGCACTCTTCCATCTGTCTGCCTTGCCTGCCCCTGCCCGGCAGCCGCTCCTAGGATTCCAGTGCTTCTCGGGAAGCTGTGGCTGCTGTCTCTCCCAGTGCCGTTGTATTCTCTGGGGCAGAAGCACACACAGCCTGAGTTTGTTGGACCTCATGCCCCTGCTGTGCCCTCTGTGGGGCTCTCGGCTCCAAGTGGGTTCACTCTATGAGCCTGGCCGGCTGCCAGCTGGCTGGCTTTGCAGCCGACTCTGGTGAGGAAGTCCTGCCAAGGGCTGGCCTGGATCACTGTTGCTAGAGGAGCAGCCACCTCCCCACCACCACCCCACATAGAAACATTGGGTTCCACATTTGTAAGCGGACATGCCCAAGAATTTGCTACCCCCACTCGTTGTGCGTCAAAAGCTGGCTAAAGGCTGGGTGAGGTGGCTCACACCTGTGATCCCAGCACTTTTGGAGGCCAAGGCAAGCAGATCACTTGAGGCCAAAAGTTCCAGCCTGGCCAACATAGTGAAACCCCGTCTCTACTAAAAATACAACAATTAGCTGGGCGTGATGCTGTGTGTCTGTAATCCCAGCTACTAGGGAGGCTGAGGAACGAGAATTGCTTGAACCCGGGAGGTGGAGGTTGCAGTGAGCTGAGGTTATGCCACTGCACTCCTGCCTGGGCTAGAGTGAGACTTCGTCTAAAAAAAAAAAAAAAAAAAAAAGCTGGCTAAAATGGGCAGCCACGAAGAGGGGTAAAGATCTTATTGTGATCGGAGTTCTAGGTCTGCTGGTCACTGGCTGTGTGACCTTGAGTGATTACTTAACCTCTCTGAACCTCCATTTTGTCATCTGAAAAATGGACATGAAAGGAATTACTTTATTACCTCATAGGCCTTTTGGAAGGATCAAATGAGAACTTGGATGTGAACACTTTTTTTTTTTGAAACGGAGTCTCGCTCTGTCACCCAGGCTAGAGTGCAGTGGCGCTATCTTGGCTCACTGCAAGCTCTGCCTCCCGGGTTCACGCCATTCTCCTGCTTCAGCCTTAACGAGTAGCTGGGACTACAGGCGCCCGCTACCACGCCCGGCTAATTGTTTTGTACTTTCAGTAGAGACGGGGTTTCACCGTGTTAGCCAGGATGGTCTGGATCTCCTGACCTCGTGATCCGCCTGTCTAGGCCTCCCAAAGTGCTGGGATTACCACTGCGCCCGGCCTTTTTTTTTTTTTTTTAAGACGTGGTCTCGCTCTGTCACCCAGGCTGGAGTGCAGTGGCACGGGTGCGATCTCGGCTTACTGCAAGATCCACCTCCCCAGTTCATGCCATTCTCCTGCCTCAGCCTCCTGAGTAGCTGGGACTACAGGCGCCCGCCACTACGCCCGGCTAATTTTTTTTGTATTTTTAGTAGAGACGGGGTTTCACCGTGTTAGCCAGGATGGTCTCGATCTCCCGACTTCGTGATCTGCCCACCTTGGCCTCCCAAAGGGCTGGGATTACAGGCGTGAGCCACTGCATCCGGCCTCTTTTTTTTTTTCTTTTTTGCGACAGAGTCTTTCTCTCACCCAGGCTGGGGTGCAATGGCAGGATCTCGGCTCACTGCAACCTCCGCCTCCCAGCTTCAAGCGATTCTCCTGCCTCAGCGTCCTGAAGAGCTGGGATTACAGGCATGCGCTGTCACGCCCAGCTAATTTTTGTATTTTTAGTAAAGACAGGGTTTCACCATATTGGCCAGACTGGCCTCGAACTCTTGACCTCAAGTGATCCACCCGCCTTGGCCTCTCAAAGTGCTGGGATTATAGGCGTGAGCCACCACACCCGGCCTCCTTTCAAGCTTCTGATGGCTGCAAGCAATCCTTCATGCTCCTTGGCTTGTAGATGCATCACTCCAATCTCTGCCTTTGTCTTTTTTTTTTTTTCGAGACAAAGTCTCACTCTGTCGCCCAGACTGGAGCGCAGTGGCGCGATCTCAGTTCACTGCAACCTTCGCCTCCAGGGTTCAAGTGATTCTCCTGTCTCAGCCCCCCGAGTAGCTGTGATTACAGGCATGTGCCACCACGTCCAGCTAATTTTTTTTTTGTTTTGTTTTTGTTTTTTGTTTTTTGTTTTTGTTTTTGTTTTTGAGATGGATTCACCCAGGCTGTAGTGTAGTGGCACGATCTTGGCTCACTGCAAGCTCCACCTCCCGGGTTCACTTCATTCTCCTGCCTCAGCCTCCTGAGTAGCGGGGACTACAGGCACCCACCACCACGCCTGGCTAAGTTTTTGTATTTTTAGTAGAGACGGGGTTTCACCATGTTGGCCCGGCTGTTTTCGAACTCCTGACCTCAGATGATCCGCCCACCTCAGTCTCCCAAAGTGGTGGGAATACAGGTGTGAGCCACGGTGCCCGGCCTCTGCCTATGTCTTTATGTCACCTCTCTGTGTCTTTTCCCTTTCTTTTCCCTTATTAGGACACCTGTCATTGGATTTAGGGCTTGCCCTAATCCAATACAATCTCGTCATAACATTTTTACCTTAATTACATCTGCAAAGACCCCTTTTCCAAATAAGGTCACATTCTGGATGGATATATGTTTTGAGAGAGGTTCCATATTCAACTCACTGCAGAAAGGTATTAAGAATTTCAACAGGGCTGGGTACGGTGGCTCACTCCTGTAATCCCAGCACTTTGGGAGGCCGAGGCAGGTGGATCACAAGGTCAAGAGTTCAAGATCAGTCTGGCCAAGATGGTGAAACCCTGTCTCTACCAAAAATACAAAAATTAGCTGGGTCTGGTGGCACATGCCTGTAATCCCAGCTACTCAGGAGGCTGAGGCGGGAGAATCGCTTGAACCTGGGAGGCGGAGGTTGCAGTGAGCTGAGATTGCTCCACTGCACTCCGGCCTGGGCGACAGAGTGAGACTCTGTCTTAAAAAAAAAAAAATTCAACAGGGTCTCAGAAGTGCATTAGACCAATTGCAGGACCCTGCTAAGAGTGGGGCCCTGTCCCACTACACAGATCACATGCCCATGAAGCTAGAGTGTACCAAGGTCATCCATGCCCTCCCTTTATGCTGTCAAATCCAGCAGTTGGGTCTGAGTCCTCACCTTACTGGACCCTCTCAGCAGCATTGGACATTGTCGATCACCCCATCCTCCTTGCAACTCCTGCTTCCCTTGGCTTCTGGGACACCCAGCTCTCCTGGTTTTCCTTTGAGCTCCCTAGCCAGTCAGTCATTCCTCAGTGCCTTCCTTCTGCTGGTCCTGCTGGCTCCATCCTCTAGAGTCTGGAGATTGGGGAGCCATGGGGCTCGGACCTCGTCCACTTGTCTCTATGTACTCGCTCCCTTGAGAATCTCATCTCATCCAGGTCTTTCAATGACCCCTCTGCACAGACGCCTGCTGCTCCGATCCTTCCTCTGAATTCCAGACACACAGATCCAGCTGCTGTCCAGCAGCCTGCTGACAGCTCCCCTTGGAGCTCTAATAAGCTTCTCAAACTTAGCCCATCCATAGTGAAGTCTTCCTAGTTGCTTGGGTGAAAATCTGCCAGCCATCTAAATGCCTCTCTTTCCTCTCACATCTCAACACAGTCTCAGCAAACACTTCCTGCCCTTCTTAGAATGAGATCCCCACTCCTTGCCATGGCTCACAAGGTCCTCCATGAAAACATGACTGAGTCTTCTGCAATCTCACCTCCTCCCTCTCCTACCAACTTCATCCCCACCCCGACCTGCACTGAGGATGCTCCAGTCCTCCACCACCCCGCCTCTGGCTCCTTGATCACACCGAACACTCTCCCACCTCAGGGCCTTTGCACCTGTAGTTCCCTCTGCCTCGTGTGATCTTTCCCAGTTCACTCATGAAGCAGGCTCCCCCACTTCATTCAGTCCTGCTCCAATGTCACCTGCTCAGGGAAGGCCTCCCTGACCACCCTGTTGAAAATAACACCCTCTGGTCCCTCTCTGTTCCCATCCCCTGCTTTGTTTTTATCCAGAGGCATCTCGTACTTGCATTTGCTTCAAATCTACCTCCCTAGAAAGTAAGCTCCATAATTTTAGGGACTTGGTGTTTTTCACTACCGTCATTGTCACCACCCAGCACAGTATGTGACACATATGTGTTGAATCAGAGAATGAATGAATCTAAGCATGTTGCTCTCCTCGCTTAAAATCCCGAGATGCTCCATCACATCTCCGTGCTTTTGCCCATGCTGTTCCCTCTGCTCAGAATGTCCTTCCCCTTCCTAGCCTGCCTGGAAAACTTTTAGTCATCCCTCAAGACCAGAGCCCACTGTCGCCACCTTTGTGAAGCCCCTAGTTGCTGTAAGAGACACCTATATTTAGGCCGGGCACGGTGGCTCATGTCTGTAATCCCAGCACTTTGGGAGGCTGAGGTGGGCGGATCACCTGAGGTCGGGAGTTTGAGACCAGCCTGACGAACATGGAAAAACCCCGTCTCTACTAAAAGTACAAAATTAGCTGGGCATGGTGGCGCATGCCTGTAATCCCAGCTACTCAGGAGGCTGAGGCAGGAGAATCGCTTGAACCCAGGAGGTGGAGGTTGCAGTGAGCCAAGATCGCACCATTGCACTCCAGCCTGGGCAACAAGAGCAAAACTCCATCTCAAAAAAAAAAAAAAAAAAAAAAAAGAAAGAAAGAATAAAAAAGAGAGACACCTATATTTTCTCCTCTATATTAAAACAAAACAAAACAAAACAAAATTCAACTCCAATCATGTTTCCCTTGCCTCTCCCAGGCAACACCTCAACACCTTTTCTGGAGGGAAATTACTGTACCAGAAAAGATAGTTAATTTTAAAAAAAAGTTTTTTTTGAGACAGAGTCTCGCTGTGTTGCTAGGCTGGAGTGCAGTGGTGCAATCTCAGCTCACTGCACCCTCCACCTCCCGGGTTCAAGCAATTCTCCTGCCTCAGCCTCTCAAGTAGCTGGGACTACAGGTGCGTGCCACCACGCCCAGCTAATTTTTGTATTTTTATTAGAGACAGGGTTTCACTGTGTTGGCCAGGCTGGTCTCGAACTCCTGATCTCATGATCCGCCTGCCTCGGCCTCCCAAAGTACTGGGATTACAGGCGTGTGTCGCAGCACCGGGCCTTTTATTTATTTGTTTATTTTTTCAAATAACGGGGAACCTGGAGGCAGAAACTTGGTGAGTCACAAGGGGGCAGCAAAGTGTTCCCACTCGGAGGAAGGCTACAAAGCCTTTCATCATCAGCTAGCAGCAACAATCGGTTTAAACCATGTAGCAATAAAGGATTAGCCACTGGATTTAGTAACAACTGGTCATCACCCACTCCAGTGTCAGTATTTGAAAAAGAAATAGGATTGTAAAATCTCAGCTCAGCCATTTCGTATACGCCCTTGGGCCAATCGCAATCTATTTGACCCTGGTTTCCTCATCTGTAAACTAGGGATACCTGCTTCCGAATGTCACTTCCTCATATGGTTGTCTTGATAATTAACTAGGATGATGAAGGTAATAGATGAGCTGCCTGGAGTGTAGTAAGTGTTCATATGTAAAATACTATTATTACCATATAAAGAACCAAGGGAACTGAGTGTTGCTGAATACCTAGTACGGGCAAAGGCACTTTGAATCCTTAATCAAGTGATGAATGATGAGAAGTTAAATGAGAGGTTGAATGACAAAGTGAGAGGTTAAGTGACATGCCCAAGGCCACATAGCTAGCAACAACAATAGCGGTTCACACCTAGCAGGTACTTACTATGTGCCATGCCAGGCAACCACAGTTCTAAGTACTTTGCATCTTTGCATGAGCAATTTTTTTTTTTTTTTGAGACAGGGTCTCACTCTGTCTCCCAGGCTGGCGTGCAGGGGTGCGATCTCAGATCACTGCAACCTCTGCCTCTTGGACTCAAGTAATCCACCCACCTCAGCCTCCCGAGTAGCTGGGACCACAGACACTTGCCACTATGCCTGGCTCATTTTTTAGTATTTTTTGTAGAGACGGCGTTTCGCCATGTTGCCCAGGCTGGGAGCTATCTCCCTTCTTACAATGATCCCGAGAAAAGAATTTTTATCTGAGGAATGCAGGTCAGGCCGGGAGAGACATTAAAATGAGACTGAAATCAGGCCCTACTCCCCACTTTGAACTGTGTATTCATCTCTTGAAATTGCTTGCTATTGCCATAAATAGCTATAAATTAACCCAATAATGCCACACCAGACACTACAACCCACAGTCTGTAGCTTAACAATGTTATTTCTGTAAATCAATGAGAATTCCTGACAAACAACTTTGCATCAGTCCACTCCTTGTCCCCTACTTTTGCCTTCAAAACTCCACCTGTAACTGCTAGTAATTGAAGTGTACATTCAGGGAAACTTGACTTTCTGCTCTCAGGTTGCAATCTTCAAGCTTGGCCCACATAAACTCTCTACTTACATTAATTTTGCCCAAGCTGCTTCTTTTTAGGTCGACAATCCTATGGAGTATGTACCCTTATTATGCCCATTTGAAAGAAGACTGAGGCACAAATAACTGGGCTAAAGTCACGCTGTGGAGTGTGGAGCTGGGCTAAGAGCGGAGGCAGTCTGGCTCCTGAGCCAGGGCTCTCGCTGCCCTGCCACCTGGCGGAGATGAGATCAAGCTGAGGAAAGCTTGTCATGGTCAAGATGAGGAAAAACTCAAGCCCTTTCCACCACCCTAGGCTGCTTTGAAACTAGCTTGCCTCAAAGCCTGCTCCAGACTATTGAAAAACAAAACCAACACTCCCCCACCTCAACCCCATTATGCCCCTCTTCAGCCACTGGTTTCTCCCTCTTCCCCATCATAACTGCACTTTCTTCGTGGCTCACTGCAATCTCCGCCTCCTGGGTTTAAGCGATTCTCGTGTCTCAGCCTCCCAAGTAGCTGGGATTACAGGCGAGTGCCACCACGCCCAGCTAATTTTTGTATTTTTAGTAGAGATGGATTTTTGCCATGTTGGCCAGGCTGGTCTCGAACTCCTGACCTCAGGTGATCTGCTCTCCTCGGCTTCCCAAAGTGCTGGGATTACAGATGTGGGCCACTGTGCCGGGCCAAGAATAAGAAATTGATTGTAAGGCCAGGCACGGTGGCTCACGCCTGTAATCCCAGCACTTTGGGAGGCTGAGGTGGGCGGATCACGAGGTCAGGAGTTCGCGATCAGCCTGGCCAATGTGGTGAAACCTCGTCTCTACTAAAAATACAAAAATTAGCTGGGTGTTGTGGCGTGCACCTGTAGTCCCAGCTTAGTTGGGAGACTGAGGCAGGAGAATTGCTTGAACCCGGGAGGCGGAGGTTGCAGTGAGCCAAGATCGCGCCACTGCACTCCAGCCTGGGCAACAGAGCAAGACTCTGTTTCAAAAAAAAAAAAAGGCCAGGCGCGGTGGCTCATGCTTGTAATCCCAGCACTTTGGGAGGCTGAGGCGGGCAGATCACGAGGTCAGGAGATCGAGACCACGGTGAAACCCCGTCTCTACTAAAAATACAAAAAAAAAAAAAAAAATTAGCTGGGCGCGGTGGTGGGCGCCTGTAGTCCCAGCTACTGGGAATGGCGTGAACCCGGGAGGCGGAGCTTGCAGTGAGCCGAGATTGCGCCACTGCACTGCAGCCTGGGTGACAGAGCGAGACTCCGTCTTAAAAAAAAAAAAAAAAGAATTGATCGTAAGTTAACTGAAAGTTATAAGCTAAAGAAAAAATGTGTCTGAAGTTAGCCTTGTCAGGTGTAAGTCTGAATCCCCACGTCCTACCCCTGCCCAGCAGTGGAACAAGGAGAGGCAGGGCCCCTACCCGGGCTCCTGCAACTAGAGGAGCTTAGCAGGATGAGTCAAGGAGCAAGTCCAAACTGAAATTCATTAGAGAGAAGCTGCAAATTAAGCCTCAAGGAGACCAAGGGCAAATGCTAAAACAAAGAGTCAGACACCAGACCACAAACGGATGCAAAGCTAGGCTATGAAGCTGAGAGTTTATTGTCAGCCAGAGACACAGTCAGGCGAATGTAAGTCATACACAAGCAAGGAAGATCCAGGGCAATGCGATCAAACAATCTTAGGGCAGGTTCTTGGTGCTTTAGGTGTGTTGGGGTGTTTTAAAGTCTGCATTCAGGGCAGGCAGGTTAGCACTGCAGTGGAGATGATACATCAGGCTATCATTGCTTGCTGTCTTTCGACATTAGAGCCATCCAGCTAGGCACTTTGCTCTGGTTCTGTGGTCACTAAGCAACTTCTTGATTAAAATGTGGCCTCCCACGTAGGTGTGCTTTACTGAGAGATAATGGGCTGGCTAGCCAGCATGAGTAGTCCTTCTCTCCTGGCCTTTATTTCTCACTGTAATGTTTTCTCAAAATGAAATATACTTGATTACATTCTCTTATTACAAAAGTAATATATGCTAATTATAGAAAATATAGACAGGCAAAAAGGGAGCATAAAGATCATCCATAATCCTCCAATCCAGAACAACTACTGTTAAGAGCTTCATATTAGTTGTTTTTTTTTGTTTGTTTTTGTTTTGTTTTGTTTTGTTTTGAGACAGGATCTTGCTGTCACCCAGGCTGGCATGCTGTGGTGTGATCTCAGGTAACTGCAACCTCTGCTTCCCGGGTTCAAGTGATTCTCCTGCCTCAGCCTCCAGAGTAGCTGGGACTACAGGCACGTACCACCATGCTTGGCTAGTTTCTTTTGTATTTTTAGTAGACACGAAGTCTCACCATGTTGGCCAGGCTGGTCTTCAACTCCTGGCCTCAAGTGATCCGCCTGACTCGGCCTCTCAAAGTGCTGGGATTACAGGGGTGAGCCACTGCTCCTGGCCAGATGCTTTTTTTTTTTTTTTTTGAGACAAGTCTCGCTCTGTTGCCCAGGCTGGAGTGCAGTGGCGCAATCTCAGCTCACTGCAACCTCCGCCTCCCGGGTTCAAGCAATTCTCCTGCCTCAGCACCCCCTAGTAGCTGGGATTACAGGCATGTGTCACCACACCTGGCTATTTTTTGTATTTTTAGTAGAGATGGGGTTTCACCATGTTGGCCAGGCTGGTCTCGAACTCCTGACCTCAGATGATCCACCTGCCTTGGCCTCCCAAAGTGCTGGGATTACAGGTGTGAGCCACCGTGCCTGGCTGATCCTTCTTATATGTATATTTACCTACAGCACATATACGTATGGTCATATACACATATTTACTATTGGTATTCTATCTTTTCCTTTTTTTGATTTAAAACTTCTTCAATTATGCAATGATACCTGAGTACATTTTCTTTCTTTCTTTCTTTTTTTTTTTTTTTGAGACGGAGTTTTGCTCTTGTTGCCCAGGCTGGAGTGCAATGGCGCGATCTCGGCTCACCACAACCCCCGCCTCCTGGGTTCAAGGGATTCTCCTGCCTCAGCCTCCTGAGTAGCTAGGATTACAGGCATGCTCCACCACACCGGGCTAATTTTTTGTATTTTTAGTAGAGACAGGGTTTCTCCATGTTGGTCAGGCTGGTCTCGAACTTCTGACCTCAGGTGATCTGCCTGCCTCAGCCTCCCAAACTGCTGGGATTCCAGGCGTGAGCCGCTGCGCCCAGCTTATGAGTACATCTTCATAAAATACTTTAAAAAATATTTTAATTAAGAGGGGGGTGGGTCTTGCTATTGTTGCCCAGACTGGTTTCGAACTCCTGGGCTCAAGCAATCCTCCCACCATAGCTTCCCAAGCAGCTGGGATTACAGGTGTGTATCACCATGGCCTCGCAAAATTTTAAGATGATATAGAATCATGTAGAGTAAAATATTAAGGACCTCCAAAACAACTCATAGTAAATAGCTTTGTATTTATCCTTGCAGTTTTTTTATGCATTTATATATCAATATTACATACTATTAAAATAGAAGACCTAGTATCTTACTATCATACTTTAAAAAAATTTTTTTTTTTTTTTTTGAGATGGAGTCTTGCTCTGTTGCCAGGCTGGAGTGTAGTGGTGCGATCTTGGCTCACTGCAACCTCCCCCTCCTGGGTTCAAGCGAGTCTCCTGCCTCAGCCTCCTGAGTAACTGGGATTACAGGCACCCACCATCACACCTGGCTAATTTTTGTATTTTTATTAGAGACAGGGTTTCACCATGTTGGCCAGCTCTGGTTTCGAACTCTTGACCTCAGGTGATCTGCCCGCCTTGGCCTCTGAAAATGCTGGGATTACTGGCGTGAGACACTGCGCCTGGCCCCATCATACTTTTTAGTAACTGCCTATTTTTACTAAAGATTCTATCATGAACATCTAATCACATCAATAAATACAATTTACATTATCATTTTTAAAGGCCACACAGTATTCTATTGTATGAATGCACCACGATTTATTTATTTATTTATTTATTTATTGAGATGCAGTCTCGCGCTGTCACCAGGCTGGAGTGCAGTGGTGTGATCTCGGCTCACTGCAACAACCTCCGCCTCCAAGGTTCAAGGGATTCTCCTGCCTTAGCCTCCCGAGCAGCTGGGACTACAGGTGCATGCCACCACGTCTGGCTCATTTTTTGTATTTTTAGTAGAGACAGGGTTTCACCATGTTGGCCAGGATGGTCTTGAACTCCAGACCTCATGATCCGCCTGCCTCGGCCTCCCAAAGTGCTGGGATTACAGGCGTGAGCCACCACGCCCTACCCTGATTTATTTAATTAATGAAATAATTTGGAAATTTGTCCCCACCCAAATCTTATGTTGAATTTTAATCCCCAATGTTGGAGGTGGGGCCTGGTGGGGTATTTGGGTTATGGGGTGGATCCCTTCATGGCTTGGTGCTGTCCTCGTGATAGTGAGTTCTCACAAGATCTGGTTGTTGTAAAGTGTGGCACCTTCCCCTGCCCTTTCTATTTCCTCACTCCTGCTCCCGCCATGTGAGACACCTGCTCCCACTTTGCCTTTTTCCACGAGTTAAAATGCTCCCTAAAGCTTTCCCAAAGCCTAGCAGATGCCAGTGCCACACTTCCTGTACAGCCTGCAGAATTGTGAGCCAATAAGACCTCTTTTTTTTTATATAAATTACCCAGTTCCAGGTATTTCTTTATAGCAACACAAGAATGGCCTAATACAACTAATATCCTAATTTTTTATTTTTTATTTTTATTTTTTGAGACAAGGTCTTTTTCTGCCACTCAGGCTGGAGTGCAGTGGCACTCACTGCAGCCTTGAACTCCTGGGCTCAAGAGATCCTCCTGCTTCAGCCTCCTGAGGAGCTACAACTACAGGCACATGCCACCATGCCCAGCTAATTTTTTTTTTTTTTTGACACAGTGTTTTGATCTGTCTCCTAGGCTGAAGTGCAGTGGCCTCATCTCGGCTCACTGCAACCTCTGCCTCTCGAATTCAAGTGATTCTCCTGCCTCAGCCTCCTGAGTAGCTGGGATTACAGACACCCACCAGCATGTCCGGCTAATTTTTGTAGTTTTAGTAGAGACAGGGTTTCACCATGTTGGCCAGGCTGGTCTCGAACTTCTGACTTTAGATGATCCACTCTCCTTGGCCTCCCAAAGTGCTGGGATTACAGTCCTGAGCCACCGAGCTCAGCCCCAGCTAATTAAAAAAAAAATGTGTAGGCCAGGCACAGCGGCTCATACCTGTAATCCCAGCACTTTGGAAGGCTGAGGCATGAGGATCACTTGAGCTTAAGAGAGTTTGAGACCAGCCTGGGCAACATAGTAGGCCTCATCTCCACAAAAATAAATAAATAAATAAATAAGTAAATAAAAATAAATTCTTTTGGCCAGGCACAGTGGCTCACGCCTGTAATCTCAGCACTTTGGAAGGCCGAGGCAGGCAGATCACAAGGTCAGGAGTTCGAGAGCAGCCTGACCACTGTGGTGAAACCTCTTCTCTACTAAAAATATAAAACTTACCCGGGCGTAGTGGCACATGCCTGTAGTCCCAGCTACTCTGGAGGCTGAGGCAACAGAATCGCTTGAACTTGGGAGGCAGAGGTTGCAGTGAGCCAAGATTGCACCACTGCACTCCAGCCTGGGAGGAGACAGAGGAGACTCCATCTCAAAAAAAAAATTATTTTGTAGAGATGGAGTCTCGCTGTGTTGGCCAGGCTGGTCTCAAACTCCTGGCCTCATGGGATTCTCCTACCTCAGTCTCCCAAACTGCTGGGATTACAAGTGTGAGCCACTATGCCATGCCATATCCTATTGTTGAAGATTTAGGTTGTTTCCAACTTTCTCTTATTACAAATGGTGCTTCACTAAACATCTTCCTGTGTATATCATTATGCACGAGTGATCGTTTTCTTGGAACAAAGTCTCATAGGTGGAATTGCAGGGTCAAACAATGTGAACATATGAAGGTCCAATTGGCCTACACACCCACCACCCGGCGTATGGGAGTGCTCATTTTCTTCAACGCTTGCCCAGGCTAAGTATTTTCAATCTTTTTAATCTTTGCCAATCTATGAGCACAATAGGATAGATCATTGTTGCTTTAATTAGCATTTAAAATCGTCCCTGAGGTTAATTCATTTCTTTAACAAATATAATTCAGGATCTGCTATGTGCCAAATGGTGTCTTAGGCATCAGAGATACAACGTTCAACAAAATGGCCACAGATATTGTTCTTATGGGGCTTATGACCTAAGGAGAGACACAGACAATAATCAAACGATACAATAAATAAAGGTGAAACTGCAACTGTGATAAGGGCCGTGAAGGAAAAGTAGAAAGAGCTCCGAGAGCATAAAATAGGGGCCGTCGGGTGTGGTGGCTCACGCCTGTAATCCCAGCACTTTGGGAGGCTGAGGCAGGTGGATCACCTGAGGTCAGGAGTTCAAGACCAACCTGGCCAACATGATGAAACCCCATCTCTACTAAAAATACAAAAATTAGCCGGGTGTGATGGTGGGCGCTTGTAATCCCAGCTACTTGGGAGGCTAAGGGAGGAGAATCGCTTGAACTCAGGAAGCAGAGATTGCAGTGAGCTGAGATTGCGTCACTGCACTCCGGCCTGGGCAACACAGTGAGAGTCTGTATCAAAAAAAAAAAAAAAAAAAAAAGTAGGGGAACTGGAGCCATCAGGGAAGGCTTCCAGGAAGAAATGATGATTGAGGTGATGACTGAGAGAAGAGTTGGAGTCAACAGGTGAAGCAGAGATGGAAGCATTCCATAGCGAGGACAGCATGTGCAAAGATCCTGTGGTAGGTGAGGCATTTGAAAGCAGTGCAGTGTACTTAGAGTACAGAGAGTAAGGGAGAGGTAAGAGAGGTAGGCAGGGGCCAGGACATACAGGGACAGTTAAGTGGGTCAAGAATTTTGGTCTTTATTCTAGGTGCAAAGGGAAATCATTGAAGAGTTTAAAGCACAGGAAGGACATGATCAGACTTACAGTGTGGGAAGACCATTGTGGCTTCAGTGTAGAGAATAGATTGGCAGGGAACATGAGTCGATGCAGGTAGATCATCCAAAAGGGCAGTAGTTGACATGAGTGATGACAATGGCTTGGATTAGTGCAATAGTTGTGGAGATGGAGAGCAGTGCATGGATACAGACTCTGGTAGTGTCAGGACAGCCACTATGTGCTATGGTTTTTATGGTTTGTTTGTCCCCACCAAAACTCACATTGAAATTTGATTCCCAAAGTGGTGGTGTTGGGAGGTGGGGCCTCGTGGGAGGTGTTTTGAGTCATGGGGGCGGATTGCTCATGAATGGCTTGGTGCCGTTTTCGGGATAGTGAGTTCTCACTCTGGCAGGACAGGATTAGTTCCCACACAAGTGGCTTGTTATAAAGCCAGGATGCCCCTCAGGTTTCTCTCTTTCCCCACGTCTGCTTCCCCTTTGACCTTCTCTGCCACGTTTTGACCTAGCACAAGGCCCTCACCAGAAACCCAGCAGATGCTGACACCATGCTTCTCAGACTTCCCAGCCTGCAGAGCCATGAGCTAAATAAACATCATTTCTTTATAAATTACCCAGGCTCAGGTATTTTTTTTTTTTTTTGAGACAGAGTCTTGCTCTGTCGCCCAGGCTGGAGTGCAGTGGCGCGATCTCGGCCCACTGCAACCTCCACCTCCAGGGTTCAAGCGATTCTCCTGCCTCAGCCTCCCATTTAGCTGGGATTACAAGTGCATGCCACCACGCCCAGCTAATTTTTTGTATTTTTTTTTTTTTAGTAGAGGTGGGGTTTTGCCATGTTAGTCAGGTTGGTCTCGAATGCCTGGCCTCCCGAAGTGCTGGGATTACAGGTATGAGCCACTGCGCCCAGCCAGGTATTTCTTGATAGCAACACAAAATGGATCAAGACACTATGGAACCAGGAATCATGCCAAAAATGAATTGACACCAAGTCTTGGCCTACCTCTATCCTGAATCTCTCTTGAATCCAGTCCACAAATCCTATTCCAGCTCAGGCCTCATCTTCTCCTGCTTGGACCATGCACCAGTCACTTCTGTGACCTCCAGTTTCACCTCCTCCAGTTTCTTTTCCATACCAGCCACCACAAAGATTTATTTAAAAAACAGCTTTACTGACATATAATTCACATATCTTTCAATTGACTTTTTTTTTTTTTTTTGAGACGGAGTTTCACTCTTGTTGCCCAGGCTCGCGTGCAATGGTGCGATCTCGCTCACTGCAACCTCCGCCTCCCGGGTTCAAGCGATTCTCCTGCCTCAGACTCCCAAGTAGCTGGGATTACAGGAGTACACCACCACGCCCTGCTAATTTTGTATTTTTAGTAGAGATGGGGTTTCTCCATGTTGGTCAGGCTGGTCTCAAACTCCTAACCTCAGGTGATCCTCCCACCTCGGCCTCCCAAAATGCTGGGATTACAGGTGTGAGCCACTGCGCCAGGCCACAATTGACATTTTTAAAATGTACAATTCAATGGCTTTCAGTATTTCACATATGTGCAACTATCACAACTATCTAATTTTAGAACATTTTCACTGCCTCAGAAAGAAACTCCATACCCATTAGTGATTACTTTTCATTTCCTTCCTAATTCTTCCAGCCCCAGGACAGTACTAAATCTACTTTCTGTCTCTATAGATTTCTCTATTCTGAACATTTCATAAAATTGGAATCATACGATATGTGTTTTTTTTTGTGACTGGCTTCCTTCACTTAGTATCATGTTTTCAAGGTTAATCCGTGTTGTAGCATGTATCAGAACTTCATTCCTTTATTTTTATTTTTTATTTTTTTAACACGGAGTCTTGCTCTGTCACCCAGGCTGGAGTGCAGTGGTGCAATCTCAGCTCACTGCAACCTCTGCTTCCTGGGTTCAAGAGATTCTCTTGTCTCAGTCTTCTGAGTAGCTGGGATTACAGACACATACCACCACGCCCAGCTAATTTTTGTATTTTTAGTAGAGACAGGGATTCAACATGTTGTCCAGGCTGGTCTCGAACTCCTGACCTCAGGTGATCCACCTACCTCAGCCTCCCAAAGTGCTAAGATTACAGGTGTGAACCACTGCGCCCGGCCCTTAATTCCTTTATATTGCAGAATAATATTCCCTTGTATGGATATACTACATTTTATTTATTCATTTATCCATTGATGGATATTTGGGTATTTCCATTCTTTGACTATTATGATGAGTGCTGCTGTGAGCATTCATGTACAAGGTTTTCTGTGGATATATACTTTCATTTCTCTTGGGTAGATACCTAGTTTGAGAGGGGTGGAATTGCTGGGTCATATGGTAACTATTTTGAACATTTGGGGAACTGCCAAACTATTTTCCTAAATGGTTGCACCATTTTACATTACCAGCAGTTGTGAACGAGTGTTCTAATGCCTCTACATTCTTGCCAACTCTTGTTATTATATTTCTTTTTTTTATTATAGCCATTCTAGTGGGTATAAAGTGGTATCTCACTGTAGTTTTGATTTGCATTTCCCTGATGGCCCAATGGTATTGAGCATCTTTTCATAAGCTCATTGGCCACTTGTCTATCTTCCTTAGAGAAATGTCTATTCAGATCTTTTCCCCTTTTTAAAAATTGAGTTATTTTGCTTTTTATTTTTGAGTTGTAAGAGTTTTTCATACATTTTCATTTATAAGTCTCTTATTAGATATATGATTTGTAAATATTTCTCCCCGACTCTGTGGGATGTCTTCTCACTTTATTGCTGGTATCCTATAAGGAACAAAAATTCTAATGAAGTCCAATTTATCTGTTTTTTCTTTTCTTGCTTGTGCCTTTGGTGTCACATCTAATAATTCATTGCTTAATACATGGTCATGAAGGTTTACTCTTGTTTTCTTCTGTTTTTAAATTTTAGTTCTTACATTAAGGTCTTTGATTCATTTTAATTTTTTTTTTTTCTTTGAGAGACAGGGTCTCACTCTGTCACCTAGGCTGGAGTGCAGTGGTGTGATCACGGCTTACAGCAGCCTCAACCTCCTGGGCTCAAGTGATCCTCTCACCTCACCCTCCCAAGTAACTGGGACTACAGGTGTGCACCACCATACCTGGCTAATTTGTACAATTTTTTGTAGAGACAAGGTTTCAATATGTTGCCGAGGCTGGTCTTGAACTCCTGAGCTCAAGCGATCCTCCTGCCTTGGCCTCCCAAAGTTCTGGGAGTACAGGCATGAACCATCAAGCCCGTCCATTGAAATTTTTATTAATTTTTATTTTGGGGGTGGGGGGGATGAGTTCTCTCACTCTGCTGCCCAGGCTAGAGCATAGTGGCATGATGAAAGCTCACTGCAGCCTCTAACTCCTGGGCTCAAGCAATCCTCCCACCTCACCCTCCTGAGTAGCTGAGACTAGGACTACAAGTGTGTGCCACCACACCTGGCTAATTTTTATTATCATTTTTTGTAGGGATGGGGTCTAGCTATGTTGTGCAGGCTGGTCTTGAACTCCTGGGCCCAAGCGATCCTTCCACCTTGGCCTCTCAAAGCACTGGGATTACAGGCATGAGTCACCCACCGTGCCTGGCCCATTTTCATTTTTATATATGGTATGTAGTAGGGGTCCTGTTTCATTCTTTTGCATGTGAATATCCAGTTGTCCCAGCATCATTTGTTGAAAAGACTATTCTTTCCCCATTGAATTGTCTTGATACTTGCTATGGTCTGAATATTCGTGTCTCCTTCGTCCCCAAGCCATATGTTGAAATCCTAATGAAGTGATAGTATTAGGAGGTAGGACCTTTGGGAGTTTAGTGCTCTTATAAAAGAGACCCCAGAGAGGTAGCTAGACCCTTCCACATGAGAACATAGTGAGAAAGCGCCATTTATGAACCAGAAAGTGGGTTCTGACAAATCTACCAGCACCTTCACTGTGGACTTCCTAGCCTTTAGAACTGTGAGAAATAAATTTTTGTTGTTTATAAGCTACCCAGTTTATGGCATTTTGTTATAGCAGCCTGAATGGAGTAAGACAACACTCTTGTTGAAAATCGATTGACTGTAAACTACAAGGTTTATTTCTGGACTGTTAAATCGATTCCATTGATCTATGTCTATCCTTATGCTAGGACCACACTGTCTTGATTACTGTAGCTTTGTAGTAAGTTTTGAAATGGGGAACTGTGAGTCCTCCAACTTTGTTTTTCAAGACTATTCTGGGTCATTTGAATTTCCATATTAATTTTAGGATCAGCCTGTCAATTTCTGGAAAGAAAAGGTACCTTGGATTTTGATAGAGATTGCATCTATCTTAGCTAGTTTGGAGATTATTGTCATTTTAACAGTATTAGTCTTCCAATTCATGAACACAGAATGTCTTTCCCGTGCTTCTTTCAATAATGTTTTGTTTTTAGTGTATAAATCTTGCACTCCTTTTGTTAAGTTTATTTCTAGACATGTTGTTCTTTTTTTTTTTTTTTTTTTTGAGACAGTGTCTTGCTCTGTTGCTCGGGCCAGATTGCAGTGGCGCGATCTTGGCTCACTGCAACCTTCGCCTCCCGGGTTCAAACAATTCTCCTGCTTCAGCCTCCTGAGTAGCTGATATTACAGGTTTGTGGCACCACACCAAGCTAATTTTTGCATTTTCAGTAGAGATGGGATTTCACCACGTTGGCCAGGCTGGTCTCGAACTGCTGACCTCAAGTGATCCACACACCTTGGCCGCCCAAAGTGCTGAGATTACAGGCGTGGGCCACTGTGCCCAGCCTCATTTATTAGTTCTAATAGTTTTTAGTAAATTCCTTAGGATTTTCTGTGTATGAAATTATGTCACCTGCAAATATAGTTTTTCTTTTTCTTTTCCAATCTGTATGTGTTTTATTTCATTTCCTTGCTTACTTGCCCTGGCTAGAACTTCCAGTACAATGTTGAAGAGAAGTGTTGAGAGTGGACATTTTTGCCTTTTTCCTGAACTTAAGAGAAAAGCATTCAGTTTTTCACTATTAAGTATGATGTTAGCTGTGGATTTTTTCATAGACACTCCTTGTCAAGATGAGAATGTTTCCTTCTATTTCTAAGTTTATTTATTTATTTTATCATGAAGAGGTGTTGAATTTTGTCAAATGCTTTTTTCTGCATCTGTTGAAATGATTGTTTTGCTTTTTGTTTTTTACTCTATTGATATAGTGTATCGCATTATTGATTTTTCAGACGTTAAGCCAACCTTGCATCCCTTGGTAAATTCCACTTTGTAATGGAGAATAATCTTTTTATATACTGCCAGATTCAGTTTGCTAGTATTTTGTTGAGGATTTTTATGCTTATGTTCATAAGAGATATGATTTTCTTTTTCTTTTTCTTTTTGTAGAGACGAGGTCTTGCTATGTTGCCCAGGCTGGTCACGAACTTTCAGGTTGAAACAGTTCTCCCGCCTCTGCCTCCCAAAGTGCTAGGATTACAGGCATGAGCCACTGCGCCTTTTATATCTTCATCTGGTTTTATTATCAAATACTTTGTTAACGTGATGCATTAAATTGATTGATTTTCATGTGTTGAATCATCCTTGCATTCCAGGAATAAATCACTTGGTCATGGTGTATAATCCTCTTAATATGCCGTTGAATTCAGCTGCTGGTATTTTGTTGAAGATTTTTGCATCAATATGCATAAGGAATATTGGGCTGTACTTTTCTTTCCTTGTAGTATCTTTGTCTGGCTTTAGTATTAGGGTAATGCTCGCCTCACAGAATGAGTTTGGAAGTGTTATATCCTCTTCTATTTTTTGGAAGAATTTGAGAAGGATTGGTGTTAATTCCTCTTTAAATGTTGGTATAATTCACCAGTGATACCATCTAGTCCTGGGCTTTTCTTAGTTGGAAGTTATTGACTACTGGCACAAACTATTTGTTACATCTCTCTTCAGAGTTCCTATTTCTTCTTGAGTCAATTCCTGTAGTTTGTGCCTTTTTAAGAATTTTTCTGGCCGGGCGCGGTGGCTCACGTCTGTAATCCCAGCACCTTGGGAAGTCGAGGTGGGTGGATCACAAGGTCAGGAGTTCGAGACCAGCCTGGCAAATATGGTGAAACCTCGTCTCTACTAAAAGTACAAAAAAATTAGCCGGGCATGGTGGCACATGCCTGTAATCCCAGCTACTTGGGAGGCTGAGGCAGAAGAATTGCTTGAATCTGGGAGGCAGAGGTTGCAGTGAGCTGAGATCACACCACTGCAGTCCAGCCTGGGTGACAGAATGCGATTCTGTCTAAAAAAAAAAAAATTTGTTTTCCATTTCATCCAAATTATCTAATTTGTTGATATGCAGTTTTTCATTGTATTCTCTTATAATCCTTTTTATTTCTGTAAAGTCAGTCCTTATTTCCCTTCTTTCATTTTTGATTTTAGTAATTTGAGTGCGTTCTCTTTTTTCTTAGTCCATTTAGGTAAATGTTCATCAATTTTGTTGATTTTTTTTTCAAAGAACCAACTTTTGGTTTCGCTGATTTTCTCTATGTTTTTCTGTTCCCCACTTCATTAATTTTTGCTCTAATCTTTGTTAATCCTTCCTTTGATGGCTTTGGGTTTAATTTTCTTTTCTTTTTTTTTTTTTTTAGGGGTCTACAGCTATATGTTTCCTTCAAAGCACTGCTTTAGTTTCTATTTTATTTTTATTTACTTAAATTTTTTTTTTTAAAGACAGGGTCTCACTATGCTGCCCAGGCTGGTCTCAGACTCCTGGGCTCAAGCAATCCTCCTGCCTCAGCCTCCCAAATTGCTGAGATTACAGATGTGAGGCACCGCACCCAGCCTAGTTTCATCCCATAAACTAGGGTATATTAGTATATTGGCATATTTTGGTATATTGTGTCATAATTTGCATTCATCTCAAAGCGTTTTCTAACTTATGATTTCTTCTTTGACTCATTGGTTATATATGAGTATGTTTAACTTCTTTTTTTTTCCCTACAGGACAGCCAACTCCATGTCTAGTTTCTATATATTTGCAAAATTCCCAAAATTTTGCCTAACTTATCTCTAATTTCACTCCATTGTGGTTGGAGAACATACTATGTATGATTTCAATACTTTTAAATTTATTAAGGCTTCTTTTACGGCCTGGCATGTGGCCTATCCTGCAGAATGATCCATGGGCACTTGAGAAGAATATGCATTCTGTTACTGTTGGGTAGAGTGTTTTATAGATGTCTTTAGGCCTAGTTAGTTTATAATGCTGTTCAAATTTTATATTTCCTTTTAAATGTCTTTTTCCTTTTCATTCTAACCCTTGGGGGTTTTCTGTTAGGTATACACAGATATCCTTTTAACATTCATATCTGACTGTGTTTATCCTCTGTTTGAATATTTTGAATTCTCATTCACCACAATATGGAGAAAGCTCCTCAATATGGCACCCGAGGCAATGGTATGGCTACTGGTAATTTCCAGTATCTTCAAACTCTGACTTCCAGTCACACAATATCTTAGAGTTCCTTGAACATACCATGTTCTTTCTTCCTTCTTGTCTTTGTACATACTATTCCTTTTGCCTAGACTGTATCTAATCTCGACTCCCCCTTCCCCAGCTAACTCTTACTCATCCTTCAAGGCCTAGGAAGTCTTTCCAAACCCACATCTGGTTAACTTGCTGTTCTGTGGTCTCTCAGTACCCTGTGCTTACTGCATAGCACTTCTCCCCTTAAAAGGAACTGGAGTAGGGCATGGTGGCTCACACCTGTAATCCCAGCACTTTGGGAGGTTGAGGTGGAAGGATCACTTGAGGCCAGGAGTTCAAGACCAGCCTGGGCAACATAGTGAGACCCCTATCTCTACAAAAAAAAAAAAAAAAAAAGCTGGGAATGGCAGCATGCCCCTGTGGTCCCAGCTACTCTGGAGCCTGAGGCAGGAGGATCACTTAAGCCTGGGAGGTCCAGGCTGCAGTGAGCTGTGATTGTGCAGCTACACTCCAGTTTGGGTGAAAGAATGAAACCCTGCCTTAAAAAAAAGGAATTGAAAATGTATCTGTCGGCCGGGCACGGTGGCTTACACCTGTAATCGCAGCACTTTGGGAGGCTGAGGCGGGCGGATCACGAGGTCAGGAGTTCAAGACCAGCCTGGCCAAAATGGTGAAACCCCATCTTTACTAAAAATACAAAAATTAGCTGGGCGTGGTGGTGGGCGCCTGTAATCCCAGCTACTCAGGAGGCTGAGGCAGAGAATTGCTTGTACCAGGGAGGCGGAGGTTGCAGTAAGCCAAGATAGCACCAGTGCAGATCTGTCCGGCCTGGGTGACAGAGTGAGACTCCGTCTCAAAAAAAAAAGAAAAGAAAATGTATCTGTTGAGGCAGGCGGATCACAAGATCAGAAGTTCGAGACCAGCCTGGCCAATCTGGTGAAACCCCATCTCTATTAAAAATACAAAAAAATTAGCCGGGCGTGGTGGCGGTGGCGGGCACCTGTAATCCCAGCTACTTGGGAGGCTGAGGCAGGAGAATTGCTTGAACCTGGGAGGCGGAGGTTGCAGTGAGCCTAGATTGCGCCATTGCACTCTAGCCCAGGCGACAGCGGGAGACTCTGTCTCAAAAAAAAAAAAAAAAAAAGAAAAAGAAAAAAGAAAAAAAAAGATATCTGTCAGCCGGGCGTGGTGGCTCATGCTTGTAATCCCAGCACTTTGGGAGGCCGAGGCAGGCAGATCACGAGGTCAGGAGATCGAGACCATCCTGGCCAACATGGTGAAACCTCGTCTCTACTAAAATACAAAAAATTAGCTGGGCGTGGTGGTGTGCGCCTATAGTCCCAGATACTCGGGAGGTTGAGACGGGAATTGCTTGAACCCAGGAGGCACAGGTTGCAGTGAGCTGAGATCAGGCCGCTGTACCCCAGCCTGGCAACAGAGCGAGACTTTGTCTCAAAAAGAAAAAAAAAAAAAAGACCTGGCACAGTGGCTCACGCCTGTAATCCCAGCACTTTGGGAGGCCGAGGCGGGCAGATCATGAGGTCAGGAGATCGAGACCATCCTGGCTAACATGGTGAAACCCCATCTCTACTAAAAATATACACAAAAAAATTAGCCGGGTGTGGTGGTGGGCGCCTGTAGTCCCAGCTACTCGGGAGGCTGAGGCAGGAGAATGGCATGAACCCAGGAGGCGGAGCTTGCAATGAGCCGAGATCGCACCACTGCACTCCAGCTGGGCAAGAGAGCTAGACTCCGTCTCAAAAAAAAAAAAAAAAAAAACAACCATGTATTCAAGTCAAGAGAAATTTGGTGGACCCAGCTGTCATTGCCTCATGCTTCATCTCATGGACTTTGCAAGTCCAGTTTACCACATACTGTTGATGGAGAAAGCAATGAAAATTATTAATTTTCTCTGTGTTCATGCCTTTAACCATGACCAGTTTATGAGCTATTTAGAAGAGACTGATCACAAGTATGTAGATTTATCGAGCTGTCACCTCCAATCAAGGGCTTTTTGCAATAAAGGAGCCACCAAATCTAATTTGTTAGACCTTCCGTGATTCACAAGATTGTATTTTCTTATGGATGTGACAAGACATCTGAACACATTGAACTTGAAACTGCAAGAGACAAATAAAAGCTCTGTTGATTTGTTCATGGAAATGCAGACCCCCAGCTGGACATGCGGATTGGGCAGATGATGACTGGAAACCTCTCATTTTCCATTGCCAAACTGTCTTGAGTTCAATGCACTCATAGATTTTGAAGAATGCTGCACTATATTTGGTAGGAAATAAGTCACAATTGCATGAGGATTCTTTTCCCTGGATACAGGAGGAGGGGTGCAGAAGAGAGTTTCAACCACAGGGCCCTGAGAGCCCAGGAAGTGAGGAAGGAGCCTCTCTCACTTAGGTGAAATATGCGGAGCCAAGAACCTGCAAGCCAAAAAGACCAAAGCAGTAACAGGAGGTCAGAGCCAGTCCTCAGGCTTGGGCCAGGCTCGGTAGATGCCAAGCATGGTTGATTGCCTTGCGTTTCCTGTAGCAGCCTTGGTATAGTGCAGAAGGCCCAGGTGAGTTTAAGGCACAGTGATGGGATGGTCAGAAGAGACTCATAGGTTTTTTTCCTTTTCCTTTCTTCCTTCCTTTCTTTCTTTTCTTTCTTTCTTTCTTTCTCTTTCTTTCTTTCTTTCTTTCTTTCTTTCTTTCTTTCTTTCTTTCTTTCTTTCTTTCTTTCTTTCTTTCTTTCTTTCTTTTTCTTTCTCTCTCTCTCTCTCTTTCTTTTTGAGATGGAGTCTTGCTCTGTTGCCCTGGCTAGAGTGCAATAGCGCGGTCTCAGCTCATTGCAACCTCTGCCTGCCAGGTTCAAGCAATTCTCCTGCTTCAGCCTCCCGAGTAGCTGGGATTACAGGCGTGTACCACCACGCCCAGCTAATTTTTGTATTTTTAGTAGAGACAGGGTTTCATTATGTTGGCCAGGCTGGTGTTGAACTCCTGACCTTGTGATATGCCCTCCTCAGCCTCCCAAAATGCTAGGATTACAGGCGTGAGCCACCGCACCCAGACGGGTTTTTTCTTTTTATATAACACCTTATTGAGTTATAATCCACATACCACTAAATTCACCTCATTCATAGGTTTTGATGAGTATAAACAATGTTTTATTTTCATAAACAAAAGAATGTAATTTTAAAGACATTTTTATGATTGACTTGGAAGTACAGACCTTCGTTTGTATGTTTGTTTGTTTGTTTTCAGAGGGAGTCTTGCTCTGTTGCCAAGGCTGGAGTGCAGTGGTACAATCTCTGCTCACTGCAACCTCCGCCTCCCAGGTTCAAGCGATTCTCCTGCCTCAGCCTCCTGAGTAGCTGGGATCACAGGTGTGTGCCACCATGTCCAGCTAATTTTTGTACTTGGTCTTGTGATCTGCCCGCCTCGGCCTCCCAAAGTGCTGGGATTACAGGTGTGAGCCACTGCGCCTGGCCCTTTTATTTATTTATACCCTGCCTGCAACTAAATTATGAAACCTACTACTAGAGTGTGTCAACATTCAGCTCAGTGAACTGGAGCAACCAAGAAGTACACCATCCCCCAGGTTTTTTTTTTCTTTTTTGAGATGGACTCTTGCTGTGTCGCCCAGGCTGGAGTGCAGTGGCTCGATCTCCGCTCACTGCAAGCTCTGCCTCCCAGGTTCAAGTGATTCTCCTGCCTCAGCCTCCCGAGTAGCTGGGACTACAGGCATGTGCCGCCACGCCCAGCTAATTTTTTGCATTTTTAGTAGGGACGGGGTTTCACCATGTCAGCCAGAATAGTCTCTATCTCCTGACCTCGTGATCTGCCCGCCTCAGCCTCCCAAAGTGCAGGGATTACAGGCGTGAGCCACCGCGCCCAGCCACCATCCCCCAGGTTTTGCAGGTGACGTTTATCCCAATTGCTCAGGCTAGATGGCCAAACTCTAGACGAGATTAGGGTCTTCGTGATGCAGCTGAAAGCGCATTCTCTTTCTGACAACTTCCAGAATGAAGCTTCCATCAGGAGTCTGTCTCCAGAGCCAGCATGAGACAGGCCCAGGCTGAATAGCTCCCGCTGTTCCAGTTTATTTTGTTAAATACCAATGTTCTATTCTTATTATTGGATCAGTCAGACTTGACCAATGACCAACAGTAGGCCTATAAATATGCACTTTTGAGTGAATACAGTTGATACAACTTTTGGGGGTGCTTTTGTATTACTGTCTCCACAATACATATTGTTAAATAAACAACAAGCCATATTTCACCATTATTATTGATTTATGTGGCCCGTACATATCTACACCTTTTATTATGTAACCTACAATGGAGAAACATTGCCTTAAACAAACTTCTCTAAAATTTCAGGTCTCATGGCTAGATTTGTGATCAGAACTCCATGGTGGGTTATTTAAAACTGTAATCTCTGACAAGGGCTTAGAGAGCTAGTATTTTAGCTCTAAATTAAAAATGTTTATTGAAGGCTAATGCATATATTTTGGAAACCAATAGCAGAGGTGCTTTGTAGATATTCTATTACAAAAATTGAGAAGCTCGACCTCTGGTCTTGCCTGAATGGGAGGTCGTAGGAGCTCTCATGGAGGTGGGCCATGAAGCTACTTGCAGTGAAGCCCAGATCTTTCTCAGGAAATAGTTTTGGCCCTTTGCCAACATGTCAAAAAAATGCTTCATTGAGTCCCCATGTTCCATAATACAGAGCAGAGCATTAATCAGTCACTTTCCATGGTCATAGAAAAACCTCAATACTATTGCAGCACTGCAAAGGCCACATGAAGGACCCCTTTGAGAAGTTGGGGTGGTGCTTATCATTCAAAAGCAAGCTTAGGCCAGGCATGGTGGCTCACGCCTGTAATCCCAGCACTTTGGGAGACTGAGGCTGGCGGATCACGAGGTCAGGAGTTCAAAACCAGCCTGACCAACATGGTGAAACCCCGTCTCTACTAAAAATAGAAAAGTTAGCCAGGCATGGTGGTGTGCACCTGTAATCCCAGCTACTCAGGAGGCTGAGACAGGAGAATCACTTGAACGCGGGAGACAGAGGTTGCAGTGAGCTGAGTTCACACCATTGCACTCCAGCCTGGGCGACAAAGCAAGATTTTGTTTCAAAAAAAAAAAAAAAAAAAAAAGCGAGCTTAGATGAGGGGTGTTTTATCCTTTCTGACAAGATCTTATCCACACTTAAGCCAAGAAATTTCTGCCTTGCTTTAGAGATGTCTTCAAAACCCCCATGCCCCATGTCTCCGCAGAAAGAACTACCCCTTCCTCCCCCACATACACATCCCTACTCACCCTCAGTTTTGACTCCAGTTCAAGATAATAGATTCACACTATTGGAATCCACCCCTGTGCTTTTGTTGACATCTGGCATTTCCCAACCCATTTCTGGTTACCAGTGTTTTGTTCTTAGACCTCATTCTGATAATTTGATAATTTCCTTTGCCTATTTTACCCAGCCACTTCCTACTGCCATTCAGGCATCAACTTAGGTATCAACGCATCTGTAAAGCCTTCCTTAATTACCTGAGTCTCAATTGGGTACCCATCCTGAGGACCCCATTCTTTTCTTCACCACTCTGTATTATAATAACCTATGTGACTTTTCATCCCCCAACTCCCACCCAGACTGTACATTCCATAATGCACTTGTTCACCACTGTTTCCCAATGTCATGTACAGGTCTCAGCACACACAAAATGTTCTATAAATCTCTATTGAATAAATGAATGAATGAATGTATTCCACCAGTTTATTCACCCCTTTAAACCCTGACTGTATCCTTGACTTGGTCTCTCAGCTGAAGGCTGACACTGTGGAATGTCTGATTTTAAGTAACATGACTTCTCCATGAGTCTGCTTCGTTGAATTAGCTGCAAGTCAATATGCCCTCAGGTGACTGAATCTATTTTATAAAGTTATTTAATATTGACCAATTGAGTTACAGAAAATATGTGCCAAAGTCAGGGGTTACAATTTTATCTTGATTATTTCTAACAGGAGTAAAATACCATGACTGATTATCTTTTGAGGTCTCTCTTGGCAGGTAATGATAAAACCTTGTCACCAGCTTCCTAAAGGTCCCTGAATGTGTATTTGCCATGGCAGGGAAAATATCTGTCCAGGTGATTGAAACACACATTCAAATCACTGGAGTAGAAATTTAAAAAGAAGGGCGGGGAGTGGTGGCTCATACCTGAAATCCCAGCACTTTGGGAGGCCAAGGTGAGAGGATTGCTTGAGGCCAGGAGTTAGACACCAGCCTGGGCAACATAGGGAGACCCCTGTCTACACAAAAAACTAGCTGGGCATAGTGGCGTGAGCCTGTAGTCTCAGATACTGGAGAGGCTGAAGTGGGAGGATCATTTGAACCCAGGAGGTCAAGGCTACAGTGAGCTGTGATCATTGCTCCACTGCACTACAGCCTGGGAGACAGAGCGAGACCCTGTCTCAAAAAAAAAAAAAAAAAAAAAAAAAGGGAGGTGCTGGGTGCAGTGTCTCACACCTGTAATCCCAGCACTTTGGGAGGTGGAGGTGGGTGGATCACTTGAGGCCAGGAGTTCGAGACCAGCCTGGGCAACATAGAGATACTGTCTTTACAAAAAATAAACAAAAAAACGTAGCCAGGCATGGTGGCGTATGCCTGTGGTCCCCGCTACTTGGGAGGCTGAGGTGGGAGGACCAGCTGAGCCCAGGAGGTTGAGGCTGCAGTCAGCCATGATTGAGCCACTGCACTCCAGCCCGTCTCCAAAAGAAAAGAAAAGAAATGTAAAAAGAAGGGAGCAGGCCCTTTGCAAGTGTTTTCTGTCCTATTATGATATTTTAAATACTTAGTTGTAAAGATGAAATTGGCTGGGCGCGGTGGCTCAAGCCTGCAATCCCAGCACTTTGGGAGGCCGAGGCAGTCAGATCACGAGGTCAGGAGTTCGAGACCAGCCTGGCCAACATGATGAAACCCTGTCTCTACTAAAAATACAAAAATTAGCCGGGCATGGTGGCACTCGCCTGTAATTCCAGCTGATCAGGAGGCTGAGGCAGGAGAATCACTTGAACCTGGGAGGCAGAGGTTGCACTGAGCCGAGATCGTGCTACTGCACTCCAGCCTGGGAGACAGAGAGAGATTCCATCCCAAAAAAAAGATGAAATTAGGAGTGTTACCTGGCCACCGAAAGACCACACAGGATGCTAATACCTTGGTGAATATACTAAGATCTACAGTTTGTTCCTCGTCTTTGCAATTTAAAACACCTCAGCTTCCGAAAGATAATTCATGCTAGCCAAATTCACATTCATCAAAGCAGAGTGACAATTTAGTAATTTACAATAAAATGAAGAACACTAAGGGCAAATATCATAAAGGGAAGTATTGATAGATTTGACTGCATAAATATTTTAAAACTCTTATACAAAAATCCACCATAAGTAAATGAGAAAGGATTAATATTCATATGTACACAAAGACCTCTGTGAATTCCCAAGAGAAAGATAAGTGTTTCAATATAAAAGTGAGCTAAGGACATGTACAGGAAATTTATAAAAGAGAAGATACAATTGGCTGATAACTACGAATTTCAATTCTTCTTTCTCCTGTCAGCAGTGTGCTACAGCCTGCTTGCGGGGCTTGAAACGTCACATAGATAGCCTGAAATCAGTCATAGTGAGAGTATTTTACACCATGGAAATCGGCAAATGATGCACAGCAGGGTTGTTGTTTGTTTTTTTCTTGGAAAGCCAATTACTAAACATTTACCAGCCCAGTACTCTGTGTATTCAATCACTACCTTTCACCGGAATCCTTTCCAACAACATTTAACATTCTCATGTCTTTTCTGCCATCTTTCTTTTATTATTATTATTGTCTATTTTTTGAAACAGAGTCTCACTCTGTCACTCAGGCTGGAGTGCTATGGCGTGATCTTGGATCACTGCAACCTCTGCCTCCTGGTTTCAAGCAATTCTCCTGCCTCAGCCTCCCAAGTAGCTGGAATTACAGGTGCCCACAACCATGCCTGGCTACTTTTTGTGGTTTTAGTAGAGATGGGGTTTCACCAGGTT
This sequence comes from Homo sapiens, assembly GCF_000001405.40. Classification (NCBI taxonomy): domain Eukaryota; kingdom Metazoa; phylum Chordata; class Mammalia; order Primates; family Hominidae; genus Homo; species Homo sapiens. The sequence goes on along the minus strand of NC_000023.11, from coordinate 119,706,426 downwards.
GGCTAGGCTGGTCTCGAACTTCTGACCTCAAGTGATCTGCCTGCCTTGGCCTCTCAATGTGCTGGGATTACAGGCGTAAGCCACCACGCCCAGCCTGCCATCTTTAAAGAAACTCTGACCTCTACATCCTTCTCCAGCTACCATACCATCTCTGTTTTCCTTTACAGCCATGTTGTTTTTTCAAATTGGCTATATAGTACTTGCTGAATCCATTTGCTCATTTCCCAATCATTCTTCAGCATACTTGAGCCTTTTTTTTTTGCCACCATCACACTCCCAAAACAGCTCTTGATTAGCTCAATGAGCTCCATGAACCCTAAATTCTATGGACAGTTTTCCCTTATCTCCCTTGACCTTTTGGCAGTTGGCAATATTCAGCTCTTTTTTTTTTTTTTTAAAGAGATGGGGTCTTTCTATGTTGCCCAGGCCGGTTTCAAACTCCTGGGCTCAAGTGATCCTCCTGCCTTGGCCTCCCAAAGTGCTGGGATCACAGGCATGAGCCAATGCGCCCAGCCAGGATTCAGTTTTGTTGACCATTACCTTCTTGAAATCCTCTTGTCCTTGGGTTTCAGTGGCATGTGGTGGTCTGCATTTTCCTCCATCCTCTCTGGCTTCTCCTTTTCAGGTTCTTCCTCCTATTTTCCATCTCTTAATGTTGAGGTTTTCCAGGGATTAGTCTTGAGTCCTCTAGGTCATTTCATCTATTCCCATGGGTTTAAATACCACCTGCAAACCAATGACTCCTATACTTTTATCTCTCCTCTGAGCTGTAATTGCGTACTCGACATCTTCCCCTTCAATGCCTCAAAAGCTTCTCAAACTCAACATGTCCCAAACTGGTGCCAAAGACTTTCTCCTTCCTCCCCAAATCAGAGGTTCTCCAGTGCTCCCCATCTCAACAAAATGTACCACCACATAAGCCAGAAACCTCAAAGTTGTCCTTGGCATCTCTGTCTTCCTCATCCTCCACCTCCCATCACCAAGTCTGGGTTGTCTTTCCCTCCTAAATATCTCCCAAAGAAGTTTTCTTTTCTCCATTTCCACTTCCAACACCCTAGTACAAGCCCGCATGATCTCTCAGCTGGACCACTGCAATAGCCTCCTAACTGACCTTCCTGCCTCCACTCTTTTTGCCTTTCAATACACTGTCCACACTGAAGACAAGGGAACTTTTCAGAACATGGATCTGATTATGTCACTCTCCTGTCTTAAGACTCTCAGTGGCTTCCTGTTGCTTCCTGTTTGCTTTTTATATTGTTGGATAAAAATATCCCCCTTAATGTTGGTCTAGGGGCCTGTGTGATCTTGCTCTATGCTCACCTCTTCAGTCTCATTTCATCCTGCTCTGGTCCCTGTGCACTTCAGCCACATCAGCTTTCTTTTCTTTTTGTTTCTTTCTCTCTTTCTTTCTTTTTTTTTTTTTTTGAGATAGGGTTTCGCTCTGTCGCCCAGGCCAGAGTGCAATGGTGCAATCACAGCTCACTGCAGCCTCCACCTCCAGACTCAAGCAATCCTTCCACTTCAGCCTCCCAAGTAGCTGGGACTACAGGTATGTGCTACTATGCCTGGCTAATTTTTTAACCTTTTTTTTTTTTTTTTTTTTTAGAGATGAGGTCTCACTATGTTGCTCAGGCTGGTCTCAAACTCCTGGCCCCAAGCAATCCTCCTGCCTTGGCCTCCCAAAGTGCTAGGATTACAGGTGTGTGTCACCACTCCCACCCTCTGTTTCTTGCATAGAGTTTTCATACATGCTCTTTCCTTTGCTTGGAATGCTCTTCCTACTCCCATCCTCCCTTTACCTTGCTCACACCCATTTAATCTTCTGATCTGAATTCAAACGTCACTTCCTCCATGAAGCCTCATAGATGGACATACTAGACTGCTAGACTAAGTCAAATCTGTCCCCATCCCACCCCACCACCATTATAGGCTCTCAGGGCACCATGAGTATCTCCTAGGTGCTCTTATTGCAGTTTTATTTTTTCATTAATGTGTGTGATATTGTTTGCTATCTGTCTTCCCTATTAGACTGTAAGCTCCATGAAGTCAGGGACCAAGTCTGCTTTTGCTCACTGTTAATCTCCAGCACTTAGTCTAGGACTTGACACACGGTAGGTACTCAATAAATATTTGTGGGATTAATGAATCACATAGTGACCTTTGTGTATAGGAAATACATAAAACTATGCAAGCTAGTATTTTTCCTTTTGCTATGCCTTCCAGAAAGCTAAAAATCATATTTAAAGCTTGCGATGGTTAATTTTATATGTCAACTTGACTGGGCCAAGGGATTCCCAGAAATAGGATGTGTCTGTGAACATGTTTCTGGAAGAGATTAGCATTTGAACTGGTAGATTGAGTAAAGCAGATGGCCTTCCCCAATGTGGGCATCATCTAATCTGTTGAGGGCCTGAATAGAAGGAAAAAACAGATGAAGCTGGGCCCAATGACTTATGCCTGCAATCCCAGTGCTTTGGGAGGCTGAGGCAGGAGGATTGTTTCAGACCAGGGGTTCAAGATCAGCCTGCACAACAAAGTGAGACCCTGTCGCTACTAAAAATAAAAAAAATTAGCTGGGCATGGTGGCAAGTGCCTGCAGTTCCAGCTACTTGGGAGCCCAAGGCAGAAGGAATTCTTGAGCTTATGAGCCCAGGATTTTGAGGCTGCAGTCAGTGAGCTATGATTGTGCCACTGCACTCCAGCCTTGGGGACAGAGTAAGATCCCGTCTCTTAAAAAAATGCAGTGGAAGATTGAGTTGCCTTTCTTTCCCTAACTGTTGATCTGAGGCATTTCTCTTCTCCTGTCCTTGGATCTTTTTTGTTTTTTTAAAGACAGAATCTCACTCTGTGGCCCAGGCTGGAGTGCAGTGGCATGATCTCAGCCCACTACAACCTCTGCCTCCTGGGTTCAAGTGATTCTCCTGCCTCAGCCTCCCAGGTAGCTGGGATTACAGGCCCCTGCCATCACTCCCGGCTAATTTTTGTATTTTTAGTAGAGATGGGGTTTCACCATGTTGGCCAGGCTGGTCTCGAACTCCTGGCCTCATGTGATCCACCCGCCTTGGACTCCCAAAGTGCTGGGATTACAGGCGTGAGCCACCATGCCCGGCCTCTTTGGACTCTTGGGCTGGCACTTACACCATCAGATCTTCTGGTTCTCAGGCCTTTGGATTCGAACTGGAATTTTGTGCCCCTGACTTTCCTGGTCTCCAGGTTGCAGATGGTAAATTGTCGGGCTTCTCAGACTCCATAATCATGTGGGCCAATTCTTTATAATAAATATCATATATGTTAATATAATAAGTATATAAAATTAATATACATATATTCTGTTTCTCTGGAGACTCCAGTGTAATACAAAGCTGAATCATAGCAATTATATCAACCCACTAGAAATAGCATATTTGAATTCTCTGTTTTGATCCTGATGTACCCATAAAATCTGTTTTGGAATGAGATGTGCGTGTGTGTGTGCATGGGTGTGCACATGTATCTGTGTACACAGTGTATGGGTACAAAAAGAAATCAGTACATAAATGCAAAGTATTGAGAGCTTGATATAAAATGGATATCTCATCTTGATCAATGAGTAATGGTGGTGATGGTGAAGCCAATATCTCACCAAGGTGTCATTATCATCTTTTTCTTTCTTTCTTTCTTTTTTTTTTTTTTTTGAGACGGAGTCTTGCTCTGTCACCAGGCTGGAGTGCAGTTACGTGATCTCGACTCACTGCAACCTCCACCTCCCAGGTTCAAGCAATTCTCCTGCCTCAGCCTCCCGAGTAGCTGGGACTACAGGCGAGCGCCACCACGCCCAGCTAATTTTTGTACTTTTAGTAGAGACACGGTTTCACCATGTTGGCCAGAATGGTCTTGATCTCTTGACCTAGTGATCCGCCCGCCTTGGCCTCACAAAGTGCTGGAATTACAGGCATGAGCCACTGTGCCTGGCCTTTTTTTTTTTTTTTTCTGACAGACTCTTGCTCTGTTGCCCAGGCTGGAGTGCAATGGTGTGATCTCGGCTCACTGCAACCTCTGCCTCCCGGGTTCAAGCGATTCTCCTGCCTCAGCTTCCCGAGTAGCTGGGACTACAGGCGTGTGCCACCATGCCCGGCTAATTTTTTGTATTTTTAGTAGAGACGGGGTTTCACCATGTTAGCCAGGATGATCTCAATCTCCTGACCTCATGATCCACCCGCTTTGGCCTCCTAAAGTGCTGGGATTACAGGCGTGAGCCACCACGCCTGGCTCATTACCATCTTTTTCTATCTGTCTCTTATTTTTCTGTGTCTTATTTCAATCCTCTCACAGTCTTTGTGACTTGTCTGTGGAGAACTGTGAGGCCACTGGGTACAGACCTTGTTTCTCTCAATTCTCTACCATATCTATGGGTTGTTGATCAGTATCACTCAACTTGCAGAACTCGGTGTCTTTGTAAACTTTTTTTTCTTGTGAAATATAACATACATCCAGAAGAGTTCCTAAAGCATAAAATACAGCAGAATCAATATTGATAAAGCAAACACCCATGTAAAGACCACCGGGAAGTAGAACATTGGTATTTATTGTCTGTACTACACCTTGGATACTGCCTTATGACGTATTTGGTATTTGCTATTTGACTTTGTGTGTATGTGTGTGTGTGTGTGTGTGTGTGTGTAGTCTCCCCAGTTAGACACCAAGCTCTTTCAGAACAAAACTATATTTTTTCTGGATATACCCCACCATTCCTTTTTTAGGTTCGGGGGTACACGTGTAGGTTTGTTACATGGGAGTGTTGCATGAGAAACTAGACTTTATATTTCTTTTCTTTTTTTTTTTTTTGAGATGGAGTCTCGCTCTGTCTCCCAGGCTGGAATGCAGTGGCAACATCTCGGCTCACTGCAACCTCTGTCCCTGCCAGGTTCAAGTGATTCTCCTGCCTCAGCCTCCCGAGTAGCTGAGATTATAGGCATGCACCACCACGCCCAGGAAATTTTTGTATTTTTAGTAGAGACGGGGTTTTACCATGTTGGCCAGGCTGGTCTCAAACTCCTGACCTCATGTGATCCGCCCGCCTCAGCCTCCCAAAGTGCTGGGATTACAGGCGTGAACCACCGCACTGGCCTAGACTTTATATTTCTTTATACATACTACAGTGCCTAGTGGAGGGTCCTAGATATGGCAGGTGCTCAATACTTTCTACAAGATCGTACTCTATGGCTCTGGGAATACTGCTGAGCAAACAACAGTTGTTTGGGGGAATACAAAATTATATCGTTTGTCTAAATCAGTGTGTATAAACCAGGGTATAAGGATAACTAGTATGTCATGATGTGGGTGGGAAGCCCAGCCTTCTCTTGAGTTCCAGGTCTTGCCTAGCTGAGGACTATTACAGTACCCTGCTAACTAGTCTCCCTCTAGTCTTTTTTTTTTTTTTTTGGCTCACTGCAACCTCCAACTCCCAGGTTCAAGCGAGTCTCTTGCCTCAGCCTCCCAAGTAGCTGGGATTACCAGCGCGTGCCACCATGCCTGGCTAATTTTTTTGTATTTTTAATAGAGACGGGGTTTCACTGTGTTGGCCAGGATGGTCTCGATCTCTTGACCTCGTGATCCACCTGCCTTGGCCTCCCAAAGTGCTGGGATTACAGGTGTGAGCCACCGCGCCCGGCTTCCTGCCTCTAGTCTTACCTTCATTCAATCAGTTCTTCATGTGGTGACTCAAGTGATCTGCATAAACATAGATCTCACTCTGTCATGCCACTGCTCAATAACCATTCACGCAGTAGTTCTCCAACTTTGATGTGCCTCAGAGCCGCCTGGAGTGCTTGGTACAAATCCACATTCTTTCTCTCATACAGAGATTCTGATTCAGCAGATCTGAGGTGGGCTCTAGGGCCCTGCATCTGTTAGGAACACTATAGGTGATTCTGATGCAGCTGGTTGGGTACCACCCATTAAGAAACAGGAATTCAAAGGCTCTTTTATTCCCTACACATTGAAACTTCAGCATCCATAGAATGGCACACAAGACCTTTAATGGGTGGCCCCTTGTAATGCTGAGTCTATTCCTTCCATGCCACTCCACTCTCATGTCGCTGTCACCAGCATTTCTTGCTTGAACTGCTACAGCAGTGTCCTCACTCCCAAGTCTTGCATATTTTTCTTTTTTAGAGTTGAGGTCTCACTCTGTTACCCAGGCAGTGCAGTGGTGCAATCATAGCTCACTGCAGCCTTGAACGTCTGAGCTCAAGTGATCCGCCTGCCTCAGCCTCCCAAAGTGCTGGGATTATAGGCATGAGCCACTGCACCTGGCCCCTAACTGCTTTAATCGCCTTCTGTTCCAATCTTTTTCCCAAGCTGGAGAGAGAGTGACCTTTCAAAATTGCAAATATGGGCTAGGCATGGTGGCTCACACCTGTAATCCCAACACTTTGGGAGGCCAAGGCGGGTGGATCACCTGAGGTCAGAAGTTCGAGACCAGCCTGACCAACTTGGTGAAACCCCATCTCTACTAAAAATACAAAAATTAGCTGGACCTGATGGCACAAGCCTGTAGTCCCAGCTACTCGGGAGGCTGAGGCAGGAGAATTGCTTGAACCCAGGAGGCAGAAGTTGCAATGAGTAGAGATCGTGCAACTGCACTGCAGCCTGGGTGAGAGAGCAAGACTCCATCTCAAGAAAAAAAAAAATTGCAAATATGTTCAAGTCACTCTCCTGCTCAAAACTCTTCAGTGACTCCTCACTATTTAAGGGATAGTTTCTCCAACTGGTTCAGGTGGCATAGCATCTGGATGTGGTGGTGCTCTTTCCAGAATGTAATGAAATAATTCATATATTAAATCATGCCATATGAAATAAAACACTTTTCAAAAGAACACTTCTGCTAGCTAAAAATATGTCCACATTATGTGTGTGCAATATAAAATCATAGCCACAAGTACAGATGTCCGTGAAAAAATAAACTGTTGAATTAAGCATGATTAGTACTGCGTTTGTCTGTTTTATATTCGTTGGCAAGTTGTTCATTCATTTTTGTTACTTGCTAGCAGATAAGCAGGAGCATCTGTCAAAGATTTAGGAAAATTTATGGTTAAAAAAAGTTCAAATAGAGAAATTTCTACCCATTAACTGATTTTTTTTTTTTTTTTTTTTTTTGCACTGTGAGCATCCCATTTACATTGGGCGTAGTTCCAGGCGTTGTCTGGAGAGCAGAGCTTGAGAACCCCTATTCTGGAGCAAAAAGTGTAAGCAACTTGGTATGACCAACCTGATCCTTCCAGATCCAGCCCCATCTTATCTTCCAGTCTCATTTATAGCCACTGTCCCCTCTTCCTACCACTCCCTCTGGCCAAGAGTTAAAATTCCTGAAATGCTCTCTGCCCTTTCTTTCTGGTTTTACTCATGCTATTCTCTCTGCTGCCCCCTCTTGACTGCCAGATAAACCACCACTCATTCTTAAAGATTCAATCCAAATGGCTCTTCTTTGAGATACCTTCCCTCACCTCTCTGGGTGTCTTCCTCCCCAGGGTGTTGCTCCTGACCAATTATATCACTTATCACATTACTGGTTGTTTGTAGAGCTATCTGGCAACTGTCCTGGGAGTGTCTTAAGGTGAAGGTAGGAGTTCTTGTCACCTATTCTTTCTTGAGTCCTCTGGCACTTAGCAATTGGCAGTTGAGATTTAGTGAGTATTTGTGGAATGAATGAAAATTGCAAAGAAGGTGTATTAGTCATTTTCATACTGCTATAAAGAACTGCCTGAGACTGGGTAATTTAAAGAGGTTTAATGCAGTTCAGCATGGCCGGGGAAGCCTCAGGAAACTTACAATCATGGCCAAAAGTGAATGGGAAGCAAGGCACCTTCTTTACAAGGCATCAGGAAGGAGAAGGGCCAGGCGAAGGGGGAAGAGTCCCTTATAAAACCATGAGGTCTGGCTAAGCACAGTGGCTTACACCTATAATCCCAGCACTTTGGGAAGCTGAGGTAGGCGGATCACTTGAGGTCAGGAGTTCGAGACCAGGCTGGTCAACATGGTGAAACACTCTTTCTACTAAAAATACAAAAATTAGCTGGGCGTGGTGACGCTCGTCTGTAATCCCAGCTACTCGGGAGGCTGAAGCATGAGAATCGCTTGAACCCTGGAGGCGGAGGTTGCAGTGAGCCAAGATTGTGCCACTGCAATCCACCCTGGGTGACAGGTTGAGGCTCCATCTCAAAAAAAAAACAAACCCATCAGATCTCGTGAGAACTCACTCACTATCATGATAACAGCATGGGGGAAACCACCTCGTGATTCAATTATCTCCACCTGGTCTTTCCCTACCTCCACCTGGTCTCTCCCTTGACACAAAGGGATTATGGGGATTACAATTCAAGATGAGATTTGGGTGGGGACACAAAGCCTAACCATATCGGGAGGCAAAGTTTATCTTTCTAACTCTTCTAGTGAGCTAGCTCCTGCTGGGTTCCCTTCTATTACTTTTTTGGCACCCCCTTTCCCATACCCTCACTCCTCCCACCATAGAAATCCAACAGATCTACAATTATTGGCAATGGCCCGGCCTTCAAACTTCTCCTTCAATATCCTACCAAACCTTACCAGTCCTGTATCCCAACCCATCAGGGCTAGATTTTCAAGATAAACCAGTGGTCTTCAAACTTCAGCATAAATCAGAATCCACTGGAGCACTTGTTAAAATACAGATTCCTGGGTCCCATCCTAGAAGTTCTGATTCAGTAGGTCTCGGGTGGGGCCCAATAATTTGCATTTTTTATAACTTCCCATATGCTGCTGATGCTTCAAAGGCCACATTTTAAGAAACACTGGAAAGAAACTAAAGCAAAACCAGGGGCAGCAGGTGATAATGCAGAATTGAGGAAAGGGATCTTTAGTTCATTTTGACTCAGCCCCTTCACAGAGTTTCTGATTTAATTGGCACTGTCTGGATTTGGTGAATCCCGGATCATTTTCCCTGCTTCACCTTGTCTTCCTCCTCCAACTTTCTTCTCTTTCTTTTCTTTTCTTTTCTTTTCTCTCTCTCTCTCCCCCTCCCTTTCTTTTTTTTGATGGAGTCTCGCACTGTCACCCAGGCTGGAGTACAGTGGCACAATCTCGGCTCACTGCAACCTTCACCTCCCAGGTTCAAGCAATTCTCCTGCCTCAAGTAGGTGGGACTACAGGCATGCGCCACCACACCCGGCTAATTTTTGTATTTTTAGTAGAGACGGGGGTTTCACCATGTTGGCTAGGCTGGTCTCGAACTCCTGACCTCAAGTGATCCACCTGCCTCAGCCTCCCAAAATGTTGGGATTACAGGCATGAGCCGCCACGCCCGGCCCCTCCTCCAACTTTCTGATCTTATTTTTCAGATGGTTCTCAGGGCTTCTCCACTTGAGACTGACTCTACCATCTTTCTCGTTCTCCTATCACAAAGCCACAGTTTCAGGACAAAGCCCTTTCCTGACCTCTTAGCTCCATTTCAGTGCCCTCTTCTCCCTCCCTGCCCCTGAGTTGCTTGCTGCTCCTCTATCCAGTATTAGCACCCCCAACTCCAGCAGTGACCTGTGGAAAGCTGGGCTCCAATTAGGGCCCACTCTTATCTAGCAGGGGTAGCCATTTCTGCTCCCAGGCAGTAGAGTCTGGCTCCACAAACATTGGCATGCTAATGACAGCCACCTGCTTGCCCCTGGGAAGTCTCTGTTTGTTGCAGCTTCTTTAAGGACATGGAAATACTGAAGCCACCTCATTTACATGCTTCTGTTCATTCCTTTACTCAACAAACATTGATTGAACACCTGCCAGACACCATGCTGGGCCCAAGGGACCCCACAAGGAAACATCAAACATGAGCACATACATGTTCATGGAAGCGCCCGGGAGTCCCAAATGACTCTTCATAAAGGGGAATCTTTTGGCTTCACTCATCAACGAGGACAGACATTCAAGGAAGAAAACTCACGAACTGACCACTCATGAGCCCTCTTGCCTCCTCAGCCCTTCCATCTCCCCTGTTCTTGGGAAGGTGACCCGGGACAAAGACTGAAAGGCATGATTTCAGGCCGGGTGCGGTGGCTCACACCTATAATCCCAGCACTTTGCAAGGCCGAGGCAGGTGGATCACGAGGTCAGGAGTTCAAGACCAGCCTAGCCAAGATGGTGAAACCCTGTCTCTACTGCAAATACAAAAAAAAAAAAAAAAAAAAAATAGCTGGGCGTGGTGGTGGGCGCTTATAGTCCCAGCTGCAGCAGAGAATTGCTTGAACCCAAGAGGCAGAGGTTGCAGTGAGTAGAGATCACGCCACTGCACTGCAGCCTGGATGACAGAGCACTCCGTCTCAAAAAAAAAATAAAAAAGGAAAAAAAAAGAAAGGCATGATCCCAGAGAGTTTCCAAACCTCTTTATTGAAATGAATGTTCTGATTCACACGTCTCAGTCGTCGGCCCACTGCACTGAGTGAGATAAGGTATGTAAAGCTAGTGAGCTAACACCTCTCTCCATATTGACACACATACACTCACCATGCATTGAAATACACTGACACACCAACACATGCCAACACACACATTGACACACAGATATACAGACACACAGCTAGCACACACTGACAATACACACGAACACACCGACACATCTACTCACACATCAAGACCAACACACACACTGACCCACACCCCACCGAAGGAGGCTGGAGGCCCAGGCCCCAGGAGGGACTTGTAGCCGCAGGTGGGCAGGTATTGGAGGAACCAAAGGGTCCCAGGAGACTTGAATTAAGCACTTAGTTCAGGTCTTCGAGGTTCAGCGTTTTGGAGGAGGAGGACGCAGTGAGGTTCTGGTAGTCTCTAGGGACAGGAGGGCCGAATGGGGCATATGGATGAGACACCAAGGATTCCGTGCTCAGGTGCCCCCAGCGCTGGGCCGGTAAGTACGGAGCTTCAGTCCGCGAGGAGTGCTAAGGCGGGCGGGGCAGTGCGTGGGGGATTCTCCCGGGAGACCCGCAGCCCTCCAGTCCCCTCCCGTTCCGGCAGCAGCTTTCTGCTCTGGCTTCCAAATTCTCCCCTTTTGTCCCACCACCACCCAAACCCCAAGTCCAGATCGGGGCTAGTGACCTCGGGGCCTTTCAGTCCACCACGCCCTAGCCTTTGCCAGGGAAGAGCCCTGTCCCAGACACCCAGCCTGGAAGCCGCCAGTCACCTCTGACTCCCCGCCCCCATGCGGTTGGGGCCCAAGCCTCACCGTGGTTCCTCAGATATAGCACTGGTCCCCCGTGTCACTGCCAACCCAGTCCAGGGCTCAGGCCCTGCCCCAAAGCTCCAGAGAGTCTGAAAGACTCCAGCTGCCCCTCTTCCTTGCCACCGCCATCCGCCCTATGGCCTGCGCCTTCTGTCTCGCGGAGCTCCTCTGCGCTGATCCCTGATTTTGCCAGGCTCTTCTCTTTAGGCCGCTCCTGGGTCTCCAGCACAATGAAGGCGCACAGTGGCGCTCCCTGAATACTTGGCTCTTCATGACTGTCCTTACTGCTATTCCCTCACTGTGTCTCTTCTTTCTTCTCCCCGCCCCCCTCGCACGCATCCAAGTTCTCTGCCCTCAGCTTAATAGAGTGCCTCCTGACTGCGAGGCCCTGCACTCGGCCCTGGGATGCGTTTGCTGAGTCCTTGTTCTCCAGGCGCACAGGGTACATACATAAAGGGCTTCCCGAGAGAGTGTGAGAAGCTCCATCCAGCAGGTGGAACCAAGTGCCAGGCATGCTCTTCTTTGGCTACTCCATTTTCTTGTCTTCCCTGACTTCTCCGAGACCAGGGCCTCTGGATCGAGTCCCTTCTTCCTCTCTCTCCCTGGTTCCTTCTTTTCTTTTTCCCTCTCTCCTGCCTCCTCCTCAGCTGCTCCAGCCTTGGGCCTTTACGGGGTCATCTTCCATGCTCCATTGGGGCCCCCTCTTGGGCCCGGGTTTCCTCCATAGCCTTGTCATCCCCTCCCCCATCTGGGGTCCCTCTGGCGGGCCCAGGTCTCTCTCCCACACCAGGGAACCTGCCCTTTTGAGGAGTGGAATGTACTGTCCCTCCCGCTGGGGCCTCGGGCATGCCAAATCTGCCAGCGTGCTCCAGTGACAGGGAGCTAGCAAGAGGCCAGTCCCAAGAGAGAGGGGAGGGCGCCAAGGCCGGAGAAGTGGAGAGGTGCCCACGAGAGAGGACCCGCGGAGGTGGGCCACGGGGATAAGGAGGGCGGGCGGGCGCACCCCTGCCTTCGGAAGTTCTCTCCTCTGCGCCCTATTGGCCGCCTTGTCCCGGGCTGAATGAGGGTCAAGGAGAAATCAGGGGGCGGGACAGAGTGACTGGAGGCCGCTCCCCGTCACCCGCCCCTCCATTTCGCTCCATAGAGCTGAGAACCTTCATCTCCAGCCCTTCCTCTGGTACTAGAAGGGGTGGGTGGTCTTGCTGAGCGTCTAGGGCTGGGTCGGAGAGAGGAGGCGTGGGTTCCGTCTGTACTAGGTACCCAAAGGTGGTGAGCTTGGCTCCACGAAATTACAGCCCACAGCACCCAAGGCTTGGAAACCCCAGGGCAGAAGCAGCGTCTCAAGACCTCTAGCCTCGGACCCCACATGCCACAGCTCAGCTCAGTTGCCGGGCTGCAGTGCGGCTCCCCCCACGGGCCCCCTTTCTAAGCTCTACTGTGGAGCGGCAGGTGCCGCAGGCCTCCCCGGTACCTCGGCCGCAGCTGCGCTCCCGGGCCATGGAGGGAGGGAGACACGACAGTGGGGCATCGAGACTCCAGCGGCCAAGGCGCACCCATCTAAGCACCTTGGGATCTCGGTGGAAAGGAAGGGGGGTAACGGGGGCCGGGAGGAGAACTGCAGAGCTCGGCCGCTGAGCAGAGTATGGGAGGGGGGAGGGGCGGGGGCTCCCTTCCAGCCTTCGGGGTCTGGGGACTTAGGGATGTAAAGGAGAGCAGGGGGGTGTGACAATTCAGCAGAGGTCGGGACGTACCACGGAGCCAAGTGGCGGGGGGGGCAGAGGACGTGGTCACCGAGGGGAGCCCCCGCCCCCCTTCGTAGAAGCCTATGGCTGGGGTTGCAGGAAGAACTGGAACTGGTCTGGCCATAGGGGGAAGCGGCGCGTTAAATCCGCCCCCTCTCCATACCCTACTTTCAAGGGGTGGGCGGTAGAGGGGAGGTTGGGGTTGGAGCAGCGGCGAGGGGGCCCCTCCCTTGCACCTCCCCCCACCGGACTTGGTCGCGCCCGAAGTGTAACACTTTCTCTTTGTCGGAGGAGCTCCTCTGTTTCCTGTGCAGTAGCTCCCGTTGCGGCGGCACCCGTGGCAGCCCTGGCGGACGCAGGAGCGATGGCAGCGACCGATATAGCTCGCCAGGTGGTAAGTGCAGAGCTTGGGTGCCAGGGCCGGGGCCGAGGGCCTGGTGAGGGTCAAGGAGACCTGGCCGCCGCCGCCACATCGCGAGGAGGGCAGTGGGCAGCATCCAGGAGCCAAGGGCACGGTGGGACTTCTGCTCCCGGGGTCAGCAGCTCAGTCCCTCAGCCTGTCCCGGAAAACGGTGGTGGCGCGCGGGGGGCGGGGGGCGGCAGGGGGGCAGGCAAAACCTGCGGGCCGGCGGCTGAACTTGCATTGCCCAAGAGCCGCAGTGAGCGCCACCGCCTCCCTCGCTGCAGCTGCGGCCCCACGGCTGGGGCGTTGCCGAATGAATGGCCGTAGGAGCCGCCGAGCCCTCCGGGTCCCTGGCACCCTGGCCTTGCCGCGCCCCTGCGCACGGCTGCCCGTTGTGACCCGGGACCGCACAGGCAAAGAGGCGCGGGGCTGGGGTTAGCCTGGGGCAGAAGGCGGTGAGTGGCGAGGGGGGCGGGGAGGTGACTGGCTGGGATAGGGTTTCTCTATATGCATTACATATGTGACTGCGTCTGTGTGTGTATCGGTGTGCGCGTATGTGTGCACGCGCGCGCGCTCGTGTCTTCCCGGGCGGGCGGCGGCGGCGCCGGGGTTCTGTCTGTGACCCAAAGAAGTCCGCGTGTTTCTCTGAGTGTGCTCACCTCTGTGGTGTGTGTCCGAACGCCTCTCTGTCTGCTTGTGCTGTGTGCCTCTGGGTCTCATTTGTGCGTCAGTGTGGGGTGCAGTTGGCTGGCCTGTAGGTGGCTGGCTGCGTATTTTGGCATGTTTTGGAGCGGGCCTCTGAGGATCTGTCTCGGGTGCATGTTCAGTGTAACTGGGCTTGTGTGCCAAAACCTGTGGAGCTGGCTTCTTTCTATGGAGACTCAGGAAAATAAGTGTGAGACTCGCAAAAGCGGTGCCGTCTCTTTTTTTGTTGGCGACCGACTCTGGGAAAAAAAAAATCTTCATTTAAAGAACTGAAGTTTTCCAGCCTGGGATGTGCAGAGAAACCATGTTGAAGTGACCTGAGGCTCCATGTTTGTTTTTTAAACCAGAAGTTTGGTTGCAAAGGGCGATGAATTCCATTTGGGGGGGACACCCTAGCTATTCTATTCATCCATGGGTATCTGGGACTTTAATAAGCCCACCAGCACCCCGAGGTGAGGAAGGAGTGGGAGACAGAGGTAGGTCAAATCCCATGACACCACATACTACTTGACGAAAATCTCTGAACCACATAAAAATGTTTTTCAACCTTGTAGCTTACTTATTTAGGAAAATAGTTCATGCAATGCAACTACAGTACAAAAAAAAAGCCTCTAGGTATTTGGTGTAATTGAAATTGATTTTACAAAATCTGAAGCCAGAATCTGATAATATTTTCTCTACAGAATATGTATTAATGTCTCTTTTGTCCCTGTTTGGAAGGGCAGGATCATTTCTTCGGAACCTCCTCCACCCCCTGCACACCCTAGCACAGAGCACTTTATGCAGTCATGTTGTGGAAGGACCAGGAGTAGACAGGGGACATTCTCTGTGATGATGCAATTTGAGAGAATTTTCTTCCCCCAAGATTGGCACTCTCGTTGTTTATTGCTTTAGTGTTTTGAGGGCTCCCTCTTTTCTGCTGTGGCTTTTCTGCTCCTGGTTACCTGCATTTCAGAGATGGTATAGCTGAAGTAGAGGAATTAATCTCTGGGATTACACTAGCTCCATCCAAAAATGACGCTAATGATTTTTCATGTCAGCTAATGAATTTGCATCGACCTGTCCTCCATACTCTCACCAGTTTCTCTTGCCTGGATTAGGATTGCAGGGCAGATGTTGCAATGGGGAACATTCCAGAAGGTTGTGTGTGTTTCACCTCAGGCACAACTCAGGCAACCTAGAGATGCCCTTTGTTCTGCAGATGGGGGTGAGGGGGTGCTTTAGGGCCACTTGGTTTGCTTTGCATGGCTCCAGTTTGCTCTGGCTGGCCTTGCCATACTGTATGATGAAGAACATAATTGTACGCCAGATTCTGAAGCTGAAAGAGCAGCCTAAGCACTCGAGACCTTGTTATCGTGATAAATGGGTTTCTGGGAAAACTGACGTCACTCTCCATGCCCCCCTCCCCCAGCCAGTGAAGCTCCTGTTTATGTGTCATTTGTCTCTCTGTTCTCCTTTGTGTCTGCAATAAGTTGTAATTCACCAGGGAAGACGGAGTTAACTCAGGAGACCTTGGACATCTGGTTGCTGCTTGTTTCCTCCAAGGAACATGTATTCAGGGTTTGGGAACAGAAGACTAGAGAATAAACCTAAGTGTGGCTAGCTTAGGAATTCTTTTTTTTTTTTTTTTTTTTTTTTGAGACGGAGTCTTGCTCTGTTGCCCAGGCTGGAGTGCAAGTGGCATGATCTCGGCTCACTGCAACCTCAGCCTCCCAGGTTCAAGCGATTCTCCTGCCTCAGCCTCCCGAGTAGCTGGGATTACAGGCACCCGCCACCACACCTGGCTAGTTTTGATATTTTTAGTAGAGGGGGGTTTTCACCATGTTGGCCAGGCTGGTCTCGAACTCCTGACCTTGTGATCCACCCGCCTCAGCCTCCCAAAGTGTTGGGATTACAGGCATGAGCCACTGCTCCCGGCCAGGAATTCTTTTTAATGAGCTCTGAGACGTGGTACCATGCGAGTAAGTGCCCTAGTGTGTGTGTGTGTGTGTGTGTGTGTGTGTGTGTGTGTGTATGTGTATGTATGTGGGGGGTGTGTTCTTTCTAGAATCAGTTGAGAGTCACTGTGGGTAAACATCCTTAGTGACTAAAACAAGCCTTCAAGTTGTTGGGTAGGGCTTACATTGCACGCAGCCAACTTGGAAGTTCAATTCTGGTGCACATAATACAAGTCCGTCCCATTTGAATGAACACCACAAACGGTTTGGTGTGACAACACCATTTCTCCACTGTGTCCATATTTACTTGATTGACTGATATGTGGCCAGCACTATGGTTAGCCCTTGTCAACTGGACAAAAAAAGGTAGCAGGCTTTAAAAAACGTTCGTGATCGGACTGGGCTTGGTGGCTCATGCCTGTAATCCCAGCACTTTGGGAGGCTGAGGTGGGCAGATCATGAGGTCAGGAGTTCGAGACCAGCCTGGCCAACATGGTGAAACCCCGTATCTACTAAAAATACAAAAATTAGCCAGGCGTGGTGGTGCGTGCCTGTAATCACAGCTACTCAGGAGGCTGAGGCAGAAGAATCGCTTGAACCCTGGAGGCAGAGGTTGCAGTGAGCCAAGATTGCACCACTGCACTCCAGCCTGGGCAACAGAGCGAGACTCCATCTCAAAAAAGAAAAAAAAGAGGCCGAGGTGGGTGGATCACAAAGTCAGGAGATCGAGACCAGCCTGGCTAACATGGTTAAATCTCATCTCTACTAAAAATACAAAAAATTAGCCAGGCGTGGTGGCGGGCACCTGTAGTCCCAGCTACTGTGGAGGCTGAGGGTGTGAACCTGGGAGGCGGCACTTGCAGTGAGCCGAGATCGTGCCACTACACTCCAGCCTGGGCGACAGAGTGGGAATCCGTCTCAAAAAACAAAACAAAAAAAAGTTCGTGGCTTTTAAGCTTATAGTCTAGTTGGAATGACAAATTGTGGACACTGTGAAATAATTAAAGAACTATAGAAGATCCTTGTGATGCCCCACCTCACCCCCTGACTATGAGGTGGCTTGGGCTGCTATTAATATATATTTCGAGAGGTTCCATGACTTGTCCAAGGTAACCAAGGCACAGGGCAAGCCCCAAAAGCTGCATGTGCTGGCTCTTTTAATGAGCTGTTCCTTTCAATGTTGCATTCTGGGATCCAGACCGTAAATGCCGGCCCATACCAAGAGCATCTGGATGATTCTGGCTTGAACTAGTCCCACAATGTGAACAATGAAGCTTTCTCTAGTGGCAATCTAGGTAGTGGTCATTCTCCCAAGTGAACTTTCAGGGGCTAACTTTGCCCTACAAAGTTAGCTGGGGTTGGTCTGGGTCAACTGTCTCAGAGCAACTGTCTTCAGGTGGGGAAAAGATTGCTGCTGCACTCTGGTTTTGCTATCATCACGTGGCAGTTACCCTTTGATTCCCTTTGAGGTCTCTGCTTCAGGCGTTCCTACCACCACCCACTAAAGGTAGTATCGTACCTCAAACATAGAAAACAAAACCCTATTACCTAGCTCTATTGGTGATACAACACGGAAGAAAGTTTACATGGCCCTAAATATTTAAAAATGTTGATTCTAAATTTGAGGGGTTTTTGGACAGTCATTACATTATTTTCTAACTTCTCTGTGTGTTTGGGATGTTTCTTTTCTTCTTTTCCTTTTTTTTTTTTTTTTCCCCGAGATGGAGTCTTGTTCTGTCGCCCAGGCTGGAATGCAGTGGCGCGATCTCAGCTCACTGCAACCTCCGCCTCCTGGGTTCAAGAAATTATCCTGCCTCAGCCTCCCGAGTAGCTGGGATTACAGGTGTGCACCACCGTGCCCAGCTAATTTTTGTATTTTTAGTAGAAACAGGGTTTCACCATGTTGGCCAGGCTGGTCTCGAACTCCTGACCTCGTGATCTGCCCACCTTGGCCTCTCAAAGTCCTGGGATTACAGGTGTGAGCCACAGCGCCCGGCCTGGGATTTTTCAAAATAAAAAGCGGGCAGAATGACAATGTCCCCCAAATGCACATGGTCCCTTCTTTCAAGGAACTGGTGGAGGCAGACACAAATCACTATCTAATTATCTTTGTGATAAGTGCTACACAGGAGAGTGACTGCCTGCCATGAGATTTCATTACTAAGGGAACCTAACTCAGCAATGAATGGAGGCAGAGGGTGACAGGAAGGGCTTCCTGAGGGCTTCAAATAGGAAATGGGTAGGTGTGAAGGTGGGTGAGATCTCACATCTGCTACTGGGTTGGGAACATTTCATTTGCCAATTCACCCACTTTTATTTTCATTCATTCCTTCAGCACATATTCACTGGGCACTGATCGGCCAGGCCCCGTGCCAGGTGCTGAGGATATAGTGGTGGCCAAGGCACGCAGGAACTCTGCCCTCTCACAGCTTCCAGATGAAAGGCAGGAATAAGCCCTGTTTCCTTTTTACATCCTAAATCCTGGAAATGTGAGTGTTAGCGGTGTTCTTAATACAAAACTACATTATAGCAGAGTGATTTGTCTGTATCATCTAATGAGATTTTGATCTGCAGTCATGTGCATAGCATTTACTTTGTGGAGTCTCTGCTGTAAATTTTCTATTAATTGCTGGCTTTGTTACCAAGCATGGCCACTGCCTTTGTGTGCTATAAGGGAGCAAACCTATTGCATTAGCCTGAGCAAAGCCAATTAGGAAGATAAGTCCTCTGGAAAAAGGTATTCCCAAACTAAGTAGGGCTGATTTCTGGACTTGCCTGGGTTTTTGGATGATCAGAGCCATGGTTTAATATTAGCATGAACAATTGAGAAGGGCTTTTAGTTGCATGTACATTAAAACTACATTCAAGACAGATGAGGCCAGGTGCGGTGGCTCACGTCTGTAATCCCAGCACTTTGGGAGGCCGAGGCGGG
Organism: Homo sapiens; assembly: GCF_000001405.40. Lineage (NCBI taxonomy): Eukaryota > Metazoa > Chordata > Mammalia > Primates > Hominidae > Homo > Homo sapiens. The sequence continues at coordinate 119,687,492 of NC_000023.11, read as the reverse complement.
CAGATCATGAGGTTAGGAGATCCAGACCATTCTGGCTAACACGGTGAAACCCCATCTCTACTAAAAATTAAAAAATTAGCCGGGCGTGGTGGCGGGTGCCTGTAGTCCCAGCTACTCTGGAGGCTGAAACAGGAGAATGGCGTGAACCCGGGAGGCGGAGCTTGCAGTGAGCCGAGATTGTGCCACTGCACTCCATCCTGGGCGACAGAGTGAGACTCCGTCTCAAAAAAGAAAAAAAAAAAAAGACAGATGAAAGAAAGAAAGAAGGAAAGAAGGAAAAAGAAGGAAAGAAGGAAAGCCATGGATATATATAACATGTTTCTTTCAACGATCTCGAAATGCTTCCATCTGTATGATTTCATTTTCCCCAATGGCTTCCTGGACAAGTATTACTGTTCCCTTTATTTAATGGGTGTAGGGAGACCAAGTTACTTAGTCCGAAGTGCTATTGCTGGTCAGTGGGTGATACGATTAAACACCCACCAGATGACACAGATTCCTTGTTTAAAAACACTTGTCTTTTCATGATGTTTCTAAGACATCAAAATCCTGCCATGACCTCTCTTCCCCCTCTTTTCACTACACTCCCTCAGCACTCCCATAGGGCCCAGGGAAGAGTATACTAGGGTGATTCGGAGACTCTCTGATATTAAAAAGATTCTCAGCTTAAATCCAATATAGCACAGTCACGGGTTGTGTGGGTTTTCTTTTTTATTTTTTCTTCTCCATATTGCTTTAAATAAAAATCTTGGAGCCACCAGCCATGTAATGATGGATTATTTTAAGTAACAACTGGAGTGGGGGGCGCAGAATAAATTAGAAACACAGACCCTTCCTCCTCAGTTTGGCAGGAGGAGGCTTCTGCTGCTGGGATTTGAAACCGTGGGTTTCTCTGCCGCCTGCACAGAGGAAGGAGGCCACATGCTCAGGAGGGTGAGAAATAATGTTATCCTCTTCTTCAGTGTCTTCTCATTAGAGGCAGCCATCTGCTGAATTATGCAGCGCGCTCTCAGCCGGCCCTTCCACTCACTTAAAGGTGACCAGGGAAAAGATCTGCAGGCCTTCTCAGCGAGAGGCCTCAGGGCTCAGGTTTCCCCTGCCATGGCCCTCTCTGACCCGGAATGAAGGCCCTGGGGTAACGGGGCAGAACTCTGTTTTCCTGGCCCTGATGAGGTGTGAGGTCGTGTTCGGTTTCCTTTCACATTGGAGGCCCCCAGCTCTGAACACTGGCGCTGAGGCAGGAACTGGGTTTTTTTCAGATCCCCATTAAACAAGACCAGATGGAGGCAGAGGCAAATTCAGGCTCCCCAGAGGGCAGTTGGGCATTCACCCAGAGGCCTGTGGGTAAACCTTTTCTTTTTTAGCAGATTGGAGGTAACAATAGCCAGAACACCTAGAAAACTCTCTTTCAATTGTCTGGCTTCCAGGGAATCTGGCTGGCTTTTGTGGGAAAGTTTCACTCACCCTGAGCAAGGGTCACCCCTGGCCTGAGGTGGGGATATTTGACCTAGACTTAGGCTTGTGTTAGTCTTGGGGTTCTTCAGCAGAACTGGGCAGCTGGCCAGGCTGAGACTTAGGCCGCAGTCAAAAGAGAGGGAAACAGGAGGAAAAAGTGGGGAAGTGAGTAGAGAGCAGGAACACACAATGAGTGCCTTCCACCGCATTGACTGCTTCAGTTGCCTTCTGTGGGCCAGAACCACCTTGGGGAGCTCACGGGTTTCCAGATTCGGTTCCTTGACCCTTCTGCCCCTGACCAGCATCAAGCCAGAAGCTCAATGTCCCGGAATTTTACCAGTCTAAAGAAACACATGTGCCACTTGAGTCAGCTTTTCCATTTGAGAGTGGCCGTTGGCTCGACAGGGGCCTGGATCCTAGCACTATTCTCTGTCACTAAATCAGTCTGTGACGTGAGCCAAGTCACTTCCTCTCTGTGAGTCTCTGTTTCCCCTTTTGTGAAACGAAAGGGCTGGATTAGGTGATCTTTAAGGGCGTTTCCAGCTCTAACATTGTATGGTGCTTATGTTTCCTTTTTCTCCAGCCTCATTTCTTTTAGGTCCTTGCCTGCGTCTGCTTCCGAATGAGGTGGCAGAATTGAACCCCACCCCTTCCCTGCTTTGACCCCTTGAGCTGGGTGGGGAGAGAGTCGTAGGGAAGGTCGATCTATGCTTTTAGCTCAGCAGGCTCTCGGTAAGTGGAACAGAAACAACCCTTCAGATATTGCCTGTCCATGTAGGTGTAGATAGCTATTGTCTTCCTATAAAGGTACATGACAGCTGAATGTTTGTCTATTGAATCCTGCTTTCAATGCAGTAGAAGAGCCGGCTACTTAATGGAATCCTGCTGTGAATCCTTTTATAGAATGAAAAGCCACTCTGGAATTTATCTTGTGTATTAAAATCAGTTTCATCTATTGGATTTGCCAAAAATGGGCCTCCTCCTCTGTCTGGTAAGGATAGTCTGTCTTGTGCTTCTTCAGCACAACTGCTCCCCAACTGAAGGGCATTTCTGAGGCCCCTTGGGGGTGCTGCCAGCTTTTGCAGGCCTTATTTCTCCTTAGAACAGCCCCCACATTTCTCTTTCCCAGGATAGGGCATTGCTACTACTCAGTTTCCTCTTAGCCTGGCTTAATTAGCATGAGGGACATTCTGATATTTGATGTGTTGGATGCATTTGAGAATTGTTTTTAAAACCTGTGGGAACTTGGCTGTGTGCGGGGGCTCACACCTGTAATCCCAGCACTTTAGGAGACTGAGGCGGGCGGATCACCTGAGGTTAGGAGTTCGAGACCAGCCTGGCCAATATGGCAAAACCCCGTCTCTTCTAAAAATACAAACATTAGCTGGATGTGGTGGTGGGCGCCTGTAATCCCAGCTACTCGGGAGGCTGAGGTAGGAGAATCACTTGAACCCTGGAGACGGAGGTTGCAATGAGCTGAGATCGTGCCACCGCACTCCAGCCTGAGAGAGACAGAGTGAGACTCCATCTCAGAAAAAAAAAAAAAAAAAAAAAACCTCTGGGAACTTATCAGTGCTTTTGTGGTTCTTATGACATAATACAGCGGCATCCTTGGCAGCATTGGAGGCAGCAGAGGAAGCTATCAGCTACCTGATTGTTTCATCAAGACTTTTTGCTACATGTTTCAGGATATATGATTTGACTTCTGGTTCACATGAATCATTATAATAAGAAATTATACTGTATGACAATAAGTTATATATATAATATGTAATAATAAGTTATAATAAGGGGGCTGGGCACAGTGGCTCACGCCTATATTCCCAGAACTTTGGGAGGCCGAGGCGAGTGGATCACCTGAAGTCAGGAGTTCTAGACCAGCCTGGCCAACATGGTGAAACCCCATCTCTACTAAACTAAAAATACAAAAATTAGCTGGGTGTGGTGGTACACACCTGTAATCCCAGCTACTCAGGAAGCTGAGGCAGGAGAATCGCTTGAAACCAGGAGGGAGAGGTTGCAGTGAGCTGAGATCGCGCCACTGCACTCCAGCCTGGTTGACAGAGTGAGACACTGTCTCAAAAAAAAAAAAAAAAAGAAGTTATAATAAGGAGACTAATAGGGTTTTATTGTATTTCTGGTAAAATAAATGTTTTATATACAATAAAACTGCCTGAAAGCTAAATGCTCTGATGACCCAAATTGTCAGGCACCTTTTTGGTTGTAGTTCAATATTTTTCTAAAATACCTGAGGCCACTTTCCTACCCAGGAAAGTATCATCATAGAATCTTTTTTAAAAAAGTAACATTTTCCCTGTTTATAAAAGTAAAATATGCCTATTGTAGAACATTTGGAAAACCCAGAAAAGCAACATCACCTACAACCTCTCTACCCAAAAGAAATCACTGACATTATTTTGGCATGTGTTCTTCTAATCTTTTAAAAAATGTGTATTTTCCCCCATCATTGGGATGACCCTGTGTATACAGGTTGGTTTTCCTGTTGTTGTTTGCCTTTGGTGAGCATTTCCTTTTGTCATTAAATATTCTTAGAAAACATTTTTCTCAGCTGCTTAATATTCCATCATGTATCACTGAACCGATGATTCATAGTCTTGGAGATTTGCACGGTCTTTCAGACATCAGTGTTCAGGGCTGAGAGTGGAAATGGAGAAAAGGGAGGTGTGAGAGCTTGGGCCCACCAGTAGGTGACTGAAGAGAGTCCGGTTTCAGTGTTTCTTTTCTTTCCTAGCATTTTTGTTGTTGTTGTTTGTTTGTTTGTTTTGAGACAGAGTCTCCCTCTGTTGCCCAGACTGGAGTGCAGTTGTGCGATCTCAGCTCATTGCAACCTCCGCCTCCTGCGTTCAAGCGATTCTCCTGCCTCAGCCTCCCAACTGGCTGGGACTACAGGCATGAGCCACCAAGCCTGGCTAATTTTTGTATTTTCAGTAGAGACGGGTTTTCCCAGTGTTGGCCAGGCTGGTTTCGAATTCCTGGCCCCAAGTAATCTGCCCGCCTTGGCCTCCCAAAGTGCTGGGATTACAGGCATGAGCCACCGTACCTGGCCGCTTTCCTAGTATTTGGATGGGAATGGCCAGAGGAGAAAGTTTAGGGACAGCCTAGTCATCAGCAATGAGTTTCAAACTTTTTGCTTTTATTCTTTAGAATGACAGCTACTAATTTAGCCACCCTGGTTTGAAACAGAGGCGGGAAATTCTCCATTGACACAGATGCACCCTCAGTTCCCAGAGGCCTCAAATACGGCTTGCTTACTATCACAGAGGTTGGAAGAGGGGCCAAGGGGAGTGGGGGACAGAGGTGGCCTACTCGGGTGCTTAAGGGACTCTTTATTTTCAGTAACAGCAATGAGAGAAAGATGCGCAGCTGGAACCACCATAACTTGTTCTTGATAATATGAACCTTACGAATATTCAATTAAAAAACGAAATTGGTGTGTCCTCAGGAGAGGAGGCAGAAGAGAAAGAGAGCAGTGTTTCTGCCTGTGATATGAAATGTGGTATAACGTATTTAAAAACCACAGGTGACTGCAGATGAGGAGAAAACAGGAAATGTAATTGGGGAGGGGAGTGGGGCGCTCTCCCAGTTCTCAGGAGCACTCTTTCATTTTGCCTTCCTTTTAGCTCCTCTCAGACTCTCTGCATCCTAATTACCCCTGCTGCAAAGCTGAGTGAGAACTCTTCTTTCTTATATTAAAAATGTTTTAAAATTACATGGGTAACATGCGAATACATTCGTGCTATAAAAGAGTCAAACAATAGGGAAGCATACCGACTACTCCCTTGACTGAGCCCCTATTTCCATCCCCCTCCCCTGAGGTAGCTACGATTGTGGGTTTGGTGGCTGTATTTTCAGTCTTCTTTCTATGCATCCACATACATTTACGTGCAAATACACATCTACAGGGCTTCTGGGGCATATATGGGCTCATATTGTGCTTATAGTTTACAACTTCTATTTTCTTTTTTTTTTCTTTCTTTTTTTTGAGACAGGGTCTCACTGTTGCCCAGGCTGGAGTGCAGTGGCACAATCTTGGCCCACTACATCCTCGACCTACCGGGCTCAAGCAATCCTCCCACATCAGCCTCCTGGGTAGCTGGGACTACAGGTGTGTGCTAACACACTTGGCTAATTTTTGTATTTTTTGTAGAGACGGGATTCTGCTGTGTTGCCCAGGTTGGTCTCAAACTCCTGGGCTCAAGCGAGCCACCTGCCTCGACCTCCCAAAATGCTGGGATTACAGTCATGTAATAACTTCCATTTTCTTCTATTTTATTACAGTCGCCCTATAACTTCTGTTTTCTGTTTTATAATATGTCTTGGAGATACTCACATCAGTACATACAGAACTACCCACATGCTTCTTAATGGATGTAGAATATTCCAGAATATGCGTGTACCATAATTTGGTTAAATATTTTCCTATTGTTGGACATTTAGGTTGGGTTTTTTTTTTCAGCATTATAAACTGTGCTGTAATAAATTTCCTTGTAATAGATCTTTGTACAGATTCTGAGAGGAGGTTGCAGGGTTATGAGAGAAGTGCAATTTAAAATGGTGACTTTGGCCATTCCAGCATCTCAGTTCAGGCCTTCAGTATGGTAATATGGCACCACCTGCTACTAAAGATGAAAACTTGAGATTTACTGTCAGACATGCTGGGCCAAGTTGCCGGTTCCATCTCCTCTCGTGCACATTGTAGTCAAGGAACATTCAATTAACTGCAATCAAAGTAATCAGGCCCTCAATTAATCAGGCCACCTTAAGGAGAAAGAGGAAAGAGATAAGATATCAGAGATTTAGTGAGAGAGGAGGGGAGAAACTTCCAGGGGCTGTGCTGGGGTCAGTGTACATTCAGTTCAATGTTGTGTCCTTCTGTCCTTCCTACCTTTGCGTATTTAACTCTGAACAATGCGGACTGATACTCATAATGATGACCTTGACATCTTATAAGATTCATCAAAGCAAGGGTGCATAGTGTTTGCCAGACAGGATTTCCTAAAGTAGGAACTATACAAATACATTTTTTTTTTTTTTTTGAGACAGAGTCTTACTCTGTCGCCCAGCCTGGAGTGCAGTGGCGTGATCTCGGCTCAATGCAACCTCTGCCTCCCGGGTTCAGGTGATTCTCCTAACTCAGCCTCCCGAGTGGCTGGGACTACAGGCATCTGCCACCGCGCCCAGCCAATTTTTGTATTTTTAGTAGAGACGGGGTTTCACCATGTTGGCAAGGCTGGTCTTAAACTCCTGACCTCATGATCCACCCGCCTCGGCCTCCCAAAGTGCTGGGATTACAGGCGTGAGCCATCGTGCCTGGCCACAAATACATTTTTGAAGCTTTCTTAGCTACAGGGATTGAGACAAAAAGTTTGCTGCTTAAATCCCAGTTAGCAAGAAAAACACATTGACCAGGTTCTATGTCCCTTCTTTCCCAAACTCCTCAGTTAATTTAGGTGTATTGGACACTGGGTAACAGATACAAAAGAAATAAGGATTCTAAAAGTCACCAGTGGCTGGGCATGGTGGCTCACTCCTGTAATCCCAGCACTTTGGGAGGCCGAGGTGGCCGGATCATTTGAGGTCAGGAGTTCAAGACCAGCCTGGCCAACAAGGTGAAACCCCGTCTCTACTAAAAATACAAAAATTACCTGGGCGTGGTGGTGCACACCTGTAGTCCCAGCTACTCCGGAGGCTGAGGCAGGAGAATCGCTTGAACCCATGGGCCGAGATTGTGCCACTGCACTCCAGCCTGGACAACAAGAGAGAAACTCCATCTCTAATAAATAAATAAATAAATAAATAAATAAATAAATAAATAAATAAAATTAAGAGTGTTTATCTCTGGAGAGTGATATTATGGTTGATTTTGATTTTCTTCTTTATTATTATCTGTATGTTCTAAAATTTCTACAGTGAACATTGATTACTTCCACAAAATAAAAAATCTGATAAATGTAATTTTTTTAGTAACAGCTAATTTAAAATCAGTCTCCTCATCGTCCCCATTAAACAGGCATCTTTTCCTGGCTTTCCTATGTGTCTCCATGGTGCTGTCAATCCAAGCTCCCGGGCTTAGACCCTTGCGATTGTTCTCTCTGCCCAATCACTCCTTGAGGCTCATCCCTTCTTTTTTAATTAATTAATGTATTTATTTTTGAGACGGAGTCTCTCTCTGTCCCCCAGGCTGGCTGGAGTGCAGTGGCGCAATCTCGGCTCACTGCAAACTCCGCCTCCTGGGTTCAAGTGATTCTCCTGCCTCTCAGCCTCCTGAGTGGCTGGGATTACAGGCTCCCGCCACCACGCCCGGCTAATTTTTGTATTTTTAGTAGAGATGGGGTTTCACCATGTTGGCCAGGCTGGTTTTGAACTCCTGACCTCGTGATCCGCCTGCCTCAGCCTCCCAAAGTGCTGGGATTACAGGCGTGAGCCACTGCTCCCGGCAGAGGCTCATCCCTTCTTAAGACATCTCTCAAATTTGTTCCTTCTCTTTGAGTCCCAAGTCAGGTCAGTTCACACCAACCAGCATTTATTGTCACAGTGCCTGGATGTCACTCTGCTGGCTCAACATTATTGGAGTCATCTCCTCCTATGTCTTCCTGCTCCTAGTCTCTCTGTCCATCCAATCAAGCAAACACCCTGCAGCTGGAGTGATCTTTTAAAAACACTCCCTGTATCATGGCCCTCCCTGCTCAAATCACTCAAAATCCCCCAAATCCCATTGCTTAGGAAATGAAGTCCATACTTCTGCTTCTTAGGGCTTAAAAAATTATTTCTTTTGGGCCAGGCATGGTGGCTCATGCCTGTAATCCCAGCACTTTGGGAGGCCAAGGTGGGTGGATCACCTGAGGTCAGTAGTTCAAGACCAGCCTGGCCAACATGGCAAAACCCCATCTCTACTAAAATATACAAAAAATTAGCCGGGTGCGGTGGTGGGCACCCAGCTACTCGGGAGGCTGAGGCAGGAGAATCGCTTGAACCTGGGAGGCGGAAGTTGCAGTGAGCTGAGATCGCGCCACTGCACTCTAGCCTGGGAGACAGGGAGAGACTCCTTATCAAAAAAAAAGGAAAGAAAAGAAAATTTTTTCTTCTGCCGTTTAGGGCTCTTTACAGCACTGTCTTCAGTTTGAAAATTCATTTCCTCTCCTTTTGACTTTGGAGCACTTGAAGCTTCATGGTGCTGAATTTGTTGGAGGCCGGAAGAGGCAGCCAGGGGTGATAACAAATGGCTCAGGAAACCTCAACTCTGAGTCCACCTCAATTTCCGATGCCTGCTACATCGGAGGCTCCGTAAAGAAAGCATATCAGTTCTCATGTCCCTGACTCCCCTGCAGCGTTGCGGACCAAGAACTAGCAGTGGGAATCTTGCATCTTACTTTGTTTGCTTTAATAAAGAGAAGGGGAAATGAGAAGGAGAAGCAGAAAGGGGTGAACGTAGAACAAAGCCTTGAGTGATGTGAACCACTCATGAGGCTCAGCTGTCTTTATTTATTTTTTTTTTTTTGAGACGGAGTCTCGCTCTGTCGCCCAGGCTGGGTGCAGTGGCGCGATCTCGGCTCACTGCAAGCTCAGCCTCCCAGGTTCACGCCATTCTCCTGCCTCAGCCTCCTGAGTAGCTGGGACTACAGGCGCCCGCCACCACGCCCGGCTAATTTTTTGTATTTTTAGTAGAGACGGGGTTTCACCGTGTTAGCCAGGATGGTCTCCATCTCCTGACCTCGTGATCCGCCCACCTCGGCCTCCCAAAGTGCTGAGATTACAGGCATGAGCCACCGCGCCCGGCCGAGACAGTGTCTTGCTCTGTTACCCAGGCTGGAGTGCAATGGCGAGATCATGGCTCACTGCAGCCTCGACCTCCTGGGCTCAGGTGATCCTCCCACCTCAGCCTGCTGAGTAGCTGAGACCACAGGCTCACGACACCATGCCCGGCTCATTTTTGTATTTTTCTTGTTGTTGAGATGGGGTTTTGCCATTGTTGCTCAGTCTGGTCTCAAACTCCTGGGCTCAAGAGATCCGCCCACTTCGGCCTCCCCAAGTGCTGCGATTGCAGGTGCGAGCCACTGCACCCAGCCTCAGGTGTCTTCAGGGGACCCCCTGGGGCAGAGAATACACCAACTCTCACTGAATGATGGCATATGGTTGTCTGTTAAGAGTTCTCCACTGGGAGGGTGTGGGGTGAGATGTGTGAGGGTAATGAACTTGCCACATGGCATTCACCGGCACTAGCCCTGTCGCTTGCCCTCACAGGATCTAGTGACACCGATGGGAGTGAGATCTAAAGCTGTGTGAAGGGGCTATCTGGGAGCCGGTTCTGACAAAGTTGGCTGCTGAGAGGCTCCACCACCCTCACACCCCACCCCTTTCAGTGTGAAAATGTGCCCTTATTATGGACCTAGTCTAAAAGGTGGTCCAGCCCAACAGAAGAGCTGCCTGCTTAGTGCAGCCTGTGATGCTGGGCTGGGCCTCCTGGCACTAACCGTGCCCTTCTTGGACTGCTCTTGGCATCTTTCTAGTTATGGAAAGCTTGGTGCAGCCCCACCCAACAGAAACTGACTCCTTACATAGTACTCCCTTCTTGTCTAGCTCAGCTGTCTCAAGCTCCCTTCTCCCCTGTCCCCTCCCCTCCCCTGTGGCCGTTGGTTGGTATTTGGCACATTTCTTGAGTCCACGCTCCACGCAGGCCCCTTTTATGCTTCCCCCTGGCTCCTTGGAATCCTGTTCCAGTTTGAGTCTCCTCCTGTTTTGTAAAATCATTAACTATAAGCAGCTTTGGGCCTTGCAGGCGAAGCAAAGGCCCTCTGCTTTCCAGGGCTGGGAGTGGCTTGGCTGACCCTTAGGGAGTCAAGGGACCCAGAGGAAGCACGGAGGCAGCTTCTTGTAGCCATAGGGAGCCACAGTGTTCCATGCAGTACCCTTCAGGCTGGGGGTGTAAGGATAACCCCACAGTGAATAACAACAGCAGCTACTGCTGATTGAATGCTCACCACATGCTAGGCACTACGCTAAGGGCTTGAGGAGCATGATCCTGTATAATCCTCACACTCCTACTCAATAGTTTCCGATTTTATGGATGGGGAAAACTTAAGAAGTTTATGTAACTTGTCTGAGGGTGACACAGCCAGGAGATGGTGGAGATGGGGCTGTAACTAACACCTGCCAGATTTCAAAGCCTCTACTCTTAACCTCTACACTACACTGCCTTTGTAGGTCCTCAAAATGCTCTAGAGAGAGAGGAACAATTGCTTTTTTTTTAAGACAGGATCTTGCTCTCTCACCTGGGCGGGAGTGCAGTGGTGCCATCATAGCGCACTGCAGCCTCTACCTCCTGGACACAAGCAATCCTCCCGCCTCAGCCTCCCAAGTAGCTGGGACTACACAGGCACATGCCACCATGCCCAGCTAATTTTTGATTTTTTGTAGAGATGTTGTCTCACTGTGTTGCCCAGGCTGGTCTCAAACTCTTGGCCTCAAGTGATCCACCCACCTTGGCCTCCCAAAGTGTTGGGATTACAGGTGTGAGACATTTCGCCAGCCAATAATTGATTTTTTTTTTTTTTTGAGACAGAGTTTCGCTCTTATTGCCCAGGCTGTAGTGCAGTGGCGTGATCTCGGCTCACTGCAGCCTACACCTCCCGGGTTCAAGCAATTCTCCTGCCTCAGTCTCCCAAGTAGCTGGGATTATAGGCACCCACCACCATGCCTGGCTAATTTTTGTTTTTTTTGGTAGAGACAGGGTTTCGCCACGTTGGCCAGGCTGGTGTTGAACTCCTGACCTCAAGTGATCCCCCCCGCCTTGGCCTCCCAAAGTGCTGGGATTACAGGTGTGAGCCACTGAACCCGGCCCAATAATTGCTTTTTAAACCCTTTTCGTAATACTTACTGAATACTTCTGCATATACTAAGCTCGTTACATGTATTAGCGTTTCTGAGGCTCCCAGTCACCTCTAAGATATGCCATATTATCTCAGATGGCAGATGTGGAAGGAAACAGTCTCAGCAAGTTACTCAGCTTGTAAATGACTGAGTGGAGATTTAACCTGAGTCTGTGAATCTCGGTGCCAGCATTCTCCTCCCCTGACTCCACTCTCCTGCCCCTAATAAGCTCCTCTGTAATTTTCTCTGGAGCTGTGGCGACATTCACTATTGAGCCTAGAGGATGCCTGTCCCCAAGAATCTGTGATTTCCAAGCTGACGGGCCATTTTGCTTTGGAGCAGGGAGTAGCTGAGGGAAGAGATGACACACTGGGCCTGGGCGGGTGTGACTTCCTTGCACAGCGAACATTTGGATGGAGAAGCGAGACCCAGACTGCTTTTAAGCACATTTTCATTTTCTCCCTCACTCCTTCCAAATTAGGGTGAAGGTTGCCGAACTGTCCCCCTGGCTGGACATGTGGGGTTTGACAGCTTGCCTGACCAGCTGGTGAATAAGTCCGTCAGCCAGGGCTTCTGCTTCAACATCCTGTGCGTGGGTGAGTATTTCCATAGCAGGAAATTCTATTACAGAATATGGATCCTTAATGGCTGGATACGGCTTTGCAGGTAATTAGGTTAAATAGTGTGTCATTCTGATTTAGTTGCGAGAGTGTCTCTCCCCTCTTCTTTTATCTCTCTGCCTGTTTTTTGTAAACAGCTGGCTGTAATTACTTTTTTCCCCTGGCCAGATCAGAGTATAGGGCCATATCTTGGGGGGAAACTGAGCTATGTGAGACCCAGTGGAAATTCTGTAAGGGAGCTGGCTGGCTCAGTATGGCTGTAGAGTTCATTTTGACTACAGAAGACAGGATCCAGGGCAGAATTGGGAGGGAGGGGATAGCTGACAAAAAACGCCTGCCCACCAGCTGTGGGCAGTGGGTTGGGTCTGTTTCCTCTGTAGTTTTGCTGTGCTTGGTTTAGTTTGAGCTCGGGTGCAGGCACCACACAGCTGTATGCAACATTCTTTTATTCCCTTTACCTATCTCTCTGCCTAGACTTTTTTTTTTTTGAGATGGGGGTCTCACTATGTTGCCCAGGCTGGTCTTGAACTCCTGAGCTCAAGCAATCCACCCATCTTGGCCTCCCAAAGTGCTAGGATTACAGGTGTGAGCCACTGTGCCCGGCCTCTACCTAGACATTTAATCTCAACAGTGGGAGCTGCATCTTAGCCCCCTCTATTTGCTAATCACAGCACAAGTAGAGTGCGGTAATATCTGTGAAATGAATGAATGGGTGAATGCCACAGGAACCATTCATTATACTTTTCACTTTCTCACATTAGCTCTTTTGGACATTACCAGGACTCTGCGAAGTGAGCAGAGCAAGTAGCATTTGTATCCTCATGAAACAGGTGGAGACACAGAGTCTTGGGGAGGATAAGGGACTTACCTGAGGCAACACAGAAGAAGTGGCACCATAATGAGGACTCAGGCCTGGTTGACCCCTTGTTCCTCCCCCTGCTTCTCTAACTGCTGCCAGCAATATCTCTTGAGCACATGAAAGCACTTTGGAAACCACTGAGCACCAATCAAACAAATATGAGGGATAACGGTTCCTTCTTCAAGAATATCTTCGGCCGGGCACGGTGGCTCACGCCTGTAATCCCAGCACTTTGGGAGGCCGAGGCCGGTGGATCACGAGGTCAGAAGATCGAGACCATCCTGGCTAACACGGTGAAACCCCGTCTCTACTAAAAATACAAAAACAAAATTAGCCGGGCACGGTGGCGGGCGCCTGTAGTCCCAGCTACTTGGGAGGCTGAGGCAGGAGAATGGCGTGAACCTGGGAGGCAGAGCTTCCAGTGAGCTCAGATCGCGCCACTGCACTCCAGCCTGGACGACAGAGTAAGACTCTGTCTCAAAAAAAAAAAAAGAATCTTCTTAGATCTTAAATATCTCAAATTTGCAAACATGATCATAGCATATAATTTTCACCCTGTAACACGGGAAAGCATACCTGCATATTTCCAGTGACCTTCTGAACCTTAATGATTATATAAATACCAGAATAAAGTCTGTTTTTGTACTGGCTGAAACACTCAAACACTTTTGCTAATTGCCTTTTATTTTTGTATAGAGCGTATGGGGAACTTGTTCATGTAGTAGATCTGAACTACTACTAAATTGGATATTTTACACTTTAATGTATTCAGAAATTCTGTTTTTTCTTTCTTTTCTTTTCTTTCTTTCTTTTTTTTTTTTTTTTTTTTGAGACAGAGTCTTGTGCTGTCACCCAGACTGGAGTGCAGTGGCGTGATATCAGCTCACTGCAACCTCCACCTTCCGGGTTCAAGCGATTCTCCTGCCTCAGCCTCCTGAGTACCTGGGACTATAGGTGCACGCCACACACCCAGCTAATTTCTGTATTTTTAGTAGAGACGGAGTTTCAATTCCTGACCTCAAGTGATCCGCCCACCTCGGCCTCCCAAACTTCTGGGATTACAGGCATGAGCCACCGCGCCCAGCCTAGAAATTCTGTTTTCTCACTAAGGTCATTCATTTTCTTGGGCTCTTTATCATTTTTTTTCCTCTATCCCCAGCATTCTTTTCCAGGTCACTTTTTGTAAGAGAATTGCTACACATTCAAGGACAAGTAGAGAACAACAGATGACGGGCAGTTGTTCCCACAAGCTAGGCTCACTCCCTAGCTAAATGGCTCACTCCCACACACCAACTTTGGTTTTGTTGTCGTTGTTGTTTGAGACAAAGTGTCCCTGTGTCACCCAGGCTGGAGTGCAGAGGCTCACTGCAGCCTCAACCTCCCAGGCTCAAGCATTCCTCCCACCTCAGCCTCCAAAGTAGCTGGGATTACAGGCATGCGACCGGGCTCATTTTTTTCGTAGAGATGAGGTGAGGTCTCACTGTGTTGCCCAGGCTGTTCTTGAACTCCTAAGCTCAAGCGATCCACTTGCCTCAGCCTACCAAAGTGCTGAGATTACAGGCATTAGCCACTATGCCTGGCCCACATCAACTTTGGAACCTATCAGATGAAAATATGTGCTTCAGTTTCAATCCACAGATTTATACTCAAACTTATTTTTAAGATGTGACTTCTACTATGCATGTCCTTGTTCATAGGGAGAGAAATATACCTGGAGGCATTAGTGAATAAAACAGTACATTAAAAAAAAGAAAATATGTGCTTCACAGAATTACACATCGAGGGCCTTAGAGTCCAGATCTAGGCTGTTAATTCTTCAAATGCTGAAAGTCTAACTGATGGTTATGATTAGGTGCTATTTGGAGAAAAATGTAAAATAACTAGAAGTCACAGTAATCGACATCAAGTGCAAAGACTATCACATCCAATGTTAGCACTGCCAAATCTCTGTTTAACTAACAAGAGCTCCAATCTTTGGCTGATGGCCAACTTATTTCACATAATATTTGATTACCACAATATTTAAGCACAAACATATCAGAGTCCCTTGGCATTCTTCCCAGAACTCCATATGACCTGTACTGAAGTTGAGATGAGAAGAGAAATGACAGATCCACCTTAAGCAACCTTTCAACCAGTGCGATTGGGTGGGCTAGTAAAGCTTTAGGAGGGAGGCCATGTGAATTGAAATGGATCTCTGAGGGTGGAAGTGTAGGGTAATTTGATATGTGGAGCACAGGCTCCCCTAGGGCCCAGAGGCAGCCAAGCTCAAGGCAAAGTGGATGGGAGAAATAGTAATCCCCCATCCTCTAGTTTCCACCTAGACATTGTACAGCTATAAATGCTTCCACTTGCACCTGCTGGGATGGAATTGCTCAAGTACCCAGCACAGACCCTCCAAGAGGGGAGGAGTAGGAAGGAGATGCTCTCATCCTCAAGAGTCACAGACTCTCTTTTGCTCCCCACTTGTCAAGTTTCAGGAAATGGCTGCCTCTGTAGCTCCTGTCTTAGACTCACAGGTGCAACCATTGGATAGGCCAGCCCCGACTGGGTTAATTTCACCCCTGTTCCAAAAAACCCTGCAATGCACGCATCCTGCCCTCTTGCTGTGCTCACCACCCTGTCCTTGCTCAGAGAACCCACAATTTGGGCCAAGGTCATAAGTAGCTTAGAGTAGCTCTGAAGCTGCAATGTCAGCCCAGCCATGAGGCTGGATCCAGTCACTGACTTCGCAAAGGGTCCATAGCTTAGCTGCTGAAGGTGATCTTTTATCTTGCAGAGCTTTTTGTGATGATAGTTCATGCCTACTGCCTGTGTACATTTACTCCCTTAATGACTGTTATAACAAGATGCTGTTTGGGCATAGAATATATTTCCCCAAAGTATTTTCTTTTCTTTTCTTTTGAGACACAGTCTTGTTCTATTGCCCAGGCTGGAGTGCTGTGGCGTGATCACAGCTTACTGCAGCCTCAACCTCCCAGGCTCAAGCAATCCTCCCACCTCAGCCTCCTGAGTAGCTGGGACTACAGGCACATGCCACCATGCCTGGCTAATTTTTTTTTAATTAAAATTATTGTGTAGAGGGCCAGGCGCGGTGGCTCACGCCTGTAATCCCAGCACTTTGGGAGGCCGAGGTGGGCGGATCATGAGGTCAGGAGATCGAGACCATCCTGGCTAACACGGTGAAACCCCGTCTCTACTAAAAATACAAAAAAGTTAGCCAGGCGTGGTGGCGGGCGCCTGTAGTCCCAGCTACTCAGGAGGCTGAGGCAGGAGAATGGCGTGAACCCGGGAGGCGGAGCTTACAGTGAGCGGAGGTCACGCCACTGCACTCCAGCCTGGGTGACAGAGTGAGATTCCGTCTCAAAAAAAAAAAAAAACTTATTGTGTAGAGATGAGGTCTCACTATGTTGCCCAGGCTGGTCCCTAACTCCTGGGCTCAAGCAGTCCTCCCTACTTGGCCTCCCAAAGTCCTGGAATTATGGGCATGAGCCACCATACCCAAACGTTTCTTTTTCTTGATAGGGCATTTTTGGTGTAAAATTATGGTAGCACTAGCTTCAATTATTAACAAAGACCTAGGATATTTTTTCACACTATTGTTTATCTTGGTGCTGGGCTGCCGATCATAGGCCTACATCCAGCAAGGTATCCTACATGCATGTGTGCATGTGTGTACATCTGTGCACATATGTGTGTTGCAACTAAGAGAGAGCATTTTTTTTTTTTTTTGAGATGGAGTTTCGCTCTTGTCACCCAGGCTGGAGTGCGATGGCACGATCTTGGCGCACCAAAACCTCCACCTCCCGGGTTCAAGCAATTCTCCTGCCTCAGCCTCCTGAGTAGCTGAGATTATGGGCGTGCACCACCACACCCAGCTAATTTTGTATTTTTAGTAGAGACGGGGTTTCTCCATGTTGGTCAGGCTGGTCTCAAACTCCCAACCTCAGGTGATCTGCCTGCCTCGGCCTCCCAAAATGCTGGGATTGTAGGTGTGAGCCACTGCGTCCGGCCGAGAATTTTTGATAATCCAGAACCTAATTTATAGTAAGGATACCAATAAACGGCACCTGCAATTCTTCTTCTTCTTCTTTTTTTTTTTTTTTTTTTGAGACAGAGTCTCACTCTGTCACCCAGGCTGCAGTGGAGTGGCACTATCTCTGCTAACTGCAACCTCCATCTCCCAGGTTCAAGTGATTCTCATGCTTCAGCCTCCCTAGTACTTGGGATCACAGGTGCGCACCACCATGCCCAGCTGATTTATTTTGTATTTTTAGTAGAGACAGGGTCTCACCATGTTGGCCAGGCTGGTCTCGAACTCTTGACCTCAAGTGATCCGCCCACCTGGACCTCCCAAAATGCTGGGATTATAGGCATGAGCCACCACACCTGGCCTATTATTCTTTTTAGAGGACTAGGCACATGAGTGTGAACATATTATGACTCCTCTCCAATATATTCTCTAGGGTTGACCATAATTACCGAAGAGGTGAGGTTCCTCTTTCTCCCCATAAAAACACATATACTAGTCCCTTAGCTTTGGAAATTTCAAGGATCCCCTGATCCTAGATGCAGTACAGAATGCCTCAGAGGAACCACCAGAGCCAACAGTACAAATATTCTGGGGCCCGTTGCTTTGCACTCCTGGGAACAAGCCCCAAAGAGACTCATCCATCTAAATGCTACAGTAGCAGTCATGGCTGTGAAGAGCACAAAGGGTCATAATGATAATATTTACTTTGAAGCTGCTCAGGATTCCAGGCTCAATTGGGCTCTGTTGAACATGGAAAAAAACAGTCACACAAGAGAAGCAGGATTGAGGCTTGCTGCAGGAGGAGGGAAAGGGCAGCTAGCATTCTATCAAGGCCAAGGATCAATTGTTTCATCCCTTCATATCTGGGAAAGGCAGCTGCTTATTTGTCTAAAACAGGCTGCCAGCAGTGGTGTGCTGGTCAACGTCACAGCCCATCTCAGGAGAAAAACTGTTGTGGTTTGAAGCATCTGCTGATTTTGTTGGTGTCATTACTCCTGCCATGGCTGCTGTTAAGCTACCAACATGACATCACTGCACGTGGGCTTGGGAAGAGATGCAGGAAGCGGACGAGCCGGCTCCAGCACACCACTGCCTGCCAGGCCTCTGCAAGATCAGGAAGGAGAAAGGACAAGGTCACAGAGCCAGGCATAACCTTGTCCCTTTCCATAGGCTTCCTTAGCCAACCGGAGTTCCTGGAATGTTTCCTTTTGGGCACCTCCCTGTTGAACTCAGAGACGTTTCTCTGGGTTCAACATTCAGAACTGGAAGAGACTTTAGGTCCACAAGAACAGGGATTGTGGCTATCTTGTTCATTGCTGTATCTGCAGCTCCTATAACTGTGCCTGGCTCCTGTTAGAGTCTTTGTAAATACTCGTTGAATGACTGAATGAACAAACGTATCACGCCTATGCGTCTCGCTAGAGCACATTGGTTAAAAGCATGGACTCCAGCGTCGGCCTGCCTGGATTCAAATGCTGGCTCTGCCACTTACTAGTTTGTGACCTTGGACTAGTTACTTCTTCCACATTTTATTTTATTATTACTAGTTTTCAAAATAGACCTATTATGCTAAGTGAAGTAACTCAGGAATGGAAAACCGAACATTGTATGTTCTCACTCATAAGTGGGAGCCAAGCTATAAGGATGCAAAGGCATAAGAATAACACAATGGACTTTGGGGACTCAGGGGGAAAGGGCGGGAAGGGGGTGAGGAATAAAAGACTACAAATTGGGTTCAGTGTATACTGCTCAGGAGATGGGTGCATCAAAATCTCACAAATCACCACTAAAGAACTTACTCATATAACCAAATACCACCTGTCCCCAAAAACCTATGGAAATAAAAAATAAAACAGAGACAGGGTCTATGTTGGTCAGGCTGGTCTCGAATTCCTGGCCTCAACTGATCCTCCTGCTTCAACCTCCCAAAGTGCTGGGATTACAGGCATGAGCCACTGCGCCCGGCCCCTCCACATTTTATAGATGAGGAAAGTAAGGTGCAGAGATGCTGAGGAACTGGTGCAAATTTACACAGCTAGTAAGTGGCTTGGTTAACCCATCTATAAATTGAGGACAAATAGTAACATCTTCCTCATGGGCTTGCTGTGAGGAATAAATAAGAAAATATATGTAAAAAACTTAGAGCAGTGTCTGTAAACAATAGCTGTTATTACCAACGCTCTCATTTTATAGAAAAAGAGACTGGGACCCAGAGAGGGGAAAGAGCTCAGTTCATGTCACAAAGTAACTTAGTGATAACCTGGCTAGAAGTCTTTTCTTTTTCTTTCTCTGTCTCTCTCTCTGTCTCTCTCTCTCTCTCTCTCTGTCTTTCCTTTCTTTCTTAGACAGGATCTCGCTCTGTCGCCCAGGCTGGAGTGTGGTGGTGAGATCTCTGCTCACTGCAACCTCCGCCTCCCGGGTTCAAACGATTCTCCACCCTCAGCCTCCTGAGTAGCTGGGATTACAGGAGCCTGCCACCATGCACGGCTAATTTTTGTATTTTTAGTAGAGACGGGATTTCACCATGTTAGCCAGGCTGGTCTCCAACTCCTGACCTCAGGTGATCTACCCGCCTCGACCTCCCAAAGTGCTGGGATTACAGGCCTGAGCCACCGTCCCGCAAGAGCATAGTTTGAAAAAAAACATATTTCGTAGTACTCATATATGTTTTAATTTTTTTTAAAACTATTGTTTCCAGAATACTATCTACATTAAGCAAAGTGAGATGAAATCCTCTTGGCTGGTGGAGCATGCGTTAAAAACCTTACTATCCACTTGGAGGAGCCCTGGGAGGGCTGGGGGAGGAGGAGTGAGAAATTGACCCCTCGGGACTCCTCAGGTTTCCTGCTGGAATCGAATTGCCAAGTCTCCACCTTCCTGCAGGGGTGTGGAATCTGCTGACCTGATCCCAGTTAGGTCACGTGTGCCTCCCCCTCACAACACACTCACACTCAGTACTGGGCCCAGGGCAGCCGTGGGAGGGGCAGCATCCTAGGATCAGGCTGGGTCTGTGCCAGTCATTGACAGAAAGCCTCCCCGACCCCCAGGCTCTACACTGATGGAAAACTGGAACAGGAGCTCTCGATAGCCATAGGATGAGCTCGCTTGATTTTCTGCCCTCTCTACTATTGCATTTATCTCAATTCCCTAGACACCCGGGTGTTCTTTTCTTCCAGACGTTCATTATTTGGCATCTAATTTCCACAGCGCTTTTGTGCCAGCAGGCATTTGGGTGGTCATTTCTCCTGCTGTTCCTCCCAGCTCCCTGTCCTGCCCTGCCCGGCCCCCATTCCTCCAGCTGTGCAAACAGGGTGGGTCCCTCAACGCTGCGGTGCTGCCCCTGAGGCCTTCTGTGTGAACCTTGGGTTAGGCACTCTCGGGGGTACTGGAAGATGGCCCATCTCCTGCTCTCTGAGAATTCTTAGGATCGGGGAGCCAGGGTGCCCACTCTGGGTGCTGGGGAAACAGGACCCCCACTCCCTAGGAGCTACAGGGCATTCGGCAGGGAGCTCATGCAACAGAAGGGTTTTGGGAGTTGGGGGTAAGGATGGTTCTGTTCCATGTGCTCCCTTCTGTTCCATGGGAGGGAGTTGGGGGTAAGGATGTACATGGAAAATTCATCAGGCACATAGGAAGATGAGCTAAACTGTAGCTCAAACCTCAGTGCCCTCGAGAGGGGAGGTGAGTTAGGATGTGGGAGCCACACTGTGTTCCCACCTCCAAGGTGCTGGCCCCGTTTGCAGTTAAGGTGCACCCCAACTTTGGGTGAGGTGGGGTGTGATACATTCCACTGCTTGGCCAAGTCTGCCACCTCCCATGGCAAAGGCCCCACCTCATAAAATTCTTCTTGGGACCCAAATACTTCCTGTTCCTTTAGGGGAGGAAAAAGGGGGCCTCTTCTTCAAGAGTCTTTGCTGCTAATGGATATAGCAGACCCTGGCTTGAAACATGATCTGTGTGAGGAACCATTTCCCCACACTCTGGCAATTTACCAAGTTAGTCAGACCTGGCTATGAAATTGGGCTGGGGGGCCGGGTAGCCAGACTGAATTGAATGTTCTCCTTGTTCTCCCTCCCTCTCCCTGTCTCCCTCCTCTCTCTTATCTCTTCTCTCTCTCTCCCTTCTCTCTGTCCACACACAGAAAACTCTCATCATACACAGATATTTTAAAAGGCACCTCCTGCATTCATAGCTCATTATTTGGGATAAAAGAAGCAGGCTAGACACACCCAGAGTGGGGAGGGGAGATGGAGCATTTTCAGTTCTGCATCATGTAGCTCTAACCGTAGCCCTGAACCACCCTGCAGATGTGTGCTTTTGGTCGCAAGGCGGGGTTTGGCAGGCCACAATTTGCCCAATGCAAACCCAGTCCCGACTGTGAAGAGAAGTCGAGGCTCACATTCCCCCTGGGTTGGGGAGAGGAGAGGGAAAAACAGGGATGATGATAGCGGAATAAATGGGAGAGTAGTCTTTGTCTTCAAAGGGCAGGCCAGAGTAATTAATGATATCCTCTCTTCGAAGTGCCTGCCTCTCTACTGACTCTTTTTTTTTTTTTTGAGATGGAGTCTCACTCTGTCGCCCAGGCTGGAGTGCAGTGGCGCGATCTCAGCTCACTGCAAGCTCCACCTCCTGGGTTCACGCCATTCTCCTGCCTCAGCCTCCCAAGTAGCTGGGACTACAGGCACCCACCATCACGCCTGGCTAATTTTTGTATTTTTTTAGTAGAGACGGGGTTTCACCGTGTTAGCCAGGATGGTCTCGATCTCCTGACCTCGTGATCCACCCACCTCGGCCTCCCAAAGTGCTGGGATTACAGGCGTGAGCCACCGCGCCTGGCCCTCTCTACTGACTCTTTAATTCCTGGTATTCCTGAGTCACTTGGGGTGGGCTGAGGGGTCAAATACAGCCTGGATCTGTAGAGATTATAAGCAGCGCCCAGCCCAGTTTGTGGCCTCATATCAGATTCCTGTTTAGCCCCCTTGTCACCAACTCCTGACTTCTTGTGATGTCCCATTCCCTGAAGTCTTGTTGGCTCCTGACAGTGGCTTGGTATCCCTTGATCTCCCAGGAATAAGCTTCCAAAACCTTCACCAGTCTGCCACAGCCTTTCCCCTACTGGTTTCCCTAGTGTGAAGTTCAAGACTTTTAAAATTCCAACAGTTTGACTTATTAGTATCTCGCAGCCTAGTAGTTAAACAAATAAATGGCTAGTTTGTTTAAAATTTAAGGATAAGGGCCGGGCACGGTGGCTCATGCCTGTAATCCCAGTACTTCGGGAGGCCGAGGCAGGTGGATCACCAGAGGTCAGGAGTTTGAGGCCAGCCTAGCCAACATGGTGAAACCCCATCTCTACTGAAAATACAAAAATTAGCAGGGCATGGTGGCAGGCACCTGTAATCCCAGCTACCTGGGAGACTGAGGCAGGAGAATCACTTGAACCCGGGAGGCAGAGGCTGCAGTGAGCCGAGATTGCGCCACTGCTCTCCAGCCTGGGCAACAGAGCGAGACGCTGTATCAAAAAAAAAAAAAAAAAAGAAGAAGAAGAAGAAGAATTTTTGTGGCCTGCTGGGTCTCCCCACCCCGCCCCTCTTAGTTAAAAACGGTCTCACTGAAAGTTCAACCGTTCAACCAGGCTGGGAGGATAAGCCAGGAGCCTGCACAGTTTTCACCGTGGGGAGGCACATCTGGGGCATCCCCAGAGGGCTGTTTAGGCCTGGCAGGGAGGAGAGGTGGGGACTGGGATGAAAGGATATTTGTTTGACAAGGGACCGCTGTCTTTTTTTTTTTTTTTTTTTTTGAGATGGAGTCTCACTCTCTTGCCCAGGGTGGAGTGCAGTGGCACGATCTCAGCTCACTGCAACCTCTGCCTCCCCTGGTTCAAGTAATTCTCCTGCCTCAGCCTTTCCGTAGCTGGGATTACAGGCGCCTGCCACCATGCCTGGCTAAATTGTGTATGTATATATATATTTTTTGGTAGAGACAGGGTTTCACAATGTTGGCCAGGCTGGTCTCGAATGCCTGACCTCAAGTGATCTGCCTGCTTCAGCCTCCCAAAGTGCTAGGATTACAGGTGTGAGCCACCACGCCTGGCCACTGCTGTCATTTTTTAAAAAAATTTAAAATAGTCCTCTAATTTTTATGACAAAAACTATACATATTCCACTTAGAAAACTTGGGAAATATAAAAAAGCATAAAGAAAGGGATGAAAACCACACATAAGATCACCACTCAGAGATAGCCATTGGTAAGAGTATATTGTATTTCCTCCCAGTCTTTTTTTCTAGGCATAGCTATATCTCTCCATTGCTGCCTATAACATAATTTCTTTTTCTGACTATAAAAGCAACGTATACTTGGCCAGGTGCGGTGGCTAACGCCTATAATCCCAGCACTTTGGGAGGCCGAGGCGGGTGGATCATGAGGTCAGGAGTTTGAGACCAGCCTGGCCAAGATGGTGAAACCCCATCTCTACTAAAAATACAAAAATTAGCTGGGCACGGTGGCGGGTGCCTGTAATCCCAGCTACTCGGGAGGCTGAGGTAGGAGAATCGCTTGAACCCGGGAGATGGAGGTTGCAGTGAGCCGAGGTCATGCCACTGCACTCTAACCTGGGTGACAGAGCAAGACTCTGTCTCAAAAACAAACAAACAAACAAACAACAACAAAAAAAACAATGTATACTCAAGGTAAAATTTCCAAATGACAGAAAAAAGTTGGAAGAATAAAATGAAAATTACCTCAATTCTACTATCTGAGATGACTACTACTGATCCGTCTGTATAGTTCCTTTCAGTCTTTTTCATTTAACTGACATCATATAGTTCATCTGCTTCTGCTTTTTGCTTTATGTTTTATCATGTTCATTTTCCCGTGTCAACAAATGTGTATATGAAACATGATGTGTAAGGGCTGAATAGTCACTATGTGAACAGACCATAATTTATCCTTTTGCTTTTCAGGAGAGACAGGTTTGGGCAAGTCCACCCTCATGGACACCCTGTTCAACACCAAATTCGAAGGGGAGCCAGCCACCCACACACAGCCGGGTGTCCAGCTCCAGTCTAATACCTATGACCTCCAAGAGAGCAACGTGAGGCTAAAGCTCACGATCGTTAGCACAGTTGGCTTTGGGGACCAGATCAACAAAGAGGACAGGTAAAGAAGGCGGTGGGGTGGGGTAGGGTGGGGAGGTTGGTAGAGGGCCGCAGAGAGGAGCTCACCACAGAGATCTTGAAGACAGCACAGATATCGGGCCCAAGCCTGTCCTCCCAGAATGGTGTGGGCAGCAGCAGGTACCTCCCAAGCATAGGCCCTGTCTGGTGTCCCTGTCTACAGCAACTGTTCCACTCCACTCACTTTGCCAAAAGAAGGGTGTCTTTCTAGTATACATGGGTCAGGTCTCAATTCCATGCAGCAAACATTTATTGAGCTCCTACCTTGCGCCAGGTACTGTCGAGCTCTGACCATCTAAAAAGGAATGGCTTAGTCTCTGCCCTTGAGGGACTCATAGGCAAAACCGGTTTTAAGCAAATAATTTCCATAGAGTATAAGATGTTCTGTAAAGGACAGGGTACAAAGAGATAAAGGACAAGTTACAATGAGAACACAAAGGCGAGAACCATCAATTCCACGTAGGGAGGTCAGGGAAGCCTTCACAAAGGATGTGCCTCCTGAGCTGACTCTTGAAGGACGAACTGTTTTGCCAGACAGACAAGGGAATGGAGAGAGGGGCATCTCAGGCAGAAGTAACTGCCTGTATAAAGGCAAAGTGATGTGTAGGATTCTGGTATGTTCTAGGGAAGTGTAGCTTGCTCTCTTTGGCTAGACAGAGGCAGAGTCACTGTGAAGCTAATGAAGATTGCACAGGCCCCTTCCAAAGCTCTGTAACTAATGTTCAATCACAATGTCGTATTATTTTCCTCAGAGAGTCTTTCAGATTGCATAAGCCTAAGGGCTGGAAAAACCTGGTTCTGCCCCTGGGCTAACACTTGGAGTAAGCTTGGGGAAAAAACGGTGAGATGAGGCTGAAGAGGTAAGCAGGTGCCAGATCACAGAAGGATTTATGATCAAGGCAAGAGGTAAAATAGGTGCTGAGATAGGGAAGAGGAGACAGATTTGCTAAATACTGAGTAGGTAAATATCAACAGGACTTGGTAGGCACTTGGTGTGGGGTTGTGAAGGCAAAAGAAAAATCTAGAATGAGGCCCAAATTTCCAGCTTTGGAGAGTGGACACATGGTGATGGCATTCCGTAAGAGAACCAGGGTTCAAAATAATCAGCTCTGTTTTGGACATGTCAAGTTTGATCTGTCTGAGGAATACTGAGATACGCGATGACCTTCAGCAGTAGGCAGTTGAACACACAGAATTGGAGATGAGAAGAGGCTAGAAATAGATTGGGTTATCAAGGTAGAGGTGATATGTTCCAACCATGGACACATGTAAAATCACCCAGGGATCAGAGTAGAGTAAGAAGAACACTGGGCTAAAGACAAAAACCTCAGGATGCTAAGTCAATAGATGGAGGAAAAGACATCCTGAAAAGGGACTGAACAGGAATAAGCTGACAGGTAGGAGGGGGGACAGGAAAGATGTTGGGGGGCCAGGCAAGGTGGCTCACGCCTGTAATCCCAGCACTTTGGGAGGCCGAGGCGGGCAGATCACTTGAAGTCAGGAATTCAAGACCAGCCTGGCCAACATCATGAAACCCCGTCTCTACTAAAAATACAAAAATTAGGCGGGTGTGATGGCGGGTGCCTGTAATTCCAGCTAGTCAGGTGGCTGAGGCGGGAGAATCACTTGAATCCGGGAGGCAGGGTTGCAGTGAGCTGAGATTGCGCCACTGTACTCCAGCCTGGGCGGCAGAGCAAGACTCTGTCTCAAAACAAAACAGAAAGATGTAGGGGGTTGAGAATGTGTGTGAGTGAAGACTAGGTGAGGCTCAGAGATGGGAATGTGATGAGGGGTGGGGTCAGGTACCATCTGCATTTAACCAGAAGTCACATGGTTATCACATGTGCTCATTTCAGAAAGGGCCATTCATCATTTTAAGCAGAGGGTCTTCTCATTCTTTCAGGATTCTCTTGCTTCTTAGGTGAACTTTATGTCAAATTCTTTTATTTCCCCCTTAAAGCTACAACAGCCACACTCACTTCCTTATAATGAATAAATATATGTAGCTTCTTTTTATTTTATTTTATTTTTTTTGAGACGGAGTCTCGCTCTGTTGCCCAGGCTGGAGCGCAGTGGTGTGATCTCAGCTCACTGCAAGCTCCGCCTCCTGGGTTCACGCCATTCTCCTGCCTCAGCCTCCCGAGTAGCTGGGACTACAGGCTCGTGCCACCACACCCAGCTAATTTTTTTTTTTTGTATTTTTAGTAGAGATGGGGTTTCACTGTGTTAGCCATGTTGGTCTCAATCTCCTGACCTCATAATCCACCCTCCTTGACCTCCCAAAGTGCTAGGATTACAGGTGTGAGCCACCGTGCCCAGCCAAATATATATAGCTTCTTAATAATGGAACTGAGTTCTGTTTTGCATTTGAAATTCTAGAAAAAAGACATCTCTGCTTTTTTTTTTTTTTTTTTTTTTTTTTTGAGATGGAGTCACACTCTGTCACCCAGGCTGAAGTGCAGTGGCACAATCTCAGCTCACTACAACCTCCGCCTCCTGGGTTCAAGTGATTCTCCTGCCTCAGCCTCCCGAGAGTAGGTGGAATTAGTCACGCACCACCACACCCTGCTAATTTTTCTGTATTTTTAGTAGAGATGGGGTTTCACCATGTTGACCAGGCTGGTCTCGAACTCCTGACCTCAAGTGATCCCCCCCGCTCACCCCCGCCTTGGCTTCCTAAATTGCTGGGATTACAGGCATGAGCCACTGTGCCTGGCCACCTCTGCTTTTTATAGGCATGCTTATTGTGCTAATCTTGTTTGGTTGAGAATAAATTAAACTTTGGAGAAAGGATATTTGGGCCACAATATGAGTGCTTAATCTCAGCTGCAGATTGCTCAGAAACTTCAATTACATTTCTTACAGTTCTTTCAGTTACATACATTCAACATATCTAACATTGGACAATGCCTTGATAATAATGGCTTGGGAGGACTGAACAGATACTGCGCCTCAGAGGCAAATCTACTTCCGTTATAGTTTTAAGATATCCCTATTGTTTCTTCCCGATTATAAATGTGATACATACTTATAATAAATCAAATAAGTAGAAATGAAAAGCCTCCTTGAAATTGCACTGAGGAGCAGGGGTGGAGTAAGCTCCAGGGATCTGTAATAAAAAGCAGTGTTTTCTTCATGCTGTTAGGGCCATGTTAGCATAGATATGTCAGTGAAGCATCATTGAAACAAGGCATTAGAATATCCCGCTTTACAAGGGCTCATGCATAAACTAGGAAGAGGAATGACTAAGGCCGGATACTGCGGAAAGCTACCATTTAAAGGATGCTGGAGGCAGGGCACAGTGGCTGAAGCCTGTAATTCCAGCACTTTGGAAGGCCAAGGTGGGTGGATCACTTGAGGCCAGGAGTTCAAGACCAGCCTGGCCAACATGGTGAAACCCCCGTCTCTACTAAAAATACAAAAAATTAGCTGGGCATGGTGGTATGTGCCTGTAATCCCAGCTACTCGGGAGGCTGAGGCACAAG
Organism: Homo sapiens; assembly: GCF_000001405.40. NCBI lineage: Eukaryota > Metazoa > Chordata > Mammalia > Primates > Hominidae > Homo > Homo sapiens. Next base: position 119,659,979 of record NC_000023.11, on the reverse strand, counting down.
AATTGCTTGAACCCGGAAGGTGGCGGTTGCAGTGAGCTGAGATCGCGCCATGGCACTCCAGCCTAGACAACAGAGTGAGACTCCATCTCAAAAAATAAAAATAAAAAAGGATGCTGGAGAAAAGGGGATTTAAGGGAGAGACTGAGAAGGACAAGCTGGAGAGGGGAGTGCTTAGGAACCTAGGCTTTGGTCTCAGACCTGGGTTCAAATTTCATCTTGCTGTCTTTTTAGCCCAGGGATCTTGAACAAGGTACTTAAATTTTCTATGCCTCAGTTTTCTCATCTGTAAAATGGGGATGATAATGATGGATGATAATAATAATACTACCTACCTTAGAGAGTTGTGGTGAAGCACATTTGACATGTGTGGAATATGAAATGCTTAAACACCTGGCACAGAGTAACTGCCTCATAAACTGAAGATATTATGATCATGATTTTTATTGATAGAAGAATCAAGGAACAGCTAAATCATGTAGTATATGGGAAGGAATGATACATGGTATCCAGGAAGACGAGAACTGCAAAATATTCTTTGGGTTTGGTGATATGAAGGTCAGTAATACATTTCAGAATAATAATTCGAGGGGAACTGTGGGTGGAAGCCAGATTACCGTGATTGCTGAGTGAATGGAAAGTAAGCATGTAAAGGCATCAGAAGAGCAAAAAGAGCAATGGAACAGAAAAGTCAGTCTAAGACCAGATTCCTGCTCATATGGAAATTTAGCATATGTAAGTCAGCAGGGGAAGAATGGACTATTCAGGAGATGATGCTGGGAAAATAGGCCATCTATTTAGGAAAAAAATAAAACGAGACCCTCTCACACAAACACCATTCACAAAAATAGATTCCCATTGGACTAAAAACAGATTTCTAAAAATATAAGGAGAAAACATCAGAGAATATTTTTATAACTTTGGGGGTAGAGAAGGCTTTTCCAATCATGACACAAAATTCAAAAGTCATAGAAGAAAAGACTGATGGATTTAAATTCATTAAAATAAAAAACCCTTTTGTATTGAAAGATACCATAAACAAAAGTACAAACAAGCTACAGATGGGGAGAAGATATTTGCTGCCTAAATAACAGACAAAGGATTCTTCTAAAATGGAAAAAGAGCTTCTACAATTCAATGAGAAATAAACAAATAATTTACAGAAGGGGAAATACTTATGTACAATCAACATATGAAATGATGGTCATTCAACTTCCCCAGTAATTAAAGAAATGCAAAATGAAACAAATATTTTTTATCCATCAGATCTGCAAAAACAAAAGGATGGTATAATATCCACTAACACGAGGTAATTTCATTCACGTTGATGGGACTGTAAATTGATATAGACTTCTTGGAGGGCAAATTTGGCAGTATCTATTAAAATTTTAAATGTGAATAATTTATGACCCAGCAGTTCCACCTTTTAAGTATACAGCCTAGAGAAACAGTTGCACATGCTCCTGAGAAGCATAGAGAAAGCATGTTCACTGTAGCTTTGGTTATTGAATGAAAAACAATTTAAACAGTCTAAATTTCTACCAACAGAGCAATTAAATAAACTGTGGAATTACCATACCATGGAATTGTGTTTGGCAGTTTAATAGAATGAGGTAGATCGATATATACTCACATGGCTAGATCTCAGGATATGTTGTTAAGTGAAAAAAAGAAGTTGCAGAATGATCACGATGCGGTGTCTGTAAATCTGCCCCCCTCCCTCCAATAAAACCACAAATATTTCTCTCTATTTATGTGCGTAGATGCATAGAAAAAGGTCTGGAAAGATAATCAGCAAACTGAAAATAGAGGTTATCTGTGAGGAAGGAAGAATCGGTATTCTTTTTTATTTTTTTGAGACGGACTTTCGCACTGTTGCCCAGACGGGAGTGCAGTGGCGCTATCTCGGCTTACTGCAAGCTCCGCCTCCCGGGTTCACGCCATTCTCCTGCCTCAGCCGCCCGAGTAGCTGGGACTACAGGCGCCCACCACCACGCCCGGCTAATTTTTTTTGTATTTTTAGTAGAGACGGGGTTTCACCGTGTTAGCCAGGATGGTCTTGATTTCCTGACCTCATGATCCGCCTGCCTCGGCCTCCCAAAGTGCTGGGATTACAGGCGTGAGCCACCGCACCCGGTCGAGAATAGGTGTTCTTGCATAAATAAATTTAGGTTAAGCGCGGTGGCTCTTACCTCTAATCCCAACACTTTGTGGGGCCAAGGTAGAAGGATCACTTGAGCCCAAAAGTTCAGGACCAGCCTGGATAACATAAAGAGACCCCGTCTCTACACAAAAATAAAAAATTAGCCAGGTGTGGTGGTGTGTGCCTGTAGTCCCAGATACTCAGAAGGCTGAGGCAGGAGAATCGCTTGAGCTCATGAGTTCGAGGTCACAGTGAGCTATGATCATGCCATTGTTCTCCAGCATGGGCAATAGAGCGAGGCCTCGTCTCTAAAAAATAGATAAAAAAGAAAGCTTGTCTGAGCTGGGAGAAATACACAAGGCCATGTCTAGAGGGGGACAAGGAGGTCAGGGGCAACTCTTGAGGATGGGAGAGATGATGAGGGCTTGAACAGGAAGAGAAGCTTTGAGGATAGAGAGGAGGGGCAGATTTGAGAGAATTGACAAGACTGAGAACCAAGTTGCCGTGGAAACCTAGTCCACTTTATAAACTTAAATGTCTACTATGTGACAAGTACAGTGTGAAGTGTCAGAGATACTAAGAAATAAGGCACAGTTTTTTTGTTTTGTTTTTTTTTTTTTTGAGACGGAATCTCACTCCGTTGCCCAGGCTGGAGTGCAGTGGTGCGATCTCGGCTCACTGCAACCTCCGCCTCCCAGGTTCAAGCAATTCTCCTGCCTCAGCCTCCCGAGTAGCTGGGACTACAGGTGCCTACCACCATGCCTGGCTAATTTTTGTATTTTTAGTAGAGACGGGGTTTCACTGTGTTGGCAGGGCTGGTCTCGAACTCCTGACCTCAGGTAATCCGCCTGCCTCGGCCTCCCAAAGTGCTGAGATTATGGGTGTGAGCCACCCCACCTGGCCTCCACATTTTCACATTTTCTTTATTTTATTTTATTTATTTAATTATTTTTTGAGACGGAGTCTCACTCTGTCGCCCAGGCTGGAGTGCAGTGCCTCAATCTTGGCTCACCGCAACCTCCGCCTCCTCGGTTCAAGCAATTCTCCTGCCTCAGCCTTCTGAGTAGCTGGGATTACAGGCGCACGCCACCATGCCCAGCTAATTATTATATTTTTAGTAGAGACGGGGTTTCACCCTGTTGATCAGGCTGGTCTCGAACTCCTGACCTCGTGATCCGCCCACCTTGGTCTCCCAAAGTGCTGGGATTACAGGCGTGAGCCACTGCGCCTGGCCTCCACATTTTCTTTATCCGGTCATCAGTTGATGGACATTTGGGTTGTTTCCACCTTTGGGCTACTGTGAATAATTTACTCAAGCTGGGTTCACCAAGTCCCACCTCCCTGGCCGTCTTCCCATTGCTCAAACCTGTCAGACTGGTTTCTGCCTCAGAACCATCCTCACATTTATTATTCCCACTGCCTGGAATGCTCTTCACCCAGATCTCTCCATGGCTCTGTCATCCTCATCCTTGCGGCTCAAATGTCACACCCTTAGAGAAGCCTTCCCTGATCACTGTATTTAAAGTAGTTGAACCCTCAATCACATGTATATCCCATTATCCTATTGGAGTATCTTCATAGTACATATCATTATCCGAAATGAATAAGTATTATTGTCTAGACCAGGGGTTATTTTGTGCCATTGGCCCCGTTAGCAATCTAGTGAGGCCTATGGGCTCATTCTCAAAATAATGTTTTTAAATGCCTAAAATATACCAAGTATACTAAAAATACAGTTACTAAAATATTTAAAAATTGTGACTTAGCAATCCATGTGCTTCTCTATCAATTCCAGAAGTAATAATATCTATATGCAGGCTTAATAATTACCAGAATTTGAATGTTGTAATGAGTATAAATGCTATTTTGAGCTATTTACAACAACTGGAATGGGAAATGATGATATCAGTGATTTCTATTGGTTATGAAATCACAGGTACTGCTAACATTACTATAGATTGTTACCTATGTCTGCAGCTGAAGAAACTGCTAAACTTCAGTTAGAGATTAGTGAAAAAGATGTATTTTTTTCCTATCTAAGTTCACAGATCCTCTGAATTCTATTCACAGAACCTAGGAGGTCCATGAACCCTGTGTTAAGAACGGCTGTCTTGAAATGTCAAAGATTATCAGTAGTGATGGGGAGGGATGGAGTCTGTTGGAGCTGGTTTTGGTCGAAAATGGAGGAGATGAGGAGATCACAGTGAGCGAGGGAATCAAGAGCTAGAAGAAAGCTGCCCTCTCTGCCCTTCCATGGGACTTGGGTGTGGAGATGAAGAAATTTCCAGTTGAGAAGGATATGAGAAAAGCAGCATCTCTGAAGGATAGTCAGGTGTCACTTAGAGGAAGGAAGCAGTTTGGGAGGAGGTAGCCTATAAGAGTAAAGGATTTTGTTTACCACCCACTGGAGTCCAGTGAGCAGCACAACAGAGTGTGGGAGAGAGGTGGCCACCGTGGGAAGATGAGTCACTGGGGCCTGGGGGTGGAGGGAATGCAGAGCAGTAGCGGAAACTTTACTATGTTCCAGACAGCAGGCTAGACGTGGAGGATACAGAGATGAATAAGACGAAGATAAGCCACCCATTTAGGATTCGTCTACACCAAATCCTGGTGGCTGATTGGCTGGTTTGGCTGGTCTGATCCATGTACATCTTGAGAGCTTCCGAGAGCCAGAGGCAATTGCAGTAAGACAGGCACAGGGTATCACTACAGATTTCGGGGTGTGTGGGGGAGCTAAAAAATGCACTTTTTAGCTTTATTTTCTTTCCTCTGATTCCTTCTGCAAAGCAAAAAATGAAGTAAAAAAAAATTACGTAATTGAGAAAAAAAATGAAGCAGTGCCATCATCAACTATTTCAAATCAGCAAAACATCCAAAAATTAATTAAATAAGCCTAGGGGATACATTCCCCACCCTCACTCCAAATTCGTCAGGAACCTTCTAAGGATCTTTGCAACCAAGAGATTCTTTGATGCGATTACCCTTCGGAACAGTGGCTCGGAGGGATCAAAGGAATAAAGAAAGGACTATGTTTTTAGAGTTTTCTCTGGGGCTTGGGAGGCAGAGGTTGCAGTGAGTGGAGATCGCACCACTGCACTCCTGCCCGGGCAACAGAGCGAAACTCCATCTTAAAAAAAAAGATTTTTCTCTGGGGCTCCAGAGATAGCCTGCACCTGGATCTCAGCTCTGGCTGCAGCTCTCAGAATCTAGGATCCTGTGATTCTTTCTTAAAAGGCTATTTTCCCCTTCTCTACTAGGGGGATCTTTCAGAAAGGCTCAGCCTGGGAGCTGCTGCAGGTGGGAGGCATTGGCTGGGCTCAGCTCCTCCTTTGATCATCATGTTCCCTTCTGGCAGCGGTATCTGAAAACTCCCTGCCCTGGGCCCACATGACAAGCCTCTTCTAGCCTGAAGGGAGGCACCCCCTCAGCCAGAGAGGCAGCAGACAGACAGGGGAGATGAGAACAAGAGGCAGAGCTGAGCTAAGCTGACCTAGTTAGAGCAGAAAGAGGCCGTAGGGGTGACGGGGATGACGTGGGAGGGGACTGGGACAGAGGGAGAGGGAAGTTTCCCAGGGAGGCCCAGGAAAGAGAGACATAGAGGGCTGACTGTTGTTTAAGAAGCCTTGGCAAGACTTGGGGGCCACCTAGAGGAGCCGCGTGTGGAGACTCAGTGAGCTGGCGGGCCTGTGTCCATGTGTGCAGGGTGTGCGGAGGGGAGTAGCTTTACCAGATTTTGCCTGAATACTTTGTTTGTTTGTTTGTTTGTTTTTGGAGATGGGGTCTCACTCTGTTGCCCAGGCTGGAGTGCAGTGGCATGATCTCCACTCACTGCAACCTCTGCCTTCCGGGTTCAAGCGATTCTCCTGCCTCAGCCTCCTGAGTAGCTGGGATTACAGGCATGAGCTACCACAGCTGGCTAATTTTTGTATTTTTAGTAGAGACGAAGTTTTGCCGTGTTGCCCAGGCTGGTCTCGAATCCTGAGCTCAGAAGATCCGCCCGTCTCAGCCTCCCAAAGTGCTGGGATTACGAGCCATGATCCACTGTGCCTGGCCTGAATACTTAAAGTCACCACCTTGGCAGAAATGAGAATCAGAAAAATATCTTGACCTTGGGGGAGCCAAGTGTGGAGCTCCGCTAAACCTAGCGAGAATGAGCAAAAGCCCTGAATGTTCTCACAAGATTGCCCAGCAGTGGGCCAAAGAGAGGTCTTGTTACCCACTGTGTACCCAGCTCTCATCTAGGCACTGTAGGGCGAGATAAAGGGAGCAAAGACATGAGCCCAGCTTGGAGGAAAATCAGTCCCTCTACAGATACAGCCAGTGGGCTCCATGCTGTGTTGGGGCCCCCCGAGGGACAGACAAGTGCCCTTCACAGGCCCTGCTCTTTAGGAAGGCACAATCTATTTGAGAGAATCCTTGTGAAGCAACAATAAGTAATTGAATGCCATTTCTTGTTATGCCCCTGACTCGCAGAAGGGATTTCTGGCATAAGTGGGGAAGGCCGTAGGAAGGAGGAGGACATTAAGCTGAGCCCTGAGGTCTGGGAGGGCAGAATTGGGATGAGGAGAGAGAAAGGGGCATTCTAGTGAAGGTGCACAGATGGGCATAAGTTTGGCTCATGTAGGGACCAAGAAGGTGGCCAGGCTGACAAGATTGGAGGCCCACTGAAGGGAGATGGAGAAATGCAGTTGGATGGGAGAGAGTCAAGATTACAGAGGGCATTTGAAACTTCCAAAAAGGACGGTGTCAAAATCCAAGTTTTTGACGGGATCCGCCTCTGTCCCTGCTCTCCCTTTTAGCTACAAGCCTATCGTGGAATTCATCGATGCACAATTCGAGGCCTACCTGCAGGAAGAGCTAAAGATCCGAAGAGTGCTACACACCTACCATGACTCCCGAATCCATGTCTGCTTGTATTTCATTGCCCCCACGGGTCATTCCCTGAAGTCTCTGGACCTAGTGACTATGAAGAAGCTGGACAGTAAGGTATAGGAGGCAGGGGCGGGGGCGCTGGGGGCTCACTCTTACTGATCTCTTGTGCAAAGTAGATGTGGGATTCCGGGAGAGATTTGTGGCATCCTCATCCTCTCCCTCATTCCCTGTCCCTCCATAAAGATGGTGTTACGGATCCAGCACCAGCGTCGTAAGCTTTGTGATCTGTTTTCCCAGCACTAGGGATGGGCTTGCCCTGAGCTGTCTTTCTGCCCTGATCCCTCTTGGGGACTAGCAAGATGGCTCCCTGGGTCTAGGGGCAAAGGCTTTGGCAATGGAAAGCTGTTTTTTTCTTTGTCCGAATGTTAACTGGCTAGAATCAAACATGCAAACTTGACTTTGAAAGTTATTCTTGCTATCAATAATTACTTTTATGATTGCAGTTAACATTAAAACCCTCATTATATGCCAGCCCCGTGAAGTACACATTATTGTTATCTTCATTTTACAGAAGAGAAAACTGAGGCTCTCAGAGGTTAAGTGACTTGCTCATTGTCATATTGCTAGCTACTGGTAGAGTGCAGATTCTGTGACACTCAGATCTGTGACCCCATGTTATAATGCTTCCATGCCCGAGAAAGATGGCTGTGGGAATCAGGCGTTGTCTTCCTTTAAGAAAAACTTGGCTGGGTGCGGTGGCTCACACCTGTAATCCCAGCACTTTGGGAGGCCAAGATAGGCGGGTCATCTGAGGTCAGGAGTTCGAGACCAGCCTGGCCAACATGGCGAAATCCCGTCTCTACTAAAAATACAAAAATTAACTGGGCATGGTGGTGCGCATTTATAATCCCAGCTATTGGGGAGGCTCAAGCAGGAGAATCGCTTGAACCTGGAAGCGGAGGTTGCAGTGAGCTGGAATCATTCCACTGCACTCCAGCCTGGGCGACACAGCCAGACTCCGTATCAAAAAAATAATCGAATTCACATGCAGCCATTTAGTAGCACATCCACTCTAAGACTGAATTTCAGCTCTCATCAGAATAGGAGCAGTTTTTCATTTTTTGCAGCAATAGGCTCATGGCCCATGAATAAAAGGCTGCTCTTGAAATGTGGCCATGCCCTGCATGTCCTGTATAGGGGCATTGGTGAGCCACATGGCTGCAGGCCTGGTGGATGGGCCGAGTTAAGCCTTTGAGATAGATAGATACATATATATTTATTTATTTATTTATTTTTGAGACGGACTTTCACTCTTGTTGCCCAGACTGGAGTGCAATGGCACGATCTTGGCTCACCGCAACCTCCGCCTCCTGGGTTCAAGCAATTCTCCTGCCTCAGCCTCCCGAGTAGCTGGGATTATAGGCATGCACTACCATGCCTGGATACTTTTTATTTTTAGTAGAGACGGGGTTTCACCATGTTGGCCAAGCTGGTCTCGAACTCGCAACCTCAGGTGATCTGCCCACCTTGGCCTCCCAAAGTGCTTGGATTAGCAGCATGAGCCACTGCCCCTGGCCTGATATATGTTTATAGTGTGTCAATGGGGACTTGGCGAAAGTGCCAAGGAGAATAGGCTCTGCCTGCTGTTTCATCTTGGCAAGGGCTTTGACCCTTCTGCCCCTGAAAGACTTCAAGGGAGGTGCCTCCACGGTTCAGTCTTTCCTTGACCCAGCGGCTGTGTGATATCAGCCTTCAGAGGCACTCCTAAGCCAAAGCGCAGAGGAAGCAGGATTTTTCTTCCACGTCTGGAGCTCCCAGACTCCCCTTTTAGAGTCCGGGGCCTGAGTGCCACCTATGCCCCTCCCCCACCCCCCGTTGGAGTCTACTGGCAGGAATGATTATGCTCTCCATGTCAACCTGAACTTAGTGTGCTCTGTCTCACAAACACATGTGCATTTCAAGTTTCTTTACCTTCTGACAGTAAAAGCCTTGTCCCTTCTTGGAGGAATTTCAAGGATTAGGGTTCAGGTGGATTGAACTTTTGGTTGGGATTAGTTCTTTCTCCTGATGCCTGAAATTGGGCATTTATACTTGCTTTTCTTACTCAGAAATTAATCATGAGACTCAGGCAGTATAATTCTTTTTGCATAAGTCTCAGATCAAATTGTAACTATAGGTTCTTCCTCACCTAACTGAGTTGATTATTCAGTGTCTCCTGCCAGAAAGAGAGCCAGGTGTGCATCCTCACTGAGCACTGTCCCTGCCTCCTTTCCCTGCCATCTCTCATGTGGGTCCATATCACACCCGGCTTGGGCTAGACTAGACCCGATGGGTTGGGACAATTTACTCTTAGCAAGAAGAGGCCACCTCTCCCCTGTCAGCCACAGATTCCCAGCTATCACCTTTCTGCTTCAAGTCTCCCAAGCAGTAACCTTGATACCAAGATAACATACAGCTCATCAACTTGGATCTGAACTGGTAGACAGCTCATGCTTAAGACTATGGACTTAGGAATAAGGCTGAGTTTGGATTTGAATCCCAGTTCTCCTACTTACCTGCTCCATGGCCTTGGACAAGTTACTTAACCTCCCTATGCCTTAATTTCTCATTGGCAAAATAGTAGTAATAATACCTCCTGGAAGGGTTATTGTCAGGATTAATTGTGCTAATTCATGTAAAGCACTTAGTTCAGTGCCCAGCACATAGTTAGTACTTGTCGTTTATTATATTGTCATTTGGCTACAGAAGTGGCCAGTCTTTGACCACTGGGCTGAGCGGCTCCCTCTGGCAGCTGGTGGAAGTCCTAGGTCATGCTGCTATCAGTTGCAGGTTACCAACAATGACCCCACTTTGCCCCTCCTCTCCCTAGGTGAACATCATCCCCATCATTGCCAAAGCAGATGCCATTTCGAAGAGTGAGCTAACAAAGTTCAAAATCAAAATCACCAGCGAGCTTGTCAGCAACGGAGTCCAGATCTATCAGTTTCCTACAGATGATGAGTCGGTGGCAGAGATCAATGGAACCATGAACGTGAGTGGGAGCAATTTCCTGACCATTTGCTTTTTATGATGATTATCATTATTTTAATGTGCTTTAGAGACAGGGTCTTGCTCTGTTGCCCAGGCTGGAGTGCAGTGGTGTGATCACAACTCACTGCAGCCTTGAACTCCTGGGCTCAAGGGATCCTCCCGCCTTAGCCTCCCAAGTAGCTGGGATTACAGGTGCACTCACCACACCTGGCTAATGTTTTAATGTTTTGTAGAGACGGGGTCTTGCTATGTTGCTCAGGCTGGTCTTGAACCCCTGGGCTCAAGCGATCCTCCTGCCTCAGCCTCCCAAAGTACTGGGATTACAAGTGTGAGCCACCACGCTGACCCCTTTATTATTATTATTATTTTACCAAATAGCAGCAAAACATCTTCACCATCCATCTTAGTGTAGTCAACTCTTTTTTTCTTTTACTTTTTTTTTTTTTTTTTAAGACAGGATCTCATTCCATTGCCCAGGCTAGAGTACAGTGGCACAATCTCGGCTCACTGCAACCGAGATATGTTATTTTTAAATATCAGGGTTGGCTGGGCATGGTGTCTCACGCCTGTAATCCTAGCACTTTTGGAGGCCGAGGCGGGTAGATCACCTGAGGTCGGGAGTTTGAGACCAACCTGGCCAACATGGCAAAACCCCGTCTCTACTAAAAAATACAAAAATTAGCCAGGCGTGGTGGTGTGCGCCTATAATCCCAGCTACTCTGGAGGCTAAGGCAGAGGTTGCAGTGAGCCAAGATTACGCCATTGCACTCCAGCCTGGGCGACAGAGTGAGACTCCATCTCAAAAAAAAAAAAAAAAAAAAAAAAATCAGCGTTATGCTTTGCTTTATTAAGTGTGAATGAATAATAATAATAAAAAACCTTGCCATCTTTCCTCTCCTCCCCCACTTTCTCCTACTAGAGAAATGAGTAATAAAGAAGGCAGAGATGCAAACATCTCCTAATGCTTCCTTACAATGTGTTGCTGTTGCTGTGAAATCTTCAATGTTGTGATTTCAAGGAGACAGCTAATAGCTTTCAGAAAGCCTCCGCTTTAGGAACAGATTTCTTTTTCTCTATTGAGTGTCATCAGTTTTTCCTAATGACATAATGCCTGGGTATAGCCAAACTCAGGAAAGCCTTGTAATAAAAGCCATTTTTAGAAAACTTTCCTGCTGCCACTGCCCTCTAAGTTATCATTACAACTTCAGCTGCCACCTCCTATGAATTGGCCAACAAATTAGCATAGCAGGGCAGCAAGTCATTGTCTCTCCTGACTTCCTGTCCATCAGTACACCCGAGATGTGTTTGTTATCACCATCACCATCTTAGACAAATCTGGCTCAAGGGTAAGGCTATCTGGAGCATGGTAGGTAGAGATAGGTCTTCTCTGACCGGCCGTGGGCATGGAAAAAATAAAAAAGATTAGCACTTGTCCTCTCGAGAAGTCAGGGCATTTTGATGGAAACTAGGCTCTGTTATGAAGAGACAGCCTAGTCTGCAGAAAAACGGGAGCCTCGCGAGAAGTGTCATCTGGGTGCCACGGGCACTGATGTCTGGAAGCGTCTAGTCACCTCAGGACATCAGTCCCCATAGAGACCTTCTGAACACTGATGCCCTAAGTCATCAAGCAGCTTGCAGGCTTGTGGTTTGCTTTGCTAAGAATAAATAGGGACTGAGAGTACTCAGCCATCTCAAGGTGTCACACAGAACCACATCTTGGTACCTCATGGATTAGGAGTGATAATCATCCTGGGCTCTGTTCTCAGCTCAGCTCTGGCCTCCTGCTAAGCCTAGGGTAGGCTCAACCTCAAGGCTGGAAACCCCCAAGCTAGGCAGCAGCAGTTGTCAAGCATGCTGTTATGGCTGTGAAGGGATTCTGGGTCCTTTATTACTCATAATTGTGTTTCACTTTGAGAAACAAAATTCGAGGCTGAACAACATAGTGAGACCTCATCTCTACTGAAATTTAAAAAAAATTAACTAGTGGCCGGGCGCGGTGGCTAACGCCTGTAATTCCAACACTTTCGGGGGCCAAGGCAGGTGGATCACCTCAGATCAAGAGTTCGAGACCAGCCTGACCAACATGGAGAAACCCCGTCTCTAGTAAAAAGACAAAATTAGCCAGGCATGGTGGCGCATGCCTGTAATCCCAGCTACTCAGGAGGCTGAGGCAGGAGAATCGCTTGAACCCAGGAGGCAGAGGTTGCAGTGAGCTGAGATCTCGCCTTTGCACTCCAGCCTGGGCAACCAGAGCAAAACTCCATCTCAAAAAAGAAAAAATTAACTGGTGCTGTGGCGCACACCTGTAGTCTCAGCTACTTGGTCGGTGGGTGGCCTAAAGTGGGAAGATTACTTGAGCCTGGGAAGTTGAGGCTGCGGTGAACCCTGATCGAGCCACTGCACTACTGCAGGCTGGGTGACAGAGCAACACCCTGTCTCACAAAAAAAAAAAAAGAGAGAGAGAAAGGAAAGGAAAGAAAAAGAAAGTAAATAAAGAGAGAAAGAGAGAAAGAAATAAAAAGGAAGGAAGGAAGGGAGGAGGGAGGGAGGGAATTCCAGTGGAAGGAAGGAAGGAAGGAATGGAGGAAGGGAGGGGAGGGGAGGAGAGGAGAGGAGCAGGGAATTCCAGTGGATTCAGGATTATCCCTATCATAAATCACTCACCACTTACTCCCTTGCATCCTACTGTGCTTTGTTTTTTTTTTGAGACAGGCTCTCACTCTGTCGCCCAGGCTGGAGTACAGTGATGCAATCAATTTCAGCTCACTGTAGCCTCCACCTCCTGGGTTCAACTAATCCTCCTGCCTCAGCCTCCCGAGTAGCTGGGACCACAGGCATGCACCACCATGCCCGGCTAATCCACTATGGGTTTTTTTTGAGTGGGAAAGAGAGGAGTGGCCTCACAGCTAGTGTGCCTGAATTGGCATGCCTGTGAGAGGAGCTTGCATGTGAGTGTTTTGTGTTACATGCGCTGTGATGGGAAAGAGGGTGCTATCAAATATACACAGAGGATTGCTTAGCCTGCCTGCCACCGAACAACTATGTCAAAAGTCCCCAGAGTCTTCACACAAGCCGTGGTGTATGAAGCTGCATCCTCAGGACCTGGGCTTGGGTGGTAGGAGGAATTGGTGCTGGTCTTTCATTTTGGATTTGACTCCAGCCCCACAGCCTCAGCCACCCCAGCCAATTGTCATAGGAGCTGGATTGGAAGAAGCGGAAGAAATCTGTTGCCTGAGTGGAGAAGACTGTACAATGTCCTGTCTCTCACCATGGGGGATTTTTGTGGCAGGAAATGAGAGTAATGAGGTCCCTGCCACCACCTTGAATTATGGGTGGCTCCAGAAAACCTTATTGTAGATTGAGGGGGAAGAGAAGGGAGAGCGAGGTCTTGTTGCATGCTATTTTCAACCCATGCTCTGATATCTCTCAAGGTTGTAGACTTTAATACTAAGAATTGCTATGTTATTTTAAATTTAATGATGTTCTTTGAATGGCTGAAAGCATGGCCAGGACCAGCAAAAAGGCCCAGTTACTTAATTGACTGAGCTCCATTAATTGTCCATTTGTGAGGTCTGGGGTTTGGTTCCCACAAAGGCAATTGACATTTGGGCCCAGTGAGAACACATGGCTGAACAGTAGGGTCATAGGAAGACCCACAGGCACAAGTCCATCCCTTCCTCTGAGACAGCAATGGTATTTCCATTGTTGCCATGTACTTTTACAGGAATCACCAGTGGTTGACTTGAGAGCAAATCAGCCAATGGTCTTGTTCAGTCACCAGCAGGGGCCTGAAATGGGGACTAACATAACTGGGAAACACTGTCCACCCTGGGAGGAAACCAAGCCCAATCAGAATATTATCATTAGATGAGGAATAAAGAGTTCTGACAGTGTGTATTTCACTGGGCTAAGCAGTCACCTAGCCTCCCAAGTATAATGGATGTGGTGAAATAAGAATAAAGTAACTCACGCCAATTGGATTATTAAGTACTTTACAATGTACAAGAAGAATTTAAGTTAGACACAAGTCAGTAAAGGTGGTGCTATGGTTTGATTGTGTCCCCTCCAAAATTCAGGTGTGGCCAGTATGATAGTATTAAGAGGTCGGGGCTGGGTGCAGTGGCTCACACGTGTAATCCCAGCACTTTGGGAGGCCAAGGTGGGCGAATCACAAGGTCAAGAGATCGAGACCATCCTGGCCAACATGGTGAAACCCCGTCTCTACTAAAAATACAAAAAATTACCAGGCGCAGTGGCTCATACCTGTAATCCCAGCTACTTGGGAGGCCGAGGCGGGTGGATCACCTGAGGTCGGGAGTTCGGGACCAGCCTAACCAACATGGAGAAACCCCGTCTCTACTAAAAATGCAAAATTAGCCGGGCATGGTGGCACATGCCTATAATCCCAGCTACTCAGGAGGCTGAGGCAGGAGGATCGCTTGAACCCAGGAGACGGAGGTTGTGGTGAGCTGAGATCACGCCATTGCACTCCAGCCTGGGCACCAAGAGCAAAACTCCATCTCAAAAAAAAAATAGCTGGGCATGGTGCCACACACCTGTAGTCTCAGCTACTCGGGAGGCTGAGGCAGGAGGATCACTTGAACCCGGGACGCGGAGGTTGCAGTGAGCTGAGATCACGTCACTGCACTCCAGCCTGGCGACAGAGTGAGACTCCGTCTCAAAAAAAAAAAAAAAAAAAAAGGTAGGGCCTTTAGGAATTGATTGGGCCTGGCCAGGCGCGGTGGCTCACACCTGTAATCCCAGCACTTTGAGAGACCAAGGCGGGTGGATCACCCAAGGTCAGGAGTTCAAGACCAGCCTGGCCAACATGGCGACATCCTGTCTCTACTAAAAATACAAACATTAGCTGGGCGTGGTGGCAGGCACCTGTAATCCCAGCTACTCAGGAGGCTGAGGCAAGATAATCGCTTGAACCCGGGAGGCGGAGGTTGCAGTGAGCCGAGATCGTGCCATTGCACTCCAGCCTGGGCAACAAGAGCGAAACTCTCATCTTAAAAAAAAAAAAAAAATGTGATTGGGCCATGAGGGCTTCTCCCTTGTTAATGGGATGAAGGCCCTTTTTTTTTGAGATGGAGTCTCGCTCTGTCGGCCAGGCTGCAGTGCAGTGGTGCGATCTTGGCTCGGCTAACCACAACCTCCGCCTCCCAGGTTCAAGCAATTCTCTGCCTCAGCCTCCCGAGTAGCTGGGATTACAGGCGCCCGCCACCACGCCCGGCTAATTTTTGTATTTTTAGTAGAGATGAGGTTTCACCATCTTGGCCAGGCTGGTCTTGAACTCCTGACCTCGTGATCCACCTGCCTTGGCCTCCCAAAGTGCTGGGATTACAGGCGTGAGCCACCACACCTGGCCGAAGACCCTTTTTAAAGAGACATCATGCAGTGTTGGGCTAGCTTGTCCTTCTGCTGTGTGAGGATGCGGCAAGAAGGTCCTCACCAGACCAGAATGCTGGTGCCTTGATCTTGGACCTCCCAGCCTCCAGAACTATGAGGAATAAATTTTTTTTTTTTGAATAAATTTCTATTGTTGATAAATTACTCAGTCTCAGGTAGTTTACTGTAGCAAGACAAAATGCACTAAGACAGATGGTGAATCTAGGAATGGACTCCCAAGGAAGGCTTGCGACTATCTCTTGTTGGAGTTTTCTGACACTGGGAAATCTGATATCCGAGGGCGCCTCATTGGAAGTCTGAGTGAGAGAGTCACACAGACTCTCCTGAGAGGCCTGTTTGTGTTTCAGCAGCAACACTGCCCTGCATCTATCAGAGTCTCTTCCCTGGGTCCACACATAGAAAATGTCACCACTGTCTGTCAGTTTCCTGCAGAGACCTGGGAAAAATAGCAGAAAGCCTGGCCTCAGATTTGGATCCCATTGGTAGGACCTAGAAGTATGGTCCGTGGTGGTGCGGGGGGAGGGTGGGTATCTGCTCTCTGCTCTGCTCGACTCTATTCTGGTTGTCAAAGCCATCTGTCTCTCAAAAGCAGTGGAACAGAGGGCCAGAGCCTGGTCCCCATGATTTCCTGCTTGTCATGGTTTGCTTCCTTCTAGCAGATGCCATGTAGCCAGGAGGCAGAGTGCGGACCACCCTAGGTGGCTGGGAGAGGTTGGCAGCCAAAGCTCGGTGGCCTCGCTGCTGCTTCAGAGGATCTGGGCATGGGGGTTAGGGACCTAGGCAACTCGTTTAACCTCCATGTATCCCAGTTCCCTCAGCTCACGAATGGATCTTTTAATCATTGCCATAGAAGGATGTTGTGAAAATCAAACCAAAGGAGAGCGCTGGGAAATGCCTACCTTGCATATACTTATCAAAGCAGACTGACGCCAGCTGCAAAGGAGCGTGCTGTGGGAGGGCTGGGGCTATGTTTTTGAGCTAGAAGAATAAAATGACAGCAGTTTGAGAAAGAGGGGGAAGCAAGTCACCCTATCATTCTGACGGTGTCTCTTGATGGTAAAAATGCAACAGGCCCGAGGGAATACTGACATTTTTGTATGCCTTTGTTTTCTTCTTGGTTTTTTTTTTCCTCGAGCTCAGAGAAGCACCTCCCAATTCACATGCCTTCCTCCTCCATCACTTACAGCTGAGAGCCCAGGAGGAGGGAGTGCTACAACGTGGTTTTTCTTTATCACCTCCTCCCTCAGTCTAGCTCTCTGCATTCGCCACCCCTTGGCTCTTCTGTGTCATGTGGCTGAAGCTGTGGGGTCTCTCCAGGGGAAATGTCCTCCCAGAAAGTGTTTAGGGGTGGATTCGAGGCTCCCGATATGTCTTAGGTCCCTGAGTAGGGATGAATTGTGCCCAGATCAACTCTCCTGGCAAAGATTGGACATGCTTAGGCCCTTGGGCAGCATTTTCAGGAATTCAGTGCTTCCCAAATGCCCTGTGTGTCACTTGCCCAGTTACTCTTTTGGTCATTCCCCTCCCAGGACTGATGAAACATTTCCCACCTCCACCCCACACCCACCTTCCATAATCCATAACCTCCTCTTTCCCATGTCCAGATTTAAGGGACAGTCAGTGGAGTGGGGAGGGGTCGGAGGGTGTCTGAGACGATCGTCTGATAGCAGCTGAGAGTGGAGAGGGTGAAAGAAGAGCAGCTTCAGCTGGCGGCCAAGCAATTTGAGGGACTGGTGGAGGTCCTGGAGCTGAGCTCCTGATGAAATCCTGTGTTCTTCTGCTCTGAAGGACATTTTTGGGGTCCAGAGCTAGAGGAGAATGGAGAAAAGAATTGACTGTGAGATCAGCCTGTGGATTAAACAAACAAGCGACAGATTTGCTGTGGGTTTCCCTGAATTGAATTGCCTCTGATAATCTGGTCTTGCACAACTAGTTCCCCCCAAGGTTTAGAGTACGCACCTCATCTACTGCTTGAACCCCCTAAATGGAGGTAGCAGACCAGCAAGGGGTGGGGTTTGAAGTTATTCTGTTCCTTACTATTGTGTGCCTGCTGACAAGTCTCTTAGCCCTTCTGGACCTCAGTTTCCCCATCTAAAGAGGAGACTAATAAGGCAACTTACCATATAGTGTTGTAGAGATTCAGTGAGACAATGCCATGTAAAGCAGCTGGTACCCAGTGCATAGGGCTTAACAAATTATTGCTAATGCTAATGCTGTTAGTATGATTGCCACTACCTACTCTGAAACAACTTATTTGACTTCCCAAGAATTGCTCCCTCCTCTGTGTTACTCCAGCCCTTTAGCCTCTGTTTACAACCTTGATTTTTCTTTTTTTTTTTTTTTTTTTTGAGACTGGGTCTTGCTCTGTCACCCAGGCTGGGGTGCAGTGGTGCGATCTCGGCTCACTGCAACCTCCACTTCTGGTACAACCCTGATCTTCCTGTATGATCGTTGTTGAGATGGCTTTCTCCCTTGGCACACTGTGCACTCTCCGGGGCCAGGGTCTGTGCTTTTTTGCTATTACGTCATTCTTAATGCCTAGCACATATCATAGGAGCTCAGTAAATATTTGTAGAATGGATGAGTGGGCAAATGGGTCAGAATATCTGAGATCATGGCCTGTTTCTGCAGGCAGGCTAAGAAACTTTCCCCATAGGCTCTTTACCTGTTGGTGTAAAGCCCTTTTGGGCAAAGCCCCACCTGGGCTCACCTGGTCAGTAAACATTGATTCCGTGGTTCCATCTGGCTGTGGTGACTTAGCACTTACAAGCTGGCTAGCTCCTTGTGGATTACGGCTCTGTGAGTGTTTCCTAGGCCCCATACTGCCAAGTCGGGGCAGCTCTCTCTTCTCTCATCCATAAAGCCAGGCCAAGCTCCTCATTTTCCCTGTGAGCACCAAGCTCATAAACCTATTTGTCCTTTGCCTTTCTTTCCTCTTTCCCTAGCCCTACCACTGCCATTCAGGAAGTATTTATTAAGCACCTACTATGTACAGGGTACCAGACCATATACTTGAGCCCTTGATCACATACTATCTTATATGACTTGAGTTATGTAATTTGGGCTTCCTCAACAAGACTGTAAGCTCCTAGAGGGCGAGGGAGCGTGTCTTCTGCTGCTTCTGTCTGCCTTATAGCACCTACAGAAGAACCCAGCATGGTCATGTGAGTAAATCCTTGGTGACTTGCCTTCTAGGCTCACAAGTTCAATGTGAGCTCTTTCTCCGGGGAAGGATGAGAACAAGGAGAGTACAGCTCAGTTGGCTGTGTGGTCTCAGTATGGACCTAGTCTTGGGGCTCTTGCATGCCAGGGAGGGAGAAGGGCCAGTGATCCCAGACCCTTTGGTACTCCTTTATCCTCTCTATCCACACAGAACCCCCCTCATTCCACTTCCCCTTCTTCCAAAGGCTCTTCCCCTCAGCAGTAACTATGAATAGCGAATAGTTTGGTAATCTGTGTGTCTGCTTATTATTCTGCTTATTTTCTCTCTTTGTTCCCTATGCATTCAGCCATGTCATTGTTACCCTCTATTGTGAATTTCTGAACAGCAGAGGCTTGGACTAGGCCTCTTATCCTCACATGGTTTGGGAACTTAATAAATGCTTGTTGGTGATGATGACAGTGAGGGACATTGCAGGGTGAGGGCCTGGGGCCCCAGAGACGAACAGCAGTTGGGTTGTGTAACACTCAGTGCCTTTCTTCTGCAGTTCTCAGCTTTCGTTTGCCTTCGGTTTCAGGCCCACCTGCCGTTTGCTGTCATTGGCAGCACAGAAGAACTGAAGATAGGCAACAAGATGATGAGGGCGCGGCAGTATCCTTGGGGCACTGTGCAGGGTGAGTGAGTCTCCGGGAAGGGCTACACACAGGAAGCCCCTTTTGTCTGTCTCTTTGTTTGTCCCCAGCCACTATATGACAAGTTTCTAAATTGTCCCAAGTCTCTGCTCATTCGGCATGGGTCCCAAATAGCCATAGGGGTCACTAGCAAGCTAACTCTGGCTCCATACTGGGATGCTCTGATGGGAGCAAGCTCCCTCTAATTTCTAATGGGAAAGGTATTCCTAAAACACAAGGACTTGCAAGGTAGGAAGGAGTGTGCGAAAAAGCATGTGTTCTTGCCCAAGTGCACCTGAAGAATGTTCACAGTAGTGTTGTTTGTAATGACAAATAATTACAAACAATTCAGATATTCTTTAAAATAGACTGGATAGGCCGGGCACAGTGGCTCACGCCTGTAATCCCAGCACTTTGGGAGGCCGAGGCGGGCGGATCACGAGGTCAGGAGATTGAGACCATCCTGGCCAACATGGTGAAACCCCATCTCTACTAAAAATACAAAAAAAAAAAAAAAAAAAAAAAAGACTGGATAGTGGGAGGGTGGGAGGGGGATAAGGGATTTAAAAAAACTACGTGTTGGGGCTGGGCGCGGTGGCTCACTCCTGTAATTCTAGCACTCTGGGAGGCCGAAGAAGGCGGATCACCTGAGGTCAGGAGCTCGAGACCAGCCTGGCCAACATGGTGAAACCCCGTTTCTACTAAAAATACAAAAAAAAAAAAATTAGTCAGGTATGGTGGCATGTGCCTGTAGTCCCAGCTACTCAGGAGGCTGAGGCAGGAGAATCGCTTGAACCCGGGAGGTAGAGATTGCAGTGAGCTGAGATTTTGCCACTGCATTCCAGCCTGGGCGACAGAGTGAGATTCAAAAAAAAAGAAAGAAAGAAACATACCATTGGATTCCCTTTGTATGAATTCCAAAAGGAGGCAAAACTAAACAAGATATATATTCTTAGGAATGCATACATAAGAGGTAAAACTATAAAGAAAAACAAAGGAATGATAATCCCCAAAGTCAGGAGAAGGATTAAGTCTCTGCCAGGGGAGTTGAGGGATAGAGGGGGATGAGATTGGGAAAGGGCACTCAGGGGCTTCCAAGGTACTGGTAATGTTTAACCTGAGTTGTGGAGACATTGGTGTTAATTTTTCAAAAATTCTTTAAATTGTACATACACATTTCATGCTCTTTGTATGTATGATTATTTCACAATTGAAAAGCAATTAGACATATTGTATTACACTCAGGAAAGTTCCTTCTGTGATCTGCCTGACATATGTTAACTTACCCTCAGGGCTAGTCAGTTCAGTGCACAAGACAAGGCCAAGGATGGCGCTGTGGGTAGAAGAGGTCTCTGGTCCTCAGAGTCTACAGCTAGAAACTGGGCCGTGGCTGATAGGGGCATCGTGTGAAAGAGTGGCTGGTTCTCTGTAAACTCATCCCTACCACTGGGGAAACACCTGAAAGTGGATGGCGAGTTGTCCACATCACATACGAAGGCTGGCATGTTTTAGGACACCCCACACACCCACTGGCAATAGCTGGATTTTCCATAGGTAGGACAAGACTGGTTATCAGAGCTGTGCTAAGTTCTGGTCTTCTCTGCTGTTCGGAGCTGGGGATGCTCCACTAGGAACGTTTGCAAATGGTTTCTGGACCCACAGTGTCCCACCCTGGGAATGGACTTGTGGTCTGAGAAACAGGAACCTGAAGTGAGACGAGGAGAAGCCAGTAGACATGGTTCCAATGACTTATTTCATCTGATGTGGACTACTCTGAACCTAAACAGAAAAGGGGGTTTTGAAAGTTTTTCTTGTAAGTCTAAGTTGACTGTTCCGCTTGAATGAGGAAGAAGTTGTATATTGCTCAGGCAGCCTGCAGGGCCCTCGGAGGCACTCCTTCTGACTCACCATTAGAGATCACTGTCCAGAGATGGAGGAGGAGATGGCATATAGCATAGTCCTGAGAAGTTGTCTTACTGATGTCATCTTTAATATTAGCCTGTGTTCTATGACAGCAGGGGGCTTTATTCCTAATTCAGTGGGTCTTAAGCAGAGGGATTATGTGAGCTGATTCGGGCTTTGGAAAGATTAATGACCACAAGGTAGTCTGCTTCAACTATGGCTGACCCACTTATCCCAGACCCTTCTCTGCCCTCACTACCCTCTTCCAGACCCTGCAAGACAGAATCTGGGGTGATTGCCTGTTCACTTCAGACACCATTTTTCCTACTTGTTCAGGGCAAATACCACCATCCGACACAGTGAAGCCATACCTGTAGCCACCTTGACAAAGTGCTCCTCGTGACCTGGTCCAGCCAGAAATCGATTTTGCTATGACTTGGTCCACATCTGTCATTCTTGACCACTGCCCCAAATTGCAGACCTTTGCTTGCACTCTTTTGAGGAGGGGACTTGTTCACACAGGCCAGAAAGTGGGGTCCCCTTGCTCCTAGTCACCACTGCTACTGTCAGGCCATTATCTACCTTCTAAAGAAACCACCTCCTTGGAAGCTTCTACCATCCAGGTGGGCCATGCCTGCGGTCCACACCCCTCCTTGTCACTGTCATCTATCAATATCCTAGTTCTTTCCCCTTATTCTTTGGAGACTTTGTCACCTCCCCTACATTGCCTGGGTTTGAACCCTAATTCTGCAACTTACTAGCTACATAACCTTGCCTAGCCTCATTGACACTTTGCAAACACCATTCCCTTCTCTGGCTGATAAATTGCTATTCTTCCTTCCAGAGTCATCTTAGAGATTTTCTCTTCGGTGAAGTCTTCACTTTCCCAGGAGTTCTTAGGTTCCCCTCTTCTGAGCTTTATTGCAACTTGGCTATCCCTCTATTTTTGTAGTTGTGCACTGAATTGTATTTGTCTATTTGTATCTATTCTTCCTCTAAACTATAAGCTCCTGAGAGCAAGATTCCATCACTTCGTTTCTGAATTCCCAGTGCCTCACACAATACTGGGAACAGAGATTCCACAAATATTGATTGGATGGATGGATGGATGGATGGATGGATGGATGGATGGATGGATAGATAGATGGATGGATGAGTGGATGGATGGATGGATAGATGGATGGATGGATGGATGGATGAGTGGATGGATGGATGGATGGATGGAT
This sequence comes from Homo sapiens, assembly GCF_000001405.40. Lineage (NCBI taxonomy): Eukaryota > Metazoa > Chordata > Mammalia > Primates > Hominidae > Homo > Homo sapiens. Next base: position 119,637,566 of record NC_000023.11, on the reverse strand, counting down.
GGATGGATAGATGGATGGATGGATGAGTGGATGGATGGATGGATGGATGGACAGATGCATATATGCTGTTGTCCTACAAGTGGTGCAGACCAAACATTCTTTTGAGGGTTCTGACTGCTGAATTTAGATTGTGGTGCTACTGACTGTCTTAATAAGTATTTTTATGATATCACAGTTTTTCATTACTGGCATTTTTGTAACCTTTCATTTACATTTTCAGTAGAAAAGAGAGGAGGTAAATTTGCAGGATCTAAATACACAGATTGCAAGGCAACGTCACTGTTAGACATTTTGCCTCTCGTTTCATCCATTTCTGCTTCTGCTGGCCTTCCTTTCAACATACTTTCAATACCCCAAATCCTGCTATGCAGTTGAAAACGAGGCCCACTGCGACTTTGTGAAGCTGCGGGAGATGCTGATTCGGGTCAACATGGAGGATCTGCGGGAGCAGACCCACACCCGGCACTATGAGCTGTATCGCCGCTGTAAGCTGGAGGAGATGGGCTTCAAGGACACCGACCCTGACAGCAAACCCTTCAGGTACCGCTCCTGCCAGCCCAGCCCAGCCCAGCCCAGCTCAGCTCAGCCCACTCAGGTGGTGTGGAAGCCTTCCCCTGGAGAATTCACAGGGGAGGCGAGACACGGGTGCTAAGACCTCAAGGAGCAGGGGCGACTCACTTGCCAGTTCTGCTTGCCTGTTCACCCTTTGCCTCTGCACACCTGCCAGGAGAGCTGTGGGGAGCAGGCTTGGGAAGTACCGCCGCCTTGCTTTTAAGGGCAAGGGAAGGGAGGATGCCCAGAGGACCAGCAAGGCTGATCACCACACACACATGCACGCATCCATGACAGCTCCAAGCAGCTGCGCTGGGGGGAATCCCCAAGCTGGGGCCCTGTTCCACGAGGTGGCAGTTGGTAACTGTCCTCTGCCCCTCTTTCTTCATCAGGCTCCTGGCGCTCAGACAGGTTTCTAGTCTGTTCTTTACCCATTTCCCCATTCTCAAACCCAGATAGGACCAGGTAGCATGCCCTTGCCATGCATCGATGAACTGCAGGCTCTCCAATTGCTGTCCTTAGTGTCTGCATTCAAGTGCAAGTTCTGTTTTGACCGCAGGATGTTGATCATCACTGCCATATTTCTTAAATCAGAATGCTTTTAGAGAAGGGGAATGTTTTTGAAAGCAGGTTATTATGCAGAGAGGAGTAATGCGCCAAGTAGAAGTGTCTGATCTATATGCGTGATGTGTGAAATAAGCCCCACAGTTGAAATTACCACGTGGTGCCCTTTATGGTGGTCAGGCATTAATAAGCAAGTGAGGGAGATGTCTACCAGTTAAAAAGGCTTTCAAAGAGCCTCTGAGATCTTACTCTACCTGTGCACAGCCTAAAGCTGGCCTGGAGTCAGAGCCTAACCAGTCCCTTGGGGATATTTGCTTCAGGAGGGACAGGCTCATGCCCTATATACTGACAGGTGGGGCTGGGGGAAGCCATGCTTGTCTTTTTCTGGTGGGAGCTCCCTGGCTGTCTTCCCCACCTGCAGCTTTCATCTGCATTTGTAGAGGAGTAGGTGTGCCTCCACCTGGTCATTTTGTCTCCTTCCCTCCTCCTTCACTCCATCCTGAATACCTCTGTTTCCTGTGTCTTCGCCTTCTTCACTCCTTCTCTGCCAGCTCCTTCCCATGCTGCATGTAAGCATTCTTGTGCTGAAGAAACTCTCCCTTAACCCTGCTCTTTCTTACCAGCCTCTGTCCTGTCAAGAAGTCCTTGACAGGATGAGGAGAAAGAGTTGTTCTATGTTTACTGGTTCCTCTTCCCCATCTCTCATTCATTCCTCAATCCACTGCAGTCTGGCTTCTGTCCCCAGCATAACCACTCAAATGCCTCTCTCCAAGGCCAGGAATCGCAGACTTGTGGCCAAGTTCAATGTGGCCTTTGGTTTCCATCTTATTTGATATCAACGCAGCACTTTATGCCATTCCCCACTGCCTCCTTGAAATGCTCTCTGCCTTTGGCTTTTCTAGCACTGGCCTGGCTGATTCTATTCCTATCTCTCCTACTATTTCTTCTCAGCCTCCTTTGCAGGCTCGTTTTCTTCACCTTACTCCTTTAAATGTTGATATACCCCCCGGGATTCTTTCCTAGAGCCTCTGCTCCTTTCACTTTCTGTTCTCTTTGCAGCTGGTTCTTTCTACTCTCACAGCCCTAATTACCACCTAGAAGTAGATGGTTCCCAAGCTAGTCTTACTTCTGAGGTCTAAACCCATTAATCCAACTGCATCCTGGATGTCCACTCAGACATCCCATAGAGGACCTCCCCGAAAATCAAGCTCTGTACAAATTCATCTTCTGCCCTCTTAAGCATGTGTCTCCAACATTCCCTGTTGCCATTCATGATACCACCATCCACCTGGTTGCCCAAGGATAATCAGAATTACCTTTGGCTCCTCCCAAGTCCTGGGAGTTCTGCTTCCCTTACTGCTCCCTCCATTCCCTCCCAGCCCTTAACATTAAGATCCTATCACTTCTTCTTTTCTTTTCTTTCTTTTTTTTTTTTTTTTTTTGAGACAGAGTCTTGCTCTATCGCCCAGGCTGGAGTACAATGGCACAATCTCGGCTCACTGCAATCTTGGCTTCCCGGGTTCAAGCGATTCTCCTGCCTCAGCCTCCCCAGTAGCTGGGATTACAGGCGCCCACCACCTCACCCAGCTAATTTTTGTATTTTTATTAGAGATGGGGTTTCACCATATTGGCCAGGCTGGTCTTGAACTCCTGACCTCAAGTGATCTACCCACCTTGGCCTCCCAAAGTGCTGAGATTACAGGCATGAGCCACCACACCTGGCCAAGATCCTGTCACTTCTTACTTGGATTGATGGACAGTCTATCCTTCCCACAGCACAGCCGGAATGGTCCTTCTCATTTTCAAATTGGATCTAGTACTACTTCCTGCTTTAAAACCATGCAGTGTGTACATATCCAATTTTTAAATATGGCATTCAAAGCCTGTTCTCTTCCTCCAGGCTCAGGAACTTTGTCTGCCTCTACTCCACCACTGCCATGGTGCTCTCTGGCCATGTTGAACCATACCTGGCTCCCCAAGAATGTCATTCTCTCTTCACACCTGCTTTCTTACATGCTGCCCTCTTTGGATCACAGTTCCACCTCTTCTTCACCAGGCTATTGCTTTTTTTTTTTTTTTTTTGAGATGGAGTCTCACTCTGTCACACAGGCTGGAGTGCAGTGGCGCAATCTCGGCTCACTTCAACCTTCGCCTAGCAGGTTCAAGTGATTCTCCTGCCTCAGCCTCCCGAGTAGCTGGGATTACTGGCGCCCACTACGACGCCTGGCTAATTTTTTGTATTTTTTAGTAGAGATGGGGTTTCACCATGTTGGCCAGGCTGGTCTCGAACTCCTGACCTCAGGTGATCCACCCGTCTTGGCCTCCCAGAGTGCTGGAATTACAGGCGTGAGCCACTGCACCCAGCCTATCTCCTATTTCTTTAAAAATAAGCTTAGGCCAGGGGCATCTCCCACTAGACCATGAGTTCCTTGATGGCAGGTATGATGGCTGTTGGCTCTAGAGGCTGAGTGACTAGCATCATGTCAATTAGTACTGAGTCTAGCACATATGGAGTCTCCTCAAGCATTTGTTGAAATAGTTCATTAATGTGGTCAGTTTCAGAGCCAGGGCCTGGCAGCATTGTGCAGTGGGAAAACCCAGATGAAGAGACAGGAGACTCAGCTTCTGGTCAAAGTTCTCCCTCTAACTAGCCGTGGGGCCTTGAGTAAGACACCTCACCTCTCTGGGCCTCAGTTTTCTCATCCGTAGAACAAGAGTATAGAACCAGATATTCTAAGTCTCTCCAGTTCACTAGGGTTGCCCCATCCCCCTCCAGAATCCCTGTGGGCATGCTGTCATGGGCCAAGCCAGGTGCCCACAGCTTTGTGGTTCTATTTTTGTACCTGGCTCACAACTGGGGAAGGGAGGACAGAGGAACCCAGTGAGGATCTTTGGGGCCAGTTTTATCAAATAGGAATCATTCCAAAGGAAGAAGAATTAACCTGACCATGTTCGCAGTTTACAGGAGACATATGAGGCCAAAAGGAACGAGTTCCTAGGGGAACTCCAGAAAAAAGAAGAGGAGATGAGACAGATGTTCGTCCAGCGAGTCAAAGAGAAAGAAGCGGAGCTCAAAGAGGCAGAGAAAGAGGTAAATGTGAGCCTGGTGATTATTAAAATGTCAAGAAACAACAGCTGCTGGTGAGACTGTGGAAAAATAGGAACGCTTTTACACTGTTGGTGTGAATGTAAATTACTTCAACCACTGTGGAAGACAGTGTGGTGATTCCTCAAAGACCTAGAATCAGAAATGCCATTCGACCCAGCAATCCTATAGATCACTTTATTATAAAGATACACACACACATATGTTCACTGCAACACTATTCACAATAGGAAAGACATAGAATCAACTCAAATGCCCATCAATGATAGATTGGATAAAGAAAATGTGGTACATATACACCATGGAATACTATGCAGCCATAAAAAGGAATCAGAGGATGTTCTTTAGAAGGACATGAGTGGAGCTGGGAGCCATTATCTTCAGCAAACTAACACAGGAACAGAAATCCAAACATTGGGCCGGACACTGTGGCTCACGCCTGTAATCCCAACACTTTGGGAGGCCGAGGTAGTTGGATCACCTGAAGTCAGGAGTTCGAGACCAGCCTGGCCAACATGGTGAAACCCTGTCTCTACTAAAAATACAACAATTAGTGGAGTGTGGTGGCACATGCCTATAGTCCCAGCTACTTGGGAGGCTGAGGCAGGAGAATCGCTTGAATCTGGGAAGTGGAGGTTACAGTGAGCTGAGATCATGCCACTGCACTCCAGCCTTGGTGACAGAGCAAGACTCCATCTCAAAAACAAAAAAAAAGAAAGGAAACACTTAATTACTTCACGATTCTCTTCCACATTTAACCTGTCACACTCTCAAGGGTTCTCACCAAAGCCCATGACAAGGGTATTGATTTTTTTTTTCAGTTTCACTTAAAAAAAAAAAATGTCTGTTGGCTGGGCGCGGTGGCTCACGCCTGTAATCCCAGCACTTTGAGAGGCCAAGGCGGGCGGATCACAAGGTCAAGAGTTCGAGACCATCCTGCCTAACACGGTGAAACCCCGTCTCTACTAAAAATACAAAAAAATTAGCCGGGCGTGGTGGCGGGCGCCTGTAGTCCCAGCTACTCGGGAGGCTGAGGCAGGAGAATGGCGTGAACCCGGAAGGCGGAGCTTGCAGTGAGCCGAGATCGCGCCACTGTACTCCAGCCTGGGCGACAGAGCGAGACTCTGCCTCAAAAAAAAAAAATGTCAGACAGGTGCCTTGGCTCAGGTCTGTAATCCCAGCACTTTGGGAGGCTTAAAGCGAGGGGATTGCTTGAGCCCAGGAGTTTAAGACCAGCCTGGGCAACATACTGAGACCCTGTTTCTATTAAAAATAGAAAAAATTGGCTGGGCGCAGTTGCTCACACCTGTAATCCCAGCACTTTGGGAGGTCGAGGTGGGTGGATCACGAGTTCAGGAGTTTGAGGCCAGCCTGGCTAATATGGTGAAACCCTGTCTCTGCTAAAAATACAAAAATTAGCCAGGTGTGGTGGTACGCACCTGTAGTCCCAGCTACTTGGGAGACTGAGGCAGAAGAATTGCTTGAACCCAGGAGGCGGAGGTTGCAGTGAGCCGAGATTGTCCCACTGGACTCCAGCCTGGGCAACAGAGCGAGACTCCATCTCAAAAAAAAAAAATAATTACAAATACAAAAAATTAGCCAGGCATGGTTGCACGTGCCTGTAGTCCCAGCTACCCAGGAGGCTGAGGTAGGAGGAATGCTTCAGCCGAGAGATCGAGGCCACTGCATTCCAGCCTGCGTGACAGAGTGAGACTCTGTCTCAATAAAAAAAACAAAAATGTCACCCAGCACTTTTAGGAGGAGAAGTGAGGGGATCTCAAAGACAAATGAATAAAAGTGCAACAAACAAAAACCAGGTTAAGGCAATTGATAGGCAGCCCTAGTGACTAGTAAGAGCTGCTTTAGGCCAGGCGTGGTGGCTCATGCCTGTAATCCCAACACTTTGGGAGGCCAAGGTGGGCGGATGACAAGGTCAGGAGATCGAGACCATCCTGGCTAACTCAGTGAAACCCCGTCTCTACTAAAAATACAAAAAATTAGCCAGGAGTGGTAGCACGTGCCTGTAGTCCCAGCTACTTGGGAGGCCGAGGCAGGAGAATCACTTGAACCTGGGAGGCGGAGGTTGCAGTGAGCCGAGATTGTGCCACTGCACTCCAGCTTGGGCGACAGAGCGAGACTCTGTCTCAAAAAAAAAAAAAAAAGAAAAGAAAAAAGAAAAGATCTGGTTTATACAGCAAGTCTGTCACTCACCCACCTAAGTGACAGTGCCAAATACCCCCAGGACCCGGAGAACTAACCTTCTTCATCGTATGCTGCAAGTGCTACAGAATCCTAAACTCTCTCCTGAATCCATGAAAGAAAGTGAAATTCGGCTTGCTCTGCTCTTACTATTCAGGGTAGTTTATTGCATTCTAGTTTGTGACTGTCTGTGCCTCTTGTTCTCTGATCCACTTACCACAATGGCATGCCAGAATATTCTTTTTTTTTTTTTCCGAGACAGAGTCTCACTCTTGCCCAGGCTGGAGTGCAGTGGTGCGATCTCGGCTCACTGAAAGCTCCGCCTCCCGGGTTCAAGTGATTCTCCTGTCTCAGCCTCCCAAGTAGCTGGGATTATAGGCAAGCGTCACCACGCCCAGCTCATTTTTGTATTTTTAGTAGAGACGAGGTTTCACCATGTTGGCCATGCTGGTCTAGAACTCCTGACCTTATGCCACCCACCTTGGCCTCCCAAAGTGCTGGGATTGAGCCGACTACTGGGATTACAGCACTCCCAAAGTGCTGGTATTACAGGCGTGAGCCACTGTGCCTGGCCCAGAATATTCTTCTTGTTCTTCTTTGGGTTTCTGGTTCTATTCAGGACTAATTAAGCCTCCCTTTAGTTAAGGCTGAGGTGTCTGTACTCATTCCATGTCATAAAGTCCTTTTTATTTCCTTCCATGTCCAAAGCCAAGTATTTCCTTGACTGGCTTTCCCATACTGAAGTTTTCTCTGAGATCCATGGTGATCCTTCCTGATTGCAGGGGTTAAGAAAAGACAGGGGTTCCTTACACATAAGAGGTCCCATTATATAATGTTCTAAATACTGGGTTGACCATAGTCAAATTCCTTACTTCTCAGACCTTCTGTTTCCTCATAAAATGGAGATAATAACGGAACCTACCTCATAGGAATGTGGTAACAATTAAATAAATTAATATACATAAAGGACTTATAAAAGTCAGTGCTTAGCCTGTAATTACTCGGTAATTTCTTTTTTTATTTTTTGAGACGGAGTCTTCCTCTGTTGCCCAGGCTGGAGTCCAGTGGCACAATCTTGGCTCACTGCAACCTCCGCCTCCTGGGTTCAGGTGATTCTTCTGCCTCAGCCTGCTGAGTAGCTGGGACTACAGGCACATGCCACAATGCCTGGCTAATTTTTGTATTTTTAGTAGAGACGGGGTTTCACCATGTTGGCCAGGCTGGTGTCGAACACCTGACCTCAAGTAATCTGCCCACCTTGGCCTCCCAGAGTGCTAGGATTACAGGCCTGAGCCCGGCCAGCACTCAGTAAATGTTATATTATTATAATTGATGTTATTATTGACCATGTGTGGTAACTATGGGGACTCTTTTTAACAAAATGTCTGACTAAACACAATGCAGTATTCCTTTACCATATTCAGGAGCAGAGACTTGGAGATAAAATGGCAGGAAGAGAGAACGATCCAGAGCATGGTGCCTTTGGTGCCATCATAGCAATCCCTGACAGAAATGCCCCCTGAGGTTCCAGGGTCCTGCAGGGTCACAGCCCTACTGGTCCCCACCCACCTGGGCTTGGCCAGGCTGGGGACTGCTCACAGGGGATTCTCTCCAATCTCCCTGTGCTTCCCTGCCAGCTGCACGAGAAGTTTGACCGTCTGAAGAAACTGCACCAGGACGAGAAGAAGAAACTGGAGGATAAGAAGAAATCCCTGGATGATGAAGTGAATGCTTTCAAGCAAAGAAAGACGGCGGCTGAGCTGCTCCAGTCCCAGGGCTCCCAGGCTGGAGGCTCACAGACTCTGAAGAGAGACAAAGAGAAGAAAAAGTAAGTAGCAGGCTGCTCTGGGGTGGTGCCTTCTCTTTCCTCCTGCTCATCCTCCCAGGGCAGGACGTGGCACCTGAAGGGGCTGAGGACTGGTGACCAGAGGTGAGCTGTGGGCTGTCAGACTGGTTGAGGTACCTATAACTGGTCCCAGCATCCCTGTGGCACCTTTGGATTCCCTGAGCTTGGGGAGTTGAGAGTAGCAGAGGGGTGTGGTCCCAGAGGCCCAGCCCATCTGTCCAGCTTGCTCAGGAAAGCCCTGCAAACTCAAGGTCCATAGGAAAGGAAGGGAAAAGAGGAAAAGCAAAGGAGAGTGAGAGAGCAGAAGGGAAGAAAAAAATTAGAGGTGCAGCAATATAAGAGAGGAACAAGGCCGGGCACGGTGGCTCACACCTATAATCCCAGCACTTTGGGAAGCCAAGGCAGGAGGAACACTTGAGGTCAGGAGTCCAAGACCAGCCTGGCCTATATGGCGAAACCCCGTCTCTGCTTAAAAAAAAAAGAAAAAAAAAATAGGCTGGGCACGGTGGCTCACACCTGTAATCCCAGCACTTTGGGAGGCCGAGGCAGGCAGATCACAAGGTCAGGAGATCGAGACCATCCTGGTTAACACAGTGAAACCCCATCTCTACTAAAAATACAAAAAAATTAGCTGGGTGTGGTGGTGGGTGCCTGTAGTCCCAGCTACTCGGGAGGCTGAGGCAGGAGAATGGGGTGAACCTGGGAGGCGGAGCTTGCAGTGAGCAGAGATCGTGCCACTGCACTCCAGCCTGGGCGACAGAGCGAGACTCCGTCTCAAAAAAAAAAAAAAAAAAAGAGTTCAAGACCAGCCTGAACAACATGGTGAAACCCTGTCTCTACTAAAAATACAAAAATTAGCCAGGCGCGGTGGCGCGCGCTTATAATCCCAGCTACTCAGGAGGCTGAGGCAGGAGAATTGCTTGAACCCAGGAGGCAGAGGTTGCAGTGAGTTGAGATCGCACCACTGCCCTCCAGCTTGGGCGACAGAGCGAGACTCCATCTAAAAAAAAAAAAAAAATACAGAAATTAGCTGCCTGTAGTCCCAACTACTCAGGAGGCTGAGGCAGGAGAATCACTTGAACCCGGGAGGTGTAGGTTACAGTAAGCTGAGATCACACCACTGCACTCCAGCCTGGGCAACGGAGTGAGACTCCATCTGAAAAAAAAAAAAATAGAAAAGAAAGAGAGGAACAAAAAGAACTGCAGCTACGGGCCGGGCGTGGTGTAATCCCAGCACTTTGGGAGGCCAAGGCGGGTGGATCACTTGAGTTCAGGAGTTCGAGACCAGCCTGGCCTACATGATGAAACCTTGTCTCCACTAACAATACAAAAAATTAGCCAGGCGTGGTGGCGTGCGCCTGTAATCCCAGCTACTTGGGAGGCTGAGCAGGAGAATTGCCTGAACTGAGGAGGCAGAGGTTGCAGTGAGCTAAGATAGCACCATTGCACTCCAGCCTGGGCGACAGATTGAGACTCTGTCTCAAAAAAAAAAAAAAAAAAAAAAAAAAGAAGTGCAGATACAGGATAGTGGAAGAAAGAGAGAGCCTTTAGCAGAAACTCGGTGCACCCTCTCCCCACCCTTGCCCTATATCTGAGGTTGCTCACCTCTCCATGGCCGTAGTCCCACCCTCACCCTGCCTCAGTTATTACTCTCTGCAGCCAACAGAATTTAACTGCTGCCAGTGAAGGCTGCAGCTCAGCCCTGATTTCCCACCCCTTTGTGATCCCTCCCTGCTGGCTTAGTTCTGCCTAGCCTGGGGTGCTGAGAACTTATGGGGGAGCCCTCAGATGCCAGTGTATGCTGCATGTGCCCCATCCTCAATCTGTGGAATGACTGTAAGACCTTCTGATCTCCCCTGGTATTAGAACAGTGGCTCCTGGATACCATGTGGGTCAATAATCCTCACCCAACCCCAGTCTCTGCTTGCTGAAGTTACCCATTCCTCATCCCAGAACTGGAGAAAAATATTTCAACGGGATCTAGAAAAACTCCTGTGGTGCCCTTGTGCCCTGCAGTTGTTTGTGCAGTGTGGCTTGAGGAGTTCCCAGGTGGACTGTTTAGCTGTGTCTTTACTGAAGGGTACTGAGGATCCAAAAGGTGTCCATGGTCATTGCCTTCTGTTTTCAGCCATTTGTTCCTGGACTTAACTATGGGATATTTTTGCCAGAAGGAAGAAACACCTTCCTTTCCTCTGGCTTATCACTTAGGAATAACATGGTAACTTTTGCATAACAGTAAAATATGTTATATTTGAAGGCATTCAGCTTTGCAATCCAATTACTCTTTATGCAAATGTGTAATTTAAACATCTTGGCCGGGTACGGTGGCTCACGCCTGTAATCCCAGCACTTTGGGAAACTGACGCAGGCAGATCACCTGAGGTCAGGAGTTTGAGACCAGCCTGGGCAACATGGCGAAACCCCGTCTCTACTAAAAATACAAAAATTAGCTGGGCATGGTGGCCCACACCTGTAGTCCCAGCTACTCAGGAGGCTAAGGCAGGAGAATCACTTGAGCCTGGGAGGTGGAGGTTGCAGAACCAAGATCATGCCACTGCACTTCAGCCTGGGTGACAGAGTGAGACTTTGTCTAAAAAAAAAAAAAGAACATCTTCACCAATTAGTCCAGAAATTTTTCTTACTGAATCTTAATACTATATGTCAAATTCACTGATGAATGAAATTTTTTGGTATTACCTGATGGATAAAGTTCAACTAGCCAGAAAAAAGTCTCTTTGGACACACCCTGTACTGTATTAACTTATCTGTCATGGTGTATTAGTTGCACCAGCAGGAATGAATTCCTATTTTTAAGATCAGAAAAATCTAAATTTGTCATCCAGCTGTAACCTGCTGCCTTCATAGTCCTGTGGTATTTGTTAACTCAGTACCTGGGGCAGTTTCATAGCCTGCTTGTGGGAGTTAGGAATTGGTTTGTTCAGGCTACAATGAAACTATAAATATTCCCTATTCAGATGTTCAGTAAAAGTTCTTCTTACATCAAGCTTTCCCCTTGTTGCCTCATACTGACTGACTTCTCCCACCCCAGGCAGGAGACCCCAACAGGGAGATACCCCTCTCTACTCTTCAGGAATATTTGGGGTTGGTGACAGTGCCCCTTTCCAATTCTGAAATGGGTGAAAACCCTGCTGGCATGTGGCACCTTATATTAGCAATAAGGGCCTAACAGAATGACCTGTCTTCTTCTGTACTTCCAGATGCAGAAGTGGCCCTGAATCTTGGCTTCTTATGTAATTTCATGAGCAATTTGTTAACTTCTGGAAGAGCCACCGTTAGACCTGTGCTACCCTCCTCCCATAGTCACGGTAGTGAGTTTTGAGGGCAGAAATGGTGGTAGTAGTATTTCTTCTTGAGAGATGGTGGTTGGATCTAAGAGTCACATATTCAGAATTTCCTTTAGCTGCCCCTAAAGAGATTAAGAAAGTACTGGCCAGCCGTGGTGGCTCATGCTTGTAATCCCAATACTTTGGGAGGCCAAGGCGAAGGATTGCTTGAGTCCAGGAGTTTGAGATCAGCCTGGGCAACATAGTGAGACCTTTGTCTCTACAAAAAAAATAAATAAATAAACATTAGCTGGGCCTGGTGGCACTTGCCTATAATCCCAGCTACTCAGGAGACTGAGGTGGGAGAACTGCTTGAACCCGGGAGGTTGAGGCTGCAGTGAGCCATGATTGCGCCACTGCACTCCAGTCTGGGCAACAGAGAGAGACCCTGACTCAAAAAAAAAAAAAAAAGAGTATCAGTGTTTCAGGGGTTCCTACCAGTCCACCCTTCCCACTTCCCCTTCCTGCTACTCCTAATCACCTTTGACCTCTAACCCTTCATTGTTTGTGTCAAGTCATAATATTTGATTTCCCCTCATGCTCACTCCATCTTCATCAGCTCTTACTGTTTTACAGTTAACTCTGCTGTTTGCTGCATGCTGCATGAGACCCAGGGTCCTGGTAAGCTTGATTAACTCTAAATAGAACTGGCAGTGGCTTCTAGAACATATCTCCCCCAATCCCGCACCCCCAACACAAGCATCTAATCGTAGAAGAAGCTGCTTCATTGGTCTAGCTGGTTTTCTCTCGTGACTTATAATATGCAGAAATAGTCTGGTGTGGTTTCAGGTGTACATGTGGAATGCCTGCCTGCCTGCCTGATTAAAGTGAGGGGTCGTTTTCAGACTTTTGCTGCTAGAACAGCTGGGTAACACAGGTGGATCCTGTGATCAGTATTTGAGGTTTCAGTGTGGGAAGTTTTTTTCTTAAAGAGCCATAATCGGGCCGGACGCAGTGGCTCACAGACCTGTAATCCCAGCACTTTGGTAGGCCGAGGAGGGCAGATCACCTGAGGTCAGAAGATTGAGACCATCCTGGCTAACACGGTGAAGCTCCATCTCTACTAAAAATACAAAAAATTAGCCGGACATGGTGGCACAGGCCTGTAATCCCAGCTACTCTGGAGGCTGACACAGGAGAATCGCTTGAACCTGGGAGGCGGAGGTTGCAGTGAGCCGAGATTGCACCATTGTACTCTAGCCTGGGCAACAAGAGCGAAACTCCATCTCAAAAACAAAAGGAGCTATAACCATTATTTTCAAAATTAATGAAACCGTGGTGATGAGAGAAACTGGGTTTCACAAGCTCCGTCCTGCAATGTCACAGTCAGCATCAACCCTCTCCCATCCCCCTGCATCAGGTTTGAGAATGTCCAGAGTCAATGGAAACTCACTTCTCTGTTTCCCGCTGGTGGCAGTTTCATATCTGAGGGGTTCAAGTCCTCAAATTTCCTTTGACTGTACCCCTCAAAACCATAATAAGGCTGAGAGCAGTGGCTCACGCCTGTAATCTTAGCACTTTGGGAGGCCGAGGCGGGCGGATCACCTGAGGTCGGGAGTTCGAGACCAGCCTGACCAACATGGAGAAATCCTGTCTCTACTAAAAATACAAAATTAGCCGGGCGTGGTGGTGCATGCCTGTAATCCCAGCTACTCGGGAGGCTGAGGCAGGAGAATTGCTTGAACCTGGGAGGCGGAGGTTGCAGTGAGCCGAGATCGCACCTTTGCACTCCAGCCTGGGCAATAAGAGCGAAACTCCGTCTCAAAAAAACAAACAAACAAACAAACAAAAAAAAAAACAAAAAAAAAAAACCCATAATAAAAGCGGAGGAAAATGAAGAGATCTTAGAAATTATAGAGAATTCCTTACATTTAATCCTACAAGTACTGGCTTCATGAAAACCTCTTATAAGGAGATCAGCAGGTAAGGATTCCTGAGTGCTAGATGTTGTGTTAATAGAAGTTTATAAAGTTTCACATAGTTTATAGGGAGACTGAAAGCAGGGATTAAGGACCTTCTATCTCCTCTACTAGACTCAGGTAGTGGATGGAAAGGAAATACAAACATTTTTAATTTAACATAATTAGGGTTTTTTTTGTTTGTTTGTTTCTTTTTTTGAGACGGAGTCTCACTCTGTCACCGAGGCTGGAGTGCAGTGGCACAACCTCAGCTCCCTGCAACCTCCGCCTCCTGGGTTCAAGCAATTCTCATGCCTCAGCCTCCCAAGTAGCTGGGATTATAGGCATGTGCCACCATTCCTGGCTAATTTTTGTATTTTTAGCAGAGACCGGGTTTCACCACGTTGGCCCAGGCTGGTCTCAAACTCCTGACCTCAGGTGATCTGCCTACCTTGGCCTCCCAAAGTGCTGAGATTACAGGCGTGAGCCACCGCGCCCGATGAAGGGTTATTATTATTTTTTTTAAACTTTACCGTGGAAACTTTCAAACATGAGCAAAATAAGAGGATAATACAGTTCAGCCCCCAGGCAACCATAAACATATGCCTAATCTTGTTTCATCAATTACTACAGACCTGCTGAATTATTATAAAGCAAAACTATATCATTTTATCTGTAAATACTTTAGTATATATTTCCAAGAGATAATGATTCTTTAAAAAAACATAACCACAACCCCACCATTATCACACCTACAAAATGAACAATAATTCATTAACATGAAATGTCTAGTCAGTGTTTGAAACATCCCGGTTGTCTCATAAATGCCCTTTTACATTTGGTTTGTTTGGATCAGGGAATATAAAATATAGAGAAGACTTTTCCCCACTCACCCATGTAGTTTATGATTTAAATGGAGAGCCTGCTGTTAGTCACCAAACTGATTGCCGCAGCTATTGCACTGGGGACTCGGGGCAGCTGGCAAAACATCCTGCTTGGAAGCAAATCCTGAAGAGGAAGTCCATAGAGGTTTCTGCAACATAAGGCCCATGAAACCGGGCCAAAGGAAACAATCTTAAAAGAACAGTGACTTGATTTACTGTCTGGCTTAACAGCAAGTCTTGGAGCCCCTGCTAGTTGACTGGAATTAAACAGCAGATTTCCATTTAGGAAGACAGTCAGTTCCTAGAATGCCTGTCCATTCTTTGCACTGTATGTAGTTCCAGTGCGTAGTGAAGTGTCTGACATGTAATAGGAACTCAGTTCATGTGTTATGTTCTTTGTTCTCCCATTTTTAATGAGGTGAGCAGGAAATATGTATTCTAGTTAATGAGATTTCAGTTAATTCAGGTTTCACTGCACGTGGCTTGACACAGTTGCTTACAGGTTTCCCCAAGTAAATCATTGTTAGTGGCCATTCCTAAAATGAATTCTGGCAAAACTATAATTAAAGCTACACTTTACAAGTGAGAGGCAATTGGTAAACAGCTGGAACAGCCAACCCCAACCCCAAGTAGGTTGGCTCTTCCTGGCAGGATTCTCCCTGGCAGACCACGAAAGCAATTTCAGACCAACGAGTCAGGGGAGGCTTTGGCTCCCCAGGATCTGAAAGCAGCAAAGGCAACCCGCCCCCTCCTCAAAGCCCTCATTCAAGGGGTGGATCACGAAGGCCACCTAGAATGCAGGCAGAGTGAGGCTTACTGTGCCTCCACATTTTGAAATTGCTTGAGGCACTACTTATAGCTCTCTGCATTTGTAAAAGCGATTCCTTTGTGACCCCCTACATCGTTGCAGATACTCTACCTCAATCATTATTGGTCCTTAGGAGTGCACAGTATATGGATAGTATACACACATCAAAATACGTCAGCCTTCCCATGAAACCTAGAACATAGGCCATTGCAGTGTTTTTTAGATTACTCTTCCCCTAGGAAGTAGACAAAGAATAAAAATAAGATATGAGCATTTGTATAGCTTTTATTACTTTCCAAAGTGTTTTTTTTTGTTGTTGTTGTTTTGTTTTTGTTTTTGTCTTTTGTATAGTATCTCATTTTATACTTACAACAGGTCTGTGAGGTAGAGAAGGAATAATCCCCAGTTTGCAAGATGAGTAAATGGAAGCTGGGCGAGGTGGCTCACTTATGTAATCCTAGCACTTTGGGAGGCTGAGGTGGGAGGATCACTTGAGCCCAGGAGTTGGAGACCAGCCTGGGCAGCATGGTGAAACCCTATCTCTCTATTTTTTTTTTTTTTTTTTAAGAGAGTTGGCTGGGCATGATGGCTCACGCCTGTAATCCCAGCACTTTGGAAGGCCGAGGCAGGAGGATCACCCGAGGTCAGGAGTTCAATACCAGCCTGGCCAACATGGTGAAACCCTGTCTCTACTAAAAATACAAAAATTAGCTGGGCATGGTGGCGGGTGCCTATAATCCCAGCTACTTGGGAGGCTGAGGCAGGAGAATTGCTTGAACCCCAGAGGCGGCGGTTGCAGTGAGCCAAGATCGCACCATTGCACTCCAGCCTGGGTGACAGAGCAAGACTCCATCTCAAAAGAAATAAAAATACACACACACACACACACACACACACACACACACACACACACACACACCAGCTCTGGGCCCAGCTGTGACTCTTTGCAGCCACAGGCAAGTCTGTTGACTTCTCTGTGTTTCTTGGTCTACTCATATGAAATGGGGATCAGTTCTACTTGCTGTATTTATGTCACAGGAATGAAATTTACATGGAAGAGAGGTCAAAGTATTATTTAAGCACAAACCAATGATGGGTTTCCATAGTTCACATTTTCAGGTAACTGTGGTCTGGACCCTAGAACAGAGTTCTGCAATCATCCCCATATGCTCTGCAAACAGGTCTTGCCCCAGAGTACCAGTTAGCTGACTAGGACAGCTCTAAGGATCTCCTGGGGTGAAACCTCAGCCTCCTCTACTTTCCCAATGGGACAGGAAATGCAGTGGCTAGAGCCTGGGGCTCTATCCAGTGGCCTGAGGCCACTTAGAGATTTGTGGAAGGTATTCCTGTACAAGGTATTGGGTGGTGGTGCTGGGGGTGGGTGGTGGTGCTGGGGGTGGGTGGTGGGGGACACTAGTCAGGACCTAGTCATTAAGAAGAGATAGGCCGGGCTCAGTGCCTCACGCCAGTAATCCCAGCACTTTGGGAGGCTGAGGCGGGTGGATCACTTGAGGTCAGGAGTTCGAGACCAGCCTGGCCAACATGATGAAACCCCCGTCGCTACTAAAAATACAAAAATTAGCCGAGCGTGGTGGCAGGCGCCTGTAATCCCAGATACTCAGGAGGCTGAGGCAGGAGAATCGCTTGAAATTGGAAGATGGAGGTTGCAGTGAGCCAAGATCACGGCCACTGCACTCCAGCCTGGGCAAAAGACCAAAACTCCATCTCAACAACAACAACAAAAAAGAGCCGGGTGCAGTGGCTCACGCCTGTAATCCCAGCACTTTGGGAGGCCAAGGCGGGCAGATCATGAGGTCAGGAGATCGAGACCATCCTGGCTAACACGGTGAAACCCCGTCTCTACTAAAAATACAAAAAAATTAGCCGGGTGTGGCGGCGGGCTCCTGTAGTCCCAGCTGCTGGGGAGGCTGAGGCAGGAGAATGGCGTGAACCCGGGAGGCAGAGCTTGCAGCGAGCCGAGATCGCACCACTGCACTCCAGCCTGGGTGACAGAGCAAGACTCTGTCTCAAAAAAAAAAAAAAAAAGAAAGAAAGATAAAATGTATTTTTGTGGTTGTTGATCATTATTTTGCTGGCTAATGCCACTGCTGCCATCATGTGGGAGTGTGTGTGGAGTGTATGAGAGAGAAAGCATGTTCCCCGGAGCCAATGCAATAAGACCTTAAGACCATCTAACATAGCTATATTCTAATTTAGCCATTAGTCCTCATTACTTAATTTTCTTCTGACTTTTTTTTTTTTTTGGTACATTAATCTATCCATTCATTAACTCAGCTTCTCTTTTCATTTTCAGTTTGGGCTTCCTGTAGACACCCTTTTCCTGCGCAACAGAGCTGGGCCTCCCTTTCTCTAATTTCCCCCTTAACATGCCTGGGGGGCATACAATCCAACCCGCGCCCTCTCCTCTCTTCCTGCCAAGGTTTATAGAAACCTGAGAATCTGAGGGTGATGTCTGGCCGCTGGTCAAGAAGCCAACAGTCATGTGGCTCGCAGATGCATCCTGCATCCCAGTCCCCCTCCCAGCACCCCCAGCCATCCCCCCTGTCTTCCCCCACATCTTTGCCAGAGGTGTGACATGGTCAGGGGGCCCATCTGCTACTCTTTCCCACCAGCTCCCCTGTTCCAGTTCTGGTTGCTGTTAGTTTCCCTGAGGTATTTGCAACCACCATGGCTGGGTAACCACCGATCAGCACAGCTGTCCCCTTGGTCTCCTGTATCCCAGTCACTAGTCCTCCCTGGTCCACCCCACCCTCATCCTCAGGAGCCACAGCCATTTCTTAGAGGGTTTCAAAAGGACAGCCTTTGGCGCCTTTTCCTTCTAACCTTTGAGTCCAGCCCTTTCCAGTTTTCATTCACTCGAAGTAACTGCACTCAAGCTGTGCTCAAAATCGGCAACGCATTTATTTACACCAAGCCCTTCCCATAAAACACAACTGCTGAAGAAAATAGCAGACGTTTCCCCTCTCTCTAACTCTGGGTATCCCACAGATGCAAAAGGGAGAATAAACCTGAATATTATTACCAGCCTAGAGTCTTGAATGATAGCCTTACCGAATTCTTCTTGTGAGGTATTTCAGCATCTCGGGGGGTAATTTCCGGAAGGGCTCCATACTGTCCCAATAAGGTGAGGCCAGTAGCAGGAATAATAAATCCCACTTTGTAGGCTGGAAAACTGAGCTGTCAAAAGAATCAAGTGTTTGGGGGTTTGCTCTGATGAGTCTTCTAGTTCATTTGGTGAATGTCATGATGATTTTTAACATGCATTTTGCATGCATCCCCCAATAAGAAGAGATGAGACTCGGCCGGAGAGAAGAAAAGGCCCTTAACTTTCTTTCCAATTTAAGGAGTTGAGAGTTTAAAAATATTCCAGCCCTAAGTTTTTATCATGGGTCCCATCTGATAGTGGCTTTGGGAACCTCTGTGAAGTAGAGAGCCCTCCCTTGTCAGGGTTATGAGGCACAGTGGCCTTTGGTGTTTGGCCAGTGACAGTGTGAGAGATGGAGTTGACCTGGCAATGATCTGTGGCTAACATGCCGTCTCTCTGCCCTTCCTTTGCAGTAATCCATGGCTGTGTACTGAATAGTATTCCCCGCTACAGCTGGACTGGACTCCATTTAGCCTTTTAAGCCGAGGTTCCTATTTTAACTGACAGCTTTCCTTTGGGGTGCCAGGCAGCGAGGCCCCCCACCCCTATCCTGCCATGTACTTCAAGCTCACTTCTTCTTTTTGAGTTCCGCAACTTGCTCCTGCCTCCCAGCCCCACTGGCACTGACCATGACCACCTACTTCTATTTTTTTTTTAGAGTTTCTTTTTTTGATCACTTACTTTCAAAGCACACAGTCAAACAAGGTTATGCCAAATTTCCAGGCCTTTTTGAAGTATTGAGAAGGGGAAGGGGATTTCTCACTTCAATTATAGATCATAATAGGAAGCAAAAAGAAAAAAATGAAAAGCAAACATATGCACGCACTTTTCTTGTTGACAAAGCAAGAATATAGGTTTGCTGTGTAGGTTTGGTGCTCTATTGATTGGTGAGTGACCAGAGCAAGTATGAAGGTGATGCTGCCAAAGCACAAGCCAGTTTCTTGGGAAAATTCAAGTTACAGTGGAGTATTTTTTTGAAGACCATATGCTTGGAGGTAGAAACAAACCAACGACCAAAAAAAAAAAAAAAAAAATCTGCTCAGATACTCAGCCAGTAGCTCAGAGAGATGCTGAGTTAGGCCTGTCAGGTCTCCTTGGGAAAGGCTTCATATTTGCAACTTTGATGATTCTATGTCCAGCTTCAGAGCTGCTTTCCCAGAAATTCACGCTTAAACAACCAACCGGTAACCACCACTTCCCCACACCGCCGCCCGGTAATTATTTGCATTACAAACCGGAGGCGCCCTCATTTGCATTTGTGTACAGATTAACTAGTTAAGGCTTGAGAAGCTCTGAATAATTCAAAAGTATTAGACCCACACAGCCTTGGAGAGACCTTCAGAAACTAAGGAGGAGTTTTATATTAAGGGAGACATTTTAGTCAGTAAGACGATATAACCTACTTACTCCGTAAGGGGAAATGAAGGCCCAGAGAAGGGAAGGGACTTGACCGAGGTCCCACTTCTGTTTCGAGGCAGAAGCCAGACTAATTTTCATGCCTCCTGACTCCCAATCAGTTTCACAAAGGGATTCAATCTGTTTATATACGTTACATTCCTGGATACGAGGTCTTTTGATGTTCAGAGTAACTGACTAGTTAGTATTAGAAGACCCTCGAGGTTTTTTTCCACAGAAAAACATCTGAAGATGGATTGGGTGAGGGCTGGCAAAACGAAGGCATGCCGGGCCAGCTCCTTAACCCAATGACCCAGTGATGCTGCAAGGCTGGAACGGGGTCCAGGAGACTGTGTGTAACAGGTGCCCTAGGTGACCCTTATAATCAGGGAAGTTTGGTGAACAAAAATCGAACCCATGAGTGAACATAAATTAAAAAGTTGATCAACCTATTAAAATGTGTATTTCATTGGGTAGCTTTTCTCACTGTAGACAGATTTTTTCCTTCTTCAATGAAAAGGCTTTTAAATTAGTACAACTGTTACTATTTAAAAAAAAAATACCCTAAGTACTCTGTTTACTTCTGGTGAAACAAAACCAGTCATTAGAAATGGTCTGTGCTTTTATTTTCCCAGACTGGAGTGGCTTTTCTGAAACACACACACACACACACACACACACACACACACACACACACACACACACGTACACACATCCCTCACTTCTCTTAAGCCAAGAAGTTTGCTTTCCCTAGCTGCAGTGTAGATGGCTCTTGTTTTTGTTTTTTTGTTTTAATCATTTGGCATTCACATGTGGCTGTTAATATGTGCTTGTTTTTAATTAAAACAAGAAGCTTTAAACTGGTGTGTGGTGTTCTTAAAACCTTCTCAGCAGATTTCCCCGTGGTGATGGCCCAGCAATGACCCCCATTTCTAACCTGTCTTCTCACACTACAATCTGTGCTACCTCAATATTGCCCATTCCCCTCCCCCTGTCTTACTTTGAATGTCCTCTTTCTTTGGCTAATTTCATGTTTTCTTTCTCTTTCTCTCTCCTTTCCAGCTTTTTTTAATCTTGTCTTCAGCAGCTGCACTAAGTCTAAAGGAGAAGACTGCCATTATAGAAGAGTTAGGGTTCCATATTGTCTCAAATCAGAAATCAACCAATTTCCTCTCCCCTCAAACTGCAAGCACACACACATACACCACACCACTCAACAAGTGTTCATGTGTCCCTGTGTCCAGGCAAGAAGCTCTCTTCCTGACTCACATGGTATTTTAAATGGAAGTGTCTTGTCCTAACTAACAAGGCAGGAAAAGAACCATCAGAGCTGGAAAATGGACGAAATGTAACCTCAGAGAAACAACTACAGGACCACTCACCCAAGTGTAAGTGACTGGGGCAGGACACCTCAGCTGTGGGTATGAAAGTACTGTTCTGTTCACAAGGTTTTGTTTGAGTTTTATGTTTTTCTTTTAAACATTTCTCTGGTTCGATGGGTTGACTGTCTACAGCCACTGTTAAACATTTCTGAATATGCAAGAGAAAGTCAAGTGACATTTGTATCTTCTTCAGCATTCGCAGACCTTCTATAGATTCCAGCAAAGGGGGAAAATGTATCCACTATCTAACACTTAGGTAGAGAAGGGAGGGGGTTTAAGCTTAGTGAGGGCAAAATTACTCCATTCCACCTTCCGAGACCAGTTAGGGTTTTGAGAGAGGTTTCTGCTCAACCTGGGATCTGGAGGGAGAGCTTTGATGTTGGTAAATCTGCCTTGAATTCATTGGTTTAACTTGCATCAAAATACCATGTGAGTGTGCTCATTCTCATATATCCCCTACCACCATCACCACCATTCTGCTGTTCAGTGTCTCTTGAGAGAGCCTCTTTGCATGTTTTCCAGAATCTGTGTGTGTTTTTCCTTTCTTCTCCTTTGTTCTTTTTGCTCAAAGGTGTGACCAGTCATTGCCCCTCTGGGGCTTTCATTCTCCAGGAGAAACATCCCAGAACCAGCACTGTTTAGCCTGATACCTTTCTAATGTCCATGTCAATTTTCAATAAAATTCAAAGAAATGCTAAATGGCTGTGTGATCTGATCTTAAGTCACTGGGTGATGCGGCCCACCACGGTTTGCCTGAGGAGTGGGTGGCTGCCTTCTGAGTGGGTGATTTGAAGGGCTCAGGGAGGCACCACCAGCCTATGAAATCTTCCTAGATGGGTTGCCATCCCCCGTGCCCGCCCCCTCCAACTTTATTCCAGCTGGGCCTGAAATTCCCAACACCTGGGGTGGAGGTGGGCAGGAAGTCCTCCACTTTTTCTTTATTAGCATGGATTCAACTAAGTTGAGCTGATTATCATTTAGTATATTAGATGGAGAATGTGGAGCGCCAGAGCCTACGGAACAAG
Organism: Homo sapiens; assembly: GCF_000001405.40. NCBI lineage: Eukaryota > Metazoa > Chordata > Mammalia > Primates > Hominidae > Homo > Homo sapiens. The sequence goes on along the minus strand of NC_000023.11, from coordinate 119,615,397 downwards.
ATTCAGGTGAGTTTTAATTCTGGCAGGAAAAGAACTCTATGCCACGTGTCTTCTCTCATTTAATCCTGTGATGTGAGCATCCCCCAAAATTCATGGATATGACTATTCTTTATGACTCAAAAAGCATTCTATAGATACTAAGGAGTATTTTGTGTCCTGGGTCTACTAGAGAGCGGAGCCTCCCATCCTCCTAAGCATTAAAGTAGGCAAGAGAGAGAGTCATCACTTTAAAGAACTCTGGTGGCCCTTAGGAAAACGAATTTTCTTCAACTTTGTTTTCCTAAGGGCCAGGGTGCAGACATCAGGGCATGCATCCTTTCCTTACAGAGGCCTGGAGGCTTCAGAAAATATCCATGTATATAGGCCTGGCTCTGCGCAGCTCACACACTAGGAGACAGCCGAGTGAGACAATACGTCTGTGACGTTTGTGACGTCACCGAGCAGAGGCAGGCACTGAGGTGTTATGGAAAATTACAAGCCCTGGAGCCCTACAGACTTGTGAGCTGTAAGCAAGGTGGGCAGATCACCTGGGGTCGGGAGTTTGAGACCAGCCTGACCAACATGGAGAAACCCCGTCTCCACTAAAAATACAAAATTAGCCGGGCGTGGTGGCACGCGCTTGTAATCTCAGCTACTTGGGAGGCTGAGGCAGGACAATCGCTTGAACCTGGGAGGCGGAGGTTGCCATGAGCCGAGATCGCGCCATCGCACTCCAGCCTGGGCGACAGAGTGAGACTCCATCTCAAAAATAAATAAGTAAAATAAAAATTTAATAAAACGTCTCCAGAAAAGGAGGACATCAGTGATTGCCTTGCCATGGTCATTGTGAAGGCTACCTGAGCTAAAAGTTAAAGACCTGGGCGTTCAGTCAGTGGGCTCCCTTGTTAAGGACTGAGTTTTCCCTGTACTAGAAAGTACTCACCTGGCCAGGTGCAATGGCTCACGCCTGTAATCCCAGCACTTTGGAAGGCCGAGGTGGATGGATCACTTGAGGCCAGGAGTTCAAGACCAGCCTGGCCAACATGGTGGAACCCCGTCTCTACTAAAAATACAAAAATTAGCCAGGCATGGTGGCACGTACCTGTAATCCCAGCTACTGGGGAAGCTGAGGCAGGAGAATTGCTTGAACCTGGAAGGCAGAGCTTGCGGTGAGCCGAGATCGCGCCATTGCACTCCAACCTGGGCGACAGAGCAAAACTCTGTCTCAGAAAGAAAAAAAAAGAAAGTACTCACCTTAGAGTCCTATAATCCAGAGTTTCTCAACCACAGTACTATGGACATTTGGGACCAGACATCTGGAGGGCTGTCATGTGCGTTAAAGAATATTTAGCACTATCCCTGGCCTCTACTAACTAGATATCAGTAGGATGCCCTCCCTACCCTCCACAGTTGTGACCACCAGAAATGTTTCCAGGCATTGCCAAAATGTTCCCTGTGCACAATCGCCCCATGTGGACAACCATTGCTTTAGGTCAGGAGTGAGCAAACTTTTTTTTTTTTTTCTTGAGACTGGATCTCACTGTGTTGCTCAGGCTGGAGTGCAGTGGTGCGATCACAGCTCACTGCAGCCTCAAAATCCTGGGCTCAGGTGATCCTCCCACCTCAGCCTCCTGAGTATCTGGGACTATAGGCTCGTGCCACCATGCCCAGATTGTTTTTAATTTTTTTTGGAGGAGGGTAGAGACTGGGGTCTGGCTGTTGCTCAGTGTGGTCTTAAACTCCTGGGCTCAAGCGATCCTTCCACTTCGGCCTCCCAAAGAGCTGGGATTATAGGCGTGAGCCACCGCACCCAGCTGCAAACTTTTTCTGTAAAGCGCCAGCTGATAAATATTTTAGGCTTTGCAGGCCATGTGATCTCTGCAACTATTCAACTGTTACTACAGCACAAAAGCAGCCGTAGATAATATGTAAGAGGTTGAGCATGGCTGTGCTCAATAAAACTTCACTTATGGACATATGATTTGAATTTCACATATCCTGAATTATTCTTTTGATTTTTTTTTTTTTTTTGAGACAGGGTCTCACTCTTCGTCCAGGCTGGAGTGCAGTGGCATAGTCATAGCTCACTGCAGCCTCGAGCTCCTGGGCCCAAGCAATTCTCTTGCCTCAGCCTCCCAAGTAGCTGGGACTACAGGAGAGCGCCCCGACGCCCCGCTAATTCTTGTATCTTTTGTAGACACAGGTTTCCTCATGTTGCCCAGGCTGGTCTTGAACTTTTGAGCTCGAGCGATCCACCCACCTTGGCCTCCCAAAGTGCTGGGATTACAGTCGTGAGCCACTGTGCCCAGCAATTTTTTCCCAGCCATTAAGAAACGTAACCAAAACTAGCCTGGTGTCGTGGGCCTGTAGTCCCTGGCCCGCCACCACGCCTGGCTAATTTTTGTATTATTAGTAGAGACGGATTTTGCCATCTTGGCCAGGCTAGTCTCTAACCCCTGACCTCAAGTGATCCTCCCGCCTCGGCCTCCCAAAGTGCTGGGATTACAGGGGTGAGCCACTGCTCCCGGGCTTAATTAAATCCTTTGCATGAGATCTAGTTAGATGCTGCCCTTGGGGAACTTGCAGACTGGCCCCTTGTATCTACTCAACCACGTTTTTCAACACTTCCCAATATTTGTTCTCTGTCCAGTCTATTCTGTCTCTGCACAAACCTCTCCCTGAGTTACACAAACTGTTCGTTGACTCTGTCTGAAATATCATCTACTGATTTAAATCCTACCTTCAAGGCTCAGGTCCTACTTTAAAGACTTTCTTGATCTCATCCACCTATCCTGATTCCTGATCTCTTCTCCATTTTCAAACTCCCTAGTTGAACTTTTTTTTTTTTTTAACACTGTCTGACTCCATCGCCCAGGCTGGAATGCAGTGGCATGATCACGGCTCACTGCAACTGCTACCTCCTGGGCTCAAGCGATCCTCCCACCTCAGCCTCCCGAGTAGCTGAGACTACAGGCACGCACCACCACACTCAGCTACATTTTGTATTTTTTTGTAGAGACGAGACTTCACCATATTGCCAGGCTGGTCTCCAACTCCTGAGCTCAAGAGATCCGCCCACCTCGGCCTCCCAAAGTGCTGAGATTATAGGTGTGAGCCACTGAGTCCGGCCCCTACTTGAACTTATATAATCTTCTCTGCTTCTTATTTGGGGGACTTCCCTCCTCAAGAGATGTTAAGCTTCATAAGAGTAGGGGCATCATTTATAAGCTCTCCAGAGGTCCCAGTAAAGTGCAACCTCAAGATAAGTGATTAAGAGGTAGCTAGAGGCTGGGCGTGGTGGCTCACACCTGTAATCCCAGCACTTTGGGAGGCTGAGGCGGGCGGATCACTTGAGGTCACAAGTTCAAGACCAGCCTGGCCAACACGGTGAAAACCTGTCTCTACTAAAAACACAAAAAATCAGCCAGGTGTGGTGGCATATGCCTGTAGTCCTGGCTACTTGGGAGGCTGAGGTAGGAGAATTGCTTGAACCCGGGAGGCGGAGGCTGCAAGTGAGTAGAGATTGTGCCACTGCACTAGATTTATATTCTTCACCAATGTCAGGAGCTATTGCACTTTTTTTTTTTTTGAGATGGAGTCACGGTGTGTCGCCCAGGATGGAGTGCAGTGGCACGATCTCTCACTGCAGCCTCCGCCTCTCAGGTTCAAGTGATTCTTCTGTCTCAGCCTCCCAAGTAGCCGGGACTACAGGCAAGCGCCAACACGCCCGGCTAATTTTTGTATTTTTAGTAGAGACGGGTTTCACCTTGTTGGCCAGGATGGTCTTGGTCTCTTGACCTCGTGATCTGCCCACCTTGGCCTCTCAAAATGCTGGGATTACAAGCGTGAACCACTGCGCCTGGCCCACTATTGCACTTTTCAAACTACATTTTGAAATTAAGTTACAAGAATAGTATAATGCGGCTGGGCGCGGTGGCTCATGCCTGTAATCCCAGCACTTTGGGAGGCTGAGGCAGGCAGATCACCTGAGGTCAGGAGTTCGAGATCAGCCTGACCAACATGGAGAAACCCTGTCTCTACTGAAAATACAAAATTAGCCAGGCACATGCCTATAATCTCAGCTACTCAGGAGGCTGAGGCAGAAGAATCGCTTGAACCCAGGAGGCAGAGGTTGCAGTGAGCTGAGATCACGCCATTGCACTCTAGCCTGGACACCAAGAGTGAAACTCCGTCTCAAAAAAAAAAAAAAAAAGAATAGTACAACGTATACTCACATACTCTTGACCCAAATTCACCAGTTGATAACATTTTGCCCTATTGCTTTATCATTTTTGTGCCCCATATATATGTATGTGCCCCATATATACAGATAATATTTTCTTACATAACTGCAGACAGTTATCAACTTGGGTAAATTTCACATTCTAACACTAATCTATCAAATAATATCCTTTATAGCATTTTTTTTCTCGCAGTACAGGATCTAGTCTACGTTTATGCATTGTGCCCTGTCTTTTTACTCTCCTTTCGTTTGGAATAGCCCTTCTTTGTCTTTCATGACATTGATATTTTTGAAGTCCTATTTTAAAAATAGGATGTTCTCATTTTGGGTCAAGGTGTTGCCCAATTTCTCCAGGATATAATTACTGTTTTTTTTTTATTGCTACTAATAAACAATCTGTGGAGAGAAACTGTTAAGTTCCTGGAAATATCTTACTCATCAAAAATTTCTCCTTGGATTGAGCATCTGTTGATAATGTTTGCCTGGACCGATCTATATAAAATGATGATTTTCCAACTCCAGCACTCCCTCCATATTTACCAGTCAGCACATGGTATTCGACTGAAAGCAAAGCCCCTCCCTGCAAAGGCCCTCCCTTCTCTCTCATTTATTTATCTATTTGGTATCACTGTGGACTTATGGCTCCCAAGTTTTCAGTGGTTTATAATTCATTACTGTCTTTAATAATATTGGTGCTCACATTACTCAGAATTGGCCAGTGAGAACTCCTAGTTATGCTTTCAATCCGTTACTAAACATTCCTCAAGAGCACATGGTGGTGCAGAATTTTCGGGTCAAGAACTTTTAGTGATCTGATTTTTGGGATAGTTTATGGGATAGTTAAAAGACAGGTTCCAAGTTTCTGTCTTTTCATTACGTACTGACTCCCCCTATAGGCAAAAGCAGGAAAGGAAGCTCAAAGCAGTCAAAACGGGGGTTTATGTGTCTTAAGACAGTGACACGGCCGGGCACGGTGGTTCACGCCTGTAATCCCAGTACTTTGGGAGGCTGAGGTGAGTGGATCACGAGGTCAGGAGTTCAAGACCAACCTGGCCAAGATGGTGAAACCCCGTCTCTACTAAAAATACAAAAATTAGCAGGGCGTGGTGACCGGCACCTGTAATCCCAGCTACTTAGGAGGCTGAGGCAGAGAATTGGTTGAACCAGGGAGGCGGAGGTTGCAGTGAGCTGAGATCGTGCCACTGCACTCCAGCCTGGGCAACAGTGGATTAGAGCGAGACTCCGTCTCAAAAAAAAAAAAAAAAGACAGTGACAGACCCCTGCAATAGAGAGGAGGAGGATGGATGATTACAGGTGGTGTCCGGATTGTTTTTATTTTTGTTTTTTTTTTCTTTTTTGAGACGGAGTCTTGCTCTGTTGCCCAGGCTGGAGTGCAGTGGCGTGATCTCAGCTCACTGCAACCTCCACCTCCCAGGTTCAAGCAATTCTCCTGCCTCAGCCTCCTGAGTAGCTGAGACTACAGGCGTATGCCACCATGCACGGCTGATTTTTGTATTTTTAGTAGAGATGGGGTTTCACCATGTTGGCCAGGCTGGTCTAAAACTCCTGACCTCAGGTGACCCGCCCGCCTCGGCCTCCCAAAGTGCTGGGATTACAGGCATGAGCCACCGCGCCCAGCCTTCTGGATTGTTTAGGATTGTAATGGCAACCTTTATTATCTATGCCTACACCTCTCTTCAACTAATGTATTTCTTCTCAGGGGTTTTAACTCCTGCTCACTGAGAAACCCTCTGTGGCTGTGAGAAAGGAATGGGCTAAAATAGATTGGCTGATGGATTTTTTTGTAATCAGAAGGATACCAGGGAGAGAAGGACATGGAGAATCCTGGAAATTTGTGTTCTATGGATGAAACTGCTTATTCCTTAGTGGGATTTACAAATGGAATCCTGTTATGGTTGTTCCAGAGCAGATGGCCTCTTACATCAGTTCCAACACCTTTTATTTTGTAATCCAATTTCAAAAGTCAGATTACAATTATTTGTTTCTATACAACGGAAAAGTTTTAATCCAGGCTGAGAGGAAGTAGTTTATCTTTTCACAGATTGTTTTCTAGGAAAGATGTATATTTATTACAATGCGGATTTTGGTGAAAGTTGGCAACTTAGGCTATGTCTTAGTCCATTTATGCTGCTATAACAAGATACTGAGACCTGAGACTTATAAAGAATATATATTTATTTCTCAGAGTTCCAGAGCCTGGGAAATCCAAGATTAAGGCACCAGAAGGTTCAGTTGTCTGGTTGGGGCAGCTCTCTGCTCTCTGCTTCCAAGATGGTGCCTTGTTGCTGCATCCTCCAGCAACAAGGGGAGAGGAGTGTTATATCCGCACATGGCAGAAGGCAAAGGGCAAGTGACCAAACACCGATTAAAGCCTCTTTCATTAGGTCCTTAATCCCATTCCTGAGGGAGGAGCTCTCATGGCTTAATGACCTCTTAAAGGTCCCACCTTTTAATACCATCACATCAGCCATTAAGTTTCAACACTTAAATTTTGAAGGGGACACACTCAAACAATAGCAGGCTGAAATTAATCTAATTATAAAATAACAAATCAGCTTAAAATGTAGGCTCCAAGGAAATGATTTTCACTGGGTTGAGACAAAAGGAAGAGCTTCATTCATTTATGCATTTAATTCAACAAATATCTCTGGAGTGCCTGCAGGATCAAGGTATAGGTGCTAAGACCAAAACAGATGAGTTCCATGCTTTCATGTAACTGACATTCCAGTGGAATACAGCAAGAATACAAAAAGGAAAGAAAGTGGTTTTTCTCTGTTGTCCTGAAATTGATTACAAGCTGGGTAGGGAGAAATAGCCCTATGTAAAACTAAATGTGCCACCAGCAGTAGGACCACTGGATGAGGTGGCTTTGACTCAGTGCCCTCTTTAACTCTCTAATGACATATTTCTAACTATATGACACCTTATGCGTAGGGGTGTATTGGACTGAGAAGAGCAGAAGATAACAGCACTTTTCAGTTTCAGAATTCTGTATTTCCATGTCTGTCTTTCTCTATGGTGGGCATTCATGTTTATTGAGGTAATGTTAGTCTCTAAACCATCAAATCAAAGAATATAGTACTACGAAGGAAGGTTAGAGATAATAAATTCAAGTAATGATTGTACGAGTGAGAAAAATAAGGCCACAGAGGTGAAGTGTCTTGCCGAAGGCTGTAGAGATAGTTGTTGGCAATGATGAGATGAGAATTTAGGTCACCTGACTCCTCATCTAGTGTTCCCCCAGTCATTTGCCTTTGCACTGCTCTGTTTTCTTTCTTTCTTTTTTTTTTGAAACAGAGTCTCACTCTGTTGCCCAGGCTGGAGTGTAGTGGCGCGATATTGGCTCACTGCAACCTCTGCCTCCCGGGTTCAAGCGATTCTCCTGCCTCAGCCTCCGGAGTAGCTGGGATTACAGGCGCCTGCCACCACGCCCGGCTAATTTTTGTATTTTTAGTGGAGACAGGGGTTTCACCATGTTGGCCAGGCTGGTCTCGAACTCCTGACCTCAAGTAATCCTCCTGCCTCGGCCTCCCAAAGTGCTGGGATTACAGGCGTGAGCCACCGCACCCAGCCTGTTTTATTTTCTTCACAGCATGTATCACCTTGTGAACTTTTTAAAAACATTTCGATTGTTACCCCAATAAACATGAATGCCCACCACGGAGAAAGACAGACGTGGAAATAAATTATGAAAGTGTGTAAAGTGCTGTTATCTTCTGCTCCTCTCAGTCTAATACACCCCTAACATAAAGTGTCATATAATTAGAAATACGTCATTAAAGAGTTAAAGATGGTAGTGTGTTAAAGCCACCTCATCCAATGGTCCGGCTCCTGGTGGAACATTTAGTTTTATGCAGGGCTATTTCTCCCCACCAAGATTGTAGTCAATTCCAGGACAACAGAGAAAACCCACTTTCTTTCCTTCTTTTTTGTACTCTTGCTGTATTGAGCACACAGTAGGTGCTGTGTAAATTCCCGCCGACAGACACTCATTGATTAACTGCTTTCGTGACACAGGTTGGCAGATAGGGACTGAAGTTATTGAGTGAAGCTGACTCCGGGTGGAGTGATACATTTGGCTACAGTGATTGAGCGGCTCTACCTTGCAGTACCCTCTTCTGTGGGCCCCTTTTGTATCTTGTAATCTTTTGCACTTAAGTTGATACGTGAAATACAGACTTGCAATCGTGATCAGAACTGTGTAAACAGTATCTGTGTTCGTAATTGGGATACAGTATGGACTTGAAACTGGCTAACTTGAGAAGCGGCGCTGTGGATGATTTTCTTGGCAAGTGTTTCATTTTTACTACGTTTCCGCAGTAAGCTATTACACAAAGCTAATGATGCACGATGCACAGAGCATTTCAAGCTACTCTCTGAAGAAAAGGCACCTCGGGGAGCTGACTGTTTTGTTTTGTTTTAATGTAAAGTCCAGTGCAGACCTAAATCCCTTACAAGGAACATGGTCTCACTGTCGCGCCGCTTAAAAATCCAGGGAAAAGCGTCAGACGAGCCGTGGGCTACCAACATTCATCTGAGGGCACCTTCTAACCATATTCTCGAACCTCAGAGAACCTTCCTAAATTCCCTTTCTGGAGTCCCCGCCCTCCGCTTGTCACCGTAGTGCGTCAAAGGCCCGTAGTCGTCACTGGAGGGAAAAAAGTACGTCGCGCGAGATTCTGCGACGGGATTTGGAAGTTAGGGAACAGCCGCGGCGCAAGCGCACTGGCCTCACAACCCCGGACGGCACGCGGGTAGGTAGGCTAGAACCTAGAGGAGGGGAGCAGAGCGTGCTGGGGTCTTTTATCGCTCTCCGCGCAGTGCGTGGGTCTGCGGATCCGTGGAGGTGCGGAGCCTGACTCGGCCTCCCCGGCTCGCGCGTGAGTGCGGCGGAAGCCCTTCTGCTCCTCCACGAGTTAGAGGAGTGTAGGGGACGTGCATCCCAGTGTCGGGACGCGAGCTCGTGCTCCTCTTTTCCTCCTAACGGTGGCCCCCACGCACACACTCCAGTCCCCCCGAGAGTTGATCTTCTCCCCTCAGCGCGCCCCTCCTTACCCGGCCCCTCCCACCGGCCCCCCGTTTCCGCCCGCTTGCTAGCTGCCTAGCTCGCGGTCCGTAGTCGGCTTCGTCCCTGGGGTCCCTGCTTGGGGGCGGAGAAGATGGCTGGAGGACGTCTGCTGTTGGGGGGCGACTTCCTGTCGCGCCGCCGCTGCCCCCCCTCCCGCCGCCGCCGCTGCCGCCCCTCCCGCCGCCCCCGCCCGAGCCAGTGCTGGAGCAGTGGCGCTATAGCCACGAAAGTGACTGGCAGTGGGCTCTGCGGCGCAGCTTCATCTGTCGGCACCTGCACAGCTATCCCGGGGCTGCCCTCGACCAGCTCCTCGCGCTCTCCGCCGCCTGGACCAACCACGTCTTCCTGGGCTGCAGGTGAGGAAGGTGTGGGTGTCGGGTTAGGGACGGGGGTGAGAGATCGGTGATGGGGGATCGGGTTAGGGACGGCGCTGGAGGGATCGATGATGGTGGTTGGGATAGGGACGGGGGCGGGATGCGGAGGATAGGTTGGAGGCTGGAGATTTGGAGGTGCTGGAGGGCACTAGAGGGATCACTATTGGCCTGGGGGTGGGGTGGCCGACTGTGGTGGCTGGGCATGACATAACAGCTAGGAGGGTGCAGAGATCGCGGAAGCGGCCTCTCCAGGACCAGGGATGGAGATGAAGCAGCGCCTAGAAGAGGATTATTGAGAGGTGGTCATTGTAGTTGGTGGCGGTATTAGAGGACGTGGGGAATGATGAATAGCAGCATCTCGGACCTGCGTAGGGCCTTCCAAGGATGCAGTATCCGCAGAGAATATATTCGACAGTTGGAGTTGTGGGGGAAGGGCGAGGGGACCCCACTGTTCTAGTCTCCTCCTGACCACTCTCTTTTTCCATTCCTCTTAAATACCCCCCTCTACTTGCAGCCCCCTAGCAGGGTCTTACTGTCTTCTCCTGGGGAGGCGGTACGTATCAGCTCTCTGAGCCGCAGCAGCGTCAGCCTTGCTTGTAGATTTGCGCATAATGTGTCTGGACTCAAACAAAGAAATGGATATATCTACTGTAAAAATGGATTGCCCTCTTTTTACCCTAAATGGGATCAGAAGGATTAACATTTGGCTCTGAGTGAGGTTTTAGGTGTGTGTGTCTGTGGTGGGGGTGGGGGTGTGTGTGTGTTTGTTTTTCCCCCCTTTCCTAGAACCTGGTGACGTTTTGAACAGGCCTCTTTGAAAGCTCTTTGCATTCAATGGAGACTGCAGTATGGTTCCAACGCAGCGTGTTTTGTTTGTTTTTTTTTTTTGAAGAGGCTACTTGGACCTCTGTCCTTCAGAACCCCTAAATCGGCCCTATACTAGACTATTCATTCTTTGATAGATTGGGAGACGACTTCTTTTGACATTCCTGCAATCATAGTTTTTTGTTTTTGTTTTTGTTTTTGTTTTTTTTTAAATCAGGAAGGGTGAGAGATTCTGGAATATGATCATGTCAATTTTGGCCAGTTCAGTTCCAGGAGTGACTGTAACAGATGCAGAAAAATAGGATTGTCTCCTCCTGCCCTTAATTATTGAACATGGCATTCAGTGTGATATACTTTGCTCTCATCACAGACATTACTTTTCTGTCTTCTCAAGGTTAGCATAATTTCTACCTCCAGAGATAATGATTAGGAGGAACTGGTTACAACTGAAGAAGCCTTAGTTATTGAACAAGTCAGATAAATCTACTTGACCTTTGCCTAACAGTGTTGTTCTTGAGTTCAAAAGTTACCTTTATCCTATAATCGTAAGTCTCCATAATATCACAGAAGGCTGTCGGAAATCTGAATCCTTAAAATAAAAACAAAAACTTAAATGAGGATAACTATCCTTTGTGTTAATAATAAATCTTACCTTCCCACTAGAATGGAAGCTCCCTTAAGGATAGGGATTTTGCTTTCTTGTTTACACCTTTATCCTCAGTGCCTAGAAGATTGCCTGCTAAATAATAGCTGCTCAATAAATGTGTGTGGAGTGAGTGGATGTATACAGCTTTATGATGTACAACACATTTTAAATATTTATTATTTCATTTCCTACAACAACTTTGGGGATTAGGTGGCATCTCATTTTTACTGCTAAATCAGTGGAGGCCAAGAAGTTAAGTGACGTTTCCAAGGTCTTACAGCTGGGGCTAGGACCTAGGTCTTCTGATACCCAGACTGATGCTCTTTCCACTGAGCCACAGCTGCCATATTTGGGAAGGATGGATCATGAGTGAAAGCAAGTAACTGAACATAAGCCACATCATTATATCTCAGGATTTAATTCCAAGAACAACACCCTTGTACATAACCAGGGCATTAAAAACACAAAGTAGGCCAATGGTAGTTGGTGTTAAAGGCTCAAGAATTGCAGGCTGTTGTGTGTGCACACAGGTGCATCTGTGGATACTATGTATGCTACATTGTACATACTATGTATGTACACCATGTTACATTGTAGCTAAGTCAGTTTAGTTAATACAAGAATTGCCATTACATTATCAAATAGCTTAACTGAAAAGTAATGTTTGCATTATATCTGATAGCTTCCATATAGAAGAAAGGGAAGGGCCAATGAAGACTCTTGGAAGCTAGGGACCAAGTGCAGTCTTTAGATGGGCTTTATGTTACCTCTCATCTTCAGGTGGGTAAAACTTGTGTTCCAATACTTGTTGATGTTAATGTAGATTTTGGCAGAGTTCTTGTTTTCTGTGGCAGAATACTCTTCTCTCAAGTGAATTGTAGAATACATGGTGAAATAGCTCTTTCTAAACTTAAATTGTTAATTTTTTTTTTTTTTTTTTTGAGACAGAGTCTGCTCTGTCACCCAGGCAGGAGTGCGGTGGCACGATTTTGGCTCACTGCAACCTCCACCTCCTGGGTTCAAGCAATTCTCATGTCTCAGCCTCCCGAGTAGCTGGGATTGCAGGCATGCACCACCACACCCGGCTCATTTTTGTATTTTTGGTAGAGACGGGGTTTCGCCATTTTGGCCAGGCTGGTCTCGTACCCCGGGGCTCAAGTGATCCGCCAGCCTCAGCTTCCCAAAGTGCTAGGATTACAGGAGTGAGTCACTGCACCTGGCCTTAAATTGTTGATTTGTTGCTCGAGGTTTATCACTTGACTTTTGGAACAGGCTGTGAAGAATAGCACAAAGGAATTTCCTTGCTCTTTTTTCCCTCTGGCAAAATGTTTTGTATTCCATTTTACTTGGAGCTGAAATAAACTTCTAGGTCAAAGAAATCTTTGAAAATTCCTTCATCATAAGACCAAGCCAGGAGGAACTCAAATGTGCAGGGAAACAGACCTTATTTCATTCCTTTTGGTGATGGTGGCAATTTCCACAGAACAAATTTGAATATCTTCTTGACTCTGTAACTGGGGAGTTCAAACTTAAGTACACGTCAAAATCACCTGTTAGGCTTGTTAAAACAGATTGCTGGGTCCCAGCCCCAGGGTGTCTGACTCGGTAGGTCTGAGGTGGGGCCTCAGATTTTGTATTTTTGATAAGTTCCCAGGTGATGCTGATGTTGCTGATCCAGAGATCAGCACTCTCAGAACCACTGCTTTGTAGGATAAAATAAAAATGTTTCTATTCTGTTTTTTAATCATTTTCTCCCTAATTGTCCAGGCAACCAGAAAGCTCAAATGGCTAAAATTGTTTCACTTCATTTTTTCATTTGTCTGTTTCGTCCAAGTAAACAACTTAACCAAGAATTTTTTTCTGCAGGCAATTTCTGAGATATGTCTTGTGGCTAGTGAAAAATTAGTTCAGTTTTCTGACCAACTACATCTACAGCACTTAAATAATTGTACATATGAATGCCTAGAGAACTGTGTGATTTTTACTTAAAATTGTAGATAGTGTCTTTATATTTAATAAAGCAGTTTGATTAACTGGGGCATTTAGTTTTCCAGTCATTGTTGATCAATAAGATTAGAAGGAGAATTCTGGCCTACTATTTACCTTTGATGAGACATTAATTAATAGATAAAATATACCTTAAAATGAAACCAGCTTTGCTCCCTTATTTGTCTTTTCCTGGTTGATACAAGACTGGTGTTTGGAAGGTAGATAGATGTTGGCTGGGCTCATGTTGCAAAACTGTGCACATAGTAGGGAGAGTGCATAAATCACTAGCTAATGAAATGGGTGTGAGAGCTTTTGAAAGATTATCAATAATCTGGGTGTATGTTATTAACTTATATCAGGAGTCTTATCAATTGTTGTTGTTGTTGTTTTAATAGAGATGGGGTTTCCCTCTGTGGCTCAGGCTGATCTTGAACTCCTGAGCTCAAGTGATCCACTCGCCTTGGCCTCCCAAAGTGCTGGGATTACAAGGGTGAGCCACCGCGCCTGGCCCGAGTCCTTTTTTCTTTTTCTTTTTTCTTTTTTTTTTTTTGTGTGACAATGTTTCGCTCTTGTTTCCCAGGCTGGAGTGCAATGGCGCGATCTTGGCTCACCGCAACCTCCGCCTCCCGGGTTCAAGCGATTCTCCTGCCTCAACCTCCCTAGTAGCTGGGATTACAGGTGTGCAACCACCATGCCCGACTAATTTTGTATTTTTAGTGGAGGCAGGGTTTCTCCATGTTGGTCAGGCTGGTCTCGAACTCCTGACCTCAGATGATCCGCCCGCCTCGGCCTCCCAAAGTGCTGAGATTACAGGCATGAGCCACTGCTCCCAGCTTTTTCTTCTTCTTCTTCTTCTTCTTTTTTTTTTTTTTGAGAGAACCTTGCTCTGTCACCCAGGCTGAAGTGCAATGGTGCGATCTCAGCTCAGTGCAGCCTCCACCTCCTGAGTGCAAGTGATTCTCCTGCCTCCACCTTCCGAGTAGCTGGGATTACAGGCGTGCACCACCACGCCCAGCTAATTTTGTTTGTATTTTCAGTAGAGACGGGGTTTCACCACGTTGGCCATGCTGGTCCTGACCTCAGGTGAGCCGTCCACCTGGGCCTCCCGAAGTGCTGGGATTACAGGCATCAGCCATTTTGCCAGGCTCCGGCCCGTCTTATGAAAAGTTTTTTTTTTTTTTAATTAGTTTTCCTTATGAATAGTTTTGAATAAACAATTTTACACTTGGAAACCTTAATCTTTGCTTAATTTTCAAATCTCAGCTTTTTTATTTGAACTTAGTAGAACAGTTTAATATACTTTTTTAAAGTTTTGTAAAACGGCCGTGGCCGGTGGCCCATGCCTGTAATCCCAGCACTTTGGGAGCCCGAGGCGGGCAGATCACGTGAGGTCAGGAGTTTGAGACCAGCCTGGCCAACGTGGTAAAACTCAGGCGTGGTGATGGGTGCTTGTAGTCCCAGCTACTCGGGAGGCTGAGGCGGGAGAATTGCTTGAACCTGGGAAGCAGGGGTTGCGGTGAGCCGAGATCGCGTCATTGCGCTTCAGCTTGGGTGCCAGAGTGAGAGTCCATCTCAAAAAAAAAAAAAGTTTTGTAAGCATCTATTACTGAATATTTATTAAATTTCAGCTGCCATTGTATGTTATAGTGGTTTACGTTATTCATAAGTATGCATATATATGCACCTGTCTTGTGTCCAGAGATGTAAAACTTATGAAGACAGATGTTTTTGTTCATTAGAAATCATCTTTTTATGTGCTAGATATGGTGGGATAGTTGAGTCACATCCTGGTTTCCAAAAGCTTGGTATAATATCAGCTACTTTTGAGAACCATAAGACCTCAGAATTTTGGGGTTCTTTTTTTTTCTTTCTCTTTTGAGACAGTCTTGCTCTGTCGCCAAGGCTGGAGTGCAGCCTGTGATCTCCGCTCACTGCAACCTCTGCCTCCCGGGTTCAAGCGATTCTCCTGCCTCAGTCTCCCGAGTAGCTGGGTCTACAGGTGCATGCCACCATGACTGGCTAATTTTTGTATTTTTAATAGAGACAGGGTTTCACCATGTTGTCCAGGCTGGTCTTGAACTCCTAGCCTCAAGTGATCCGCCTGCCTCGGCCTCCCAATTGCTGGGATTACAGGCATGAGCCACCACGCCTGGCCTGGTTTTCTTTTTTAAGCATTTATAATCTAAAGGGTAACTTAGCAGACTTAAAAATATAGTATGCGTGCATCTTAAAAAATTACTATATTAGACTTGCCTTAATGATATCTTACATTTTATTCAATAATATAAATACTGTATAGCCATTAAAACTCATGTGGTAATGATGTGGAGAAAAGGCTTATGATACAGTAAATTAAAAACAAAAAACCCCACCAGATTTGAAATCAACATAGATGACTTGATAGTGATGGGGAGTTATGGAAAACACAGAAAAAGCATTAAAAAATAAACCCCTACATGGCCAGACACGGTGGCTCACGCCTGTAATTCCAGCACTTTGGGGGGCTGAGGCAGGCAGATCACGAGGTCAGGAGTTCAAGACCAACATGGCCAACATGGTGAAACCCTGTCTCTACTAAAAATACAAAAATTAGCCGGACATGATGGTGCACTCCTGTAATCCCAGCTACTTGGGAGGCTGAGACAGGAGAATCACTTGAACTGAGGAGGCAGAGGCTGCAGTGAGCCGAGATCATGCCATTGCACTCCAGCCTGGGCAATAGAGTGAGACTCAGTCTCAAAAAAAAAAATTAATTAAAACCCAACATGTTGATGAAGTTATCAGTGGTTGGGGTTATTATAACTATTTTTGAGACAGGTTCCTCTGTCACCCAGGCTGGAGTGCAGTGGTGTGATCACAGCTCACTGTAGCCTCAACTTCCTAGGCTCAAGTGATTTGAGTAGCTGGGATTACAGGTGTATGCCACCATGCCCAGCTTTTTTTTTTTTTTTTTCTTTGTAGAGACAGGGTCTTGCCATGTTGCCCAGGCTGATCTTGAATTCCTGGGCTTAAGTGATCCTCTTGCCTTGGTCTCCCAGAGTGTTAGGATTACAGGTGTGAGCCACTGCTCCCGGCCAGTGGTTGGGAATGTAGGTGCTTTTCTTGGTGGATTTTCTAAAATGCCTGGTGTTAAAGGTGTTACTTTAAAACACACTATTAAAAAATAGACTCTGGAGAAAGTGAATAATAAAAGCTTTACTGCCTTGGCTTACTTTAAATATGTGGCACCACTTCTTTATCTTTGGAAAGCTACTCTGGATTGTAGAAGCCTCGTGGTCTTACTAAACACTCTAGATTCGTATTTACATTGTTCTTTGAATAGTGAAGTGTTTGTTAGGTACTATACGGTCTTTTTCATTATTGTTCATACTGGCTGGGCTTCTTCAGTATTATGACTTCATAGCAAAGGACAGAGAACTGTATCAGCAACCTATGTAAAGACTTATTTTTATGGCCTATGGGTGAAGTTGAATTTTGTGGCAGATGTAATGAATAGGGTATAGTAAGTAGGTAGAATAATTACTAATGCTGGAAGAAACCTGAGAAAAGTGAGCATGAATGAGTGAGCCCTAAGTGCATCACACCGTAAGACATATATGCCATTTGCAGTTGTATACTGTACTTGGAATCGGGCTCTAACTGAAGGTCTGGAGAATATTGACTGGAATTCAAGGTAAGTTGCCTGGTTGTAGGGCCACTTTTGGTAACAGGCGTGGGATTAGTAGTTTAAGATTTATAGACTCATCTCATTTTCATAGACTTTTTTTTTTTTTTTTTTTTTTTTTGAGATGGAGTTTCACTCTTGTTGCCCAGGCTGGAAGGCAATGGTGCGATCTCGGCTCACTAAAACCTCTGCCTCCCAGGTTCAAGCGATTCTCCTGTCTCAGCCTCCCAAGTAGCTGGGATTACAGGCATGCGCCATCACACCCGGCTAATTTTTGTATTTTTAGTAGAGACAGGTTTCTCTATGTTGGTCAGGCTGGTCTCGAATTCCCGACCTCAGGTGATCTGCCTGCCTTGGCCTCCCAAAGTGTTGGGATTACAGGCGTGAGCCACACGCGCCCGGCTTTTGTTTTTATCTCATACTTTGGAAATATGTACTCCCAAATTTGAATGGAAGTGATATGTAGAATGTATTGTGTTTATTTTATTTTATTTTATTATTATTTTTGAGACAGAGTCTCGCTCTTGTCGTCCAGGCTGGAGTGCAGTGGTGCAATCTCAGCTCACTGCAACCTCCGCCTCCCGGGTTCAAGCAATTCTCCTGCCTCAGCCTCCTGAGTAGCTGGGATTACAGGCGCCTGCTACCACACCCAGCTAATTTTTGTATTTTTAGTAGAGACGGGGTTTTACCATGTTGGGTAAGCTGGTCTTGAACTCCTGACCTCAGGTGATCTGCCCACCTCAGCCTCCCAAAATGTTGGGATTACAGGTGTGAGCCACCCCGCCCAGCCATATTGTGTTTTAGACTGTGCTTTCTGATGTTCAGATAAGAGTCAATGAAAATAAAATTACTCTTGGTATTTAAATACTCGTGCTAGCTTTAGCAGCAACAGTTGTCAGTGGGAAGTACAGGTTACAACAGAGCTAGCTTCCAGCAGTCTGTCGGGGAGGCCACCGTGCCTTGACTTCTGCTTTGCGTGGAATGATACGTGATGGGTGTGCAACCTGTTCTACTGAAAATGGAAAATGTTACCCTCCTTCTGGTTCAGAACTGATTCATGTAAAGGTATGATAGTTACTCATTTTCAGAACTTCTTCCCAAATGCTACCAGGAATCTCTTTTTTGGTCCTAGGCTGGGGAAGGCTCTGAAGGTAGGAAGGGAGAGCAGGTAACCGTCATAACCAACACTTCACTTGAGCTCCTGTTTCTGTTTCTCTGTAGTAAAATGTTATTCTATCAAGCAGCCAATCTTCATAAGGAGCCTTTTTTTTTTTTTTTTTTAAGAGACCGTCTCAGCCGGGTGCAGTTGCTCACACCTGTAATCCTAGCACTTTGGGAGGCTGAGGCAGGTGGATTACCTGAGGTCAGGAGTTCAAGGTCAGCCTGGCCAACATGGCAAAACCCTGTCTCTACTAAAAAATACAAAAATTAGCCAGGCGTGGTGGCGCATGCCTGTAATCCCAGCTACTTGGGAGGCTGAGGCAGGAGAAGTGCTTGAACCCGGGAGGTGGAGGTTGCAGTGAGCTGATATTGTGCCACTGCACTCCAGCCTGGGAGACAGAGCAAGACTCCCTCTCAAAAAAAAAAAAAAAAAAAAAAAAGAGACAGGGTCTCACTCTGTCACCCAGGCTGGAGTGCAGTGGTGTGATCACAGCTCACTGCAGCCTTGACCTTCCCAGCTCAAGTGATCCTCCCACCTCAGCCTCCCAAGTAGCTGGGACTACAGGCATGGGTCACCATGCCTGGCTACGTTTTCTGTTTGTTTGTTATTTTTATTTTTTGTAATGATGGTGTTTCGCCATGTTGCCCAGGCTGGTCTTGAATTCCTGGCTTCAAGTGATCTGCCCACCTCCACCTCTCAATGTGCTGGGATTACAGGCATGAACCACTGTGCTCAGCCAGGAGCCATTTTTTAAATTGTATATTTTAAAGCTTTGCCTTAAAATTTCAAGCACACAAAAGTAGAAAAGAGTTTAATGAATCCCATGTACCCATCACTCAGCAATCATCAGCAGTCTGCCATGCTACCCTTCTTCATCTATTCTGCCCTAGGTTTTTGTGGGCAATAGTCTGGAGTATATTTTATAAAATCCTGACATCATTTCACCTGTACATTCTTCAGTACACATCTGTATCAGATAAGAATTTTTAAAAATAGTCACCATACCATTATTCATATTCAACAAAATTTACAGTGATTTCTTAAAAATCACCCAATGCCTATTGCATGTTCAGTTTTCTTCATTTGTCTCAAATGTCTTTTTACAGCTCGTTTGATTCATTCATGATACAAAGTCTATACAATGTATTTGATTGATCCATCTCCTTTAACCTATAACCACTCCCTCTTCCTTTTATTTTCATTCTACAGTATTTATTTGATGAGGAAACTGGGCTGTCACATACTGTTCCCTCATTCTGGAGTTGGATAGTTCCATTCTTGTGGTGTTTCACATGTTTCTGGGAGTCAGGAACTTGATTAGTTTCAGGTTCAATTCTCTGGAGAGCCATAACGCTTTCTAGATAGTGCCGTGATATCCTATTGTATCACATCGTGGGGTACATGTTCGGTTGTCCCACTTTTAGTGATATTAAGATGATAAAGTCCCCGATCAGCTTTTTAAACTGAAATTTTTCTTGAGATAATTATAGATTGACATGCAACTGTAAGAAATAATACAAAGAGATGGCCGGGTGCGGTGGCTCATGCCTGTAATCCCAGCACTTTGGAAGGCTGAGGCCTGCGGAGAGGTCAGGAATTTGACACCAGCCTGGTCAACATGATGACCTTGTCTTACTAAAAATACAAAAATTAGCCCCGCATGGTGGTGCATGCTTATAGTCCCAGCTACTTGGGAGACTGAGGCAGGAGAATCACTTGAATCCAGGAGGCGGAGGTTGCGGTGAGCCGAGATCGCGCCATTGCATTCCAGCATGGGTGACAGAGTGAGACTGTTTAAAAAAAAAAAAAAAGTTCCTTTTTGTCCCAAGTAGTGTTCCATAGTGTGTGTGTACCAGAATCTAACTATTCACCTGTTGAAGGACATCTGGGCTGATTGTAGTTTTGGGCTGTTACAAATAAAGCTGCTATGAACATTCGTGTACAGGTTTTTGTGTGAACATAAGTTCTCATTTCTCTGGAATAAATGTCCAAGAGTATAATTGCAATCGCTGGATCAAGTGGTAACTGATTTTTTTTTTTTTTTTTTGGAGGCAGTGTTTCATTCTTGTTGCCCAGGCTGGAGTGCAATCGTGCGATCTTGGCTCACTGCAACGTCCACCTCCTGGGTTCAAGCGATTCTCCTGCCTCAGCCTCCAGAGTAGCTGGGATTACAGGCATGCACCACCACGCCCGGCTAATTTTGTCTTTTTAGTAGAGACGAGGTTTCTCCATGTTGGTCAGGCTGGTCTCGAACTCCCGACCTCAGGTGATCCGCCCACCTTGGCCTCCCAAAGTGCTGGTATTACAAGCGTGAGCCACCGCACCCGGCCTGATGTTTGGTTTTATAAGAAACTACCAAACTGTTTTCCAGAGTGACTGTATCATTTTACATTCCCAGCAGCAATGTCTGAGTGATCCAGTTTCTCCTCATTTTTGCCAGCATTTGGTATTGTCACTTTTTTTTTTTTTTTTTTTTTTTTTTTTTTGAGATGGAGTCTTGCTCTGTCACTCAGGCTGAAGTGCAGTGGCACAATCTCGGCTCACTGCAACCTCTGCCTCCCAGGTTCAAGCGATTCTCCTGCCTCAGCCTCCTGAGAAGCTGGGATTACAGGCGCATGCCACCATGCCAGGCTAATCTTTGTATTTTTAGTAGAGACAGGGTTTCACCATGTTGGTCAGGCTGATCTCGAACTCCTGACCTCGTGATCTACCCCCCTCGGCCTCCCAAAGTGCGGGGATTACAGGCGTGAGCTACTGTGCCCAGCCATTGTCACTTATTTTGGCCATTCTAATAAGTGTATAGTGATACCTCATTGTGATTTTAAATTGCATTTCCCTGGTGGCTAGTGATGAACATCTTTTCATGTGCTTATTTGCAATCTGTCTATCCTCTTTGGTGAAGTATTTCGTTTATGTCTTTTGTTCATTTTTTAATTTGATTTTTTTTTCTATTGAGTTTTAGGTACTACTAGTCTTCTGTCAAGCGTGTGGTTTACAGATATTTTCTCCCAGTCTGCAGCTTGACCTTTCATCCTCTTCACAGTCTTTCAAGAGCAAAACTTTTTACTCTTTTTTTTTTTTTGAGACGGAGTCTCGCTCTGTCACCCAGACCTAGACTGGAGTGTAGTGGCACAATCTCGGCTCACTGCAACCTCCACCTCCCGGGTTTGAGTGATTCTCCTGCCTCAGTCTTACAAGTAGCTTGGACTACAGGTGTGTACCACCATGTCCAGCAATTTTTTTTTTTCTATTTTTGTAGAGATGGGGGTTTGCCATGTTGGCCAGACTGGTCTTGAATTCCTGACCTCAAGTGATCCGCCCACCTCGGCTTCCCAAAGTGCTGGGATTACAGGAGTGAGCCACCACACCCAGCCAAAACTTTTTAATTTCAATGACGTCCATTTTATCACCAGTTTCTTTATGGATCATGCTTGGTATCAAGCCTAAGAACTGTTTGCCTAACCCTAGATCCCACAGATTTTCTCCTGTGTTTTTTTTTTCAGTAAAAGTTTCATAATTTTACATTTAGGTTTATGATGTATTTTGAGTTAGTTTTGTATAAGGTGTGAAGTTTAGGTGTAGAGTTGTTTTTTTTTTGTTTTTGTTTTTGTTTTTGCCTATGGATGCCTACTAGTTCCGGCGCCATTTGTTGAGAAGGCTATCCTTCCTCCATTGAATTGCCTTGGCACCTTTGTCAATAATCAGTTGAGAATATTTGCTTGGGTCTGACTGTGAGTTCTTCCCCCATTAGCTTTTCACCTAATAGGTTTAGCAGCCATTGATAATTTCTTTTCTTTTTTCTTTTTTTTTTTTTTTTGAGATGGAGTCTAGCTCTGTCGCCCAGGCTGGAGTGCAGTGGCGTGATCTCGGCTCGCTGCAGCCTCTGCCTCCCAGGTTCAAGCAGTTTTCCTGCCTCCGCCTCCTGAGTAGCTGGTATTACAGGTGTCCACCACCATGCCCGGGTAATTTTTGTATTTTTAGTAGAGATGGAGTTTCACCATGTTGGCCAGGCTGTTCTCGAACTCCTGACCTCAAGTGATCCACCCGCTTAGGCCTTCCAAAGTGCTGAGATTACAGGTGTGAGCCACCATGCCCGCCTGATGATCATTTTTTATTATAGGTTACAAAATGGTAGTAGTCCATTCCTTCATTTATTAGCTGGAATGCTTCTCTAAAAGACATTTTCCTCATCATCTCTTTGGTTGCTCTAAGTACAATTTATACAGGAGAATACAGGATAAATGTTTGCTTTCTTCCTTTCATATTTACCTGTTTGCAGAATAATGACATGGTTCCTTCCATCCTCCAAAGGTGACCAATAATAGTTTGTAAGTATCATTATGAACTAATGAATTTTCAACATATTTGATATATTTCAATCCATTGCCATCATTGTTCTTATCGATATTTGAGTTGGCTCACTTTGCCAGTAAGAGTCTATTCAAATTGGCTTCTGAGTCCATTTGACACAACACCTTTGATCTTTGACAGTTTCCTTGGTTTTAGGTGCTAGATGATTTCTCAGGCTCACCTTAGACATTTCCTGCCACAGACTTAGAATCAGCCATTTCTCTAAGGACCCTGATTCCATTTCATGAGAAATGATAGAGACCACAATCAAAACAAGTCATGAATTTATACTGATATTTTCAATTCAAATTAAAGATGAGGTTTTTGCTAAATTTTTTTGAGTTTATATTTGTATGTCTTATGCTGAAAAATCTTGTTTCCTAATTAGTAACATAATTATTCATTTGATGGGTAAATATTTTAGGGCCGATTCTTTGGTTTTATAGCCAAGATACCCTGTTGATAAAGTCTTGTGGGAGCAATTATAAGACTGGCTTATTTTGAAGCTTTTTAAAAAAGACATCCTTACCTGTTTTAACTGTAGATTATATTAACTTAAATAGGTACAGCCCACGCTTGATGGAAAAAATTCTCCAAATGGCTGAAGGTATTGATATTGGGGAGATGCCTTCATATGATCTGGTGCTGTCCAAACCTTCCAAAGGTCAAAAACGCCACCTCTCAACATGTGATGGTGAGTATACTTGTTTCTGAAAGGTGGGATTTGAAGAAACAACATGGCTTTAAAAAAATGATATGAGTGTGGTATAAGATTTCAAATAACATTGGTAACATTAGTTCTTACGGGTAAAAGAGTTTTAGCTTTTAATTATATACAATTTTTTGAGGATGCTAAATAGAATTGAAAACTAAGAATATTGAAATCATGTTATTATGCAGTCCTTGAAATTTATGTCATGGAACCGCCCTCTAAATAAAATCTTATACTGTGATCACTTGAGCATCTAAGTCACTAAATCCTCTTGGATGGGTCCAGGATGGACGAGCTTTCTACTGAGCAGTGTTACAGGGAGGAAGCTCTAGTGTCTAGTATAGCTTCATCAGAGTTCTTCCATAGCTTTAAATTTGGCATCTCACATAAATCATTAGTTTCCAGCTGTTGTTTGTTCTAGAAAGAAAATAGAGCAAACACCCTTTTGTGATGAATGGGTCAGAGCTGAGGTTTTGAAGTTGAAAACTTTCTGAATCTTTTGATAATTCTTTTTCTTTGATTTTTAGTCACAACTATGTAAAGCACCATCACAGAGTCACTCACCTCTGATACAAAAGAGAAAGGCTTTGTAACTGCCTCTGCTCATTATCTGTCTTGCATTAGAGCCATCTGTTCCATTTTCAATCCTTAAGTGAGCTTTTCAGCATGGGTGGTATGAGATTGTACTGGAACAATCTTCCAGTCCACTTCACCTTCCAGCACAAGTGAAGAGTATACTTCACCTGTGCTTTAGCTCATTTGATGCAAAAGCAGCTACCAGTCATGTGTGGTGGTGACCTGTATACTTGACTTAATGGTATATTTTCTATCAAGGGTCTTCCCTTACATGTGGAAAGACAGGGAGCATCCCTCCTTATGCTGGAATCTTACATTGATAATTGAGTCTCTTCACCCAAATGGCGTGAAGTTTTTGTGATGGAAGTATCTCGTACCAACAATGCAGCTTGCAAATAATATGGTTGGTACTATTTTCCTGCTTGGTTCTTTTGAAATATTCCCATTTTAATGAATTGTAAATTTCACTCATTCTATAGGTCAAAATCCTCCTAAAAAGCAAGCCGGTTCCAAATTCCATGCGAGACCTCGTTTTGAGCCTGTACATTTTGTAGCTAGTAGTTCAAAAGATGAAAGACAGGAAGATCCTTATGGCCCTCAAACAAAAGAGGTAAATGAACAAACACATTTTGCCAGCATGCCAAGAGACATCTACCAAGATTATACTCAAGACTCTTTCAGTATACAAGATGGGAATTCTCAGTATTGTGATTCATCAGGATTCATTCTCACAAAAGACCAGCCTGTAACAGCCAACATGTATTTTGACAGTGGGAACCCTGCCCCAAGCACCACATCACAGCAGGCAAACTCTCAGTCAACTCCTGAGCCTTCACCATCACAGACATTTCCCGAGTCTGTGGTAGCCGAGAAGCAGTATTTTATTGAAAAATTAACGGCGACAATCTGGAAGAACCTTTCTAATCCAGAAATGACTTCTGGATCTGATAAAATTAATTATACATATATGTTAACTCGTTGTATTCAGGCGTGTAAGACAAATCCTGAGTATATATATGCTCCTTTAAAGGAAATTCCTCCTGCCGACATCCCCAAAAATAAAAAACTTCTAACTGATGGCTATGCTTGTGAAGTTAGATGCCAAAATATCTACTTAACTACAGGTTATGCTGGCAGCAAGAATGGGTCCAGGGATCGAGCTACAGAGCTAGCTGTAAAACTCTTGCAGAAACGTATTGAAGTTAGAGTTGTCCGGCGGAAATTCAAGCATACATTTGGAGAGGACCTCGTGGTGTGTCAGATTGGCATGTCCTCCTATGAATTTCCTCCAGCTCTGAAGCCACCAGAAGACCTGGTGGTGCTGGGTAAAGATGCTTCCGGGCAGCCAATTTTTAATGCTTCTGCCAAACACTGGACCAATTTTGTCATTACAGAAAATGCAAATGATGCAATTGGTATCCTTAACAATTCTGCCTCATTCAACAAGATGTCAATTGAATACAAATATGAGATGATGCCAAATCGCACATGGCGTTGTCGAGTGTTTTTACAAGATCACTGCTTAGCTGAAGGTTATGGAACCAAGAAAACAAGTAAACATGCAGCTGCCGACGAGGCTTTGAAAATTCTTCAAAAAACACAGCCCACTTATCCATCTGTCAAAAGTTCACAATGCCATACAGGCTCTTCACCCAGAGGATCTGGAAAGAAGAAAGATATAAAGGATCTTGTAGTTTATGAGAATTCTTCAAATCCCGTGTGCACGCTGAACGACACAGCTCAGTTTAACCGAATGACAGTTGAGTATGTCTATGAAAGGATGACAGGCCTCCGCTGGAAATGCAAAGTGATTCTAGAGAGTGAAGTAATTGCAGAAGCAGTTGGGGTGAAGAAAACTGTCAAATATGAAGCTGCTGGGGAAGCTGTGAAAACCCTCAAAAAGACCCAGCCAACTGTCATTAACAACTTGAAGAAAGGAGCTGTTGAAGATGTGATTTCAAGAAATGAAATTCAGGGCCGCTCAGCAGAGGAGGCTTACAAACAGCAAATCAAAGAAGATAATATTGGAAATCAGCTGCTGAGAAAGATGGGTTGGACTGGTGGTGGTTTAGGTAAATCTGGTGAGGGCATACGGGAGCCTATCTCAGTGAAAGAGCAGCATAAGCGGGAAGGGCTTGGTCTGGATGTAGAGAGGGTGAATAAAATTGCCAAGAGAGATATTGAACAGATCATCAGAAACTACGCCCGCTCCGAGAGCCACACAGATTTGACTTTCTCTAGAGAGCTGACTAATGATGAACGGAAGCAAATACATCAGATTGCCCAGAAGTATGGTCTTAAGAGTAAGTCTCATGGGGTGGGCCATGATAGGTACCTAGTGGTAGGTAGAAAAAGACGGAAGGAAGACCTACTAGATCAGCTCAAACAGGAAGGCCAAGTGGGCCATTACGAGCTTGTTATGCCTCAAGCAAATTGAGATCTTACTAATTTATTTTGTAAATGCCTAATGAGGCAGATTTTTGAATTAAAGAAATGCTACATGTTCCGGTTGCAGAGTATATTCATAAGATGTCTCACCTTGTTCATTTCACATAGTGGTTTATTAGATATTGGAACCTAAAGAATTCTGTCCACTTGTATTAGCTTAATCCAGCAGATGATATTGTGCAGTTACTGTTTGTGTCTTTGATATTGCTGTGTCCCTCAGATTTTAGTAGTTTGACAAGCAAGAACACATATCCAAATGGAATTTTACCCTGAGAAATTATCATTTTAAAGGGCATAGCACAGCAATCTGCAACAATATGTAAAGTTGATATTGACTACAATAAAAATCCAGTCTTAATTCCAGATTTACTGAAAATGTCAGATCATTTTGTATTAATCTATTTTCATCTTTGTGTGAAGCCAGTTATAGAATGTTTGACAATAAATTGTGCTGTACACGTAAATGTCCTTACCAACTAAATGATGTAAAACTTTCTTAAAGTAATTTTAGTGTTCATTTATTTATAACTTCTACCATGTGATTTCCAGACTATTGGAAGTGATTTACTGTATCTTGTGATATATGGGTTTTAACAAATTCTAGTCTTCACGCTGAGAGAGCACTACTTGAGAGAGCAGTTGAAAGTTTCAAAAACTTTGGTTCAATCTGAAGAAAGGAAGCTTGAACTGTTTGTTCTTGGTGCCTTGCAGAGAGACTCACAGCAACTCTCCATTATAGCTTTCACACGGTTTGGATGTGCAGCACATCCAAGGCAACCACAGCTGTGGTAGAGCTTGGTAAAAGACTGAAGATACATTGGTGCTTTGATGAAAAGGTCAGTTGGCTGGTCCCTCTCTCAAAAAGCTTATTAAGCCTGAAAAGCCAACTTTGTAACATATTTAAAACTGCTATTTTCGCTTATTTCTGGAATGTAAAAAAAAAAAATGTATAAAAAGAATTAGTGTATGCTTCCTGAATAAAAAGGAGCCAAAGTTGATCAGAATGGTGGCGTGCTCATTTCCGGGCAGCAGCCTTGTAGCAACACTGGGTCTTTGGAGAAGGGAAGTGGTGTTTGCACAGAATAGTTCAGCACCCAGAGCACATGTGGATGAATGTCCGGATTTAACAGATAGGAATCAGTCAACTATCACTTTTTTCCTATGGACCAACATGCTGGCTTCAACCAAATCTTTGGCTGCCCCCTTTTATGTGATTTTATTTTTGTATCTCAGATAAATCAAGTATAACCTCATAACAGCACAGGTGAATTTACCATTGCTCACTAGACACCTCTAATGAAATGATGTTCAGGACAATTAGGTGGTTTACAGTGCTTGACAACATTTAGCACCGTGCTTGACATGTAATTGGCCAACAAGAAATCGTAATTTCCTTTCCCGTTTTTTGTTTGTTTGTTTTTGAGATGCAGTTTCGCTCTTCTTGCCCAGGCTGGAGTGCAATGGTGCAGTCTCGACTCACTGCAACCTTCACCTCCTGGGTTCAAACGATTCTCCTGTGTCATCCTCCCAAGTAGCTGGGATTACAGGCACCCGCCACCACGCCCGGCTGATTTTTGTATTTTAGTAGAGACGGGATTTCACCATGTTGGCCAGGCTGGTCTTGAAGTTCTGACCTCAGGTGATCTCCCTACCTTGGCCTCCCAAAGTGCTGGGATTACAGGCTTGAGCCACCGTGCCTGGCCCTGTTTTTTATATTTTACATTAAGCAGCTGCCCACTGTAGTTAAATTAATGCTTAAAAAATATAAAGGGATTAGCCTTTACACCTGGATTTCTGTAACTGGTACTCATCTACGGTAACTAAACAGTGTGATAATTGTTTTCCATTAACCGTCTTCCTACAGTGCATAGCCTTTCTTAATGTCGGTAGGAAGAGAAATGAGGTGTACATTTTATTTTGCCACTTCATATTAACATTGGCAAAAAAAACTAAGCAAAATGTTTATAGATTTTGTAGGATTACAATTTGTTTTTTGAGACAGGGTCCCACTCCGGTTACCCAGTCTGGAGTGCAGTGGCGCAGTCTTGGCTCACTGCAACCTCCACCTTCCGAGTAGCTGGGACTTCAGGTGCGCACCGCCTGGCCTGGCTAATTTTTTGTATTTTTAGTAGAGATGGGATTCTGGTCTCAAGCTCCTGGAGTTACGCAGTCCACCCTTCTCAGCCTCCCAAAGTGCTGGGATTACAGGCATGAGCCACTACACCCGGGCTACAATTTTGTTTTGTTTTTAATTTACAAGGTTCATGCCAACCTTCAGAAGCTATGGTTGAATTTGTGAGTTAGAAAAAAACCTGTTTTCAATTCTCTGAGTAAGAGTGGCTTTGGGATTAAGGGATATGAAAACTTCACTGATTACTCTCTTTACATTTCTTTCTTCCCCCAAATGATTTTGAGGCAGGGAAAGGTAGGGGATTGTTAAATATAATCTGGTTTGTCTAGGTGAGTCCAACAGAACAGAATATTAAGGTAGTTACAGTTAGGAAGGCTCCCAAATAATTGCACCAAGTAGATACAAATTTGGTTACTGGATTTGAGGGGCCAGATTGCCTAACTTCTTAGGATCTGTGATATTGATACAGAATTAGAGCAAAATCACTTAACTTGCTTGAGGATAAAATAATGTTGAGAATGGCGTTGGCATGAATGAGCTGCTGACAAGCTTGCTGTTGTTCCATTTTGTTCCATTTTGTCCCCTTTCAGTTGGTTACTGTATTTTCCCTTTCTTTGAAATGTAGTCATTCTTAACCCAGTAACCTTCCTATACAATCTGTACAGGTACATGAGCAATTTCAAATTTTATTTGGATTAAGTGTTTTTTATACTGAGGAACTAACTGTTCTTTCCATTTTATATCTAGCTTTTAGTATCACAGATCTACTTTTTGGATTTTTTTCCTCCCCTTTGATTGCAAAATGAATGGCAATATCATGCACTTTGTTGGGATTCTTTTTTAGTAGTATACAATGCATTCTCTTTGCTATGAGTAACCCCTGAAGCTGGAGATGGGTCCTAAATAAAGGATTCTAATTGCAGCTTTGGTTCTTCATCATACCTCCTTCCCCACATCAGCACGTGCAGAATTGAAAAGTTCAAACCTGACTGCCATTTGAAAAAGGGACATTGCAAATTTGTTTTCATTAACTTTGTTATCAATACATGTAGCCTGTGGTGTTAAAAATTTTAAAGGGAGAAAGAGGCAATTAGCATGAAATGTTCAAATGAATGGTTTGTGGTGCCTTTGACCATGCATATGTTGTTTTGGGAGGTCAGCTTGTTGGCTCTGTTGTAAGGTTTTAAATGGATTATCCTGTGAAAGAGATTGGGTATAGTGTTTCTCAGGTGTACAGAAGAAAAAAGTTATTAAACCTGACCATTCTGAGTCTCGCCTTACATTGTTTCAGGTATGATTAACAGTGTCAATTTAAAGCACTCAGCCACATAGCAGGATGAAAAAGTTAATGTAAAACTAATCCACCAAATAGAAAAATTTAATGTGGTTCTACTTTGAAGCAGAAATGGACTTGAGGGAAACTATTAAGCAAATTGAAGGACATTGCTCCTAGGTGAAACAATCCAAGTAATGTGGTAATTAGTACAGATTGTACTCCATACTGAGGCTTCAAGTACCATGTCTTAAAAGATGAGTGAGATACATGTGTCATAAGGACTTAACTTCATTTAGCCCCATCCACCCAACCAAACAAGTACCAAGAGGTGGTAGTTTTTACAAAGTCATTGTCCTTGCCTCTTTCAAATGAGATGGGTTGCTCCTCAGAAGAAAGTAGTTTTGTTTAATCAAAGTGATTGAGGATATCTGTACTCCCAAACTTTGCATAGGATTTAAAATACCATCTAGGCCGGGCACGGTGGCTCAGGCTTGTAATCCCAGCACTTTGGGAGGCCGAGGCAGGTGGATCATGAGGTCAGGAGGAGTTTAAGACCAGCCTAGCCAACACAGTGAAACCCCATCTCTACTAAAAATACAAAAATTAGCTGGGCATGGTGGCGAGCGCCTGTAATCCCAGCTACCCAGGAGGCTGAGGCAGGAGAATCGTTTGAACCCAGGAGGCAGAGGTGGCAGTGAGCCAAAATTGCACCACTGCACTCCAGTCTGGGCGACAGAGCTAGACTCCGTCTCAAAAAAAAAAAAAAAAAAAAAAAAAAAGTTTGGTACTGTTTGTTTTTGAGCTAGGGCTTTTAAAGAGGTGGTATGTCAGGATCAACAAGTTAGATCTTGGTCTCTGAGGGTGCTGATAAATACCTAGGTTGGTTTATCCCTGCCCCCCGCACGCCCCCCATAACCTCATTCCCTTGATTGATTATAATGTATACTGAGGTAACTTTATTTAATAATTTTACATTCTGTTAAATTTTTTTTTTTTTTTTGAGAGGAAGAAGTCTCACTCTGTCACCAGGCTGGAGTGCAGTAGCGCGATCTTGGCTCACTGCAACCTCCGCCTCCTTGGTTCAAGCGATTCTCCTACCTCAGCCTCCCAAGCAGCTGGGACTACAGGGGCATGCCACCACGCCTGGCTAATTTCTTTTTGTATTTTTAGCAGAGACAGGGTTTCACTGTGTTAGCCAGGATGGTTGATCTTCTGACCTCGTGATCTGCCCGCCCTGGCCTCCCAAAGTGCTGGGATTACAGGCGTGAACCACTGTGCCCGGCAACATATTCTGTTAATATATTTAAAAAGCATTACCACTTATGACTGGAAAGAAAAAAAAAGTTCTCTCCAGAAGTATCTGTCTTGTCTTTTCCCCTCCCAGAATGAGTATTTTTGCTTTTACCTTAATGTTTGAGGGGGGAAATGAGTACATATGAGATCCCAATAAGAAACCAATACAAAAAGTTTATACTGAGCTAAAAAAAAAAAAAAAAAGATACCTTGACTATGAAATTTTAAGGTTATTTTTATTTACAACTTTTGAAAAATGTACATTTTTTTTTACATGGGTTACTTGTGCAAAGTTAGATTTGGAAGTGATAAATGCATAAAAGGTGACAATAGAACATTAGACAAAACATTTACAAGCCTTGTCCCATACTGCTACTTAAAGGTACTATATATCTAAAAGTATAAATATCCAAAAAAAGATCGCAGACATTGGCTTTAAGGTTCTCAGATGCTGAAAGGGAAGAAATTAAAGCATGCAGCAATAACTCAGGATTTGAGTGGAAAATAGTTTGCCACAGATATGCTATGCTCCCTTCCTTGAATTCATTAAAACTCTAAAATAAAGATGGACAATTGAGTTTATTCACTTAGGGCAGCACTGATCCTTTAAAAAGATTAAAGGAGCTCCAACTTTCCCTAGCTCAAAAACTCACGATTGTTTCCATTCCTCTGCTCCCACACCTCTTTTAAAAAGCAAAAACCCAGAAGACCAATAATTCTGAAACTTGGCATGAGTGTGCCCAGTCAGCAGCTTGCAAAGAGAGGATGTGTCAGTTACTACAATTGCTGTACTCCTTTAGCTGAGTCCTTCAACTTTCTCCTTCTTGCCAGTAAATACTACGTTGTAATTCATATGACTGAGATCTTAGTATCACAGGATTTTTAGCTCCCATGCCTCCTTCAAAATTGTTTACATGGATTTGTTTCTATTCTCTGTAGGCCATATTCCAAACACATTCACTTCTAAATCCAACACAAGTGAAGGACCAGCCAGGATGAAACACTTCAGCAATCATTTTGTTAAAAATAACATCCTGGTCATCAAGCTAAGCATAAGCACCTCTTGTATAACAATTCATCTTAAAAGCTTAAAGTACAATAATAAAAATAACTGCCTGAAAACTGGAAATGAAATACAACAGAAAAACTGAAGCATTAGTAATTTTTGCAAGTAACCCAGGTACAGTACATTTGATTTCATAGAGGGTGTTTTCTGATGTTTAAGGAGAGGGTAGAAGGGGTAGGAAAACTTGGCAAGGAAGATGGAAACAGCACAACAGTTATTTTGCTTTTAATAAAGTAAATGTAATGACAGGAGTAGGGAGGTGACAAACACATCAATATATATTTTTCTTATGGCCAGCTTCTTTAAACTGTACCCGGGGTCAACAATCACGCCAGCTTTGTTCTACTATTGCAGAAACACGCTTTTCATATTCCCGTTTGTTCTCCTGGTACAGCTGAGCAGCCTGGCTGTTTGCTGGACTATTGGGATTGGGTTCATCCAACAGAGACTAAAGAGACAATTTTTAAAATGTCAGTTCCTTAATGCAAAACAACTATTTTATAAGGTAGTGACACTCAATTGAATTGTCCTAAGTACAGCTACATTTCTTGTCTTTAGCATACAAACCCAGAGTTATGTGAATCTGCTAGTAGCTAGGAAAATATATGCGGCTTTTTTTTTTTTTAAGGGAGAAGAGTCTCACTATGTTGCCCAGGCTGGTCTCAAACTCCTGAACTCAAGCAATCCTCCCACCTTGGCCTGCCAAAGTGCTGAGGTTACAGGTGTGAGCGACTGTACCCAGCTGACTTGGGTCTTAATGGTCTACTTTTCATCTATAAAACAAACAAGCTTTGACCAAAAATAAAAAGATCTATTACATTATGACTTTCAAAAACAATTCAATTGCTAATATAAACATATTAAAAGTTATAGTTCGTCACATTAAGGAAAAATTCACCTGTATGGATGTTAGAATGGAAGACACATCATAGGTTGGACTCCAACGGTTCTGAAGTATGTCCAGACATATACTACCATCTGCATAGACTAAGAACAAAGAAGTAGGTACATTAAACGTAACAAGACCACTAAGGTTTTAACATTATAGACAAAACAAAAATAGTCAAGAATACTTTGCTTTTGAAGTTTAAAGATTCCTATGTTGCTTCCCAGTTAACTGCCTAAAAAGATAAGTCATAACCACCACTAGTGAAATAATCAGGATGATCAGAGAATGTCAGATGTGATCAGTATAAAACTGGAAGATATTTAGTGTTCATCCTTTGGAAAAGGCTGCCCTATTATCCAGGAAATCAGAAACATTTTTGAACAGGGTCCCTAGCTATCCACAGACATGTGGGAAATTCATTCCACCAAATTTGTAGGCTGTATCCCCTATCTGAAATAACAAAAGATCACTCAGAGTTCACAAGATTTCATTTTGGCATAAAGATAAACATATCTGATACCCTGAAAAATACTTCATTAACCTAAATAAAAGGCAAGCTGTTCTAGGCTTACTACTATTTTAAAAAGTGCAAAGTGGTTAAGTTAGAATCACCTGTGGTGCTTTTCTGACAATACCGTATGCCTGGCCTTCAACAACAGAATCCTATTCATTAGGTTTGGAGTGGGGCGAAGGCATCTGTGTTTTTAAAATGTTCCACAGTAATTCTGATATGCGTCCAATGAAAACTACTTTTCTAAACGCTAGTGAAAATAATTACAACACAAGACTATCCCAATCTGGCCTAGCATTAAAAGGAAACCTCAAGAGCATCCTTCATTTTGTTTAATAAGTAAATGACAAAGGTCATCAAAATCAGGAGGCTCCCAGACTCCAAGCAAAGGGAAAATACCTCCACTGCTTCAGTTCTAGGACAAGACAGCCACAGACAACCAAGAACAAGTTCAGCTTTCAAGAAGCAGCAAGCTGCCTAAACAAATACTCAGGCACCACAAAATACACAGGAAATGTGGAATACTCCATAATAAACACTATAGTAGTTTAAAACACTGTACTAAAAGTGATACTTGCCATTTGGATGGAACATCTTAGAGACAAATCTAACTGTAGGTGGTTTATTTGGATATTCTTCAGTGAATTCTATTGTAAGTTTAAATGTTCCTGTGGTTAGAAAAGAAAGATTTAAGAAAATGTATTTATCACTTTGTTCAGTAGTACTTTGTTTTTAATGCTATGTGGGTTTTTCCAAGTATTAAATAATGCAAAGATACAGGGTAGAGAGGAAAGGCCAGGTAAGAAATACATCTCTAGGAATTGCTCTAAGAACTACTCAAATGTGATTTTTTGTTTTGCCATTATTTTCCCCCAAACTTGGAGACAGCCATCATAAACACAAAATTACTGCTTACAAGATTTTAGCCACTGTACATTTTGAAAACATCCTTAAGAAACTGGGCCCAAAATTTGGCCTTCTTCCTTTAGAAGACCAAAAGACCTCAAAGGCCTATGTTAGTCAGCTGCCATCTTAAACGCTCCAGTGATTTTTAGACAGACTAGAAAGAATGAAAGCACAATGGTTCAAAAACCAATGCCAGAATACAAATCCATAATCAAGTTATTTTTAAAATAGAAGGGAATAAGTATAAAAGTGTTCATACTGGTTCCTTTTCATGTCATAGTGACCCTATAATGAAAACTTAATTGAATTTAAGCCAGGAAAAACTTCATAGTCCCTCTCAGAAACCCTTAAGTATGGCTCATAAGGTACTTCACTATAAAATCAACTCAATTATTCACACATATGGAGGGAATTAATGGCAGAAATAATTTTAAAATCACATTTGGTTTAGATTGCATTCATGTTTCCAGCAAATTTATTTTTCTAATGTTTATGCTACTATTGAAATGAAATTATTTTTCTTAAATATATGTCAACCTAAGGTAGCAGGAGGCCCTAAAGCATAGTAGGTTATAAACTTACTTACAAGGCATGGACAAACTGGATCTCATTCAAGAATTGTTAAGATGTGATATGAAGAGATTATGTCCTTTAAAATATTATTTTCAATTGTTTGTTGAATAAATTGAAGAACACAATTGAGCAATGTTTTTTCCTGACTGAAATCTGTTCAAGTAAACTTAGAAGAATCAGTTACTATATGGTATAAGGTGATGCATGTTCCACTATATTACTCTGGTCCATTTAACAAATTATTCTAAAACAACAGACCATACTTCAGTGTATTTCTTACTGGTTCCTTCAGAGTTAGCAATTTATTTCCTTTTTGTTCTCATTAAAAGGTTTATCACTGCTTAAGAAAGAGAGAAGACTATAATCATTCTAGGACTAGATCTGTGACAAAACAGTATCAAAAAGTTTGTTTTTAGCAAGCTCATTGGAAACAATTTGCTAACAAAGCTGCCCTTACTATGAACAAGTGTCTCAAAGCTTCAAAATAATATAAAATGCAACATACAGAGACATTATATTCCTCAAATTATTGTTACTCCCTATTTTCTTTTCAAAGCCAGACCTGAAGATACTATGTATTATAACTAAGAAAGTAAAATCTTATGGAATGGACAAACATATGCCCATTAGAAGTATGGAAGTATGTCCATCAGAACATACTTCACCTTTATCACCACCTGGTCATAAATCTTCCTCTTTCTGAGGAAGAAAGCACAGTTCTTCCTTTTCAGTATTTATTGACACTATAATATGCAAGAAAAAGTGGGAATGTGTTAGAGTTCAAAACTTTGAGTTTCCTTATGTATTATGATCTCAAGTGTAAACACATTTGGATCAATGTTGCAATCTGACTAAATTATGGGTAAGAGACACTGCTCTAAAACTGGGCAGATGTAATAGCACATGGAGATCCCAGCTACTTCAAAACCATCACTAAATATGGTATCTAAAGGTAGTAAAGCAAGACATAGGGAAGCCATAAGCAAAAACAGTAAAACACACTGCTAAGAGCATGAGCTCTGCAGTCAGACAGGTCTGGGCCCAAGTCCTTGCTTTGGTACTTACTAGCTGTGAGACTTTGGGGAAGGTGTTCTCCTTGACTAAACCTTAAGTTCCTCATTTGTAAAATGAGATTAATCATAGTACCCACCATATAGCATTGTTGTGAGGTTTAAATGAGAGGAATATGCATAGTTCCACAAAGTTAAGTGCTCCAAAACCATGAGCAACTATTTTTGCTATAATAATTCTAAAGTTTCACATCTCTAGACTCAGCTGAAGGAGGCAAAACCCAAAAATCAGAACTATCAGTAAGAAATATACAATTAAGGCATTCAGATATTAAACAGTACTTTTAGGTCTACATCAAACACTCACAGTTCAAAGCAAGTTGAGTACCTATATTGGTGGCTCACAAGTTCCTTGACTTGAGCTTTCTGCATACACTTGCCCAGAAGTTCAACTAAGTGATTACCTAGCTACCAAAGAAGTTAATCGCAAGTCTTTTAAAACAGTTCACTTAATATCTTGAGAAGTGAAGCAACCTATTTATGTCTACTTGAATATAAATTAAGACAACCCAAATCTTATTCAAGGTACACATTAAAAAGAGGGTAAAAACTTCACACTTTTAGTCACACTAATCAGAACCTGTTTAGTATAACCTTCAATGTAATTTCTAAGCTCTAAAACAAATGTTAAGGGAATTTAAAATCCCAGAATTAGTATTATGCAGTCTTGAGACTACAGCTTACCCTCTGAATATTTAGAAGGCTAGGCTTTAAAATAACTGAAAATTTAAGCCTCACCATTGTTGTACATAATGTATACTAATTTTGTTCATCTTCCCGAGGAGGCTAAGACATCGTAAGGAAAGTATCAATTAATCCATCTATACAGGGAGACCACCAAAATTACATAAACGTGTTAAGTGACTGGTGTATGGCAATAAGGAGTGATATGGTTGAACTAGAGGGGGTATATGTTCTGCCTAAAGACACTCACAAAGTCAAGTTTTGGAAAATACTGTGTTGGCCAAAGAAAACACACCTGCAGGTGTTTTCTGCCATTTGGCCACCAGTTTGTGACCCCTGAGAAGAAAGCAAAATACATATAACTTCAAAATTATTTTTGATGACTGAAAATCGATTTTTCAAGTAATATCCAAAACTCTTCATCATAGGATTTATTTATATTTAAAACACTCTTAGTGGACTTTAGAGATTCATTTTGAAAAAGATTTTATGACTCAGAAACATTTCCAAAAATTAAAAAAAAATAAAAACGATTTATACCCCAATTCTAAAGAACACATCTATTATGAAAAGCAAATACCAGTACCTTACCATGTCTATTAACAATTTTTAGATTATGTGATGAAGATTATATTCCATAACCTTTGTATTTAGCATGTATACCAAGATATTCTGATGAGGAAGCATTTCTCCCCAATGTTTTGGTAGTGTAAGCTCTTGAGAATATATTCCTCTTACTTCGAGTGTGTGAAGTTAAACCAAAATACCCTTAAGTGTTGCTTGTCTTAAGATTTCATCACTCTAACTAGGACCTGGTTGTTCCAGAAACTTCCATAACGAACGGTTTACAACAAAGAAGCAAAAGTAGTTTTGGGGTTCTTAATTAATAACATAATACATTGGAAACAGCAAAATCAACTATGCCACTTATCCCTAATCAGTCTTTTCTCTAACTGTAAATTCCCCAACTATAAATAAAGGGTATTCAAAAAATGGTTAAGGCTGGGCACGGCTGCTCATGCCTGTAATCATAGCACTTTGGGAGGCCGAGGTGGGCGGATCACCTCAGGTCAGGAGTTCGAGACCAGCCTGCCCAACATAGTGAAACCCCCTCTTTACTAAAAAATACAAAAATTAGCTGGGCATGGTGGTAGGTGCCTGCAATCCCAGCTACTTGGGAGGCTGAGGCAGAAGAATTGCTTGAACCTGGGAGGCAGAGGCTGCAGTGAGCTGAGCTCGTGCCACTGCACTCCAGCCTGGGTGACAAGAGCAAAACTCCATCTCAAAAAAAAAAAAAAAAAAAAAAGCTAAAATTTTTTTTGTGGGGGAACCACAGGCCACAGTGTTCCAGACACCTGAGGAAGCATCCATCGGTAGCAGACTGTTCAACAGAACAAATCAGCCTGAGTAATTCCTTTCAGTAATGCTAGGATGGAGATACACATCATCAAAAATAGAACCAGTAATGTCAAAGGTGACAGTCCTGGTAGATAATGGACTCTGTAAGTACCTTTTCAATTCATACCACTTAAGAGAAGCACCCTTGAAATATTTAGGTAGCCAATCCCCAGCAAAGTGATGTACTATTAATAAAGCTGTGCCCAGCATAAAACAGAGTAAAACGAGGAAAAAAGAAGCCAATGAAAACAAGGCCTACTAGAGCTAAAGCAAACACAGTTAATCTGTACATTTAAAGCTCAGGTATAAAGAACTAGTGCTCGCCGGGTGCGGTGGCTCAAGCCTGTAGTCCCAGCACTTTGGGAGGCCAAGGCGGGTGGATCCCAAGGTCAGGAGTTTGAGACCAGCCTGGCCAACATGGTGAAACCCCGTCTCTACTAAAGATACAAAAAATTAGCCGGGCGCGGTGTCGCACACCTGTAATCCCAGCTACTCAGGAGGCTGAGGCAGGAGAATCGCTTGAACCTGGGAGGCGGAGGTTGCAGTGAGCCGAGATCACACCATCGCACTCCAGCCTGGGTGACAGGGCGCAACTCCGTCTCAAAAAAACAAAAACAAAAAACAAACAAACAAAAAAACTAGTGCCAATCTGGTAGAAGAAAATTAAGTCTAGCTATAGTTTTTTGCTACAAATCAGTTCAAATGATTAACTGCGCCAAAGTAGTATGCCCTTACAATCACTGTTTCCTGCTGTCATTTCTTTTCTTTGCAGCCCTGAAGAGTAATGATATTTACCCAGGGGGTAAAGGTAAAGAGGAAGCTAAAAATATTCAGGTGACTGTCCACAGTTTCCTGGGGAAATCTAAGTACTTGAGATGAATTACAGACTTAGTTGAAATTGACTTACCTCACAACATTTTGTGGACTGGTAGCATCAAAAAGCAATCCGGCTCAGCAACATAAGTATGTATTAAGTAGTTTGCAGAAATGTTTTTGTTCCCACCTTCAAACTGAAGTGTGTGTGTGTGTGTGTGTGTGTATAAATGCTATGTGACCGAAGGAAATCATTGAGGAAAAAAATAACAGAAAGATCCTTTTCCTTTTTTTTAAAACCTCAAATATTAAAGAATTTCATGAGTTCAAATACTTTAATCATCCTTTAAATGTATTAAACTTTCAAAAAACAACCACACACACACACAACTGAGTGTAGAACTATCAGTGTCATTTTTCCGGTTGTGATAGGGTCTAGTCATTCAAGATGTTACCAAATGGGAGGGTTTGGGTAGAGGACTGGGTTAAGGGTATAAAGGGTGTCTCTATTATTTCTTGCAACTGCATATGAATCTATAATTATCTAAAATCAGAAAGTTTTTAAAAAGCAATTTACACGTGTTTTTAAAAGTTAAACCTAAATCAATTAAAAATTATGTACCTACTGGTACATGTAGTACTTTCAGGTAGGCAGGACACTGATCAAAAGGGTACATTAAGGCTAACTTCAATTGTGAAGCTGCTTTGAAATTACTCATCATAACGTCTTGATGAAAGCACACACTGCAAATTCACTTAAAAATAAGAAAGAATACTGTACTCAAATGAGGCATTTAAGACCATCTTAGAGCAGTGAGGCTGACAGGCATTCAATGTCAGATTGTAGAAACCAGACAGTTGTACGCAAGGGATTCTCGCATCCACTCAACATCCAACACACATCTACCAAGCACCTGCTGAACACAACTCCTGCCCTTGGGGTAGAATTCTGAACCAGATGGTCTCTGGGGTCTCTGCTGCCTATCAGCAACTGGTTGGGTTTATACTAATTCAGTGATGGAGGGCTGAATTTAGCAGAATTACAGCCCAAGCCTCAAAAATCCTTAATACCAGTGCTATGATTGCTCCTTTTAAAAAGTGACTGCCTTACACAGATTTTTTTTTTAAGAAAGCAAGAAGAAAGGTGCAGTTCTAGTCAAGCATACAATATCCAGAACCACCAGCCACACACTGCATTCCACTCAAGCCTTTAGCAGACAGAGGCTAGGCAGAGGCAGGTTCCTAAGCAGGAGACACTTCCAGGATGACTGGGAACCCTTTCCCCAGATGACCAGGCTCCTGAAAAGTGGGTAAAGAAACTCTCTCTTACCATCCTCAAACGGGGTCCCTTCAGGCCTGCAACACAGAGAAAAATGGTCAGTTCCCACTTAAGGGGCCCCCTTCTCCCTGCTTCATCTGAGATGGCTATCCCGAGCTCTGCCATCTCCAGCACCGCTACCGGGGTCGGAAGCCACTACAAATGGATGTCCCGGGCTCAGAGACACAGGGCAAGCCGCCGCGCCTAACCGCCACCACTCCCCGCCCCGCCCCCCTAGAACCCCAAGCGGTTCCCCCTGGCAGCGGGAACTGAGCTAATCGAGGCACAGGCTCCGGGGAGGCGCCTAGGCCCAGCCAGACCCAAACATTTTCCCCTACCCGCTCGGCCTCCGCGGGGGGCCCGCCCCGGAGCGCAGACCGAAGCTGCTCGCGTCCCCAGTTTTCTCGCCACCGCCACGAACGCAGACTCACCCGAAAATGACCGCGTTCCACACCATTATGTTGTTCTCGGACGGAGCCCCGCTGACTCCGGCTGGAGGATCCTCCTGCAACCTTCGGGAAGACAGACAGGGGTCCCCCTAGGCCGGCACTGGCGCCCGCTCCCGGCCGCTCCCCAGCCCTCCCCGCCCGGCGCGCCTCGGGACCCGCCCTGTGCCCCAGCTCGCAACCCCCGGCCTCGGCCGTCCCCTCGGTTTACCTCTTGAAGTCCCGCATGAGGCGCCGCCGAGCCGGGGTGGACATGTCGCGAGCGGGGTCAGGGGTGGGGCATACACTGGGGTCTCGGGTTCCCGCGGCGGGCGAGGAGGCCGAAGAGGCTGGAGAAGCAGGAGAAGGGGAGGCGGAAGCACCCAGAGGAACCGCGCTGCCTCTCCGAAGTCGAGGGTCGGTCTGGCGCCGGCTAAGCACCACCCCAGTGTAGACGGGGGCTGAACCAACCTGAGAGCAGAGAGAGGGGGGTGGAACGTCGAGCGCCGGACAGGCCGTACCAAGACGGGGCGGGGGGTGCGCGAGGAAAGTTGCTTATGTCATTAAAGCCCCACGGGAGGCCCGGGGCGGGGCCGCGAGCGCAGAGGCGTAGGGTACGCCGGAGCCCCGGGC
Source organism: Homo sapiens (assembly GCF_000001405.40). Taxonomy (NCBI): domain Eukaryota; kingdom Metazoa; phylum Chordata; class Mammalia; order Primates; family Hominidae; genus Homo; species Homo sapiens. The sequence continues at coordinate 119,574,354 of NC_000023.11, read as the reverse complement.
GCTGGAGGAGCTCGTGGTGGAACGGGGTCCATCCCCACCTGCTAATTCTAAGGCAAACCCTGGGAAGTTTTCGGCTTTTTTTCTTTTTCTCTTTTTTTCTTTTTCTATTCGTTTTTGTTTGTTTTGTGACCAGATCATTCATGAAAGCGCGCACTATGCCCGGGGAGGAGAGGGGAGAAGTTTGGAAGTCCCAAACTAGAGGACGAAGGAGTGGGCGGAGGTAAAACCGGTTCTCAAAAAGCGGCAACTCTAGGGTGCACAACCCCTTCGGACACCGGAGACTGGGGTCGGAGGGGTGGGGAGAGGAGTGATTGGTTAAAATCACGGAAAATCAAAAGAATAAATCGGCCTTGACTATGACGGGGGGGCGGGGCGGGGCTGTGGGATTGAATGCAGGATTGGGCGCTCAACGTTTAGGCCAATGATCACCCCAGGGCAGAATGAAATAGTGTTGTATGTCCTGTGGGAGGGAATGGGAGCTTAAGGCAGGCGGAGTAGGGTTTTGTTTTGTTCTGTTTTGTTTTGGGCACTCACAATTTGGCTCTGGAACCACATTTCCCCTTGGTAGTTCAACAAGCCAAGCGGCTATTTATGTTCAGAAGAGTCCAAGATATGAGACTATCCGACTGCAGGGAGTTGCAAGGACAGTGGGTCTGAAGTAAAAGGAACGTGGAAAAGCTGCAGGTTGCAGGAAGAGTCACAGTCCGTGGACCTGCAAAAGCAATAACAGTTTTAAAGGATAATTTTTAAAGGTCAACCCAAAATAACTTAGAAGATAGGCATAATACACATTTAAAAATTATTGAAAATAGGAGAAAGGTAGATTTGGGTTAAGTCATCAAGAGTTTTGAATGCCAAGCTAATGGATTCCTTGGAAGTCCATTGAGCAGGGAAGTGACATCATTAGAGCTGTCCTTATCAGAGATTGGTCTCAAGAGAGCAGGCAGGAGACTCTTGCAGTATCTAGGTGCGAGATACTGAAGCAGGCAGTGACAATAAAGGCGAGGATATGAATGAATGGGGAGGACTTGGCAACAGGCTGAATATGGGGCAAGAGAGAGGAAGGAGTCAACAGTGGCTGAAACTCTAAGCCCCGAGATAACTGGGGTTTTGAAGGTGCCATTAACAGAATTACAGAATAGAGAGAGAGGGACAAGTTTGGAAAAGGAAATTTTGGGTGGGACTTACTGAGTTCATGGGACTGGTGAGACATCCCCGTGAAGATGTCCAGAAGATATCAGATGTGCAGGAATTTGTTTCTAACATGAGAAGCAGGAGGCACTTGACAATGGTAGTGATTCTAGCTGCTGCTTAACAACAGGTACTTTCATGGTCAAGGATTTCTATCTCCCATTAACTCCAACATATCAGTTAAGGCAAGTCTCCCTAATAGCATCACATTATGGCTGTAGTAGGAAGGGGGTACAAAAATTAAAAAAAAAAAACTTTTTTTCCTCTCATCTAAGAACTTGCAGTCTACTAACACACACATACACACATATGAAATCAACAAAAGCAAGATCTACAAAAGCAAGTATATTCGTTTTCATCACTGCTTAACAAATTACAAGTTGTTGGCCAAGCCCAGTTCATTGCAGTTGTAGGACTTTGGTCCCTATTTCCTTACTAGCTGCCACCTGGGAACTACTCTCAGCTCCTAGAGGCCGCCTGCATTCCTTGCCAAGTGGCCTACTCCATCTTCAAAGTCATCAACAGAGAATTTCTCTCCCACCACATCCCTCTCACTCTTTGAATCTTGTTTTCAGGAAGAGCACAGTCTACTTTAAAGGCTTATCAGATTATGTCAGGCCCACCCCATGGATAATTTCCCTATGTTAAAAACATCTAAGTTGGGACCTTTATTATGTCTGCTAAATTTTTTCACTGCAGAACCTAGATTAGTATTTCATTTAATAACTGGGAGAAAGTGTGTGTATATACCAAGGACCAAGAATCTCAGGGGAGGGTAGCATCTTAGAAGTCTGCCTACGACAGCAACAGCAGAACCAGAACGGTTTCAGATTTCCTTTTTTTTTTTTTTTTTTTTTCAGATTTTGGAATTATTTGCATTATAAAAGTTTCAGGTTTTGGAGCATTTCGGATTTTAGATTTTCAGATTTGAGATCCTCAACTTGTAGAAGTGTGTGAAACCACAGATGCTGAGAGATTGCACAGCAGAGGAATCGTCATTCTGGTGGGATCAGGACAAGCTTCCTGAAATGGGTGTATTTCAATTTTGTTTCAACAGAGATGAAAGCGGAGCTTGAGAGAGAAGAACTTAAGCAGTTTATATGGGGGCAATGGCACAGACAAGGGCATGGAGCTAAACCCGTGGGCAGATGAGCTTGGCTAATGGACAGGTTCTTGGCTGGGGAATGATGAGACCTCAGCTAGGAAAAGTGAGGGTGACAGAAGTTGATTAAATGCCCTCAAATGCGAGAATGGGGAATTTAGGCAGCTTTTATAGGTGTTTGAGCATGAGAGAGATGTATTGAAAATATCCTGGCCGGGCGCGGTGTCTCACACCTGTAATCCCAGCACTTTGGGAGGCCAAGGCAGGTGGATCACGAGGTCAGGAGATCAAGACCATCCTGGCTAACATGGTGAAACCCCGTCTCCACTAAAAATACAAAAAATTCTCCGGGCGTGGTGGTGGGCGCCTGTAGTCCCAGCTACTCTGGAGGCTGAGGCAGGAGAATGGCGTGAGCCCGGGAGGTGGAGCTTGCAGTGAGCAGAGATCGCGCCACTGCACTCCAGCCTGGGCGACAGAGCAAGACTCCATCTCAAAAAAAAAAAAGAAAAAAAAGAAAAAAAAGAAAATATCCTTTTGAGGCCAGGCATGGTGGCTCACGCCTATAATCCCAGCACTTGGGAGGCCGAGGCAGGTAGATCACCTGAGGTCAGGAGTTCAAGACTAACCTGGCCAACATGAGGTAACCCCATCTCTACTAAAAATACAAAAAAATTAGCTGGGCGTGGTGGTGAGGACCTGTAGTTCGAGCTACTCGGGAGGCTGAGACAGAAGAATCGCTGGAACCCAGGAGGCGGAGGTTGCAGTGAGCGGAGGTCATGCCACTACACTCCAGCCTGGGCGACACGACCAGACAAAAAAAAAAGAGAAAGAAAAAGAAAATACCCTATTAAGAAGCGGCATGTACCGTACTAAAAAGTATGAAAGGGACTGAGAAGCTCCTGCTACTGGATATACATGTCTGAAATTTATTGAAGGATATAGATGTATGTAAGTTTGTTGTGAGCTTGTCTGTTTTTTGAAACCCCCTTTCTCTTCCTTTCTTGGACTTTCTTCCTTTCAAGAAAACTAAGGGCTGGGCTCAGTGGCTCAAGCCTGCAATCCCAGCACTTGGGGAGGCCAAGTGGATCACCTGAGGTCAGGAGTTTGAGACCAGCCTGACCAACATGGAGAAACCCCGTCTCTACTAAAAATACAAAATTAACCGGGCATGGTGGTGCATGCCTATAATCCCAGCTATTCCAGAGGCTGAAGCAGGAGAATTGCTTGAACCCGGGAGGCGGAGGTTACAGGGAGCTGAGATCGCACCATTGCACTCCAGCCTGGGCAACAAGAGCGAAACTCCGTCTCAGAAAACAAAACACAAACAAACAAACAAAAAAACTCAGGAGCATGACCCAAATGGTTGGAAGCCCCCTGGCACCTGCATGGGAGTAGCATTCTCTGACTAAGGAATGAAACTGCATTGCAGGAACACCGTGCCCCCACATTCCTCAGCAGAAGCAGGGTTGTCATAGCAAGCAGCAATACAGAAGATTGTTTTCCAGCATGATGATTATCAGGCTAGAACATACTAACTTTAGCACAGTTTGGCCAAGCATTCTTTCTACCCTTTTTTCACCTTGACATCTTGAAGAAATACCCTCTTCACAGCCAAGCACCACCCCTACCCAAGAGCAGGGGTCCAGAAAGGATAAGTCTCCTCAATTTAAAGAAAAGTGGGCTGGGCACAGTGGCTCATGCCTGTAATCCCAGCATTTTGGGAGGTGGAGGTGGGAGGATCGCTTGAAGTGAGGAGTTTGAGATCAGTCTGGGCAAAAATGCAAGACTTGTCTCAAAAAAACCAAAAAAATTGTGAAATTTCATTCATGAAGATTTCAACATGAAAAATAGATTTTTATTTTCCTGAAGTATTTTGGGTTAGGAGAAGAGACGAAATTAAAGATCATTTCTTGCCTTATCAGGCTGTAAGTTTGTATTTCTGTTATCCAGTGAAGGCAAAGGACTTTTACTTTCCTACGGTTTTCACCTCTGTTGATAAAATTTAGTACAAACAGCAACAAAGCACCAACAGAAAATAAAATCGAAAGGTCTTTCTTGACTCAAATAATCTCAGAAAATATTTCAAGAGAATTACTTTTAGGAAGTAACAGTTAGCAAAGTGTGTGCTCTTGCTCTTGACAACTTGTAGTATGTTGTTCATCTTCAGCCTCTAGGACATAAGTGGTGGGGGGAAGAGAGAGAGACAAAGAGGTTGGGATGGAGGGAGGGGAATATCAAAGCTGAGGGAAATGGGGAAATTAAGGCCTTGAAAATGGGATTTCAGGCCAGGCACAGTGGCTCACGCCTGTAATCCGAGCACTTTGGGAGGCCGAGGCGGGTGGATCACCCGAAGTCAGGAGTTTGAGACCAGCCTGGCCAGCATGGCGAAACCCCGTCTCTACTAAAAATACAAAAAAATTAGCTAAGCGTGGTGGTGCGTGCCTGTAATCCCAGCTACCTGGAAGGCTGAGGCAGGAGAATCGCTGGAACCTGGGAGGCAGAGGCTGCAGTGAGCCGAGATCACGCCACTACACTCCAGCCTGGGTGACAGAGCCAGACTCCGTCTCAAAAAAAAAAAAGGATTTCACTACCTGCTAAATTACTGAATCAAAGAAAACAAAGGCATGGTGTGGTATGCTGAATAATGCACAACCCTGCCCCCTCCGCCCCCCCAGCCAGATCTCCATTTCCTTATCTCTGTAACTGGTGAATATGTTACCTTACATGGCAAAAGGGACTTTGCAGATGTGATTAAATTAAGAATCTTGACATGGGGATATTATCCTGGATTAAAGGGGTGGGCCTGAGGCAATCAAACCAGTCCTTATACGAGGGATGAAGTAGGAGTCAAAGAGGAGGCCATGTGATGACTGAAGCAGAGATTGGAGTGATGTGGCCACCAGGGAAGGAGCCAAAGTATGTCTGCAGTAGGAGTTGGAAGAGGCAAAAGATGGAAGCCTGAAGCCCCCAGAAGCAATCAGACCTGCTGACACCTTGACTTTAGACCACTGATATTGGTTTTGGACTTCTGATGTCCAAAACTCTAAGATAATACATTTGTGTTGTCTTAAGCCACCAAGTTTGTGGTAACTTGTTACAGCAGTAATATGAAACTAATACACATGTCTACCATGTTGTACATGGGAATTCAATCAAACCAGCCACATCCATCAGACCAGGGCTCAGCAAACTGCAGCCAAATCTAACCTGCCATTATTTGTCTATGGCCTACAAACTAAGAATGGCTTTCTATATTCTTAAACGGTTGAAAAAAGTCAAAAGATTTAATAATATTATAATGTACATCAATGTTACCAGACTAAGCATTCATCACAATATTCCCAACTCAGAGGAGAGCAATGGCTAGTAAAATTTAAAATTTTAAGTAGAATATCTTATTATGGCAAAATTCATAATAAAACTAAAAAATAGGCCAGGCGCATTGGCTCATGCCTGTAATCCCAGCACTTTGGGAGGCTGAGGTGTGTGAATCATGAGGTCAGGAGTTCCAGGCCAGCTTGGCCAACATGGGAAAACCCCATCTCGGCCGGGCGTGGGGGATCACGCCTGTAATCCCAGCACTTTGGGAGGCCGAGGTGGGCGGATCACGAGGTCAGGAGATCGAGACCATCCTGTCTAACACAGTGAAACTTCATCTCTACTAAAAATACAAAAAATTTGCCGGGCGTGGTGGCGGGCGCCTGTAGTCCCAGCTACTCGGGAGGCTGAGGCAGGAGAATGGCGCGAACCCGGGAGGCGGAGCTTGCAGTGAGCCGAGATCGCACCACTGCACTCCAGCCTGGGCGACAGAGCGAGACTCCGTCTCAAAAAAAAAAAAAAAGAAAAAAAAAAAAAGAAAACCCCATCTCTACCAAAAATACAAAAAGTAGCTGAGTGTGGTGGCGCATGCCTGTAATCCCAGCTACTCAGGGGGCTGAGGCAGGAGAATTGCTTGAACCTGGGAGGTGGAGGTTGCAGTGAGCCGAGATCACGCCACCGCCCTCCAGCCTGGGCGAGAGAGCGAGACTCCATCCCCCGCCCCCCCCAAAAAGGAAAAAATAAAAATAAGCCTATAGTCAAAGTAAGTTTCTGAGTGGCTCCTTTGTTAGCCAACCAAGGAAAGTCATTTACTGATACTGAGCTAAATTGTGTTTGGCTGCAGAAGTCAAAGAAATAGGCTCAAGAAAAATAAAACTTGTGAAGACTATTCACCTTTCAGCAAGAACAGTGGCTCTAAGAGTTGAGGACATTGAAATCAACATCAAAACAAAAACAAACAAACAAAAAAGGGCAAGGCACGGTGGCTCACACCTGTAATCTCAGCACTTTGAAAGCCTGCAGCAGAAGGATTGCTTGAGCCCAACAGTTCAAGACTACCCTGGGCAACACAGCAAGACCTTGTCTCTACAAAAAAATTAAAAAAAAAATAGCCGATGTGGTGGTGTGCATGTGTGGTCCCAGCTACTAGGGAGGCTAAGGTGGGAGGATCACTTGAGCCCAGGAGTTTGAGGCTGCAGTGAGCTGTGATCATGCCACTGCACTCCAGCCTGGGTGACAGAGCAAGACCCTGTCTCAAAAACAAAAACAAAAACAAAGCAAATGATTTCAAGTGGTTTTCCTTGGCTCCTGATGAATGTTTACCAATATTACTCAGTTGTTGTTTTTTACTCAAGGAGTCAATGTTGACTTTAAAGTGACTGAAGAATTGGACCGGGCGTGGTGGCTCACGCCTGTAATCTCAGCACTTTGGGAGGCCGATGTGGGCAGATCACTTGAGGTGAGGAGTTTGAGATCAGCCTGACCAACATGGTGAAACCCTGCCTCTACTAAAAATACAAAAAAAAAAAAAAAAAAAAAAATTAGCCAGGCATGGTGGCATGTGCCTGTAATCCCAGTTACTCAGGAGGCTGAGGCAGGAGAGTTGATTGAACCTGGGCGGTGGAGGTTGCAGTGAGCCAAGATTGTGCCACTGCACTCCAGCCAGCCTGGGTGACAGAGCCAGACTCTGTCTCAAAAAAAAAAAAAAAAAAAAAAATTGGCCTGGGTGTATGGTCTTGTGTGGAACAACTGCAGATGAGAGTATTTCAAAGAAGTCAGGAAAACACTAATTCAATTCAGTCTAAAGCATAATTTGCTAAGATGTATTACAAATATGTATGGAGCAGAAAAGGTTTAGACAAATGTACAATACTTGTCAAAATGTAAGTTGTTTAAAATCCTGTAGTTATTAATTGTATTATTAAACAGCAGGTACTTTGCAACAAACAAACAAACAAACTTGAATCTGTCTTGTGTTATTCTTGACAGTAGTGTCAACAGTGAAGTTCAGCTGGGCGCGGTGGCTCACACCTGTAATCCCAGCACTTTGGGAGACCAAGGTGGGTGGATCACGAGGTCAGGAGTTCAAGATTTTAGAAAATTTGAATTTGAATTTGAATTCAAAATTTTAGAAAATTTTCTAAATGAGAAGAACCCCACCCTTGACCACTATTATTGAACATGAATAGTTTTAAAAAATGGCTTTTGCCATAGACTTAGTAATGTTCCTTAATGAATTTAACCTAAAATTACAAGGCAAAACAGTGTTTATACCTGAAACCTGTACTGCAGTAAAGTCATTCAATGACATCCCACATTGTTTGAATCACAAACAGTGTCAAGGTGCTTTAATCACTTCTCGTGCTGTCAAAAGTTAAAAATCCAGATTTATATTCCCACACAAATTTGCGGTGGAAGTATTCTTGTACATGAATGTTCATAGCAGCATTATCTATATAATAACCAAAAAGTGAAAACATCCCCGTTGTCTGCCAATTGATGAATGAACAAAATGTGATATATCCATATGATGAAATATTATTCAACCATAAAAAGGAAAGAAGTACTGTAACATGGATGAACCTTGAAAACATTATGGTAAATGAAAGAAGCCAGACAAATGGCCACATATTGTAGGATTCCATTTATATGAAATGTCCAGAATAGGCAAATCCATAGAGATAAAAAGTAGATTAGTGGTTGCCGTGGGCTGGGAAGGTGGGGGATGTGCGGGTCGTGGTGACTACTAATGGGTATAAGATTTCTTTTTGAGATGATGGAAATGTTCTGGAATTAGTGGTGATGGTTACACAACTTTGTGAATACACTAAAAAACACCCAATTACACATTTTAAAAGGGTGAATTTTATGTTACGTGAATTATATCAACTAAAAAATAAGATACCTAAAAAATTATGTACTCATCTGGAATAGTCATTAAAATCACAATCATATTTAGAAACACACCCAAATCAGTATCATATATATATATATATATATATAATATAAACTATATAATGCATAGTCCTTTATTTAGCTGGTCTTATATATACATATGTGTATATATACATATAAATGCATGCGTTATAGAAATGTAAAGAATTTATATAATATTAAGGGTGTTGTGAGAAAGCCCACCAATCTTCATTGAGAAGTGACTCCCAGATCACAGGAGTCCCAGCTAACTTGGCCAAGACAAAGTAGGTTCTGGGAGGCTCCAGGCGCACCCCCGTATATCTTAGCCTGATAGGACAGCCCGGAAGTTTATAAGACTTCTGCTAACACGTGACCAGCGTAGCCACAAGGAAAAGGTGCAAGGCGCACTCGTGACGTCATTTCGGGGCGACCCTCTTCTTGGCGTAGAGTTTTCAGATTGCTCTTGGGAATCATGCCGAAAGTAGTGTCTCGGTCAGTAGTCTGCTCTGACACTCGGGACCGGGAGGAATATGACGACGGCGAGAAGCCCCTCCATGTTTACTACTGTTTGTGCGGCCAGATGGTCCTAGTGCTGGGTGAGTAGCCGGGAACTGCGGGGGCGTCTGCAAGGAGCCAGACTTCGGGTTCTTGAAGGCGAATTTCCTCTGGCTGTGATCTGGGAGCCACTTCTCAACGAAGATTGGTGGGTTTTCTCTCTCCGACTAAATCCTCCCTACGCATCCCCGCCCCACTCCAGGGCATTTTTTTTTTTCCTGCTTTTTGTTTAGCCTTGTGACTCTGTATCCAGACCTTCCTCAAAACTAAACTCCTTCAGGAGAACAAAAATAGAAACACAAACATATTGTATTTCCCTCTTAATCCACTGTCTTCAAAAACTACTGCCTCTAGAAGCTTTATAACTTTTCTGCTGGATACCAAGATGCTGCAGTTGCTCTTACCTCACAGCAAACGAAAATAAAACCCTCCCTCGATCCTGTATTCCCCTCCAGCTATAACCCCATTTCGTTGCTTCTTTTATAGCAAAGCTTCTCAAAAGAGTTGCCTATATTGGCTGTCTCTGCATCCTGACTTCTAATTCTCTCCTGACCTCACTTCAGGTAGGCTTTCCTTCCCACCTCATCATCTTAACCGTATTTGGCTCCATGTTAACAGTTCTAGTGGTCAGTTATCAATGTTCATTTTAATTCTGTCAGTGGCATTTGACAGAGGTAATCATTTCATTCCTTTTGCAACATGTTTTTTATTTGCTTCCAAGACTCCATACTCACTTGATTTTCCTCCTACCTCGTATTTCCCCCCCCCCTTTTTTTTCAGATGGAGTCTCACTCTGCTGCCCAGGCTGGAGTGCAGTGGTGCAATCTCGGCTCACTGCAAGCTCTGCCTCCCGGATTCAAGTGATTCTCCTGCCTCAGCCTCCCGAGTAGCTGGGATTACAGGCGCCCGCCACCATGCCCGGCTAATTTTTGTGTTTTTAGTAGAGACGGGGGTTTCACTACGTTGGCCAGGCTGGTCTCGAACTCCTGACCTCGTGATCCACCCGCCTCGGCCTCCCAAGGTGCTGGGATTACAGGCGTGAGCCACCGCGCCCAGCCTTAGATTTTTCCCCTTGTCTGGCTCCCTTTTCTCTCTCAGACTTTTAGGCATTCCAAGGCCCTATAGCTCAGTACTCTCACCTGTTCTCACTCTGTACCCACCCCCTAGGTGATCTCATTCATTCCCAAGCTTTAAATACAACTGACATGCTGGTAACTCCCAGATGTTCATCTTTAACCTGCACCTCTCCTGAGACTCCAATTGCCTATTCAACATCTCCACTTGAATGTCTAATGGGCCTCTCAAATATATCGTGCTGAAAATTGAGTTCATGACCCTCTACACCCCCTCTCCAATTGCTCCTCTTATAGTCATCCCTATTGCAGTCAGTAGTACAACTATTCATCCAGTATCTCAGACCAAAACCTGGAATCAGTCTTGACTTCTGTCTGTCACGTACCTTACATCTGTCCAGTCCATCAGGAAATCCTGCAGGTGCTTTCGTGAAAATGTATGCAGGATCTGACTGCTTCTTACCACCTCCATTCCTTTTTCTTTTTGAGACAGAGGGAGTCTCACTCTGTCACCCAGGCTGGAGTGCTGTGGCGCGGTCTCAGCTCACTGCAACTTCCGCCTCCCAGGTTCAAGCGATTCTCCTGCCTCAGCCTCCCAAGTAGTGTGCGCCACCAGGCCCGGCTAGTTTTTTTTTTTTTCTTTTTTTTTTTGAGATGGAGTTTCGCTCTTCTTGCCCAGGCTGGAGTGCAGTGGTGCGATCTCGGCTCACTGCAACTTCCACCTCCCAGGTTCAAGCGATTCTCCTGCCTCAACCTCCCTAGTAGCTGGGATTACAGGCATGTGCCACCACGCCCGGCTAATTTTGTATTTTTAGTAGAGATGGGGTTTCACCATGTTGGCCAGACTGGTCTTGAACTCCTGACCTCAAGTGATCCACCCACCTAGGCCTCCCAAAGTGCTGGGATTACAGGCATGAGCCACCACGGCCGGCCTACCACCTCCACTTCTAACACTGTAGTCCAAGCTACTACCATCTTTCACCTGGATTGGCACAATAGTCTCTTGCTCTCGTTGCTTCCACTCTTTTCCACATAGTAGCCAGAGTCCTGTTCAAAACCAATGGTTTCATATAACACTGAGAATAAAACCAAAGTCCATCCATACCAAGACCCTTGATCAGGCCTGTGGCTACCTCTCAGGCTTCATTCCCTAACAGTCTTCCTCTTGCTCATCGCACTTCAGCCACAGTGGCCTTTTTGCTTTTTCTCCATCATGTCAAAAGTGTTCCTGCCCCCCAGTGCCTTTTTAATTGGTATTTCTTCTGCCCCAAAAACTTTTCCCTCAATCCCTCCCTTACTTCATTCAGGTCTCTGCTAAAATGTAATTTCCTTAGAGAACCCTTCCCTGATTACCTTATCTAAAACAGCATCCCTGTCACTTTGTCCTCTTACCCTGCTTAATATTTAGCACTTATCATTACCCAAAATCATATTATAATTATTTTAAAATATGTTGCCTCTTCCACTAGAATGTAAGCTTCATCAGGGCCGGAACTTTTTTTTTTTTTTTTTGAAACAGTGTCTAGCTCTTGTAGCCCAGGCTGGAGTGCAATGGTGCGATCTCACCTCACTGCAACCTCTGCCTCCCAGGTTCAAGTGATTCTCTTGAGTAGCTGGGATTACAGGCACCTGCCACCATGTCTGGCTAATTTTTTTTTTTTTTTTTGAGACGGAGTTTCGCTCTTGTTGCCCAGGCTGGAGTGCAGTGGCACCATCTCGGCTCACTGCACCCTCCGTCTCCTGGGTTCAAGCGATTCTCCTGCCTCAGCCTCCCGAGTAGCTGGGATTACAGGCATGCACCACCATGCTCAGCTAATTTTGTATTTTTTTAGTAGAGACAGGGTTTCTCCATGTTGGTCAGGCCGGTCTCAAACTCCCGACCTCAGGTGATCCGCCAGCCTCGGCCTCCCAAAGTGCTGGGATTACAGACGTGAGCAACCGCACCCGGTTAATTTTTGTATTTTTAGGAGAGACGGGGTTTCACCATGTTGGCCAGGCTGGTCTCGAACTCCTGACCTCAGGTGATCCACCTGTCTTGGCTTCCCAAAGTGCTGGGATTACAGGCGTGAGCCACCGTGCCCGGCCAGGGCGGAGACTTTATCTGCTTTGTTGTTTGCTGAATCTTTAGCACAGTGTTAGAACAGTGCCTGCTACCTAGAGGGCCCTCACGTATTTATCGAAGAAATTAATTCTTGGTAAGGAGGTGTGGTGGAAACAGCATGTGCTTTTGAATCACTTAGAGTTGGGTCTGAATTCTTGTTCTGCTTCTTATTAGATGCATGGTATATCTCTTACCCTTTTTAACCTCAGTTCCTTCATCTTTAAAATAGGAACAACAAATCTTTACTTTAACCATTCATTGTGAAGAGTAAATGAGCTGACATGTAAACTGCCTAGTGTTCTCTAACTCCTCTCTTCACCTCCTCTATTCATCTTGAATTACTCTGACCACTTGACTTTCTCTGTGATCCTTTAGGTGCTTAATTTGCATTATATAAATTTTCTTTTTTTTTCTTTTTTTTTTCTTTTGAGAGACGGAGTTTTCCTCTGTTGCTCAGGCAGGAGTGCAGTGGTGTGATCCCAGCTCACTGCAACCCTCTGCCTCCTGGGTTCAAGCGATTCTCCTGCCTCAGCTTCCCAACTAGCTGGGACTACAGGTGTGTGCCACCACGCCCTGCTAATGTTTGTATGTTTTAGTAGAGACGGTTTCGCTATATGTTGGCCAGGCTGGTCTCGAACTTCTGACCTCAGGTGATCCACCTGCCACCTCAGCCTCCCAAAGTGCTGGATTACAAGCGTGAGCCACCGCACCTGGCCCATTATATCAATTTTCAATCTGCTTTACAACTGTACCTAATTTGTTTACTGTGTTTTCATTGTTTTCAGATTAAAATTCCTCCAACTAGGATGGATCATTTGCATACTATATAATCACCCTCTCTCTTCCTTTTTTTTTGTTTTTTGACGGAGTCTCGCTCTGTTGCCCAGGCTGAAGTGCAGTGGCACAATATTGGCTCACTGCAACCTCCACCTCCTGGGTTCAAGCAATTCTCTCGCCTCAGCCTCCCAAGTAGCTGGGCCAGGCTGGTCTTGAACTACTGACCTCAGGTGATCTGCTCGTCTTGACCTCCCAAAGTGCTGGGATTACAGGCATGAGCCACCTCGCCTGGCCTCTTTTTTTTTTTTTTTTGTAAAACAGAGACAGGGTCTTGCTGTGTTGCCCAGGCAGGAGTACAGTGGCTATTCACAGGCACAATCATGGAACACTACAGCATTGCACTCCTGGTCTCAAGCAATCGCCCTGCCTCATTCTTCTGAGTAGCTGGGACTATAGGTGCATGCCACCACGCCCAGCCTCTCTCCTTTTCTTAGCACATACCCACTTTTCCCAGTGCTTCCTTGTAGGCATTCCAGTATGCTTGATTGTGTCTCCTGATTCTAATGCATTATAACACAAACCAAGTGTACTATGATCACAGAAATACTTACAGAAACCTGAATTGCAGTATTGGGAAGGACTTTTGAGATAATATCATCTAACTCATCTTTCAAATGAGGCAAAAGTCTCCAAAGGAGGAAGTGATTTGCCAAAGATCACCAGGGTAGTAAGAGAGCTGGGTCCAAATACCAAGGTCTCCTGATAGCAAGTCATTTTTAGTTGGAACATTCAATAATAGGTTTCAATAAGCATAGTAATTGTAGTAGAAAATTCTAGTGCTAGGGATCCCACTCAAAACTTCTCAGGATATTTTGCAGTGACTCATTTGCTATATTTTGCCATGACTCTAGTGACCAAATCTCTCCATTCCTTCAGACTGCCAGTTAGAGAAATTGCCCATGAGGCCCCGGGACCGGTCCCGTGTGATTGATGCTGCCAAACATGCCCATAAGTTTTGTAACACAGAAGATGAGGAGACTATGTATCTGCGGAGGTAAGAGGTTGATGCTCCCTGTTTAGGATTTCCCTATTGTGTTGGAGTCTGTTTCTGAATAATATAAATATCACATCTATTGTTGAACAGGTCAGTTGGTCCCAATACTTTGACATTTGTGGTGGTTTTCTAACTTCTGTTAATGTAGTAATATCTTTATTGTGCTTTGTTGAAATGGTGCTCACATGTGATTCCATTGCTTTTTTTTTTTAATTGAGATGGAGTCTCACTCACTCTGTTGCTCAGGCTGGAGTGCAGTGGTGTGACCTCGGCTTACCGCAACCTCCACCTCCCAGATTCAAGCAACTCTCTTGCCTCAGCCTCCCCAGTAGCTGGGATGACAGGCGTGCGCCACCACGCCCAGCTAATTTTTGTATTTTTAGTAGAGACGCAGTTTCACCATGTCGGCCAGGCTGGTCTTGAACTCCTGGCCTCAAGTGATTCTCCCTCCTTGGCCTCCCAAAGTGCTGGGATTACAGGCATAAGCCACTGTGCCCGGCCCCTCCATTGCCATTTGATAGCCGTAGTTTGTTTACAATTTACAGGTTTGAATGAGTTCATTCAACCTGTAATCTTGTGGAGCATACCGTGTGCCAGGCACTGAGCTAGGTACTGGATCTGTGAAGATGAATAAGGTATGATTTTTACCATTAAAGAGCTCATGACTTTGAGGGAATGACTCCTATTGTGATAGGAAAAAATACTGGTCTTCTGAACGAAAGGAAAAACAGGTGGGAGTGGGTCATTTGTCCTGAATGGTGGCCAGGAAAGGCTTCAAAAGATGATGGCATTTGTGTTTAGCCTGAACTAGGATTTCACCAAGTAGATGAAGGGAATGAAGAGCATTCCAGGTGGAAGGAATATGGAAGCATTAAAAGCATCAAACATGGTGTGCTTTAGAAACCTGAATTGTCGTTTGTGACTGGAGCACAGGTTACTTTACAGGAACGGCATCATGCATACTAGGGTGAGGACAGAGTAAAGTGCTGAAGTGGACAAGTTTGGCCTTAATCTGTAGGCAATGAAGAGCCATCTCCGTTTTTTTTTTTTTGACGGAGTTTCGCTCTTGTTGCCCAGGCTGGAGTGCAATGGTGTGATCTTGGCTCACTGCAACCTCCGCCTCCCAGGTTCAAGCGATTCTCCTGCCTCAGCGTCCTGAGTAGCTGGGATTTCAGGCACCTGCCACCACGCCTGGCTAATTTTTTGTATTTTTAGTAGAGATGGGATTTCACTATGTTGGCCAGGCTGGTCTCGAACTTCTGGCCTCAGGCGATCCACCTGCCTCTGCCTCCCAAAGTGCTGGGATTAGAGGGGTGAGCCACTGCGCCCGGCCTATCTCTGTTTTTTAAGCAGGGGTGTGATGTGGTTAGCTCTGTTTTAGATTTGGGAGTTTGGTATATATGGGAAATTGAAACCTGGGAAGGGATAAAATTACAGAGTGTGGAGCAAGCAGATAGGACTGAATATTTAAAAGGCAGACAAAAGAATTGGAACAGAACCAGAAGAACCTGGTGATGCAGAAAATAGGAGAGAGTATCAAGAAGTGTGTGGGGGTGTGGCTAGGGGACGGTCAGCAGCAGGTGCTAGAAGTCATGGAAAGGTCAATCCTAGGGAATTAAAAAATCCATCCATTCATGCAACAAATATTTCATTTACCGAGCTCCTACTATGTTCCAGGTACTATCCTAGAAGTCTGGAATATATACCAGTGTATTAGTTTTCTTTTTTTTGGAGACGGAGTCTCGCTCTGTCACCCAGGCTGGAGTACAGTGGCGCGATCTCGGCTCACTGCAAGCTCTGCCTCCCAGGTTCACGCCGTTCTCCTGCCTCAGCCTCCCGAGTAGCTGGGACTACAGGCGCCTGCCACCATGCCCGGCTAATTTTTTTTTGTATTTTTAGTAGAGACGGGGTTTCACCGTGTTAGCCAGGATGGCCTCGATCTCCTGACCTCGTGGTCTGTCTGCCTTGGCCTCCCAAAGTGCTGGGATTACAGACGTGAGCCATCGTGCCCGGCCGCCAGTGTATTAGTTTTCTAGAGCTGCCATAGTAAAGTACTACAGCCTGGGTGTGGTGGCTCACGCCTGTAATCCCAACACTTTGAGAGGCTGAGGTGGGTGGATCACTTGAGACCAGGAGTTCGAGACCAGGCTGGCCAACGTAGTGAAACCCCATCTCTACTAAAAATACAAAAATTAGTTGGGCATGGTGGCGCGTGTGCCTGTAATCCCAGCTACTCGGGAGGCTGGGATAGGAGAATTGCTTGTATGGGGAGGCAGAGGTTGCAGTGAGCTGAGATTGTGCCACTGTACTCCAGCCTGGGCGACAGAGTGAGACACTGTCTCAAAAAATAAAAAAAAAATAAAGTACTACAAATTGGGTGGCCTAAAACAAGAGAAGTTGTTTAATAGTTGTGGAGGCTAGAAGTCTGAAATCAAGGTATTGGTAAGTCCATGCTCTCTCTCAAGATTGTAGGGGAGAATCCTTCCTTGCCTCATTCCTGGTTTTTGGCGTTTACCAGCAATCCTTGGCATTCCTTGGCTTGTATTGTAAATGCATCACTCCAGTCAGTGCTTGTATCATCACATGGCATTCTCCCTTTGCCTGTTCTTTTCTTATAAGGGCACCAATCATATTGGATTAAGGGCCCATCCTCCTCCAGTATGACATCATTTTAACTTAACTAATTATGTCTGCAACATCACTATTTCCAAATAAGGTCACATTCTGAGGTTCCTGGATGGATGTGGATTTTTTTTTCTTTTTTCTTTTTTCTTTTTTTTTTTTTTTTTGAGATGGTGTGTGCTACCATGCCTGGCTAGTTTTTGTGTTTTTAGTAGAGATGGGGTTTCACCATGTTGGCCAGGCTGGTCTCAAACTCTTGGACTCAAGTGATCCTCCCACCTCGGCCTCCCAAAGTGCTGGGATCACAGGCATGAGCCACTGTGCCCGGCCAGAATGTGAATTTTTAAGGGTCACTATCTAACCCAGTACAACCAGTAAACAGCAAAGAATCCTGCCCTTATGAAACTTTAGTGTTGAACCAGAAAAAAACTATAGGCTGACATCTAGCTACATGTTTTCTTTCTTTCTTTTCTTTTTTTTTTTTTTTTTTGAGATAGAGTCTCGCTCTGTCACCCAAGCTGGAGTGCAGTGATGCGATCTCAGCTCACTGCAACCTCTGCCTCCTGGGTTCAAGTGATCCTCCTGCCTCAGCCTCCCATGTAGCTGGGATTACGGTTGTGCACCACTATGCCTGGCTAATTTTTGTATTTTTAGTAGAGACAGGGTTTCAACACGTGAAGCTGCTCTTGTGAGCCTCCTTCTCCTTCTTTGGCCTTCTCAATCCTTTGGATTCTTTTTCTTCTGCCTGCCCCTCAAGTATTGGTATTCCATGCGGTTCTGACCTTGCTTTTGTCCCCACTCTCTTTATGCCTTCCTTGGGCATTCTTGTCACCTTACATGGCATTAGTTACACTTTTATGCTGATGATAAAATCTAAATCTGCCTACTGTGCCTTCCTGTGTCCCAGAACTGTATAGCCAGTTGCCTACTCTACCTCTTCACCTGATGTCCTACTTTTCAGATCCAACATGATGAAGGCCAAACTTATCATTTCTCTACTGTGGACAGTACCACAGATCGATTCGCTCAGCACCACTCTGACACTCTTTTTTTTTTTTTTTTTGAGACGGAGTCTCGCTCTGTCACCCAGGCTGGAGTGCAGTGGCGTGATCTCAGCTCACTGCAAGCTCCGCCTCCCGGGTTCAGGCCATTCTCCTGCCTCAGCCTCCTGAGTAGCTGGGACTACAGGTGCCTGCAACCACGCCCGGCTAATTTTTTGTGTTTTTAGTAGAGACGGGGTTTCACTGTGTTAGCCGGGACGGTCTCGATCTCCTGACCTCGTGATCCGCCCACTTCGGCCTCCCAAAGTGCTGGGATTACAGGCGTACTCTGACACTCTTCTGCTACACCCTCCTATACACGAGTGTCTGTAAAGTTAGGGTGCATATTCCAGTCCCCTTCCCCCCAACAACTAAGATTCTGAATATGACTTAGCTTTGGCCAAGCAAAAGAGATGGAAGTAGATGTCAGCTGATGGGTGACTTCAAGCCTTTTTTACCCTTTATCCTTATTCCATCCTGCTTCTTGGGAAATGGACATGATAATTGGAACACTAGCAGCCAGCCTGGAACTGGGAAGGAGAGGCCACAAGAATTGCAGAGCCTTTGCCCTGCTATCCTTGGGTCTCAACCAGTGCTCAGAACTGCCTTCCTCCTGATGTTACATGAGAGAACAAGCTCTTTTGTTGAAGCCATTGCAGTCAGGTCTCTATTACTATTAGCCAAATGCTAGTCCTTCTTTTCCTTCTTCTTATGATGACACCAGGATTCATGCAGTGGCCCCAGCCAGAAATCTAGGAGTCAGTCTCTCTTTGTCTCATCTGTCCCCACCATCCCACCATCATCCCCTGCATACATCTAGTCACTCACCATGTACTGTCGATTCTGCCTTCTAATCTCTTTTGTGGCTGCTGCCTCCTGTTCAGCCCTGCTGCACTGCCGTTATTTCAGTACCCAAAATCACTTACTTAGACTACTGAAGTGGCCTCTTACCTGGTCTTTTGGTCTCTAGTTTTGCTCTCCTCCAGTCTATCCTCTACTGCTTGAATTATCTGAAATACACATTATGTCAGTCACCTGCTTCAAATCTGTTAGTGACCCTTCATCACTTATAGCAATGCCTTTGAAACATTTTTAGATGAAAAATCCTTTCTTTAATTAAATTCTTACCCAGAAGTATAAATAAGACTGATAAGCAGAAAGCTGCTCTGAGTGGGGAGGAGTCTAGCCCAATCCATTAAGGACTCCTCCTTCCTCCCCATCTGATTTCATTTAGGGATCATTGTGGAGTACAAGGAAAACACTCCTAGTTGGCTGGATAAAAATATAAGCCTGAATGCGCTCTATGATCTGTCCATCTTCATCTTCTGGTACTCTCTTGATTTTTTTTTTTTTAAAGAACAAACATTTATCATTTTATGTATTTTCTGTGGGTCAGGAATTCAAGAGCAAGCTTAGCTAGGTGATTCTGGTCTCTCATGAAGCTGCGATTAAGAAGATGACTATGTAAACAGTCATCTGAAGTCTTTTTTTTTTTTTGAGGCAGGGTCTCACTCTGTCACGCAGGCTAGAGTGCAGTGGCACAATCACAGCTCACTGCAGTCTCGATCTCCTGGGCTCAAGTGATCCTCCCACCTCAGCCTCCTGAGTAGCTGGGACCATAGGCATGTGCCACCATGCCTGGCTAATTTTTAATTTTTTTTTGTAAAGACAGGGTCTTCCTATGTTGCCCAGGCTGTTCTTGAACTCCTAGGCTCAAGCAATCCCCCTGCCTTGTCCTCCCAAAATGCTGGGATTACAGGTGTGAGCCACCGTGCCTGGCCTGAAATCTTGATTAGGGCTGGAGAGTCATCTTCCAAGGTGTCTCATATGGTAGGCAGTTGAGTGCTAACTGTTGGCAAGAAGCCTCAGTTTCTCAACACAGGGATCTTTCCATAAGGCTGCTTGAGTATCCTCATGACATGGCAGCTGGCTTCCCATAATGTAAGTAATTCAGGAGAGCAAGGCAAAAGCCGCAATGTGTTTTATGGCTATGACTCAGAAGGCACACACAGTTGTTTCTGTGATGTCCTTTTGGTGTCACAAGTCAGCGCTATTCATTGTGGGAGGTGACTATACAAGGGTGTTAGTACCAGGGACAAGGATCATTGGGGGCCACCTTAGAGGCTAGCTACCACAGCCAGAATGGAGAATTTTTTTTCTTGAGATGAAGTCTCACTCTGTTGCCCAGGCTGGAGTGCAGTGGCGCAATCTTGGCTCACTGCAACCTCCACCTCCTGGGTTCAAGTGATTCTCCTGCCTCAGCTTCCCGAGTAGCTGGGATTACAGGCATGCACCACCATGCCTGGCTAATTTTTGTATTTTTAGTAGAGACGGGGTTTCACTGTGTTGGCCAGGCTGGTCTCGAACTCCTGACCTCAAATGATCCACCCGCCTTGGCCTCCCAAAGTGCTGGGATTACAGGCGTGAGCCACCGTGCCCGGCCGAGAATGTTTTGTTTTGTTTTTGGTCACAGAGTCTTCCCTATCTCATATATTCCTTGAGATTCAGGATAGGAAAGAAAATCAAGGTCAATTATCCCAAACATCTAGCTCATATTAATCACTTCTTTAAGTCATACCACTTGAAATTCTTACCTCATTTACATTAAAGTCTCACTATTTCAATAAGATGAACTTTTTGAGAGCAGGAACCCTGCCTTATTTTTCTGAAACCCTTAGGACAGACATCTTGCCTGCTTCTTGGCACATAGTTAGAAATAGATACATTTTTATAAACTTGACAAAATCCAGTTTGTCATTGGTACTTGAAGATTAACTCATTGAGAAATATGCGGCCCCATTTATTTGATATTTCTATGTGTTTTGAAAGCTTGAACTTACGGGATTGGCCGACTTCAGGATTCTAGGGGAAGTTCATTCTCTGTATGGTGAATCTCTCCCTTCAGTATGGGGTTGAATTTAGTCCCAGTGGGACCAGAGAGGGTATATAGAACCAAAAATATTATTAGTGCCCTGGTCCAGTGATGTCAATGAATTGGAGCACCTTTGACATAAGTAATACTTGTAAATGGAGAGGCAGAACATTAAAGATGATGGTCAGCACAGTCTGTATAGTTATATCCCAAGCAGTACCACTTTGTGACTTTGGGCAAGTAATCTTTTAGGCCCCCAATTTCCTTATCCTTCAATTGGGAAAATAATACCCATGTGTTGTCAAAGAGCAACTGGAAGTCTCCTACAGTACCAGAAAGACCACAAATAGTTATAATGACTTTGGAAAGTACTTTGGCAACATCCAGTATAGCTAAAGGTGCATATAATGTGTGCCTTATAAATTCTGCTTTTCATGTACACCTTAGCAAAGTGATTCTCAACCTTTGCTGTGTGCCAGAATCATCTGGAGGAGTTTTTTGTTTGTTTGTTTGTTTTAATGCGAATGCCTCAGCTTTACCCTCAGAGATTTCGTTTCTGTTTTCCACTTTTTTTTTTTTTTTGAGACAGTCTCACTCTGTTACATAGGCTGGAGTGCAACGGCGCGATCTCCGTTCACTGTAACCTCCGCCTCCCAGGTTCAAGTAATTCTTCCACCTCAGCCTCCTGAGTAGCTGGGATTACAGGCACCCGCCATCATACCTGGGTAATTTTTGTAGAGACAGGGTTTCACCATGTTGGCCAGGCTGGTCTTGAACTCCTGACCTCAGGTGATCTGCCCACCTCAGCCTCCCAAAGTGCTGGGATTACAGGTGTGAGCCACCACACCCAGCCGAGATTTAGTTTCTTTTAAATTGAGTTATAGTCTACATACCATAAAAGTCACCATTTTAAAGTGTATGATTCAGTGGTTTTAGTATGTTTGCAAGATTGTGCAAAAGATTGGACACCTCTGCCCTAGAGAAAGGAATGCTGCACAGAGGCCAAGAAAAGTCTGAACAGACAGGCCTTGCTGGATTTAGATAATGTGCTTTTTGTCCAATCACATTTCTACATGGTTGTCAATCATGCCTCTGTAACAAAGCTTCCATAACAACCCAGGAGGACAGGGTTTGGGAGGCTTCTGGATGGCTGAATATGTGGAGGTTCCTGAAGGGTGGCGTGTCCAGGGAGGGCATGGAAGCTCCACGCCCCTTGCCCCTTAGCTCACCCTGTGCATCTCTTCTCTGTATCCTTTGTGATATCCTCTGTAGTTAACTGGTAAACATTAACTATTTCCCTGAGTTCTGTGAGCTGCACTAGCAAAGTAATCGAACCCAAAGAGGGGGTCGTGGGAACCCCAACTTGAAGCTGGTTGGTCAGAAGTTCTGGAGGCCTGACTAGGCATGGCGGCTCATGCCTGTAATCCTAGCACTTTGGGAGGCCGAAGCGGGCAGATCACTTGAGGTTAGGGGTTCCAGACCAGCCTGACCAACATGGCGAAACCCTGTCTCTACAAAAAAGTTGCAAAAATTAGCCGGGCAGCCAGGTGCGGTGGCTTATGCCTATAATCCCAGCACTTTGGGAGCCTGAGGCAGGTGGATCATGAGGTCTGGAGATTGAGACCATCCTGACCAACACAGTGAAACCCCATCTTTACTAAAAATACAAAAAATTAGCTGGGCGTGGTGGTGCGCACCTGTAGTCCTCAGGAGGCTGAGGCAGGAGAATCGCTTGAACCTGGGAGGCGGAGGTTGCAATGAGCCAAGATGTGCCACTGCACTCCAATCTGGGTCACAGAGTGAGACTCAGTCTTAAAAAAAAAAAAAAAAAAAGTTTTGGAAGCCTGGACTTGCGACTGGTATCTGGTTAGTGGCCGGTCTTGGGGACCAAGCCGTCAACCTGTGGTATCTGACGCTGTGTCCGAGTAGACAGTGTCAGAACTGAATTGGAGGACACCTAGCTGGCATCCATTTATTGGAGTGTGGGGAAAAACCCACACACATTTGGCCACAGAAGTCTTCTTCTGTGTTGAAGGTTGTTGTTGTGGTGTGAGATCAGAGGAAAAACCCAGGTTGACAGAGTTTTTCCCAAACAGCTGGCATTCACCAATAAACCATCTGCCTCAGTTGTACTGCCTGCCTGCCCGCTTCCTCGTTCCTCCCTCATCTCTGCCCTGGCCAGTTAAGTTGGAGGGGAACCTTAGGAAGGACAGGGGAAACAGAGGAAGTAGAAATTCTTTTTTTTTTTTTTTTGAGACAGAGTTTTGCTCTTGTTGCCCAGGCTGGAATGCAGTGTTGCAATCTCGGTTCACTACAATCTCCACCTCCAGGGTTCAAGCGATTCTCCTGCCTCAGCCTCCCAAGTAGCTGGGATTACAGGCACGTACCACCATGCCCGGCTAATTTTTTGTATTTAGTAGAGATGGGGTTTCACCATGTTGGTCAGGCTGGTCTTGAGCTCCTGACCTCAGGTGATCCACCTGCCTTGGCCTCCCAGAGTGCTGGGATTACAGGTGTGAGCCGCCGCACCTGGCCCCCATTTTTAAATTGGTGTATTTGTCTTTCTGTTGTTGAGTTGTAAGAATTCTATGTTATGCATACTAGTCCCTTATCATATATATGATTTGCAAATATTTTCTTTCATCCTGTGAATTGTTTTCTCACTTTTTTGATGATATTCTTTGAAGCACACAAGTTTTAAATTTTTATCATCCCATATATCTGATTTTTTTCTTCCATTGCTTGTGCTTTAGGCATCATATCTAAGAAATGGCCAGGCGTGGTGGCTCATGCTTGTAATCCTAGCACTTTGGGAGGCCGAGGTGGGTGAATCATTTGAGGCCAGGAGTTTGAAACTAGCCTGGCCAACATGGCGAAACCCCATGTCTACTAAAAACACAAAAATTAACCATATGTGGTGGTGCACACCTGTAGTCTCAGCTGCTCGGGGCTGAGGTAGGAGAGAATCGCTTGAACCTGGTAGGTGGAGTTTGTAGTGAGCCAGCCAAGATCGTGCCACTGTACTCCAGACTGGGTGACACAGCCCGAATCTGTTTCAAAAATAAAAGAAGAAATGTTTGCCTAATCCAAGCATATGAAGATTTGCAGCTATGTTTTCTTCCAAGAGTTTTATAATTTTACTTCTTACATTTAGGTCTTTCATTCATTTTGAGTTAATTTTTGTATATAGCATGAGGTAGGGGGCTAAATTCATCCTTTTGCATGTGGCTATCTAGTTTTCCCAGGACCTTTTGTTAAAAAGACTGAGTTTTTCCCCCTTAATGGTCTTGGCACCCTTGTTGAAAATCAGTTAACCATATATGTATGGGTTTATTTTAGACTCTCAGTTCTATTCCATTGACCTGTATGTCTGTCCTTATACCAGTATCACCCTGTCTTTATTACTATAGCTTTTTAGTCAATTTTGAAATTGGGAAGTGTGAGTTCTCCAACTTTGTTCTTGTTTTTTCAAGATTGCTTTGGCTCTACTGGATTTCTTCCAATTGCATATTAATTTTAGGATCAGCTTAAATTTCTGTGAAAAAGCCAGCTGGGATTTTGAAAGGGATTGTGTTGAATCTGGAAATTCATTCGAGGAATATTGCCACCTTAACAATATTAAGTCTTCCAATCCATGAACATCAAAATGTGTTTACATTTATTTAGGTCTTCTTTAATTTCTTTTGGTAATACTTTTTAGTTTTCAGTGGACATTTCTTGCACTTCTTTTGTTAAATTTATTCTAGGTGTTGAATAGAAGTAGTGAGAGTGGCATCTTTATCTTGTTCCTGATTTTAGGGGGAAAGCTTTCAGTCTTTCACTATTAAGTATGATGTTAGTTTATGTGGTGCTATGATTTGAATGTGTTCCCCAAAAGTTCATGTGTTGGAAACAATCTGTCTGCCCTATGAATGGATTAATGAGGCTCTGCTCTTATGCATGGATTAACGTTGCTGTCATGTGAGTAGGTCTGTTATTGCAGGAGCGGCTTTGTTTTAAAATCGAGCTTTCTCATACTTACTTGCCCTTCTGCCGTGTTATGATGCAGCACGAAGGCCCTTGCCCAATGCCGGAGCCATGCTCTTATGCTTCCCAGCTTTCAGAACTGTGAGAAATCAATCTCTTTTATTTATAAATTATCCAGTCTGTGGTATTATGTTACAGTAACAGAAAATGCACTAAGACGTGGGTAAACAGATGGGGGTTTTTCAGAGATGCCCTTTATTAGGTAGAGGAAGTTCCCTTCTATTCTTAGTATATTGAAGGGGTTTTGACTTTTGTCAAGTGCTTTTTCTATGTGTCTATTGAAATGATTATGTTTTTCTCTTTCCTTCTATCAATATGATGTGTTAATTTTTTTAGCTTTATTGAGGTATAATTGACAAAAATTGTATATGTTTAAGGGATACAGCTTGATATTTTGATATACATATACACTGTGAAATGATCACCACAATTAAGCTCATTAATGTATCTATCACCTCACAGTTACCATTTTCTTTGTGTGTGTAGGTAGTGAGGATACTTAACAAATTTAGAATGTACAATACAGTATTGTTAACTATAGTTATGATGCTGTACATTAGATCTCCAAAACTTACTCATCTTGCGCAACAGAAACTTTATATCCATTGGACAACAACCTCCCATTTCCTCCACCTTCAGCCCCTGGCAATCACCATTCTACTCTCTGCTTCTATGAGTTTGACTATTTTGGATTCCACAAACAAGTGAGATCATGTAGTATTTGTCTTTCTGTGTTTGGCTTATTTCATTTAGCATAATGTCCTCCAAGTCCATCCATATTATCACAAATGGCAGGATTTCCTTCTTTTCATAAGGCTGAATAATGTTCTGTTGTGTGTGCATGTGTGCGTGCGTGCCACCTTTTCTTTATCCATTTAGCCATTGATAGACATTTAGGTTGCTTCCATATCTTGGCTGTTGTGAATAATGCTGCAATGAGCATGAGAGTGCACATATCTCTTTGAGATACTGAACTCATTTCCTTTGGATATATACCAAGAAGTGGGATTGCTGGATCATAGGGTAGTTCTATAATTTTCTGAGGAATCTCCCATACTGTGTTCCATAATGGCTGTACTAATTTACATTTTCACTAGCAGTATATAAGGGTTCCCTTTTCTCCACATCCTCCCTAACATTTAATTTTTGTCTTTTTTTTTTTTTTTTTTTTTTTTGAGACAGAGTCTTACTCTGTCACCAGGCTGGAGTGCAGTGGTGCAATCTCGGTTCACTGCAACCTCTACCTCCCGGGTTCAAGTGATTCCCCTGCCTCATCCTCCCTAGTAGCTGGGACTACAGGCGCATGCCACCATGCCTGGCTAATTTTTTGTATCTTAGTAGAGATGGGGTTTCACCATGTTGGCCAGGATGGTCTCGATCTCCTGACCTTCGTGATCCGCCTGCCTCGGCCTCCCACAGTGCTGGGATTACAGGCGTGAGCCACTGCACCTAGCCTTGTCTTTTTGATAACAGCCATTCTAACTGGAATGAGAGGATATCTCATTATGGTTTTTTTGTTTGTTTGTTTGTTTGTTTGAGACAGGGTCTTGCTCTGTTGTCCAGGCTGGAGTGCAGTGACGCAATCTTGGCTCACTGCAACCTCTGCCTCCCAGGTTCAAGCGATTCTCCTGTGTCAGCCTCCCAAGTAGCTGGGATTACAGGCATGTGTCACAACACCCAGCTAATTTTTGTATTTTTAGTAGAGATGGGGTTTTACCATGTTGGCCAGGCTGGTCTTGAACTGCTGGCCTCAAGTAATCTGCCCGCCTCGGCCTCCCAAAGTGCTGGCATTACAGGTATGAGCTACCACGTCCGGCCCTCATTATGGTATTGATTTGCATTTCCCTGATGATTAGTCTTTTCATATACCTGTTGGCCATTTGTATGTCTTGGAGAAATGTCTGTTCAGGTCCATTGCCCATTTAAAAAATCAGGTTATTTATTTATTTGCTATTGAATTGTATGAATTATTATGTGAGAAAAGAAGATTGGTTTGACCACAGAAAAACCTAAAATTTCCACATGGTGGAAAAAGTCAAAGACAAATGACAAACTAGAGAATAAACAAGGCCCCTTAATTATTGCAAGTTTCCTTAATATAAAATTAAAAGGTAACTGAATAAACAAAGGACATGAACTAACAGTTCAAAACAAAGAAAATGCAAATGACTATTAAATATATGAAAAGATGTGTAACTTTACTCCTAAAAAAAGAAATTCAAATTAAAAGATTCCATTTTTCACATGTGAGAATGGCAGTGATGCAATTTAACGGCATCCAGTGTTGGTGAGACTGTAGGGAAACAGGAACTCTCAGTATATTGGTAGTGTGAGTCTAAATTGGTTCAACTTCTATAGAGAGAAATTTGGCAGCATCTACCAGAATTTAAAATGTACACACTTCTAGGAATTTGTCCAACACGTAAAAGACATTTTGGTTTATCTATACAAAGGAATACAATGCGGTCCTTGTAAAGAATGAAGTAACTCTTTATCTATTGATATGGAATATATATATATATTTAACCAAGTTATATTTTTAAGTGAACAAAAGTAGAGAACAGCGTACATTTGTCTAAAAAAGGAAAAAAATATTTTCTTTATGTACCAGTCAGAGTTCTTTGCTTATATATGCATCAGCTATCTCTAGGATGAACAGAAGAAACCAGAAACAGTATTTGCCTCTGGGGAAGGGAACTGGGTGGGTGGAGGATGAGTAGGGAAGATATTTTTTGTTTTATACTCTTATGTATACCATATGCATATATTGCCTATTACAAAGTTGAAACAAGGGGAGGGGAAGTGAAGAGACCAGTCAGGACCGTTTGTTACAGTCGTCCAGGGAGTTGATAATGGTGGTGTAGGCTAAGATAGTGGCAGGAACGTGGAGACAAGCAGACAGATTCAAGGTCTTTTCTTGGAGATAAAAATCCATAGAATTTGCTGATGAAGTAAGTGTGGGAGATGAGGGGAAGAGAAGAATCAAGGATGAGTCCCAGGTTTCTGTTAAACAGCCGTGTGGGTGGAATTGAGTCCTTGTGTATATGACTTGGTGTCTAAGGTGGTATTGTGTGGGCTCTTGAGCTTGACTGCCTGGGCTTAAATTCAACCTCTGCTTCCTAGCTCCACGACTTTGGGCAAGCCATGTAATACTCTGTGGGCCTAGGTTCTTCATTCATAAAGTGGGAATAATAATATGACATACCTCACAGAGTTGTTGTAAGGATTAAATGAGTTAATACATGTATACTTTTTTTTTTTTTTTTTGAGATGGAGTCTCGTTCCGTCACCCAGGCTGGAGTGCAGTGGCGTGAACTCGGCTCACTGCAGCCTCTGCCTTCCAGGTTCAGGTGATTCTCCTGCCTCAGCCTCCTGAGTAGCTGGGATTACAGGCATCCGCCACCACGCCCAGCTAATTTTTATATTTTTAGTAGAGACGGAGTTTCCCCATGTTGGCCAGGATAGTCTCGAACTCCTTACCTCAAATGATCCACCCACCTGGGCCTCCCAAAGTGCTAGGATTGCAGGCGTGAGCCACCGTGCCCAGCCGAGTTAATACATGTATACTTTAGAATAGCTCTTGGCACATAGTAAAGGGTTTATAAGTGGTTGCCGCTATTATTGTTGTTGTTATTACTACAACTACTATTGCTACCTATGATTATGACTACACTGCTCCTCCTCTTCCTCTTCCTTTGTCAGGGAGATACCTGACCTGTATCAGGGGCTCCATAAATGTTTGTTGCAGGAAGGGAGGAATGTTGAACCAATGAGTTGACCTATGAAATGAAAACTTTTTTTTTTTTTTTTTTTTGAGACGGAGTTTCACTCTTGTTGCCCAGGCTGGAGTGCAATGGCTCGCTCTCGGCTCACCGCAACCTCCGCCTCCCAGGTTCAAGCAATTCTCCTGCCTCAGCCTCCCGAGTAGCTGAGATTATAGGCATGCACCACTGCGCCCGGCTAATTTTGTATTTTTAGTAGAGACGGGGTTTCCCCATGTTGAGGCTGGTCTCGAACTCCTGACCTCAGGTGATCCGCCCGCCTCAGCCTCCCAGAGTGCTGGGATTACAGGCGTGAGCCACCGTGCCCGGCCCCCAAATGAAAACTTTTGAAAGGGCCTCTTAGCGTTTGAAGAAATGGGATAGTAAGGTTGATACATAATGAGATTTGTTCATATCTTTTTAACTTCCATTTTCTGTGCAGACCTGAAGGCATTGAACGACAGTACAGGAAGAAATGTGCAAAGTAAGTATTAACAATGTGGGTTTCTCCAAGCATAGGCAAGTAGAGGCATAATGTGTTAGGAAAATAATTATTTGGATACAACTCTCCATTATGTCTTTTTTTTTTTTTTTGAGACAGAGTCTTGCTCTGTCGCCCAGGCTGGAGTGCAGTGGTGCAATCTCAGGTCACCTTAACCTCTGCCTCCTGGGTTTAAGCGATTCTCCTGCCTCAGCCTCTCTAGTAGCTGGGATTACAGGCACATGCCACCATGCCTGGCTAATTTTTGTATTTTAGTAGAGACAGGGTTTCAACATGTTGGTCAGGCTGGTCTCGAACTCCTGACCTGAGTTCATCCGCCCACCTCAGCCTCCAAAACTGCTGGGATTACAGGCCTGAGCCACCTCGTCCGACCCCCATTATGTCTTTATCCTTATCAACTGCCTTCAGACTTCAACTATGCACAAATACCAATATGTTCCCCAAAGAGGCTAGTCAAAGTTGTATCTTTGACCAGCTGGCCAGAAAAATGAATTTTTTTTTTTGAGACAGAGTCTTGCTCTTGTTGCCCAGGCTGGAGTGCAGTGGCATGATCTCCACTCACTGCAACCTCCACCTCCCGGGTTCAAGCAGTTCTCCTGTGTCAACCTCCCGAGTAGCTGGGATTACAGGCACCTGCCACCATGCCTGGCTAATTTTTGTATTTTGAGTAGAGATGGGGTTTTGCCATGTTGGCCAGGCTGGTCTTGAACTCCTGATCTCAGGTGATCCACCTGCCTCGGCCTCCCAAAGTGCTGAGATTACAGGCGTGAGCCACCACGCCCGGCCTAAGTGATTCTTATCAGGTAGAGGTAGTTTTGGGAGACACTGAGAAGAGCCAGTCATTAGTTTATGCCACAAACAGAAATATTCCCAGAGTCTAAGCACACTTTGCAAATTGCTGTTTTGGGAATTTGGATTATGAGACCTCGCAGAAATTCACTGTGTCATTGCAGGTGTGGACTGCCGCTCTTCTACCAATCCCAGCCAAAGAATGCTCCTGTTACCTTCATTGTGGATGGAGCAGTAGTCAAGTTTGGCCAGGGCTTTGGGAAAACGAACATATATACTCAGAAACAAGAGCCTCCTAAGAAGGTAATTACCATTGAAGGAGAGACTGCTTAATATAGCTCTAGATTTAGCTCATGTTTTGAAATAAGATTATAGTGATGAGAAACTGCTCTTTATGGATGTATTCTTTTTATTTCTTTTTCTTTTTTTGTCTTTTTCTTATTTTATTTCTTTTTTCTTTATGGATATATTCTTATACTTTATTTTTATTTTTTAAAAGTTAAAAACGATTTGGGGGGTATATAGATGCACATATTTATGGGGTACATGAGATATTTTGATACAGGTATGCAATGTGTAATCACATCATGGAAAATGGGGTATTCATCCCCTCAAGCATGTGTATGGATGCATTCTTTATTAATCGGGTGCCATTTTTGTGTATAAACAGATGCTATGTAATTGTAACACCTGTTATGTGTTCTCTCTTTCCTACAGTTGCCTCATGACTAAGGTTAGAAATTGTATGGTTTTTACTCACATTAATTTCCTTCAAATTTTCTTCTTTTTATGGAGAGATATCATGTGTTATTTTACAAATTTTTTTTTGAACAATTAAAAACAATGAATTAGGCTAATTAAAAAATATATTCCAAGCTGGGCATGGTGGCTCATGCCTGTAATCCCAGCACTTTGGGAGGCAGAAGTGGGAGGATCACTTGAGGCCAGGAGTTTGAGACCAGCCTGGGCAGCACGGCGAGACCCTATCTCTACAAAAAAAAGTAAATTGGCTGGGTGTGATGGTATTCACCTATAGTTCTAGCTATTCAGGAGACTGAGGCGGGAGGATCACTTTAGCCCAGGAGTTTGAGGTTACAGTCAGCTATGATTGTGCCACTGCACTCCAGCCTGGGTGACAGTAAGACCCTGTCTCTTAAAAAAAATTAATTGGCCGGGTGCAGTGGCTCACTCCTGTAATCCCAGCACTTTGGGAGGCCGAGGTGGGCGGATCACCTGAGGTCAGGAGTTCGAGACCGGCCCGACAAACATGGAGAAACCCCGTCTCTACTAAAAATACAAAATTAGCTGGGCATGGTGGTGCATGCCTGTAATCCCAGCTACTCAGGAGGCTGAGGCAGGAGAATCGCTTGAACCCAGGAGGCAGAGGTTACGGAGCCAAGATTGCACCATTGCACTTCAGGCTGGGCAACAATAGTGAGACTCCATCTCAAAAAAAAAAAAGTAATTAAAAATAAATTTTAAGAACCCATGATGGACCATGCATAGTGTCTCTCGCCTGTAATCCTAGCACTTTGGGAGGCCAAGGCAGGAGGATTGCCTGAGGCCAGGAGTTGGATACAAGCCTGAGACATTAAGCGTTAAGGATGCTTTTTTATACCTTCTGTCCTTCTTTTTTTTTTTTTTTTTTTTTTTTTTTTGCGAGACCCAGTCTCTACAAAAATGTAAAATTAGCCAGGCGTGGGGGCATATGCCTGTAATCCTAGCTACGTGGGAGGTTGAGGCAGGAAGATCACTTGAGCCCAGGAGTTTGAGGTTGCAGTGAGCTATGATTGTGCCACTGTATTCCAGCCTGGGCAGCAGAGTGAGATGCTATTTCAAAAAAATAAAGTAAATTAAAAAAAAATAAGAGCCTTTGATGGCAAATGTTAGAAAAATATGTAAATAAAAACATTGGCACTTTTAAATAGGTCATCCTGTCCCAAAGAGGTAGTGTTTCCCCCAATACCCACAGCCCCTCACACAGGCGTGTGCGCACACACTCACGGCTCATGGATCCTGTTTTGGTGAACCGGACTGACTTCTTCTTGCCTGCCACTCCAGGTGATGATGACCAAACGGACCAAAGACATGGGCAAGTTCAGTTCTGTCACCGTGTCTACCATTGATGAAGAGGAAGAGGAGATTGAGGCTGTAAGTGTCTCTGGTCTTAAGGAAACTGGAATTTGGGGAGAAGGGTACGAGGAAAGGGGACTCTAGAGCGGGAGCCTTGGAGTAGTGGAAATATTAGAGACTTCACTTTTAGACCCTGCTCTGCTGATAAGAAACTATGGGCTGGGTGTGGTGGCTCACGCCTGTAATCCCAGCAGTTTGGGAGACCGAGACGGGCGGATCATAAGGTCAGGAGATCAAGACCAGCCTGGCCAACATGGTGAAACCCCGTTTCTACTAAAAATACAAAAAATTAGCCGGGCGTGTTGGTGCGCGCCTGTAATCCCAGCTACTCGGGAGGCTGAGGCATGAGAATCGCTTGAACCCGGGAGGTGGAGGCTTCAGTGAACCGAGATTGCGCCAGTGCACTCCAGCCTGGGGACAGAGCGGGTCTCTGTCTCAAAAAAAAAAAAAAAAAAAAAAAAAAAAAAGAAAAGAAAAGAAACTCTGACAGTGAGCCAGTTCCTGTTTCCTTGAATCTCAGGGACATCTGTAAAATGAAAACGAAGGAGTTGGATGTTGAATGAGATCAGTGATTTTTTCCTCCATGCTATTTTTAGAGATGCCTTAGAGGGCAAAGTGCTCATCCCTCTTAATTTGAGAAACTACTGGACTGAAAGATTTCAGTTTCCTTCCAGCCCAACTCGTGGTTTGTGAGTCTGTCCTCAGTAGTAGTAGCAATTACCTTTATGGTTCTTCAGTATAACGATATTGATGGCAAGATGTCATCTGCTGTTTTACATATGTTTTGGTTAAAACGTAAATGCTACTGAAGAATCACTTGAACCCGGGAGGTGGAGGTTGCAGTGAGCCAAGATTGTGCTACTGCACTCCAGCCTGGGCAACAGAGTCAGTCTCTGTCTCAAAACAAACAAACAAACAAGCAATCAAACAAAATACCCTAAGTGCTCCTGGATTACTGAAAAGATGGAGAATGGAAAAGGAACAGAGTCCTGCCATTTTAGTCATGATTTCATGATTTGAGTAGTATACATTATGACTTAACGTCTTTGTTGTTATTCCTTGGTGAGACTTCCGGTTTAAGGATGCTCCTTTTTTCCTTCAGAGGGAAGTTGCTGACTCATATGCACAGAATGCCAAAGTGATTGAAAAACAGCTGGAGCGCAAAGGCATGAGCAAGAGGCGACTGCAAGAGCTGGTGAGTAGCAAGGGGTAGCAAGGTGCTGGGGCCCTATCATTTGGATGTCTTGGTCTGAAAGACCTTTCAGCAGGCAGGGAAATCTTTTAGGAAATCTGTTGGGAGGTTTTAGAGTAGTTGGCTGCCAGTTTTATAACCCTGGTCTGTGACTGTCAGTATACCCTACTCTGTAGTAGTGACCCCAGGATCTAGGCCTTAAATGATGATACTTGTTATAGCCCTAACTAGGATGATATTTTATTTTCTGTATTTTATTTTTATTTTATTTATTTATTTATTTTGGAGCTGGAATCTCACTTTGTCGCCCAGGCTGGAGTGCCGTGGCGTGGTCTCAGCTCACTGCAACCTCCGCCTCCCGGGTTCAAGGGATTCTCCTGCCTCAGCCTCCTGAGTAGCTGGGACTACAGGCACGTGCCACCACACCTGGCTAATTTTTGTATTTTTAGTAGAGATGGGGTTTCACCATGTTGGCCAGGCTGGTCTCGAACTCCTGACCTCAGGTGATCTGCCCGCCTCGGGCTCCCAAAGTACTGGGATTTCAGGCGTGAGCCACCACGCCAGGCCAGGATGATATTTTAATCTGCTTCTTGTGGTCCAAGATCAGGAGTTAAAGGTCAGGGTTTCTGGACGTTGTCCCAGGATGTAATGGCACATGATAGGGCTACCTTGGTAGTACCAGGATTGGGGCTGGTCATTGCTTCTTAAAGCACTGGTGGTTTTCTGCACTATTCATGGGCTCATCTTAGAGCATATGGATCTGTGTATGATGGTGCCTATGTATTTTTTTTTGACAATTACTTAAAATATTTCATCAAAATCAGATATCACTATGTTGGTGTCTCATCCAAAGGTATACCAGTCTCTTTGTGTCTGTAGTGAGTTTTTGGTGACAGAAGTGGTGGGTCCTGGGAGCTGCTTTACCTTGCCATAGTCGTTTAGAACAGTGCTTCTCAACCTTTCAAAGGCAGAAAGACCAGTGCTTTCCTTTTTTCAAATTTCCATGAACAGATTTGTAATTTATAAAATACAATAAAAATGAATTGTCTCAATTTTTATCAGATTTTAAAAATTACTATTGTGTCAAATTGCTATAAAAGCTTCTAAATGCTTACTATCCATTTTTGTACATATTTTGTGTGGACCAATAACAAATAGTTCATAGACCATATAACTTTAAGTAGCACTGTTGTAGAATGATGTTCTTCCTGTTCTGCCAAGAATAGCATACTGGTATGCCACAGTATTGGTTCCCTCAGCCTGTGGGGGGCGCTGGGGCTGCTGGAATCCCTGCGCTGATTTCCTGTGGCCACAGCCTTGTCTTTTTGCCCATTTTGCCTACAAATAGCATTTTTTGTGTATGTGCTATAACATCAGAAAGGTTGGAAAGTAGATGTTAGAGGTATATAATGATTTGGGAACCATGATTCTAGTTTGTACACTAAATGAACATTAAGGGAGAGTGTTTGGGTTGGTTAGAATAAGGAAGGAAAATAATTTCATGTCATGTATCAAGACATATGCTTTTTTTTTCTTTCTAGGCTGAATTGGAAGCCAAGAAAGCGAAAATGAAGGGGACCTTGATTGACAACCAGTTCAAATAACCAGGCCTTTTTCTAAGCCCTAGACTAGAGGCAAGCATTTAGATCAGGAGGCAAAGTAATTTCTTGATTACATAGACGGATTCCTATTTATGCCCTAGCAGAAGGCTTTACGTTGTTTCCCATTGATTCTCCTACATTCAGTGAGGTCTTTAACTGAGTCCATTTAACTTGCTTTCTTTTTTTTTTTTTTTTTTTTGAGATAAAGTCTTGCTCTTTCGCCCAGGATGGAGTGCAGTGGTGCGATCTCGGCTCACTGCAACCTCCGCCTCCCGGGTTCAAGCAGTTCTCCTGCCTCAGCCTCCTGAGTAGCTGGGATTACAGGCATGTGCCACCACGCCTGGCTAATTTTTGTATTTTTAGTAGAGACGGGTTCCACCATGTTGGCCAGGCTGGTCTCCAACTCCTGACCTCAAATGATCCACCCACCTAGGCCTCCCAAAGTGCTGGGATTACAGGAGTGAGCCACCGTGCCCAGCCTTGCCCTGCTTTCTAGGAGATGGAGTTTTCTGAATTTTTCTGTATTTAGGTTTTCTGTACTATTTTTTGTCCACTTGATGCAAACTTCTTCAGCTGTGTAGAAACTTTATGAATAGATGAGTGCTTGAGTGTCTCCAGTCTCTAAAGTGGCTGCTTTTATTCTTTCTTCAAAGTTAATAACATGTTGCAAGATTTTTGGACAAAATATTATGGTGTGTCATAGGAAAAGCACCATGAATTATATTTAGGTATAGCAAGTCAGATCCTTTGAAGTGACTCTGTCTCTGTTCTTAGAAGGGTTCTTGGAATTGGCTGTGGTTTGAATCTTTCTACTGTCAGAGGAGACCCATTAAAAGCCAGAATCTGCATAAAGCTTTCTTTACTTCAAACACTGAAGCTGTAGGCGAGCCATCCCGTATCGACTTTATACTCAAAGAAGGAAAAGCCAGATTGCAGTGAGTGGGTAGGACAGCTCAGATCCAAATGAAAGTAGGGTCTCAAGTAACCCAAGGGTGGCCGGGTACGGTGGCTCACGCCTGTAATCCTAGCAGTTTGGGAGGCAGAGGCGGGCAGATTGCCTGAGCTCAGGAGTTTGAGACCAGCCTGGGCAACATGGTGAAACCCTGTCTCTACTAAAATACAAAAGAAATTAGCCAGGTGTGGCGGCATACCCCTGTAGTCACGGCTACTTGGGAGGCAGAGGCAGGAGAATTGCTTGAACTCGGGAGGTGGAGGTTGCAGTGAGCTGAGATTGCACCACTGTACTCCAGCACTCCAGCCTGGGCGACAGAGTGAGACTCTGTCTCTACAAAAAAAAAAAAAAAAAAAAGTAACCCAAGGGAGGGAGCTACCCTCTAGTCGGGCAGCTGATACTGCTTCCTTGCATGGATACATGGGAGGGAGACGTTATAGATTAAGAAATGATAGCAAGATAAACAAAATGATTTGTTGGGTATCTTTTACTTTACATTTGTTATTTGCAGAGGAGTGTTGTATATATAGATGTTATTTTATGTCACACTGCTTCAATGATACCTATATCCATGTGTTTGTATCCATGTTTTTATCCATTCAACTGTATTAAAAGGTGTTGGGACAGGAGTTGTGTTAACCTTCTTGTATTATCTACAAAAAGTTGCACTTAGTAGGTGCCCAAGGCAGGTTCGTGAGGTGCTACCGGGAGATGATAGTAGGATAGTAGGGCAGGTTTTTTTTTGTTTGTATGTTTTTGTTTTTGTTTGGTTTGTTTGTTTGTTTTGCTTTTTTTCTGATCTCCTTATTTGCAAGGCAAAGTAGGTTAGATGTGAGCTAGCAAGAACTGGGAAAAAGAGGGGTGGGGGTCCCAGGAAGGCCCAGGATGGGGCTGTGTTACCTTCTTCCCAGTTATTTTCCTGTATCCAGTGAAGTCTTCGCAACCAATTCTTCCTCTCTACCTTGTTTCCCGTCCTCATTCTGAGAGATAATTAACCGTCATGTGGATGAGAAACCATAACCTTACAGTTCCTTAACCTCAACTCCAGACAGTGACCTTTACCTTTCCTGCACTTTAGCCACAAACTCCCATACCACAGCCTGGATGTCATCCACTCCACCTCTGAAATCCAGTACTCTGCTCTCTGACCACAACCTATCCTTGCTACTCTCATGTGCTCACTTCCTCTAAACCTATTTTATTTTGTTTTTAGATTTGAAGGGTGATTATTTT
This sequence comes from Homo sapiens, assembly GCF_000001405.40. Taxonomy (NCBI): domain Eukaryota; kingdom Metazoa; phylum Chordata; class Mammalia; order Primates; family Hominidae; genus Homo; species Homo sapiens. The sequence continues at coordinate 119,537,544 of NC_000023.11, read as the reverse complement.
ATTAACAGTAATAATGAAAAAATAGTAGTAAGAATAGCAACAATAATACTAGCTACCTTTTATTGAGCACTTACTATGTGTTGGATGCCATGGAAAGCACTTTACAGGTATTATCTTAATCTAAACAACACGACATCCTACGGGACAGGATTAACTGTTACCATCCTTGTTTTAGAAATGAGTACTCCGAGGCTCAGAGAGTTTTAAGTTTCTCAAGATCCTATAGCCCAGTAAGCAATAAAGCCAAAAATCTGACTCTAAAACCTGAGCTCTTAACTATGCTGAACTCCCTCTATGAACTTAAAACATATATGTTATTCAGAACAGATTATAATTTCATTTTGAAAAATAAAGTGCAAAGTCAAGACAGTTGCATAGAGGACCCCCTGTAGCAAGTGTATGGTTACCTTTCTACATATTTTCTGAAATACTTGTCTTTAGATACTAATCCTAAACCATTTCAACATCTGGTTGAAATTACACATGTTGCTTCATCTATAAGACTGTAAAACGTCATTAGCACCAAGCAAGCATATGCTTTTCATTATGTTTTACTCTTTTTTTTTTTTTTTTTTTTAGAGATGGAGTCTCGCTCTGTCGCCCAGACTGGAGTGCAGTGGCACGATCTCGGCTCACTGCAAGCTCCGCCTCCCGGGTTTACGCCATTCTCCTGCCTCAGCCTCCCGAGTAGCTGGGACTGCAGGCACCTGCCACCATGCCCGGCTAATTTTTGTATTTTTTTTTTTAGTAGAGACGGGGTTTCACTGTGTTAGCCAGGATGGTCTCCATCTCCTGACCTTGTGATCCACCTGCCTCAGCCTCCCAAAGTGCTGGGATTACAGGTGTGAGCCACCACACCTCATATTTAAATAGTTATTAAAATAACATGATATGTTAGTATTTAGTTTCTCTATTTTCTTTATTAACTTGTATTTTAACAGGAAATACAGCGTTTTGCTGTTGGTATGAAGAGCCATGTTGACATTTTGGAGAGTCTTATCATATTTTTGTTTTTGTTTTTGCAAATTATCAAGTATGACAAAACATTAAAATGTTGCAAAATGTTCTCTATTAATTAGTGACATTTGGAAATGTCACTTTATTTTTTAAGATAAATTGAAAAGATTTTTAAAAAACTAGGTTGCCTGAGCCATTTTAGGTTCCATGTCACTCTGCCCATGTCTCCTTGGTCTCTAATTTGCAACAGTTTCTTCATGGTATCTTGTAATTTTAATTTGCATTTCCCTAATGGCAGATGGTGTGGAACATACTGTTTTCCTTTTTTTTTTTTTTTAAACTGTGGTAAAAAACACATAAAGTTTACCATCTTAACCTTTCTTTTTTTTCTTTTTCTTTTTTTTTTTTTTTTTGAGACGGAGTTTTGCTGTCATAGCCCAGGCCGGAGTGCAATGGCGCAATCTCGGCTCACTGCAACCTCTGCCTCCCAGGTTCAAGCGATTCTCCTGCCTCAGCTTCCCAAGTAGCTGGGATTACAGGCGCCTGCCACTATGCCCGGCTAGTTTTTGTATTTTTAGTAGAGATGAGGTTTCTCCATGTTGGCCAGGCTGGTCTCAAACTCCTGACCTTGTGATCTGCCTGCCTTGGCTTCCCAAAGTGCTGGGATTACAGGCGTGAGCCACCGTGCCTGGCCCATCTTAACCATTTTTAATTGTGTAGTTCAGTAGTGTTAAGTATATTTGAATTGTTGTGATACAGATTTCCAGAACTTTTTCATGTTGTAAATCTGAAACTCTATACCTATTAAGTAACAACTCCCCCTTTCTCTCTCCCCACAACCCCTGGTAACACCATTCTACTTTGTGTTTTTATGAATTTGACTACTTTAGATATCTCATGTAAGTGGAATGATACAACATTTAACTTTTTGTGACTGGCTTATTTCACTTAGCATAATGTCCTCAATGTTGAATCATTAGAAAGGAAGAACACCTTCCTTTCTAAGGCTGAGTAATGTTCCCTTGTATGTCTATACCACATTTTGTTTATCCATTCATCCGTCAATGGACATTTGGGTTGCTTCCACCCCTTGCTATTGTGGAATAGTAGCACAATGAACATGAGTGTGCAAATATCTCTGAGACCCTGCTTTCAATTCTGATATATACCCAAAAGTGAAATTGCTGGTAGTTCTATTTTTAATTTTTTGAGGCACCTCCATACATACTGTTTTCCACAGCACTTGTACCATTTTACAATCTTTTTTTGTTTGTTTTTGAGACAGAGTCTCACTCTGTCACCCAAGCTGGAGTGCAGTGGTGCGATCTCAGCTCACTGCAACCTCTGCCTCCTGGGCTCAAGTGATTCTCTCACCTCAGCCTCCCAAGTAGCTGGGATTACAGGTGTGTGCCACCATGCCCAGCTCATTTTTGTATTTTTAGTAGAGATGGAGTTTCACCATGTTGGCCAGGCTGGTCTGAAACTCCTGACCTCAAGTGATCTGCCCACCTCAGCCTCCCAGAATGCTGGGATTACAGGCGTGAGTCACTGCGCCCGGCCACATTTTACAATGTTATCAACAATACACCAAGGCTCTAATTTCTCCACATCCTCACCAACACTTGTTATTTTTTTATTTTTATTTTTTTAATAGTAATCATCCTAATGGATGTGAGGTGATATCTCATTGTAGGTTCTTTTTTTTTTTTTCATTTCTCTAATGATTAGTGCTGTTGAGCATTTTTTCATATGCTTGTTGGCCATTTGTATATCATCTTTAGAGAAATGTCTATTCAAGTTCTTTTGATCATTTTAAAATTAGATTATTTGATTTTTTTGTGTGGTTGTTAATTTTTTTTTTTTTTTTTGAGACAGAGTCTCGCTCTGTCGTCCAGGCTGGAGTGCAGTGGCATAATCTCGGCTCACTGCAACCTCCACCTGCCAGGTTCAAGAGATTCTCCTGCCTCAGCCTCCTGAGTAGCTGGGACTACAGGTGTATGCTACCACGCCTGGCTAATTTTTGTATTTTTAGTAGAGACGGAGTTTCACCATATTGGCCAGGCTGGTCTCGAATTGACCTCAAGTGATCCACCCACCTCAGCCTCCCAAAGTGCTGGGATTACAGGTGTGAGCCACTGCTCCCGGCCTCCAGTATACATTTTAGAATTGGCTTGTTGGTATCTCCAGTATTCTTTCTGGGATTTTGATTGGGATTGTGTAAAATCGAAAAATCACGTTGGGGAGAATTGACATCTTAATAATATTACATCTTCCAACCCATGAGCAAAGTGTATCTTTCCACTTTCCATTTGTTTAGATCTTTGATTTCTTTCATCAGTGTTTTGTTATTTTTTTCGTGTATAGGTCCTGCAGATATTTTGTTTAAATTTATACCTAAGTACTTCATTTTTCCGGTGCTATTGTAGATCTTACCTTCTTTTAAAACTATAACATCTGTCCTACAAACTCTCAATTTAGAATCAGTCCTACAATATGTTTTGTCTGATGTCTTACCCAAATAGTTGAGTGTTCATGTCTTGTCAATGAGTGGATATTTGGCACTGTGAATTTATGGTTCCAGTGTCAGATGGGTTCTTACCACAGCTAGTCAATCCTAATGTATGTTTTGGGTCAGCAACTCTCCTGTTTCCCTAAGGAACAGTTTACAGCTGCTTTCTTCAAGCCTCTCCCTGCAAGCTCTCTCTCTTGGTAGATGACCAGAGAGGGATCTCCAAAGCACCAGCAACTTAAGGGCACACTTAGTTGTGTCTGCCTCCATCTTTTTCTCTTTCAAATCTCAGAGGAAGAGATCCCCCTCTTCCTACTTAAGGCTAATCTACTTTTAGTCATTCAACTAGTATACATTGAGTATCTATTATATGCCAGATATTGCACTAGGAGCTGGGGGCATAGTAGAGAACAAAGCAGCTCACATTCTGAGGGCAGGGGTGACAGATGAACAAGTGAACAAGAAAATTATCTACGAAAATAGTGTGATATGATAGCGAGTGATGAGTAATCAAGGATGGGCTCTGAGGAGGGGACACTGAGCCACATAAGACCTGAAGGATCTGAATGAGCCAGCCATATAAGGATCAGGGGAAAGCGTTCCAGGTGATGATGGCATTAGAAAGGACAAAGGCCCTACAAAGGGAATAAGTTTACATGTTGGAGGAACAGAAATAAGGCCAGTGTGACTAGGTTGTAGTGAGTAAGAGAAAGCAAGCAAGTGGAAGGAGGCGAGGTCAGAGGAGTGAGCAGAAACCAGGCCATGTAGGGCCTTGCAGGCCTGAATAAGGATTTTGGTTCTTAAAAATACAGTGAGAAGTTATTGATTGAAGGCTTTTAAGCAGAGGAGTAACATGATATGATTTATAGGTTTTTTTTTTCTTTTTTTTGAGATAGGGTCTCTGTTGCCCAGGCTGGAGTGCAGTGGCACCATCATAGCTCACTGTAGCCCCAACTTCCTGGGCTCAAGCAATCCTCCTACGTCAGCCTCCCAAGTAGTAGCTGGGACTACAGGCACGTGCTTCCACGCCTGGCTAATTTTTTCTATTTTTTGTAGAAAGAAATTCCTCCTTTCCTTTCCTTTTTCTTTTTCCTGTCCTTCCCTTTTTCCTGTCATGTCCTGTCCTGTCCTGTCCTGTCCTGTCCTGTCCTTTTTTTCTCACTAGGTTGCCCTGGCTGGTCTTGAACTCCTGGGCTCAAGTGATCCTCCTGCCTTGGCCTCTCAAAGTGCTGGATTACAGACATATGCCACCGTGCCCAGCCAATTTATGTTTTAAAGTCATTCGAGGCTGGGTGCGGTGGCTCACGCTTATAATCCCAGCACTTTGGGAGGTTGAGGCAGGCAGATCACTTGAGGTCAGGAGTTCAAGACCAGCCTGGGCAACATGGTGAAACCCCACCTGTACTAAAAATAAAAAAATTAGCCGGGTGTGGTGGCACACACCTATATGTAGTCCCACCTACTCTGGAGCTGAGGCGTGAGAATCGCTTGAACCCGGGAGACAGAGGCTGCAGTGAGCCGACATTGTGCCACTGCACTCCAGCCTGGGCAACAGAGCAAGGCTCTGTCTCAAAAAAAAAAAAAAAAAAAAAGCCATTCTAGCTGCTGCATGGAGAGTGGCTTTTTGGGAGGCAGAATGGAAGCAGAGAGACCAATTAGGAGACCATGGCGGTAGTCCAGGTGAGAGGTGAGAATGGTTGGACCAGGGTAGTAAAAGAAGAATTGGAGAAAGTGAATGGATTTGAGATGTGTTTTGGAGGTTTTCCTATGAGGACTGGGTGATAGATTTGGTGTGAGAAGTGAGGGGAAGAGGGGAATCAAGGATAACTCCTCAATTGTGGCTAGAATAACTGGGCAAATTGAAGTGTCATTTACTGAGATGGGGAAGAACAGCTTTCAAGGGAAAGCCAAGCACCATTTTGAACATGTTATGTTTGAAATGTCTGTTGACTAAGTGGAGTTGTCAGGTAGGCAGTTGGATATGTAGTCAGCTCAACTGGGAAGGTCTAGCTAGAAATATAAATTTGGGAGTTGTCAGTATATAGATGTTACTTAAAGCCATGAGACAGGATGAAATTGCCAAAGATCTAAATACAGATAGCAAAGGGAATAAGTCCAAGGATTGAGTCCTGGGGCATCATTTAATGGTCAAGAGAGGAGGAGAAATCAGCAAAAAAGACTGCAAAGGAATGGCTACTAAGGCTGGATGAAGACAGAGTAAAACTGAGAGTGAAGAGAAGCAAGTGTTTTACATGACTCGAGGTCCAGTTAAGAAAACAGAAAACAACTTTGGGAGGCTGAGGCAGGTGGATCACCTGAGGTCGGGAGTTCGAGACCAGCCTGACCAACGTGGAGAAACCCCGTCTCTACTGAAAATACAAAATTAGCCGGGCGTGGTGGTGCATGCTTGTGATCCCAGCTACTCGGGAGGATGAGGCAGGAGAATTGCTTGAACCCGAGAGGCGGAGGTTGTGGTGAGCCAAGATCACACCATTGCACTTCAGCCTGGGCAACAAGAGCGAACAACCGTTTTAAAAAAGAAAAAAAGAAAACAAAACGTATTCAGAGTTGTAAACAGAATTTAACATGAGGAACTGGTACTCAGGGGATAGAAGACCTTAGAATCCCAGGAAGGGATGATGAATTGATCCAGAGATTTAGCAACAGCAGGAAGCTACTTCACCTCTAGGGCTGGAGGGACAAAAGCAGAAGGTGGTATTACCCAAGTCCGGGATCAAGGACCACCCAGCAGAAGCAGGAACACCAGCCCAGCAGGAGCTTGGTCCATGGAGGGAGTGACTATCTAGTGGGAGCCACAGAAGAGATAACAGTCTATGCTGGAGATGACGCTCAAAACAGAGAGAAAGGGAGGAAATACCCTGGCTTCTTCCCTTCTCTTGCTTTCCAGTCTTCTGCCAAAGATTCCCATTCACAGGCCAAACCTCTCAGGAAGTCAGGAGGGAAAGGAGCCTGGGAAATGTTGTCTGCTGCACATAGCAGAGCAGGGGAAGAGTGGAATGGGGCCAGGCACGGTGGCTCACGCCTGTAATCCCAGCAACTTCGGGAGGCTGAGGCAGGTGGATCACTTGAGGTCAGGAGTTTGAGAAGCGGGGAATGAGTCTGAGAGCAAATAGACAAATGACCAGCCTGTGTTTAAAGGAGGAGGAAATGATCATCTGCCAAATGCCACAGACAAGATGAGGACTTGGAAATGACCACTGCATTTAGCAATGGGGAGGTCATTGGTAACTTTTACAAGGTGTTTGAATGGAGTGGCATAAGCGAAAGGCTAGCAGGACTGAGTTCAAGAGACAATGAAAGAAGAGGAATTGGAGGTAGTGAATATAGGTACTTTTTTTTGGAGTTTTGCTATGAAAGGGAAGAAGAGAAAGGGGGTGGTATTTGGAGGGGGAAGTAAGATTAACAGTATTTTCAAGATGGGAGAAATAACAGCATATTTGAATGCTGATAAGGAAAAATCCAAGAGAGAAGTAAAAACTGATAATGCAGGAGAGAGAAAATAACTGAAGCAATATACTTGAGTAGGCAGGAGGGAATGGGATCTGGTGCAGAAGCAGTACAATAATAGGATTTATTTATTTATTTTTTTGAGATGGAGTCTCACTCTGTCACCCAGGCTGGAGTGCGGTGGCACGATCTCGGCTCACCGCAACCTCCGCCTCCTGAGTACAAGTGATTTTCCTGCCTCACCCTCCCAAGTAACTGGGATTACAGGTGCGTGCCACCACCCCCGGCTAATTTTTGTATTTTTAGTAGAGATGGAGTTTTACCACGTTGGCCTGGCTGGTCTCAAACTCCTGACCTCGGGTGATTTGTCTGCCTTGGACTCCCAAAGTGCTGGGATTACAGGCATGAGCCACTGTGCCTGGCCCAATGATAGGATTTATAGAAATGCAGAGTCACAGGATCTTCATCACTGAAGTTTAGAAAAGACCTTAGATGTCATACCCTCTAACCTTCTCTTGTGTGCAGGAATTTCCTGTGTAGCCTCCTAGACACATACTGGTCCAGCCTTTGCTTTAAAGTCTCCAGGGATGGTAAACTTAGAGTTTCCCAAAACAGTCATTTTCATTTTCAGAGAAATACAATTAATTTTTCCTTTTGAAAACAACCAGATGGAATCGGTGCTTTTTTTTTTTTGAGACAGTTTTACTCTGTCTCCCACGCTGGAGTGCATTGGCGCGATCTCAGCTCACTGTAACCTCTGCCTCCCAGGCTGAAGAAACTCTCATATTTCAGCCTCCCGAGTTGCTGGGATGCATCGATCAATGAAACAGAATAGTGAGCCCAGAAATAAATCCACGCATCTATAGCCAACAGATTTTCAACAAAAGCGCCAATAACACACATTAGGGAAAGGACAGTCTCTTCAATAAATGTTGCTGGGAAAACTGCATATCTATATGCAGAAGAATAAAACCAGACCCCTCTCTCTCACCATATACAAAAACTAACCCAGTGGATTAAAGGCTTAAATGTAGGATCTGAAACTGAAACAGCTAGAAGAAAAGGGAAATGCTTTATGACATTGGGCTGGGCAAGGTTTTTTTTTTTTTTTTTTTCATATGAACTCAAAAGCAAAAATAGACAAGTAGGATTACATCAAACTAAAAAGCTGTCCACCAAAGGAAACAGTCCACAGAGTGAAGATATAACCTACATAATGAGAGAAAATATTTGCAAATTCTACATCTGACAAGGGGTTAATATCCAGACTGTATAAGGAATTCAAACTCAATAGCAAAAACTCAATCCGATTTTTTTTTTTTTTGAGATGGAGTTTTGCACTTGTTGCCCAGGCTGGAGTGCAATGGCACGGTCTTGGCTCACTGCAACCTCACCCTCCCAGGTTCAAGCGATTCTCCTGCCTCAGCCTCCCAAGTAGCTGGGATTACAGGCACCCGCCACCATGCCTAGCTAATTTTTGTATTTTTAGTAGAGACGGAGTTTCACCGTGTTGGCCAGGCTGGTCTTGAACTCCTGAGCTCAGGTGATCCACCTGCCTTGGCCTTCTAAAGTGCTGGGATTACAGGTGTGAGCCACCGTGCCCGGCCTTAATCTGATTTTTTTTTTTTTTTTTTTTTTGAGACAGGGTCTCACTCTGTCACCCAGACTGGAGTGCAGTGGTGCGATCTCAGCTCACCACAACCTGCACCGTCCGGGCTCAAGTGATTCTCAGGCCTCAGCCTCCCAAGTAGCTGGGATTACAGGTGCGCACCACCAATGCCCGGCTAATTTTTGTATTTTTGGTAGAGACGGGGTATGTTGGCCAGGATGGTCTTGAACTCCTGACCTCAAACGATCCATCCGCCTCAGCCTCCCAAAATGCTGGGATTATAGGCGTGAGCCACCGCACCTGGCCTCAATCTGATTTTTAAACGGGCAAAATACCTTTATAGACATTTCTGAAAAGAAGGCATACAGAATGGCCAACAAGTATATGAAAAAATGCTGAACATCACTAATCAGGAAAATGCAAATCAAAGTGAGGTGATGTGAGGGAGATATCACCTCACTTTAGTTAGAATGGCTATTATCAAAAAGACAAAAGGTAAGGGTTGGCGAGGATGTGGAGAAAAGGGAACCCTTACATACTGCTGGTGGAAATGTAAATTGCTACAGCCATTATGGAACACAGTATGGGATGTTCCTCAGAAAATTAAAAATAGAACTACCATATGATACAGCAATCCCAGTTCATATATATATATGTGTGTATGTGTGTATATATACACATACATACACACGCGCATATATATACATATACACGATGGAATATTATTCAGCCATAAAAAGAAATGAAATCCCATCATTTGTAACAACATGGATGAACCTAGAGGACATTATGTTAAGTGAAATTAGCCAGACGCAGAAAGGGAAATACCCCATAATCTCACTCATATTGAATGTAAAAAAAAGTTGATTTTATAGAAGTAGAGGATAGAACAGTGGTTACTATAGCCTGGGGAGGGGGAAGGAGGGATGGCAGAGATTGGTCAATAGGTACAAAGTTACAATTAGGAGGAATAAGTTCTGATGTTCTGTTACACAATAGGATGATTATTGTTAACAATAATGTATATTTCAAAATACAAGAAAGGATTTTGAGTGTTATCACATACAAATGATAAATATTTGAGGTGATGGATATGTTAATTACCCTGATTTGATCATTACACATTGTATACATGTATCAGAACATCACATTGTATCCCATAATATGTACAGTTATTATGTGTCAATTAAAAATTAAGAAAAATGTGGGAGCCAGGCAGGGTGGTTCATACCTGTAATTCTAGCACTTTGGGAGGCCAAGGCAGGAGGATCGCTTGAGCCCAGGAGTTCGAGAGCAGCCTAGGCAACATGGTGAGACCCTGTCTCTAGTTTTAAAAAGTTTTTTTTTAAGAAAAATATATGAGGTATTAATATTTAAAAGAAAGTGACACATTTATCATTGTTTTAATTAGGCTCTTTTGAATGTTAGAAAATGAGAGGGATTAATTGTAAGGATACACATGGAAATGAACTAGGAATAGAAGAAAACTTTTAAATTATGATTAATGGCATCTATTAAAAAATCCTACAGCAAGCATACTTAAAAGCTTGCCTCCTGAAGTTGGAAATGAGACAAAGATTCCCTTTATTACCATGGTACTGGGAATCCTAGCCAGTGCAATGAGAAGAAAAGGAAACAAAACGTTTAAAGACTTGGAAGAAATAACAACATCATTATTTGTAGAAAACATGATTGTGTATATAGAATATCCAAAATAACTGAAGAATAAATATTTGAATTGATAAATGAATTTAGAAAAGTTGGCCAGTTGCGGTGGCTCACGCCTGTAATCCCAGCAGTTGGGAAGCCGAGGTGGGTGGATCACGAGGTCAGGAGTTCGAGACCGCCTGGCCACTACTAAACCTCATCTCTACTAAAAATACAGAAATTTGCTGGGTGTGGTAGTGTGCATCTGTAGTCCCAGCTACTCGGAAGGCTGAGGCAGGAGAATCGCTTGAACCCAGGAGGCGGAGGTTGCAGTGAGCCGAGATTGCACCACTGCACTCCAGCCTGGGTGACAGAGCAAGACTCCGTCTCAAAAAAAAAGAAGTTGCTGGACATGCGGTTAATATAGAAAACCAATTGTATTCTGTATCTAAGTAACCAGCAGTTGGAAACGTAACATTTAAAATTAGACATATTAAATGATTAAAATAGCATAAAGATACCTGAGGATAAATCTAAGGAAGTATTATGCAGGCCTTTACATAGAAGACTATAAAATATCGTTGAGAAAAATTAAAACCTGAGTAAATGGAATGATACACTGTGTTCATGTGGAAGACTCAATAGCTTTAAAGTGTCAGTTCTCCACAAACTGATTTATAGATTCAGTGAGACCACAATAAAAATCTCAACAATTGTGTGTGTGTGTCCACGTGTGCATATGTCCACGTGGTGCTGGGCAGGGGGCAGGGGAGACTTGACAAGCTAATTTAAATTTATAAAGCAAGGAGAAAGTCCAAGAATAGGAGTGAAATTTATACAGAATGAAAAGGTCCAATATCACTCTTGAAGAACAAGGTGATAGGACTTGTTCTACTAGATATTGTTTTATTATATATTGAAAGTAATTTAAACAGTATGGTATTGGCCCAGTGATGGACAATAGATCAATGAAACAATAGAGAGTCCAGAAACAGGCTCACATGTGCAGTCACTAGATGTACAGCAAAGGCGCCCCTGCTATTCAGTGAGGAAATAATTTTTTTCTTTTCTTTTTTCTTTTTTTTCGAGATGGAGTTTTGCTCTTGTCACTCAGGCTGGAGTGCAATGGCGCGGTCTCGGCTCACTGCAACCTTTGCCTCCCAGGTTCAAGCGATTCTCGTGCCTCAGTCTCCTGAGTAGCTGGGATTACAGGCGCGCACTACCACACCTGGCTAATTTTTGTATTTTTAGTAGAGACAGGGTTTCACCATGTTGGTTAGGCTGGTCTCGAACTTCTGACCTCAGGTGATCCACCCGCTTCAGCCTTCAAAGTGCTGGGATTACAGGTGTGAGCCACCACGCCCGGCCGGAAAGAATTTTTTTGTAATAAATTTTGCTAAGACAATTGTCTATTCCCATGGCAAAAAGAAAACTTGACCCCCTACCTCTCATCATCCACAAAAGTCAATTCCAGGTAAATGAGATCTAAATGTAAAAAGCAAAGTGGTAAAACTTCTAGAAAATAATAAAAACATTTTCATTATCTCTGGGAAATGAAAGACCTCTTAAGACAAAACCACTAACCATGAAAGAAAAGATGGATACCGCATTCAGTGTAAGAGCACCTGCTCAGGCTAGGCACGGTGGCTCATGTCTGTAATCCCAGCACTTTGGGAGCCTGAGGCGGGTGGATCGTGAGGTCAGGAGTTCAAGACCAGCCTGGCCAAGATGGTGAAACACCATCTGTACTAAAAGAAAAAAAAAACAAAAACAACAACAAAAACAAAAATTAGCCGGGCATGGTGGCGGGCGCCTGTAGTCCCAGCTACTCGGGAGGCTGAGGCAGAGAATCGCTTGAACCCAGGAGGCGGAGATTGCAGTGAGCCGAGATGGTGCCACTGCACTCCAGCCTGGGCAACAGAGCGAGACTCCCTCTCAAAAAAAAAAAAAAAAAAAAAAGCACCTGCTCATCAAAAGATGCTATCGAGGGTAGAAAAGCTACAGAGAAGGTGAACATACTTGTAAGACAAAAATCGTGAAGGGCTTGTGTCCAAAGTGTCTAAAGAGTTCCTTCTAACCATTCTTTTTTTTTTTTTTTTAATTGAGATGGAGTCTCGCTCTGTCGCCCAGGCTGGAGCGCAGTGGCGCGATCTCAGCTCACTGCAGCCTCTGCTGCCCAGATTCAAGCGATTCTCCTGCCTCAGCCTCCCAAGTAGCTGGGACTACAGATGCCCACCACCACGCCTGGCTAATGATGTATTTTTAGTAGAGATGGAATTTCACCATGTTGGCCAGGCTGGTCTTGAATTCCTGACCTCAGGCGATCTGCCCACCTCGGCCTCCGAAAGTGCTGGGATTACAGGCATGAGCCACCGTGCTCGGCCCAAACCATTTTTTAGATAATGGAGGGTTTGACCTTGGAACTCTTTGGGGACAGTGCAGGCCCACCTCCTTGGACACAGGGATCCCAAAAGGAGGGCAGTGCCAGTGACTCTTTTTGCCTCTGGTGGTGGGGCCAGAGTGAGGGAGGAGGGTGGAAAAGTGGAACTTTCAAAGAAATGTGCTGTCTAAAGACTCTAATTGGAAGTGTTTTTTGTTTTTGTTTTTGTTTTTGAGACAAGGTCTCACTCTGTTGCCCACACTAGGGTACAGTGGTGTGATGCTGGCTTACGGCAGCCTCCACCTCCTGGGCTCGTGTTCCTTCCAACCTCAGCCTCCGAAGTAGCTGGGACAACAGGCATGTGCCACCACGTCTGGCTTTTATATATTTAAGTATAAGCATTATATATATAACTATATTTATATTAAGTTGGTGCAAAAGTAATTGTGGCTTTTGCCATCACGTTACAAAAACTGCAATTACTTTTGCACCAACCTTATATATATACTATATAGAGAGAGTATATATATATATATATTTTTTTTTCTTTTTTTTTTGTAGGGACAGGGTTTCTCCATGTTGCCCATGCTGGTCTTAAACTCCAGGCCTCAAATGATCCTCCCTCCTCAGCCTCCCACAGTGCTGGGATTACAGGCATGAGCCACGGTGCCTGGTCTGAAAGTGTTTTCTTTCAGAAGGACCAGAGGGAACAGATGGCCAGAGCCCATCATGGCTCCGTCATGCTGTCTCCAAGGACAAATGGAATATTCTGGAGGAAGGGTGGACTGTGTAAGCTCTACAGGTCAATTCTCAATCTCAGCTTGTTCCTGCCAGCTCAGCCCTTATTCCCAATTGAGGAGAAAGAGGAGGTTCAAGGAATATCCTGCTTTTTTTCCAGGAGTTTCAGGGCTGGGCATGGGGTAGGGACTCAAGTCATGCCTTTGGAATGGAGCTGGAGGAGTGTGAGTTAATAGGCACTCTTGTGGGGGCTCTCCTCTCCCTTTCCCCATGGGGCCAGTCAGGACTTGGAGGGCTTCTGGCTGTGGAACTGGTTTGGTTCCCCTGCTTCTTGGTACCATTCCCAGTCTCCACTTGTTCATTCATTCTGACCTCAACTCCTACTCCAGTCCCTATCAGCTCACTCTGCTCCAGCCACAGTGATCTCCTCCCTGGCCCTCAGACATGCCAGGCACATTCCTGCCTTGACATTTTTTCCTCAGGTATCTGCAAACGGCCCACCCTCACTTCCTTCAGGTCTTGATTTTGTCTGAGAAAATGTCATTTTCTCAGAGGATTTTGCTGACCATTGTATCTAAAATTTCATCGCCTCCTCATACTTCCTATCCCCCTCTCCTCCTATAGTTTTTCGCTAAAACCCTATATAAATATTTGCTCATTTTGCTCATTGTCTGGTGCTCCCACTATAAGCTAAAAGTTTAGTGGGGACAGGGATTTTTTCTGTTGTTGTTCACTGCTATACCCCAGAGTCTAGTAGAGTTCCGGGCCGGGCGTTGTGGCTCACGCTTGTAATCCCAGCACTTTGGGAGGCCGAGGCGGGTGGATCACTTGAGGTCAGCAGTTCGAGACCAGCCTGGCCAACATGGTGAAACCCCGTCTCTACTAAACATACAAAAAATTAGCCAGGTGTGGTGGCACATGCTTGTAGTCCCAGCTACCCAGGAGGCTGAGGCACGATAATCACTTGAACCTGGGAGGCAGAGGTTGCAGTGAGCCGAGATCATGCTACTGCACTCCAGCCTGGGCGACAGAACGAGATTCTGTCTTAAAAAATAAATAAATAAAAAATAATAATAAGAGTAAAGTTCTGGGTAACAGTAGATTAAATGTTTATTTAATCCATTCATCCAAGTAATATTTATTGAGCATCTACTGTGTTTACTGAGTGTTGATTAGGTGCCAACCTTGTGCTGGGCACTGAGAGAATGAGGGAGAAAGGCAGGCCTAGGTCTTACCCTCAGGGAGCTTGTAGTCTCTGCGAGGAGAGATTGATGAGGAAACAGGTCTGTAGGATCTGCTGTTCTGATACCCCTGGCGGGAGTGACCACGCTTGTTTGGTTCCTGTGCTGCTTCTGTTCCTGATGTGAGACTCACTCACAGCTGTTTGGTTTCCCAGCTTCAGAATGGGAGCTGAAAGGCAGGCCCCACAATCAGAAATGGCTCCCCTACTCCTGTTTGGCCTCTTTGATCCTGAACCCAAGAAAGGTGTCCCTACAACCTGTTGGCTTCTGCTCTGAAGCCCAGAACCCAGCCCAATATGGAGCCCACTCACAGCCTCCCGGACCCCCAACATGGAACTCATCATAACTTGATGGAATTGCCTGTTGACTACTCAGGGGCCACTCTAGAATGTAAACACCTTGAAGGCAGAGATCATGTCTGGCCTGTTCACTGCTCTATTGCCAGTAACTAGCCAAGCCTCTGGATCACACTAGCTGCAGAAGACGGTGGTTCAGAGCATGGGTGCTGCAGGCCTGACTGCCTGAGTTTGAGTCCCAGCTCTGCTGATGAAAAAAGAATGGTTAGGAATCACAGATCTGGTCCTGAAAATGTGGGAGGCATCATAGCATTATGGGAAATGTACATCCTTACTATCAGATCGCCTAGATTTGCGTCCTGGCTCTGTCACTTACTAGCTGTGTAACTGGCCAAGTCGCTTAATCTCTCTTGTGCTTCAGGTTTCCTGTGTCTAAAATGGGGACAATAGTAGTACTCATCTCATTATGGTTTTGTGAAAATTAAGTGAGTTGATATTTGTAAAGTGCTAACTTAGTACAGTGCCTGGCAGATAACTGCTTGGTAAGGAAACAAATGCTAAATACCGTCCGGGCGCGGTGGCTTACGCCTATAAATCCCAGCACTTTGGGAGGCCAAGGTGGGTGGATCACCTGAGGTCAGGAGTTGGAGACCAGCCTGGCCAACATGGTGAAACCCCGTCTCTACTAAAAATACAAAAATTAGCCGGG
The DNA here is from genome assembly GCF_000001405.40 of Homo sapiens. Taxonomy (NCBI): domain Eukaryota; kingdom Metazoa; phylum Chordata; class Mammalia; order Primates; family Hominidae; genus Homo; species Homo sapiens. The sequence goes on along the minus strand of NC_000023.11, from coordinate 119,521,990 downwards.
TGTGGTGGCGGGTGCCTGTAATCCCAGCTACTCGGGAGGCTGAGGCACGAGAATCGCTTGAACCCGGGAGGCAGAGGTTGTAGTGAGACAAGATCATACCTCTGCACTCCAGCCTGGGCAACAGAATGAGACTTGGTCTCAAAAACAACAATAACAACGAAAAACAGGCCAGGCGCAGTGGCTTACGGCTGTAATCCCAGCACTTTGGGAGGCCGAGGTGGGTGGATCACAAGGTCAGGAGTTCGAGACCAGCACGGCCAACATAGTGAAACCCCATCTCTACTAAAAATACAAAAATTAGCCAGGCATGGTGGCGCACATCTGTAGTCCCAGCTACTCAGGAGGCTGAGGCAGGAGAATCGCTTGAATCTGGGAGGTGGAGGCTGTGGTGAGCCGAGATCATGCCCCTGCACTCCAGCCTGGGCAACAGAGTGAGACTCCGTCTCAAAAAACAAAACAAAACAAAAAAAAACCAACAACAAAAAACAAATGCTAAATACCATCTGTTGACAGAATGAATGAACCGCAAATGTGGTTTTCCCCGACCTATTCTGAGTTCAAATGTGAATCTCACATGTCTTTCCTGCTGAGCGCTCTGGAGCAGCTCAAATCTGAATGTCTGGTTGGGGAGGCCAAACCACAGCACCCACCCTAGATGCCCCCAGAGCAGGTTTCCACCTGTGTCCACTTGTATCCTTTCCTGACTGTACTTCCAGTTCTGGCCATTGTTTGGGGAGCCCTTGGCATCACCAGTTTTCTTTTTATTTTTGTGGGTGCATAGTAGGTGTATATATTTATGGGGCATATGGGATATTTTGATATAGGTATACAATGTGTAAAAATCACATCAGGGTAAATGGGGTATCCGTCACCTCAAGCGTTTATCCTTGTATTACAAACAATCTAATGACACTCTTTTAGTTATTTTAAAATGTACAATTAAATGATTGGCTATAGTCACACTGTTGTGCTATCAAATACTAGATCTTATTCTATTTTTTGTACCCATTAACCATCCACACTTCCCCCCCCACAACTCCCCACTACCATTCCCAGCCTCTGGTAACTATCCTGCTACTCTCTCTCTCTCCATGAATTCATTTCTAGCTCCCACAAATAAGTGAGAACATGTAAAGTTTGTCTTTCTGTGCCTGGCTTATATCACTTAACATAATGCCCTCCAGTTCTATCATGTTATTGAAATGACAGGATCTCACTCTTTTATGGCTGAATAGTGCTCCATTGTGTGTATGTACCACATTTTCTTTATCCATTTGCCTGTTGATGGACACTTAGGTTGCTTCCAAGTCTTGGCTTTTGGGCATCACCAGTTTTTATTTGCTCTGCCAGGGAACTTGATTTCCCTCCCTGTTTCTGGAGTTGAAGCACTATGCCCTGCTCTCTTTGTGAACAATCTTTGAGCTTATCTTCTCTGGACCAGGGCTGGGCTAGCCCAGTAGAGACCTCATCCTGGTGCAGCAGGAGATGGCATGGACATAGTATGTTGGGACAAATATGAGGTCACAAGTGTCAGGTTACAAAGCCAGGTTACAAAGCCCTAGAGCATTCTGAACTTCAGCTGTGAGAGTAGCCTAAAGCACAGGGGGTGAGCTCTCCCAGGGGAAGCAAGGGGTATGATGAGTTGGGTGGGGTCTAGGCCAAATTGCTTCCCGAGAGCGTGCTAGCCTACACAATAGAAGCTCTTAACCTGGGCTCCATGGGCTTCAGGGATGAGCTTCAGGGAGTCCCCAAGCTCCTTGAAATTAAATATGTTCTGTGTGCTTGTGAACAGATGGGCATTTTTCTGGGGAGAGGATTTGTTGATTTCACCCAATTTTCAGAGGGACCAATGAAAAAAGAATGGTTAGGAATCACTGGTCTAGTCCTCAAAATGTGGGAGGCATCATAGCATTAGGGGAAATGTACAGCCTTACTATCAGATCGCCTAGGTTTGTGTCCTGGCTCTGTCACTTACTGGCTGAGATCTTAAGTAAGTCATGTTACCTCTTTGTGCATCCATGTCCTCATCTATAAAATGGGGATAATAGAAGTACCTGCTTTATAGAGTTCTTGAGAGGAAGAAAGGGGTAATATGAGCACAAAGCCCTTAGTAGATTGTCTGGAACATGGTAAGGTAGGTATCCTTGGAGATTCAGAAGATCACCAAGATCATCAATACTTTTTCTGTGCATGTGTACTGTGAAAGTTGTCAGAATCAAAATGGAGTCACTTTTATATTTTTTAAAAAGCCCTGACACATAGAGCTAGGCAAGGCTATGTAAGAGAGGATTCTCACACTTGTATGATAACAAGACTATCACAAAAAACTCCACAAAAACCACAACCTTGCACAATGGCCATTGCAACCTTACACAAAAAATACTTCTGGCCGGGCGCAGTGGCTCACGCGTGTAATCCCAGCATTTTAGGAGAGCTAGGCAGGTGGATCACCTGAGGTCGGGAGTTCAAGACCAGCCTGACCAACATGGAGAAACCCCATCTCTACTAAAAATACAAAATTAGCCAGGCGTGGTGGCGGGCAGCTGTAATCCCAGCTACTTGGGAGGCTGAGGCAGGAGAATCACTTGAACCGGGAGGCGGAGGTTGCAGCAAGCCGAGATCATGCCATTGCACTCCAGCCTGGGCAACAAGAGCAAAACTCCATCTCAAAAAAAAAAAAAAAAAAAAAAAACACACACACACACACAGACACACACACACAAAATAACAAAAAAAAACTTCTGCAAGGACATCTGCCCAGCAACTGCCTGTCCAGCCTCAGACTGGCATCACCCTTGTTATTGATCTTTGTAGCCAAGGATAATCATTTCAAAAACAATTATATAATCCTCATTTTTCCTTTTTTTTTTTTGAGATGGAGTTTCGCTCTTGTTGCCCAGGCTGGAGTGCAATGGCGTGATCTTGGCTCACCGCAACCTCCACCTCCCAGGTTCAAGCGATTCTCCTGCCTCAGCCTCCCAAGTAGCTGGGATTACAGGCATGCGCCACCATGCCCAGCTAATTTTGTATTTTTAGTAGAGACGGGATTTCTCCATGTTGGTCAGGCTGGTCTAGAACTCCTGACCTCAGGTGATCTGCCCGCCTCGGCCTCCCAAAGTGTTGGGATTACAGGCGTGAGCCATCACGCCTGGCCCATTTTTCCTTTAAAAGCCTTTGTCTTCCTTTACCTCCCTGAATATGCACATAGTTTACTATGGTGTTATTATTCCCATTGCAATGCCCTATTCCCGAATAAATGTCATTTTCTATTAGAGAGTCTCTTTCTGTTATTTAAGTTGACAGTACATGTGTGTCTTTCTGAGATAGGGGGTAAAGGACTGGGGAACAGTAGTTGGAGCTCCTGGGATTAGTGCCTCGTGGTCAGGCAGGCTGGTAGAAAAGAGCTGTAAGATTATACTTGCTGGAAGTGTTCCACCGTTGGAGGCTGTGGGTATCTCCAGCTGTTCTCTAAAGTTGGGCTGGAAAGAGTACCGACTCCCCTCATATCTAGAGTGATTTTTATTTTTTTTTGAGACAGAGTCTCACTCTGTAGTCCAGGCTGGAGTGCAGTAGCATGATTTTTTTTTTATTATTATACTTTAAGTTCTAGGGTACATGTGCACAGCATGCAGGTTTGTTACATATGTATACATGTGCCATGTTGGTGTGCTGCACCCATTAACTCGTCATTTACATTAGGTATATCTCCTAATTAGTAGCATGATTTTGACTCACTGCAACCTCTGCCTCCTGGGTTCAAGCGATACTCCCACCTCAGCCTCCCGAGTAGCTGGGATTACAGGGGTGCACCACCACGCCTGGCTAATTTTTGTATTTTTAGTAGAGATGGAGTTTCGCCATGTTGGCCAGGCTGGTCTCGAACTCCTGGCCTCAAGTGATCCACCCATGTCGGCCTCCCAAAGTGCTGGAATTATAGGCGTGAGCCACTGCACCCGGCCCTAGAGTGATTTTAAGGTACACCTGGTTAATTCCTCCTAAAGAGTTTCCCTATAGGTCTTCCATCCTTTATGTCCTAAAATTTCTACAATTGAAGTCACTTGGGCACCAAAGCCTTTGTTGAAATGTATGTTCGGTGACAAATCTGTGCAGGGAGGCCGAGTGAGGCCCCATCATGAATGTTGATTTTATTCTTGAACTGGACATTTCATTTTTTCCCCTAAGAACTGTATTGCTGGCCGGGCGTGGTGGCTCATTCCTGTAATCCCAGCACTTTGGGAGGCTGAGGCAGGCGGATCACCTGAGGTCAGGAGTTCGAGACAAGCCCAGCCAACACGGTAAACCCTGTCTCTACTAAAAATACAAAAAGTAGCTGGGCGTGGTGGCAGGCGCCTGTAATCCTGGCTTCTCAGGAGGCTGAGGCACAAGAATCACTTGAACCCAGGAGGCGGAGGTTGCAGTGAGCCAAGATCGCACCATTGCACTCCAGCCTGGGCGGCAAGAGGTGAAACTCCGTCTCAAAAAAAAACAAAACGAAAGAACCGTATTGCTACTGCTACTATGAACATGGTTGTTGCTTGCTCATAGTTACTCTGGAATAACAAGCTGGTTTCGTGAGCAAGGCACGGTTGGTTACCTAGCCTACACTTTAGGCCTAGTGAATTCTCATTATAACTGCTCCCCCTCATGTGGGGGACCCTTTCTTCACAGAACAGTGAGACATTGTTTTTGAATGATCATCCACATAATTCCTGTATGGATTTTAAAAGCCGATTGTTTAATTGGACGGTGTACTTGTCTATTGTCACTCTAGTACCTGATGAACCACCTGTTCTATATTTCGTTATTATAGCAGTGTTTTTTTTCCTTGAAGCTTCAAATTTCGTTTTCCTTTGTAATTTTCTACATTTTGTATTTGCCTGCTAATTAGATTTAATCCTGATTTTTATTTGTCTACTTGTAGACAAGTGTTTATCTTCTTTATTGTCAGGCCTGAAGTCATTTTCTAATTGGTTTATAATATTTTAATATCCACACAGTTTTGTTTGCCACTAGCAAGATTGTCATCATTAGCATCAGCAACGATTGTTGTAGCGAAAATTGTAATTATATACTGAAGGCCTTGAATTTAGGCCTGGTTCAGGAAGTAGTTTAGGTAAAAAGTTGCAGAATTTAGGAACACGGTCTCACAAAATATTCTCCTCTAAATAATATAGACATTTCCTCATAAAAACTAACAAAAATCCATAGGAGGAAGGACAGATATCCAAGTGACCAAGAATGACAGAGCCTTGAAATCGCGACACTGTTTGGGCCTGCTAAAATGATTTTTTTAGTTTCAACTAAGACCCTAACATCGCTTGGCAATCCTATTGTATGTCCCTGGTCAGCGCATCTTCAGTGTCCTGAAGCAGCCATTTCATCATCATTTCACTCTCCTCTAGCCCCCAACCCCAGCTAGCCCCCTTTTCATCAGAAAGATTGGTTTCCATCTTCACGGAGCAAAATTGAAGCCAACAGCGTGAACTTCAGCCTCACACCAACTGGGCTGCAGATTCAACTCAAATGCAATAGCGCCCCCTTCCTCTCTATAGGAGACACTGCAATGTGCTTCCCTGATCTTCACAACAGAAAGACTCAGTGCCTAACAGTAGAGAGCCCTCAGCTGGTGGACCCCTTTGGGGACAGCCTCAGCTGAAGAAACCCACTTTGCCCAAGGGCATGCCTCCTTCCCAGGACAGCCTGTGTCCAATGAATGACTGATGTGGGGATATAAAGGCCTGGCCCCCTTGTCTCCACTCTTAGCTTCAGAGCTTCCCATAGGTCTGGCTGAGGCCTTTGTTGAATCTGCATTGCAGCCCAATGTCTCCTTTCTCCAGTCCTGCTTCCATTCCTTCCTTTCCACGCGTGATGATCCCAAGAGTACTCCCTAAGAAACCTCCTGCATGCTAATCTCCATCTCAGAGTCTGCTCAGCAAATCCAACCTGCACCACCCTCTCCCCCTCCCCTAACTCCCTCCTCCTGCCCCAGGCTGACACCCACCTCCCCCATGTATTCAGTTCAGTCCTCCTCACTTCCCCTTGGACTTTGCTCTATTACTTACCTCCTCTCTTTCCTGAAGCCTCAACCTTCCCCTCTTTCTCCATCTCTCCTCCTCAGCATGTACATTTGAACTAATGCCTTCAACAAAAACCTTTGACACAGAGCCTACTTCTAGCTTTCATTCTTTCCTCCCCTTCACAGTCTAAGCTTCTTGAAGAGGCCTACTGTGATCTTGCTTCGGTCTCCATCACTGCTGAAATGGTTCTCCTTTTTCAGCCCTGTCTTATTTGACTTCTATGTGAGTGTGGCTCCGATGGCCATCCCCTCTTCCCTTCATTTCTAGGACACTTGGCCCTCTCCCACTTTCTTTTCTTTCTTTTCCTTCCTTCCTTCCTTCCTCCCTCCCTTCCTCCCTCCCTCCCTCTCTCTCCCCCTCTTTCTTTCTTTCTTTCTTTCTTTTTTTCTTGTTTCCTCACTCTATTGTCCACGCTGGAGTGCAGTGGTGCAATCTCGGCTCATTGCAGCCTCCGCCTCCTGGGTTCAAGTGCTTCTCCTGCCTCACCCTCCTGAGTAGCTGTGACTACAGGTGTCCATCACCACGCCTGGCTAATTTTTGTATTTTTTGGTAGAGACGGGGTTTCGCCATGTTGGCCAGGCTGGTCTCGAACTCCTGACCTCAAGTGATCCACCCGCCTGGGCCTCCCCAAGTGCTGGGATTACAGGCGTGAGCCACTGCATCTGGCCCTCACCCACTTTATTTTTTTATTTTACTTACTTTATTTATTTATTTGAGACAGGGTCTTGCTCTGTCACCCAGCTTGGAGCACAGAGGCTGGAGTGTAATGGTGTGATCATTGCCTGCTACAGCCCCAAATTTCCGGCTTCAGGCAATCCTCCCCGCTCTGCCTCCCAATGCACTGGGATTACAGGTGTGAGCCACTGTGCCCTACCCATGAAACACTTTTATATCCGACTATTAGACACCCTACGTTCGTGTCTTACAGGTATCTCAAACCCAGTGTATTCACAATGGCTCTTGTCTTCATTCCCTGCTTCAAACTGGGTCCTCCCTGTGTTCCCGGATTCAGTGAATGCTACTGTGTATCTGGTTACTCAAGCCAGAAAACAGATTTCTCTCAGCACAATCTCTCTCCCTTCTTACTTACTTCCCAACAACCAAAGTAATTTGGTGGCACGTGCCTGTAGTTCCAGCTACTCAGGAGGCTGAGGCAGGAGGATATCTTGAGCCCAGGATGCCAAGGCTGACCTGAGCAACATAGCAAGACTCCATCTCAAAAAAAAATGTAATTTGGATCATGGCATTCTTCTGTTTAAGATGCCCCAGTGGCCCCCTGTTGCCTTTATTTATTTATTTATCTATTTATTTTTGAGACGGAGTCTCACTTTGTTGCCCAGGCTGGAGTGCAGTGGTGCGATCTTGGCTCACTGCAACCTCTGTGTCCTGGGTTCAGGCGATTCACATGCCTCAGCCACCAGAGTAGCTGGGACGACAGGAGCCTACCACCACGCCCGGCTAATTTTTGTATATTTGTAGAGAGGCGTTTCGCCATGTTGACCAGGCTGCTCTCAAACTCCTGGCCTCAGACGATCCACTCACCTCAGCCTCCCAAAGTGCTGGGATTACAGGCGTAAGCCACCGTGCCTGTGGCTGAACTATTTAATAAATGATGAAGTATTGAATAAAAACCCCTTCAATTGGCACCCCTCTCATGTGGCCCTTGCCTGTCTGGTTCCATCGCCCCCGCCCCATCTAGCACTTTATATTCTAGCACAACTGGGCTACTTGAAGTGCTTTGAACATGCTTCATTTTGTCATGTCTTGGGGCCTCCTTTGCATATGTTCTTCTCTCTGCAAAGCTGCCTTGTTCCTCCCTGGTTACTCTTCCCTCCCCCACCCCTTATTTAATCTTCAGGTGTCTTTACAAGTGTCCCTGACTCTCTGAGGTTGACTTAGGCCCTCGCACTTCCTCTCCTCTTTACAGACATCCACTGGATCTCTTGCAGCCTATCCAGTGCCTCTCTTTCTGTGTCTGTCTTTCTATGAGACTGAGTTCCTTGAAGGCAACAGTTTCATCCTGTAATCCCACGACCTGGCACAAGGTTTGGTGCTTGGTTGCCACTTATTAAGTGCTTGTTGGATGAATGAGTCAGTGGAGTGCAAGTAGACAGCAGGAGAAAAGGAAACGAGGTTTGACGGGAGACAGGAGGCTCTTTGGTATCTGACAGACCCAGATTATCCCAAAACACAATCTGCTGTGATCTCTTAATTTCTCTGCATTACAAAAGAAGCACAAAGGATCCAGAGCCTGTGGAACCCTGCCTTGTGCCTGGGCCAGGCATATAAGACCCTTGCCCAACTGTGCAATGATGGTTTCTACCTGTGTCTATGGACTCTGTGGGTGTCTAAGAGGTAGGGCCACCCACCCAAACGTTTTGTTAACTGACTTATATGGAAAGAGGAGAAAGAGAATCCTGACAATGCTCACTGCTTCTGCAACTGCTTGTATAATACAGTCACATCTGTCAACCCCACGTGCTGCAAAAAGATTCCAGGAATCCTGAGATGTTGCTGCTCTCAGCCTTTGGGGTAGCTGGGCTGAGCCTGGGGCAGCTCTGGCCACAAGAAGCCTCCTTCTTTGTGCAACACAAATACCATTTTCTGTGTCTGCTGCAGACTTAAAAAGGTTAATGAGCACTGTTGGATAATATCTAATCATTCTGGTCAGGTACTGCAATTTTGTGAGTGCCCACCTGGGACCTTGGCATCTTGAATTTACCCATATATTTCCCCCCAATTAAAGCCTTTTCTCGGCCGGGCGCGGTGGCTCACACCTGTAATCCCAGCACTTTGGCAGGCCGAGGCGGGCGGATCACGAAGTCAGGAGTTTGAAACCAGCCAGACCAACATGGTGAAACCCCATCTCTACTAAAAATACAAAAATTAGCCAGGCGTGGTGGCACGTGCCTGTAATCCCAGCTACTCAGGAGGCTGAGGCAGGAGAATTGCTTGAATCTGGGAGGCGGAGGTTGCAGTGAGCCAAGATCGTGCCGCTGCACTCCAGCCTGGACAACAGAGCGAGACTCTGTCTCAAAAAAAAAAAAAGTATTTTCTCATGTTTTCAAGTAGGACAGGGATATTTGTTTATTCCCCATTGTATAGGTGAGGAAACCAAGGCGCAGCGAGGTCAAGAGACCAGCACACTCCAGCATTGTCAGAGACAAATCAAACTGAGGAGCTGGCTGAAGCCCGCACCCTCTGAGGCTGTCCAGCTGCAGTGCATTTACACTCTGCCCACAAGAGGTCAGTAGGTTCCACAGGAGCAGAGCTGGCTACAGGGAGGCCCGCACAATGAAAGGTGGAGCCATCCTCCCTGAGAGCAGCCCTGGTTACTGGCTGCACAGCAGCTACCTAGAAGGAAATCCTTCTAACAACAGGTTTTCCAAGAAGTCCTTCTTCCAGGGGTGGACCAGCGGTTGGGGCTGGCCAACGGTGTGTATCCTGGGAGGGCTGTGGGAGTTCCCAGGGGCAGCTGCTTTATTATATTGCAATCCTCAGGGTTTGATAAGCTATTTGTGGAGGGCGGTGTCTGTAGATGGGGCAGCTGGCGTGCTTCCATCTGCCTAGAAAGCTGCAACCATCTCCACGGTAATAACTGGAACCAAAAATATCACACGGCTGTCTGCTAGGCCAGAACGTTCCTGTCTGTCTGCTCTCTGGAGGCTGAGGGTGGAGGAGACTTAAAAAGCCATATATTGCCGGGCACTGTGGCTCACGCCTGTAATCCCCACACTTTGGGAGGCCGAAGTGGGTGGATCACTTGAGGCCAGGAGTTTGAGACCAGCCTAGGCAACATGGTGGAACCCCGTGTCTACCAAAAAAGACAAAAATTAGCTGTGTGTGGTGATGCACGCCTGTAGTTCCAGCTACTGGGGAGGCTGAGGCACGAAAATCACTTGAACCCGGGAGGCAGAGGTTGCAGTGAGCAGAGGTCATGCCACTGCACTCCAGCCTGGGTGACAGAGCAAGACTCCATCTCAAAATAAAATAAAATAATAAGATATATATATTTCTATATATTTCTATATATATATTTCTATATATAGAAATATATATATTTTTATATATATATATAGCATCCCCAAGATTTAGAATCAGACAGACCTGGGTTTGAATCTTGATTTTTCTTCTTATTAACTGTGACCTCAGGCAAGTGGCTTAACTTCTCTAGGCCTCAGTCTCCTCATTAATAGAATGGGGAATAATAATACCTGCTTTTCTGGCTGTTCTGAGGATTTATTCACTCATTTGAAAGATAGTGGCATGCCTGTCCTACAGTTGTTACTAGGTTCAGGGGATACAAGAGATTCAACGCCTGGCACATAGTAAGTGCTGAATTAATGATAACTTGTTTTTGAAGGTCATGCCACGAATTTGGACTCAAAATAGCAGGCAGTTGAAAGCATTCTGAAAAGAGAAGTAGTAAGAAAAAAACACTACTTTTTTTTTTTCTTTCTCAGGCAGGGTCTCACTGTTGCCCAGGCTGAGTGCAATGGCACAATCATAGCTCACTGCAGCTTCGACCTCTTGGGTTCAAGCAGTCCTCCTGCCTCAGCCTTCCAAAGTGCTGGGATTACAGGCGTGAGCCACCATGCTCAGCAGGAAAACAATATTGAAGAGGCTTCACCCCTACCTGCAGTGTAGAGGCAGGATTGAAAAATGCCAGCCTTATCATTTTCATAGAGTTGTTCTGAACATCATAAAATAGGGCAGAGCAAGAGGCCTAAGACTAATAAATAGTCGGGAGTTGAACCCATATTGCAACTGGGGACAGGGACTGCTCCTAAAATCATAGGGCCACAGTCTGCCTCTCCCCTGGGAAGCAGCAAGGGGAAGGAGGGGCTGAGAAGAAGCCTTCTGTCTGCTCACTGGAAGCTGAGGGGCTTCATTTTGCCGATCACCTGGCCTGTCTTCGGGCAGTGGTTTCGGGATGTGGGAAGAAGGTGTGGGCGTGCATATGCAGCAGTGAGGATGTTTGAAGGATGTGAGAACACAAGAACATAAAATGCCACCCTGTGGCTGAGCCATGGATTCCTCTGACTCAGACAAGGTCATCATGGAACATGAAGACCCAAATGTCATCTTTGAGTCCTTTGGTAAACTATCAGGTGTGAGTTTATCCAAAGCTTTCAGAAATTGCAGTATTTCTTTTCACCCTGCCTCACCAATTGGGATGTTTTCCACACGTTTTCGCTTCCATTTAAAGATAAGTTATTTTATTAAAAACATACCTCTCTGGAAGAGCTCTACAAGGAGAACTACAAAACACTGCTGAAAGAAATCATAGATGACACAAACAAATGGAAACACATTCTATGCTCATGGATGGGTAGAATCAATATCGTGAAAATGACCATACTGCCCAAAGCAATCTACAGATTCAGTGCAATTCCTATCAAAATACCAACATCATTTTTCACAGAATCAGAAAAAATCCTAAAATTCATATGGAACTAAAAAAGAGCCAGAATAGCCAAAGCAATCCTAAGCAAAAAGAACAAATCTGGAGGTATCACATTACCGGACTTCAAATTATACTACAAGGCTATAGTTACCAAAACAAAATAGTACTGATATAAAAGTAGTTACATTAACTGGGCGCGGTGGCTCACATTTGTAATCCCAGCACTTTGGGAGGCCGAGGCTTGTGGATCACCTGAGGTCAGGAGTTCGAGACTAGGCTGGCCAACATGGTGAAACCTCATCTCTACTGAAAGTACGAAAATTAGCCAGGCATGGTGGTGCGTGCCTGTAATCCTAGCTACTCAGGAGGCTGAGGCAGGAGAATCACTTGAGCCTGGGAGGCAGAGATTGCGGTAGGTCAAGATCACGCCACTGCACTCCAGCCTGGGCAACAGGGAGAGACTGTCTCAAATAATAAAAATAAAATAAAATAAAAGTAGTTATATTAGACCAATGGAACAGAATAGAGAACCCAGAAATAAAGCCAAATACTTACAAACAACTGATATTTGACAAAGCATACGAAAACGTAAGTTGGGGAAAGGATACCCTATTCAATAAATGGTGCTGGGCAAACTGGCTAGCCCCATGTAGAAGAATGAAACTGTATCCCTATCTCTCACCTTATGCAAAAATCAACTTGAGATGGATCAAAGACTTAAATCTAAGACCTGAAATCATAAAAATTCTAGAAGAAAACCTAGGAAAAACTCTTCTGGACATTCTTTGCCTAGGCAGGCAAAGAATTTATGACTAAGACCCGAAAAGCAAATGCCACAAAAACAAAAATAAATGGGACCTAATTAAACTGAAAAGCTTCTTGCACAGCAAAAGAAAAAATCATCAGAGTAAACAGAACCCACAGAATGGAAGAAAATATTTGCAAACTATGCGTCCAACAAAGGAGTAATATACAGAATCTACAAGGAACTCAAACAAATCAGCAAGAAAACAAATAAACAAATAATCCCATTAAAAAGGGGGCAAATGACACGAAGAGACATTTCTCAAAAGAAGATATACAAACGGCCAACACACACATAAAAAATGCTCAACATCACTAATCATCAGGGAAATACAAATTAAAACCATAATGAGATACCACCTTACCCCAGCCAGAATGGCCATTATTATTATTATTATTATTGAGACAGAGTTTTGCTCTTGCCCTCCAGGCTGGAGTGCAGTGGCATGATCTCGGCTCACTGCAACCTCTGCCTCCCGGGTTCAAGCGATTCTCCTGAGGCTGAGGTGTGCGGATCACCTGAGGTCAGGAATACAAGACCAGCCTGGCCAACGTGGTGAAACCCCATCTCTACTAATGATACAAAAATTAGCCAGGCGTGGTGGCAAGCACCTGTAATCCCAGCTACTTGGGAGGCTGACACAGGAGAATCACTTGAACCCGGGAGGCGGAGGTTGCAGTGAGCTGAGATCGAGCCATTGCACTCCAACCTGGGTGACAAGAGCAAAACTCCATCTCCAAACAAAAAAAGAAAAAAAAAGAAAAAGAAAAAGAATGAAATAATGTCTTTTTCGGCAACTTGGATGGAGCTGGAGGCTGTTATTCTAAGTGAAGTAACTCAGGAATGGAAAACCAAATACTGTATGTTCTCACTCAGAAGTGAGAGCTAAGCTATCAGTACACAAAGGCATGTGGAGTGGTATGATGGACACTAGAGACTCAGAAAGGGGAGGGTGGGAGTGGGTGAAGGATAAAAAACTGTAAAATGGATACAATGTATACTACTTGGGTGATGGGTGCACTAAAATCTCAGAATTCACCACTATATAATCCATCCATGTAACCAAAAACCACTTGTACGCCAAAAGCCATTGAAATAAAAAAAATTAAAACAATAAAAAAGGTGAAAAAAAAAGAAAATAAAAACACACCTGTCCAAGCTAGGTGTGGTGGTGCATGCCTATAGTCCTAGATACTCAGGAGGCTGAGGGCGGAGGATTATTTGAGCCCAGAAGTTCGAGGTCAACCTGGGTGACATAGTGAGATCCCATCTCTAAAAAATAAACCAATCAACAAACAACCCCTTCCCCACTTGCCACAAAACACACCTTTCCCAAAGAAAGTATATATACCAGAAGAAATAATGCCCTTCTTCTGGTATGTAAGAATTCCCGGCCGGGTGTGGTGGCTCACGCCTGTAAATCCCAACACTTTGGAAGGCTGAGGCAGGCGGATCACGTGAGCCCAGGAGTTGGAGACCAGCCTGGCCAACAAGGTGAAACTCCGTCTCTACTAAAAATACAAGAATTAGCCGGGCGTGATGGCACACGCCTGTAGTCGCAGCTACTCTGGAGGCTGAGGCATGAGAATCGCTTGAACCTGGGAGGTGGAGGTTGCAGTGAGCTGAGATTGTGCCACTGCACTCTGGCCTGGGGAACATAGTGAGACTCTGACTCAGAAAAAAAAAAAAAAAAAAAAAAAGGATTCCTTCCAGGAGTCTGTTAGCAGTTGCCCTCAAGACCAGCAAAACTGGAGGGTGAGGGAACTGAGATTTTCTGGAATAGCCTTTTTTATGTCTTTTTCTACGTAAGCAGATTGAGGATCAGAAAGTTAAAGCGACTTGTCCGAGGTCTACAGCTACTAAGTGGTTGATAGAACTGGAAAGCCTCCTAGGTTTCTAGTCAGGGAGACAGGTCTATGCTTTTTTTCCCAAAGCAAATGACTTCCCATTTTGGATTTATTTTTCTAGACTTCCCTCATTGCTTTAACTCTCCTTACATCCTCCCATGACCTCTTTTAATTCTGTCCACACAGCCACAGTTGGCAGCTAGACCAAAGTGGTTTGGTTTGTCAGATCCAGGAACAAGGGGCAGAGGCATCTAGCTAGCCTGGGCCACCTTCTGGGGAACCAGCTAGGTTTTAATTCAATGCCAGTGTTCAGGAAGTAAAGCAGTTGCTCTTCCTGGCAGGCATCAAGGAAGCATGCTGGAACTAGAGTCCTTGCCGAGCTGGACTGAGAGGGAAGCAAGGAACCCGTGGAGAGGGCCATTTCTAGACTGAGGAATGCAGGCCTGGCTCTCCACTCAAGGCCATCCCCGGGTGATGTTAGAAGTCAAACCAAAGTTAGCTGACATAGAAGAGCCATTCATTTTTTTCTAGAAAAACTGATTGAGGCCGAGTGCGGTGGCTCACGCCTGTAATCCCAGTACTTCAGGAGGCTGAGGTGGGTGGATCACTTGAGGTCAGGAGTTTGAGACTAGCCTGGCCAACATGGTGAAACCCCGTCTCTACCAAAAATACAAAAATTAGCCAGGTGTGGTGGTGAGCACCTGTAGTCCCAGCTACTCAGGAGGCTGAGGCGGGAGGATCGTTGGAGCCTGGGAGGCAGAGGTTGCAGTGAGCTGAGATCGCACCACTGCACTCCAGCCTGGGTGACAGAGTGGGAGTCTGTCTCAAAAACAAAAACAAAAACTGTCCCGGCATGGTGGCTCACGCCTGTAATCCCAGCACTTTGGGAGGCCGAGGTGGGTGGATCACGTGAGCCCAGGAGTTGGAGACCAGCCTGGCCAACATGGCGAAACCCCGTCTCTACCAAAAATACAAAAAAAAATTAGCTTGGCGTGGTGGTGCACGCCTGTAATCCCAGTTACTCAGGAGGCTGAGGCAGGAGAATGGATTGAACCTGGGAGGCGGAGGTTGCAGTGAGCCAGGATCGCGTCACTGCACTCCAGCCTGGGCAACAGAGTGAGACTCTGTTTCAAAAAAAAAAAAAAAAAAAAACAGTAATGGGCTTTTGGCTGGGTGTGGTGTCTCACGCCTGTAATCCCAGCACTTTGGGAGGCCAAGGCAGGTGGATCACGAGGTCAGGAGTTCGAGACCAGCCTGGCCAACATAGTGAAACCCGTCTCTACTAAAAAATACAAAAATTAGCTGGGCATGGTGGCGCATGCCTGTAACCCCAGCTACTCGGGAGGCTGAGGCAGGAGAATCGCTTCAACCCCGGGAGGCAGAGGTTGTGGTGAGCTGAGATGAGGCCACTGTACTCCAGCCTGGGCAACAGAGGGAGACTCCATCTCAAACAAAACAAAGCAAAACACACCAAAAAAAAAAAAAAATGATTGAGCTGACTAGGTGCCAAAGATACCACTATGAATGGCAGAGATGAAGTTCCTACCTTCATGGAGTTTATGGCCTAGTGAGAGCAAAAAAAAAGTTTTTGTTTGCTTTGCTTTTTTAACACATAGATGTTTTCTAGCCACGTTGTCTGTCCTCCATCATGTTCTGGTCAGGGTTGGAGTACCTCTGGGACCTTTGAACCTTGTGTTTCTGGTGCCAAAGTAGTTGTGAACCTTGGGCTTAACCAGTGGTGAGTTTGTAAATGTTTAACGACCAGCTCTCGGGGTGGGGTAAGGTATGTGTATGTTTTTGTGTGTTTATGTACATAAGCTAATTAATTATAAATTTTACTTATGTAAAGGATATATAGTACACGAATTAGCCATAACAATAAAATATACAATATTATTTATTGTAAATTCAATATAGCCAAGTGATTCTCACAGAATGCTTTCATCGATTGTTGCCCAACTCTTATATCTGTGGTTGCACTTGATGAACAAATGTAGTTCTTTTTTTTTTTTTTTTTTTTGAGACAGAGTTTTGCTCTTGTTGCCCAGGCTGGAGTGCAGTGGCACGATCTCGGCTCACTGCAACCTCCGCCTCCTGGGTTCAAGTAATTCTCCTGCCTCAGCCTCCCGAGTAGCTGATATTACAGGTCGGCACCTAATCAACACTCAGTAAACATAGTAGATGCTCAATAAATATTAGTTGGATGAATGGATTAAATAAACATTTAATCTACTGTTACCTAGAACTTTACTATTATTTTGAGACAGAGTCTCACTCTGTCGCCCAGGCTGGAGTGCAGTAGCATGATCTCAGCTCACTGCAACCTCTGCCTCCCAGGTTCAAGCAATTCTCGTGCCTCAGCCTCCCGAGTAGCTGGGATTACAGGGGTGCACCACCATGCCCAGCTAATTTTTTGTATGTTTAGTAGAGACAAAGTTTCACCATGTTGGCCAGCCCAGTCTCGAACTCCTGACCTCAAATAATCCACCCGCCTCGGCCTCCCAAAATGCTGGGATTACAAGCATGAGCCGCCACGCCCGGCCGAACAAATGTAGTTCTGACGTGCATGTTGGTTGATATTTTCATTTAAGTGAGAAACAATGATGTCAGAACTGCATTCATTTGTCCACAATGTGAGTGATTTCTTTTTTTTTTTTTTTTTTTAAATGGAGTCTCACTCTGTTTGCCCAGGCTGGAGTGCAGGAGTGTGATCTTGGCTCACTGCAACCTCTGCCTCCCGGGTTCAGGTGATTCTCGTGCCTCAGCGTCCTGAGTAGCTGGGATTACAGGCGCACAGCACCACGCCTGGCTAATTTTTGTATTTTTAGTAGAGACAGGGTTTGGCCATGTTGGCCAGACTGGTCTTGAACTCCTGGCCTCAAGTGATCTGCCAGCCTCAGCCTCCCAAAGTGCTGGGATTACAGGTGTGAGACACCGTGCCTGGCTGATTTCCTTGCTGAATAGGTTAGTGGTTTTCAAACTCTGGAAGACTATTTTCTCATTTTTTGGTATTATTCACAATCTAACAGCTATAGATATGGCACACCTTTGAGTTTTATCTGCATTATTAACATTGTTTCTATTGCTTTCTTTCCTCTAGATAGACAACAAAAGAATAGATCAAGCCTGATTTATAGCATTTGCTGATTTCTGAGTTGTAAGTGTTCCCACTGTGGCTGATTTCAAGCAGTTAACTTCAATGTGATGTTGGGAAGAGACACAATTGCACACTATTATACAGTATTTCAACTCTACAGATACTGTAGACATAAATCATCTGAAGAGCACAGGTAATAGTAAAATGAAGGCCGGGTGCGGTGGCTCACGCCTGTAATCTCAGCACTTTGGGAGGCCGAGGCGGGTGGATCACCTGAGGTTGGGAGTTCGAGATCAGCCAGACCAACATGGAGAAACCCCGTCTCTACTAAAACTACAAAAAATTAGCCGGGCGTGGTGGCACATGCCTGTAATCCCAGCTACTTGGAAAGCTAAGGCAGGAGAATCGCTTGAACCCGGGAGGCAGAGGTTGCGGTGAGCTGAGATCGTGCCATTGCACTTCAGCCTGGCAACAAGAGCGAAACTCCATCTCAAAAAAAAAAAAAAAAAGTAAAATGATTAGGAGATGATGAGTTTTGGGACATTGATTACCTTAGTTTTTAATATAATTTATTTAATTGTAATTTTATATATTTTAAAATAAGTGCTATGCTTAATGACTGACTCACAAAACTTCTGAAAATATAGCATCTGGCTCTCATGGGCCAGAGGGAGCCAGCTCCAGCACATACCCGGGGCCAACTATATTTCCAAGTCCTGAATGACCCTCATCCCTACTCCCATGCCCCTTTGCCATTCATTCAGGACCCCATAGCCCACCGCCTTTGATGGGAGCTCCTGGATTCCAAAGCAAACCCTAGCTGGCACCAAAGCCTCACTGCCACCTTGAGCGAGAGTTCTGGCGACAGATTGACAACAGTGGCTTTTCCATGGGTGGGTGGCCTCTTTTTGCCTGGGAAGGGGTGGAAGAGAGCCAGGGACACTTGCATTGACTCTGGAATGCACACCTGGCAAGCACTCAAGTCTAAGAGGAAGAGAAAGATCAAGGTGTGAGTGCAGGGGAGCTCTGGCTCAGCCCTCTGTCAACTTGGCCCTGCTCCTGGCTGGGCTGAAATTGACTTCGGAAGGCTTTCCAGAAAGGCTGGTGATGCTGGAGACTGTGGGCTGGGGGGCAGGGCAAACATTTCTCTTCTGCCTCCAGGATGTTACTCAGAGCTCTGGAAGCTACTCCCAAGGGTGATCCAGTGTTTGCCCTTGAAGTCTACATTTTCGGCCCTATTTCCTTTTCAGCAGTAGAAGTGGCTGGCAGTGGAATTTGGGTCTGGGCCTCGTGCTGAGTGGCTGTCGGCTTTGGAATCTGACCCTCCCTGGTGGAAAAAGCTGGGCCAGCATTTGGGGCAGTCCTCAGCGTGCAGGCCCTATATGCTGTCTACTTTGGGCCACACGCACTTGGCTTTGCTCCTCAGGTAACCCCTGGGAAACCTATCAGGTGCAACTGCTCTGATGCAGTTGGGGCAGTGTTGTGATGGGCTGCTGTGATGTCACTGCATGAATGAAGGTTCTGTGTTTGCACCTAGGCTGGCAGCTCTCCAGGGGCACAGTCCTCAGCCCCACCCTAGCCAGCACTCAGTAGAAGGACCAGCCCTCAGAGACTGGCTGAATGAATTGATGAGTACAAGCCTGGCTGACATTCAAGATTTCTTCCTGGTGAAACAGAAGCACAGTGTGGAGTCCTGTGTGGAAGCTCTCATCTTGACGTCTTGTACAAAGAGTGTCCTTCATTATTGCTAACACTAGAGGGGAGGGGAACCTCACTAATCCCCCCCTGCCCGACACGTACAAACACACAAAGGTTTCTACTAGCCGGATGTTCTGTAACCAGGAAGTTCAGATGCCTTTTTTTTTCTCCCAGTCTATGAGAAAAGTCACCTCTGTCCCCACCCACATGCGCACTGCTACACGCTGTGCCTACCAAGGCTGGCAGAAGTGTGCTGGCTGGGAGTGATTTGCTCTTGGCATCAGCCTGAGAATATCCTGTGCGGCTGAGAAGGTGGTGCTGCCCTCTCTGCAACACAGGGATTGGGAATTGATCGGGGCGAGGGGGCACACACTAAGGACTCAATGCACTCTGAAAGGGGAGGGCTCCAACATCAACAGAATTACAAGTGCTCCACTCCCTGCCATGCCCCCTGCATCCCAGCATTCACACACATCCTCCCGCAGATGCTGTCTGACACTATTCACAGGGGTTTGGAAAAAAGGGAAGGCCTGCCATAAAGTCTGCAAAGAGGTGTGACTATGGAGTTTCAGTAGGAAAAAAATCTCTGGGGGACCACAATTCCTATTGTCCTTATGGCTATGGATCATGGTTATGGTTATGGACAATTAAGGAGGCGATGTAAAAATCACTGTCCAGGAACCCTCCCTGCATGTCCCCGAGGATGACACCTCCACACCCTTGTCAACATGTCCTGGGCTTAATGACCCTGTGAGTGCACCTAGCTTTGAAAGTTCTGGTGTTTGCACGTGTGTGTGTGTGTGCGCGCGCACACGTGTGTGTGTGTGTGAAGGAGAGAGAAACAGTGAGAGAGAGAAAATTAATACTCTTGTTTCCAGACTAGACTTTGCTTCTGTGCTCGAAACACACACACTCCCATCCAAGTGCCTCCTGGACAGCCCCACTTACACATCCTATAGGCAACTCAAATTGAATCTACCCAACACAACTTGTCATCCTTTCCTTCCCCCTCAAACTCACAGTTTGTCCTGCCTGATGATCCCTTTCTCAATAAGTGGCACTGCCACTCACCTACCTGGCCAAGCAGGAAATCTGGGCACACCCTCGTCTCACACTCCCATAGGCCTAGTCATCAAGTCAGGCCTGTTCTAGCCTTCACGTTTTCACTTCAACAACCTCGCTCTCCATGCACGGTCACTACTTCAGGTCAGGCCCCCATCTATGTGGAAGTGCAGCAAGGCCTCCTGATGAGCTTTCCTGCCTCTAGTTCCCCCACTATCCCCACCCCCCCCTCCAATCCATTCTCAACCCTCTCAACAAACCAGTCCCGAAGGAAGTGCCCAAGGCAGCAGGAAGCAGACCTGCCTGACAAGTCTTTCTCTCCAGGTTGTAGGTGCCTGATGTTCCCCCTTATTCCAGTAGTTTCTGGGGACAGCACTGCCATATTAGCTAGCTCACCACTCTAGGTTATCTGATTCACCCTACTGGCATTGGCAGAAAGGAAGGAATGTGAACTGAGAAGAAAGTTTTGAGGCTGGGCGCGGTGGCTCATGCCTGTAATCCCAGCACTTTGGGAGGCCAAAGCGGGCGGAATACCTGAGGTCAGGAGTTTGAGACCAGTCTGACCAACATGGTGAAACCCCATCTCTACTAAAAATACAAAATTAGCTGGGCATTGTGGCACATGCCTGTAATCCCAGCTACTCAGGAGGCTGAGGCAGGAGAATTGCTTGAACCTGGGAAGTGGAGGTTGCAGTGAGCCGAGATCGCGCCACTGCACTCCAGGCTGGGCAACAAGAGCAACACTCCGTCTCAAAAAAAAAAAAAAAAATTGACACCAATGAGGAAGTCAGGGGAAGGCCCAGAGAAGGGTAATGCGCATGTCCATAGGACCAGAGGGGATTTGTGGGGAGTGGCTTCCTGAAAAGGTGTGGGCTGGGTTCTGAAGGGACAGCCCATGAGGAAGCCTGGCCCTGAAGAAGGCAGGGCCAGTGGAAGGGAGAGGTCTCAGCTTGCCAGCTCCTGCCATGACAGGTGACTGTGCTTCCCTCCCAAGGTCTTTCTGTGGGGAGAGCCAGCAAATAGCTCTCAGGGGGAGAGTTATGATCTCCCAGAATGTGGTGTCCAGGCTTCCTTCCAGGAGGGAGAAAGAAACTGGCAAGAGGAAATTTGGGGGTGGGGTTGAAAAAGGGCTCCCATTCTCCCACTCAAGACCTATGACCTGAAAAGTTGACAGAGCCACGCATTTCTTCCTCTGGGTGGGCGGATCCTGATCGTCTTCAGAGTCTGAGGGAGGCTTTTTCTCTTACAAAACTCAAGTCTCTTCTTAACCCCCATCCTCTAGGCCAGCTGGAGAGACAGCCCCCTATAAGATATAGCTTGCACCAACCCCTCTCCAGTCCTGCAAGGTGACATTGAAGCCCGTGCCCTTCTGTGGCCGCCTCTGACATCTCCAGGACACTGCCGCAACCAGTTCTCCAGGATGTGACACCACCAGACTTCTTGAGAAGAGCCCACCGTGCCTCATTCATCTTTGTATCTGTACTATGATGTGTCGCTCAAACATAACCAGAGCTAAGAAGATGACCACCATGCATCCTTCTACTCAGCCTGCAAAATGCCCATCTTTTCTCTATCCTGGTACTTCCTCCAAGGTCAACCCCTTCCCCTACACCCTTTTCGTTTTTTGTCCTGTGTTTGCTTTTTGGAGACAGGGTCTTGCTCTGTTGCCCAGGCTGGAGTGCAGTGGCGTGATCATGGCTCACTGAAACTTGACTTCCTGGGCTCAATCGATCCTCTCACCTCAGCTTCCAGAGTAGCTGGGACTACAGGTGCGTGCCACCACACCTGGCTAATTTTTGTATTTTTTTTGTAGAGACGGGGTCTCTCTATGTTGCCCAGGCTGGTCTTGAACTCCTGGCCTCAAGAGATCTTCCTACCTCGGCCTTCCAAAATGCTGGGATTACAGGCATGAGCTACCATGCCTGGCTCCTTTCACTCCTTTGGGAATATACCTTTTACTGCCCCGAAGTCCAGATTCTGACCATGGTGAGCAGGTCTCTTCAAGAACTAGCTGCTGCTTTCATTTCTCACCACTCCCTCCCCAATCCTTGGTACTCTGTCTTGCCATACTTTTTTATTTTATTTTTATTTATTTATTTTTATTTATTTTGGGACAGAGTCTCACCCTATCGCCAGGCTGGAGTGCAGTGGCACAATCTCAGTTCACTTCAACCTCTGCCTCCCAGGTTCATGCAATTCTCCTGCCTCAGCCTCCCGAGTAGCTGGGACTACAGGCGTGCGCCACCATGCCCAGCTAATTTTTGCATTTTTAGTAGAGACGGGGTTTCACCATGTTGGCCAGGATGGTCTCGATCTCTTGACCTTGTGATCCCCCTGCCCTGGCCTCCCAAAGTGCTGGGACTACAGGCGTGAGCCACCGCTCCTGTCCTATACTTAAAAAACTCTTTATTTGGAAGTAATTTCAGGCTGGGCGCGGTGGTTCACGTCTGTAATCCCAGCACTTTGGGAGGCCGAGGTGGGTGGATTGCCTGAGCTCAGTAGTTCAAGGCCAGCCTGGCTGACATGGCAAAACCCTGTCTCTACCAAAAATGCCAAAAAAAAAAAAAAAAAAAAGATGCCGGCAGGAGGATCACTTGAACCTGAGAGGCGGAGGTTGCAGTGAGCTAAGATTGTACCTCTGCACTCCAGCCTGGGCAACAGAGTGAAACTCCATCAAAAAAATAAAAATAAAAAAAAATTCAAATTTACAAAATGTGCAAAAATAAAAAGAGCACGAGGAACACTTGTATAATCTTTACCCAGATTCATCTGCTTTTAACATTTTATCTCATTTCCTTTATCATTTGGGTTCTCTCTCTCTTTCTCGCTCTTTCTCTCTCCATACAGATACACACACATATTATGTATATACATTTTATACATACACACTATATATACACATATACACATACACATAATATATACACATTATGTATATACATTTTATATGCATACTATAAACACACACACTTTTTCTGAACCATTTGAGAATAAGTTGTATATATCATGGTCCTTTACCTCTACACTTCAGTGTATATTTCCTAAGAATAGAGATATCCTGTTCCAGATTTTTAAAAAAGCTAAATGCAATACCTGACCCTAGAGTAGCTCCTGTACTTGAGAGGAAAAAAATGTTCTAAAGAACATTCCCGCAGCATTTTTTTTAGATGGCATGATCTTGGCTCACTGCAACCTCCACCTCCTGGGCTCAAGCGATTCTCCTGCCTCAGCCTCCCGAGTGGAGCTGGGATTACAGGCGCGCACCACTACTGCCCGGCTAATTTTTATTTTTATTTTATTTTTAGTAGAGATGGGGTTTCACCACGTGGGTCAGGCTGGTCTCGAGCTCCTGACCTCAGGTGATCCGCCCACCTCGGCCTCCCAAAGTGCTTGGATTACAAGCATGAGCCACCACGCCCCGGCCTGTTGTTTCTTTAAATCTTTTCAAAAACCAACTTAAAAAAAACTTCAGTAGTTTTCTGGGGTACAGGTTGTTTTTTGGTTACATGGATAAGTTCTTTAGTGGAAAACTGACTTTTCATTTCATTGATCTTGTATATTTTTTTAAGTCTCAATTGTATTTATTTCTGCTCTGGCCTTTATTACTTCTTTCCTTCTACTAATTTTGGGTTTGGTTTGTTCTTGCTTTTCTAGTTTTTGTTTTGTTTTGTTTTGTTTTGTTTTGAGACAGAGTCTCGCTCTGTCGCCGAGGCTGGAGTGCAGTGGCACGATCTCGGCTCACTGCAATCTCCACCTCCCGGGTTCACACCATTCTCCTGCCTCAGCCTCCCAAGTAGCTGGGACTACAGGCGCCCGCCACCACGTCCGGCTAATTTTTTGTATTTTTTTTAGTAGAGACGGGGTTTCACCGCGTTAGCCAGGATGGTCTTAATCTCCTGACCTGATCTGCCCGTCTCGGCCTCCCAAAGTACTGGGATTACAGGTGTGAGCCACTGCGCCCAGCCACTTTTCTAGTTTTTTGAGGTGCATTGTTGGGTTGTTTATTTGAAATCATTATATTTTCTTGATATAGTTGCTTATTGGTACAAACTTTCCTCTTAGTACTGCTCTTACTGTATCCCACAGATTTTGGCATGTTGTGTTTCATCCGATATTTTTTTCTTTTTGAGACAGGGTCTCATTCTGTACCCCAGGATGGAGTGCAGTGGCACGATCATAGCTCACTGGAGCCTCAAACTCCTGGTCTCAAGTGATCTTCCCACCTCAGCCTCCTGAGTAGCTAAGACTATAGGCTTGCACCACCGTGCCCAGCTTATCTTCTTAATTTTTTGTAGAGACAGGGTCTCGCTGTGTTGCCCAGGCTGGTCTTGAACCCCTGGCCTCAAGTGATCCTCCCACCTAAGCTTCCTAAAGGGTTGGGATTACAGGCGTGAGCCACCACATCTGGCCCATCCAATCTTTATAATGATATTTGCAAAATGATGTGTTTCCAACTCTCATGCTCCCTCCATCCACATTTGCCAGATGGCCCTTGCACTCTAGCCATTTTGAACCACTTTTGGTTCTCCACACCTGCTAAGTACTATTGGCTAACTCCTATTTATCCTTCAGCCTGGGCTGTTACAATTGGTAATGCACAACATTCACACTGTAGCCATGCCACATGGCAGCTGTGGTTGAGATGGCACTTCCTTTTTTTCTTGAGACACAATCTTGCTCTGTCAACCAGGCTGGAGTGCAGTAGTGAGATCTTGACTCACTGCCACCTCTGCTTCCTGGGTTCAAGGAATTCTCCTGCCTCAGCTCCCCGAGTAGCTGGGATTACAGGTGTGTGCCACCACACCCAGCTAATTTCTGTATTTTTAGTAGAGACAGGGTTTTGCCATGTTGCCCAGGCTGGTCTCGAACTCCTGGCCTCAAGTGATCTGCCCACTTCGGCTTCCCAAAGTGCTGGGATTACAGGTGTGAGCCACCGCGCCCGGCCGAGATGGAGCTTTCTCTCGGAAGTGTTTCCAGATTCCCCAAATGTCAGTTAGTTAAACATTCTTCCTTCTTTGCTCCCAAATCTCAGTCTGCTGACCCCTCTTAACACTCTTGTCACACTATATTGTAATTCTTACTTCTCTGCCTCCTTCACTGGGATATAAGCTCCATAAGGGTAGGATTTTTTCTCTCTTCTTCTCTGCTGTGTATCCCTTGCTCCTAGTACAGTGCCTGGCCCACAATATCTGTTCAGCAAATGTCAAGTCAATAAATAGTTTGGTCTTATGTTACAGCTTGTTTTAATTCCACTTTATTAAACTAATAAACTAATTCCATTTATATATGTGTGACTGGCTTCTCTGGCAGAGGACAAAGTCCTTAAGGGAAAGGACTATGCTTAAGTCAACTTTGCATCCTCTTCCCCTCCCCTTGGTACTTGGTACAGGACCTTGTTCATAACAGACACTCAACAAATGTTCACTGAATGAGTCTGTATGTGTATATTGGTTGTTAAGGGTACACTTTTTTTTTTTCCTTTCCATAGAACTGCACAAAACTGTTTGTGAGCAAGATCTGAGAAGCAAGCGATGTGCTTTTTGAACGCCTGCTGTTCTGGCACACCTGGGCCCAACCCTGACTGAGCCCGAGGCACAGGAAGGAAATGCAGTTGCAATGTGATTAGGGTCATGAGGGTTTCTGTAACCGAGGGACGCCAAAACCTGAGTGAGTCTCTGAGGGCGATCAAGGGTTGCCCAGGACCTATCCTGAAGCTCTGAAGCCTTCCTAGATGACAGTCTCTGACTCCTCCTATGGAATCCCTCATAGGAGCCCCTGGCCGGGCTAGATCCCTAGGATAGGTGAGCTGACTTTGGAAGTCTTTCTGGTGCAATGTCACTTGGAAGTCAAGCTGTTTGTGTTGGGATAATGTAGAAAGAAGAAGCCTGAAGAGAAGGCCTAGGAGGGGCTGGGCTGACAATCCAGCCCTTTGAAGAGCAGGGGCTACCTCTGTGGTCTAGGGCACAGCCTGCCAATCTGGCAGGATGACCTCAGATGATGGCCGAGACAACAGCTGGATTCCGGATTGTTGTCTTGCCCTGCAACCCTGGGGCCCCCGTACCCTCAGGCCCATTGCCACAGCAGCACATGCTTCTTTGTGGAGGCTGAGACCTTTGATCAGCTCAGTAGCCACAGCAACTCTTCCTAAAAGGCACTGGCTTGGGAAGCTCTCCTGTGGACTCTTACCAGCCCTCTAGAGGCAGAGTGGGGGCCCCAAGAACAGCATCAGGAAAAAGTCAATGTAGTAAGAACTTTAGATGACACAATCTTGCCTCTATACAGGAATTTTAGCCTAGATACAGGCTATTTTTTAGTTTTTCCTTTCTGTGTAAGAAATGCACCATACAACACAACATTTAGCTTTTTCCCAATAGGAAAAAAAATGCACCAAAGGGCCCAAGATCGGTAAGTGAAAACCTTGAAACTTACAGCCAGGGAATAGAGGGACATGCATCGAACACGGGAACCACTGACATGGACGTTTTTCTTTTTGTTTAAAAAGCATGTATAGGCGGGGTGCAGTGGCTCACGCCTGTAATCCCAGCAATTTAGGGGGCCAAGACAGGTAGATCACCTGAGGTCAGGAGTTTGAGGTCAGCTTGGCCAACATGGTGAAACCCTGTGCCTACTAAAAATGCAAAAATTAGCTGGGCATGGTGGTGGGCACCTGTAGTCCCAGCTACTTGGGGGGTGAGGCAGGAGAATTGCTTGAACCCAGGAGGTAGAGGTTGCAGTGAGCCGAGATCGCGCCATTGCACTCCACCCTGGGCCACAGAGTGAGACTCCGTCTCAAAAATAAAATAAAATAAAAACAATAAATAAATAAATAGCATGTATATTGCACTTACCACATGCCCAGGCACCGTTCTAAATGCATTGCAATCTGTTAACTCACTGAATCCTCATAACAAGTCTTTTAAAGTAGGTACAGTTATCCCCATTTTACGGTGGAAGAAATGGAAGCAGACAGAGGTTAAATAACTTGTCCAAAGTTGTAACCACCCAGTGGGTTCACCTTGCTCACTGCCTAGATAGAGACGATTTATCAAGACAGGGGAATTGCAATGGAGAGTTCGGCCTATGCCCAGGAATGAACAAGGACAGCTTAAAGGTTAGAAGCAAGATGGAATCGGTTAGGTCTGTTTTCTTTCACTATCATAACTTCCTCAGTTATAATTTTGCAAAGGTGGTTTCAAAGTCACACAGGCGATAAATGGCAGAGTCAGGATTCCAGCCCAGGCAGCCTCTGTTTGCTTCGGCACTCTGCCCTGCTGCCTCCTTGAGTTTACAAGCCTCGTGATCATAGAACAGGACAGGGAGTGGCCCTCTTACTCCTCCCTTTTTCTTTCTTCCTTAGGTTCTTTTATATGGATCAAGTGCAGGAGTCCAGCCTGTCCCCTAGCCACATCAGGGAGAAAAAAAATGTGTGTGTGTGTGTGTGTGTGAGAGAGAGAGAGAGAGAGAGAATATGAGAGAATATGAAGGTGGCACTGCTGTCTGGATGCTTCTGGAAAACCCAGCTCTGTCAAGGACTGAGGAATACTGCAGTGGAAACTCCTGCATTTTATTTCCTGAGCCAGAATTCTGAGATGAGTATGCTTAGAGACTCCCCTAAGATGAGCAGCATCAAAGTCTCTTTAACCCTTGCCTCAGGGAACAGTCACCTAACAAAGAGGAGCTGGGGCTAAGCTTCTGTTTTACACTGAACAGAGCAGGGAAGAAAATTCATGCATCAGGGTGCTCTTTAGAGTTCTATTGTGAAGGAGAATAACTTGTTTATATTAGGCAAGGCCCCAGTAGCTTCTTTGTAAATTTCAGTCTGGAGAAAATAAAGCCAGAGCTGCAAGTCCAAACAGGTAAAAAAAAAAAAAAAAAAATTTTTTTTTTTTTTTTGAGACGGAGTCTCACACTCTTGCCTGGGCTGGAGTGCAATGGCGCAATCTCAGCTCACTGTAACCTCTGCCTCCCAGCTTCAAGCGATTCTCCTTGCCTCAGCCTCTCAAGTAGCTGGGATTACAGGCACCCGCCACAACGCCCAGCTAATTTTTTTTGTAATTTTAGTAGAGACGAGGTTTCACCATGTTGGCCAGGCTAGTCTCGAACTCCTGACCTCGTGATCCGCCTGCCTCGGCCTCCCAAAGTGCTGGGATTAGAGGCATGAGCCACCGCGCTTGGCCCCAGGTAAAATTTTGATAAGCTCATGAAAATTTCAACTAGAGAGTTCAGGCACCCATGGCTGGGATGAGGGCAACAAATCTGGAGCAACAAACATGCAACCAACAAGCTTTTTTTGACAGCATACTTTTGTTTGGCACTCCTCTACGCACTGGGATACAAATATGAGTAAGAATGCTACCACCTAAAATAATAGATGCCTGGATAGGCATAGCTTATCTCTGGAAGGTAACACCAGAATGTGGTCATGGAGATTACCTGTGGGTGGCGAGGGAACAGGGGTGGGAGGGAAACTAACTTGTTACTGTAAACCCTTTATACCTTGTCAATTTGGTATCCGAGGATATATTACCAATATATTACCCATTCAAAAGATAAATGTGGTATCAGGGAGACACAAATACGTAAATGTGTAAATAGAGAAGTAAATAGCAGCATCAGCTCACAAAAGCATGTTCACAGTGCTAGAGTTATTGACAACAATGGAGGAACCATGATATAAAGACTGAATTTACTAGCCCAGGCATGATGGCTCACGCCTGTAATCCCAGCACTTTGGAGGCCCAGGCCGGCAGATCGCCTGAGGTCAGGAGTTCGAGACCAGCCTGGCCAACATGGAGAAACCCTGTCTCTACTAAAAATACAAAAATTAGCCGGCCGTGGTAGCTCATGCCTGTAATTCCAGCTACTTGAGGGGCTGAGGTGGGAGGATCACTTGAGCCTGGGCTATCGAGGCTGCAGTGAGTTGAGATTGTGCCACTGCACTCCAGCCTGGGAGACAGGAGTGAGACCCTGTCAAAAAAAAAAAAAGACCAAATTTACCAATTTGGTTTCCTGGCTTAGGACAGAATTGAGGCTTCAGCCATGATAGTGACGTCTAAGAAGTCCCTCTACCTCTAGCCAGAGGTCCTGGCTAGAAGAAAAAAAAAAAAGTATGTTTTCTTGTCTTTTTCCAAACACATCACAAGAGCAATATATAACCTGACAAGAATGCAGGGGCAGGTAAGACCTGCCTAAGGCTGAAGGAGTTTTGTCCTTCCATAGGCATTGGCCTCCTCCTCCCCTCACAGACAAAGGTGACTGTGTCAGTAACAACTATTTACCTTGCAAGCACATACCTGTGCCTAGCCAGACCTACTCCCTTGCATAGAGAAGTGATTCCTGACAGACTCTGCATCCAACTGGTCTTGGGGCAATGCCACCTGCTCACTCTAGCCTAAACCTGCTGAGGAGCTAGCACAATCCTGAGAAAAAGGGTCAAGAAATCACGTTCTGGCCGTTGAGTGGTGGCTCACTCCTGTAATCCCAACACTTTGGGAAACTGAGGCAGGAGGATCACTTGAGGCCAGGAGTTCAACACCGCAGTGAGCTCTGATCACACCACTGCACTCTAGCCTGGGCAACAGTGAGACCCTGTTTCAAAAAAAAAAAAAAAAAGAATAAGAAGTGGATAACTCGATTATCCACAGGTGGATTGTTTTTTTCTGGATTATAGGCTGACAATTTATTATTATTATGTATGTATTTATTTATTTATTGCGAGACAGAGTCTCACTCTGTCACCCAGGCACGATCTTGGCTCACGGCAACCTTTGCCTCCCGGGTTCAAACAATTCTTCTGCCTCAGCCTCCCAAGTAGCTGGGACTACAGGCACCTGCCACAACATTTGGCTAATTTGTGTATTTTTTAGTAGAGACAGGGTTTTGCCATGTTGGCCAGGCTAGTCTCAAACTGCTGACCTCAACTGATCCACCTGCCTCTGCCTCCCAAAGTGGTACGATTACAGATGAGAGCTACCGTGCCGGGCCTATGCTGACAGTTTTTAATCCTGGCCTGATTTTCCCTCATATACCCCTCCCCCAGGCTACCTTTAGACTTCCTTTATCCAAAGCCCAGTGGGTCTACTAGGGAAATAATGTCATGATAACTATGACTGCCACCCTTTATTGAATGCTTCCAGGGGCCAGACATCAGGCTGTGTTATATGTATTAGTCTTCATGCAATCCTCACAGATACCCAATGAGAAAGGTATTCTGGCTATATCTGTGTTTTGCAGATGAAGAAACTCAGGGAGATAAACAGCTAGCAAATGGTGGTGATTGGACTGAAAACCAGACTGTGTGGCTGAGCGCCCATACCACTGGTCTATAAAGGCTCTTAACCACTCTCCTATTCTGCATCCCATAAAGTTAATTTTAATTAGCCCAATCCAGCTCTATTTAGGAAGAGAAATATGCTGCCAAAAATCACTTACAATATCCAAAAGCTAAATATAAAAGGCTTTTCTATTATCACTTGTTTGGGGCTATTTAGGCCAAGGCTTCCTTCCAAGGGCCTGTGTAACCAAGGGTTATATGGAAGCTTAGCATCTGGGCAAACAGGAAATGAGCCCAGCTCTGCTGGCTCTGTCAGCGCCCTAAAAAGATCTACTCACGGGGGAAGTTAAACTTATAGAACCAGGATGGGCCAGGTGCGGTGGCACACACCTGTAATCCCAACACTTTGGGAAGCTGAGGTGGGCAGATCACTTGAGGTCAGGAGTTCGAGACCAGCCTGGCCAACATGGCAAAACCCTGTCTCTACTAAAAATACAAAAATGTAGCTGGGTATGGTTGTGTGTGCCTGTAGTCCCAGCTACTTGGGAGCAGGAGAATCGCTTGAACCCGGGAGGTTGAGGTTGTAGTGAGCTGAGATAGCGCCACTGCACTCTGGCCTGGGTGACAGAGCAAGACTCTGTCTAAACAAACAAACAAACAAAAAAACAAAACCCAGCATGGAAATGAAAACCTTAGACCGGGCTCTGAGATCAGAAATGTCAAGAATAGCCTTCCAGTTTACTGTCCCTGGGGTGGGGAGTTTGGGGGTGGTGGGGGGACAAATGCCCGGGATGAGCATTTTGTAGTTGATAGCTGAGGGTTTTGTGGGCTGGCTTCTGGGTCCCATCGGGTCATGTTCTTGGAATTCTAGACATATGTTCAGGCCCAGAAGAAAGAAACTTCCAGAGTCGCTTATCCCATATTATTGGCTTCTCTGCACCTGCAGAGGGAGATTGGGCCTCATCTTCCTTAGCTTGCTGTCATAGATTTGCCTTCCTCTTCTAAAATGCTGTGGCTGGAGACCAAGAGACTTCTCTAACAATCATCCGAGACACTCTTTCCCTCATATTACTTCTTTGTTTTTACTTTTGTTTTTGAGACCGAGTCTCGCTCTGTCACCCAAGCTGAAGTGCAGTGTCATGATCTCGGCTCACTGCAACCTACACCTCCCGGGTTCAAGCAATTCTCCTGCCTCTGCCTCCCAAGTAGCTGGGATTACAGGCACCTGCCACCATGCCCAGCTAATTTTTGTATTTTTTGTAGAGATGGAGTTTCACCATGTTGGCCAGGCTTGTCTTGAACTCCTGACTTCAGGCGATACGCCAGCCTTGGCCTCCGAAGTGCTGGGATTACAGGCGTGAGCCACCGCACCCAGCCCCTCATATGACTTTTTCACTGACTTCTTAATGCACAGTCGGGGAGCTGAGCAGCTGCCTGTACCTGGCTGGGCTGGGCCTGAAACCACTCAGCCCCATCACAGCAGCCTCCATCCTTGCCGATGCAGACCCATGGGACCAGCCCTGAAGACATCCTGTCTTTCCCTCTTTCTGGAATGCCCTCCCTGCTCCGTTCTCACACCTCCTGCCCCTTCACCTTCAATCAGTCAGGGAAAAACCCACTTTCTACTCACCTGCCACTTGTGTCTTCCAAGGTTTTTCTGTACTCAGTATAGTCAATGGTACCACATTGCTTTATTGTTACTGGAACAATAACATGGATTCCAGCTACCATTTACTGAGCACTACCTGTGAGCCAGGCTCTATCTCATTTATGCAATATCTCACTGAAACCCCACAACCACCCTGTGAGGTGGATACTGTTTTTGCCCTCCCCATTTTACAGATGAGGTAACTGAGGTTCAGGAAGTTCAGCAGCCTGACTTATGACATAGTGCTAAGAAGTGATGGGATCGAGATCTGAACCCAGGTCTCTGTGATCTCTGAACCAATGTGGGCTTGCCTTTTCTCTTCCATCAGATTGGGTTTGGTGAAGGAGTCTTTGATTTCTCCTGGATTTCCACCTCCCCACACCCAATCCTGGGCTCAGCTTGCAGTGGGCACTTGCCCAACTGATCTCAGTTTGCAGGGGTCTTCCTAGCACCATCAGGCCCACTGGGCCTCACACTCTGCTGTTTCCTGGCCCTGTTAGGGAGATGAAAATGGTGAGGTGTCCAGGAGCTAGAAGCAGGAGGAAGTGTCAAGTTTGGCCAATAACCAATGTCCCCTGTAGTCGGGTAAGGGCTCTTTGGCTTCCCAGAGCTCGCCTCATTGCCATATGGCAACACGCACACCTCTGACGTTGCAGCTCCTGCTAATAGGGCAGGGGAAATGGATGGCATTGATATCCTCTTTGTGCTTGTTCAGATAGCTGAAGCACCTATGAGGGGAGATTGCCTTTATTTTTTATTTTTCTGAGATGGAGTCTCGCTGCGACGCCCAGGCTAGAGTGCAATGGAACGATCTCGGCTCACTGCAACCTCCGCCTCCCGGGTTCAAGCCATTCTCTCGGGTTCAAGCCATTCTTCTGCCTCAGCCTCCCGAGTAGCTGGGATTACAGGCGCCTGCCACCAC
The DNA here is from genome assembly GCF_000001405.40 of Homo sapiens. Lineage (NCBI taxonomy): Eukaryota > Metazoa > Chordata > Mammalia > Primates > Hominidae > Homo > Homo sapiens. The sequence goes on along the minus strand of NC_000023.11, from coordinate 119,489,154 downwards.
ACCCGGCTAATTTTTCTATTTTTAGTAGAGATGGGGTTTCACCATATTGGCCAGGCCGGTCTTGAACTCCTGATCTCAAGTGATCTGCCCACTTTGGACTCCCAAAGTGCTGGGATAACAGGCATGAGCCACAGCGCCCGGCCAGGAGATTGCCTTTTAATATCACTAGTATTGCCATCGTAATTGGACTTTGCCAGATATAATCTGCCCCCTTGTGGACGGTGCTGTCCTGACAATTTGAAGGAAGAGAAGGAAAAAAAAAAAAAATCCGGCAGTCTCTAAAATTCCTGGGAAAATGTTATTGCCCAAAAAATTTGCAGCGTCTGGGAACTGGCCATTCCAACTTTCACTGACCAGGGCCAGCAGAACCCCCTGTGAGTCTTCCGGGTTATTTTACACTTTGACAGGAGGTGGTAGACAGGCTCAGCTCTGTGCTTTTTGGCAGTAAAACACACGTAGCAGGTCTCTGCATCTTTCTGAGTTAATACCTATTTCTCTTTTCTAATTTGCAGTCATCTCTCCAGTTTCCTTTCAAAAATAAGTTCTGGCCGGGTACGGTGGCTCACGCCTGTAATCCCAGCACTTTGGGAGGCCGAGGCGGGTGGGTCACGAGGTCAGCAGTACCAGACCTGCCTGACCAACATGGTGAAACCCCATCTGTACTAAAAATACAAAAATTAGCCGGGTGTGGTGGCACGCACCTGTAATCGAATCCCAGCTACTCAGTGAGAGGTGACAGCGTGCTGGCAGTCCTCACAGCCCTCGCTCGCTCTCGGCGCCTCCTCTGCCTGGGCTCCCACTTTGGCGGCACTTGAGGAGCCCTTCAGCCCACCACTGCATTGTGGGAGCCCCTTTCTGGGCTGGCCAAGGGCAGAGCCGGCTCCCTCAGCTTGCAGGGAGGTGTGGAGGGAGAGGCGCGAGCAGGAACCGGGGATGCATGAGGCGCTTGCGGGCCAGCTGGAGTTCCGGGTGGGCGTGGGCTTGGCGGGCCCCGCACTCGGAGCAGCCGGCCAGCCCTGCCGGCCCTGGGGAATGAGGGACTTAGCACCCGGGCCAGTGGCTGCGGAGAGTGTACTGGGTCCCCCAGCAGTGCCGGCCCACCGGCACTGCGCTCGATTTCTCACCGAGCCTTAGCTGTCTTCCCGTAGGGCAGGGCTCGGGACCTGCAGCTCTCCATGCCTGAGCCTCCCACCCACTCCATGGGCTCCTGTGCGGCCCAAGCCTCCCCAACGAGCACCACACCCTGCTCCACGGCGCCCAGTCCCATCGACCACCCAAGGGCTGAGGACTGCGGGCGCACGGCGCGGGACTGGCAGGCAGCTCCACCTGCAGCCCCAGTGTGGGATCCACTAGGTGAAACCAGTTGGGCTCCTGAGTCTGGTGGGGACGTCTTTATGTCTCGCTCAGGGATTGTAAATACACCAATCAGCACCCTGTGTTTAGCTCAAGGTTTGTGAGTGCACCAATCCACACTCTGTATCTAGCTGCTCTGGTGGGGCCTTGAAGAACCTTTATGTCTAGCTCAGGGATTGCAAATACACCAATCAGCACCCTGTGTTTAGCTCAAGGTTTGTGAGTGCACCAATCAACACTCTGTATCTAGCTGCTCTGGTGGGGACAGTGGAGAATCTTTATGTCTAGCTCAGGGATTGTAAATACACCAATCAGCACTCTGTGTTTAGTTCAAGGTTTGTGAGTGCACCAATCGACACTCTGTAGCTAGCTGCTCTGGTGGGGCCTTGGAGAACCTTTATGTCTAGCTCAGGGATTGTAAATACACCAATCGGCACTCTGTATCTAGCTCAAGGTTTGTAAACACACCAATCAGCACCCTGTGTTTAGCTCAAGGTTTGTGAATGCACCAATTGACACTCTGTATCTAGCTGCTCTGGTGGGGCCTTGGAGAACCTGTGTGTCCAAACTCTGTATCTAACTAATCTGATGGGGACCTGGAGAACCTTTGTATCTAGCTCAGGGATTGTAAACGCACCAATCAGTGCCCTGACAAAACAGGCCACTGGGCTCTACCAATCAGCAGGATGTGGGTGGGGGCCAGATAAGAGAATAAAAGCAGGCTGCCCAGCCAGCATTGGCAACCCGCTCCGGTCTCCTTCCATGGTGTGGAAGGTTTGTTTTTTCGCTCTTTGCAATAAATCCTGTTATTGCTTACTCTGGGTGCACACTGTTTTTATGAGCTGTAACACTCACTGTAAAGATCTGCAGCTTCACTCCTGAGCCCAGTGAGACCACGAGGCTACCAGGAGGAGCAAACAACTCCAGACGCGCTGCCTTAAGAGCTGTAACAGTCACCGCGAGAGTCTGCAGCTTCACTCCTGAGCCAGCGAGACCACGAACCCACCAGAAGGATAAAACTTCGAACACATCTGAGCATCAGAAGGGACAGACTCCAGACGCGCCACCTTAAGAGCTGTAACACTCACCGCGAGGGTCTGCGGCTTCATTCTTGAAGTCAGTGAGACCAAGAACCCACCAATTCCGGACACATCAAGAGGCTGAGGCAGGAGAATCGCTTGAACCCAGGAGGCAGAGGTTGCAGTGAGCCAAGACTGCGCCATTGCACTCCAGCCTGGGCAACAGAACGAGACTCTGTCTCAAAAACAACAACAAAAAACAAGTTCTGTTATTTGCTTTCTCTGCCCTACCTGTCCTTTCATCCCCATTGCCATCACCCTAGCCTGTCACTAATCCCTTTGCTGTTGCAACAACTGCGATACCTGTGTCTCCTCCTCCTCCACTTCAACCCACACCTCACACCACATCTGTGTTGATTGTCTAACCCATTGTCCACATCTGTGTTCATCGTCCAACACCCACCCTACTTTGTGTGCGAAGCTCCCCATTGCCTACACGGATAAAAGGTTCAAGGCCCCAAACTTCCTCTCAGTCAACCCGTATTAGCTGATGACCTACTGTATGCAAAGCACTCCTCCGAAATCTGCTTCAGCCTAAGGGGTGTGATCACAATGGCCACCAATTGTCCTTGAGGGTTGCAGCAGGCTCTTTACTCACATTGTATCATGTAATCTGTTTTTTTGGAGAGGGAGTCTTGCTCTGTCGCCCAGGCTGGTGTGCAGTGGTGCGATCTCGGCTCACTGCAACTTCCACCTCCTGGGTTCAAGCGATTCTCCTGTCTCAGCCTCTTGAGTAGCTGGGACTACAGGCATGCACCACCACGCCCAGCTAATTTTTGTTGTTGCTGCTGCTGTTGTTTGTTTTTTTGAGATGGAGTTTCCCTCTGTCGCCCAGGCTGGGGTGCAGTGGTGTGATCTCAGCTCACTGCATCCTCCACCTCCTGGGTTCAAGCGACTCTCCTGCCTCAGCCTCCCGAGTAGCTGAGATTACAGGCACCCACCACCATACCCAGCTAATTTTTGCATTTTTAGTAGAGACAGGGTTTCACCGTGTCGGCCAGGCTGGTCTCAAATTCCTATGCTCAAGTGATCCTCGCATCTTGGCCTCCCAAAATGCTGGGATTATAGTGGTAAGCCACCACACCTGGCCCACCCTTCCGCCCTTCCTTTCCTTTCCTTCCTTCCTTCCTTCCTTCCTCTCTTCCTTCCTTCTTTCCTCCCTCCCTCCCTTCCTTCCACAAACATGTATTGAGAGCCTACTATGTGTCAGGGACTGTGCTAGGCACTGAGGCTAGAGCAGAGGCAGAGGGCCCTGCCCTCCTGCACTTGGCATTCTCGATCATTCATACCTTCCTGCTTTTGTGCCCTTAGTGCATGCCCTTCCCTCTGTCTGGATTGTCTTCCTCATGCCTCTTCACCAAAGATCAACGCCATCATCAGGGCCCAACTGAAATCTCACCTCCACCATGCAGCCCTGACCACCCCGCCCAGTGATTGCTCTCTAAGAGAATCCATTAAATACTTATCATCTGGACAGCGCATTTGGCACATGTCAGATGTTCTGGCACTCTTAACTCTCATGTTTATATATGGATCCTATCACTCAGGAAACATTTCCATTCTCCTCAAGAAACATTAACTGGGTGCCTCCTATATATTTTAGCAGTGGTAAACATAATGAAACTTTGTGGTGCCTCTTTCAGTTACAACAGCTTTCATAACTATTTTATCATTTGGTTTTCACAAAACACCATCACTTCCATTTTATGCTTCAATTTAAAAAAATATAATGTATACCCCAGCTAGAATAGCTATTGTCAAAAAGACAAAAAAAAAAAAATGCTAGGGAGGATGCAGAGAAAAGGGGACTTGTACATTGTTGATGAGAATGTAAATCAGTACAGCCATTATGGAAAATGGTATGAAGGTTTCTTAAAAAAAAAAAAACAAACTACAAATAGGACTACCATATGATCCAGCAATTCCACTCACTACTGGATATATACCCCCAAAAAGGAAATCAGTGTATTGAGATACCTGCCTCCCCATGTTTATTGCAGCACTATTTACAATAGCTAAGATATGGAATCTATCTTAGTGTCCATCAATGGATGAATGGATAGAGAAAATGTCACACAGACACAGCAGAATATTATTCAGCCATAAAAAAGAATGAGATCTTGTCATTCATGACAAGATGGATGAGCCTGGAGGACATTATGTTAAGTGAAATAAGTCAGGCATGTTCTGCATGTTCTCACTTATATGTGGGAGCTAAAAAAAACTCCTGAGCTCATAGAAGTAGAGAGTAGAATTATGATTATTAGAGGCTGGGAAAGGTAGAGGGGAGGGGAGGATAGGGAGAGGTTGGTTACAAAGTTACAGCTAAATCGAAGGAATAAAGCTGGGTGCAGTGGCTCATGCCTGTAATCCCAGCACTTTGGGAGGCTGAGGTAGGTGGATCACTTGAGGTCAGGAGTTCGAGGCCATCCTGGCCAACCTGGTGAAACCCCATCTCTACTAAAAATACAAAATTAGCTGGGTGTGGTGGTGAGCGCCTGTAATCCCAGCTACTCATGAGGCTGAGGCTGGAGAATCGCTTGAACCCAGAAGGTGGAGGTTGCAGTGAGCCGAGATGGCACCACTGCACTCCAGCCTGGGCAACAGAGCGAGATTCTATCTAAAAAAAAAAAAAAAAAATGTGTACTGTTAAAAATGTAATTTAAATTACTTACTTCATGGATAAGTATGTTCTCATGAACATTAAAACATTATAAATCTGGCTATCATTGTAGATCTGACCACCGCTACCCTACTCCAGACTCCCTCAGAGATACAGAAGAGGAAACTGAGACTCAAAGAAGTGACATGGTGTGCCCAAGGCCACACAGCTAGTGCCTGTGGGGGATTTTCTGATTCTAAATCTCTCTCTGTTTTTTTTCTTTTTTGAGACGGAGTCTCACTCAGTCGCCCAGGCTGGAGTGCAGTGGTGCAATCTTGGCTTACTGCAACCTCCACTTCCCGGGGTTCAAGCAATTCTCCTGCCTCAGCCTCCCAAGTAGCTGAGACTACAGGCATGCGCCACCACGCCCTGCTAATTTTTTTTTTTTTTTTTTTTTTTTTAGTAGAGACAGGATTTTACCTTGTTGGTCAAGCTGGTCTCGAACTCCAGACCTCAAATAATCCACCCACCTTGGCCTCCCAAAGTGTTGGGATTACCGGCGTGAGCCACCGCGCCCAGCCTGACTTTAAATCTCTTGCTATTCTAATTTTTCTACACTGCCTCCCATCACCACAAGAATCCTTTCTATTCCTCACTGTGTCCCTGGTGCCCAGCACAGGGCTCTGCACCAAAGCTGGGGCTCAGCAAATATTTCCATATCAATGGATTCCCTGGCAGAGGGTTTCCTTTGCACGAAGGCATTGCCTTCTGAGGTGGGCTACACCGACCTCATTTGGTCAGTGAAGGCTCGAAGTGGCAACTGAGGCCATGCAGGCATCCTCCCAGGTGTCCCTTCTGCCACCCCAGGGCTTGGCGACATCAGGGATCCTGAGAGTCTCCTTTGGGAGCCAATACAGTGAGACCCAGTAGAGGTACACCAGGTGTTTGCTGGGCACACGCTATGTGGCTGCCGGTATGCCAATGGCCGTGTGTGACTCGGGGGAGAAATGCAAAGTATGATATTGTTGAGCCAAGATTTGTCCCATACGTAGGACACAGTGACCAGCCAGCACATATCCAAGTTCTAAATTATGCAGTGCTGATGATGCTTTGGGGGTTCAGGGGAGGAAGAGCTTGGCTGGAGCGGCCAGGGTAGACTTCTTGGGGGCGGTGGGTTTAGCTGAGCTTGGTGGAAAGCGGTCTGCGTGGAGGACACAGCTCTTCCAGCGGAGTCGGCCGCGGTGCCCAGGCCGAGGCGAGAAGCAGCGCGCCCTCTGCAGGCAGGTGCGAGAGGCGGCCGGAGACCCGCCTGGGCACGTGGACTGGAAAAGGAAGGAGTCGGCCATCGGCTGCTGCCGCTGCGGCTGCGCTGCGACTTTTTCAGCCTGTCTGTCTCAATCCAGCCTTGCACTTCGGCGACTTTCAACCGCCATTAGGCCTGCAAAAGCCGCGTTTTTTCCCTCAGGGCGTGCCCTGCCCTCCTCTCTCCTAGTTGTCTGCAGCTCCCCGCCTGGCGGGCCGGGCCATTTCCTTCTGCTGCTACTCGGCATAGTCCTAGCGGACTGTTTTAGCCACCGCGCTGAGAGCGCTCTTTACAAAGTTTCCCAGATTACAAAACCGGCGCCTAAAGGGAAGGGGCCGACTCTGAGAGAGCCCGTAGTTATTTAACAAACACTTAAGCGCATATTATATGCTAGGCTTTGTGCCAAGCGCCTCGCAAATATTAATTTATTTCATCCTCACTACAGTGCCAGGCAAGTAGTGTTCTTGACCCCATTTTCCGGCTGAGCAAGGTGAGGCAGTGAGACTTAGAATCTTGCTCACCATTTCACAGCTGGAAAGGGGCGGAACCATGCTCTTAACCACTGCACCAAGCGCCTCTCCAGGGGCTCCTCACATGGGTAGGTCCCCAAGCAGGCCGATGGTCCCTAAAGAGCTTGAACCCCTCCCTTCCTCTGGGCCTCCGTGGTTATTTTCCAGGCACCGCAGCATTAAGTGCTACTTTCTGACTCTCTCTAAGTTGGGGGGGGGTTCCCTTTGTTTTCAGGGTTTTCATCTGCAGGTGTTACACGTGGTTTGCCAGGTGCCTCGGTTTCCTCATCTGGGAAATGGTAATCTTAGCACCTGCATCATAAGGCCACTGAAAGGATTAAATGAGTATCCACAATTAAAAGAGTGCCTGGCCCATAGTCAAAGCTCAAGAAATGACAATGGATGTTACTACTGAGCAAGTCCGCTGCTGCACTCCTGGAGGCCTCCCACTCACAAGTGAGAGAGAACAAACTCTGCCTGCTTCCTGAGCACGTCAAAAAGGGCCACATTCACTCAAGGGTTCTCATGGGCTTTTAGTGGCTGAAATAGTCTTAGAAGCTGGGAACATTAGGCCCAGGTCTGGGAGCAGGTCTGGCCTAATCAGCCCTAATCAGTCACATGGGCGTGCAGTTGGCACAGCTCTATCGGCAGCGTCCTCAGGTGCCCCAGGAACATGTCTGTTCCTCTCCCCTTGGAGTGGCCTGAGTCATGTTGTGTGACAGCCACTGTTCAATATTGTCATCATCACAACCAGACATCCATCAGGCAATTACTATGTGGAGGGCTCTGTGTTAGGGGCTCATGACAAGATGGCCAGCACATGTGTGGCACAGGCCAGCATCCCATGAACACAGTATGGTAGAAGCCCTGGATGTGGAGTCAGCTGTTTTTCACACAGATTTCAGGAGGGGAGGGGTGTGTGCCAAGGTCCCGCCTCTCTGGTTCTCTAGCATGGACAACATAGCAGCAGTACAGGAACCAGTTGATTTCCCAACCCCTGCAATATCCAGATCTTCCCTGTAAGCCCAGGGTCTGGAAAAACAATAGCTGCAAGTCAAAAGGCCCCGGACATTTGCTGAATTATTATGTAAGAAAATGAAAAAGAAAGGCCCTGTACATTTATTGCTACAGAATTGTTCCCAGGTATCAAGTGGCTGGATCGAGCCAAAATTCATTCATGCCAATCAATAACCAATGCACAAACCCTACAACATGCCATTCATTCATTCTCTATTTATTTCGTTATACAGATATTTATTTATTTATTTTTGAGACAGGGTCTCTCTCTGTCACCCAGGCTGGAGTGCAATGGCTCGATCTCGGCTCACTGCAACCTACACCTCCCGGGTTCAAGCCATTCTCCTGCCTCAGCCTCCCGAGTAGCTGGGACTACAGTGCCCGCCACCACACCTAGCTAATTTTTGTATTTTTAGTAGAGATTGGGTTTCACTATGTTGGCCAGGCTGGTCTCAAACTCCCAATCTCAAGTGATTCGACTGCCTCGGCCTCCCAAAGTGCTGGGATTATAGGCATGAGCCACTGTGCCTGGCTATTTTATTTATTTATTTATTTATTTATTTATTTATTTATTTATTTATTTAGAGATAGAGTCTCTGTCGCCCTGGCTGGAGTGCAGTGGTGCGATCTCAGCTCACTGCAACTTCCACCTCCCGGGCTCAAGCGATTCTCCGGCCTCAGCCTCCTGAGTAGCTGGGACTACAGGCATGTGCCACCACACCCAGCTAATTTTTTGTATTTTTAGTAGTTACGGTGTTTCACCATGTTGGCCAAGCTAGTCTCAAACTCCTGACCTCAAATGACCCACCCGCCTCGGCCTCCCAAAGTGGTGGGATGACAGGTGTGAGCCACTGCACTTGGCCCATTTTCTCATTTATCTCCTCCTTCAGCAAACATTTACCACACATTCACTATGTGTTAGGTTCTATGCTCAGTTTTAGGAATGTAAAGAGAAACGAGACATAGCCCTTAATGAGGACAGACAAATAAATACTTGGTTGTGATACCATGAAATAAACATTATAATTCATTCACTTAACAACTATTTCTTGAACATCTACTATGTGCCAGGCACTGTTCTAGACACTGGGGACACATGAATGAAACAGACAAAATATCTGCCTTTGTGAAGCTGACAGAGATAGATTACTTTAGAAGTACAGAGGAGAGAGCAATGAGTATGGGCAGGTGGAGTCTGGGAAGGCTCCCAGAGGTGGTGCAATCTGAGCTGGGTCTTGAAGGATCATGCCCTGGCAGAGGGGCAGGTAAGGGCATGCTGGGAAAAACAATAGTACAGCCAAGCTTGGAAATATGAAAGTGAATGACATAGGTAGGAAATGGCAAGTGGAACTGCAGATCACGTGCAGGAGGAGGAACAGAACATGAGGCGCACAGTACTGTCTCTCAATATAAGGTGCAATCAGATAAAATAGCCCAAAGCCCAACTCATTGCATTTTTCTTTTTCTTTTGTTCTTTTTTTTTCTCGAGACGGAGTCTCGCTCTGTCGCCCAGGCTGGAGTGCAGTGGCGCAATCTTAGCTCGCTGCAAGCTCCGCCTCCTGGGTTCACGCCATTCTCCTGCCTCAGCCTCCCAAGTAACTGGGACTACAGGCACCTGCCACCATGCCCGGCTAATTTTTTGTATTTTTAGTAGAGATGGGGTTTCACCACGTTAGCCAGGATGGTCTCGATCTCCTGACCTCGTGATCTGCCTGCCTCGGCCTCCCAAAGTTTTTTTGAGACTGAGTTTCACTCTGTCACCCAGGCTGAAGTGCAATGGTGCGATCTCAGCTCACTGCAGCCTCCGCCTCCCGGGTTCAAGCGATTCTCCTGCCTCAGCCTCCTGAGTAGCTGGGATTACGGGTGCCCGCTACCACACTCAGCTAATTTTTGTATTTTTAGCAAAGACGGGGTTTCACCACGTTGGCCAGGCTGGTCTCGAACTCCTGACCTCAGGTGATCTGCCCGCCTAGGCTTCCCAAAGTGCTGGGATTACAGGCGTGAGCCACTGTGCCCAGCCTCACTGCATTTTTCTGAGAGCCAACCCTGGTTAGAGGTAAGGGTGCGGCCAACACCAACTCCTCCTGTGGTTGTTAGTTGGTATGGGCCTTACGCAAAGTCCTAATGACCCCAGCCTCAGGCTTGTAACCTTAGAGAGAGGCTCAGTATTCCTTGTGAAGAGCCGTCATTTAAAAGGAAGATCTGTCTTGGAAAAGCCAAAGAAATGTGAATAAATTCAAATTTAACTCTAGAGCTTTAGGGTCAAGTAGTTTTTAATGACCATAATTCTTAAATTGGCTGAAAATAGAAAATAACCCATACTCTAAAAATGGACTTTACAAACAGTGCTTTGGTTATTATAATTTATTTTTTCTTTTGTTATCTCTTTTTTTATCCAACTGAGGTTATTATAATTTCTATTTAATATTTGTCAAATGGATTTTGTCAGTTGGTATTGAAACTAGCCGGCTTTCATATTTTAATATAGTTCATGACCCAAAATAAATAGTTGGACAGGGTCACCTTGAAGTTCTCTTTGAAACCTTTTGCCGAGTCAGATAGCTCAGAGGACATTATCTCATCTCTCTAAGCTTCGGTTTCATAGCTGTGAAATGGAGTGAATAATAATACCTGCCTCTTAGGGCTGTTGAGACAATAGGGACAGTTAATCCATGTAAAGTGCTTAGCACAACATCTGGCATATAAGATGTCAAAATAATGAGCTATGATCTTGATTCTGTAGTTTTAGAGAAATTACTGTTACCTGGTTGTATCGATTGTTTAACCTGAAGACGCAGGCTTAACTTAATTCAATCTATCTAGCCCTAGAAACTCCAAAAAGAACCACAGCCCACAGTAGATTTGAGGAATTATATTGTAGCTTAAAAAGGAAAGTTGATTTCCAGGTTTCCTGGTAGACAAACTGAGCCACTAACTAGTGACGGGATGTGATATGACCCAAGACAAAGAAACATGGAGCCGAAGTGGGATTACAATTTCAGTGGTCAAACTCCTAGCTTTCTACCCTAATTGGCAAACAGCACGCTTTTACCCAGAAGCCCAAGCGTCCTTACCCCCTGATCTTCACTTCTGGGATAAAGCCATTATGAAGCTCAATTTTTGTAATAAATGGACTCCTGAACCCTGGACTTAGTTGTGAAAGTGAAAGGAGATCCTTTGCTTCTAAAGGTCTCAGTAAATTTTCTCCTCCCTGCAGCTTCTTTCCCTAGGGAGTGAAGTCATAGGGTTGGGTAATCAGGCTGGGACCTCATGGGTTCCTTGAAATACTACGAGAGCAAAGGAAGCTGTGAGAAGAATCCTGGTGACCACACAGTGGCCCCTGGGTCAGGTGAGCAGTGCAGTCTGGTTGTGAGGCAGGACGGATTTATCTTTGACCTTTGGTCTCTTTCATAATCAGTGTTGTAAAATAAGTGCTCTGAGTTAGAGCTCAGGATTATCACCATAAGCACATGTTTCTATTCATTCAGTCCATTCCAAAAATGTCCTTTTCTTTCTTTACAACCTTCTCTCTCTCTCTCTGTGTGTGTGTGTGTGATCCACTTTCTATAGTATATATAGCATTTTCTTGAGACTGTTTTAGAAAATCTGCAGGAAAAGGATAAATCCATTAAACCATTCTCCCATGAATGAAGTGAAAATAATTTAAAGCATTTCAATAAAACAATAACAGTCGGGCCAGATGCAGTGGCTCCTGCCTGTAATCCCAGCACTTTGGGAGGCTGAGGCGGTTGGATCACTTGAGGCCAGGAGTTCGAGACCAACCTGGCCAACATGGTGAAACCCCATCTCTACTAAAAATACAAAAATTAGCCAGGTGTGGTGGCTTGCACCTCTTGTCCCAGCTACTCGGGAGACTAAGGCAGGAGAATCGCTTGAACCTGGGGGGTGGAGGTTGCAGTGAGCCAAGTTCGCACCACTGAACTCCAGCCTGGGTGACAGAGCAAGACTCTATCTCAAAAACAAAAACAAAGCAATAACAGTCATAATAAGAGCAAAATTGTGTAAAGCAGGTGCCCAGCATTGTTCTAAGCACTTTACATATATTAACTCCTTTAATCTTCACACTATTCCTATGAGGTAGGTACTAAAGTTATCCCCATATTCCACATGGGGAAACTAAGGCACAAAACAGTTAAGTAAAAGTTGAATTGTTGTCAAGTAAGAAAGTTTGGTATTTGAAAATGAGACCTCTAGCCTCAAAGCTTCTCATGAGTGAGTCCTGAGCGGTGTGCTCCGAGGAAGGTCAGGTGGTGAGGAAGCCCCAGACCTCTCCCTGATGTACAGGGCTGCCTCCAAATTCCTTCATCCACTCCAGTTCCACGGGCAGGAATGGATCTGAGTTTTGTGGAAGTGTCAGCTTATATGATTTGGCTCCCTCTTTTTAAAAACACAAAATATGTCTTTTGAAAATGTTGCCAAACCATATGACCAAATGAATATATGGTTAGGGCTTGGGAGGGGCCCATGCAAGGGGTGGCTCCAAAGGGGAAGCACCCCTAGCTCCACAGTACATCTGCCTTTGCCTCTGCCCATAAGATATCTCTGCTTCTTGCCAAACTGGGTATTGGAGTTCATTTAGACAGAAGAGTTTTCCTTTTCATTCCCAAACACGAGGCCCTCGGAAGTTACCAGTCAACAGCTATTTAACTGATACTTTATTCTGGTTATGTCCTTGCAACCATAACCATCTCTATTCTGGGACTGAAAACATTAGAGACAGTGTAACATGTCATGTGATCAGATTCGGCATGTTCTCTAAAATCTCAACAGTGCTAAATTGCCTCCCCATGTTACGAAAGTTGCCCAAGGAAATGAAATCCCAGGATGGATGCTCGCCATAAAAATAACCCCCTCGTTTCTCTGTCCCCTTCCCTGATAGTCACGGAAAAGCCAAGGATTAATAGACTCCTTTAATTTAACTCAGTTTTGTCTCTGATGAGGGTCTAGTGAAAGCAACTGCCCAATCTGTCGCTTGAATACTGTTTATATTTGTTGCCGGGATACCAAAGGCTCTCTTAAGCCTTTGGCTAAGAAGAGCACCATGCATCTGACCTTGTTCACCTGCACATAAAGCAAATAATGGCTGAAATGATAGGAAAGCTCCTCCAAACATTTGGAGTGGAACACAAGGCATTTTTGTGTCCGAAATTGCAGCGCCTAATATTTGTTGTTCAAATAAATCTCAACCTGCATACGGAAGTGCACATTACACATAATAAGATGAGGCTTTGAGAAGACAGATGTTAATTATTTTGAGGTAAATCAGAGCACCTCTGACCCAAACACCGAGCTGTAATTTGTTGCTCAGCTTCTTGGTCCTGAAATTAATGTAAATCTTTACATTCGTAATTTTACTTGCCAATGGCAAACCACCCACACAGTCTGTAAATGACTGCTCTGAGTCAGAGACTATTCATTTACGATTGTGTTAGATATTTTAAAATGTTCTCTGAAAGGATTAAATCACCTAATCCTGGTCCTTTCACTGGTTCTGCTTTCTGCAAAAATGATGGAGCTGGAGGACGTCTAAACTAGAAGGGACTTTAGAGTTTGTCTCTTCCCCAAATTTCTCCATTCAAGGATAAGAAACTAAGACCCTGATGTTAGAAGTGACTTGTCTCCAGGTCACTCAGCAACCAAAACTAACCCCCCAACCCCCGCAAAAAAAAAAAAAAAAAAAAAAAAAAAAAAAAATCCCAGGTTAGGATTTTAATAAATGGCCACACTTAGAAATCCTTGCTCAGAGTCCGGAAGCTACCCTTTCCCTGCCCTCCTGCCTCCGACAGCTTCTGTTAGTCCTGGTACTCCACAGTATGACTCGGTTCTAAAAGAATCATGCCATTTTGAATCCAGGTGGTCAGAATACGATTCCGATAAAACAAATCAGCAGCCGTTACAGCAATATGCATTAATTTTGGGGGAATGGATAGCCAAGAAATTGCTAATAACGGTGACTTTTGAGGAGGGGGCTAGTGATGAGAAACGCAGGACAGGAAGATGTTTACTTTTCGTTTTACATATTTTCTTTACTATTTGGCTTTTATTACCATGTACAGATGTTAACTATTAAAAACCTCAAAAGCAAATTAGAAATACTACGTTCACAAACTTCAAAGGAGAAATAGAATTTACCCCAGTAACACGGATGCTTGAAAATCTATGATACAGTACAGCAGTACTTTAAAAATTTTTTCTCCCAAAGTATCTGTAATGATAGAGGAGACTGAATTGGAGTCTGGGGGCAGTGCCAGAAATGGCCCTTGTATACCAAAACTCTCTTTGCAGTTTATGTTTTTAAAATGCCTTCAAATTAATAGACTCTCTAGCATCTCTGCATCTCTTTTGATACAAAAAAATGACGGTTTAAATGACTTACCATTCACGAAAACTGCCGCTCTGGGAAGACACCCCTCGTTTCTTTCTCCGGCGGTCCGGAGCGCCCGTAGCGCGCTGCTTCCAGTCACTGAGTGCAGAGGGCCCTTGGAATAGGAAGCACGGCTGTGCACAAGCTGACCTGTGTTCTGGCTCTCTCACCTGGAATCAGGCTTCACGGATCCTGTTATGTATTGAATAGTAACAAAACAACGGCATAAATTAGGGTGTTGCTAAGATTGTGTACCATCAACGTTCGCATGAGCGTAATGGACATAATGAATTCTATAGCACTATCCTGCACAGCTTGGAGAGATTAAAACCACTTTGTCTTTAAATTAAATTTCAAAAATCATTGAACAAGAATAGAAAGAACAACAACAAAAAAAACCCCCACCTCATCTATGTCAGCTACCCAATTGCAGGAGGCACCACTTCTTGCTTTCTGATCATTAATGCCTGGTCCTAGGTTTATTTTAATAGCTGCCAGCTCAGTGAGTCCACATCTATTGTAATAACCATAAAGGGGGCTTGGCTCCTCTTGCATCGTGTATGCAGCCCTTACTGGAGAGCCTCTTATCCCCTTTCAAGAATAAAATCTACAACTGAAAAAGAACTAACCTGAAGTTTATTTTGTATAAATGCTACACAATATAGTATATCTAGTCTGTTGCAGAAAAAGAAAGGTGAGCTTGAATTCATTCTTAAGCAGTGCTGTACTTGGGCAAATCTTCACTCAACAAACCTGGGTGCCGTATTATGTGAAAGTTCACATCGGAGTGCTTGCTAAATGCCAGGCACCATACTTCTGGCTCTACATGCTTTCTTATGCTTAACCCTCACTCACAACACCCCTAAGAAATATATGAGCAGTCCAGGAGAGGTGGCTCACGCCTGTAATCCCAGCACTTTGGGAGGCCAAGGCAGGCAGATCACCTGAGGTCAGGAGTTTGAGACCAGCCTGGCTAACATGACGAAAACCCATCTCTACTAAAAATACAAAAATTAACCAGGTATGGTGGTGCATGCCTGTAATCCCAGCTACTTGGGAGGCTGAGGCAGGAGAATTGCTTGAACCTGGGAGGCGGAGGTTGCAGTGAGCCGAGCTCGCACCACTGCATTCCAGCTGTTAAAGATTTCATAGTCTTTAACAGCACTGCAATCTCAGCACTATGTAACTGTACCAGCTCTAATCCTCTACTCTGAATGGGCGACAGAGTGAGACTCCGTGTCAAAAAAAAAAAAAAAAAAAAAAGGAAGGAAAGAAATATATAAGCGCTATTATATCCCCACTTCACAGACGAGGAAACTGAGGCTCCCGGGGATTAAGTGACTTGCCCAAAGTCACACAGTAATCAGCAGAGCCAGGATTAAAATCCAGGTATGTCTGATTGATTCTAGAGCCCCTGAAATCTGCCTCCTAAGAACTGTCAGTCACCATTTATGTAATGCTTATTATGTTCTATGGTAGATGCTTGGCATAAATTATTTAATCTTTGCAACAACCCTCTGAGGCAGGCATTATTAATAGCCTCATTTTACAGATAAGGAAAACCAAGGTTTAGAAAAATTAAGTAACTTGGCCTAACACAACTGAACATCAGAGTCCAGAACTTCAGCCCAGGCCTCTTTGATACCAGAACAGAATTCTTAATAACTAAGCTATACTACGATTCAGGTGCCTGGCCAGAGGACAAACATAAACTCTGGGATCCTTGGGCATTCATCCATGCCATGCAGACCTCTCTGTGAATAGCTCTTATACATGCCAGTGTGTGGGATATTCCTCAAGAATGAGCTTTACATGTACACATGGAGCACCCGTTCTATCATTTTTAAAGTTGTGGCTTGACAGACATAATGCTGCATTCTTAGTACAAATCTCATGGCAAAATCCACTGGATTTGAGCCCTAATCAAGAGATACAGAAAGTCCAAACACTGTCACATGGATTCCAAATAAGGGTTTATTGAAAATAAACATAAATGCCCTCCATTGACTGGGCTTATTAGCATGAAGCAAAAGGCAGATGCTATTTCCTCTTTGTAAGGTTAGTTTTGAGGTCGTGGCCAATGTCTGGCCCTCTTCATAATCTTTAACAGCACTGCAATCTCAGCACTATGTAACTGTGCCAGCTCTAATCCTCTACTCTGAATGGAATTAAAAATGGCTTGAGGCCAGGCGTGGTGACTCACATCTGTAATCTCAGTACTTTGGGAGGCCGAAATGGGCAGATCATGAGGTTAGGAGTTCGAGACCAGCCTGGCCAACATGGTGAAACCCCGTCTCTACTAAAAATACAAAAATTAGCCCGGCATGGTGAGAGGCGCCTGTAATCCCAGTTACTCAAAAGGCTGAGGCAGAATCGCTTGAAACTGGAAGGGGGAGGTTGCAGTGAGCCAAGATTGTGTCATTGCACTCCAGCCTGGGCGAAAGAGAGAAACTCCATCTCGGCCAGGCACGGTGGCTCACGCCTGTAATCCCAGCACTTTGGGAGGCCAAGGCAGGCAGATCACAACGTCAGATCAAGATCATCCTGGCTAACACGGTGAAACCCCGTCTCTACTAAAAATACAAAAAATATTAGCCGGGCGTGGTGGCGGGCACCCGTAGTCCCAGCTACTCGGGAGGCTGAGGCAGGAGAATGGCGTGAACCTGGGAGGCGGAGGTTGCAGTGAGCCGAGATCGTGCCACTGCACTCCAGCCTGGGCAACAGAGCAAGACTCTGTCTCAAAAAAAAAAAAAAAAAAAAAAAGAGAAACTCCATCTCAAAAGATAGATAATAAATAAATAAATTTTAAAAAATTGCTCTAGCTGGCCAGGCACAGTGGCTCACGCCTATAATCCTAGCACTTTGGGAGGCCGAGGTGGGTGGATCATGAGGTCAAGAGATCTAGACCATCCTGGCCAACATGGTGAAACTGTCTCTACTAAAAATACAAAAATTAGCCAGGCTTGGTGGTACACACCTGTAGTCCCAGCTACTTGGGAGGCTGAAGCAGGAGAATCGCTTGAACCCAGGAGGCGGAGGCTGCAGTGAGCCAAGATTGCACCATTGCACTCCAGCCTGGCAACAGAGCAAGACTCTTGTCTCAAAAAAAAAAAAAAAAAAAAAAAAAAAATGGCTTGAGCCAGGTGAAAATGAAGGCAACTGGATGAAATTGGTATTGATTCTAAAAGTTTAAATGAGGTGATATTCATGCAACAAACGTAACCATTTTAAAGTGGATAATTCAGCTCATGGCTCATGATTAATAACCATAGGACTAGAGAAGGTGGGTTCACAGTATTTCTTGGAGAAAGCTCATTCAGCTATGATCATCCATAGGCAATGGAACAATGTTTTTTGGATGCACTGGGCCTGAATTCCTTTGCTAATGTGTTGGAAATGTTTGTGGGTGGCACAACCAAGTTATTCTGTTAAGCGGACTGCTGACAATTGGTTTTAAAAAGACAGTTCTTCATCTCCGGAGATACTGTAGCATTTATTAAAAATGTAGCATTCACTAAAAAGGTAGTATTTATTCGAATGTAGCACTCAAATATGCATTTTTATATGAAAATATACTGCAGACAAAATTTATTTTAGATATTTTTATTTCTCCAAATTTGTTATTTATCAGGAGTGACTGAAATAAAAAATACAATTGAGTCCCATCATCATCATCATGGAAATGGCTTTAAGAGAAAACTGGTCAGATGAATATTATTGCTTCCCATTTTCAACCAGTAAATAGTTGCCACTGAGAAACTGACAGCCAGGAGTCTGTCAAGAATGCTCAAGATATGTTATATAATACAACATGCCTGTTCACAGGGGGAAAAATCCTAGGAAATAACTTATGTGTACTTCTTGATTTCATCATACAAGACAAGCACAAAAGCACCACCCATGCCTCTGAGAACATTGGACCATGCACCCTTGAAAAAAGCTTTGCCTCCTTCATCACGAGCAATCTTCCGCCAGCAGTCAAGCGTGCCTGTGTACATGATGTCAGCTGCAAAGAATAAAGACATGGAGTTAGTGACTGAAGGCCGATGAAAAATCCTAAGATTCACTAGGCTAAATAAAGCAGAGCCCCACCTCTAAGAACGTCAGCTTTAAATCCAACATTCACACATTAGCATGGGCAACACTGAAATATTAATGCTATGACCACAGGAATACAGACTACCCATTGGTCTTAACCTCTAACACCATTTAAGCACCCTCATTCATAGGCATCTGAAGGGCCAGCTCAAAGGCAGTTGTGGAACAGACACAGATGCTATCAACCCCATCCCTTGACTTGGACAGACAGCCATTTTAAAGGTATGTATCACCAGTTTGTGGCAGCAGATTGCCCCACGACTACAACTTTATCTTCTGCTCAAGTGGAACTTACTTCCTTTGCGCCCTGACTGCATCATCATGCGGCGGCGAACAGTGTCAAATGGATAGGAAGTCAACCCGGCAACAGCAGTGACAGTCTGTGCGATCATCCAGCTGATGACGATGTGAGTGTTCTTGGGATCCGGAAGCATTCCTGGGAATAGGAAAGAGATGCTTTTACCAAAAAGCAGAGTTTTACTGACTTCCTTTCCCCACATCCCCTAAACACGTCATCTGTACACAAGGGTTGCATTGGATGATCTTGGCTTCCTTTAGCAATTAAAAAAACAACTCTTTAGCTCTTGGACTGTTAGGTTGGTACAATGCTCTTTTAAACTGTCTCCTAAGAACACAACGTTAAAGCCCACAGCAAACTTACCCTTTGCAGTGTCATAGATACCGAAGTAGGCGGCTCGGTAGATGATAATACCCTGCACAGACACGTTAAAGCCTTGGTACAGGCCCTTAATCCCATCAGATTTGTAGATCTTAACCAGGCAGTCACCGAGGCCTCGGAATTCCCTTTCAGCTCCAGCTTTACCCACATCAGCTGCTAGACGGGTACGGGCAAAATCAAGAGGGTACACAAAACACAGGGATGTGGCCCCTGCGGCACCACCCGATGCCAGATTCCCTGCAAAGTAGAGCCAAAACTGGGTTCTCTTGTCCACACCACCCAGGAAGATCTGCTTGTATTTATCTTTGAAGGCGAAGTTAAGAGCCTGGGTGGGGAAGTATCTGATGACATTGGCCAGGTTACCGCGCCAGAAGGACAGAACTCCCTGCTCCTTGGGAATACGGACCACGCAGTCTATAATGCCTTTGTATTGCTTATCTGCAGTGATCTGCTTGCTGGCATGCTGCACCTAACAGACAGGAAGGAAGCCAACAGGGACAGTTATAACCATGGGGAAGGGAAAGAGAAGAGCTTATGCCATCTCGATCAATGCCCTTTAAGGTAGGCTCCCCTCTCTCAAATCTAGTCTTCGTATATCATACTGGCTGGACCCTCCCAACCCTCTGAGGCTGTCACAGGGGAAGAGGTGATCTGCACCAGTAGCATTAAGCCTCCACCCCTCTGAGTGGAGAGGGGGCATCCTCCAGCGGACCCGTGACCTTCAGACCTAGGAGAAAGGTCATTACCTCAAACCCAGGTTCAGAGGCATTAGGGCGAGTCCCACATAGGGCGCGGTCACCTTGGGGACCGCAGCCTACGCCTCAAGTCTCCTGAGCTGCTTCCGTCTCGCTCCGCCCCCACTCCGCTCCCAGAGGTGACCCGAGCGCCGCCGCCGCCAGCCCTACACGCTAGCCCAGGAGCGCCCTCTAGAGCCGGCACTGGAGAGCGCGCGGCGCAGGGAGGCAGGCGGAGACGCGGCGGCAGCGGCCGCGGCTGCGCGGGGGCGGACGTAAAAGGCACACGCGCTTCCCGGCGCCGGCTTCCGGCCCGGCGAGGTTTGAGCGCGTCCGCGGGCTGGGAGGCCGCTGGACCCGGGCGCATGGCCTCCCCCGGGCAGTTATCTCCTTGCCGCGACCTTGAGGTCTTCGGTAAGAACTGGCGTTCCTCTTTCTAACGCCGGCTTTCGGCCTTCGCCCTTGACGCCCAGGCCCGGGGAGGCCGTCACTCAGAAACTGCTCCATCCGAGTCCGCCGCCTCGGAGATGCCGAGAGCCTGGTCCTGCCCTCTGCCCCCGGCCCCTTCCTAGACTCACTACTTCAGGTCACTAAAGGCGCCTCCCACCAGTTTGACTTCTGTTCTGCCTCTGCGCCCCGCTCTGGCCTCTCCTAAGCCGCTTCCCTGGCCATGTCTTTAGAGTTCGCTCCCCGCCACCCCTCGGGCGCCCGCCTTCTGTGCGACCCTTCCCCCCACTTCCTGGTTGGGCTCCTGGATCCCAGGACGTACCTGCAGCAGCAGCTTGACCCGCTCGATGGGCGCTACCGCCGTCTTGGAGATGGCTGCGGCCACTCCACCTGCCAGGAAGTCCTTGGCGAAGGACACAGCGGCATCTGTCATGTTGAAAGAGGAGGCAGACTGCTGCAGGACGGGACTGGGCCGGGAACCGGCTTTGACTCCGGCGCTGCGGGGCGGAGCGAAGCAAATGGCCGATTTATATAGGGGGAGCCGGAGCTGGAGCGGCAGGCGTCGGAGGCGGGGCCGGGGCGGGGTCTGGGCCCCGGCGCGCTGGGCGGCAGAGCCGCTGAGTGGCCCAGCTCGCAGGAGGAGGAGTCGTGGAGGGCGGGCCGGGACTGCTCTCCGCGCCGCCCGTGCTCGCCCTCGGCACCTGACCCGGCGAGAGGAAGGGGCGGGTCCAGAGAACACCCGGGACTTGAACGCTGGACCCTGAGAGAGGCCTCGGAGAGGGGAGGAAGGGTGAGGTCACGATGTGCCTGGACAAAAACCCTTGGAGCAGGACCAGGACTAGGGTGAGACGCATTTGCTACAGGGATGCCAAAAGAACCCTTCAGTCATCGAGATAAACAGTAGTCAATGCGATACTTTAAAAAAGTCGTATGGGCAAACTACATCCTACTGGCCGGCCCCCTTGTTTTGTAAATAAAGTTTAATTGGAGTGTCAAGGCTGGGTTTAGGGTGAGGCAAGCGAGACAAGGTCATGCAAGTGCAGGTTGGGATCCTGTCTGTATTTCAAATGTTGATCATTTGTTCATCATGGATTTTTGCATTGCTTCTGATTTTTTTAAAATAGTACATGAAAAATCATTTGTCTTAATTACTGAGTTGTTTTTCACCAAGGTGAATGCCTCACTCTTCCCACTCTAGACCGTGTGCTGTCCTGGAGCCAGTGAAACCAGACGAAATTAAGGGAACAGCAGACGAAGGAACTGCCACCGTGCCCCAGACCCTGGTTTGCAAATACAGTTCGACAAAGATCTTGCCAGGAATTGGCCTGGGAGAGTCCAAAGGACTGGGCTGGGGGTGGGGAAATGATTTTAGCCAGAAGACAAATATAGAGGTTGTACCCAGAAGGTTAAGAGGCTTAGGAAGGTTAAGAACTACGTTAACATTTGGCTCCCAGGACCCCAGGTAAAGTGCCCTTGGATTGAATAGATTTCTGAACTCCAGAAACATTTAGAGGAATCAATAGAATTAGATTGGCAGCCATTGTGCCAATGGACAAGTGCTTACTGAGCCCCTTAATCCCTTCACTGGGTAAGCATTTGCCACACATGTCCTCAAAAACCTACTTGTTAGCTTAAGTGGACTCCCTCAAGTTCAGAACAGGAGCAAATAGTGTAATCACAAGTTCCGTGTCTGAATAATCATAACAATGTTTATAAAAATAAGGACGACTGTTGAAAACTGCAACTGCAGCTGAACCTTATGTGCCCAGACTTCAGAATTCCCATAGGCAAAATGCCAGCAGGCCTTTGCACACTGAACACATAGTGTTCATATCCTTCACTTTCCTTTCCTGCCCTCTCCTATCTTCTCCAGATCTGCCTGTGAAAGGACCCAATTCTAGGACCCCCCAGGATGGTTAGGCCCTTCCTCTGAAAGTACACTTTGCAATTTGTTAGTCTCCTCAAGAACCCCAGCGATCGAAACTGATGCACACAAATTGCATGTGTTCAAAGGAGCAATTTTGAATCTAGCTTTGTTGATCCTGGGAGAAATCTTTGACCTGTGTTAGTGAAAGGCTATGGTGTTTCTCAGCTGATTATAATAGCGAGGTAGCTGAATGCAAAAAAACAGTTTCAGAGAATGGTAGAGTATATCCTCCAAAGGTGATACTCGCTTCTCTATTCTGGTGAGAGAAACAAGAGCTAAAGCAAAATTCTACAGAGGGCTTTATTTGGAGAGAGGTGGATTTTATTTATAATGCATTTAAAATTCAAAATCTTTCTAGTTTGAACTCTTGACATTCTGATTAATGCATTTTTATTCAACTGTTAATTATTCCTCGATACACCTCGCCATCACTTGTGTATCCCTTTTCTACATGTGACCTTTCCCTGGCCACATCTGCTACTCTCTTTGAGCATGATGCCTCTACTGTATTCTATTCCAGAGCTCATTGTTTTGTCAGTTTTTTTTCTCTCCACAAAAAAAGATGATCAAATAATTACATAGAATTTTTCCCTTCTCAGTCTTTGGGTAACTAAGTGTGGTTTTATTGACGATGAAATACAAGATGGGTCATTTAAAAGCAACTTCTTGTCATCACTTGGTATTTTGCTAAATCCACGGTGAGCTGGAGCTCCCGTAGTCACCTATCACCGCGTGTATTTTAAGGAGTCAGATATTCTCGAAACTGTTAAGATCATGAAAGACAAAGAGACTAAGGAACTGTCACAGATTAAAGGAGACTAAAGATACTTGACAACTGAATGTAATATATGACACTCAACCGGCTCCTGTACCAGAAAAAGGACATTGGTTATATTGGTGAGGTTTGAATATCTGTAGATTACCAATACTATTCTTGGTTATGGTGGTTATGTAAGATTTAGAGAAGTTGAATAAAGGATATAAGGACATTTTTGTACTATTTTTGCAACATTTAAAAAAGTCTGAAAGTTTAAAAACTTTTTAAAAAAGAAGGAAAAAGAAACAAGGAGCAAGCATCCAGGAAAATAGAAAATAGAGTCTCATTCTGTCACCCAGGCTGGAGTGCAGCGGCACGATCATAGCTCACTGCAGCCTCAAACTCCTAGGCTCAAGTGATCCTCCCACCTTAGCCTTCCAAATTGCTGGGATTACAGGTATGAGCCACTGCACCCAGCCGAGAAGAATATTAATGATGATGATGATGATGATGATGATGATGTTGATAATGATATATGGCTGGTCAGTTAATCAAAACTAATTCCTCCATTGAGACATAGTGCTGTGTTAGTAATTATTGTGTTTCTGGAAGCTATGTAAAATATAAGTCTAATTAAGAGGAACTAAAGCTAAGGCAATGCCTAGTAATTCTCAAGGAAAAACAAGGAAGAGAGTCAGAAATGACACTTTTAAGGCCTCAGATATCTATGTACCAACACCCAGAATATGGGTAATAAAGGGAATGTAATTTTTTTTTTTTTGAGACAGAGTTTTGCTCTTGTCGCCCAGGCTGGAGTGCAATGGCGCGATCTCCGCTCACTGCAACCTCCACCTCCTAGGTTCAAGCGGTTCTTCAGCCTCAGCCTCCTGAGTAGCTGGGATTACAGGCACGCCACCACCACGCCTGGCTAATTTTTGTATTTTTAGTAGAGACAGGTTATTACCATGTTGGCCAGGCTGCTCTCAAACTCCTGACCTCAGGTGATCTGCCTGCTTTGGCCTCCCAAAGTGCTGGGATTACAGGCATGAGCCGCAGCGACTGGCCGGGAATGTAAAATTTTAATACACTCAGGAAAATGCAATTTTATAGGTATTGTTTAGACTTGGGAGGGTGGAACTTCTGGCTGGCATCTGGAAAACTTGATTCAGAGATACCATACAGAAGAAGAGAGCAGTAATATGTCAAGAAGGTATAACTAGTAATTCATTGGCTGGAGGGTGAAAAGCATTCAGTGAGAATGAAACGGAGAAATGAAAGTGATTATAGTTGTAGAAGTATACAAGAGACTTCTCAGATTAAAAGTATGAATGGGGCCGGGCGCGGTGGCTCACGCCTATAATCCCAGCACTTTGGGAGGCCGAGGCAGGTGGATCACCTGCGGTCAGGAGTTTGAGATCAGCCTGGCCAACATGGTAAAACCCCGTCTCTACTAAAAATACAAAAATCAGCCAGGTGCGGTGACTCAGGCCTGTAATCCTAGCTACTCAGGAGGCTGAGGCAGGAGAATCGCTTGAACCCGGGAGGCAGAGGTTGCAGTGAACCCACATCGTGCCGCTGCACTCCAGCCTGGGTGACAGAGCGAGACTCCATCTCAAAATAAAAATAAAAATAAAAAATAAATAAAATAAATAAAAGTATGAATGGCATTTCATAAAACTGTCACATAGACGAACAGGAAAGGGTGATCAGAGACATAGAACATCTGAATATCTGCTGGAAGTTATTCTGATAGCAACATATCTGATACATTCTTTTTTCTTATTTTTAAGACCATCTTAAATTTAAGAAAACATCTGATAGATTCTTGGCTCTCTTGCTGATACAGTGTAATTACAGTTCTCAAAAGAATAAAGAAGCAATGAGGTAAATTGCTAAGCTGGGCTTAATCCTGATAATAAATAAGGAAGATTTGGTTAGCAAAGTGAAAGTGACAAGAATCTTGGGGAAAGTGATCCTGTCATCTGGATATCTGTTAAGCAAAAAAACTAAAAAAAAAAAAAAAAAATTGCTGGGCATGGTCACATAGGTTAATTAACGTGTGTGTGTGTGTGTGTGTGTGTGTGTGTGTGTGTGTGTGTGTGCGGTGTATGTATGTGTATGTGTAAGGTAGACTTCAAAAGGATCAGAGAAAAGATAAGTATGATCTGGCCTAACACCAAAAGAGAAAGATAGCTTAAAAGGGAGAGGGATCCAGTTGAAAATTCAGAACTGTAGAATTTGGAAAAGTTCCAATGATAAATTAAAAAGGGAGAGATTTCTAATAAACTACAGTGTCCTTATAGATTATTCTCTGATGAGCTCAGATCTTAAAAGTGCATGTATAGATGACAGAAGGAGGACTATGCTTCCAAGGACAAAGCCCAAAGAATATCACAAACCTCTAGGAATTGAGTCATAAGGGCTAAAGTCCAGAATAAACCCAGGCTTATAAAATGGGAAGCATTGCAATAAAGGGTTTTAATGCCCTATTTAGTGCAAGACATTTAAGGATGAGGAGATAGAGCTTAATGGTAGCATGTGTGAAAAAGAGAACTAGGTCCTAGTTCACTGTGGGTTGACAATGCCAAAAAATACTAACGAGTCTTGAGTTGCACTAAGAGAATGGTAGTGACCAGATCAGAGGGACTTTCAGTTCCACTTGGGTTTCTGTTGGCCAGCCCATAGAGTTTTACATTTAATTCTGGATGCTACATTTAAGAGGACATTAACAAACTGGAACATATTCAAACAAGGCAATCAGGAAAGTGAAGTGTCTATAAATCATGTATTATGAGAAATGGCTGAATGAATGAGAGATATTTAACTGGGAAAGAGCTTTGGGTGAAAGAAGGACATCATAACTGTCTTCATAAATTAAACATTCTATATGGAATTAAACCCGCTGGTAGAAGTTTCATGAAGGTAGACTTCAGCTCAAAAAGACATTAGTTTGTAAAATATGCGATACTTAAAGGTAGAATGGGTTGCCATACGATGGGGTGAACTTTTTGTTACTGGGAAGGCTAAAAGTTGAGGCAGAATAGCCACTTGTTAGGGATGCTATGGGGGAGATCGCTGGGTTGGTCTGGAAGAGAGTTCTACACCCTTTCCAATTCTAAGATTCTGTGGCTCTATCCTTTTGTATCTATAAGAGTGAGTGGATCTGAGCGTCTGGGTCTGGGAATCTGGAGCAAATAGGAAGAGAAAGGTAATTTAGCCCAGTGGTTAAGAGGGTGGGCCCTGCAACCAGGTTGCTTAAGTTTAAATTCTGGCTCTGCCATTCGCTAGCTGTCAGGTCTTGGGTAAATTGCTTTACCTCTCCAAACTGCAATTTCTTCAGGTGTAAAATGAGAATGATAGTAGTGCCTATACCTCAGAGGACTGTAGGCACATGCAAATGAGATAATATGTGCATAGAACAGCATTTAATATGTGTTAGATTTTATTAATTTTAAGAAAAATACAGCTGGGCATAGTGGCTCACACCTATAATCCCAGCACTTTGGGAGGCTAAAGCAGGAGGATATCGTGAGCCCAGAGTTTAAGACCAGCCAGGGCAACAGGGTGAAACCCCATCTCTACGAAAAAATTAAACAATTAGCTGGGCATGGTGGTGCATGCCTGTAGTCACAGCTACTCAGGAGTCTGAGGCAGGAGGGTCACCTGAGCCAGGGAAGTGGAGGTTGCATTGAGCCGTGATTGCACCGCTGCACTACAGCATGGGTGACAGAGTGAGACTCTGTCTCAAACAAAACAAAACAAAACAAAACAACAGTTGGTGGATTCCAGCCCATGGGTAACTGCTTAAAACAACAGTCTTATTGAGGTGTAATTGTCAGACAATAAGACTGTACATATTTATAGTGCACAATTTGCTAAGTTTTTTCACATGTATACACATGTGAAGCCATCACAATTAAGATCATGAACATATCCATTACCACACAAAATTTTCTTGTGCCCCTTTGTAATCTCTCCATCCCCAAGCAAACTTTGATCTGCTTTCTGTCACTATAGATTAGTTTCCTAGAATTTTGCATTTCCTAGAATTTTGTATAAATGAGATCATATATTATGCACTCTTCTTTCTGGGGTCTAGCTTCTCTCACTTGGCATGTTACTCTTTGAGATTCATTCATGTTGTGCGTATCAATAGTTATTTACTTTCTGTTGCTAAGTAGTATTCCATTGTACAGATATGCCACTTTTTTTTTTTTTTTTTTTTTTTTTGAGATGGAGTTTCGCTCTTGTTGCCCAGGCTGGAGTGCAACGGCACAATCTTGGCTCACTGTGAACTCTGCCTCCTGGGTTCAAGCGATTCTCCTACCTCAGCTGCCCAAGTAGCTGGGATTACAGGCATGCACCACCATGCCTGGCTAATTTTTGTATTTTTAGTAGAGACAGGGTTTCACCATGTTGGTCAGGCTGGTCTCAAACTCCTGGACCTCAGGTGATCCACCCGCCTTGGCCTCCCAAAGTGCTGGGATTACAGGCATGAGCCACCATGCCTGGCCCACATTTTGTTTATTCATCATTTGATGGACATTGGCTCATTTCCACTTTTTGCCTATTATGAATGACACTGCTATAAACTTTCCTATACAAGTTTCTGTGTGGACGTATGTTTTTATTTCTGGGGTTGTCACCTAGGAGTGGAATTACTGGGTCACATGTTAACTCTATGTTGAACCATTTGAGGACCTGCCCAAGTTTTTTCCCAGAGTGATTATACCATTTTACATTCTCAACAGCGGGATACAAGAGTTCCAGTTCCTCCACATCAGGCACTGCAACCTTGACCTCCTGGGCTCAAGTGACCCTCCCACCTCAGCCTCTCGATTAGCTGGGACCACAGGTGCCTGCCACCACCCCTGGCTAATTTTCAAATTTTTTTGTAGAGACAGGGTCTCCCTATGTTGCCCAATGGGGGTGGTTAGTTACCATTTAAATGCAATTGTATATAAATTTTTTTTGAGATAATGTCTTGCTCTGTTGCCCAACCTGGAGTACAGTGGTGTGATCTTGGCTCACTGCAACCTCCACCTCCCGAGTTCAAGCGATTCTCCTGCCTCAGCCTCCCAGGTAGCTGGGATTACAGGCGCACACCACCATGCCTGGCTAATTTTTGTATTTTTAGTAGAGATGGGGTTTCACCATCTTGGCTGGGCTGGTCTTGAACTCCTGACCTCAAGTGATCCACCAGCCTCGGCCTTCCAAAGTGCTGGGATTACAGGCATGAGCCACTGCATATGGCCCAATTGCATATAAATAATTTAACTCAGAAAAATTTAACTTAGAAATATTTGACATATTTTAATAAATTTTATAAGCTGTGACTAGCTTCTAAACCTGTGCAGGGTAAAATGTACATTATTCAAGTGATGGTTATATGAAGACGAGACCTCCCTACTAAGCAATGTAGTCATATAACAAAATTGTACTTATACCCCTAAATTTACACAAAACACCCCCTGCACATATACATTTTGCTTTATGGATCTCCAACTTTAGTCTGAGTAAGACTAAATAACTTTATGGGAAAAATTACATATCGCATCTATATAATTAAATGTAATTTGATATATATAAAATCAGGCAGCTTGGTATAACAATCAGGATCCCCAGGTGAGCTTATTGAAAATGGAGCAGAGATTCATCTTTGATAAAGATGTATAACTTCTAATTCCAAAGTAAACATAATGAGTACATGAAATTTTATTTCAAGTTTCCTTTTAGAGATGTGAGCAAAAATATTTATTTCAGGATCTAATATGTGGTATTTATCTTCTGATGACTACTATAGCTATATGTGCTTTGCTGTATGTCAAACACACCCCCCTCGTTTCCATCATCCTATTGTAATATTTTATTTATTTATTTATATTTATTTTTGAGATAAGGTTTCACTCTGTCGCCCAGGCTGGAGTGCAGTGGCGTGATCATGGCTCACTGTCACTACATCCTTGACCTCCTGGGCTCAAGTGACCCTCCCACCTCAGCCTCTCGATTAGCTGGGACCACAGGCACCTGCCACCACCTCTGGCTAATTCTTAAATTTTTTTGTAGAGACAGGATCTCCCTATGTTGCCCAAGCTTGTCTTGAACTCTTTGGACTCAAGCAGTCCTCCCACCTTGGCCTCCCAAAGTGCTGAGATTACAGGCATGAGCCACTGTGCCTGGCCCCATTGGAATATTTTAGACAGTTCCTAAGTAACAGCTGTCAAATGGACCTGAATATCATATCAGTTAGTTTGGATATTACTTTTATTTTTGGCTAGCAATGACAACAAAAGGGAGAGATACGAATGACTGAAGAATTTATTTTTGCTTTCTGCTAGTACACGACTTTTCCCGACTTGCCCCAACTTGCCCCGACTTTCCCCGTGTCTATCCCTTCTCCAGTCTCCTATTGTTGTTATACTTGTTTTTTTTCCTCCTCATTGTCTGTGATTAGATTAGAGGCACCTGCATCACAATAGAATGTACTAGGGCTTCAAGTCAGCATGCCTGGTTCAAGTCCCATCTTTTTTTTTTTTTTTTTGAGACAGAGTCTTGCTCTGTTGCCCAGGCTGGAGTGCAGTGGTGTGATCTCAACTCACGGCAACCTCCGCCTCCCGGGCTGAAGCAATTCTCCTGCCTCACCCTCCCAAGTATCTGGGATTACATGTGCCCGCCACCACACCCAGGTAATTTTTGTATTTTTGTAGAGATGGGGTTTCACTATGTTGGCCAGGCTGGTCTCAAACTCCTGACCTCAAGAGATTCACCCACCTCGGCCTCCCAAAGTGCGGGGATTATAGGCATGAGTCACCATGCCCGGCCTCACGTCCCTTGAGGCCTTTCTTTGGCCACCATCCTGAGTGTCAGTTTTTGTTGCTTCCAACTCCCCCAGAAGTTTCTTCCCATCCACTCCTTTGCTGCTCTTACTCAGTCCCTTGCCATCTATCTGCTGATGACACCCAAATTCCTATCTCCAGTCATCACTCTTCCCCACACTCTAGACTTGTCCCTATTATCCTGAAATAATTATCAATAAAGTTCTGATATACTAGTTTCCTATGGCTGCTATAACAAATTACCACAAATGCATTGGCTTAAACAACACAAATTTATTAGCTTGTAGTTCTGTAGTCACAAGTCTGACGTGGGTCTCACTGGGCCAAAATCGAAGTGTCGGCAGGCCTGCATGCCTCTCTGGAGGCTCCAGAGGTGAATTGGTTAGCTTGCTTATTCAGGTTCTTGGCTGAGTTCAGTTCATTGTGACTGTAGGGCTGAAGTCCTTTGTTTCCTTGCTGGCTGTCAGCTGAGGGTCATGCTCAGCTTCTAGAGGCCATACCCATTTCTTGGCACCTGGAAACCTTTGTCTTCAAAGCCAGCAGTGGCGAGTCCAGTTCTTCTCAGGCCTCATTTCTCCTGCCTCTTCTTCCATCCTTGCATCTCCCTGACCCATTCTTCTGTCTTCCTCTTCCACTTGTGATTTTTTTTTTTTCTTTTTTTTGAGACAAAGTCTCACTCTGTCACCCAGGCTGGATTGTAGTGGTGTGATCTTGGCTCACTGCAACCTCCACCTCCCAGGTTCAAGCGATGCTCCTGCCTCAGCCTCCTGAGTAGCTGGAATTACAGGTGTGTGCCACCACACCCGGCTAATTTTTGTATTTTTAGTAGAGGTGGGGTTTCACCATGTTGGCCAGGCTGGTCTCAAACCCCTGACCTCAAATGATCCACCCGCCTTGGCCGCCCAAAGTGCTGGGATTATAGCCGTGAGCCACCGTGCCTGGCCCCACTTGTGATTTTAAGGATTGTGATTAGGGGCCCACCCAATGAATCCAGGAGAATCCCTCCATCTCAATGTCTGTAACAGTAATCACATCTGCAAAGTCTCTTTTGTCATGAAAGGTAACATACTCACAGGTTCTGGGGGTTAAGGTGTGGACATCTTTGGTGAGGGCCATTATTCTGCTTACCACGACTGGTTTGGACAATTACACAGACAGCATGTGCTCCAGCCCACTGTCTACTTCTCTACTTGCATGTCTCATGGGCATTTTGAATTTAACATGTCCAAAACAGAACTTTGAATTCCTCCCCACCAAAACTCTGTCCCTCCTCAGTCTTCCTCACATCAGCAAATGGCAAGATCATCTACCTGTTCTCAAGTCAAAAGGCAAAAACCAGCCAGGCTCGGTGGCTCACATCTGTAATCCCAGCACTTTGGGAGGCCGAGGCAGGCCTTGATCACTTGAGCTCAGGAGTTCGAGACCAGCCTGGGCAACATGGTGAAATCCCATGTCCACAAAAAATACAAAAATTAGCTGGGCGTGGTGGTGCATGCCTATAATCCCAGCTACTTGGGAGGCTGAGGTGGGAGGATTGCTTGAACCTGGGAGGCGGAAGTTGCAGTGAGCCGAGATTGCGCCACTGCGCCACTGCACTCCAGCCTGGGGGAGCAGAGTGATATCCTGTCTCAGAAAAACAAAAACCAAAAACCTAGGTGCCACCCTTGACTCCTTTCTTTAACTCCCTATATTCAATCCTTCAGCAAATCATGCTGAGTCCACCTTCAAAATACATCTTGAACTCATTCATTCCTCTCCATCTTTATTGCCACCATTCTAGTCCAAGCCATCCTTTCTTGCTTGGACTTCCGAAATCGCTTCTTAACTGGTCTTCTCACTCACAGCCTTGCTTCCCTCCAATCCATTCTCCACACAGCAACTGAGTAATCTTATAAAAATCAAAGTCAGATTATATCGCTTTTCTGCTTAAAAACCTTCAATGCCTCCCCACAGCATTTAGAATAAAATTTAACTTCTTGTTCTGGCCCACATGGCCACATAAGACCTGGCTGTCTCTCTCCAATCTCATCTCATCCCACTCTCTCACCACACTCTGGCTACCCTCGCCTCCTTTCTGTTCACCAAGGCTTTCCCACTGCCACACTTCTGTGCTTGTTCTTCCCTCTGCCAGGAATGCTCTTCTCCCTCGTTCTTTCTCTCCTTTCTTTCTTTCTCTTCTTTCCAGGA
Organism: Homo sapiens; assembly: GCF_000001405.40. Classification (NCBI taxonomy): domain Eukaryota; kingdom Metazoa; phylum Chordata; class Mammalia; order Primates; family Hominidae; genus Homo; species Homo sapiens. The sequence goes on along the minus strand of NC_000023.11, from coordinate 119,457,241 downwards.
ATGCTCTTCTCCCTCGTTCTTTCTCTCCTTTCTTTCTCTTCTTTCTTTCTTTCTTTCTTTCTTTCCTTCCTTTCTTTCTTTCTTTCTTTCTTTCTTTCTTTCTTTCTTTCTTTCTTTCTTTCTTTCTTTCTTCCTTTTTCTTTCTTTCTTTCTTTCTTTCTTTCTTTCTTTCTTTCTTTCTTTCTTTCTCTTTTCCTTTCTTTCCTTTTTTTTCTTTCTTTCCTTTCTTTCCTTTCTTTCTCTCTCTCTCTTTCTTTCCTTTCTGTCCTTTCTTTCTTTTTTTTGACGGAGTCTCGCTCTGTCACCCAGGCTGGAGTGCAGTGGTGCAATCTCGGCTCACTGCAACCTCCGCCTCCCGGGTTCAAGGGATTCTCCTGCCTCAGCCTCCTGAGTAGCTGGGATTACAGGTGTGTGCTACCAGGCCCAGCTAATTTTTGCGTTTTTAGTAGAGACGGGGTTTCACCATGTTGGCCAGGCTGGTGTCAAATTTCTGACCAAGTGATCCGCCTGCCTTGGCCTCCCAAAGTGCTGGGATTACAGGCGTGAGCCACCGCGCCCAGCCCTTCTTTTTTTCTTTTTTTTTTTAGGGCAAGTCAAGTGAAGCAGTGGGAGTGGGAAGGAACAAAGAAATCTGTAGCTGATTGTGGTCAATTACTTGTAAACACCACTGCACTTTGACCAGCCCTCCCTGGTTCTTTGCATAGTTGGCTCATTCTCATCCTTCTGGTCTCATCTCAAATGTCACCTGTCAGAGTGGCCTTCTCTGGCTCCCTGATTTAAAATATTCCCCTGTGACTTCAGCCGGGGAGACAGAGGTTGCAGTAAGCTGAAATCGCGCCACTGCACTCCAGCCTAGGCGACAGAGCGAGACCTTGTCTCAAAACAAAAACCAAAAATAAAATATTCCCCTTACCTCCACATAATTCTCTAATAAAGCACCCTCTATATAAGCACCTTCATAACATCACAGTCCATGATTACCTAAATTATTTATTAGTTTACTTGTTTATTGACTGCCACTCTCACTAGAGTGTAAGCTCCTTGAAGGCAAGGACCTTATCTGCCTTTTGTGCCACTGTGTCTGTAGTGCCTAGCAGTTATTGAATAAATGCACAAAGCCACTTTTCTTGCTCTGACCCACTTTTGCTTGCTTCCATCTCTGTGATGCTGCAATGCCCTGCCTTTAACCTGCAATGCCTTCCTATTCGTGACCAATACATATCCCTTAACTTCTTTCAAAACTTAGTTCAAGACTCATGGCTGGGTGCGGTGGGTCATGCCTGTAATCCCAGCACTTTGGGAGGCTGAGGCAGGTGGATCACCTGAGGTCACGAGTTCAAGACCAGCCTGGCCAACATGGTGAAACCCCGTCTCTACCAAGAAAATACAAACATTAGCTGGGCATGGTGGCAGGCGCCTGTAGTCCCAGCCACTCAGGAGGCTGAGGCACGAGAATCACTTGAACCAGGAGGTGGAGGTTGCAGTAAGCCAAGATTGCATCTCTGCACTCCAGGCTGGGCAACAGAACGAGACTCTGTTTCAAAAAAAAAAAAAAAAAAAGACTCACAACCTCCCCAAATCCCTGTTGATCACTAGTCTCTCTCCCATGTGATGATCCCTTTAGTTTTTTATTCACTAAGTTTGTATAGAGCTTCTTGGCAATCTTATGAACAGTTCATACTACATTATCATGCCTTTGCTTGTATTTGCTTTGTAATCATAGTCATTTCATATATGTAGGTATGATTTGTTCCTCAAGACCATAAATTCCTCCTGAGTCAACATTGCATCACACATCTTTATAATCCTTCTCAAGTACTTAGTCCAGTGTGGTGCTCACTGTCAGCCATAAAGCAGAAAGGCAGAACTCTCTCTTCATAATCCAAAGAAAATGAAATTAGCTGGAAGTTTATTTTAGAAACAGAACAAGAGTTTTAGAGTTCTTCTGAAATTAGAAAAATCAGGCGTATTATTTTCCCCACTTAATTTAATGAAGAAAAAATCAAAACTGCAGCTCAGAAAACATTTCTGTGCATGACAACTGCAAGAGTTTAGCTATCTATTTAATAATACTTGTGGAAGGGCAGGGTGTGGTGGCTCACACCTGTAATCCCAGCACTTTGGGAGGCAGAGGTGGGCAGATCACCTAAGGTCAGGAGTTCGAGACCAGCCTGGCCAACATGGTGAAACCCTGTCTCTACTACAAATACAAAAATTAGCCAGGCATGGTGGCAGGCGCCTGTAATCCCAGCTACTCGGGAGGCTGAAGCTGGAGAACTGCTCGAACCCGGGAGGAGGTTCCAGTGAGCTGAGATCACGCCATTGGACTCCAGCCTGGGTGACAATTTTTTTTTTCAAATTAAAAAAAAAATTACTTGTGGAAGAATACACAAGATATTATCATGAAATAATGTGAGGTTAGGATTTTATAGTTAAAAAAGTAAAAAATATTTTTGCAGCTTTCAGAACTGTTTGAAAAGTTGTCTGTTTCAAGGAAAATAAAGAGTAATAAACATGAACTATTCACTTTGGGTAAAGAATCTGCCACCCTCCAAACTCTAACAGATTGAGCTACAGATGAGATTTCCATGTGTGTGTGTGTTAACTGCCATTCTCCATAAAACAGAATGCCGCAGCAGTTGGAAAAGTGAATTATTTTGGTATACTTAAATAGGATAAGGCTTTGAGAGTTTACAGATTTGGCCAATATGTATTTAACCATAGTTTTATAACTCAGACTAGCAATAAATGACCAACACATCATTTTTTCTTTGGAAAATAAATTTAATCGGAAAAAATACTTGCAACATACCGAAAATCTCTCTCTATGTATGAGTGTATGTGTGTGTATAAATTAACAATTTTATGTTAGATATTAATGCATTTTTAAATGCATAGATAGGTGCTATTTGACAAGTATAGTTATATAAACTTTACATAGAATCTCTAAAGTGGAACAATCCTGAGATTTGATTTTTAGAAAGTTTGATACAGATGATTAGGTTAAAGTGTTTATAGTCAGTTACATTTTTTTGAGTATGTGTGTCAAATGTTCCATTTGATCCTTTCTAGGCAACTGGGACATCTTTGAGAATAACTTGACTAAATAACTTATTTTCAGAGTAGGCTTGCAAAGCAAGTTAAAAAGGCAGAGAATTTAGGCCACTGAACTGTACATGACTTCAATCAGAAGGTCTTTGGGGGGATAATTAAGCAGTCATGGTATAAACTGTCTTTCTGAAACACAAGATTTTAAGCCTGGGATGCTTCAAATTTCAAAAAAGAAGGATGATTCTACTACAATGGTGATAGCTTTTAAATGTTCGCTATTTTCATTTAGATTCTGATAAGGCATAATTTACACTGTGGTGTGTGCACTCAGATGTCAGCAAAAATTTGAGTTCAAAAAAGATTGTACTGGGGCAGGGTGCAGCGGCTCACACCTCTAATCCTAGCGCTTTGGGAGGCCAAGGCAGGAGGATTGCATGAGCCCAGGAGTTCAAGACCAGCCTGGGCAACATAGCAAGACCTCCCCAAAAAATTAGCTAGGTGTGGTGGTGTGCACCTATGGTCCCAACTCTCTGGAGGCTGAAGCAGGAGGATGTCTTGAGCCCAGTAGTTAAAGGCTGCAGTGAGCTATGATTGTGTCATTGTACTCCAGTCTGGGTGACAGAGCAAGACCCTGTCTCTAAAAACAAAACAAAACAACAGATTGTATTGGAAAGTCTCAGGTCAAACTGAGTGAAACTAGGCTGACGTTGGTTTGTGCAAGCTTTGCATTGACTACAAGTGACCCAGTGGCTGACCTCACAACGTGGTATCCACTCAGCCACTTCAATTACCTGTTGCTTTGAGATGTCATGGCAATGCCCTTTCTTTGGTGTCATGTTTCTATTCAGAGCGTAAATTGTACATTTTATCACTGCTAGACTCTGGTTATAAAATCTCGTGGAATGCCATCATGATACACTCTTGTTGGGAAACCTTCTCATAGTGCAGGTGTTCACAGGGACATCAGTTTGGAGATCTGAGGTGGTGCATGGCCAAACCATCTCATTTCCCAGAGCAGCAGATAGCAGTAGCTTCTCATCCCTCCTCAGGTGCACAGTTATGAGGCTACATTTATCTGTGATTGCAACATGCTGTCAGTCAGTGCACTTCTAGTTCCATTCCATTTTATAGAGTTGGTTTTTTAGGCTTCGGTTTTCTCGTTTTGAAGAACTTCTTTAATTCTCGTAATTCCTGGGGCTGCAAACTCTGATCGACTCCTGGGGTCAATTTATAGCTCAGTGGAGACAGAATGTAACCATTTTGATAAAGACAGATTCTCTTGCAGAACTCAAAGGTGCTAAACATAATTCCAAAATATGGAACTATCTGTTAAAACCAAAAATGAAAATCAAGTTAAGTTCTTAAAAAGAAAACATCAATGTGTCTGCAGTCAACTTGGATCAGGGTAAATTATCTTGTAAAGTGAGATAATGGCGGTGGCAATACAAATGGTAACTCTTTTTGGAATCAGGAAAGATGGCAAAAGGAAAGCTGGCTCAGTGTGGGTTGGGAGAGGAATGACAGTGATTGAAGGGCATGACCTGCCTGGGAGGCACTAGATCTGGGTCATATGCACGCAGACTATCTGATACTACCTGTCACTATATGCTGGCCTTGACTGGAATCATTTACATGCCAGCTAGTGCAAGGTTAGTCCAGAGTGCTTAATGTTTTTTGTTTTTGTTTTTTTTTTTTTTTGTCATGGAGTTCTTTGGGAATATGATGCACATATGCATATACACATACATTTTTGCATAGAATTTTAGGATGAGGGGTTAGGTTCCCATTAGGGGCCCATGAACCTCCACATTAAGTATCTCTGCACTAAATGCTCAGCTCCTCTGGAATGGGGTATAAGATACTCCACCACTGCACAGGTTCCCCTCTCTACGGGGCTGACAGACAGTGTGCATTCATGGGCCTTGTGCTACCCATTAGTGCTAGAGGGGGTTTTCCAAGCAAACTGTAGTAGGGGTTGGGGGTGACAAAGGAAGAGGGTAGAATTGGAAGAGGCAGGGGAGCAGCGGAGGCTGGTGGCTCTTCTCACCTTCAGTAAATTGGCTGTCAATCCATTCCAGAGCCCCAGGACCCCCTGGGCCTTCACTATCTGCCGGAAGCAGTCCACTGCTCCTGAGAAATGGACATCTACTCCTCCACTGTGTGGGAGGTAGGGGCTCTGAGCCTGACAGGAAACAGAAGCTGGGATGAGGTGATTGAAACATTAGGAAATAAATGTCCTAGTGGAAGGAGCCAGGGTCTCAAGTCTACATTCTGGATGCTGGGTTCCTGGCCAAGATGATGGCAAAGAATGGCTGCTGTGGGGTTCTTCTTGTTCTGTGGGCTTAGAACAGATATTAACGTGCAATACAATCATGATACCCTGTCCATATATTTGTCGTTTATTTTGCCTGGAAGGAAGCAGACATTTGGGACAGATTCAATTTCATACTTACATTCCCTCCCAACCTGTGCCTTCTGGACATGATAAACATAATCCCATGCCCTTAGCCTTTTTAAAGTATTCTGTTTCCTTGTCTTTACTGGTCCTTCCCCTGTGAAGCTCCCAAGCGGAGGCTGTTCATTTCTCCACCTCACAGATGTGACAGGGTAGGGAGCATTGTGATGGTGGCATTCTTCTCGCTCTCTGTTGCTGTTCCCAAACCCTTCCTCCTTCACTCTCACGACAGAAGCACTTAGCTGGGGCTGATGTCACTGAACCATACTCCTTGGCCTGCTATTATCTACTAA